>NC_000022.11:43709564-44959564 GCF_000001405.40 Homo sapiens | reverse complement strand
AGACAGACTGGTCTCCAGGTCAGAGCCGGGGCAGCCAGGTGTGAATGAAACCTGCTGAGCACAAACACTTTTCTTGGGGCCTTGAGAGAGCACTTGGCTAGAACTGGTGTCTACTGTCCACTTGGACCAGTTAGAAAGGAGGAGGAAGGACCCAGGCAGGGGACAGACAGCAGGAGCAAAGGCCCACACAAGAGCAAGGCACAAAGAGGCCCAGAAATGTGATAAGTCCCGTAGTTAAGGCGTGAATCACAAAGTGGAGAGTATGAGAAGATGGGTCGGGGCAAAATGTCATCATTCTCTAGAAGACATTTGTTATTCAGCATCACCAACACACCAGGCCCTCCAGAAGGCATGCGAGCCTCGTCCTGAGATGGGAGCAGATCATCAGCAGTCTCAGGACATGCCAGGGGAGCTTCCAACAAGGAAGAGACCAAAACAGAAACCGGATCTGAGAGGGAGAGGAGGCCATGCAGGAAGCAGAAGAAGGCTTCCAAAACTGTCTCATCCTCCGAGAAATCAGGCAGTATACCATCTGAATCAGAACAGGCGCTCCAGCGGGGCCGGCCATGGAACCAGCAGGAGACATTGGAAATGTAGATTGCGCAGTTAAATGATCAAAGGAGGGGCCGGGTGCGGTGGCTCACACCTGTAACCCCAGCACTTTGGGAGGCCAAGGTGGGCAGATCACCAGAGGTCAGGAGTTCAAGACCAGCCTAGCCAACATGGTGAAACCCCGTCTCTACAAAATACAAAAACCCTGTCTCTACAAAATACAAAAATAAAAATAAAAAATTAGCCAGGTGTGGTGGCAGGCGCCTGTAATTCCAGCTACTCAAGAGGCTGAGGCAGGAGAGTCACTTGAACCCAGGAGGCGGAGGTTGCTGTGAGCCAAGATCATGCCACTGCACTCCAGCATGGGTGACAGAGTAAGACTCCATCTCAAAAAAAAAAAAAAAAAAAAAAAAATCAAAGGAAGGCTGGAAGATGAAGCTGAGGAGATCTCTCAAAGAGTAGAATAGGACGCTAATGGAATGGGACTAGGTGAGAGAAGTTGAGAAAATTGGAAAATCTCTAACTAAGGAGTTTCAGATAAAACAGGGGTATTGGCAGAGAGAACCATATGGATGCAATGTGCACATTCCTAATCGAAGGACACAGGCCTCCGGGTTGAGAAAGCTCTCGGAGTTCTCAGCACAACTAACAGGAAAAGGTCCACACTGCAGTGCACACCATGAAATTCCAGAGCACAGGGTTTCAGCAGACCCCGACTAGACCCTCACTGTGTAGGGAGAGAGTCAGGGAGGCAGCAGGCCCGGATGCCAGAAGCCAGCAGAGTCGTGCACTCAAAATGCCCAGGGATGGGGGCTGTCGTGGTGGCTCACACCTGTAATCCCAGCACTTTGGGAGGCCAAGGTGGGCAGATCACCTGAGGTCGGGAGTTCGAGACCAGCCTGACCAAATGGAGAAACCCCGTCTCTATTAAAAATACAAAAAGTTAGCCAGGCATGATAGCACATGCCTGTAATCCTAGCTACTCGGGAGGCAGAGGCAGGAGAATCGCTTGAACCTGGGAGGTGGAGGTTGTGGTGAGCCGAGATCGCGCCATTGCACTCCAGCCTGGGCAACAAGAGCGAAACTCCATCTCAAAAAAAAAAAAAAAATGTCCAGTGGTGATCAGGTCCAGCTAGAGTTCTGCTTTTAGACACACAAGGCCTGAACGGGTTTAGAATGCTTATTTCATGCGTCGCCTTTCTCAGAAAGATACTGGGTGAGGCATTCTACTGAAATAAAGGAATTAAGCCCAGAAAAACAGCAGATCTAAATTCAGGAGAGGGGGCCCCAGCAGCCTGGAGAGAAACCTATTTAGGTTAGCAACAGGGAACTGATGCCTGGTGTGTTTGCACAGGAAAGGGTTTTATAATTCTATCAGGGAACTTAGGAAAAATTAGCAGGAGGAACCCAGAACGCCAAACAAATGGGAACTCAAGGCAGGAGAAAAAAAGCAGCGGTAGAAGAAAGAGAGGGCTGACTATTGATTCTGTGCATACGTTATTTAAATACACATAAAATGGATTTGAGAACTCCCTCTGGAGGCAGCATGAGGACGGACAGTGGCAAGCCCCAGAGGAAGGCTGTGAGGGGCCCGCATGCCAGCCCTGTGCGGCAGCCCAGGTCTCTCTCACTCCTTCTACAGTCAGTTCAGGAATTTGCTTTGTACCTTCAGAGGGTTTTTCATGCAAAGGATCAGGGAAAAAACCGAAACAACTTTTTCCAGAAGAGCTAATTGTTGTAAAGTGCACCGTCCGGTGCCTGACCCTCTGAGGCTGGGTGAGCACTGTGCAACTGTGTTCTCAGCCTGGCTTTCAGAGACTGCAGTCCCCTGCAGAGGCTGTGGGTCCACAGCCAGGGAGGCCACAGGTACAGAAGAATGCGCAGGACGAGGCAGCTGTGAGCTCAGAGGGAGGAGGGAGGGGGCGGTGCTGAGGTGGAGGTGGCCATTGGACTGCCGTGTGGGCAGTGACCTCTGGGTACAGCTCCCACCACCAGCAGGAGGGCTGGGACGAGGATGGAGCCCAGGACTGAGGCGTGACGGCTGCCTCCTCTTTCCCTGTGGTTGGTGAGTGGATGTGGCCATTGTCTCTCTTCACTCGGTTGGCTCCTGAATGCTGCAGGCCCAGCCCTGAGCATCTGGGGTACAGCTTTGATGAGAAGGGAGGGAGGTCGGAGGAGGAGGGAGAGCCCACCGCGTGGAGGGGCCTCTGTCCCTTAGCCCAAGTTTTCTGTTTCCAAAGTGGATTCCAGAAACAGAAAGCACTGCCTTGGGTGGGCCCAGCAAGAGGTCCCCTGGGCCTTTCCGGTGGTCAGGCCTCATGGTCCCACTGGCCTTGGGCTTCAGACCTCCTGGGGTCGCTTGTGGAGGGTCCCTCGAGGTCTCCCTGGGCAGCAGCCGCCTCGTGAAGGAAGCTCGGCAGCTCTGCAGTCCCATAATGTGTGATAAATCCCAGTATTTCTGCCATTAAACGATATTGTCACAAGGGCTAAATTGCCACCTGCAATGAGTAAATTAAATATTGACGATTTCATTGACTGTTAGATTTAATTTGGAGCCATCTTGCTGGGGCCCTAATGGGGCTGCAGATGACTTACTGTTTAATCCAGGCTGTCACCCCGTTAAGTGTTGAGTAATGAGGAAAAGATACACTCGTCAGGGTAAGAAAGTACTGATTCTCGGGCCCCTGGGTCGGGCCTCTGCCTCATAGACTGGGTGCCCTAGCATTGGGGCGGCTCTCCAAATAGCCTTCCTCTTCCTGCTCAGCTTCTCCCCCAGGCAAAATCCCCCTCCCCAGGGAGCCTCCTCCCTTGGTTCCCCTGTATCTCCAACCCATTGAGTCCAGCCTGGTGGGACGTTGCTTGTGCAGAGCACACAGAGCATCTCCCCTGTGCTCCCACCGCTGTGTCGTCAAGCTGGAGGGCTCAGTCCCCTTCCTCGCGGGCTGATGGCTGGACGTTGTGGGGTGGGAGGAGACAGTTGTGTTGTTCATCGCTGTGCCCAGGACAAAGCACCGTGCCTCCCTGTCGTGGGCCAGGGCTCATATAGAACTGCCAGGGAAGTGCGTGCCCTCAGCCTCACCACTCTCCTCATCTGTAATATGACGGAAGCGTCTTTGAGTGCTGACCATGGCCCGACTCAATTCTAAGCACCCACATCAGTCAGGGCTCGCCAGAGAGCAGAACCAATGGGATACAGATGGGGATGCATACGGGGATTGATCTGGGGAACCAGCTCCTGCAATGGTGGAGGCTGAGAAGTCCCGTGATCCACCACCTGGAAACTGGAGACTCTGGAACGCCGGTGCTGTCATTCAGTCCAAATCTAAGGCCTGAGGGTCTGGTGGGTAAGTCCCAGAGTCTGAAGGCCTGGGGACCAGGAGCTCTGAGGCCTGAGAGCAGGAGAAGGAGGATCTCCCCGCTCAGGAAGAGAGAAGCCACCCTTCCCCGCCTTTTTGTTCTATCTGGGCCCTCAGTGGATTGGTGGATGCCCACCCGAATTGGTGGCGCGGATTCTCTTTGCTGGGTCTACCTACCCATATGCTGATCTCTTCCAGAAACGCCCTCACAGACACACCCAGAAAGCATACTTACCAGCTGTGTGGCACCCCTTAGCCAGGTCAGGCTGCCGTGTGAAATTAACCGTCACAGGACCGTGAGTGCATCTTCTCACTTTGAGGTCACAACACCCCTGTGAGCACAGGTGGTGTTTACCCAGATGAGGAGGCTGAAGCCCAGAGAGGCTCAGGGGGCTTTCCAAGGTCACACAGCTGTGGAGTGGTGCTGTGTGCTCCTCCCAGGCGCTGTGCTGGCTCTTGTCTGCAAGTGGGGCTGGTGGTGTTGCTGTGGAGCCTCCTCCGAGGCCAGGACTCTGGGAGACACAGCATGACCGCTGACTTCTTCTTAACCGGCCATTCCCACCCTCTGCCCCCTCAGGCTGGACGCAGCTGCACCGCTGGACAGTGATCCCTAGTGTGGTTGCTCTGGGCTTTGCTTGATCATGGCTTCTGGGCTGGAAGCTCCACCCCGCCTGCCACCCCGAGGTCCTGTTGTCCCCGCCTGCTCCCAACATCACCCGTCCTGCCTTCTCTGTCCCATTCCTTCTCCCTGGAGGACTGTCCTCTGTGCCACCTGGCAAGATTTGCCTCTTCCTTCAAAGCCCGACTTCGGAGGCCTGCCCAGAGCCTGTCTTCCAGCGGGGCCAGACCACTCCTCGGTTAAATTCCTGGGAGCGTGGGGTGGGAAGGACTCAGGTGCATCAAGCCCGGTCTCTACAAACACAATACGCTCGGTGCCTAGAGATGGATGTTGGTGCCTTTGGTTAAAGGATGGTTTTGTGATGTGAATAATTACTGCTTGGTGAATCTGTAGACCTGAATTGCTCAAGAGAGGCCAGATGGTTTTATTTAGAGAAGCAGGTAAAATGGGATGGAAGATGGTAAAATGCAGACAGGGCTTCATGCAGAAACGCTTTGTGTGTTGCACACGCTGGCTCGGCTAGTGCCGGGTCCAGCTGCTAGGGTGGAGCAGCTGGACCATCAGAGCCGGCTGTTTCTTCATTCACTGTAGCTGTTTATGGAATGAATTCCTCAGATGTGGCATTGGGCACCAGGTAGGGAGAGAGGAATCTGGCAAGATCCAGATCCAAGATCCCTGAGCGTGAGAGGGCCTGGAGGAAGGGCAGCCTGCGTGTCCTGCGCTGGGTCCCCAAAGAGGGAGGGAGTGATGTGTCCCAGTAACCACAGATTCTTTCAGAAGGCTGGAAAGTACCAGATAAGCACTGGGTGCTTGCAAAAGTATTTTCCAAGGGGATTTTTTTTTTAACAACAAGAAAGAAACGAAACGTACAATGCATTAATAAGAAAAGGACCTTAGCAGTGCTATTTCCTGTAGCTGCATCAGCTGGTAGCTTTCCTTCCCCGTAAACCTGGATCCTCTCAGGGCCAGAGGAATCACGGTGGGCCACACCCCACTGGGGGTCTGCTCTGAGCCGGGAGAGGCTCCTTAGGAAGAGCCCGGTGGGGTGGTGGTTCAGGCCAAGGGCACGCTGAGCTGCCTTTCAGGGCCGAGCCTGGCTTCACCTCTCCTGGCGGGGTGGGCTTGGGCAAGTTGCTTCACTGTTCTGTGCCTCAGTTGGCACAGCTGTTGGATGGGCATGATCATGCCTTTACATAGAGTTGTTTTGAGGATTAATTAATGCTTAAAATAGTATTTAGTGCCTAAAAATCCATAAGATGTTAGGTATTATTTTATAAGCCATGCTTGCTTGTGATACTAATGGGTGCATTTGGGTCTGACAAAGTCCAATGCATTCTTCAAAATTCTGCTCACCCACACACCTGGAAGCTGCAGGTCTCAGGAAGGAGGGCTGGGGCCTCCCCTGGGGAATCTCCATTTTAGCAGGAAGCTCCCTCTCCAGTCCCCCACTGAGACACATTAGCAGAGAAAACATTTAGAGGAGTTCACAGCGTTGAAAGATCCACTCTGGGGCTGCAAGCAGAGATGGTGTTGCAAGCAGAGAAGCTAATTAATAAATTAGAGCAGGAAAAATAAAACGAAAGGGAACGTGGAAAATTAGCGGTGATCACACCACAAAAGCCCGATGGAACCTGTGGCTGGTTGGTTTGCATAAGACTTGCAGGGAGGGGTAGGGAGGGGCACTCACGGGAGCTTCAAAGACAGGAATTGCTGTGAGTTCTAATTTCCAGTGTGATGCGTCAAATGGGTTGAGTTTCTGCTTAAAACAAACTGGGAAATTGTACCCCAACTCGCTAGTGCATCCTGCCCAGGGCTTGGGAGTCAGACCTGTGAGAGCCATTTCTGCCCCAGCTGCGGGCCTCAGTGTCCGAGAGAAGAGTCCTGTGGGGACCTTCTCCTTCTGGCTCAGTGTTCATGGGCACCCTGGGCCTCAGAGAGAGGAAGGGGCTGCTCAGGACTGAAGCCATCGTAGCAGTTGGGATCCTGATGCCTGGCCCACCCCAGCCCACTTCTGTCCCCCTGGCTGCTATAGAAGAGACCCAGGGGTCTGCGGAATGGGGAGGAGCTAGGTCAGCAGGGCACAGGGCAGCCCAGCACACAGGGCTCAGCAGTCCCGAGGGCAACCGAGGGCTAGGAGGGTGCCCGACACAGGGGCTGAATCCTGCCTTTTGTCCTGAGAGCTCTCTGTCACTGAGAATCTGCGCCTAGCACCCCATTCACGTCACTGAGGGCTGCCAGGGTCTCTGAACCTCTGGGGTTATTTAGAGGAGGCTCATAATTATAGCTCTTCAAAAATGATAGAATCTTGGAATCAGACTCTTATACTCTTCTCTTTTTCAACTGTAAACATATTCATCATAGGAGATGTGGAAAGTATCGTAAAGGATAAAGTAATAGAAAAACAGAAATTTATCATATTCTCCATGAGAGGCAGTCACCGTTAGTGATTAGATGTAATTCCCATCAGTTGAAAGCCCAAAAATGCTGGGCATCGTTCAGTCCACTTGGAACTTGACTTTTTCTTCGGTTCTGCCTCCCTGTGCTCCCTCCACCCCCAGGATAGACGGGAACCTTTTCCCATGTCAAAACTGTTTTCAATGACCATATGCCATTTTGTTGTGGAAACATGCCACAGTGAACTGAACAGTTTCTCTCACGTTGCATGCATGTTGGTTCTATTTTATTTTCTTTTTTGAGACAAAGTTTCGCTCTTGTTGCCCAGGCCAGAGTACACTGGTGCGATCTCGGCTCACTGCAACCTCCGACTCTCGAGTTCAAGCGATTCTCCTGCCTCAGCCTCCAAAGTAGCTGGGATTATAGGCGTCTGCCACCACGCCTAGCTAGTTTTTGTTTTTTTAATAGAGACGAGGTTTCACCGTGTTGGCCAGGCTAGTCTGGAACTCCTGACCTCAGGTGATATACCTGCCTTGGCCTCCATAGGTGCTGGGATTACAGGTGTGAGCCACCGTACCCAGCCAGTTCTGTTTTCTTAATTGTATACATAACACGCAGTGAGCACCATCACAGAGAAGTTTAACCACAGATCTGAGAATCATGGAATCATTTCATCATAACCACTGTTACTCGGAATCTTTATTTCACTCTTGTTCACCACCTCTTTCCAAAAGAAATTTGAGGTAATAAAGGACAAAAGGCAAGGAAAAGTGAGATGGGAAATGCACAAAGCTAACAGTCCACTAAAGCTAAACCTGCACCTATCCCATGATCTAGGAGTTCCACTCCTGGGTGCAGACCCAAAAAAATGAGTGCCTGACTCACCAAAAAAAAGGTGTTCAGCATTAGCCATTCTTTATGATAATCCAAACTGGAAACAACCCAAATGCCAGTCAGCAGTACACTGGAGATGTAGATTGTGGTCCATTCACAGAGGGGAATACTATGCAGCAATGAAAAAGGACATCTGGCTACAACAGCTTTCATGCATCTCACAGGTGTTAATGTTGGGCAAATGCATCAAGACCCAAAGAGTGCAAACTGTGTGATCCCTTTTATGTAAAGCAGGGATTCCCATCTCCCGGGCCATGGACTGGTACTGGTCTGTGGCCTGTTAGGAACTGGGGCTCACAGCAGGAGGTGAGGAGTGGGTGAGTGAGCAAAGCTTCATCTGTATTTACAGCCGCTCCCCATTGCTCGCATTACCCCGAGTTCCGCCTCCTGTCAGATTAGCAGCAGCATTCGATTTTCATAGGAACACGAACCCTATTGTGAACTCTGCATGCAAGGGATCTAGGCTGTGCACTCCTTATGAGAATCTAATGCCCGATGATCTGCGGTGGAGCTGAGGCGGTGATGCTGGCACTGGAGCACGGCTGCAAATACAGATAAGCATTAGCAGAGAGGTTTGACTGCACAGAGACCATAGTAAGTCAGTTGCTTGCAGACTCATATCAAAACCATATCTGTGAGTGGCGGGTGCTTAAGCTGCATCTGGTGGCAGGCTTTATAGTGGCAAGTGAGTTGATGTACTTCAGTTGTACCGCTGCGTCTGGCGGCAGGCTTTACGTCAGAACCTGATGCTTATTTTAGGCTGCGTGTGGCCCGCCTGTGATGTTACTTACCACTTCTGTCCATGCCTCTTTCCCACACTCAGCACGTGTCTCAGTCACAGTTTGGGTAAGTCCACCGGCTAACCCTAGCCAGAATGAGTAAGAAAAAAATCAAGCGTCTCTGGAGAGCTTCTTTGAAAAGGGGGAAAGGCCCAATGGTGAAACAGCAGAAGACTCAAAGAAAGTTGCATTTAAAAGGAAACAGCAAGAGCCCTGCTTCAATTATGGATTCATTGCAACAAGTGATTCATATTCCCCAAGCCCTCTTTGCATAATATGTGACCACTGGCTATCCAGTGAAGCCGTAAAACCTTCAAAACCGCTTCGCCACATGGAGACCAAGCACCTTGCATTAAAAGACAAACCTTTAGAGTTTTTCAAAAGAAAAAAAAAAACACGAACACGAAGAACAGAAGCAATGATTGAAGGCCACCACTTAGTTGACTGTGTCTGCACTGAGAGCGTCACTCTTAGTGTCTAACCGCATTGCTAAAGCTAGGAATCCCTTTACTGTTGGTGGAGTTGATCCTGCCTGCTGCTGCTAAGGACATCTGTCGTGAACTTTTGAGAGAGACTGCAGTTGAAAGGGTAGCACGTATTCCTCTTTTGGCTAGCACCATAACTAGATGAATTGATGAAACGACAGAGGGTATTGAGGCACAATTGTTAGAGGGGATTAATGAGTCACTGCGGTACGCAACCCAGGGTTGACGAGTCTACCGATGTTGAAAACAAGGCAACAATGCTTGTTTTTGTGCATATATGTTCAGGAGGATGTGCATGAGGATGTGTTATGTGTGCTTCTGTTGCCAACCCACACCACAGCTGGTATTCACGTCTTTGATTACATATCAGGAAAGGTGAATTGATCACTTTATGTTGGTCTGTGCATGGACGGAGAGACTGCCATGGCTGGACGGCTTTCTGGTTTCATTACTCAGGTCAAAGAGGTCACTTCTGAATGTGAGTCCACACGCTGTGTCATCCATGGAGAAATGCCGGCCAGCCAAAAAATGTTGCCTGAACTTAACAGCGTTTTGGAAGCTGTGATTAAAATGATCAGTCACGTTAAAGTACATGGGCTTTAACTCACATCTGTTCTTGCAGCGGTGCCGAAAAAATCACCTGAACTTAAGAACGTTTTGCAGGATGTGATTGAAATGATCAGCCACAGCAAAGTGCATGCCTTTAACTCACGAGGTCTGTTCTCGCGGCTCTGTGAGGAGATGGACGCGGTACACACACGTCTTCTCTGATACACAGAAGTGAGATGCTTTCCAAAGGTAGATCACTGGCCAGAGTTTCTGAGTTATGAGAGCTGCTCCAGAGATTTCTTTTAGAAAAATAGTCCCCACTAGCAGCATATTTCAGTGACATAGGATGAGTCGCAAAACTTGCTGACTTGTGCGACGTATTCAACCTGCTCAACAAACTCAATCTGTCACTTCAGGGAAGAATGACAACTGTGTTCAAGTCGGCAGATAAAGTGGCTGCATTCAAAGCCAAATTGGAATTATGGGGGTGACGAGGGAACACTGGGATTTTTGACATGTTTCAAACATTAGCAGAGATTTTGAAAGAGATAGAGCCAGGGCCTTCCCTCTTCCAGCTGGTGCATGATCACCTACCTCAGCTCTCTTTTTTCTTTTTTTTTTTTTTTCTTTTTTTTGAGATGGAGTTTCGCTCTTGTTACCCAGGCTGAAGTGCAATGGCACGATCTTGGCTCACCGCAACCTCCGCCTCCCAGGTTCAAGCAGTTCTCCTGCCTCAGCCTCCCAAGTATCTGGGATTACAGGCATGCGCCACTACACCCAACTAATTTTGTATTTTTAGTAGAGACGGGGTTTCTCCATGTTGGTCAGGCTGGTACTGAACTCCTGACCTCAGGTGATCTGCTGCCTCCACCTCCCAAAGTGCTGGGATTACAGGCGTGAGCCACCGCGCCCGGCCCCTACCTCAGCTTTCAAAAGAGCTTGAGCGTTACTTCCCAACCACCAAAGAACCCCAAACTGGGAAGGAATGGATCTGTGACCCATTTGTGGATAAGCCACGCGAATCACCTTTGTCTGTGCTAGAAGAGGATCAACTGCTTGAGACTGCAAATGACAGTGGCCCTAAAAGTGTGTTTGAGACAACTTCAAATCTCCATATGTTCTGGATAAAAGTCAAAGTGGAATATCCTGAGATTGCCACGTGAGCACTGAAAAGCCTGCTTCCATGTCCAGCATCCTGTCTTTGTGAAGCCGGGTTTTCTCTGTCTCTCTTTTTTTTTTTTTTTTCCAGACAGAGTCTCACTCTGTCACCCATGCTGGAGTGCAGTGGCACAGTCTCGGCTCACTGCCACCTCTGCCTCCCGGGTTCGAGCGATTCTTGTGCCTCAGCCTCCCAAGTATCTGGGACTACAGTTCTGCACCACCACACCTAGCTAAATGTTTTTTTTTATTTTATTTTTAGTAGAGATGGATTTTGCCGTGTTGGCTAGGCTAGTCTCAAACTCCCGACATCAGATGATCTGCCCGCCTCGGCCTCCCAGAGTGCCGGGATTACAGGCATGAGCCACTGCGCCCAGCCTGAAGCAGAGTTTTCTGCAGTGACAGCAACCAAAACGAGATGATGGAGTAGACTGGACATAAGCAACACATTTAGGGTGTCACTGTCCCCATCACCCACCCGCAGATGGGACTGTCTAGTTGCAGGAAAACAAGCTCAGATTTCCCACTTATGCTATGTTATGGTGAGTCGTGTAATTATTTCATTATCTATTACAATGTAATAATAACAGAAATAAACTACACAATAAATGTAATGTGCTTGAATCATCCCAAAACCATCTCCCTCCCAGGTCCGTGGAAAAACCATCTTCCACGGAGCTGGTCTCTGTGCCAAAAAGGTTGGAGACCACTGATGTAAGGTACAAAACAGGCAGCATCACGTCCGAACGGGACAGCAGTGGGGAGGAGGGACAACAGCGGGGAGGAGGGACAACAGCGGGGAGGAGGCTCTGGCGCCCTGTGCTCTGGATCCTGAACTCAGCGGTCATTGTCTGGGTGTGGATGCAGGAGGAGTTCCTCCAGCTGTACCCTTAAGACCTGCGCACATCGCTGTTTGTAAGTCGTATCTGGATAAGTAAAAAAGAAAAGGAAGCACACCAAGCAGAGCCGAAGTGACAAACTGAAACATATCTGAGCTTCCGGGAGCCAGGGCCACACCCTGGTCATCAGCCCTGTGCTTGGAGACCCAGACTCCACCTGACCCCTATCCTCAGGCCTTTCATGGATGGCAGTGGCAAGAGCAGGTACGAAAGCAGAATTCACACTCTGGTCCCCACAGGGTCCGCGTGGAAGGTGTGACATGACAGAGAGGCAGAATTTGGTGCCTGTGCTGCCGAGCGGGGCTGCGGTGAGTGCTCTGGGCCCAGCCTGTCCCAGGAGATGCACCCAGCACACCTGGAGGGCCCAGAGCCCTTCCCTCTGCCAGGCCATTCATGGGAGCTGCGTGGCTGAGAGGTTCTATAGGGCAGGGGGCTGGGCCCTGGCGCTGGCCAGGATTTAAGGCCCAGCGGGCACTTCCTAAGTTAGCATCCATGGCTGTCAGTCACCTGCCCATGCGTCGGTCTGCTTAAAAACAAAGGCAGCAGAGCCCTGCCTTGCGAGATCATTTTAAATGAGATCATGAACGTGAACAGAATGCTTGGTGCCGAGTAGGTGCTCAGAATGGCAACACACAGACTGGAGGCAGCCCTTCCAGAAGCACTGAGAATAGCAGGGCCAAGGGTGGGGGCGGGGATCTTGCCTGGGGACTGGGACAGCTCAGCCTGCAAGGCCAGGCTTCTCATGGGGAAGGGCTCTGCCACCCACGCAGTGCGTGATCTTGGACCACTTGCTTAACTCCAGTGTGCCTTGGTTTTCTCACGTTTAACAGGGGATGAATAACAGGACCTCCTGGTGGCATTGTCATTGGGCTTCAGTGATGCCAATTGGCCGCAGCCCCCTTAAACGGAGCATCTGCTTGGCCAGCCTCTATCCTGTGCCCCGTTTCCAGGTCCTGCAGAGTCACCAGAGGCCCTGCTACCCTCCATCCTTCTGTGGCAGGTGGCTGAGCTAGCAGGGGCCTCCACAGTGTCACCAAAGGTTCCCCAGCCACAGGCTTCTGTCTTCCCTGCCATGTTCATGGCCTTGGGCTGGGGTGGGGAGTGTGGTGTGCAGCCCCTGCAACCTGGAATATTTTCAGCCCCTGGAATCCTGAGCATCCCCCTGAGATGGAACATGAGGCAGGAGAGTCTTCTGCAGGAAGGTGGAATTGATTCTACCCACGCACCGTCCATCCACCCATCCATCCATCCACCCATCCATCCATACAACCACTGTCCATCCATCTACCCGTCCATCCACCCTTCCGTATGTCCACCCACTGTCCATCTACCCTTCCATCCGTCCACCCACCATCCGTCCACCCTTTCATCCATCCATAATAACAGGACTTTCCGTGTTTCCTCTTTCCCATCCCACTCAGTACGTGTACACTGAGCGCCCAGGACGCCAGCACTCTTCGAGACATGACCTACTCCCTACGCTCTGAGAGATGAGAGCCCAGCAGGAGGGATCGAGATTGTAGGCATGTCGGGAGGGCATAGAAGGTGCTGGTAGAGGGCAGAATTGGGGTATCTGGCCTCGTTTGGGGGTGTCAGGGGAAGCTTCTCAGAGATAGGGAGCCTCTCTAGTCTCTGGCATCCCTCCCCACCCCGAGCCCCAGAAGTACGTGGTGCCCCCTCCACTCTCAGCCTGGGCTCTGCCGCAGTGCACCTCCTCTGGGAAGCCTTCCGTGACCACTCTGGCTCCAGCAGGCCTCCCAGCCCCCATGCTTCCCTCCCGCAGGGCCTGACTCTCCCTGATGAGCCGGTGGAGGCCAGGGCGGTGTCCACCTGTGTGTAGTTAGTTCTGGGTGCTTGGCACACTGTAGGAACTTGGTAATTATTTGGGGAGTAAGTGGGTGACTTGGGCAAGAGGCAGGGGACAGAGCGACCCAGGCAGAAGGAACAGCACGGGTGGCCCTGAGGTCATCCTCAGGAGGGGATGGTAGCATCTTCCCCATCTCACTGCCTGGGGCCTGAGGCCCAAAGAGTTCTGGTACCATCTGGGAGGCACTCAGCCCCCTTTGGAGCCCCAGACTCAGGTTCAGGCTGACCCCTCGTGCTTACCCACAGCTTCCTGCCAAGGTCAAGGTAAGCAGGACTGCTTTATACCACCCCCCCCCCAATTCTGCCAACAGTATTTGGGAGGAGACTGGTCAGGTGCTGGAAGATGGCGTTCCTGGGGTTCCCTATCACTCCCTGTCCCCACGATCAGGCCCTTCTGGAGGCACTCATTGCCCTGCAGCCCAGGTGCAGGGGATCTGAGCAGTGTGGGGATTTGGGGCTGGGGCTGGAGCCAGGGAAACAAGCCCCAGCTGTGTGGGCACTGTGCTGGGAAACAGGCCCCGTGCACTCAAGCGCAGGTGATTCTGCAGAAAGCACAAAACCCCATGTACTCTCAATTCCCACCCAAGGATGGGAGGGTCTCAGATTTCTAGGGGCGGCTGCTTGGGAAGCACAGACAAGTGCCTCCCATGCTTCATGTCACTCAGACGGAGTTAAATCGCCCCATTCACAGGGCGCTGGGGGAGCCTGGGTCAGACCCCTGCTGCTCCTACCCAGAGCGAGCCTGTCCGTTCCCACTGGGGAAAGCTAGGTGCCCATGGGCCTCCCAACACGGAGGAGATGGTAACACAGTCACACCTGAGCCAGGTCTTCAGGAAACCCAGGATTTCTGCAGCTTTTTGTGTACTTGGAGGGTTTTCCTGCCATGGTAACCTGAGAAGCAAACCTCGTTTTCACCAGTGATTTAGAGGCAGGAAATTAATACGGGAAACAGGCAAGGAGTGAGTGAGCCGTCGCAAGCACCTTTGAGGTGCAGGCGCAGCCCGGTATGCAGGAATCTCATGTGCTCCTAAGAGGTAAGGATCGCTCTAATTCACAGAGGAGGAAACGAAGGCTCAGGACTGCGGCAGGAAGGCAGGAGTGACCGTCGAGGCCCAGCTCTTGCCTGACTGTGCAGTCGGATGCTTTCCTTCCCCAAGTCCTTCCTTCCAGGCCCCTGACTTCATTAGAGCTTCTGAACCCATGCGATGGGCTGGGCAAAGGGTTTCTTCCTCCATTCACCCATTCACTCACTCATCAGGAGCTCGGTCAGCTTGTTTCTTCCTGGCTCTGGGGATGTTCTCGAATCAGACATTCCCGTTCGAAGGCCAGGACCCCACCATCCACATCTAGCAGATAGAGGAACCAGGATGGGCCAGCGTGGCCCTGTGATGCGTCATTTGCTGGTGGGCAGGCTCAGGAGTGGACTTGGCCTGGCATCTTAGGAAATTCCCAAACTCTGCTGACGCCGGCTGTGGGGTTCCTAATTTGTCCAAATACCGAGGCAATAATACAAACTTGTTATTGATGCAGGGCCTCCAGGTGGCCCTCATTAAGTCTCGATAGCTCCCAGAATCCAGAGGGTGCTTCAGATGACCAGAGAGGAGGAATGGATGGAAACAGACATCAGAGGTGAGCATGCCATAGTGCCCCTCCCAGCACAGGCGTCCAGCTCCTGGGCGGTGGCTCCTGGCACCTTGAGGCCCCAGAAATAAGATGCACGTGGAAAGGAACCTTATTTCCTCCCCGAATTCCCTTGAAAGGACGTGGTTTTCAGCTTCTGCTCAGGGCACCTTTGCCATCAGGGTTCTCATAGCCTGACAACACACGCCATAGGTGGAAGCCACTGGATGCTGGGCGCACAGTCCTTCACTGTCTGCAGAACAGCTGCAGCCTTTACAGATGGAGAAACTGAGGCTTGCGGGGCTCAGCATCTTACCGAAGGTGGAGCAGCAGGAGGGTAGAGGAGGGAGCTGGGTTGAAGCCAGGTTTTCGGACCCCAGGCCCAGCGCTGTTCCTTCCCTCAGGGTCCAAGTGTACTGTTGAGTCCAAAGGGCTGAAGACATTTGACTGAGCAGCTACTGTGCGCCAGGCCTGGGGGTTTTCATCTGCATGAGACCCAGTTGCTAGGAGGAACTCGGAAGCCGGGCCTGGAATGCTGCAGGTGGCTTTTCCCGGTGCCCCACGAGCATGGTGCCAGGGTGCCGCTGGGCTGGATGCTTGGGCTGCTGCCACTTCTTGGACCAAAACTGGTAGAGACTAAGGTGAGAGCTGAGGGTGAGTGTCACACGGCCCAGGAGTCGCTGTCATGTGCCCGGCCACTGAATGTGGACCCCAAACCTGTCCGTCGAAATCTAAACCTGTTTGCTTTACAAAGGGGGTGGGAGTGGGGCACAGCAGTCAAGTATCCCGGTGTGAGCCAGCTGCCAGGACTCTAGAGCCCGCGGGGCCTGGAGGAAGCGTGCAGCTGCCCGTGTCCCCACGAGGAGACGGAGATGTAGCTGAGCCTGCTGGAGATCGGGCCGCCCCCAGCACTAGTGGGGCCTTTCCCAGAGCCCCACATGCTCATCGTTCCCAAACATTCCCTGGTACTTCCCTGGGATCTAGCTCAGATGGGGCTCTGCTCAAAACAAAATAGGGGCTTGGGTTTTTCTGGCCTCCCCGGGCCAGCTCTGTCCTAGGGATTACGGCCCTTCGGGTGTAATCAACCCCCTGTGCTTCTGTGTCCCCGAGCCCCTGGCTGTGCTACTGGGGGACAGGCACAGGGACTGTGTGCTCCTGGGGACGGGCTCAGGGACTACAGGCAGCTCTTTTCTCCAGGCTTGGGGGAGCGGGTGCTGGCACGAAGGCCACAGGCAGGCAACCCCGGAGCATGTTGGGGAGCAGCGTGGAGGGCATCATGGGCAGGAGGGGCTGGCTTGGGGGGCAGAGGCGGTGCTGAGCAGGATTCAATCCGGATCTTCCATCTACTTTGTGTGCTCTTGGCTTTGGTCAGCCCTTCTGAGGATGGGGGGGGGGGGGTCCCTCCCTGCTGGGGGTCCGCCTGTGGGTCCCTGCCTCAGGCCTGTGTCCTAAGCTCTGAATCCCCCTTTCTTCACTGAGTCACACGCTTCACCCTGGCCCCCAGGAATCAGCCACTCCAGCCCCACCCCATCATAAAGATGGGGAAACTCAGGTCCAGCTGGGGCAAGGGTTTGCTGCTGAACCAACTCCTGCACCCCCGTCCCGGGTGTCCTCCTAGGACTGCCACTCCCAGGGAAGCCTGGGTGGTCCTGCCCTCCACGTGGCTCCCCGACAGCTCGTGCGCTGGGCCTCAGCTCAGGGGCCAGGCTGTGGGTGAGCTGTGGGCACCCTCCTCTGACCGTGTGCCTTGGCTGTGTCCTCAGGGCCACAGACCTCGGTGCCCTGTGTGGGGCAGCTGCTCCTAGGGCAGCCTGGAGCACACATGGGCTCTGCAGTCAGCTGCCTGGGCTGGACTGGCTTCCTCCACCTCCCAGCATTGGCAGGTCACGTTTCCCTGTGTGTTCAGTGGGATGGTAATAGTACCTTTCCACAGAGCTGGGGGGATGAAGTCTGGGACTGACCTAGGGTGGGGTTAGTCAGGAATTGGCGAGATCCCTGCAGTTATTCTCTTGTCCCCGAGCTGTGTGTTCCAGGGTCCTCGGGCAGAGGGTGCCCCCAGGGTCCTACTGTGGATCAGGAATCTGGCAGAGCCCATCGGCTGCCCTCCAGATGGTGCCTGGCACACACTGTCCCGGTGGCCTGGATCTGTGTCCCAGGCCCCCACACCAAGTATGAGATGTTGCAGGCTCTGGATTTTCTGCTCCTGTCCCGAGTCTGGCTGGGAAAAGGGAGAAGGCGGACCCTTTGGTGGTGCTGGGACAAGGGCAGATGCTGAGCCTGGCATCCCAGGCTCTTCTGGCCCCAGACTTGCTGTGCCATGTCAGGCTGTTCTGAGTCCCCAGGGCCGCATTCCCCCCACTGGGCCTCGGGCCATGTCGTGGACTTTTCTTTCAGGGTCCTACTCATTGTCATCTCCTCTGGGAAGTGGCATCTCTGTGGTCTCACAGATGGGGTGGGGGATGGGTCTGTGCCCACTGAACAGGCAGTCCCTGGGAGACGGGGCTGCTTCTGACTCAGTGCTGTGTCCCCTGTACCTGGGGTGGGTGCTGCGTTAGTGAATGAATCAATGGCAGGTGGCCCCCCCAGCCTGTGCCCCTGCCGTCCTCACCTTGGCTGGTCACCATGAGCAGGTCTGTTTCCTGACCAGAATGAAGGCCCTGCCGCCGTATCCCCCTGCCCAGCATCTAGTGGGTGCTCCCGAGCCCACATCGAGGCAGAGGCTTAAAGTGACGGTGGACTCCGTCCACCCCTGCCCCATCCCCCTGCTAACGTGGGAAGTGGGGTTGGTGGCGTCTCACAATTTTGCATTGTGCCCACCACAACGTCAGAGGAACAAAGCGATCCAGCTGGGTTGGGATCTGTGATTTTCAGGTCTTTGTGACCCACCTCCTCCGCCGCTGTTACTCTAAGCAGTGGAGATTAAAACCAGAGCTGAAGTGGCCTCGGGGGAGGAGGAGGAGACTGAGCTTCCTCCTGAGGTGTAGGATTGAGAGGCCGAGTCACAGAGGGACGGACTGGCCTGATCCACTCCGGGGCAAACAGCCCTGGAAGGGCACAGCCCCCGAAGTCCCCGCTGAGAGCTGGTGGTGCGGCATGGCGCGGTGTAGCTTGCAGGAGGTAGCACTGCGTGGACCTCTGGAGGTCTCTGGAATCTCCCTCTGGGTGTTGCTGACTGGGAATCTTCCTCTGGGTGTTGGCTGACTGGTAGCTGGGTGGTCTTGGGCAGGTCACTCAACCTCTGATCCTCCATTTCCTCAGGTTTAAGGGAATGGTCATTGTGAGCACGCGCAGCATTCCTGAGTCCATGACATCAGGACTGCATGGCGCTGCGGGGTGCTGTGGATGTGGGTTGTTACTGTTCACGAATCCCGCTGCTCATGCAGCAAACATTTGTTGAGCCTTTAAAAATTGCAATGAGTTGTAATGTTTAGAAGTTGATTAATGGAAATTAAAATTACATTCCATGAAACGACAGCCCCCCACTCACCTCCACAGCCCCACCCCAAGCTTTGGATGCCTTCACATGAAGAAGGGGGTGTTGGCACCCTTCCCCTGTATCCATCTCACCCACTCCTGCCCACATGGGCCAAGAGTTTGCCTCTAGTCCCTGAGCCTTGTCCAGCTGACCGGGGCTCTGGAAGGTCCCAGCTGTTGGGGTTAGTCTGCCTCTTCCTTCGGCCCCTTCGCCTTCTAGGTGGGGAAGCAGGTGCTTCACAGAAGTCCCTCCCTCCCAGTTATTTTTATTTGTCCACCAAAGTCTGAGAGCAGTGTTCTCTTATCCTCTCCCCATCCTTCCCCACCCAGCACTGTTTCTCTGGGGGCCATTTAGGCAGCCTCTCAGGCGGCCTCCTTCAGCCCCTGGGATCATTCCTGATCCCTTTCAGTTGTCCCTCATAACTTGGGACCCCAAAATCTGAAATTAAAATCCTCCTGCATCCTGTTGGCCCCCGCTGCGCGGTGAAGCCTCATTATTCCGGCTTATTAACAGGAGGACTGCATGGACAAGGGGTGCCTGTGATGGGGCTGGCGGGAGATTAGCAATGCTAATGCTGGTAATTAGGGACGTGGCATTGGCGCTGGGTGCAGGCTTGCTGGTGAATTTAAGGGCCAGATTTCCTGTTAGGAATGTGGGAATAATTAAGGTGGCTGGAGGGTGTGGACAGGCTTGCCCGGAGGCAGGTTCAGGCCCTCTTGCCAAGAGGAGGTGCGGAAAAACTGGTGATCTAAGCCCGTGGCACCTGCCCTGGTGGAGGTGCGGCATCTTAAGCACTTCTGCATTTCACAGATTGCTTTCAGATTGCTTTTTACAGAAGGGGAAACTGAGGCCCAGGGTGGCAGTGGCTTGCCTGAGTCCCCACCCCACTGGCCCCTGGCTGTATTTTGAGGATGGGGACTTTATTGTTGTCCCCACCACCTAACTCTGGGCTTTTTGAGTTTTTGATAGATACATCACTCTTCCTGCTTAAAGCCCAGAGCCCAACCATGTCTTACTCATCCTCACCTCCCTGGGCCTCTGCAACCTCCTCCTGGTCTCCCTGCCTCCGTGGGCAGCCTCTTATTCATCTTGGATTACTGGGCAGCTCCTGGACTGCTGGGCTCCCATCTCTACCCGTCTCCCTCTTCCTCAGACCCACCCTCCTGCAGGTGGCCTTTGCTGCCTTCGGCCCTATCCCTTCGCCCCTCCCTAGCCCTGCTCCCACCCATCCCCTGTGGCCGTGACTTCTCCTGGTCTCCTCGTTGATGCTGGGACAGGACGGGCTGGGTGTCCCACAGTTACCTCCGCCCCATGTCTGGGAACCCTACTTAACTTCCAAGACAGCGCCAGCATCTCCTTCACCCTTTCCTGGTCCCCACTGTGCTCACAGATGCGTTGAGCCCCCTCTGCCGCCCCCACCTGGGAAGCTCGTGGGAGGTCCAGTGGGAGAACCTTGGCATTTGCTCAGTGCGCAGTGCTTCCTGCATTTCATTGAAACTTCGCGGCAACTTTGCAAGGTGACAGGTAAGGCCTCAGGTGGGGACACCAGTCACACATGGCAGTCCTGGGGCAGAGCTCAGACGTGTTCTACCCACAGCCCTCTCTCCTTCTCCACTTACCTAACTGCACCCTGGAGCTTCAGAGTCTCCCCAGCCGTGGGTGAAGGAGCGTCTCCTGCCTCTATGGGTCGTGCAGCTTCCCGCAGTCCCTGGCTCATCACAGCAGCCTGCTTTTGGCTCAGCGGGAGTCTCCCTCTTCCCCAGCCCTGTCTGAGCCGATCTTGAGTTTTCTACTGGAGGCTCCTAAGGGGTCTTGGCAGAAGGCAGGAAGGGCCTGCGCTTGTGCAGCTGCTGCAGATGGTCGGTGCCGGCTCTGAGCTCACGCACTGGAGGCGCCGTGTGTGTGCAGCCCAGCAGCCTGGTGGAGGTTTTGTGAAGTCCTTGGTCTTTTTCAGTCCTCAACCAGCTCCTGCTTTTCTGCAGGTCCAGGTGCTATCAATGCATAGCAGAGAAGCGAGACACGAGTCCTTCCTTAGTGCCTTCCTGGTCATCAGTGAGGCCAGAGTGCATTTATTTCCATAATGGCGCATCCAGATTTCCTGCCCCATATTCAGTGCCACCCAGAACCTGTTCCTGATCCTGGTCCTGGGTCTCCTCCTAGAGATGGCACCTTATTTTTCAGGCCCTCATTGACATAACTATGAATATTGATTCCATTCCAGATGAAGCATCTTAGCCATGCAGCTGCCATAATGAGGGTCTATCAGTGCTGCCCCTGAGAGGGCATAGGTCTGTGCACCAGCTGGGCTCCTCTAGCTGCCCCCTTGGCCCTGCCTTTCTATGAGGGTTGGAGCTGCAGCTCTTGTCCTTCTTAAAATATATAGATTTTTTGGGCGCAGTGGCTCACGCCTGTAGTCCCAGCACTTTGGGAGGCCAAGGCAGGCGGACCACTTGAGATCAGGAGTTGATACCAGCCTGGCCAACATGGAGAAACCCTGTCTCTACTAAAAATACAAAAATCAACCATGCATGATGGCAGGTGCCTGTAATCCCAGCTACTCTGGAGGCTGAGGCATGAGAATGGCTTGAACCTGGGAGGCAGAGGTTGCAGTGAGCCAAGTCCGCGCCACTGCACTCCAGCCTGGGCAAGAGAGTGAGACTCTGTCTCAAAAAAACAAAAAACCAGGCATGGTGGCAGGCATCTGTAATCCCAGCTACTCGGGAGACTGAGGCATGAGAATGGCTTGAACCTGGGAGGTGGAGGTTGCAGTGAGCCGAGATCGAGGTACTACACTCCATCCTGGGTGACACAGCGAGACTCTGTCTCAAAAATAAAATACATAGATTTTTAAAATTTGAGATAAAATTTGCATACATTGAAATTCACAGATTTTGATTGTACTGCTGGATGAGTTTTGACAGTTGTGTACACCCAGGTAACTTATACTCCAAAATAGAGCATTTGCATCACCTCAGAAAATTCTGCACCTGCGCGATGCGTCCCGCAGAGCACCCGCTGTTGAGATTTCATCACCAGGGATTAGTTTTGCTGCTTCTTGAGCCTCATGTCCGGGGAGGCCTGCGGCCTTTGTGTGGGCTCCCTTCGTTCCACGCAGTGCTATGAGGCTCCTCCGTGTCATCGAGAGTATTCGTCATTCTTTCCCTGCGTGTTTCTCAGTGGCATCCCGTGGCGTGGGGGTCCCACAGTAGGTTTGCCCACTCACCAGTTGATGGACATTTGAGTTGTTTTCCCTTTTAAGAGATTATGAATAAAGCTGCTCCGAATTTTCATGCACATGATGTTTTGGGGATACAGGTTTTCATTTCTCTTGTGTAAACACCTAGGAGTGAAATTGCTGGGTCAGAGAGCACAGGTGTGTGTTTAGTTTTGTAAGAAATGACCCAACTATTTTTTGAAGTGTTCGCACTGCCTCCCACTCCTGCAGTGGTTTGTGAGAGACCCGGCTACTCCGTGATGGCCCAGCTCAGCCCACTTGGGTCTCCGTCCTCAGCGGCCTGCACCTGTGCTGAGTGTGCACCTGTGTTCACACCTGGTGGCCGCCTGGCTGTGATGTCTCCGTCTCTGCCCAGCCTTTGAGGCTCCTTTCTCCCTGGAACTTGGTCCTTCAAGGCTTTCTCGTAGTCACTGCTCTTGGGGATGAATAGGATTTTTATTTTGTCTGGGTGTGTTTTGATGTTACCATGGAGTTAAAGTTTTCTCATCCTTCCACTTCTTCAGCAGAAGCGAATGTTCAGCCGGGTGCGGTGGTTCATGCCTGTAATCCCAGCAGTTTGGGAGGCCGAGGCAGTTGGATCACTTGAGGTCAGGAGTTCGAGACCATCCTGGCCAACATGGTGAAACCTCACCTCTACTAAAAATACAAAAAAGTAGCTGGGTGTGGTGGCGGGCACCTGTAATCCCAGCTACTCAGGAGGCTGAGGCAGGACAATCCCGGGAGGTGGAGGTTGCAGTAAGCCGAAATTGCGCCATTGCACTCCAGCCTGGGCAATAAGAGTGAAACTCCATCTCAGGAAAAAAAAAAAAAAAAGAAAGAAAGTGGATGTCCACAACTTTTGTCTTAAATTACAAGTTTCCTGTAGAACAGCATTGTCTAATAAAAGCGCAGTGAGAGCCATATGTGTAAGTTTAAATCTTCTGGTAAGCCACAATAAAAAAAGTAAAAAGAAACAAGTGAAATTAACCTGGGGGGGTGAAAATCATTTTAATAATTATTTTATGTAATCCAATATGTCCAAGATATTATTTCAGCATGTACTTCATTTTTAAAATATTAATTAGATACTTTAATATCTTTTCATGAGTCTTCAAGGTCCCACTTGAAACCCGTCTCAGCTCAGGTTAGCCACTTGCAAGGGCTCACCAGTAACGGATGGCAGGAGGCGGTCCTGTCTCGAGTGGGCAGCGAGGCATCCAGGTGGGATGTCACACGCAGATCTGGAGCTCGAAGGAGAGGGGCTGGGGACAGGAGGCGACAGGGCTGCCGGTATACAGGGAGAGATGAGGGCCACAGGCCAGGAGCCAGCATTTCTGCTGGGCCAGAGAGACAGTCGGCCTGAGGCTGCGGCCTCTCTACAAGGAGCCGCCTTCAGAACCAGGCGGGACCTGCAGCTTCCCCTGTGCCGTCTCCACTGGACATGGCCAGGGAGGAGCACTCCAGGGCTCATGCAGGTGACAAGGCGGACCCCACAGCCCCGTTCCGTAGCTCTCCCGGGAGGGGGCTTGGCCCATTCATCCCAGGAGTGAAGACAGCAGCCGGGTTCTTCAGGACCCTCCAAAAAGATGTTCTCCACGGTATTTGGAGGACAAGGAATGTTTCCGCCTCTCCTAGTACATTTAAGTCAAAATCTAAAGCTTATTTTCAACACGTTATTTGCACAGTTAGAAGTGCTGTTCCTTCTAAAAATACCCCAGCAGAGAGAACAGAATGTGGTGTGTCTCCTGGGCAGCACGGCGTGGCGCCAGGCTCAGCTCTGGGCCCCAGCCCAGAGTGGGTTCGTGCGAGGTTGGAGCTTCCCCGAGGCGGGCAGAGACAGGGCAGAGCCACCCCTTCTTGAGCTGAACACTTTTCTAGTCTCGCTAACTCTGCTCCCCCTGTGAAGCTGGCATCAACATCTCCATCTTACAGATGAGGAAACTGAGGCTCAGGAGGTTAAACAGCTTGAAGTCACAGCTGCAGAAGGCCCTGTTGCCCTCTCCCATGAGACCTGCCAGTTTCTTGGGGCCTCCAAGGTGCCAGGTGTGAGCCATGTGCTTCTGTTTTTTTTTTGTTTGTTTGTTTGTTTTTGAGGCGGAGTCTTGCTCTGTCGCCCAGGCTAGAGTGCAGTGGCTCGATCTCGGCTCACTGCAAGCTCCACCTCCCGGGTTCACGCCATTCTCCTGCCTCAGCCTCCCGAGCAGCTGGGACTACAGGCGCCCGCCACCACGCCCGGCTAATTTTTTGTGTTTTTAGTAGAGACAGGGTTTCACCGTGTTAGCCAGGATGGTCTCGATCTCCTGACCTCGTGATCCGCCCGTCTCAGCCTCGCAAAGTGCTGGGATTACAGGCGTGAGCCACCGCGCCCGGCCATGTGCTTCTGTTTTAACTGTCAGGGCAAACCTGTGTGAACGTTAGTTCTCCCTGTTTACAGAGGAGGGAAACTGGGGCTCGGGGAGTTTGAGTAACTTGTTCAGGGTCTCATAACCCTTAGGTGGCAGGACTGGGGTTTGCTCTCAGATCTTTGGGCTATGTTCCTGAAGCTTCCAGTTAGACGCAGGTCAGAGGGAGTGTGTCGGGGACAGGGGTGACCACTGGACCGATTGCCGTGATCCTTTTTCTCTTGATGAAAGTGAATATACTGCATGAGCGTGTGTGTTTAACCAGCCACAGAGATATCAAAGGCCCTGGGAACTTCTTCTGGAGCAGAGCAGGGACTGTCCTCCTCTCCAAAGCCTAGCGCCACATGTCTTCTCTTCCCACGCTCCTGGAAGGTCTCAGCGAGGGCTGGGACACTTCCCAGGATGGCCTGGTGGGGCCTGCTGAGCTTTCGGTGGGTCTGGAGTTAAGCAGCCAGACCAGGAAAGAGTGAGGACCAGACAGGGACAGGCGATGTGGCCATCCCAGACACTTTGCAGAAGTGGGTGCAGTGGGGACTTTGGACGAATCAGAAGCTTCTGGCTGAGGGGACCTTTAGTTCTTCTAACCCCAGACTCAGGGGACTCCAGGACTCCCTACACCCTCCAGTTATGGGCCCACGTGATGTTACCCTTGGCTTGGAAACTCCTAGAGCCCCAGTGCCTACCTGCAGAGTCGAGACAGCTTAGCTTGATGGGTGTGGTCTGTCCATGTGCTGACACCTGCCCGTTCCCAGATGGACCTGACGCCCTGGCAGGGGAGGGCTCTGTTCCTGACCACGCCATCCTGGTATACCTCTAGACTGTCCCTCTCTGCCTGGGACGATGTTGTCCCTTCTTGGCCTGAAAAAAACTCCTGCTCGTGGAAGTCCCTTCTGTTGGATGTGGACGTCTGTAAGGAGTCTCATTCATGTTTGTTGTGATGATGTCATCGCTCCTCTATGTGCCTGTCTTGTCTTAGGTCGCGTGCGGTGATGGGTGGCTGGGTACCAGGCTGTTCTAACATCCTCACCGCCACGCTCCAGGACAGGGGAAGCAGGTGGGTGAGGTGCAGGTGAGGGCCAGCGGCACCTGAGAGTCAGGAGGAAGTGGCCGATGGGACTCTGAGCCCCGTGCAAAGGCCCCCTGCCTTGTGGCAGCCACCAGGACCACCCACTGGGTCAGCAGTCCCCAGGAGGGGACGGGCTGCCATGCCCACGTCAGAGGAGAGGAAGCAGAGGTCAAGAAGGGCCCCTCTGGTCTTGTGGTTACACATGCCATATATTTTCTTGTTAGTTTTCACCAGGAAGTCCCTCAAACTGCGTGGAAATGCAGCGACTGCTGAGCATGGCAGGATCTCAGTAAATAGACAAGGACGCTTCACGAGTCCATGGCCTGTCTCCTGGGGACTGCCAGAGCCTTCCCTGTGGTTGTGTAAATCATTTGTATTCAGTTACTGTGCCCGGAAAACCCTTCCCTCGCGGTGCAGGGTACACACAGATTCATTCCTCACTTGCTTGGGGCAGTCATGTGTCTGTCTCTCTGTCTCTGTCTCTCTGTCTGTCTGTCTGTCTCTCTCTCTCTCTCTCTCTTATCTGCACGAAGAGCTCCAGATACTCGTCTCCTGGAATGGTGGAGATGAACTAGGCATGGAGGTGCGTGACCAACCTCAGACGGCTCCCCCACCCCACTTAACGCTTACCCCTTCTATGTAGCCGAGACCTTCCCGTGCACTTCCGTTGAGTTGCGGGCAGCACGTTCTGATGCTCACTTCTGGTCTGTTTCCCCAGATCGCGGGCAGAACCTCTCATCTGTGCACAAGGGACCCAGCACGGGGTAGGTGTGCAGTGAACACTTGCTGAGTTTAGTCAGTGCCAATGGCTTCAGGAAATAGAAGAGGCCGAGCGCAGTGGCTCACGCCTGTAATCCCATCACTTTCGGAGGCCGAGGCGGACGGATCCCCTGATGGCGGGAGTTCGAGACCAGCCTGACCAACATGGAGAAACCCTGTCTCTACCAAAAATACAAAATTAGCCAGGCGTGGTGGCACATGCCTGTAATCCCAGCTACTTGGGAGGCTGAGGCAGGAGAATCGCTTGAACCCAGGAGGCAGAAGTTGCAGCAAGCCGAGATGTGCCAGTGCACTCCAGCCTGGGTGACAGAGTGAGACTCCATCTCAAAAAAAAAAAAAAAGAAATAGAAGAGACCTGAAGCTGTTTCCACAGCGGGGCGGGAGCATTTGCCAATCCAACCAGAAGTCTGTCCCCGAGGACAGGACCTGCTCTCCTTGGCGAGTGCCTTGTTAGAATGCGGGGCCCCCTTTGAGGGGCTTGTGGGCACCTCTAGGGTTGCTGGAATGTTCTGTATCTTGGTCTGCACGGTGGTTACTTGGGTGTAGATGTTTGTCAAATCCAGTGAGCTGTGGCCTAAGCTCTGTGCCATTCACTGGAAGTAAAATGGGCCCTTCCTCTGGAGGGCCAGGGGTTGGGGATGGGGTGACTGGGGTCCACCCACCCTTGCATCCCTGCCCACACCAAGGCTAGCTCCAGGAGGCCTCTGCAGAGAGAGGAGCACCTGCTGGGCCGTCATCGGCATTCCGTGGTGCAGGTGCGGAGGTGCACCCTCAGATTCCAGGCCGTCATCAGCGTTCCGTGGTGCACCCTCAGTTAGATCCCAGGCCGTCGGAGGTGGGGATGATGAAGCTGAGGCCAGCGGGACTGTGTGAACCCATCTTTTGTGGGAATTAGATCTTCTCAATGACCGTCTATTTTACAGAGGTCTGGAGGTCAGTGGGGACAGGCAGCTAGAGGCACTACCATCGATTGGATTTTGCTGCTACTGTGATTTGTTTGGAAGACGTGTGCCTGGTGGTGGCGGCCACTCCAGATCCAAGGGCCCAGGTTGGGGGTTCAGGGCCCCCTGGCTAGGAAGGAATAAGGACACTCTGATAGTGGGTGAGCAGTCTGTGACACAGGGACGAGTAAGTACCAACCACTTGTGTTTTTCCTCTTACCTCAGGCTCAAGAGAGGCAGCACCTCTCCTCTCTGGGGTGGGGCATTCGCCCCCCAATCTGCCCTCTCCTGGCAGCCCTTACAGCAAGCCCATGGCCCCTCTTAAAGAACAGATTTTGCTGCATCTTTAGGAAACAGATGAGTAGAGGGAAAACTAACCTCCGGGTCTTCCCAGTGGAGGTTCGAGGCCTCCAGCCTCTGCCCCGGGTCCTCTGTTGAGTGACACGGCCTCACCCACCCTCTCCAAGGCCTCAAGGCTGCGTCTTTCCCTGTGCCCTGCCTTCCTTCCTTCCTGGGGGACGCAGCTTAGAGATGTCCCTCCTGTCCAGCCCCTCCCTGGATTTTGGACATTCCCAGCAGGCTGCTGGCTGTGCCAGTCCTTCTCTGAGAGCAGGGCCCACGGTGGGAGGGATTGCACAGGAGGCTCCTGGTGGGCTCCTGGGCCCCTGGAGTCCAGATCTCTTCCAGATGGTATGTTTTCCAGTTGAGTAGATGCAGAAGTGGCCGTTTTAGCTGGTCTCACGGACACCCTCCACGGCAGAACTAGCGTGACCTCAGAGGCTGCCACTTCCGTGCAGAAGTTTCCAGAATACACCTCTACACATGCACCTGTGGTCACGGGGGACCTCACAACCATTTTTTGACACCCCCCCCCCAAGATCACAACCCCCAATCCTTAGTTCATGATGCCATTCAGAGTGTGTGTTTTTTTGCTAAATAGCATAAAATTACATCCTTTCAACTTAAACAAACTGCTCTGCAACGCCGAGGGCCGCTGAACGGGTGTTTTAAATGTCAGCATACGGTAGCCACTTGTGTTGTCTGGCACTTTTTGATTAAGAGCAGCTGCCTGTAAAGGCCTCTGCGATTGGTTAAGTGGCCCTGGGCAGCCTGCCTCGGCCGGCCTGGCTTTGGTCAGGGTCACCGAGACCGAGCCGGGTGGGAGCCGCCTGCGCCTGGCAGCCGGGCCACAGCGGCCGCATATCTTTGTTCCCGCAGTGCTCTCAGTAAACAGAATTGCCTCGGAGCGAGACATGAGCAGCATTCTGGAGTCAGAACTTTAGAAAGTGACTCTTCGGGTGGTCATGGTGGCTCATGCCTGTAATTCTAGCACTTTGGGAGGCCGAGATGGGTGACTCGCTTGAGCCCAGGAATTCGAGGCTGCAGTGAGCTACGGTTGCGCCACTGCACTGCAGTTGGGGCAACAGAGCGAGACCTGGTCTCTGAAAAGAAAGAAAGAAAATGACTCCTTGTGGGGCTTGCTGAAGCTGGCTTTGGAAGAGGGTTCCAGCATTGAGGTCTTCTAAGAGTCCCCTGGGCGTAGCTCACCTCTCCGGAGCTGCTGGGTATCGGGGCTGTCACCAGCACCCTGGGAGAGAGCAGGATTCAGGATGGGGAAGGGCTGCAGGCCCCGGACAGCTGTTCCTGGCAGGAGAAGATACCGAGGTCCAAACAGGCCTCAGTACCTCGGGGTTGGGGGGTGCCGCCCTTGCGCCCTGCCCTTTCAGGGCTTGGCCAGCAACCTATCCTGTCAGAAGAGGTGAGAGCCCTTCTGGTGCCTGCCCCAGAGTGCTCTGCCTGACTCACATTCAGCTCCTGGGCATGGATGGATTCAGGGCCCCTGGTGGCAGGCCCCTCCTCTCCTCCTTCACTGTCCACCTTTGGGAGCTGTAGCCTCCAGTGCTCTGAGCCTCTTGGCACCCCTGCTGCTGGTGCCTCTGCCCCTCCCACCACCCTCCTGTCCCGCCTCCCGACTCCTATGTGCTTTCCTGACTGCCCACTGGTAACATTCCGGTCCAGCTTGCAAGGTGCCACTCAGACACCCCCTCCTGCTTCCAGCTGTAGACAGAGCTCCCTCTGTCTCCTTCATGCATATTTATTTATTATAAAATATACAAAGGGCCCTATAGTAAGCCTCCACATGTTCTCCACCCAAATGGGTAAACAGGGAGGTTGGGCAGTTTGCTTCTGATCACTTTCTTAAAGGCTAGTACACGGTAGAGGCAATAGGCATCCTCCAGCTTCCTCCTCTCCCTCTCCCCTCCACAGGGGCAGCCGCAGTCATGACTTGGGGATAGACCCAGCCCTGGCTGTGTGCGTTTATGGGACACCAGCAGGCCACACCCGCCCCAGTGCTGGCTTTGCCTGAGCGGATGGAGTCAGGCTGTGCGCAGACGCAGGTGCTCGTGTTGTTCACCCCGAGGGGTGTCTTCCACACTCTTGGTGACCCGGGCAAGTCTGGTTTCTTCCCTCTGGCTGCTGGGAAGTTTTCCATTGTATGAGAACTTTCTGGTTCCTCTTTTCCCTCCTAGTGACAGTGGGTGGATCCCAGCTTGCCTGGTTGCAGGTGCTGCAGGGGTCCTTCCTGGAACTGCAGGCCTGGGCTCGCTGCCTCACCTCATCTTCGACCTGTCGCCTCCCCTCCCTCCAGCCCGGTGGACCCTCGCATCTCTGTGGGTCCCTCAGGCCTGCCGCCTCATGCTGCATTTCTGTGGGTGTGTCTTGGCCCACAGAGGCGCGCAGGACTGAGAGGCAGTGGCACCATTGGAACGACTCAAGTGCCAGTGCCACCGGCTGCTGTTAGAGCACCTTTGTGCCGGGCATCTCCTGGTACAGGGACCTCCCCTCTGGTCCTTGTAACAGTGACAGCAGTTCTTGCCCTCTTTCTTTGGAGGTGGGGGAGCAATGAGTCTGGCATGACCAGCGCCAGTCCAGAAGTCAAATTCAAATGCACATGGGTTGGCCTCCCCATGGTGGTCTTTGTTGCAGGTGCACCGGGCATGGTGGTAAACGCACGTGGGCTGGAGGAGGCACAGGGCAGCCAGCTGAGACCAGAGCAAGTGGAATTTGCCTGGATTTTCACATGCACTCGCCGTGGCCCTTGCTGGTCCCTCCTGGATGAGCTTGGGGCTCATGAAGGCGGGATGTCTGGATGAGGGTGGGGGACACCAAATGGGGACATAAAGGCCAAGCCTAAGCACATTCTCATGCAGCAGCAGCGGCCCGTGGAACCAGCTCGTTCGTTCCTGACAGTGATAAAGGCGGCAGTTGGATTTCATCTGTGAATAATGAACTGGTTTCACATGACAGTAAAAGTGGTGCTTATGTTATATTAATATTTATTAGCGGTTATTGATGTTGGAACTGACTTGTTATCTTTGCCACACATCACAGCAGTTCTCTAAAGATGCAAGGAAAATTGCAACTCGAGAAGCAATTAAATTGCCGTGCTCTGTGGCTGTGCGCGTGGCGGCTGGGCCATGTGGAGAGGAGGAGAGCAAGGCCGCCTTCCATGGGGGCTTCTGGGAGGCCTGGGGCTGCCTCCCCTCTCGCCTCCCCAGCCTGGTGAAGCTCAAATGTCCAGAGGCCTGTGGGTCCTCAGCCCCGGCAGTGGGGCCTCAGCGGTGAGGGGTGGGGGGCCTCTGCAGCCCCAGGGCCTGAATGGTGGGTGAAGACTCTGGAGAGCCTGGTCCACCCTTGTCCAGTGAGGGTCTCCATGGGAAACACGGCCCACTGCGAGGAAGCAGCCACAGAAACCCAGCGCCTTCTGTAGACAATTGTCCTGGTTTCTTTAAAAAGTTCCTTTAAGCCATGTGTGTTGGCTCATGCCTCTAATCCCAGCACTTTGGGAGGCCAAGGTGGGCAGATCGTTTGAGGTCGGGAGTTCGAGACCAGCCCAGTCAACATGGTGAAACACTGTCTCTACTAAAAATATAAAAATTAGCCAGACATGGTGGTGGGCGCCTGTAATCCCAGCTACTCGGGAGGCTGAGGCAGGAGAATCACTTGAACCCGGGAAGCAGAGGTTGCAGTGAGCCAAGATCACGCTATTGCACTGCAGCCTGGGAGACAGAGCAAGACTCCGTCTCAAAAAAAAGTTCCTTTCATGGGAAGAAGGGGTGCTGTGGGGCTGTTCTAAATGGAAAGAGGCAGAAGAGACCCACAAATGACAGGGCTCGTCCTGGACCAGGTCCTGCTTGTAACCAATGGGACAGTCAGGGAGTTAGACTGTGGCCTGGCAGTTCGAGGACGGCGGGCGTGAGGCTGGTGTTGCCGTATGGGGTGAGTCCTGGTGGTGCGTGCTGAAGCGGGGGTGGGAAGAGCTGAGGGGTCCCGCACAGCTGATGTCAAAGCCAGCGCTGGAACCCCTCTGCCCTGGCAGAGCTCCAGAGCCAAGTCCCTAGAGCGCTCAGAAACATTTATTAAAGACAGATTTTTCCAGAGCCACATGTGGCTTTTGCCCTGGAAGGTTGTAGGGTCTGCACCAACACCTGTCTCCTTCCCGCTGTCTCCCCGTGTCTGAGCTTCCTAGAGATTTCCCCAGCTGTGCCCCGCCCCGCCCCAGACTCAGCCATGGCAGGAAGAATTTGAAGTTATCTTTGACTGTTATGGCCCGTTTTTTACCCCCTATTAAAATGCTTGGAGCTGTAAACGTAGTCACAAGCTCATTGATCTTGAAGTAAGTGCGGCTGTAAACTACCTGGTGCTGGTGAAATCGAGTCTGAGATGATTGTTTCTGCTGGTGTCAATAAATTCCAGCTTGGAGCAGAAAGGTCAGCCCTTGCCAGAAAAAAATGGCTTTCAGCTCGCTAATTAAAGGTTTGTAGGGAAGTGGAAGAACGCACTCGGGTAGGCTTGGAGTGAAGAAAACACGTAGAGATTGGAGAGCCTGAAGCTAGCTTAGCATTGGCGGAGAATGGACGGTTGTTGGAAGGGGATGGCAGTGTTCGAAAAGGAACCCACCGTCCCCAGGGCGGTGAGGAGGGGGCCCTGCAAGGCAGCCCTGTTTGCAGCAGACTCTTCCCCAGATAATGGGGACTTTGGACTTTGACTCAGAATCGTCTCTCCTTTGGTGCTGGGGCTGTAGGTCCATGGTTGCAGAGCCCACTCTTTCTGCCTGCCTAGCTAAGGGTGCTGGATACTTGAGGGCACCCCATATTTGCTCCCTGAAGAGCTGCAGGGCACCTCGAGTCCCAGGCAGGGGCACACAGGCCGTTGGTTTGGAGTTTTGGGGGGACACGCATGGCCAGGCACTGTTTGTTGCCGGCCTCCTGCGGGTGTGGACGTTTCCCCAGGGCGGGTTGTGTCCCTTTCTTGGTAACTGACTAGGGAGGATCAAGTGGAAATAGCTCTTCCTGTCATCTCCTCACCTCTCTCTCGGGGTTCTGCCTCTCCGCCGCCTCCATCCGTCCCTCTCCTTTGGGTCTCCCCTCCTTTCCCTGTCCCCGGCTGTGAATTCCTAAAGTAAGGGCACAGGAGTTGTCAGGGTCCCAAGTCAGGAGGGAGCGTCGAGCCTTGACCAGATATGAGGCCCAGAAACACAGACACAGAGCCAAAGACGCTCCCGAGAAGAACTCGTGTGGAAGCAGAGCTGTGCACACCTGAGTGGGTATCAGAGAAAGCAACAGCTGCTGCTGAGCAACGCCCAGACACAGATACACGGTCACTCCCGGCCCACATGGCAACACCCGGATACAGACACGGCCACCCCCGGCTCACGCAGCAACACCCGGACACGGATACATGGCCACCCCTAGCTCATGCAGCAACACACAAAACACACAGCTACCCATGGCCCACGTGGCAGTACTTGGACATGGACACATCGCCATCCCAGCCCACACGGCAACCCTTGGTCCACGAGGCAACATGGAAAACACACATGGCTGTCCTCGGCCTCCTCAGCCCACCCAGAGCTATCTGCAGGAGCAACTTCACACAGCAACCCTCCAGGACTCACAGAGGCACATGTGGGCTTGGAAAACACAGCAGCACACACCCGCCTTGCCTGGAGGGCCAGCCCACACCTCCTCACGGGCTGGCCCATGCCTGGAGGTTTTATCTGGGGCATCTGAGTGAGGACGGAAGCCCCAGCAAAACAGGTTCGTGCCTGTTCTCTGGCCCCTATTGGATATGCTGGCCAGCCCCATCCATGTGGAAATTTCTCCTCCCCGGGGCCCCACGGCCTGCCCCTCATGCACACACTTACGGGGAACCTGCCTCGGGAATCCACCGCGGGGACATGCCATGTGGGCCTTCCCGCCACAGAACCTGCTTCCCCAGGAACCCACATGCCGTGTGGGCCTTCATGCCACTGAATGTGCTTCCCTGGGAATCCATTGCAGGGTCATGCCTCATGGACCTTCCCACCACAGAACCCGCTTGCCAGGGAACACACCTTAGGGACGTGGCATGTGGGCCTTCCCACCACAGAACCCACTTCCCCGGAAATCCACTGCAGGCCGGGCCACGTGGGCCTTCCCACCACAGGGCTTGCTTACTCTCGGCCTGCGGCCCCAGTTGGGTGGAGTTACCTGGAATCTGGCTCATCAAATGGCTGCTCCTGCTTGCCTCCCGCCCCCACAGTCTGGGCTGGCCTGGGGCCCTGACTGTTGACCAGCTGCATAAATGGCACTGGCTGGCAGGCCAGGGGCGGGGAGATCAGAGCCTTCCACACACCTTGCTTTGTGGAAGTTGGGGGAACACTGGTCGTGGAGTTCGAGGTAATGGGGAGGACAATCCCCATAACCCCCCATCTTTGAGACATGCATTAGGGGAGGCGGGCATCAGGTGGCACCTGAGGTGGTCTCAGTGCTGCCCGCCAGGCTGTGCCAGCCAAGAGCAGCAGGCGGTGTTATGGATTGGGAGCTGCCTCATCCAGTGGCCGAGGCTGTTTGTCATGGGCTCCGCATTGCATAAAAAGCTCTGTTTTAACAAATGTCCAAAGTGGATATCCAGGGGAATGTGGGTCATTTGGTTCCATGCAGAGAGACAGGCAGTTGGCTCAGAGGACATGAGCCTCTCAGAGTTTTGACCCCCATGGGACAGGTGGCAAAGAGGAGGCAGGAACCGCCGTCCGAGCATAATGAGAGAAGCAGCTCTGTGGTGGGGCCTGAGACCCTCTGCCATGTCATTTGAGGATGGATGATATTCATTCTAGGGGTGGAGAGAGATTAGATAAGGAGAGAAATGGGGAGGGAATTTTTAACAGCTTTGTGGAGGTATAAGTGATACACAATGAGCTGCATGTATTTAGAATGTACAATATAAGTTTGACAAATGTGAACCCATTGCCACAATGAAGATCGTGAACACATCTTTCTCCCTGAAAATGTCCTGGTGTCGTTTTGTAATCCCTTCCTCTCGTCCCTGCACCATCTCCACAAAACCTGGGATTTATTTTCTGTCACTTTGTTTGCCATTTTCAGAATTTCGTATAACTAGCATCATACAGTATGGATATTTTTTGGAGTCTGGGTTTTTTTGGCAGTGTTATTTTGTGATTCATCCATATTGTGTGTGTCAGTAGTTTGTTCCTTTTTATTGCTGAGTAATACTCTGTCGTGTGAAGATACCACAGCTTGCTCATCCGTGTACTTGTTGGTGAGCGTTTGGGTTGCTTCCCATTTGTGCTGTGACACCAAGAGCTGCTGTGAACATTCACGTACAAGTCTCTGTATGAACACGTGCCTTCCCTTCTCTTGGCGAATGCTTAGGAATAGAATGGCTGTCTCGTATCATAAATGTCCTAGTCTGCCCAGGCTGCCATAACAAAAATACCATGGACTGGCTGGCTTAAGCAACAGAAATCAGTTTCTTATGGTTCTGGAGGCTGGGAAGTCCAAGATCAAGGTGCCAGCAGATTCAGTTCCTGATGAGGGCTCTATTCCTGGTTTGCTGATGGCCACCTTCTTGCTGTATTTGCCCATGGCAGAGAGAGAAAGAGAATGAGAGAGAGAGAGGACACAAACTCCCTCGTGTCTCTTCTTATAAGAGCACTAACTGAGGGCTCCACCCTCATGACCGGATCACCTCCCGGAGGCCCCATCTCCAAATACCATCACATTGAGGGTTAGGATTTCAACATTTGGATCTGGGAGAGGACACATACGTTCTGTTCATTGCCATACATAAGTTTAACTTTTTAACTGCCAAACTGTCTTTCAAAGCGTATCATTTTATGTTCCCGACAGCAGTGGTTGAGAGTTCCATTTGCTCTACATCCTCACCAGCACTTGATTTGGTCAGTCTTTTTAATTTTAGCCATCTGAATAGGCTTGTAGCAGTATCTTATTGTGGTTTTAATTTGCATTTCCCTAATAACTAATTATGTTTAGTAATTTTTTATTTGCTTATTTGCCATCAGTAGTTGTTTTTGTTGTTGTTCTCCTTCCTCCCCTCTTCCCTCCCCTCCCTCCTCTCCTCCTTCCTCCCCTCTTCCCTCCCCTCCCTCCCTCCCTCCCTCTTCTTCCTCCTCTTTCTTCTTTCTTCTTCATCTTTCTTCTTCTTCTTGGATCTCACTTTGTCACTCAGGCTGGAGTGCAGTGGTGCAATCATGGCTCACTGCAGCCTCAACCTCCTGGCCTAAAGTGACCCTCCTGCCTCAGCCTCCCAAGCAGCTGAGACTACAGGCATGTGCTACCATGCTCAGCTAATTTTTAATTTTTTTTTTCTAGAGACTATATTGCACAGGCTGGTTTTGAACTCCTGGCCTCAAGAGATTGGCCTACCTCCACCTCCCAAAGTGCTGGGATTTCAAGCATGAGGCACTGTGCCTGGCCCAGTATATCTTCTTTAGTGGAGTATCTGTTCAAATATTGTGTTCATTTTAATGAGTTGTTTGTTTTCAGATTATTGAGTTTTAAGAGTTCTGTCATATATTATGGATACAAGGCTTTCATCAGATAGGTGATTTGTATGTGTTTTTTTCCAGGGTGTGGCCACTTTTTGCATTTTCCTAACATTCTCTTTCCATCTTTGGGAGTTTCTTATTTTGTTGAAGTTAATTTATTATTTTGCCCTTATATCGATTATGTTTTTGGTGTTGTATCTAAGATTCTTTGCCTGACCTAACATCCCAAAGATTTCTGTTACATTTTATTTGAGACATTTTGTTCGAGCAGTTTTATAGTTTTGGTCCCTACATTCAGATCTCTGATCCATTTGTTCTTTTTTTTTTTTTTTTGATATGGTATGTGGTATGGACTGAAGTTCTTTTCTGTTCGATTTTAGTATATATCTCCTTGTTCTAATACCATTTTGAAAACATTATCTTTTTTGTACTAAATTAATTACCTTTTTGGGCTTTGCTGAAAATCAATGGACTATGTATGTGTAAGTCTACTTTGGACTCTCTGTTCTGTTCCATTGATCTATTTATGCATCTTAACACCAATACTACACTGTCTTGATTACCATAGCTTTATAGCGGGTCTTGGAGTCAGATAATGTTAAATCTTTCCCTTTGTTTGGTTGTTATTTTTGTTTGTTTCATAGTTTTGGCTATTCTAGGTCCCTTATAATTTCATATGCATTCTAAAATCATCTTGTCAATTTCTATTTTTTTAAAAAAAAGCTGACTGAGATTTTGATTTGAGGTTGTGTTGAATCTGTAGATCAATCTGGGAAGGATTGAAATCTTAACAATGTTGAGGCTTCTGATTCATGGTTACGGTATATCTCTTTCTTAAGTCTTTAAACAATTCTTTTGGCGATATTTGGAAGTTTCCAGTGTACAGGTCTTATATAGCTATTGTCAGATTCATCCCTATTTCTTATTTTTATTTATTGATGCTATTGCAAATGGCATTTAAAATTTTTTGAATTTCTAAATGTTGGTGCCTAGTGTATAGAAACACAACTGATTTTTTTTTTCTTTTTTTTTGAGATGGAGTTTCACTCTTGTTGCCCAGGCTGGAGTGCAGTGGTGTGATCTCGGCTCACTGCAACCTCCACCTCCCAGGTTCAAGCGATTCTCCTGCCTCAGCCTCCTGAATAGCTGGGATTAGAGGCATGTGCCATCACGCCTGGCTAATTTTGTATTTTTAGTAGAGATGGGGTTTCTCCATGTTGGTCAGGCTGGTCTTGAACTCCTGACCTCAGGTGATCTGCCTGCCTTGGTCTCCCAAAGTGCTGGGATTACAGGCGTGAGCCACCGCGCCCAGCCCACAACTGATTTTTATATATTGTTCTATCCTGCAACCTGGCTAAACTCATTTATTAGTCCTAACAGCTGTTTGAAAATCTGTTGAGGCCGGCATACGGTTTTTCTTCTTCCATGTGTTATTTTAGCAAATTACACAGACTGACTTTCAAATGGCAAAGCAGCCCTGCAGTCCTGGGATAAACCCAGCTTGTTCATGATGTCTTATCCTTTTTGTTATTGTTAGAATTGATTTGCTAACATTCTGTTAAGAATTTCTGCATCTGAGATCAAGAGAGAACCTCACTGGTCCCTGGCCACTGATGGTTTGACTGGATCTGAGCAAGGGGTTCCCTCTCTCCCCATCAGGCAGGCTCGTGGGGTGCGAATGTAGCCATGTAGAACTGCTCCATCAGGACCGGGCGCGGTGGCTCATGCCTATAATCCCAGCACTTTGGGAGGCCGAGGTGGGTGGATCACCTGAGGTTAGGAGTTTGAGACCAGCCTGGCCAACATAATGAAACCCCATCTCTACTAAAAATACAAAAGTTACCCAGGCGTGGTGGCGGGCGCCTGTAATCCCAGCTACTCGGGAGGCTGAGGCGGGAGAATCACTTGAACCTAGGAGGCGGAGGTTGCAGTGAGCCAAGATCACGCCACTACATTCCAACCTGGGCAACAGAGCGAGTCTCCATCTGAAAAAGAAAGGCTGGGTTCCGTGGCTCATGCCTGTAATCCTAGCACTTTGGGAGGCCGAGGCGGGGGGTGGATCATGAGGTCAGGAGATTGAGACCATCCTGGCTAACACGGTGAAACCCCGTCTCTACTAAAAATACAAAAAATTAGCCAGGCGTGGTGGCAGCGCCTGTAGTTCCAGCTACTCGGGAGGCTGAGGCAGGAGAATGGCGTGAACCCGGGAGGCGGAGCTTGCAATGAGCCGAGATCGCGCCACTGCACTCCAGCCTGGGGACAGAGCAAGACTCCGTCTCAAGAAAAAAAAAAAGAAAAAAAAAAAGAACTGTTCCGGTTCCATCGGGGGCTGTGGGTAGTGGTGGTTCCCACAAAAGGAGACTTTAGACAAGTGAGCACCCCACAACACATCTCCTGTACGCGTGTGGGCCTGGAATTCCTGGGAGGGTGCCATCTCCCTTCTCCTTACCCTGAATGTCCACCCTGCTAGTGGTGCTGCCATCCCATCGTGTGTTGGCGAGACCCCCATATTGGGGGGCTGGGATTTGGGGGGCAGGTTGGTGCACACCCAGGCCGTTCCCCCTCCTGAGGGACCCAGTGCAGATATGCACCAAGGGCCTGAAAATATTCCTGCATTTTGGTCCATGGATCCCCATATTCAGACTCTCCTACAGAAATGCTCTGTGATGTGGAAATGGATTTATCCACAAAGATGTTCGCTGCAGCATTGTTTATTAACTGGAAAAAGATGGAGCTAGAACTCAAATTTCCAAGAGTAGAGGATTGTCTGAGGAAATACCATTATGTCTGCTGAATGGAAGATCCCATAGCCATTAAAGGAGTGATTTATGAAGATCGTAGCGACATCACACCTTGTCCTTAAGTGAAAGTAGAAAAATAGGTTACAACATTCTATATTTAGCTGTATAAAAAATTCACTTAAAAGAGGAAGCCAATGTGTAACAAAGGGTAATTGATTTCTGGGCAGTGCTGCTCTTTTCCTTTCTCTAGTTTCCAAACTTTCTGGAAGGAATATCGATTACTATTGTGATTTTTTAAAAATCATAATTAAGAAAGGGAAGAGTAGAATTTGCTGTCTCCAAGGCAGCTGCCCCCTGCTTGGCCAGGCTGGGGGCAACGGATTCGGTCTCAGCTGCTCCTCCTGTCTCAGCGTTGCCCTCCTGTATGTTTCAGGCTTTGGGAACGATCACTGCAGTGCCTGTCACGGGTCCTCAGGTCAGCTCCTTGCAGAGGTTGGCCGGGCAAGGAGCGGCAGTGCTACCTCAGGTAAGCAGCCCTCGGGCGGGCCCTGGGGTGTCCGTCTGTCTGTCCCCGCAGTCTCTGTTCCTAACCCCTCAGCACTGAGGTTTCTGGTGGGCACTGGGCCAGGCGGAACTCGTGCCCTCTCAGCTGCACCTTCCCCTCTTACCTCTTCTATCCATTCTTCAATGGAAACATTTGGACCAGATACGTTTCTTCAGCAAGGAATTGGGAAATCAATTTAGTGGGTCATGACCAGAATTTTTTAAAATGGAATAAATGAGGCCAGACTAAAATAGAATGGAAATATCAAGATATGCATCCTATGCATTGTTTCTTGACCAACTTGTTTCAAGACTGGGTGACTCCGTCGTGTGTATTTTTGACTATGGGTTATGGTCAGGAAGTTTGAGACACTCTGGACGAGGGGATTCATTTCAGGGAGGGGCAGCACAGACTCTGGGCCAGGTGCCCTGGCTTCTAGTGCAGGGTCCCCCCCGACTGGACTCCACGCTTTGCCCCAGTCACCTGACCTCTCAGCCTTCCTGGGCCGAGGCTTCTCACCTGCAGAGGGACTGGTGCAGGTGCCGGCTTCCTTCGTTGGTGGCTGTGAGGGTTGAGCCAATGGTGGCTGTGAGTATTGAGTCAAGACAAAACATTTGTAACCGTGCCTGGTACAGAGCAAACGCCAGGTAGTTATTAGCCAGCTCCCTTATTACCACAAGCTCAGCTTTGTTGAGCACTTGCTGTATATAGCATACTGGGCCAGAGGCTGCCAGTGGTAAAGACCAAGATGGCCCCTGCCTGTCGTGGGACCTCAGGGCTAGACAGATTCCCCCAGCTCAAGGATGGTGAGAGGTGGCCGCCCTGAGCTCCCTCATTCATGTGGCAACTTTCCCCAAGTGCCCACTTGAGCTGAATCAGAGTCTAGAGCAGGGGTGGCCAATCTTCCAATCTTTTGGTTTCCCTGGGCCACACTGGAAGAAGAATTGTCTTAGGCCGCACATAAAATACACTAACACTAACAGTAGCTGATGAGATAAAGGGAAAAAAATGGCAAAAAACTCTCGTACTGTTTTAAGAAGGTTTGAATTTGTGTTGAGCCGCATTCGAAGCCATCCTGGGCCGCATGCAGCCTGTGGTTTGGACAGGCTTGGTCTAGAGGGAGGACAGACAAGGAAAAACAGATACTGTGAGTCCAGGGTGATCGGGCCATGCCAGAAAGAGACACTGCGGGGCGGGAGCCCTGAGGAGACTTGCCACACACCTGGGCATCAAGGAAGGCTTCCTGGAGGAGGTAGTGCTTGAGCTAGACCTCAGGGTAAGAGGACATTGCAGGCTGAGGTAGAGTTAGGCCCTAGAGGGAGCCCCCCAGGAGGAGGGTGCAGGGTGAGAAACGGAGGCAGAGGTGGTAGGGAGAGACCAGAGTCAAAGCACTGAGGGAGGGAGGTTGGGACAGTCCTGGGGGTGGAGAGGCCACCAGGGGCCCATGGGGACCTTAGAGTTGGACTTCTCCTGTCGGTGACCCTTGGGCAGCAGGGAGCTATGCGAGGCTTCAGAGCAAGGCAGGCTCCAGGGAGAGGCTGCCAATCAAGGCCAGTGCTATTTCCCTCTGCCCAGCACCCTCTCTTCTTCCTCTCTCCCTTCCGCCTGGACCTCTGTCTCCATGTTTTGTCCTTGCTGTCTCTGCCCCACAAAAGTCTGCACCTGCCGTTGGCCTGCTGGCCTCCAGGACAGTCAGCTTGGGCCAGAAGGTGTCCAGTGCATGCCGGGTCCAGCTACCAGCTGCTGCTGTCCCAGGTGGCTCACGGGCAACAGAGTAGGCAGCCTGTGTTGGGGCCAGCCTGGCAGGGTGACTGCAGATCTGAGAAAGGAGAGAGGGTGGGGACAGGGTGGACCCGGGGGCTTCCCGGCCTGGGGCTGCATACAGGCCAGGAGGCACAGGCAGAAAGATGATAAGCTCCAAGGTCCCCTGAAGGTGTTCTCTGTGGGGTGGCTCAGGCCAGATCCTGAGCTTCCAGCTGAGCTTAGTTTCTGTGTCTGGCATCTGTGATTGACGCCAGCTCGCCCATGCCCAGAGTCTGCTTACATAGGGTGGGCGGCCAGGGTCAACAAGAACATGTGGGCAAACCCCAGATGATCGACCAGAACACGGAACGGCCACTGCCACAGCTGAGGTCCTCACTGACCACCACATGGGTGTCCATCCGCCCCCACGCCAGTCCTCTTCAGAGGCGGAGAACAGCAGTTTTCCAACGGGTAACTTTCTCCAGCTGAGGGCCGGCAGGAACGAGAAGATGGATTTTTTAAAGCCTTTGGTATTGGAGTTTCTGTTGGGCTGTAAGCCTGGCATTGGGGGACAAAGGCCCTGACCTCTGGTGCCAAGGACAGAGTGGCAGGCTTACCTGAACCCAGGCTGGCCACATCGCCTGCCCGTGGTGTGGCCAGGGCCCTGATGTGGGAGGCCGGGCTCATTTTGCTAAGGACCCAGCATGGCAGGGGACACAGAGATCACTAGACTCAAGGGCCAGCTCTGTGCCAGGCACTGGTGAGGAGCTGACAGACGTGATACTGTCCAACTGAAGAGCACGCTGTGCCTTGGTGACCTGCCCAAGGCCACAGGGCCCTGTAGGAGCCACCCTGGACCACTCCTTCCACATGCACCACTGGACACAGGGTGGGAGGAGATGGGCGGGGCAGTACAGCGCTCTGTGCCCTTCACCGATGCCAGACAGGCCCTAATGATAACGACGGTAGCATCATTATTACCGGTGAGGCTCCATTATGCACCTCAGTTTGCTTATCTGTAGAACAGGCCAGGATGGCCACCCTGCAGTGCGAGCGCAGCGGGGTTCAGATGAGAAGGCAGGTCGTACCCCTTCTCCTTGTCCCCTTGTCTCTCAAGGCATAATATTGGCGTGGACCTCCCAGGGTTGGTGTGTCCTCATCTGGGGCATGTGGCGCTCCTGGTTCCATGCATGGGGTCAGTGGTGGTGGCTCTGATGGGAATTTCCACCATCAGAAACACTCTGCTGGGTGTGGGGGTGCTGGTGACAGCCCTCAGTCAAGTACACCCAGCACTTCCTGTGCATTTTCTTTCTTCCGAACCCCAGTAAGTCTCATCACCTCATGCAGATGAGGGACCTGGCCCAGTTCAGGTGTGTCACCAGGACCCCAGAGGAGCCAGGATTGGGCCCAAACCAACAGTCTGTCCAGAGCCCTGGCCTGAACCACCCAGTGGCTGCCCGGCTGCCCTCTGCACACCTTCACTGTCAGGCCCGCCGCAGTCACGCGGGCTCAGCTCTGGTTTTCACGGGAGCGCAGCAGCAGCCCCCACCCAGACTGAGAAGCAGAACTGGGCAAGGCCCAGGAGCCCTCGAAGCCCCTCCCAGTCCCTGCCGAGGGGCAGCGCTTTCCAGACTTCCAAGGCCAAAGGGGGCTTTGCCGCTTGGGACTTGATCTGCAGGGCGTCACACTGCACAGACTGTCCCCTCGCGCCCAAGCGCTGCCTTCCAAGCCTCCCCGCTGCTCTTCACCGTTTTCTCTGAGTGCAGCTGGGAGGGCCGTGGGTCCAGAGCAGCCCCTCCTGAGCCCCGTGGCCAGTCGGTGCAAGCCCAGGAGGAGGGAGGCATTGGGGTCGAGGTCTCACCTGCTGTGAGGCCGTGACAGGCGCTGTGCTCTTTCCAGTGCTGCCCCTTCCCCTTGAATATAGGAAGTCTCCGAGCCAGGGCGGCCCCTCCCCTGCACTCCTGTGTGTCTGCCTGTCTGACCACATACCTGTCCCTTCTTCCCAGGTTAGGCCAAAGACTCTGATTCCAGACAGCCTCCCCGTTGCCCCGGGCCGGGACCGGCCACCCAAGCAGCCCCCAACATTCCAGAAGGCCACCGTGGTCAGCGTCAAGAACCCCAGCCCAGCCCTCCCCACCGCCAACAACACTGTCAGCCATGTGCCAGCGCCCGGCAGCCAGCCCCAGGCCCTCGCCGAGCCCGCCGCCCTCGCCTCTCCGCTGAGCAGTGCGGGGGTGGCCTACGCCATCATCTCCACCTCCCCCAGCAATGCCGCCGCCATGGCCCCCAGCACCGCCGTGTCTGTGGTCAGTGACAGCATCAAAGTCCAGCCCCTCCTCATCAGTGCTGACAACAAGGTGAGTGCCCACCAGCAGGCTCCGGAAAGGGTGTGCGGCCGCATACAGGAGGCCGAGAGCAATCATTTGGGAAGGGCCAAATGAACAAGCCCAGGCAGGATGAATGACCAGGAGGCAGAATGATCAAGTGGACAAATGAATGAATGGGACGGAAACAGAGGAGCAAATGAATGAATGGAGTATGAACACATGATTAAGGGAGTGAATTAGTGCATGAACAAATGAATGAATATGCGATCCAGAGACAATACGGCTGCATGAATTAATACCAGTGGAAAAGGAGTGATTGGTCAATGAATGAATTCATTCAAATGATTAACCAATTAATGACATGTGTGGCTGAATGAGTGACTAGAAGAGATACTGATTCTCTGTTTCTGCTGGTGGAGTTGGACGGTCAAGGGCTGTTTTTACCCCACTGCCCAAGTGCACAATCTCCCATAATTTCTGCCAAGTTTTAAAACTAAAACTAAGGTCCTCCCGCTGCTCCCCTCCGAGCTCCTGGTGGTTGTGCTGTTTGAGGCCTTCGGGGCTGCCTCATCTCTGCCGTCCCCTGTCTGTGGCCTCTTTCTCTCTGTTCCCCATTTGGGGTCTGCCAGGCCGCCCCTCTCTTGCTTATGGCTGGGGTACCTTCTGCTTCCCCAGCCTGGATGTTGACGGCCGACCCTCATGTGAGCTGGTGCTGTTGCACCCAGTGCATTCCCGGGAGTCCTGTGCTTCCAGGCTCTCCCGCCCACTGAGGGCCCCTCAAAGAATTCGCAGTCTGAAGAGTTGTCATGGGCCATGGTGGGATGGCAGGTGTATCCCAGGAGGGCACCTGATCCAGACAAGGTGCTTAGCAGATGCTGGAAGGAGTGTGTCTGTTTCACCCAACTGCACCAGCATTTGATGTTGGTCATTTAAACACTGTTTTGTTCATTTACTAGGCACATAGATGCCTCATTGTTGAAAGTTGAATTCCCTTGGTTACTGTTAAGCTTCAGTGTTTTTCTTACACTTAAGAATTCTATCTTCTCATGTGTGACTTGAGAATATTCTTTGCCCTTTTTCTTATTGGAGATCTTAATGTTTTTCTTCCCATGGATATAAAAATGGACATATTTCTTCCATACAGAGATTTTGGGGTTTTAAAAATGTGATACAAAGAGGAAGACAGAGCTTCCCTTAAGCCAGCAGAAAAATGGGACATATTTTCTCTTTGTGCTCAGAAGCCTCAAATTCATCAGACAGTCACCACCCGTGCTTAGGGAAAAACAAACCAAAAAAACACCCAAGTTCAAGTAATTCCTAGTTTAAACCAGACTGTGGCTGATGGATCCTGGAGAATTCTTCTTCTTGGAGCCGTGAAAACTAATAATTCTTTCCCAATTTCCTGTCCAAAGAAATAAAATGGTAGAGCTAGAGATGGAGCGGATCCTGGCCCAGGGAGAGGCTGGGCCGGATGGGTGGATTTCAGGCTGACTTTCAGCATCACACCGTTTCATCAAACCAGATCACCCCCTGAGCCTCGAGGCAGGCTGGCTAAGGGGGGCTGCTGCAGGGTGGCATCTGAAGACCCCCTTCCCCTTCCCCATCCACCACGTGAGGGGCCTCATGGCAGTGAAAAAAAATAGAATGTTATTCCCACCTGTGCCCCCAAGCCAGGGTTGTGTGTCTCAGGCACTGTGGTGTGGGGAGGGAGAAACGGAGCCAGGCTGACCTGAGGGGTTCCCAGCTCCTCTGCCTCCTGACTGGATGGCCTCAGGCCAGGAGCAAGTCTGAGCTCTCGTGGCCTCAGTTCATCTGCACCTGAGCTGGGATGAGAAGTCCTCGCCGCCTGAGTGTGCACGGCCTCCCTGGGGAGAGGTGTGGCCAGTTTCACTGATGACCAACCTGACTCTCAGAAGCAGTGACTCCCCTGAGGCCACACAGCTGGGAAGCGGTGGGGCAGGACTGGAACCCAGACCTTCCCAGTTCCTAAACCAGGCCAGCTTCTCATGCAGACCCTCCCCATGGTGGAAAAGGTGTGTCAGGAGGGGCAGGTGCTAGACAGACAGGGGCGCAAACCACCCAGTTCCCGGGGATCCGCCCTCCCAGGTTGGCCTGGCCCAGGCTCTGTGCTCCCCAACCCCTGCCCTGTGCCATACCAGCTACCTCCCCAGCCCCCCTCACTCTTCCCTTCCTCCCTGTGCCCCTCACCCTCGCTCTCCAGCCTCCTCCACGCCTCCTCTCTTCCCCTCACCCCGCAACCCATCACTGTCCCCTCCACCCCTCCTCTCTTCCCCTCACCCCTCCCTCCCCATCACTGTCCCCTTCACCCCTCCATGGCATCTTCCAGGTCATCATCATTCAGCCTCAAGTGCAGACGCAGCCCGAGAGCACGGCAGAGTCGCGGCCGCCCACAGAGGAGCCATCTCAGGGAGCTCAGGCCACCAAAAAGAAGAAGGAAGACCGGCCCCCGACCCAGGAGAACCCCGAGGTAGGACAGGCCTCTCCGGAGGGCCCAGGCCCTGCTCAGTCTGCAGGTGCCATCTGAGGCCGCTGTGTATAGCGGGGATGGCCTCACTGTGGGGTGGTCCCGACAAGCCGTGGGCACAGCTGCCCTGTGCAGTCGGCGACCAGGATGGGGCCTCGCCAAGCAAGCCCAGGTCTCAACTGTTCTATCTCAGGGAGGCACTGGCTGAACGGCAGTGTGAGGCAGTTGTTAGCACAAATTCTAGAACCATTCTGCATGGGTCCTGCACTGCCAGTTTCCAGTGGTGTGACCGTGAGCAGCTCGCGTCTGTTTGCTCATCTGTAAGGTGGGAATGGCAGGGCCTCCTTCCTCACAGGGCTGCTGGGAGGATTCTGCGAGTTCATGTTTGCTGAGCCCCTGGACAGCACCTGGTGGGGACTTTTGGCCACTACACCCCATCCTAGGGGCCCCGGCTATGGGCCCCTCTGTCCTGAGTCTAGGAGGGAAAGGGGCTCCTCTGGGCAGTGGCCCCTGCCTCTTCTCTGCCATGGCCAGTCCTGGGTGTGTGCAGGACCCTGGGCACTGTAGAAGTAGCTGTGCCCCAGGCTGGCACGAGAGGTGCAGATGTCTCCTGAAGGTGCCTGGAGAACTTGCCAGAAATTGCCTATGTCTCCACCTCTCCCACACAGCCTCTGAAGGAGGCCAGATAAATAAGCTCATATTGAAGCATCCAAATACATAGTGGATGCGCAGCCCCTGCACTGATGGTGGCGCGGGGACAGCAGCTGACTCAGGGCCGTCCTTTGCTGAACTGGTGGTGGCAGCAGGTGTACTGCAGCTTGGTCCTCGGCATCCTAGGCCAACACCAGCCCCACATCCTCCACTCTGGGTCTTTTCCATTCAACCCTTCCCACCCAGTTTCCTTTTCTTTTTTCCTTTCTTTTTGTCTTTTTTTTTTTTTTTTTTTGAGATAGAGTCTGACTCTTTGAGCCATGCTGGTGTGCACTGGCACCATCATAGCTCACTGCAGCCTCAACCTCCTGGGCTCAAGTGATCCTCCCACCTCAGCCTCCCAAGTAGCTGGGACTACAAGGTGTGCACTACCACTACTGGCTAATTTTTTAATGTTTTGTAGAGACAGGGTGTATTAGTCCGTTTTCATGCTGCTGATAAAGACATACCCAAGACTGGGCAATTTACAAAGGAAAGAGGTTTAATGGAGAACTCACAGTTCCACATGGCTGGGGAAACCTCACAATCATGGCGGAAGATGAGGAGCAAGTCACATCTTACATGGCGGCAGGCAAAGAGAGAGCTTGTGTAGGGAAGCTCCCGTTTTTTAAACACATCAGATCTTGTGAGACCTATTCACTATCACGAGAACAGCATGGGAAAGACCCGTGCCATAATTCAGTTACTTCCCACCAGGTCCCTCCTACAACATGTGGGAATTCAAGATGAGATTTGGGTGAGGACACAGCCAAACCATATCATTTCACCCCTGGCTCCTTCCACATCTCATGTCTTCATATTTCAAAACCAATCATGCCTTCCCAACAGTCCCTCAAAGTCTTAACTCATTTCAACATTAACCTCAAAAGTCCACAGTCCAAAGTCTCATCCGAGACAAGGCAAGTCCCTTCCACCTATGAGCCTGTAAAATCAAAGCAAATTAGTTACTTCCTAAATACAATGAGGGTACAGGCATTGGGTAAATACAGCCATTCCAAATGGGAGAAATTGGCCAAAACAAAGGGGCTACAGGCCCCATGCAAGTCCGAAATCTGGTGGGGCAGTTAAACCTTAAAGCTCCAAAATTATCTCCTTTGACTCCCTGTCTCAGATCCAGGTCATGCTGATTCAAGAGCTGGGCTTCCACAGCCTTGAGCAGCTCTGCTGCTGTGGCTTTGCAGGGTATAGCCTCCCTCCTGGTTGCTTTCACCGGCTGGTGTTGAGTGTCTGCAGCTTTTCCAGGTGCACAGTACGAGCTGTTGGTGGATCTATCATTCTGGTGTCCAGAGGACAGTGGCCCTCTTCTCATAGCTCCACTAGCCAGTGCCCCAGTAGAGACTCCGTGTAGGGGCTCCAACTGCACATTTCCCTTCTGCACTGCCCTAGCAGAGATTCTCCATGAGGGCTCTGCCCCTGCAGCAAACTTCTGCCTGTATATCCAAGCATTTCCATACATCTTGTGAAATCTAGGCAGAGGTTCCAAAACCTCAATTCTTGACTTCTCTGCACCTGCAGACTCAACACCATGTGGAAGCTGCCGAGGCTTGTGCTTCCACCCTCTGAAGCAACAGGCTGAGGGGTACCTTGGCCCCTTTTAGTCATGGCTGGAGTGGCTGGGACACAGGGCACTAAGTCCCTAGACTGCACACAGCAGAGGGACCCTGGGCCCAGCCTAAGAAAACATTTTTTCCTCCTAAACCTCTAGGCCTACAATGGGAGGGGCTGCTGCAAAGGTCTCTGACATTCCCTGGAGACATTTTCCCCACTGTCTTGGTGATTAACATAAGTAACTCCTCGTTACTTATGCAAATTTCTGCAGCCAGCTTGAATTTCTCCTCAGAAAATGGGATTTTTCTTTTCTATCGCATTGTCAGGCTGCACATTTTCTGAACTTTTATGCTCTGTTTCCCCTTTTAAAACTGAATGCCTTTAACAGCACCCAAGTCACCTCTCAAATGCTTTGCTGCTTAGAAGTTTTTTCTGTCAGATACCCTAAATCATCTCTCTCAAGTTCAAAGTTCCACAAGTCTCTAGAGCAGAGGCAAAATGCCGCCAGTCTCTTTGCTAAAACATAACAAGAGTCACCTTTGCTCCAGTTCCCAACAAGTTCCTTGTCTCCATCTGAGACCACCTCAGCCTGACCTTATTGTTCATCTCACTATCAGCATGTTTGTGAAAGCCATTTAACAAATCTCTAGTAAGTTCTGAACTTTTCCATATTTTTCTGTCTTCTTCTGAGCCCTCCAAACTGTTCTAACCTCTGCCTATTACCCAGTTCCAAAGTCACTTCCACATTTTGGGGTATCTTTTCAGCAACATCCCACTCTACTGGTACCAATTTACTGTATTAGTCCATTTTACACTGCTGATAAAGACATACCTGAGACAGGACAATTTACAAAGGAAAGAGGTTTAATGGAGAACTCACAGTTCCAGATGGCTGGGGAAGCCTCACAATCATGGCAGAAGGAAAGAAGGAGCAAGTTACATCTTACATGGATGGCAGCAAGCAAAGAGAGAGCTTGTGCAGGGAAACTCCCATTTTTACACCCATCAGATCTCGTGAGACATTCACTATCACAAGAACAGCACAGGAAAGACCCGCCCCATGATTCAATTACCTCCCACCAGGTCCCTCCCATAATATGTGGGAATTCAAGATGAGATTTGGATGGGGACACAACCAAACCATATCACAGGGTCTCTCCATGTTGCCCAGGCTGGTCTTGAGTTCCTGGCCTCAAGCCTCAAGTGATCCTCCTGCCTCAGCCTCCGAAAGTGCTGGGATTATAAGTGTAAGCCACCAAGCTCAGACTCGGTTCCCTTTTCCCTCCCTGTTGTGCCCTTCATTCCACAAGATTGAGTTGAGACATGTTGGCCCCCAGGAGTGGTTTCTGACCACCATGTCCCCAACTGCAGCACCCCGCCCTGGACCCCCTGGGCCCCTGCAGCTCCCAACGATTCTCCCCATCAATGTACTGTCATTACCAAAGGAAACCTGTTGTGCATCCCTTCACTTTTTCCTTTAGTTGTTCAACATGCCTTCGAGTTTGCTCCCTGCCAGGCTCCGTGCCAAAGGCTAGGGACATCAGGATGCAGGCAGCCATGGTCCTTGCCCTTGGAAAACTCACTTCCATGGGTAAAGACAGAGATGGCTACCAAGGACTCTAACGGGTTCAAAAATGCGTGTGTCGTGAGAGAATTCTAAATGAAGGGCTACAGGAGATGAGGGCAAAGGGAGAGAGCTGTTTCCTCCTGGAAGGACTGAGGAAGGCTTTGGAGAGAAGGGGCATGGTCTGCAGGGGTAGAGGAGTTGCCAGGATCCAGCAGAGAACAGGAGGCAGAGGGGTAGCTCACCAGCTGGAGGGCACTGCATAGGCAATAGCACACGAGTGGGAAAGGATTCCACACACCCAGAGCAGTCAGCTGGGCTTTCGGACTGCAGTAGGGGGTGAAGACAGACGTGGGAACCTGGTCCTGGAGGGCCTGAATGCAGGCTGACAAAGTGGAGCTTTATTCTTAGGTAATGGGGAGCCACGGAATATCTTTGAGCAGAAGAATGACTTGATTATTGTCCTTCGACATGTCTAAAAAGCCAGTGAAGTCAAGGAGCTGCTAAGTGAGGCTGCAGCGTGAACCAGGTCTCCTCTGTGGCCCTGGGCCTAATCGTCTCAAGAAAGTCCGTTCCATTCTGTGGCAGTGTCTGCACCTGCAGGTGCACTGTGAGGCCCTGGCTCGGCTGGCAGCCCAAGACTCCCATGATGACCCTTCTGTCCTCTCTTGGGGTTCAGCTGCACCCTTAATATTGGGGAAGGTATTCTGGGTGGATTCTCTTTGTTCTCTCAAAGTATTTAATATATCTTAGTCAATTATTGTGCATTTATACAATTAGTATAATTACATCTAATTACATAATTAGTGTAAACATATGCGATGACTTAGATAGATAGAACTTGCAATTACAGCATGTCCTGGGATAAAAATCCTTATTAAAGTTTATTTTAAAAGAGGACCAAGGCCAGGCGCAGTGGCTCACACCTGTAATCCTGGCACTTTGGGAGGCCAAGGTGGGCGGGTCATCTGAGGTCAGGAGTTCAAGACCAGCCTGGTCAATAGGGTGAAACCTGGTCTCTACAAAAATACAAAAAATGAGCCAGGCATGGTGCCACACAGCTGTAATCCCAGCTACTTGGGAGGCTGAGGCAGGAGAATCGCTTGAACCTGGGAGGCGGAGGTTGCGGTGAGCCAAGATTGCACCACTGCACTCCAGCCTGGGTGACAGAGCAAGACTCCATCTCATGTACATACATACACACATACATGCATACCAAGAAGAGCTGTGCTGCACAGACTGCTGGACCTTGAACCTGTCAGTGAAGTGTCTGAGTTAGAGCCTAGAAACCGGACAGCAGTAGCTGCCCCCAGAAACGTCACAGGAGGAGCCAAGGTCAGCCAGTAGGGGTGTGGATTTTTGTGAAGAAACATGATTGGTGTTTGGGCAACTCCGCTGTCGCTGCAGCTCCCCAGAAAGTGGCACTTGCCCTCAGCAGGGCACATGTGGGATGGCCAGCCCAGGGGTTGCTTGGAGCCACACTAAATGGCAACAGGGGCTGCAGCAGAAGGGGACGTCGAGTCAGCAGTGTCCCAGAGTGACCCATGCACCATGGGGAGAAATATTTCAGTAGCTCTCAGACCCCATAAGGCCCATGTGGGGAACAGCAGAACGAGATAAGACCACCTAGGAGGGTGTTAGCTGCCGCCCGTCCATGCTCAACATGGGTCAGTTTCAGGCCCCACAGGAAGGGACTGTTGTTAGCCCATGGTACAGATGGGGACGCTGAGGCCCAGAGGCACTGATCCTCAGAGGTGGGAGCCACACTCTAGCTTCTGGCCTCAGAGTCTGCAGTCTATGCCGTGAAGCCTCGCCACTGGAGACGCCATCTCTGCCTTTGGTCAGGCTGAGTGGAGGTCAGGTTTGGGGTCAGAACCTACTGCTCAGGACCCGAACCGCTCAGTCGTGAAGAGGCTGCCCGATACTTTGGGTTATCATCCTTCCCTGATTTTCCCACTTACAGCTCCCAGCTTTTCCTGCATATAAACATTATGGGCGTGAAAGGGGCCGCATTACCAGCCTTCCCAGGGGGCCACAAGGCTGGCCTCACCCCCCCAGCGCCCCTGTACTTCCCAGAGATTCCAGCAGGTCAGTGGACCGTGGGATTGTGTTCCTGGCCCTGCATCCCTCTTTGCTGTGGCAGCTAGGGAGCTCACAGGCCAGTCTGTGTCCCACCTCTAATAATTGTCAGGGCCTATGACATGGCTTCACCTTACTTTCCTAGGTTTGCTGTCCTGTCTCCTTTCTTCCTTGTTTACCGTCTGTTTCAGCGTGTTGTGCAAATGCCCCACAAAACCTTTTCCCAGAATCAGGATAGATGTAAGTAATGAACGCTCATCTCTTAGCTGTGTTCCGCCCTTCCCGTGACCAAGGCCAGAACCTCCTTGAAGGGCCTGTCCTTTTGTGTGTGGCTGAGACTGCCCTAAGGACACTTGCTTATCTGCCCTTCCAGGTCACAGACAGGGAAGCCAAAGTCTCTCATGATCCTAAGCCCAGGGCTCCCAGGCCGTGTACATCCCACGCCCCACTCCGCACCAGGCACGTGCGGGACGCTGAACACGGCTGGCCTGTTCACCCCACACAAGCACACAGAGGTGGGATCGTGTCCCCTTTAGGATTTACAAACCACAGGCTCACAGCACCTTGCCCAAGGTTGTAGCTGCAACTCAGCTTGAGCCAGCCGGGCCGTGACCTCACATCCCCAGCCTTTCTGCCATCCTTCAGATGCCTCCTGATTTCAGCCATAACAGAAAATGGCACCTACAGCAATACATAGAGAATGGGGACCCAGGAAGCAACTCGGAGCAGAGGCGGAGGCTGGGGGTGGGCGGGGCCACTGTCAGACTGAGGTTCCCAGGCTGCCTCAGCTGCCCTGGGGTTTCTCACAGTAAGGGTGAGGTTGCGGCACGGACATGCTTCCTAGCAGGCTCCTCACATCTGCAATGCTCTAAAACGCGTGACATGTATGTACCTACAGGTGTCAAGGTGATGGGCAGTGGAAGCTCAGGGATGTGAGGTGGCAGTGTCCACTGCAGGGCGGTGGCCATCACCCCACGCTGATCGCCACTGAGTCTCACGGCTGACTGTGCTTCCCCTTCTCTCAGGGATGTGAGGTAGCAGTGTCCACTGCAGGGCGGTGGCCATCACCCCACTCTGATCACCACTGAGTCTCACGGTTGACTGTGCTTCCCCTTCCTTCTCCCCCTGTCGTCACGGCGGCTGCACAGTAGCGGGGGGCAGGAATTACAAGGTTCATTTTACAGACGAGGAAGCTGAGGCTCAGAGGGAAACCACATGTACGGTCACGGAGCTGCATGCTAACTTCAGACAGAACCTGGGCTTCTGGCTCCCGACCCAGGGCGCTGTCTGCTCCCTCCTGTCCCAGGGCCTACAGCCTGCCTTAGGACAGAGCTGCAGCCCTCTCTGGGGCCAGCCATTGTCCTGGCCTCAGCTAGCATCTGAATGAGTCTGGCTGCCCTCAAATCAGTACACGCCCTGCAAAGGGCAGTCGGAGCAAGGTCCCAGCCCCGCACCTCTCTGAGCAAGCCCTGTTACACACACGTTTCGGCCCTGTGCCCAGCCCTCCTTCCTGTCTCATATCTGCCCGGGGCTACTGCAGTGGACCCTGGCCCGTCTCCCTGCCCCTGGATGGCTTCCTCCCTGTCTATTCGCCCTGCAAATGATCTTTCCAAAATTCAGAAATAACTAAGTCACTCCCCCTCTTGAACTCCATCCAAGCACCCCGTCCATCAGGAAGACTCTGGGTTCACGTGAATGGACCTCTCCGTTTCAAACCCACAGCAACCCCAGATACAGTGGAGAGAGAGAGGATAATGATGGAGCTGAACGTTGCTGTGTCCCTAAAACACGGCAGCCAGGGACCCACACCCTTGGTTCGGAATTGAGCAAGGGTGACCCTGAGGGTGGGCAGCTCACACAGGGCAGCGGGTTCCAAGAATTCCTTGGGTAAGAGACAAGTTGACCAGGCTTCTCTGCTGGTCCGGGCCACAGCCAGACCTAGGGAAGTGGCCAGCGCTGAGGCAACTGCAAACTTGCTGAAAGGGAAGGGTAAGCGTGAGGGAGAGAAAAAGAAAGAAATTGTGCCCAGCACTTCGGGAGGCCGAGGTGGGCGGATCACGAGGTCAGGAGATTGAGACCATCCTGGCTAACACGGTGAAACCCTGTCTCTACTCAAAATACAAAAAATTAGCCAGGCCTGGTGGCGGGTGCCTGTAGTCCCAGCTACTCAGGAGGCTGAGGCAGGAGAATGGTGTGAACCCGGGAGGTGGAGCTTGCAGTGAGCTGAGATGGTGCCACTGCACTACAGCCTGGGTGACCGAGCGAGATTCCGTATCAAAAAAACAAAAAACAAAAAAACAAAAAGAAATTGTGCCCAGGTAAGTCTCGACAGAATTCTAACATATGCGAGATCTCATGCCAAGGCTGGCGATCAATGAAATCAACATTTCGAACATGAATTTATTCCAGATGAAGTGAATTGTGCTAAATACTCTAGCAACAGCTTTTAAATAAGTGTATTTAAGATCCACAAAGAAAGGAGTAATGTCTAGAAATAAGGAATAACGAAGCACAAAAACCAAGGATATAAAACATTTAGATGAACATAAAAATTCGAGAATTTGATGATGACAAACATGGCGATGAGATGACATTTGAAAAGCTTACTAGACGGCAGGAACAGAGATAATTAGTGCTTTTGAATAGGATACCGTGCATGGAGCACAGAGATGCAAACATGTAAAAGAAAAAATAGGAGCAGGCAGGGACAGAAAACAAGTGGGGAAACCTCGCTTTCACCTCATGGGGCTTTCAGCAGGAGGGAGTCGGTGTAGGGTGACAGGGCAGGTGGAGAAGCAAAGCTGAAGAATGTCCCAGGATTGAAGAGCATCAGTGTGAGTTTTTAAGTCAAAAGTAGACTCCATCTCTCAGGTGGGATTAATAAAAGCAAATCTAGGAGGCTAGAGATTCATGTCAAAGATAAAGAGAAAAATCATAAAAAACTACCAGGGCAAAAACAGCGGAATGACAGATGTGCCGGGGGCCTCCAGCAGCCTCAGGCAGATGACCACAGAGCAATAAATATCTGCAGACTGCCGAGGGAAAGTTGCTGCCAACCTGACCCAGCCCTGTCTAAGCTAAGACTAGCTCAGATACTCCCTTTCCTTTTGCACTTCAAGATGGACTTCTGATCTTCAGGGAGTGCATGCCACTGACTTTTTCTGCAGCCTGTGGCTCCTTGGCCCTCTCTGGAGTCCCCTACACCACTCCTGGCCACTGCTCATTGCACCATTGGCTTGCTGCCCAGCCCTGACCTCTGCTGCCTCTGACGACACTAACACTTCTTGCCCAGTCTGCCGATGCTCTGCTCATGTCTGAAATCCACAAAATGAAGAAAAAAATTCTTGTTGCTATTAGTTTATAGGGGATGCAGGGGGAGTCTCAGTTCTAAGTAGCTGCTCTGTTCCTTCTGGAAGCTCAGTTAAGTTGTTTTTCAAGAGCAAGGGCAAAAGAAAGACATTTTACACATAGGAAGACTAAGGGTTTTATCACCCACAGACCATCCTTAAAAGAACTGTGCTTTTGCCAGAAGATAGATGAAGCCAGAGACAGCCAGTGGGTATAAGAAACAACCGAGTGTATAGACTGTTAAATTATAGGTAGATGTATTTAAGTGTAGACTGAAAAAAAAAATCCAGTTTTGTTTTACAAAGCAGATAAAAGGAAAATTCTAGGAAACAATAAATTGGTTGGAGGTGATGTTTTAGAGGGAGTTAGAACATGCCAGGAGCAGTGTAATTTGGGGAAGAAGAATAGAAATATTAACTCCAGCCTTTATTAGAAAAGTGTATAGTTAGAAACATATGCTCAAAACATTTAGGCTAATCAGTGAAAAAAATGTAATGCCACCTATAATTTCTAAATCAGCAGAGGAAAAAAAAAGTGAATGTGGAGCTTTTTTTTCCCAAGAAGTAGGAAATGAAAAAGGATACACTGAAAATACAAATAAAGTAGAGGAAATAAGTCCAAATAACTCAGTAACCATAATAAATGCAAATGAAATCTTCCTACTTTTAGAGAAATGAAAACAGGCTTAAAAACAACACAATCCAGTTGTGTGCTGTTTGTCAGAGGCATACCTAAATAAACAACACCAGAAAGGTTGAAAGGAATGAAAAAGACATATTAATGTAAATACTAAAGGTACATCCATCAAGATAATTTAACAGTCACGAACTTAAGTGTACCATAGCAACATCGTTTGGGATATGCATTTGGTGCAAAAGTAATTGTGCAATTACTTTGCACCAACCTAACAGCAGAATTGTAAAAGGCAAATTTGACAAAATCTGCAGAACACAGTTTTGAACACACGTCTATCAGAATGAAGCCAGTTGATCCCACAGGGCAAAAAGACTTGGCTGAGCTTCCAGAAGGAACAGAGCAGCTACTTAGAACTGAGACTCCCCCTGCATCCCCTATAAACTAATAGCAACAAGAATTTTTTTCTTCATTTTGTGGATTTCAGACATGAGCAGAGCATCGGCAGACTGGGCAAGAAGTGTTAGTGTCGTCAGAGGCAGCAGAGGTCAGGGCTGGGCAGCAAGCCAATGGTGCAATGAGCAGTGGCCAGGAGTGGTGTAGGGGACTCCAGAGAGGGCCAAGGAGCCACAGGCTGCAGAAAAAGTCAGTGGCATGCACTCCCTGAAGATCAGAAGTCCATCTTGAAGTGCAAAAGGAAAGGGAGTATCTGAGCTAGTCTTAGCTTAGACAGGGCTGGGTCAGGTGAAAGCTGGGCCTGAGATAATATAGAGAGAATGTGCTGGAGGAGGGAGTGCTTGGTGTTGTCAGGTCTTAGAAAGTGCCAGGCAAAATATGTCTCCTGGAGGGATTGCACCTGCAATCTGTAAGGCATCCAGGAACAGGGAAGGTGGCAGAAATGCTCTTTGACCATGGGGGAGAGGCAGAGGAGGCGTGGTTAACCAGAGAATCCCACTGAGGGACGAAGAATGAAGTCAATTGCCTTGGCAGGAGAGGCAGAGCCTTTGAGTTGCTTCTAGAAGGCTAATGTAATCCCTTTCCCACCTGCTACAAATCTCCAGTATGGGAAAATTCAGCTCATTTAGTTATGTTTAACAACAAAACATCAATATGAAGCTGCTATAAGCAAAAAATACAGGAAAGAGAAGTTATTTTTACCATAACATAAAGAATACTAGGAAAAAAAAATTGATATCCTGCTGTGATTTTTTAAAAAAAACTTAATGAAACAATCAGCACTAAGAAGGAAACTACATGGCTAAAATACACAGATTTATGGAAGAGATGGCTAAGTGGCTAAATTACTGGAGAGAATTAACCATGAGCTGGAATTATTCATGAAAAATAATAAAACCATCCCAGAAATGGATGCATAGCTGAATGAACACAGAGGGCCATGGATACAGCAGAAGACACGGTAAGGGACACCAGAGGCAGAAGGGGGAAAAGTATACGAAATTCAAAAAATAGTTATTTTATTTTTATATATCCTTTATTAGGTTCTTAAGAAATTTAGAACACCAGTTTGTGAGGGATAAACTCCACTCATCAGGGCAAACACAGATCTCAGGTAGCCCTGGAGCTGAGGAATAGCTTTGATACTCAGTAAAATTTGTGAGTCCACAGCTTTTTGATGATCAACCTTGCGCTGCCCTGTAATCTTGTACTTCTCTGTTTGTGTGTCGAAGAGCTCACCTTTCTGGTGTCTGGGGTTCTGCAGCTGCTGCTGCTTGAATTAAGCATCAGTAAGATGTATTGGGATTTTCACATTGCTGATACCAATTTTGGTTGAGGTGGCAATGGCAAATTTCTGGTGTGTCCTCAACTGAGGACCAGAGGTCCAGACACAAGTAACAGCCACTGCCCAGCTCTTCAGGAGAACCGCCCTCTTGCCTCTGTGGTGTCCAGTGAGGATGATCAGAAGGTCCCAGGGGTGATGCTGGCTTACAATTTTCTCCCATGCTGGCTGAAGGGGTTTTTGCCATGGCTCAATAGCTTCCAAGGCATGTCTTCAGTAGGAGAATATCTAGGCATTTTGTGAAGTTGAACCAGCCGGGTACCACCATTCTTGTCACCACCAACTGTTTGTAACAGTTGCAAGAACCTTCTCCTCCTTTTTCTTTTCAACCTTGGATTTAGCAGCTGAGTACTTCCTCTTGTACACGGCCTTTCTGGAATATGTAGCAGATTGGGAATATCTGCCAATTCCTCTGACAAGGATGGGATTTCAGCTTCAATGGGGCTTCCCCCTTGGGCTTTTTAGCTTTGAGGTTCCCCCTTTTCACCTTGCCACCAGCATCAGCCTTCTTGGCTTCGGGTTTCTTCTCCTCAGTATCCAACTTCTCACCATCTTGCAAGATGGGAAAGAGAACTCAATAATGAGTTTTTAAGTTTCAGAGTAAGTGAAACCTACAGGAGGCAAGCAAAGAAGATACAACACATGTATAATGGGAGGCATCAAAGAAGGAAACCAGAATGATGAAAACATTTCCATAATTTCCTGCAATGAGGTGAATTTGGCTGTCCTGTGGTTGGCATTGGTTCCTGTTTCCTGTTCATAACCTGTCTTCAAATGAGTGTCAGTGGAGGGGACTCGGGGAGGAGAAGATGATGTGAGGAAGTGGAGGCACCACATTCCCAGTGTTCTCCCAGCCCAGCCTTCCCAGGTCAGGCCAGTAAAACGGCTGCCAGCAGCTCAGGGCATCCTAGAGTCCCTGCCACTGTCCAGTTAGTTAGACACAGGGTCCAGAAGTGATATTTGAACCAGGTGGCACCAGACTGCTGCCAGACTGGTACTGATTGGCCGAGCTGCTGGATGGCCCCAGAATTCCCAGTCAGGTGGCTCTGCAGCCCCCTCAGCTGCTCCACTGATCTTCCACCTATGTGAGTGCACATCTCACAGGATTGAGTTTGACAGACCCCACTTTTCATGGTATGGTGATGCTTCACTTTTTGAAATATAATTCAAGGAAAATGTCCTGAACTTTTAAAAAGACTTTATAATCTGCATCTTGAAAGGACACATTGGGTCCCAGGGACAGCTGATGTGTGCTCCAGGGGGAAAATGTGTAATGCTGAGACACACCCAGTGAAGTTACTGATTGACTATGGAAACAAAAGAATCCTATAGGCATCCAGGCCAAAAAAAAAAAAAAAAAGAGTCACTTTAGAGGGAAAGCAGTTAAGCTGGTGTCTGACTTTTCCACAGCCACATTCAATTCCAGGATACGCTAGAGTAACATCTGCAAGAAAATAAGGGAAAGAAAGAACAAGCCAAGGATTTCATTTGCAGCCAAGCTGTCCTTCAAGTTTAAAGGCTACAGATAAAAAGTTGTAAATCTAGCCGGGTGCAGTGGCTCACGCCTGTAATCTCAGCACTTTAGGAGGCCGAGGCGGGTGGATCACTTGAGGTCAGGAGTTTGAGACCAGCCTGGCCAACATGGTGAAACCCCATCTCTAGTAAAAATACAAAAATTAGCTGGGCGTGGTGGCGGGTGCCTGTAATCCCAGCTACTCGGGAGACTGAGGCAGGAGAATCACTTTAGTCTGGGAGGTGGAGGTTGCAGTGAGCCAAGATCATGCCACTACACTCCAGTCTGGGCAACAAAAAAAAGTTGTAAATCTTTGGAGAGCTCAGGAAATGTTCCATGAGCCATTTATGAGAAACTGCTGGAGACCCAAACCCAAGCAACCAAGAGACATGGGGAAACTTTGGTACCAGCACTGGGGTGAGCATCAAATATATTTAACTGTGGGTGAGGATGTCAGAATAGAGTTTAAATATGATGTGTTCCGATAATATATAAAAGATTCATGTAAGTAAAATTGAGAGGAGAAGGAGGGAAAGAAGGTGGGAAGTGGAAAGAGTTCTCAGATGAGCTTATCTGTAGCAGTTGGGACTTTAAATGAATCAGAAAATACCCTTTAAAGCTGAAAAATTAAAGAGAACCATTTTTAACAGCATAGAAGTAAAAATCAGAAAGGAGTAAACTATTTGAGAAAACCCAAGAGATTTGCTGAAAAACCCAAGAGATCTGGAAAACTCAAGAGAATTGCTGAAAAAGCTGCAGACAATAAGAGAATTTGGCATTGCAGCAGGGTGTAAAATTAAGGTAAAAATATCACTAATCTTCATAGCAACACAGTAACCTGTTAGAAGCTTTATACACAACCCCATTTATGATTGCAGCAAAAAGATTAAATGCCAAGAATAAACATAATAAGAATATTCAATATTTAAGGAAAAATTTAAAACCCCTTAAGACAGAAGAAGAGGAGAAGGAAGGAGAGGAGGAGGAGAAGAAGAAGGAAGGAGAAGGAAGAAAAGAGGAGAAGGAGAAGAAAAAAGAAGAGGCTGGGTGTGGTAGGTCACGCCTGTAATCCCAGCACTTTGGGAGGCGAGCCAGGCAGATCACCTGAGGTCAAGAGTTCGAGACCAGCCTGGCCAACATGGTGAAACCCCGTCTCTACTAGAAATACAAAAATTAGCTGGGCTTGGTAGCAGGCACCCATAATCCCAGCTACTTGGGAGGCTGAGGCAAGAGAATCGGTTGAAACCAGGAGGCGGAGATTGCAGTGAGCTGAGATCATGCCACTGCACTCCAGGCTGGGTGACAAGAGCGAAGCTCCGTCTCAAAAAAAAAAAAAAAAAAAAAAGAATAAGAACAGAGGGGCATGTCATAGATTTAAGTAGGAAAACTTAATAATATAAAACTGTCATTATGCCCAAAGTTAATTTATAATTTTAACATTCCAGCAAATCCACCAACTGATTCCCTCATCCTCAGAGCTTCCTAAGATGGTTTCTAAATTTCACATGAAAAAATAAGAAGAGCCAGGAAACTGAACAGGAAAAACAGTGAAGGGATATTCTAATCCTCCCGGATATTAAAATAGACCCTAAAGCCTTGAGAACTGAACGTGTGGCAGGAGCTCCTAGAGAGGCAGATTTAAGGAACAAAATAGAAGGCCCAGAAATAGACCCAAATAGATCTATGATAATTTAGTATATGATTAAAGTGGCTCCTTAAGTCAGTGAAACACGGGAAGATGGAATTTTCAGTAAATGGTATTGGAACAAATGGTAGCCATACAGAAAGCAGTGAGCCCGGACTTCACACCGGGCACACCAGGATCCGTTCCAAATGGATCAAAAATTTAAATGTAAAAAGTGAAACTATAGAGACTAAAATTATTTTATTACCTCAGCTCCTCTAGCCAGGATCCAAACAATCAAAACACTGCAAAAGAAAATATTGATAAGTTTCATTACAATTTAATTTAAAATTTTAAAAATTAAAAATTGATGCATTTTAAAATTTTTACTATAATTTAAAAATCGATACTCTTTTTAAAAAAATCTAGATGCATGGCAACAAAGTGAAAAAAGCCCTGCCTGAGTGGAGTCTGATTCCCAGCTCCTTAAGTGTGAGCTGCCCATGGTGACTTATTCCCAATAAGTATGGTATGGGGGCACGGGGCAGGCACGGAAAGAGTGGCTTTGCTGAGTGGAGCTTGGCAGACACACTTCAGCCAGTGACCAGGGTCACCAGCAGCTATGAGTCAGGTGGGTGGTCTACGCCCTTGCTGCGATGTGATGAGAAGGTGTGTTACCTCTGTGGTCTTCCTCCCCCAAACCTACCACCCCAGCCCACTTACGAGGAAAATATCAGACAAATCCCAATTGAGGGTGGCTCTGCAAAATACCTGACCAGTCCTCCTCAAGCTGTCCAGGTCACCAAAAAAAGACAAGCTGAGAAACCCTCACAGCCCAGAAGAGTGTAAGGAGGCATGATATCTAAATATCATGTGGGATCCTGGGACAGAAAACAAAGGGCTGGGCACAGTGGCTCACACCTGTATCCCAGTGCTTCCAGAGGCAGAGGTGGGAGGATCGCTTGAAGCCAAGAGTTTGAGACTAGCCTGGGTAACATAGCAAGACCTCATCTCTACAAAAAATTTAAAAATTAGCTGGGTGTGGTGGTGTGCACCTGTAGTCTCAGTTACTTGGGAGGCTGAGGCAGGAGAATTGCTTGAGCCCAGGAGTTTGAGGCTGCAGTGAGCTATGATTGTGCCACTGTACTCCAGCCTGGTTGACAGAGTGAGACTCTGTCTCTAAAAAACAAAAAGACTAAAGAAATCCAAATAAAGTATGGGTTTTAGCTGATAATAATGTACCGACGTTGGTTCTTTAGTTGCGATGAACTGGGTGTGGGGTATACAGGAACTCCCAGTAATGAGTCTTGCAACTTCCCTGTAAATCTGAAACTACAATAAATAAGCCAGCCCCATAAATAAAAGATAAAGGGGGAAAATATATTGCAAGTCATATCCCAGACAAGGAAATATTGACTCACAGATTCATCAAATACTCACGAGCACCTACTCTGTGGCCGGCCTTGAGTGAGGCTCCAGGAGTTGTTCTTCCTACAGCGTGGTGGCTGCAGGACTCCTGGCAGGCTGTCTCTCAAGGCCAGCAAGAGAGCCTCACTCCCGTCACCAACAGGGGTCTTATATAACATCATACGCCATAGGAGTGGCTTTGGCACCTCTTCGCTCTGTGATGTTACCTAATCCCGTGGTATTTTCAATCCTGCCCACACTCAAGGCAGGGAATGATACGGGGTGGCTACACCGCAGGGTAGGGGCTCGGGGGCCATTCTAGATTCTGCCTTCCACCACCAAAGAATGTCAAATGAAAAAAAAATGCCCTAGTGAGCTCTGTAGACAATACAGTGTCATGACCTTTTCACAAGTCAAAAACAGGTAATGGCTGGGCATGGTGGCCCACGTCTATAATACCAGCACTTTGGGAGGCTGGGGTAGGCCTGCACCCAGGAGTTCAAGACCAGCCTGGGCAACATGGCAAAACTCCATCTCTTCAAAAAATACGAAAATTAGCTGGGCACGGTGGTGCGCACCTGTGGTCCCAGCTCCTCGGGAGGCTGAGGTAGGAGGATCACTTGAACCCCAGAGATTGAAGCTGCAGTGAGCTGTGATTACTCCAGTGCACTCCAGTCTGGGTGACAGAGTGAGAACCTGTCTCAAAAAAAAAAAAAAAACAGATAAAACTAAGTGCCACCCTGTTTCATAAGTGACAGAAATACATGCATATGTATACAAAGTCAAAGAAATGGTCATTACAAAACTGGAGAAGGTCATTACAAAACTGGAGAAATGGTCATTACAAAACTAGGATCACTAGAAATGAGGGTGAAAAGAATGAGATAAAGTGAGGAACACAGAAGAGATGCAACTTATGGGTCAAGTGTCAGGTTTTGAGTTTATTAGTAGGTTCATGATGTTCAATTTATTATTAAATAAAATGAAGGACAGCCATGAAAGGACCAATGATGCAAATGTGTTATGAACCAGTGACGTGTTATGTGACATTGATTAGCCCAGCTGTGTGCACCTTAGCTCTTTAAAGTATATTTGAATACGTGTATCCAGTGTTTTCAAGGAGCCCCTCCAAATCGAGCTGTAGATGCTTTCTTTGGGAATCCTATTTCCCTGTGTTTCTTAGAAACTGACTTGGTGTCTGGAGTTAGGGGCCTTAGTGGTTGGGGCACCCATAAGGATTAGCCCAGCTATGTGCACCTTAGCCCCTTAAAGTATGTTTGAATACACGTATCCAGTGTTTTCAAGGAGGCCCTCCAAATTGAGCTGTAGATACTCTCTTTGGAAATCCTATTTCCCCACGTTTCTTAGAAACTGACTTGGCATCTGGAGTTGGAGGCCTCTGTGGTTAGGGCACCCATGAGGTATCGCCCTGCACCTGCCACAGCAGATGTTTGTTGAGTGCATGAATGAACTTTGACGGTTGTGTTAATGCTCCTTTGTCTGTTCCTTCCCTCAGAAAATCGCCTTCATGGTAGCGCTAGGCCTGGTTACCACGGAACATTTGGAAGGTAAGGAAGGATCCAGGTAGCAGCAGGTTGGGCTGGGACTGACCCGAAAGCCGGGGTGTTGGGGGCCAGGTGTGATGATGGGTGGTCTGGGCTTCAGCAGCAGCCGATATGGGTGGAGCGTGGCCTCACACTGCTGCAGTGGGTCTCAGGATGTCCCGGCTCGGATGGCAGTGTCTGTGTATAAACCACCTCGCAGGAGGTCTGCCCCAAGTGCCTGAGGCTGGGTGGCTGTCATCAAAGACGAACAAGACAGAGAAGCCTTCCAGACTCGCCCTGGCTCCATGACTATGCACAATACCCACTGTGGCACTTCCTTGTTTCAGCGGAGGGACCGTGTGGGCTCCCTGCTCTCAACACAGGGAAATGACAAGAGGCAGACTGCCCGGTCCCACCACTTTCTTAAGTGTGGGCAGGTTACTTCTGTATGCCTCAGTCTCTTCATGTATAAAATGGGTAATGGCCGAACTGTCCTCTGGGGATTGTTGGAAGCAGTGCCCAGCACAGTGGGAGAGCTGACCACCAGCTCCCCTGCCGTCATACTAGCCTGCGGACTTCATGTGTGCCACCAAATGTGTCCGTGAAAATTGGAACAGTAGTTTATTTGAGCAGACAGGGCACTGTGACTCTACGAAGGGGCTGTGTGACCTTACGGATGAGGGCAGCTTCACATGGGCCGTGAACATCATCGTAGAATGATGAGGGCAATCTCACGTGAGCTGTGAACGTCATCCTAGAATCTTAGGGCCTGGGAAGCCTCGAAACCAGCCCCCTTGGGGAAGCCCCCATGGGGAAGCTGAGGCCAGGGAAGCTGATTCACTTGCCCAGGGTCCCAGGGCCAGTTGATACCAGGCCCAGGCTGGAATCCAGGCCTCCTGACTCCCAACCCAGAACGTATTCCACCACACCCACCTCACCTGCAAAGGCGTTTTATAAAGGGAAAGCACATACCCTGGTAAACCTGGATGCGGGAAGGTTCGCCTAGCGTTCCTCTTCTTCAAAGCAAGAGGGAATGAAGTGAACCCCCGCGGTGCCCGAGGCACTAGCAGTCTTGAAGTTAAGAGTTTCTATCCATTGCAGCAGGTGAGCCACCGAAGCCCAGGGGAGGGGAGGGACCTGGCTGAGGTCACACAGCTCATCCGGGGCAAGTGGGAGCAGGGCAAGCCTTCCTGAGCTCAGCAGAGCCCAGCGCGCGGGGACAGCAGCCTGCCATGCAGGCTCCGAGAAGACAGCCCTCTCCCTTTATGTCCCCTGGGTCTGACTTGCTCTCTGGCAGCAGCCAGGATGGGGAGAGCCAGGGAAGAGCCCCAGCCTTCCAGATCCCTGGGCAGGGAAGCCCCCTGTAAGCAACCCTTGCCCCTGGCCTTCCTCACCCTTCTGCGTGCATGGTTGGAAGGCATTACCCTCCAGCCAAGGTTCCTTTGTAAGAACCTCTGTGAGCTCCCCGCCTGATGGTGTGAGCTTGAGCGAGATGAATCCCGCTGCCCTCAGCTTGCCTTTGGGATTGATTTAATCTCTGACCGAAACCACGGTGCCACAGAGGCAGCATGGGGCTGTGGGGACAGAAGTCTTATGCTCAAGTCCCGCCTGTGCACTGGCCGGAGTCCCTAGGCAAGGTCCTTCCCCACTCCGAACCTCAGTTTTCTCATCTGCAACATGGGGAAAACTGCGCCTGTAAACTTCGTGGAGTTGGTGAGGGACTGATCGAAAAGTGCGTTCCTAATAGGCGTGATCATTATTGGTTTTATAAATAGTCCTCATTTAGAAACCTCTCCCCAACCTCTGCTGTGATATCCTTAATTCTTTCTTTCTTTAGACCCTGTGTTATTCCACAGAAGGTCTGAGTGCCTTACAGAAAACAGGCTGAGTAATATTGAGAAGGTTTAAAAAGCAAAACTAGGTCCGGGAGACAGAGATTAGAAGACGCTAGCACAGCTGCACACAGAGAGGCAGGTCATGGGTCCTGCCTGGGGGTCAAAGCAAAGAAAAAGGAAAAGAAAACACCGTCAGTGTGGCCATGCCCCCTCTCGCTCGCATGCGAAGGATTCCTGCTGGGGGCTGCACTGGGGCAGAGGCCACCTGGGTAGAGGCTTGCTCCTGGGCTTCCGGGAGCTGGGAGCCTCACCCTGCAGCTCACTGGACCAGTGGGTATCACCCAACCTGTGGGTATCTGCCATCCTGTGGGTCCCCAATAACGGCCATGGGCCAGATAGGGACACAAAAGGAGGACCCCGTGCTAAGAGTGGGCACCTGGATTCTGGGTACCTGCCAGCCTCCCACCAATCTGTCATTCAGCCTGAGGCCACCAGAGCTGTCCTGCCATGGAGTCAGTGATTCCTGGAGGCCCTAACCCACCCTGGGCCATTCTGTGGCATGGATGCTGAGCACACAGAGAGGCTTCAGAGCAGGAGGGGATGGTGGTGCCCAGGGCTTGGCAAGGAAGCATTTGGGGTTCCCAGGGCAGGCAGGACCCAGTAACTGCTGTGTCTGTGCCTTTCCAGAAATCCAGAGCAAGCGACAGGAGCGGAAGAGAAGAAGCACAGCCAACCCTGCCTACAGCGGCCTCCTGGAGACCGAGGTGGGGAACCCGCCAGCCCCATGCCACCAGGAGGGTGGGGGCTCCCAGTGCACAGCCTCCAGGAAAAGTCCCAGGGCCTCCCTCATTCGCTTTCCTAAGCACCCCCCTCGTCTGTCCCTCCTGGGAGTGGGGCTGGGGGGTGACCGTAAATCATCTCTCTCATCACCTCCGAGTTGACAGTCAATTGATAGGAAGATGCGGAAGAGGAGATGTCAGTTTATTCCTAATAGAGGCTCTCTGGTGGGCGTGGCTTCGTGTGAGGTACACCGGCTTCTTGCCTCTTCACCCTGAATGATCAGGCAAATCTCCGGTCACAGGCAGGGCTGGACACCCTGGCCTCCCTGGACCACCTCACACCTTGTCTAGAGCCTGTGCAGTTGGCTCATGGCTGGGAGAGACTGAGGATGTGCACAGCCTGGAGCAGGCGGGCACCGTAAAGAAAGGGGCTGGGTGGGCGTGGCCAGTGCCCTTCCCTACTCCCAGTTGGAGCGTCCATACCCAGGGATGGGGGTGGGAATCCGAGAGCCTACACCAAAATCGGTCCAGTGCAGCAGGGTTGGGATTTAAGGATGCCATAGGGGAGCACAAGGGCCTCTCCCATGAGCATGTCCCCAGGGAGAAACCAGATCATAAATGACACCTTCCTGCCCTTGTAAATGACAGTCCAAAATTCTTAGGTTAAAATCCTAATGTCATCTCCCCAAAGCCAACTCTGCAGGGTCTGTTGGGACCATTAGCTCAGAGGCTCAGGGCTTTCTTAGGGGCAGTGTCTTAGAGTCTTTCTCTGGGATGGAAGCCATTTGCTTAGAGCTCCGAAGTCCAGAGCTTGGGACAGCTGTCCTGAGGGAAACGATGTCCCCCGAGGTCAGTGCCTGGTGTGTTGCAGATGCCAGCTCTGTGAGATCTGGAGGAAGGTGAGGAAAGTGCTGTCTCACCTCCCAGGGTGCGGGCTAGTCTGGGCCACTGCCCAGAATCCATGTCTTGGGAACCTGAGCTCAAGTGGGAGGGAGGCGTTTCGCGCAGAGCGGCAGCCAGTTCCAGGCTCTGCAATTGCCCTGTCTGTGGGGAGAGCCCACCATGGGGCGTCCTCTGGCCTCATCAGCCTGTCCACGCCTTTCCTCTACTTCTGCCTGCCCCGCTCCTGTTCTGAGAACGTGCTCCACGTGGGCCGTTTCATACCATTCACTTCCTCTTCCTTCATCTGAGCAAGCTCTGTCCCCTGACTCGGACCCTTCGTAAGAACATCGTGGAGGTGTTTTCAGCCTCCACCCAAGGAAATGGTGTGTTCTCCAGACAGGGAGGGCTTCATTCCTTTAGATTTGTTCGTTCATGAAAATGCAGGCTGCTGTGTGGACGAGGCGTTACTCTAGGCTCCCAAGTCTGAGGCCAGGGCCAGAGACGGCATAAGCAGGTCAGGAGTCAACCCAAGGCCCCGTGACCCTGAGCCTGGAGCAGGCACACAGCCCGAGGGGGCCCTTCCCCAGGTCCACAGCCTGACCACACCGAGAGAAGTGGTGTCAAATCTGGCCACGCAGTATTACAACAGCCGCAGTCAAAGCCACTTTGAACCACCAAGGTTTAGACCGGTGTGGCCTGTGGTTGCCAAAGCCAGGACTAAGGCCGCTCTTCTGGAATGTTCCAGAAACCTTTGTCCACATGTGATGTTTCAGGCCACATGCCAAGAAGTGGAATTTAGGGGAGCCAGTCTATAACACCCATTTTTCCACCTGACTCCAGACCCAGTTGAGAGGCAGGAGACAGGTGGAGAATGTAACATGCACCATGTGACTGATGTGTCCCACTGACGGCCCTTCCTGAGCTAGACGCACCCATGGGTGCAGAGAGGGTGTCCTAGGCCTCCTGCAGGCAGAGCCTTTGCCGACTTCCCTGCCCCGCCCCGCCCCATCCTCAGCCATTCCTGCGTGCTTCTGCCCTGTATTTGTTCCTATTTCTGCCCCTGGCAGGGGGTGTCCAGCCAGAGCCTGGAGCCCTGGGTGGGAACCCTGTCCCAGAGAGAGTCCTGACCTGGGGTGACGTCACCATCGAAGAGAGCCTCCAGATGATGGGGTGTGTTGTTTTGTTTTCTGTCCCTGCAGAGGAAACGGCTGGCCTCCAACTATCTCAACAACCCCCTGTTCCTCACAGCGAGAGGTAAGCACCGGCTTCAGGCCTTCTGCCAGAGCTGCTCAGGGCCGCGGGGAGTCATCCCTGGGTGGTCCTCCACGCCTGGGCCTGGGCAGGGCTGCCCGCCTCCCACTGGTCTGACCTGGGCAGAGGAAGGTGAGGATGCTGTGCTGAGAGGAGCCTCCCACCTCCCCGCTCCTCCTGCAGCCTGTGTGTGAGCTTGGAGCTGTGGCCTGGGAGAGGTCCACAGCCTGGGCCATAGGTGTGAGCGTGACCGATGGGGCCTCTGCAGGTGTGACCCAGCCCAGGTGCTGCTGCTTCCATACTCCACTGGAGACAACCTCTCTTCCCCACACGCGGGCGGCCTCTGATACCCCTGGGCTGGGCTGGCGCCTCTCAGCCCACACCTTGCCCACCCTCTTGTGCCTGCTCTGGGCATTGGAAGAGCACAGGCTGGACAGGGGTGGGGATCTCAGCCCAGTTCTGCCTCTGCCTCGCTGTGTGTGTTGGAGCCGAGGGCTCCTTCTGTACAAGGCATTGGGCCAGATCTTCAGGCTGGAACCTGGCCTCAGGCCTCTACCTGTGTCTGCAGGGCCCCTCCCTCCTCTGCCAGCCGTGCCCCAGTGCAGGACCTCAGGGAGCCACATCCTTGCATTCAGACAGCAGCAGGAAGCTGCCAGTTCTCTTCAGTTAGAAAACCATAGTCCCACGAGCAGGAAATGACGACCAGCTTGCTGGGATTCTGTGTAGCTTTCAACATGTCACCATCCCTCCCTGGGCCTTGGTTTACTGATCTGGAAAGTGGGCCCATAGCTACCTGCTTCTCAGAGCTGGGACAGTGACTTGAAGGGCGAGTGTGACTGCACTTTGTGAGCTGTCGAGTGCTGTGCAGACTCCGGAACTGTTCTCCCGCTGGGTGGCATTATTTGCAGACAGATCTGATCTGGAACCTGAAAGATATATATGTTTGCGATCATTAAAATGTGTGGTTTGGTATCATTTACTAGAATGAGAGTGGATTACAGTTTAAAAAGAGTTGAAAATAAGTCACTTTGAGGGGTTCTTGGAGTGATGTTTCCTTCCCCCCGGGCAGCTCACTGCCACTATGTCCTCAGCACAGGGGCCACATGAGCCTGTTCCCATGGTGGCTCCTAGCTGTGACCAGGGCTGAGATCCTTACTCCCATCCTGCCCAGGAGTGAGACCCCAGGTATCACAGGGCCTTGTGATATTCCCATCATGCCCTGGGGTGAGCCCAGGTGTCATGGGGGCCTTGTGATATTCCCATCATGCCCTGGGGTGAGCCCAGGTGTCATGGGGGCCTTGTGATATTCCCATCATGCCCTGGGGTAAGATCCCAGGTATCACAGGGCCTTGTGATATTCCCATCATGCCCTGGGGTGAGAGCCCAGGTATCATGGGGGCCTTATGATGCTCCCATCATGCCCTGGGGTAAGAGCCCTTGCCACATGAGGCCTCATGGACTCCAGTCCTGATCTGTGCTCCTCTGACGGCCACTAACGTGTTCTCCGCCCTTCTTCCCTGTGCTAGCCAATGAGGACCCCTGCTGGAAGGTACGTGTCCCCTCCCTCCGTCTTCACACTTCCGGGGTGGAGAATGTTTTCAGTACAGTCCTCATAGGGTCCCTCCTGGAAAGAGGGAAAGAGCCCGGAGTGGTGCAGAAGGCCTTTCGGTTCTGCCTTTAGGTGCTAAGAGCTTTGTGCAACACTCAGCCAGCTTTCCAGCCGGCCAGGCAGCGTCAAGTCGGGCATTGCCACAGGGCTCTGCTCTCAGCTTCAAACAGGAGCCCTCCCTCCTCAGAATTGAGGATGCAGAGACTGCAGGGGCCACTGAGGCCCAACTGGAAGCAGCCAGCTGGTGCCCAAAGGCCTCCACCCTGGCTCTACTGGCCTCAGTGTGACCTGGGCAGAGCTGGCCCTCCCTGGTCTTCTGTTACCCGTCCGAAAAGGGGCTGGACTTGTTAATCCCCAGGGACTCACCCCACACACCCACATTTCTGTGATCCTGTGGGGCCCCCACCCCCTACCCCCTACCCCCTACCCGTGCACACACCACATCCCTGATTCCCAGAACATTGGCTGGTCATGACCTCGTTCATGGCATGATCTCAGAATTTATTCAGTGTTTTTCTTCACTGAATTTCTGATCTAATTCTAAAAGAACATTCTAGTCCCTGCATGCTTGTAACTGTCAAGCCTCTAAGAAGCAGTAGGTGATGATTGCAGTCAGCTCCGGTTAGGCTGTGTCATTTTCACAATAGCCCTGCAATGGCACGGGTTGGTGCTGGGGGGCCTGGCAGTGTTTATCTGCAAACATCTTGTGCCCATCCAGGGCGGGCATGTGGACAGGGGACACCTGGAGCCTGAGCTCTGTCCCCACAGAGCCCACAGACTTGGAGAGGGCCTCGGCTTTGAGGCAGGCCACCTGGTTGCTGGTCCCGGCTCCCCCTCCAGCTTGCTGTGTGATAACTGCCTCCCCCTCCCTGTGTGACAACCGCCTCTCCCTCCCTGGGCATTTGCATGACACAAGGGGTGGAGACAGGGACCTCTGAGGCCTCCTCTGAGGGTGTTGCCCCTCCTTCAGGGACATCCAGTGTCCTTGTGGCACGGGCCATCCCAGAGGAGAGCTCTCTGGTCTTTTCCAACTCTGAAGTTGGAGCATGCTGTTGACACGTGGATGGTGAACAGAGAGCCGAGTACAGGGTCTTGGCCGGGGCTACGCCGCCCCTCCAGGCAGTGTCCACATAAGCAGTGGGGGCGGGGAGGGAGTGCTGCATTCATCACTGGTCCCACTCCCAGCACATGGACCTCTGGTGCAACACAGACCCTCAGGGGGCTGTTTTCTAGGCCGCAGCAGGACAGCCTGCCTTGTCGCCCGCACCTGGGGTCCAGGTCTTAGCACAGAAGAATCAGGTTATGGGAGTCACACCAGGCCAGACTCCAATGCTCAGTGCCCCAGCCCCTAGTAAATCTGGCCCTGTGGGTGCCCCCCCTCCTCCCAGGGCCCAGGCCTGACCCCACACTGTCGCCCTCCAGGGTTTATCCCTCTCTCTCCGTAGAGCTGCTGGGAAACGTTGGCAGAAGAGCGGCCACATGTAGGTCAGACACAGCTGCCTGGGCCTGGCCCTGGCTGACCGGCCCCCGCTGCCCTGGCTGTGGCTGACCTGTCTCCTGCCCTCCCTTCTCTTCCAGAACGAGATCACCCACGATGAGCACTGTGCCGCCTGCAAGCGAGGGGCCAACCTGCAGCCCTGCGGCACCTGCCCGGGGGCCTACCACCTCAGCTGCCTGGAGCCGCCCCTCAAGACGGCGCCCAAGGGCGTGTGGGTGTGCCCCAGGTGCCAGCAGAAGGTACAGGAGGCTGTGTGACCCCCTCACCCCAGACTGGCATGGAGGTCCCCACCGTAGGCAGAGACAGGGCAGAGGAGGGGTGAAAAAAGGGGCTTGGGTATAGGAAGGCTTTTTCAACCTCAGCACAATTGACATTTGGGGCTGGATAATCCTTGGTTGAGGAACTTTGTCCTGTGTATTATGGGATTTTTTTTTTTTTTTTTTTTTTGAGACAGAGTCTCGTTCTGTTGCCCAGGCTGGAGTGCAGTGGCACAGTCTCGGGTCATTGCAACCTCTGCCTCCTGGGTTCAAGTGATCCTCCTGCCTCAGCCTCTCAAGTAGCTGGGGTTATAGGCGCCCACCACCACACCCGGATAATTTTTGTATTTTTAGTAGATGGGGGGTTTCACCATGTTGGCCAGGCTGGTCTCAAACTCCTGACCTCAGGTGATCAAGACTAGAGGGGAAGCAGCCTCTCCTCCCAGCAGCGGGAGATAGTGGAATAGCCCAGCTCTGCACTCAGTGAGATATTCCGCCAGCATCCAACAGGTTTTTACAAAAAGTGTGATTCTCTGGATCTTGTTCACTATATGGAATTATAAAGATAAAAAACAGGCTTTACAGCTGCTATATAGTTTGGGAATCAGCCATCTGAGAAAAACTGCAGAGTAAAAACCCTGGGAGAAAACGCTTGGGAGTGTGGCCCCTGAGTGTGGTGGGTGGCGGGTGGCAGCAGTGCTTGGCTTCAAGTGTGCCTTCCACAGATGCATGACTTGTGTGGTCATAGGGAGTTACCTTTCTTTCTTTCTTTTTTTTTTTTTTTTTTTGAGATGGAGTTTCGCTCTTGTTGCCCAAGCTGGAGTGCAATGGCATGATCTCAGCTCACTGCCACCTCTGCCTTCTGGGTTCAAGCGATTCTCCTGCTTCAGCCTCCCAAGTAGCTGGGATTACAGGCATGCGCCACCACTCCTGGCTAATTTTTTGTATTTTTAGTAGAGATGGGGTTTCACCATGTTGGCCAGGCTGGTCTCAAACTCCTGACCTCAAGTGATCTGTCCGCCTTGACCTCCCAGAGTGCTGGGATTACAGGTATGAGCCACTGCACCCAGGCCGGGAGTTTTAATACTTTATTTCAAAAAGTATTAACCATTGGGAGTTCCCATCATCCCTGGTTCTGTGGGGATCAAAGGCTGTGGATATGGTGGGCAGGGGCTGCTGTCGGGCTGTTCCCTCTGCGGCTACCTGCCCCTGCATTGTGACTGCCTGGGTCGGGGGTTACATCCTTTTTTTTTTTTGGTAGACAGGGTCTTGCTCTGTTTCACAGGCTAGAGTGCAGGAGCATGAGCACAGCTCACTGCAGTCTTGACCTTCGGGGCTCAAACAATCTTCCCACCTCAGCCTCCTGAGGAGCTGGGACCACAGGTACACACCACCATGGCCAGCTAATTTTTTAATTTTTTGTAGAGGTTGGGTCTCACTTTGTTGCCCAGGCTGATCTCGAACTCCTGGGTTCAAGCAGTCCTCCCACCTTGGCCTCCCAAACTGCTGGGATTAATGCCCAGCTTTTTTTTTTTTTTTTTTTTTTTTTTTTGCCTCTTCTTCCTTTTTTCTTCTTTCTTTTTTGTCACAACTTTTTGAGGCCATGTGGAGAGGGAACAGAATTCTGTTCCCCACTTCAGCATAGTGTGGGGGACATCGAGTCTCTCCATTTGTCCCTGGCGTGCCTGGGGTCGCTGCCCTCAGGTCTTCTGGACGTGGGAGGAAGACAGGTGATCATTCGTTCGTTCGAGAAGTATTTGAGCCTGCTGCCTGTTCAGGGCCCTGGTGATGAGCAGGGGAGAGGCCCAGAATGTTCCAGCCTCGTGGAGCTGTGTAGCCCCTGTGAGCTGGGCCATGAGGCATGTGCGGCCCCAGCTCCTGGTCACGGGTGAGGACCCTGTGGCTCAGACAGGGCGTGCCCCCTCAGGGTTACACAGCCAGGGTGTGGACAGTCCCAGCAGGTCCCAGGGCCTGTCCACTTTTTCATCTCCCCGTCTGCTCCCCAGGCCTTAAAGAAAGACGAGGGTGTGCCCTGGACTGGGATGCTGGCCATCGTGCACTCTTATGTCACCCACAAGACAGGTGAGGCATCCCTGGGGAGTGGAAAAGGGTACCTGCTCCCCCTCCTCCCCCACCCAGGCCTCTGGGCTCACCTGGTCCTGTGGGAGGACAGGTGGGTCCATTCCCTTCAGGGCCAGAGCACTGAAAAGTGGGATCCTGGGACCGGTCCTGTGTCCGGGGCAGGTGTGGCCAGGGGAGAGTGGCTCCAGGTCCTGTGCATTTGGCCACAGCCACTGGCTTCTTCAGGGGGATGTCCTAGGCCTTGGTTTCATCCCTTCTGCCTCTCCCATTTACTCTACGACCCAGCCGCTCCTTACCTGCCCCTCTCCAGGGACCTGGCCTTCTCTTTTCTAGTCAAAGAAGAGGAGAAGCAGAAGCTGCTGCAACGAGGCAGTGAGCTGCAGAACGAGCACCAGCAGCTGGAGGAGCGGGACCGGCGGCTGGCGTCAGCAGTGCAGGTGTGCCCCGGGGCCTGGGGGAGGCTGGCCTCAGCCCTGCAGGTGTGCCCCGGGTCTAGGGGACAGATAGATGTGTCCTTAGAACCACAGGTGTAGATCCAGGCTGGCCTCAGCAGTGCAGGAAGGAGCCAGGGCCTGGTGGACAGGCAGGCGTGTCATTCAAACCACAAGTGTAGATCCAGGCTGGCCTCAGCCCTGCAGGTGTGCACCGGGGCCTGGGGACAGGCAGATGTGTCCTTAGAACCACAGGTGTGGATGCAGAGCTTCACTGTTCACCTGTAAGGCCTAGGAAGAAGACAGACTCACCAAGCATCCCCCAGCAAGCCAGTATGTGGAGAAGGCAGCGCTGTGACTCATTCAACAAATATTTATCAAGCGATTGACAGCACCCTGGCTGTGCGCCTGCTCAGGCCCCTTGGCAGGGCCCTGACCTCCGAATCTGTTTCCTCTTGTGTAAAGTGAACGTAATTCCTCCTCCATAGGATGGAGATAGACAAGATAATGAAGATGATGGTTGTGGTGGTGGTGATGATGGTGATGGTAGTAATGGTGATGGTGATGATAGTGGTGATGGGAATATGATAATGGTGGTGGTGGTGATGATGGTGATGGTGATGATGATATGGTGTTGGTCGTAATGGTGGTGGTGATGGTGATGGTGGTAATGATGGTGGTGCTGATCACAGTGATGGTGGTGGTGATGGTGATCATGGTGGTGATGGTGATGGTTGTAATGATGATGGTGATGATGGTGATGGTGCAGACCACAGTGATGGTGATGGTGGTGATGATAATGGTGATTATGGTGGTGATTATGGTGATGGTGGTGTTGATGGTGCTGATCACAGTGATGGTGATAATGGCGATCATGGTTGTGGTGATGGTGGTGATGATGGTGCTGATCACAGTGATGGTGGTGGTGGTGACGATGGTGATCATGGTGGTGGTGATGGTGGTGATGGTGCTCATCACCGTGATGGTGGTGGTGGTGATAATGGTGATCATGGTGGTGGTGATGGTGGTGATGGTGCTCATCACCGTGATGGTGGTGGTGGTGACGTTGGTGATCGTGGTGGTGATGGTGCTAATGATGGTGGTGATGGTGCTGATCACAGTGATGGTGGTGGTGGTGATAATGGTGATCATGGTGGTGGTGATGGTGGTAGTGATGATGGTGGTGATGGTGCTGATCACAGTGGTGGTGGTGGTGGTGACGTTGGTGATCGTGGTGGTGATGGTGGTAATGATGGTGGTGATGGTGCTGATCACAGTGATGGTGGTGGTGGTGATAATGGTGATCATGATGGTGATGGTGCTGATCACAGTGATGGTGGTGGCGGTGGTGATAATGGTGATCATGGTGGTGGTGATGGTGGTGGTGGTGCTGATCACAGTGATGGTGGTGGCGGTGGTGATAATGGTGATCATGGTGGTGGTGATGGTGGTAATGATCACAGTAATGGTGATGATGGTGGTGTTGATGTGTTAGAGGATGGTGATGGTAGCGGGCCCTGGGGAAGCTCTTTAAATGCAGTGTCTCATTTAATCCTCTCTATAATGCTGTGAAGAGGCTTTGTGATTGTCCCTATAATCATTTTAGAAACCATCTCGGGGAGGTTGTTATTTGCCCAAGCAGTATTTCACCCAGAGCAGATGGATATGGGACTGTAGGCATCAGTCCTTACTGCTTTTCCTTGTTGCGGTGGTGCGTAGAGAGACAGTGTGTTGTGCAGCACCACACAGCACAACAGGCGAGAGAAAGAGCAGAAAGGCGACTGGGAAGCCAAAGGCCTCCGAGGCTGCTGCAGTTTGGCCAGCAGGAGGAGGAGGAAGAGTGTGGGCAGCTAGCGGGGAGGAGGAGGTCACATCACAGCCATGGGAAGGACGTTCCCAGGCAGAGCCACACTTTTTCTAGCCCTAAGTTCCAAAGCGAGCATCATCTCCTGTGGGTCTGGCTGCTCTTTAATTGCATTTGCACCACTGCCTGGTTTTTGTGAAGCCCTCAGCCTGGTTTCTTGTAGGCCTTTGTAGTGGAGGGGAGAGGGGCCCAGACGGTGGCTGCCCCAGGATGGCTGTAGAGCCGAATACTGAGACCCTTTCCCCTGACCTTCTCCCCAACAGAAATGCCTGGAGTTGAAGACAAGCCTGCTGGCCCGCCAGAGGGGCACCCAGTCATCCCTGGACCGCCTGCGGGCCCTCCTGAGACTGATACAGGGCGAGCAGCTGCTCCAGGTCACCATGACGACCACTAGCCCTGCCCCACTGCTGGCCGGGCCCTGGACCAAGCCCTCAGTGGCAGCCACACACCCCACCGTCCAGCACCCCCAGGGCCACAACTGACCCCGAGGGACCAGTCTTCATACCCACGGAAAGTTATTGGGACCCTGCTTACACAGCCTGGGGGTTCTGTCGGCCTTAATTCATAAACACTATGAATTTCAGACAAAAATTAACCAGACAGAGGAGAGGAGGGAGGAAGAGCTGGGCGAGAGGCCTAGAGCCAGGACCAGGTGGGGGTGCGGCCCTGTGCCCTCCAAATTCACAGGGGGTACCTAGGAGCCAGGTGGGGTACGACAGGCTGGGGCACACAGTCTCCCCCCGGCCACCTCGGGGCTGCCTGGGCCTCTGGCTTCCAGGCCCTGCTCTCCACGGCCTCCCTCTGGCCCGTTGGAGGGGCAGGCTGAGGCTGTGGAGGGGACAAGCACGCCCCCCAGAACGCAGTCTCCACTGAGGGCACCGCCTATTGGTGTCCTGTGGGAGGGCGAGCTGAGAACACATGGACTAGCTGAGTGGTAGCGGTAGTTGGGACGAGAAGCGGGGTAGTGGATCTAGGTAGTTCCTCAATGCCCCACGCTCCTAGGAGGTCCCCCTGGGGTGGGCGGGCGGGCCTGGGGCACTCCGTCGCCTTTGCAGAACCACCTGGGCCCCTTTCTGTCAGTATTATTAGGGTTACGAATTGCAGCTGTTTAACTTGAAAGACACTGTCGGAGGTGAGCATCTGGGCGCCGGGACGCTGCAGTGATCCCCGCCAGAGCCTGTGCCCTTCCTGCTCCGTCTTTGGGGTCCTCAAGGCTGCCTCCTTCCTTTTGCCAATCTCTTGGACTCAGTTTGCCGTTGATGCGTTTTTCTCATGGAGTTTCTGGGCAGAGTGGAGCTGCAACCCTGTTGTGGGGGGCAGCATTTGGCAGGTTTTCTCCTTGGGGTTGAATCATTCAACTTAACGACTGAAGCCCTTTCTTGTCTCCTTTGGAAGAGCCGATAAGTATTCCACTCCTCCCTTCTTGCCAGTGCAGACACTATGCCAAAAAATAACTTCACACTTTTGTATGGCGTTTTTATTGTGAGATATTTAATGTGAATGGTTGGGGGGACTCTGGCTGACTTCCTTTCTGCTTCTAGTAGTCTCTGCTTCAAGGTACAAATGGGAACACCTCCCCTCGGGAAGCCTGGCCAAGCTGGAAGATCCGGCAGGTTTTTTACGAGCCGGGTGGAGGGTTGGGGAGGAAAGAAAGGGCGGTGGCTCGGGAGGTTCCGGCCTTCGGGGACCAGACTTGCTGCCAAGGGCTTCTGCATCCAGGGTGGGCAGTGGCAGCTTGTCACCCTTGCCCGATTCCCACATCCCAGTCCTGAGGGACTCAGCACAACAGGATAAGCGTCCAGGAGCCACGGGCTCCCACCCCGAGCATATCACATGGTGCCGAATTGCACTGAACACGCGTGTGTGCATCGCACGCGGCCACGACCACAGACACGCATGCACACACGCAGAGGTGCAGAGCGAGGAGGCCGGCAAATCCCGCAGCTGCCACGGTCCCTCCTGTCATTCTCACGACTCCGGGAGAAACTGTGCTGTATGATACAGATCTATTTTAATACACTTACCACTGGGTGAACAAGATTTTTATATTCTTTTATTGATGAACAAAGTGAACCGTGTGAGGCACACGTCTTCTATATTGGCTACTCTGTGCCAAGTATGCATTACCGCGTGGCTTGCGATGTCCATGTCTTCAGCTTCCTTTTCTGTTGGTTTGGTTTTCTTCGCGGATGGATTGAGTTACATGTTTTAACAGTGTAATGGGAGGATCTGAAAGGTTGGACCCGGGAGGGGTAGCTGCCGATGTGTCTTGAGATTGTTAGGTTTTTTTTGGACCAAGGAGGACCGTCCAGTGGGTAGTGAGGATAGAGAAAAAGTGTTTGTCTTAAATACGCCAATGTAGTTTTCCTTCTTTACAATGTATTAAACTCGATCGATGATTTCAAAGCCCTGTGGTTTTGGTGTCCTTGCGTTGCGGAGAGGCCCCCGGGAGTGCCCAGGGCAGCCAGGTGGGCGTTGGAGGGGCTGGAAATCAGGGTCTTCTCCCATCCTGAGGAGGGAGGGATGGAGGGAGGGAAACAGGGAGAGAGCTCAGTGCCCTCCACTCACTCACCCCCGATTCCCAGTCCTCAGAGGCGGCGGGTGACCCTTTAGGGCTAGGATTGAGGGTGGAAAGTCTTGGAAACCCAGCAGGTCTGTCACTGTGCAGAGCCCAAGGTGGTGCCCTCTGCTCCCTCATGGGTTCCTGCCTCTCAGCCTGGCAACATCACCGCTGTCTCTCTCCCCCAGCAGCGGGTACAGGCGCTCCTGCAGCCACGCTGAGCTTACACCTTGCCCTACAAGAGGTGGGGAATCAGCCCCCCTGAGTCCTAGCTCCTGGCATTGCACGGGGGACTCTGATTGGCCAAGTGGGTCGGGGCCGACCCCTGGGCAGTTAGCTGTGGCCAGAGGCTGGGGTCTAATGCCAAAGTGGGGTCCGGTGCCCCAGGGGACAGAGAGGTGGAGGGCATGCAGGGCTGCCACACAGTCCCGCTTCATGGCTTGCCCTGGGGAGAATAGTTTGGGAGGAGGGGAGCAGGTTTCAAGTCAGCTCTGCCTGAGCCCTCCTGGGGGCCACTCAAAAGACCACACTCGGCATCCGTGGCTCACTCCTGTCCTCTTTGGATTCTCTTCAGTCCGACTCCCCACCCCTTTGCACCTCTGGAACACCAGGTCAGTAGTGACCTCCCATGGCCAGATCCCCGGGGTGCTCCCGGTCATCACCTGGACCTCTCAGAACCAGAGGACACATTGGCCACACCCCCTGCCAAAGGAGGCTCCTGGGACCTCACTCCTGCCAATGTGGCTGCTCCCTGGTCTCTGCTCCAGACTTGCTTCTCTTCTACCTAATCACTGAAGGCCCAGGTCTGTGTTCAGATCTCCCGCAGCCGGCCTTCACCTGCCCCTGGCTTCTGTCTGTACCCCCAGGCCCACTGTACGGCTGCGGGTGTCTCACGCTCTGCACAGTCTCTACCAGGCCAGTCCCTCCCACCTCCCCATCTCAGAGGAGCTTCAGGCTGCTGGGGCTGGCACCCTGGGAGTCACTCTTGGCTCTTTTCTCCCACCTTGCATACCTGGTCCTTGGCAAATCCATCAGCTCCGCCCTCAGGACATAAGCAGGATGGGACAAGCCTCACCGCCCACCCCAAAATCACCTTGGTCCCAGCCCCATGATCTCCCCTGGATTCCGGCAGCTGCCACCCACCTGCTCTTTCCAAACCCTGCCCCGCTGCAGTCTCTTCTCAACCCAGCAACTAGTGTGATGGCGACGCTGTCAAAACCCTGCCATCCGGGCGCCTGTAATCCCAGCTACTTGGGAGGCTGAGGCAGGAGAATCGCTTGAAACCGGAAGGTGGAGGTTGCAGTGAGCTGAAATCACACCGCTGCACTCCAGCCTGGGCGAAAGAGCGAAACTCCGTCTCAAAAAACAAACAAAACCCTGCTGCCCTGTGTCTCGTTCAGCAAAAGCTAAAGGCCTCACCCTACTCACCTTACTTGTGCCTCCAGGGCCACAGGCCCCGCTTGCTCTGGCCTCTGGTTTATGCCCTGCTCCTCTCCTCCTTGCCTGCCTCCTCGCTTGCTCCCACCGCAGGGCCTTTGCATGTGCTGTGCCCTCGGCCCCCAGCCATCTCCCTGAAGACCTGACCCTGAGCACCGCCTCCTCGCAGTGCCGCCTTCCAGCCCCCTCGCCAGGACCCTGGCATTGCCTGTCCTTCTGCCTGCTCTTTGGTTCCTTGAGCTTCCACAGCCTGCTGTGTGCACCCCTGTGGGTTTTTATCTGTCTACTCAGGAAGATAGGGAGTTTGGTTGGTTTTCTTTCCAAACCCCAGCATCTAGAAGTGCCTGGCAAACAGTTGGCACCCAGCATAGACTTTGGAGAGACAGAGCTGCTAGGCCTTGGGGCTGCGCCATCCTGGTTCAGGGCCCTCCCCTGGGGAGTCCCTTAGGCCACCCCAACTGCCAGGTGAGGCTGGGCAGGCAGATGAGAAAGCAGAGGCCAGGAAAGGGATGGAATTGCCTGCGATCCTGCAGGTGCCGAGTGGACGTGCCTGGACTCCACTCCGTCCTTGTCCTCCAATCCCATGCGGTTCCATCACAGCCATACTCCCAACCAAGAGCAGGGCTCAGGGGCAGCTCCTGTGACCTCCAGCTCCCGGACCGTGCAGGGACTTCCCTCCAAAGCACCCCTCACTGCCCTGCCCCTCTACTCCAGCAACAGCAGCTCCCTCCCTCCCTCCCAGGGACAGCTCTGCCATTAGAAGGGGGCTCCCACGATGTGCAGACATCTGCCGCCTGTAGCTCAACACACCCCACCCCACAGCACCCAGGGGACCCTGTGCTGAGACAAGCCTCAGTTTGGGACAGCGGTCACTCCAGGACCCTCACTCCCAGCTCCATCTAACACGGCCCCTGGAGAGCAGGGTGCCCAGCTCAGGGTGGGCTGGCTGTCCAGGGCAGGCGGTCAGCATGGAAGGAAGCTTCTCTTTGGCAGATCCCAACTGCCAGCATCCCTTGGGGGCCATTGTTAAGTAGGGGGTGAGGGTTGCTTGAGCACAAACACAGGGACACTGCAATGGTCGAGCTGATCAATGAGATGGTGGCCAAGTGACTCATGAGCAGGTAGCTGGACGGAGGGACGCTTCCTATCCAGGGCGGGACACTGCTTATGAATTGTTTATTTCTGGAAATTTCCATTTAATATTTTTGGACTGTAGTTGACCATGAGTAACTGAAACTGCAGATAAGTGGGGATTACTGCATAAGGGTCATTGTACTGGGGGTTAGGACTTCAACCCTGGGGCACACGACTTAACCCTGCTATGGTTCGAATGTGTCCCCTCCAAAATCCAGCTGTTGCCTGTGTGATAGTATTAGGTGGCAGGGCCTTGAAGAGGTGATTAGACCCTGAGGGCTCCTTCCTCATGAATGGGATTGGTGCCCTTGCAAGAGGGGCTTGAGCGAGGTATTTCATCCCTCTCTGCCCTTCCGCCTCCAGCCGGGTGAGGAGGACGCAATGCTCTTCCCCTCTGGAGGAGCTGTTGGAAGCAGAGAGCAGCCCTCACCGCACAGCCAACCTATGGTGCCTTCGTCTTGGACTTCCCAGCCTCCAGAACTGTGAGAAAATCAGTTTCTATCCTGTGTAAATTGCCCAGTCTGTGTTGTTTTTGTTTTTTGTTTGTTGGTTTTTTAGACAGAGTCTCACTCTGTTGCCCAGGGTGGAGTGCAGTGGCACGATCTCAGCTCACTGCAACCTCTGCCTCCCGGGTTCAAGCGATTCTCCTGCCTCAGCCGCCTGAGTAGCTGGGATGACAGGCGCTTGCCATCATGCTGGGCTAATTTTTGTATTTTTAGTAGAGATGGGGTTTTGCCTTGTTGGCCAGGCTGGTCTTGAACTCCCGACCTCAGGTGATCTGCCCACCTCAGTCTCCCAAAGTGCTGGGATTACAGGCGTGAGCCACTGTGCCCAGCCTTAGTCTGTGGTATTTTGTTATAGCAGCAGAAACTGACTAAGACAAACCCATCATAGACAGCTTTCCTTGGGTTGCCTGAAACTTGCTTCCCTGGGGCTTCTGCTCTCTGGAGCCATCTGGAGCTGCCCTGTTTGCCTCCTGTGCCCCTCTAGGGGCACATGGCCCATGATGGTACAATACGAGTACCACATCTCCCAGCCAAGTTGATTTGTTAATGAACAGGCCACATGACCCAAGACATGCCAGCAAGAGGCCTCTCCAGGAATTGTACCAGTTCCCTCATGAAAGAAGCATCTAGCACTAAAGAAAGGCCCGAGTGAGCCTTAAGTACTTGGGAGCTGGCTTATTGGTGTTTTCAAACTTTATTAATTACTGAAAGCCTCTGCTTGCCCACTCACCAGCATTGGTACCTGCAACCCACAGGCGTGTTTTCTACTTGCGAGTGACTGTGGACCGGCCCAGCCCAGCCAACTGGGCAAACCTCAGCACCCAGAGGGCTTGCAGCTGCTCCTTCTCCAAAGAGGTCTGAATCTCAGCTTTGGGGATGGGCTTCCCCTTCCAAATTGTTCCTCCCCAGGATGCTCTCATGTAGCCCAAAGGTACTCTTCAGAGATCAGTTTCTACCCTAATATTTATGGCCCTGTTATAGCTACTGATTTGTTTACACTAAACTTTCCCTTTTCAAATTATTGTGTTTTCTGTTTCCTGAGTGAACCCTGACTGATACACCTTATATCCTGAAACCTTGCCACATCCTCTTATTAGTTCTAGTAGTTGTTTTGTAAACCCTGTAATACTTTCCATCTAAACAATTATGTCGTCTGCAAGTAGCGTCAGTTTTACTTCCCTCTTTCGAATCTTTATGCCTATTAGTTTTCTTGCCATATTGCAATAGTCAGGATCTCCAATACAATGTGGAATGGAAGAGGTGAGACTGGGCACCCTTGTCTTGTTTCTGATTTTGTAAGGAGAATGTTTCAATAATTTGACCATTAAGTACATTAATTAGTAGATAGAAAGTCCCTTCTTAGTTTGCTTTGATTTTTTAAAAATCACAGATGGTTTTAAAATTTTGTCAAACACTTATATCCATTTTTAAAACAATATGCATATCTCCTGTATTCTGGAAATATGATTTATATTGATTTTCAAATGTTAAACCAACCTTTAATTATTGAAATAAACTTTACTTGGTTCACTATATAGTATCTTTTTCATATTGCTTTATTTGATTTGCTAATATTTAAGTATTTTCATATTTATGTCTATGAGGGATATTGAACTATAGACTTCTTTGCAAATCATCATCAGGTTATGGTGTTAAATAAGTTAGAAATGTTCTAGTTTCTGAAAGAAGATCTTTCTATTGTTAGAATTCACCAGCGAAGCCATTTGTGCCAAGAGTTTTACATACGAGAAGGTTTTTTTCCATTAAAATTTTCAGCGTATTTAATATACAAGGCTATTCAGATATTCAGTTTCAGCTAAGTTGAATTATTCAAGGAGTTTGTCATCTTGCTGATCATAATATTTTCTTATTATTTTACTATCTGTAGACTCTAAAGTCATAATTTTTATTCTTAATTTCTGACTTCTTTTGATCTATCTAGCTATGTGTTTGTGAATTCTGTTTATCTTTTCAAATAACTAATTTTTGGCTTTGTTAATTTCCTCTACTGTCTGTTTTATTGTCGTTGTTGATTTCTGTTATTTATTATTTCCTTCCTTCTACTTGTGTGGGTTTACTTTGATACATAAATTTTTTTTCTTAAAAATGACTCATCACTAGTCATTGATTTTAGAATTTTCTCTTTTTTTCTTTTTTCCTAATATAAGCATTTAGATTTCCCTCCAGGTACTGTTTTAACTGTTACAGAAATGTTGACATATCACATTAGCATATATTCAAATTAATTTGGATTTGAATTCAAATTATTTTCTCACATCCATTATGATATCTTCTTTGACATGTGAATTATTTAGAAGTGTGGTTTCTTTTTCTTTTTTACAAAAAGAAAAAAGAAACCTAAATATCATTTATTTTTATTTTCAATTTTATTTCATTATAGGCTTCATGTGATTTCAATTCCTTTAAATTTATTGAGACTTGTTTTGTATTCCAGAATGTGGTCAGTATTCATGTCTGTATCATGTGCACTTTGAAAAGAATGTGTATTCTTCTGTTGTTGGCTGTAACATTATAAAAATATCAATCAGGTCAAGGTGGTTGATAGTTGTTCAGATTATCTGTGACTTTACTTTCTGTCAAGTTGATCTTTCAGTTGATGAGAGAAATGCTAAAGTCTCCAACTATGATTATGAAATGTCTATCTTTTAAATTATCTTGTGTTTTTTTTTCTTCCTGTATTTGAAGTTCTATATACTAGGTGCATTTACATTTGATAGTTACATCTTCTGAATAAATTGACCATTGTATCAGTATCAGAAGACCCTCTCTAAATGATAATACTTTTTGTCTTGAAGTTTATTTTATCTAAGGTTAATATAGACACCCCACACTCCTGATGCCTACTGCGTGCATGGTATATTTTTTGTATTCATGTACCTTCAACCTGTCTATATTTAAAGTGAATGTAGTTAGTTCTTGCTTTTATATCCATTTTGACATCTGCCCCTTAATTTTAAAGTTTAGTCCATGAATATTAGAGATAATTATTGATGCAGTTGGTAACTTTATTATTTGTTTCCTGTTTGTCCCATTTGGTTTCTTGTTCCACTGTTTATCTTGGCTTTTTTTGGTTTAAATTTTTTTTTTTTTTTTTGAGATGGAGTCTTGCTCTGTCGCCAGGCTGGAGTGCAATGGTGCGATCTTGGCTCACTGCAACCTCTGCCTCCCAGGTTCAAGCAATTCTTCTGCGTCAGCCTCCCGAGTAGCTGGGACTACAGGTGTGCACCACCACGCCTGGCTAATTTTTGTATTTTTAGTAGAGATGGGGTTTCACCATGTTGGCCAGTATGGTCTTGATCTCCTGACCTCGTGATCCACCCGCCTCGGCCTCCCAAAGAGCTAGGATTACAGGCATGAGCCACCACGCCCAGCCTAAAAAATATTTTTAATAATTCACTTTTAATTTTTTTGTTAGCTATATCTTCTTTTGTTTGTTTGAGACAGAGTCTGTCTCCGTCGCCCATGCTGGAGTGCACTAGCGATCGTGGCTCACTGCAACTTCCGCCTCCCGGGTTCAAGCGAGTCTCCTGCCTCAGCCTCCCAAGTAGCTGGGATTACAGGCACCCACCATCATGCCCAGCTAATTTTTGTATTTTTGTAGAGACGGGGTTTCACCATGTTGGCCACGTTGGTCTCAAAACTCCTGACCTCAGGTGATCTGCCGACCTTGGCCTCCCAAAGTGCTGGGATTATAGGCGTGAGCCACCACACCCAGCCAGCTATATCTTTTTACATTATTTTTTGGTAGTTGATCCTTGCATCATAATATACATCATTACCTTTCAGTTTACTTAAGGTTGATACTGTAAGCCCTAATATTAAATTTTTTAAATATATAGCTGTAGGTAAAGACCCTCTTGTTCCTTTCTTCTATGAAGAGTTTGGTATATCTCCTTCCCAGCTACTTTTTAAAAATTCTTCTTGTATATATATATACACATATATATATATATATATATGTATAGGTCATGTGTATATATATAGGACATTGTGTGTGTGTGTGTGTGTGTGTATATATGTCAATGTATATAATATTATTCAATCCATGAACAACATATAGGATTGTCTTGGTAGCTTAAAATTTTTACACATATGATGCCATGCTATCTTTATTGTTCTGTAGCTTTTTTCCTTCCTAATGCAATATTTTGAGATCTATCTATATTGATAAATTCACTCCTATTTTGTTCAGTTTAACTGCAGGACACTCTTCAATCTTGTGAATACATCACCCAATTTATTTGTCATTTCTGCTACTGATGGATATTTAGGCTGCATCTAATTATTTTCTCTGACAGCCGTGCTGCGGTGATGTTATTATACCTACTTTCTTGGTTATTATCTAGACTTAACAATGCTTGAACTTCACCAGCTTGCTAAATCGCTCTCTAAAGTGACTGTACTATTTGCATTGTGACCAGCAGTATACGAGAGTGCCCATTTCTCAAAATATTAAGAATAGGATTCATAGATAGTCACATTTCAAGTGATTTTTCTTTTCTTGGCGTGTGTGTGTGTGTGTGTGTGTGTGTGTGTGTGTGTGTGTGTTGTTTTTAAGACAGGGTCTCACTGTCACCCAGGCTGGAGTTCAGTGGCATGATCATGATCTCGGCTCATTGCAGCATCAACCTCCTGGACTCAAGCAGTCCTCCCATTTCAGCCTCCAAAGGAGCTGGGACTACAGGCACAGCTTGTATACCTTCTGTCATTGTTTTTTTTTTTTTTTCTTTTTTCCCCTAAACAGTAAGTTATTGTTATTCTAACAAAAAAGTAAAGCTTTTTGATATCAAATCAACAGCAGAGAGGCTGGGCACAGTGGCTCACGCCTGTAATCCCAGCACTTTGGGAGGCTGAGACAGGAAGATCACTTGAGGTCAGGAGTTTGAGCCCAGCCTGGCCAACGTGGTGAAACCCTGTCTCTACTAAAAATACGAGAATTACCCAGGCATAGTGGTGTGTGCCTGTAATTCCAGCTACTAGGGAGGCTGAGGTAGGAGAATCGCTTGAACCCAAAAGGGCTGCAGTGAACAGAGATTGCACCACTGCACTCCAGCCTGGGTGACAGAGTGAGACTCAATCTCAAAAATAATAATAATAAAATAATAAATTTTAAAAAATCAACAGCAGAACCTGCTCTTTCTCCCATACTCCTGCCATTCCAGGGACGATCACCCTTAGTTGCCCACATATCTCAAGCCAAAAACCAGGAGGTGTTTACGACTCTCTTGTCTCTTCTGTCTCCTATCCTGCACCTCCCTGTGCCCTGCACATACTGCTTTAGTTCTTAAAAACAGTTAATTGCGCATTTACTTTCTTTCTTTTTTTTTTTTTTTTTTTTTTGAGATGGAGTCTCGCTCTGTGGCCCAGGCGGGAGTGCAGTGGCGCAATCTCAGCTCACTGCAACCTCCGCCTCCTGGGTTCACGCCATTCTCCTGCCTCAGCCTCCCAAGTAGCTGGGACTACAGGCGCCCGCCATCACGCCTGGATAATTTTTTTGTATTTTTAGTAGAGACAGGGTTTCACCGTGTTAGCCAGGATGGTCTCGATCTCCTGACCTCGTGATCCGCCCGCCTCAGCCTTCCAAAGTGCTGGGATTACAAGCGTGAGCCACCGCGCCCGGCCGCATTTACTTTCTTACATTCTCCCCAGCTATTGAGGAAGCCCTTTGAGGGCAGGAAATGTACTGTGCTCTTCTCTGTAATTATGAGACTTTCACTGCCTGGCACAAAGCAGGTGCTTGGGAGCACACAGGGTATTGCAGGGTGGATGCTGACCTTCCCCATCACACAAAGAGAAAAAGCTCAGAGAACTTACACAGGTCATATGCCCACCATGTAGGACAAACACCCAAGCTGAGCCTTGTGACTTTCAACTCCCCGTCCTGGGCTAAATGACTTGCCAATGGTCACACAGCTGCAAATGGTACCAGAAGTGGGGTGCCCAGTCTTTGCCCCTCCAGTGACAGCAGGCTGGCCTTCTTCAGGGTAGACTGACTACTTGGTTTGCTACAGACTTTTATGCCTCAACAGAATTCAATAATTCATTGTGGATGTCAGTTACAAGTTCTGGGCAGCCCGCCTAATCTCTGGAGTCACTTAAAAATCTCTGTCGTTACTGCAAAGGTGAATGTTTGGACAATTTATTCTGTGCGTCCTGTCAATAGAGACACCCTGGAGTCCTCATTTCAGCACCGCATTTCATTGTTTTAAGCTGAAATGTGCTGATGTGCTTCCACCACATTATCTCTGTAATCACTTTCTTTTGCTGTGGAAATGATCAGGAAATTGTGCTTTGATACAAGGGAAGGGTGATGAGGCCACGCAGTGCTAAGCTAGGATTCCACAATTAACGTTTGTGACAGGGAAACTGTTATCAAAGAAGCCACAGGAGAACATCTTGGGGCCACCTCTTGGAGTCAGGAAATTTGAAACATATATTTCACAGACGTGCATTTTGCTGTAAACCTCTCTGCATAATGCATGAGATTTGATTTAATGTCATTGTTAATTCTGGTGCTCACAATGGTGGGCTCTTCAGGGAGCCATCATTTTTATTTCAGTTTTTTTTTTTTTCCCTGGCAACAGAATTCTGAGACCATTTTAGGGTTGTTCTGAATTGTGTGAGCACAAGACACCTTCCTGGGGAGGGGGTGCAGATGCTAGGTGTGGCTTTTCCAGAGGCTGTGGCCAGGGAGACAGGTGGCTGATTGCCTCGGGCTCCAAATCGAGCCATTCTTGGGGATCCCACTCAGGCCTGGTCTGGGTGCCTTGTGCCTGGATGTGTTTGGTCAGAGCTGGAAGGTTGCAGTTTTTAAAAAAAAGAATGAATGAGTGAATCAAAAGAAAAAGGCTTTAGGCCAGGCGCGGTGGCTTACGCCTATAATCCCAACACTTTGGGAGGCCGAGGTGGGTGGATCACCTGAGGTCAGGAGTTCGAGACCAGCCTGGCCAACATGGTGAAACCCCGTCTCTACTAAAATTACAAAAAAAAAAAAAAAAAAGCCAGGCGTGGTGGCGGGCGCCTGTAATCCCAGCTACTAGAGATGCTGAGGCAGGAGAACCACTTGAATCTGGGAGGCGGAGGTTGTAGTAAGCCAAGATTGCACCACTGCACTCCAGCCTGGGCGATGGAGTGAAACTCCATTTCAAGAAAAAGGAAAAAAAGACTTTGTAGCAGAGTAGAAAAGAAATAAAACAATAATCAACTTTCAAGATGCATAAAAGAATCATTCTGGCCTAGGTTAGCTAGGAGTGAGAGCTAAAAAGAACAGAAAAACAGATCATGTATGGTGAAGGTGCGGGAGGGAGTAAAAACATGAATGAAGGGAGGAGGAAGGCGTAGCCAGGCATTGGACAAGAGACCAGTGGGGAAGAAGGAGCCGGGAGGGGAAAGGGGAAGAGGAGTCCAGAAAGCCTCACTGAGGCCCACAGGCCCTGGTGGTTCCTCCGAAGGATAGGGCTCAGGGCTGGGTGCCTGTAGTCCTGCTCCCTGGAGCCCTGAAGCAGTGAGGGCATGAGGTGCAGTCCTCCTGCTCTAAGCTGGATGAGGGCTGGTGGGGGGTGAGCAGGGACCTGGAGCCTCTCAAAGGACTTCAGTGCAGAGGCTGCCAGGGGCACCGCCATGCATCTCTGTTTCCTGCCTAAACGTGGGCTGATGGTGACAGCTGACAACCCAGTGTGGATTAAACTTGCTGAGTCACTGCAAAAGGTGGGGCTGATCCTAGCTCAGGATTTTTGGTCTCTGACTGGCGTTCTCAGAGCTGGGAGTAGGCAGTGTAAAAACCCATTGTAGGGCCAGGTGCAGTGGCTCATGCCTGTAATCCTAGCACTCCGGGAGGCCGAGTTGGGTGGATTGCCTGAGCTCAGGAGTTTGAGACCAGCCTGGGCAACATGGTGGAACCCCATCTATACTAAAATAAAAAATATTCACTGGGCATGGTGGTGTGTGTTTGTAATCCCAGCTACTTGGGAGGCTGAAGCAGGAGAGTCGCTTGAACCCAGGAGGTGGAGTTTGCAGTGAGCCGAGATTGTGCCACTGCAGTCCAGCCTGGGGGTTAGAGCGAGACTCTGTCTCAAAACAAACAGACGAAAAACAAAACCCACTGTATAGATGGGAAGCCCAAGGCCCAGGTGTCTCCCTTTGGCTCCCACAGCTCCGTGGAAAAACATGGGGTTGCCCTGGTTCAAATCCCAGCTCTGCCACTCACTAGCTGTGTGACTTCAGGTGTGTTCTCTTACTGTTCTGTGGGGGGCCTCTGGATTCTCATGTGCACACTAGGAATGAGAATATCAGAGGGCACACAGACCTACTCCAGTGTCCTCACAGGAGAAACTCATCCAGTAGGATTAATATTCCTGGCCTCCCCATGCCTCCTCCCATGGGAAGAGTAGAGAATATTCTGACTGTCACTCCCCAGAGAGGAAGCCAGGCCTGGTTAGCTGTGCCAGTCCTCAAGAGCCAGCTGTCTGCAGGGCCAGTGACCGGGCGGTGAGTCCGTCTGAATCACAGTGACCAGTTAGCAAAGGCCCTCATCCACAGATCAGGGCCTCTGGGCAGCTGTAGGGAAACTTCAGTTTCCACCTGTGGGCCTCCTGAAAGACCGCTTTCTCAATTTGTTACAGTAGTAGCTAGTCAGACGGGAGCGGGGCAGGGGAGGGCTCCCCCCACCCCCACTAGGAGAGTCAGGTGGCCACGTGATGGCAGGCAGTTGTTACTGTTTCTCTATAATTGTAATTGTTTGCAGCCAGAACCAGGGAACGCAGCCTCTGAATAGAATCACCTGAAGCTGGTGCCATGGTAATAAGCTTCCCCCGACAAAGATCTCAGGAGTTGGGCGAGCGAGTTCACACACGAGCACTAGGAGGCAAAATGGTGGAATTTAACTTGTGTTTGACCTCATGGGAACGAGGAGAGAAGCCACTTCTCTTACTGTCTCCTGTCTCTGAAGAGGAGGAGGAAGTAAACGTTGAAAAACAACAGGAATGAAGTCAGTGGCAAGACCAGCCGGTGCCACCGATGACCCGGCCTGAGGTTAAAAGATTACCCCCCGACCTCTAACCACACGTGCTCTCAATCCATCACGACCCGTTCACGTGGAACCCCTTAGAGTTGTAAGCCCTTAAAAGGGCCAGGAACGGTGTCTTCGGCGAGGTCGGCTCTTAAGACGCGAGTCTGTCGGCGTTCCAGGCTGGATAAAAAACCTCGTCCTTCTTTAGTCTGGTGTCTGAGGAGTTTTGTCTGCGGCTCGTCCTGCTACAGGAGCGCTCGACGGGTAAGGGGAAAACACCCAGGCGAGCACGCACACAGCTCCGGTAAACACTGTGCGTGCTCCCCTCCAAAGTGCTGGCGGGCCTCTGTGCATGCGGACAGCCCACCCCAAGGGAGGAATCGGGAGAAGGCACACAGACCTCAGATGCCTGCCAACACATAAAACCTTTTTTTTTCTTGAGACAGTCTCACTTGTCACTCAAGCTGGAGTACAGTGGCGCAATCTCGTCTCACTGCAACCTCCGCCTCCCAGGTTCAAGTGATTCTCCTGCCTCCGCCTCCCAAGTAGCTGGGACTACAGGTGCCCACCCCCGCCGCCCCCCGTCCCCCTGCCCCCCACCTGGCTAATTTTTGTATTTTTAGTAGACACAGGGTTTCATCATGTTGGCCAGGCTGGTCTCGAACTCCTGACCTCAGGTAATCCACCCGCCTTGGCCTCCCAAAGTGCTGGGATTACAGGCGTGAGTCGCCGAGCCCGGCCAGTCGAACTCTTTCTTCTGAGGAGGTAAGGATTGAGATTGCTGCAGAACATAGGGATTCGTGGTCAGTAATATACCATGTGTCTGAGGTAGGTTCTCAGCTTGGGCAGAGAAGAGGGGTGTCATTTGGGGACTCCATCCGCAGCTGGGATGGCACGAGGCTTACCAGGGGGTGTAACGGCCACTCTGCAACCCTCCCTATCTCTGTCCCCATGCCCATGACCCTGCACCATCCATGTTCTGAAGGCAGGGCCAGCTCAGCGCCCACCAGCACCGAGCTGCTACTGAGCCGCCCTCTCTCCTAGAAGGAAAATGGATTCAGCTAGTGGCTCCCCACCAGACTGGCACCCTCGCGACTCATCCCCGCCATTGGTAAAGGAATGACCGGGCCTCAGGGGCATGGTGCTGCCACCTGGACGTCAGACAGAATCGGAGTTGGAGGCTGGTTGGGAGAAAGCAGAACCCTCTCCAGCTTGCCCTGGAGTGTGAGGTGCCCGCGGTGCACCGATAGGTCAACACCCCATGCAGGCACGAAGGAGATGGCAGCCACCAGGCTCGGTTGAAATATTCATTTCAAGGGAATTCCTTGTCCATTCAAATGACTGAACAACAGCTTGATTTCATGGAATAATGGCTTTTATTAAGAAGCCAACAGGAATGATCACAGTGGGGAGTCTTGTGTCTTGGCAGTGGGTGTTTGTAGAGCACCCAGTGTTCACCAGCAACTCTGTGCAAGTCTCGGAGGGTGGTTGGTGTGTTGGAGGATGTGGGTATACAGTAGCATGGGCATGCATGTGCATACGTGTTCATACATGCACCTGCAGCGGGAACTTGGTGAATACTTGTTGGTTGGTGTGTTTTTTTGTTTTTTTTTTTTTTTGAGATGGAGTTTTGCTCTTGTTGCCCAGGCTGGAGTGCAATGGCGCCATCTTGGCTCACTGCAACCTGTCTTCCCAGTTCAAGCAATTCTCCTGCTTCGGCCTCCCAAGTAGCTGGGATTACAGGTGTGTGCCACTACACCTGGATAAATTTTTTTTTTCTTTTTTTTTTGTGGAGACAGGCTTTCACCATGTTGGATCAGGCTGGTCTCAAACTCCTGACCTCAAGTGATGCGCCTGCCTCGGCCTCCCCAACTGTTGGGATTACAGGCATGAGCCACTGTGCCTGGCTACTCGGTGGGTTTTGATTGGAAGGCTATGGAGCTCCAGTGGTAGATGTGGTTATAAGGGTAACTGGGGGGGGGGGTCTCAGAGTGGGGGCCAGTTGCATCAGGCCCCTGGAGGGTGGGACACTGCCTTTCCAAGAGCAACAAAGTGTGGGCGATTTGTGGTGCTGAGAATCGTGAGCAGGCAGTTCGTCTAGAGCAGGGTTGCAAACTTTTTCTGTAAAAGGCCAGATAGTAAATATGTTAGGCTTTGTGGGCCTTGTAGTCTCTGTTGCAACTACTCAGCTCTGCCCTGATGAGGCAAAAGCAGCCACAGGCAATGTACAAAATGTCCGTGGCTGTGTTCCAAGAAAACTTTATTGGCAAAAACAGGCAGTGGGCCAGATCTAAGCCATGGGCCGTAGTTTGCCAACCCCTGGTCTAGACCACTCCCATTTATAAAGTGATTCGGCTTTAGCAGCTTCCTGGAAGGTGGTGCTGCTGGCTGATAAAGCAGAGGGACGGAGCTTGCAGAATTCAGGTGATAGGGCTTGGATCTCAGTCCCCAGCGCATCTCATGTTGAATTGGAACCCTCAAGGTTGGAGGTGGGGACTGGTGGGAGGTGATTGGATCATGAGAGCAGATACCTCATGGGTTGGTGCTGTCCTCTAGACAGTGAGTGAGTTCTTACCAGATCTGGTTTAAAAGCATGTGGCACCTCTGCCCCACACTCTCTCTTGCTCCTGTTTTTGCCATGTGATGCGCCTCCTTCCTTTTTGCCGTCTGCCATGATTGGAAGCCTCCTGAGGCTTCCCCAGAAGTTGAACAGGTGCTAGTGGCATGCTTGTATAGCTTGCAGAACCATAAGCCAGTTAAACCTCTTTTCTTATAAATGACCGCATCTCAGGTATTTCTTCATAGCAATGCAAGAACGGCCAAACACAAAGTTTGCTGAGCAGAGACACACGGCCAGAAAGTTAAGTGGGGGTCTCAAGCCCGACTGTGGGACAGTCAGTCCATCTTCAGAGCTGTCCTCCCTACGCCCCTGTCCTCCCCCTGGGCCGGGATGCAGCGCTGCCCCTGGCCCCTCTGGAGCTCAGCAGGGAGCCCCATGCCCTTCCAGGTGTGGAGAGCAGCCTGCGCGTCACTCGCTGCCGCCCCATCCTACGGGGCACTGGAGCACAACTGTGTCGTCCTCCGCTACCTCATGGGCTTCCTGCACACGGTGAGTGGGCAAGGGGGGCGCTTGGGGTGAAGCCCAGTGGCCTTCCCTGCCATGCTGGGCCCGCATGGACCAGTCCCCTCCTTGCCCCGGGTCTGGGGTCATGCCCTACTTGGGCCTCGGAATACTACTTCCTGGCCACCAAGGACCTCATCCAAGGCCCGGTCAGGTACCCACGCTGCTGAGGGGACTTTTGTCCTCTGCTCCCCAGAACCTCCCCCATTTCTCCCTGCAGCAAGAGCTGGGGAGACCGCAGCGTGGGACTTGCGGGTAATCTCCCGCAGAGGCCTGTCACTCCTCCCCCACTGCCAGGTCTAGGTGGGCGCAGGACTCAGGCTTAAGCCAGTCGGAGCCTTCCCTGGCTGCAGCAATGGGTCCAAGGTGAGCATGTGACCTAGGCTTGTCCAATCAGGGCGAATCTGGGGCTTTTTTGCTGGGAATGTGGCACTAAGACGTTGTATCCTTCTCCGCCATATTTGATGGGCCCTGTGCTTCTATCTTGCCAGCCCGAGGAGTCAGCCTGCCTGAGACTGCAGAGTCCTGTCGCACCCCAGAGCCCTCGGGCAGCTTGGCTGTTTTATGCCCAATTCTTCACCCTCCCCCTATCCACCTCCTTTGCAGGGCCCTCCCACTGTGACCCTGGCCTCGGCCACCAGGCTTGCTTTGGCCAATGGGATGTGAGCATGCAGGACACCAGTCAAAGCATGAAAACTGCTTGCAGTAGCGCTTGTGTGTGCGCCTGGACCTGTGTTGTAAGAATGTGCCCCTTTTAGCCGTTGGAGGATTTGGGACACCTGCAGGAGAACAGAGTCACCCTGGCTGACAGCCAGCTCAGCCAGGACATGTAAGCCATCCCCTCAAAAGACCAATAGAACCACCCAGCTGACCCACTGACTCATGGGCAGTAATGACCAGCAGTTGCTTTCAGTGACTGGGCTTGGGCATCCCCCTGGCCCCACTGCCCCCCTGCCTGGCTAATTTTCATATTTTGAGTAGACAAGTAAACACAAGGTTTCACCATGTTGGCCAGGCTGGTCTTGAACTCTGGACCTCAAGTGATCCACCTGCCTTGGCCTCCCAAAGTGCTGGGATTACAGGCATGAGCCACTGTGCCCGGCCTACCCTAGGTCGAAGGTCAAACCACCCACTTGATCTCTCAAGTCGCCCGCTTGGTCTTCTTCCAAGGGTACTTTTCTTCCTTTCGTTCCTGCTTTAAAGTTTTTTAATACACTTTCACTCCTGCTCTAAAACTTGCCTCGGTCCTCGGTCTCTCACTCATCCTTATGCCCCTCAGTTGAACTCTCTTTTTTATTTTTTTGAGACGGAGTCTCACTCTGTTGCCCAGACTGGAATGCCCTGGCACGATCTTGGCTCACTGCAACCTCTGCCTCCCGGGTTCAAGCGATTCTCCTGCCTCGGCCTCCCGAGTAGCTGGGACTACAGGTGTGCTCCACCACACTTGGCTAATTTTTTGTATTTTTAGTAGAGACGGGGTTTCACCATGTTGGCCAGGCTGGTCTCGAACTCTTGACCTCAGGTGATGCAACTGCCTTGGCTTCCTAAAGTGCTGGGATTACAGGCGTGAGTCACCGCGCCCGGCCAGTCGAACTCTTTCTTCTGAGGAGGCAAGGATTGAGATTGCTGCAGAACATAGGCATTGGCCGTCAGTAATATACCGTGTGACTCAGGTAGGTTCTGAGCTTGGGCAGAGAAGAGGGGTGTCATTTGGGGACTCCATCCCCAGCTGGGATGGCACGAAGCTTACCAGGGGGTGTAACGGCCATTCTGCAACCCTCCCCATCCCTGTCCCCATGCCCGTGACCCTGTACCATCCATGTTCTGAAGGCAGGGCGTGGGGGGTCGCTCAGCAGCCACACGAGCCCCTCCCTTAAGGACAGCGAGCACCAGCAGGGTAGAACACACACAGCGGCAGATGAGGGGCAGGGGAATAATGGGAAGACACACAAGTGAAGAGGGAGGCCAGCGAGGAGACCGCACCCTCTAAGTTTCAGAGGAGAGCCCTGGGTGTGGGTTTGGCCTGGGGCTGCCAGTGATTCCCCCAAGCATCCTAACGCGTACCGGGGGTCCCGGCACAACTCGGTCAACACCCCAAGCAGGCACGGAGGGGCCACCATGGGGGATCTGTAGAGGGGACTTTTGTCCTTTGCTCCCCAGAACCTCCCCCGCTTCTCCCTGCATCAAGAGCTGGGGAGACGGCAGCGTGGGACTCGTGGGTAATCCCCTGCAGCGGCCTGCCACTCCTCCCCCACTGCCTGGTCTGGGTGGGGCACAAGACTCAGGCCTAAGCCAATCAGAGCCTTCCCTGGCTGCAGCAATGGGTCTAAGGTGAGCATGTGACCTAGGCTTGTCCAATCAGGGTGAACCTGGGGCTTTTTTGCTGGGACTGTGGCACTAAGAAGTTGTATCCTTCTCTACCATATCTGATGGAAATACAGGGCCCGTTTTGCCAGCCCAAGAGTCAGCCTGCCTGAGACTGCAGAGTCCTGTCGCACCCCAGAGCCCTCGGGCAGCTTGGCTGCTTTATGCCCAATTCTTCACCCTCCCCATATCCACCCCCTTTGCAGGGCCCTCCCTCTGTGACCCTGGCCTTGGCCACCAGGCTTGCTTTGGCCAATGAGATGTGAGCATACAGGACGCCAGTCAAAGCATGAAAACTGCTTGCAATAGCGCTTGTGTGTGCACCTGGACCTATGTTGTAAGAATGTGCCCCGTTTGGCCATTGGAAGGACTTGGGACACCTGGGGGAGAACAGAGTCACCCCAGCTGCCAGCCAGCTCAGCCAGGACATGTAAGTGACCCCCTCAAAAGACCAATAGAACCACCCAGCTGACCCACTGACTCCTGGGCAGTAACTTTCAGTGACTGGGCTTAGGTGGTGTGTTACACAGCAGTGTGGCAGCAGCAGGACCTGGCAGCCGTTAGCCACTCCATTCCTGTTTTCAGTTAAACCACATTGGGTTGGGATTCAAAACATCCATCCTAACAAATGCATTATTCTATCCCGGTCCACAGCTCAGGAACCATGGACAAGAGTCCAAGGACCAGAGGCATGGAGTTTTCATTAGAAGGTTCTGAATTCATCTAATGGCTGGTTATTTTTACAGATGCCAAGTTTACAAAACATACAAGTGCACAGACAGGTGTGGGAGGTAGCTCGAAATATACAGAGTGTTCGCAACACTAGAGACGTCTTCTGGCTGCCATCAGGGGACTCGGAGGTAGGGTAGGCTTGGTGAGGCCCGTGGCTTGTGTCCGTGGCACAGCCTCCTGCAAAGGGGCTGCCCTGCTCCCCTGTTCCCATGGTGCCAGGCCGTGCTCCCCAGGTGCCTCCGGGGTGCTGAAGATCTTTTCATAGTACTCGATCAGCAGTTCAGTGAACATGTTCAGGGGCACAAGGGCACTCAGGGAGGAGACCCCCTGGGATGGCCAGATCAAATTCAGCCCGAAGACACAGGCCAGGTTAGAGCTGTTCATTTTGTTGAAGATGCTCTCCCGGGACACCTGGAGGAAACCACACACAAGTAAAGGGGAGTGAACACCAAGGGGCACGGGCACCTGGAACTCCCTCCCGAACTTAGGGAGAGGCGTAGGTGTAGTGAGAGGAGCACTGGACTGGGAGCCGGCAGCCAGTAATGGGGACCCTGTGCAGCCACCTGCCCACTCAGGGCCTTAGTTACCCTATCTCTAAAAGGAAGGCTTGGCCTCCATGTCCTGGAGGACCCTCTGGCTCTGACCTTCTGTGACAGCCTCAACCCCCCACTATCTCCTCTTCCACTGCACCTTCTGGGGAGATGCAATCTTGGGGATGGGCTGTAGCACAGACGGTACGAACTTGGTGACCTCTCTGGCCTCGGCTCTGTGAGTGGCGAACTGGGCATGATGGGGACCAGCCAGCACATCTAGGGGCCACTACGAGGGGCAGGGAGAGTGGAAAGAGCTTGCCTGCTAGAAGGGGCTCCTTGTCCATCTCCGCCAACACGTGCAACCCCAGCACGGGGGAGTCATTACTCCCCATCTTACAGATGAGGAATCTGGGGCCTGGAAGGTACAGGAGACTTGCCCAAGGTCATGTGGCCAGCCAGTGGCAGGGGGCCATGTGGACCAACGTGAGGGCAGGGCCTGTTCTCTGCTCCTTGCCTCCCTACAAGATTCAAGCTGGGGGGAACCTCAGTCAGAAACAGGGGTCATGAGGCGGTGAGTACCAGGGCAGAGCAGAGAACTGGAGGGAGGCAGGGCCAGGCACCACCCTCACAGATCTGTTGAGGATGCTCAGGTGAGATGGCTGGATGCCTTTCAGGCTCCCCCTGGCTGCCGGTCCCCCAAGCCCGTTGCAGGTGTGCACCAGCCAGGCCCACTGCAGGCCACCCCTCCTCAAGCCGAGGCCCCCAGGTGCCACTGGGGTGATAACACGCAACACCACACCCCACCAGGTGCATTCACATCGGTGCCCATGGAGGTGGCGGCTAGAGAGAGAAATCAGTCTCTCCTAATGAAAAAGAAGTAGGCTGGGTGCAGTGGCTCACACCTGTAATCCCAGCACTCTTAAGAGGCCGAGGCAGGTGGATCACCTGAGGTCAGGAGTTCAAGATCAGCCTGGCCAATGTGACGAAACCCCATCTCTACTAAAAAAACAAAAATTAGCCGGGCATGGTGGTTCTCACCTGTAATCCCAGCTACGTGGGAGGCTGGGGTTGCAGTGAGCTGAGATTGCACCAGTGCACACCAGCTAGGGCAACAGAGCAAGACTGTCTCAAAAAATTTTTTTGAGAGAATTAGGAGAGTTTAGTTTTGGGCCTCTGAGAAATTATGTCAAGCAACAGGGAGAAAAAAAATTGTTGTAAAACCAAGAAGTGACATTCTCCAACAGACTCTGGGATGTGACGCCTACTCTGCTCAGGCTCTCCTCACCCTGCACAGCCTGGGGCGAAGGCCTGGAGAGATGGAGGGGGTTAAACATTCAAGGCCGTGGGTCTGGGGGTTGGGGGTGGACCCACGTGGATGTGTTGAACCTTCCCCTGTTGGCTGCACAGGTTTTTGCTCCAAATGGATCCCTGCCCCAGGGGGAGAGCACACTAAGCCCAGGCCCAGAGCACTGAAGGGTTTCTCTCTCTCTGGTCATTTGCTTAGCCTGGTGTGTAGTAGATTGAATGGTGGCCCCTCTAAGATAGACCACAGAGAATCTGACTGTGACCTTATTTGGAACGAGGGCCGTTGCAGCTGTCGTTGAGGATCTCAAGATGAGATCATCCCGCGTCATCTGGGTGGGTCCTAAACCCAGTGACATATGGCAGGGGGTCCACACTTAGGAGGGAAAGGTGGAGGGAGATTAGACACACACACAGACAAAGGCCAGGGGGGAGCTGGAGGCATAGCTGGAGTGACCAGGAGCTGGGAGAGGCCAGGAAGGGGAACCTTCCCTAGAGCCTCTGGAAGGAGCACAGCCCGCCACACCTTGCTTTTGGACTGCTAGCCTCTAGAAGAGTGACACAGTAAATCTGTTTTAAGGCACCCACGATGCAGTCACAGGAACTTAATGTACGTGGTTCTGGGTGTATCCCTTCCCCAGGAATGGTCAGCTCAGTCCACTGGGCTCTGTACCAGTGGTGGACACAGCTCCCACCTCCTAGAGACTCAGCCCAAGCAGGAAATGACATGGGGGCAGAGGACCCCAATAACAAAAGTCACTGGCAATGGCTGAGGGACAGCAGGTACAGGAGCAGGCAGGGGCAGGTACGCCCTGTCTGACAGGCAGGAGGTCCGCAGCAGCATGGGTGCCTGACCAGGCCTTGGATGAGGTCCTTGGGGGGCAGGGAGTGGTATTCCGAGGCCCAAGCAGGGCATGACCCCAGACCCAGGGCAAGGAGGGGACTGGTCCATGCGGGCCCAGCATGGGAGGGAAGGCCACTGGGCTTCACCCCAAGCTCCCCCCTTCCCCACTCACCGCATGCAGGAAGCCCATGAGGTAGCGGAGGACGACGTAGTTGTGCTCTGGGAGGCTCCGTAAGATCTGGCGGCAGCCAGTGACACGCAGGCTGCTCTCCACACCTGGAAGGGCATGGGGCTCCCTGCTGAGCTCCAGAGGGGCCAGGGGCAGCGCTGCATCCCGGCCCGGGAGGAGAACAGGGGTGTAGGAAGGACAGCTCTGAGGATGGACTATCCCACATTTGGGCTTGGGACCCCCACTTATCTTCTGGCCGTATGGCTCTGCTCAGCAAACCTGTGTGTTTGGCTATTCTTGCTGAGATGGGGTTATTTATAAGAAAAGAGGTTTAACTGGCTCATGGTTCTACAGGCTGTACAAGCATGGCACCAGCACCTGTTCAGCTTCTGGAGAAGCCTCAGGAGGCTTCCAATTATGGCAGAAGGCAAAAAGGAAGGAGGTGCATCACGTGGCAAAAACAGGAGCAAGAGAGAGTGGGACAGAGGTGCCACATGCTTTTAAACCAGATCTGGTAAGAACTCACTATCTCGAGGACAGCACCAACCCATGAGGTATCTGCCCTCATGATCCAATCACCTGCCACCAGTCCCCACCTCCAAAGTTTCAATTCAACATGAGACGCGCTGGGGACTCAGATCCAAGCCCTATCATCACCTGAATTCTACAAGCTCCATCCCTCTGCTTTATCAGCCAGCAGCACCACCTTCCAGGAAGCTGCTAAAGCCGAATCACTTTATAAATGGGAGTGGTCTAGACCAGGGGTTGGCAAACTACGGCCCATGGCTTAGATCTGGCCCACTGCCTGTTTTTGCCAATAACGTTTTCTTGGAACACAGCCACGGACATTTTGTACATTGCCTGTGGCTGCTTTTGCCTCATCAGGGCAGAGCTGAGTAGTTGCAACAGAGACTACAAGGCCCACAAAGCCTAACATATTTACTATCTGGCCTTTTACAGAAAAAGTTTGCAACCCTGCTCTAGACGAACTGCCTGCTCAGGATTCTCAGCACCACAAATCGCCCACACTTTGTTGCTCTTGGAAAGGCAGTGTCCCACCCTCCAGGGGCCTGATGCAACTGGCCCCCACTCTGAGACCCCCCAGTTACCCTTATAACCACATCTACCACTGGAGCTCCATAGCCTTCCAGTCAAAACCCACCAACCAGCCAGGCACAGTGGCTCATGCCTGTAATCCCAACACTTTGGGAGGCCGAGGCAGGCACATCACTTGAGGTCAGGAGTGCGAGACCAGCCTGACCCAACATGGTGAAACCCTGTTACTTAAAAAAAAAAAAAAAAAAGCCGGGTATGGTGGCACACACCTGTAATCCCAGAGCTACATGGGAGGCTGAAGCTGGAGAATTGCTTGAACTCAGAAGACAGAGGCTGCACTGAGCCGAGATGGTGCCATTGCACTCCAGCCTGGGCAACAAGAGTGAAACTCCATCTCAAAAAAAAAAAAAAACCACCACCAACCAACAAGTATTCACCAAGTTCCCGCTGCGGGTGCATGTGTGAACATGTATGCACATGTGTGCACTCAGCCACATGCATGCCTATGCTACTGTGTACCCACATCCTCCAACACACCAATCACCCTCCCACTGAGCCTTGCACAGAGTTGCTGGTGACCACCGGGTGCTCTACAAACACCCACTGCCAGGACACAAGACTCCCCACTATGATCATTCCTGTTGGCTTCTTAATAAAAGCCATTATTCCATGAAATCAAGCTGTTGTTCAGTCATTTGAATGGACAAGGAATTCCCTTGAAATGAGTATTTCAACCGAGCCAGGTGGCTGCCATTTCCTTCTCTGGGTGTTGTGCCTGAACCTTATCTACGAATTATGGTCCCAAGTGGGTACTGGTGCAGGTCACCCTCAGCTCTGTGGTCCCTCTGAGAATACCTGCTGGCAAGTAGGCAGGACTGGTGAGCTGAGCGTCACAACCGCCAATGTCACTGAGCACTCCCTATGAGGGAGCAAGAGGTCAAGCATTTCAACCACCCCAGTGTAGAGAGAGGAGGAAAGAGAGCTCTGAGAGGTTAGGTGACTAGCCCGAGGTCACACAGCTTGCATGTGGGAGGCTGGGCCTCGAGGACTCTCTGACCTCCCCTTTCTCCTCTGGAGCAGGCCATGAGATCATCCTATGAGAGGCGCCTTCCCTATACCCAGAGGGAAGGGGCAAACTCATCTCTGAAGATGGCATGTCCCCCTAGTTTCCTGCCCCAGGCTCACTCCCCTGTCCGTCGCACTTCCCACGCCTCTCCACTCTTCTTCCAACCTGGCATCAGCACACTCAGTGGACTGGATCTCTGGGCCTTCGTTTCCTTACGAAGGTACCCATGTCATGTGCAACTTCTAGTAAATAAACTGGTATGTTTTTCTCTTGTGAATCTGTCTTTTGTTAGTCCAAGCAACAGGGCCCCCACCAAGGAACCTAAGATGGGGAGAAGGAAAAGATTTTGACCCTCCCTGCAGTTTCTAGTCATGGGGATGAGGTACCCTTGGCTGGAACACCTCACTTGGTCTGGGAGCTGCACAGAGAGCCAGGACCCCTGGTAGAGCCGGCCAAAAGAAAGAATTCTTACTCAAGACTGGTCGTGGTGGCTCACACCTATAATACCAGCACTTTCAGAGGCCGAGGTGGGTGAATCACCTGAGGTCAGGAGTTTGAGACCAGCCTGACCAACATGCAGAAACCCCATCTCTACTAAAAATACAAAATTAGCCGGGTGTGGTGGTGGGCACCTGTAATCCCAGCTACTTGGGAGGCTGAGGCAACAGAGTCATTTGAACCCGGGAGGCAGAGGTTGCAGTGAGCCGAGATTGCACCATTGCACTCCAGCCTTTGCGACAAGAGCAAAACTCCGTCTCAAAAAAAAAAAAAGAATTCTTACTCAAGTCAGCCTCCCAGATTTCTGTCTGCAGCGCGACTGTGTGAGGGTGGTCAAAGTCTCTTTGTTTTCTTCCTTTCTGAATTTGGACCAGCAGAGCCACATTCGGAAGAATGGGTTCTTTGGTTTTGACTTCAGCGCATCTGATCTCGAGGAGTCCTCGGTGATCTTCAGCCTCCCAGGAAGAGTCACTGTTTGCCTTTGTCTCTGTCTCTTGGGTCCTTTGTTGTGAAGAGGAGAATCATGGGATACGATTCTCCTTTCGTCTTGTTTTGTGTCCTGAGAACTTGCCTTTATGGCCAGTTTGGCTTCCAAATGCCTGGGGGAACAGCCAATGGTCAGGATGTAGCCCCAAGAATTTACAGGCCGGGCGCGGTGGCTCACGCCTTTAATCCCAGCACTTTGGAAGGCCGAGACGGATGGATCACCTGAGATCAGGAGTTCAAGACCAGCCTGGCCAACACGGTGAAACCCCGTCTCTACTAAAAATACAAAAATTAGCCAGGCGTGGTGGCGGGTGCCTGTAATCCCAGATACTTGGGAGCCTGAGGCAGGACAATCACTTGAACCCGGGAGGCAGAGGTTGTAGTGAGTAGAGAATCTCAGCCACTGCACTCTGGCCTGGGCAACAGAGTGAGACTTTGTCTCAAAAAAAAAAAAAAAAAAAAAAAAAAAAAAAAAAAGGGAATTTATAGCTGGCCAGACAGTAATGTGAGCTGCACTCTGATATGTTGGATGATGTTGCCTGTAAACCTCACATTGAAATGTAATCCCCAATGTGGGAGGTGGGGATGGGTGACGGGTGATTAAATCATGGGGACAGATTTCTCATAAATGGTTAGCACCATCTCTTTGGTGCTGTTCTCATGAGAGTGAGTGATTTCTCAAGAGATCTGGTTAAGTGTGTGGCATGACCTCACCCCATCTTGCTCCCACTCGCACTGCGTGAGACACCTGCTCCTCCTTTGCCCTCCGTCATAATTGAAAGCTTCCTGAGGCCTCCCTGGAAGCCAAGCAGATGCCAACACCGTGCTTCCTATAAAGCCTACAGAAACATGAGCCAATTAAACTTCTTTATAAATTACCCAGCCTCAGGTATTTCTTCATAGCAACACAGACTCGGCGACAGCTGACATCCTACCAGCCATCACCAGCTCTGAGGGCGCTTGTCTTTCTTTTGGCTATCTGTGGGGTAACTTTGGATCCTGGGGGACTCTGAGAACATCTCTTGTATCCATGGCCACAAAAAGTCTTATGGGTTTCGAGTTACATTGGATTAGGTACACCTTTGGTTAAAAACAACAAAACAAAACAAAACAAAAAACAAGGTTAAAAGGACTATTTGGAAACAAACTGGCCAAAGAAAAAAATCTTTAGGGCCTTCTCCTGAAATACTGATAACAACTTTCACCCTCAACAGGTAATCTTAACTTGTATGAAACTATGTATGAAAGTTATAAGATCTTGGTTTGTGGCCAGGCATAGTGGCTCATGCCTGTCATCCCAGCACTTTGGGAGGCTGAGGTGGGGAGATCACTTGAGCCCAGGAGTTTGAAACCAGCCTGGGCAACATGGTGAGACCCTGTCTTTACAAAAAAATATTTAAAAATTAGCTGGGTGTGGTAGTGCATGCCTCAGCTACTTGGGAGGCTGAGGTGGGAGGATTGCTTGAGCCCAGAGGTCAAGGAGAAGGAGACCCTGTCTTAAAAAAAAATTCTTTTTTTCTTTGCAGATCTATGTTATGTCTACGCATGTATGTTATGTATACGTGAAATTATTCTCCCTCTGATGGTATTACCAAGTTAATTTATAAAATCCCTTAAAGGAGTTCTATTCAAATTGGCTTAGAGATACATGAGCATTTATATAAAACATTTCTAAAGCTCTCAGAAATATAGAAACTAAGCCAAACATTCTTTTCAAGTTCTTGTGACTTGAGTAACTCTGACAAGATTAGTCTGATATTGTTAGTTTATTAAAAACAGCTGTATAGGTTGGGCACGGTGGCTCACGCCTGTAATCCCAGCACTTCGGGAGGCCAAGGCGGGCAGATCACCTGAGGTCAGGAGCTCAAGACAAGCCTGGCCAACATGGCAACATGGTGAAACCCCGTCTCTACAACAATACAAAAATCAGCCAGGCAAGATGGCCGGTGCCTGTAATCCCAGCTACTCGGGAGGCTGAGGTGGGAGAATTGCTTGAACCCAGGAGCCAGAGGTTGCAGTGAGCTGAGATGGTGCCATTGCACTCCAGCCTGGGCAACAGAGCGAGACTCCATCTCAACACAAAAACAAAACAAAAAAACCAGCTGCATCTTCTGAGTTACCCATATTAAGTATAATCCAAGCATACATCTTTATGTAGTTGGGCTTACTAGTGAAGTAGGGTTAAAAATGCATAACAAGGGCCTGGCATGGTGGCTCATGCCTATAATCCCAGCACTTTAGGAGGTTGAGGTGGGTGGATCATTTGAGGTCAGGAGTTCAAGACTAGCCTGGGCAACATGGTGAAGCCCGTCTCTACTAAAAATACAATTAGCTGGGTGTGGCGGCGCACACCTGTAATCCCAGCTACTCCGGAGGCTGAGGCAGATGGATCACTTGAGCCCAGGAGGCAGAAGTTGTAATGAGCCAAGATCAGGCCACTGCACTCCAACCTGGGCAACAAAGCAAGACTCCGTCTCAAAAAAAAAAAAAAAAAGATACAAGGGGAATTCCTTGAAATGACAACTAGCCTTATTCAGTGTTATGTATGACGTTACAGTGAGTAAGCAAGGCCGCTTCCTGGCAGGCCCAGGAAACTTAAAATATATTGAGAACCTTGAGAAGAGAGGAATTCTCTCAAATCTACAGATACTGCAGGCAAAGTCTGATGGTTTTTTTTTTTTTTTTTTTTTTTTTTTTTTTTTTTTTTGAGACAGAGTCTCGCTGTGTCCCAGGCTGGAGTGCAATGGTGAGATCTCAGCTCACTGCAACCTCTGCCTCCCGGGTTCAAGCGATCCTCCTGCCTCAGCCTCCCGAGTAGCTGGGATTACAGGTGCATGCCACCATGCCTGGCTAATTCTGTATTTTTAGTAGAGATGGGATTTCTCCATGTTGGTCAGACTGGTCTCAAACTCCCAACCTCAGGTGATCCACCCGCCTTGGTCTCCCAAAGTGCTAGGATTACAGGCGTGAACCACCGCAGCTGGCCCTGATGGCAAATTTTTAACTTGGCTTTCTAGCCTCAAGAGGCTTTTAAAAAGTGAATCTGAGATTCCTTATTAAAAGTTCTAGCAAGGTAGACTTAAAAAGAGCCGACATAGGTCAATTCCCATTCTTGCTGCCCTTATGTAAATAATCAGGCCAAATTCTAATGAAACCAGACTTATTTTGTAACTGAGAATCAAGAGAGAAGCAACGGTACAGAGAAATGATGCTCCCGTGGAAAACTACGGCGCACGCTTGCGGGTTCTCAGTTCCTCTCCTTTCCTCCAATATCTGGCTACGACGCTCCAAGCTAACATTTCCAGTTTTCTCCTACCCCCTGAGTTGGCATGACAAAGAACTAAAACCTGCCATTTCCCCAAAGCCCCAAAAGCTGACGCTGGAAGACTTGATATAAACTTCAGAGAAATCACAGCAGATGATGTACGGATAGTCCTTGTGCCTCCTACTCAGTCTGCTCAGAAAGTTCACCGGAACACCCAGTGCCATCACCAAAGACATCTAAATTGCAAACTATGGAATTCACTGGCCAGCTGCTGCCACTCTCTCTCTACCATGAAAGGATACTTCAAGCCAACATCTAGGAATCTTCTCAACTAAATGTTCTCCTGACTAAAAAAATGGAGTTTAGGCCGGACACGGTGGCTCATGCCTGTAATCCCAGCACTTTGGGAGGCTGAGGTGGGCGGATCACAAGGTCAGGAGATTGAGACCATCCTGGCTGACACAGTGAAATGCTGTCTCTACTAAAAATACAAAAAATTAGCCAGGCGTGGTGACACGGGCCTGTCGTCCCAGCTACTCGGCAGGCTGGGGCAGGAGAAAGGCTTGAACCTGGGAGGTGGAGGTTGCACTGAGCCGAGATCGTGCCACTGCACTCCAGCCTGAGTGAGAGTGAGACTTCACCTCAAAAACAAAACAAACAAACAAAAAACAAAATAAAAAAAATCCCCGGAACTTATGGTTTGTTCAAACCACTGAACTTCATGTTTGTTGACAAAGAAAGGCCCCTTATTAACAGGCTGACTTAGGTAGTCACCCTACTCCCACCTCCACCGCTACCTCCTGAATTGAGACACAACTCTTTCCCTGGAGTGACCTAGTCACAGCACTGAGAGAAGGATTCATGCAACATGAGACAATCTACCAACTCAGTTTCTGGACTGTAAAACTTCCTGGGGAAAGTTCCAGATGGGGGAATGCTGGGGTCCGGAACACTACTGTCCCAAATATGGAGCCTGGGCATGCTGAATATGTTATTGAGCTGAAGGAATCTAAGAAAGGCAGGTGTGGGAAGGGCTCTCTCTGACTCCCCCTACTTCTGTGTAGCAGATCATAAAACCTTCTAATGGGAGGGGGTCTTCCCTATGTCCAGAGGGTGCCTTATCTCTAAAGACGGCGGAATGACAAAAGGAATTGAAGCTCCATGACTTTCCACTCTTCACCAAACCTAGTATCAAAACATTCGGGCTGAACCATGTCTTCACCTTCCTTCACCTTCCTTCCTCCCTTCCTTTTTTTTTTTTTTTTTTTTTTTTTTTTGACAAAGTCTCACTCTGTCGCCCAGGCTGGAGTGCAGCAGTGCGATCTCGGCTCACTACAACCTCTGCCTCCTGGGTTCAAAGCAGTTCTCGTGCCTCAGCCTCCTGAGTAGCTAGGATTACAGGTGTCCACCACCACGCCCAGCTAATTTTTGTATTTTTAGTGGAGACGGGGTTTCACCATGTTGGCCAGGCTGATCTCAAACTCCTGACCTCAGGTGATCCACCCACCTTGGCTTCCCGAAGTGCTGAGTTTACAGGAGTGAGCCACTGCACCCGGCCCATTTTCTTTATTTCTTTTCTTTCTTGCTTGCTTTCCTCCCTCCCTCCCTCCATCATTCCTTCTGTTTTGGGGACATGGTCTTGCTCTTTTGTCCAGGCTGGAGTACAGTGGTGTGATCATGGCTCACTGTAGCCTCCAACTCCCAGGCTCAGGTGATCTCCCACCTCAGCCTCCTGAGCAGCTGGGACTACAGGCATACACTACCAAGCCCAGCCAATTTTTAAAATCTTTTGTAGAGATGGGGTCTCACTATGTTTCCCAGGCTGGACTCAAACTCTTGGACTCAAACTCTTGGACTCAAGTGATCTTTCTGCCTTGGCCTCCCAAAGTGCTGGGATTACAGGCATGAGCCACCATGCCCAGCCTGGGTCTTCATTTTCTTCATTTTCATAAAGGTTCCCATGTCAGGTGGAGGTTGCAGTGTGCCGAGATTATGCCACGGCACTCCAGCCTGGGCGACAGAGCGAGACACTGTCTCAAAAATTAAATAAATAAATAAATAAATAAATAAATATTTAAAAGGCTCCTGTGTCATGTAAAACTTACATTAAATAAACTGGCATGCTTTTCTCGTGTGAATCTGTCTTTTGTCAGAATAACAAGTTACAGGGTTCCCACCAATGAACCTAAGACGGGTAGCAGGAAAGGATTTTTTCCTTCCCAACAGAGGGTTGCTTAATATGACTACGCTCTCCAGGTTTGTTAATTGGTGCCTATCCGGAAGTGGACAAATGTCTGGTATCTTTATGACCGGAGGCAGTGGTGCAAGCCAGAGCTGGGTCCTTCCCTCCCCGGGGACTGGGAGGCAGAGGTAGCACTTTGAATGTTTTCATTTCAAAGAGATGGCTCTCAGGTCCTTGACATAGCTCTGGGTGGTAGATGATTTTCATCTCAAAGGACAGATAAAGGATTCATAATTGCAAGCTTTTTTTTTTTTTTTTTTTGAGATGGAGTCTTGTTCTGTCACCTAGGCTGCAGTGCAATGGCACGATCCTGGCTCACTACAACCTCTGCCTCCTGGGTTCAAGTCATTCTCCTGCCTCAGCCTCCTGAGTAGCTGGGATTACAGGCGTGCACCACCACGCTTGGCTAATTTTTGTATTTTAGTAGAGACAGGGTTTTGCCATGTTGACCAGGCTGGTCTTGAACTCCTATGACAAGTGATCCACCCAACTCAGCCTCTCAAAGTGCTGGGATTACAGGTGTGAGCCACCATGCCTGGCCCACAATTGCAAGCTTTCTAAAGGAACTGCTGCTCAAAGAGGGGTTCCAGGGCCTATCTCCCTGTCACCAGGTTTTGGCTGGAACAAACAGTAAGTTCGCCTGGCAGCATTGAGTTTTCTCAAGCAGGAACCTACAGAGGCTGGAGTCATCATCCCTCTGCAGGGGCTAATGAAGTTGGGAGGCTTCTGGAAGCTTCTCTCTAGGACACAGCCTGGCGCATTCAGGTGATGGAGCATTGTCCATCTTGCCTGCTCTGGCCCCGGCTGGTAGGATGCTGCTGAATGTAGTGCCTCCTTCTGTCTCCACCAGATAGGTACCTCTATGCGCATGATCAAATTTGTCTCCATGAGGCTCAGCCTGGCTCTGAACTCTCCCAGGCTTCCCATCCACTAGCCAAAGTCAGTCAGCCCTCAACATCTTTCATGGTCTTCCAGGGTGTAGGAGAGACCTTCCCCATCTCAGAAAGGGCGTTGCATTTGGCAGGCGCTTAGGAGCACTGCTGAGTAAATGGGTGTAAATTTGCCTTTGAGGGGAGTTTGGGGTCCAGCGACCTTGACAGGACGCCTTGAGACTGAAATCAGTCTCCAGCCCCATGCCCTCCCCAGAGGTCAGGCTGGTCTCACATCACTCAAAGCCCGCACCCTCTAACCATGTAATTGGTCTTTCTGGAATGGCCACCCCTACACCCCTATCTTGAGTCACACCATAACCATGAGTTACCATAAACCATCAGGGCCCCTGATGAGTGACAAAGGTAACTCCTGCCCCTTGGGAAAGTGCAAGGTTCAGAAGTCACCCCCCAGGGGCCAGGACAAAGGCCAGGCTGCCCTTTGGGCAAATGTGATTCTTGAATACACAGTGGGGTAGAAACATTGATTTTAAGATTCAAGATTTGTCTTTACGATATCTTAACCGAGCTGCTTCAGAATTCACACCAAAATCAGCTCCCCCCTTCGACTGTTAGTGCTCCAAGAAGAAAGGAGGGCGCTGGAGGTAGTCCCATTTGAAAAGACGGTGTTCGATGACTTAGATGAAGGCCTGAGGGGTTTTATGGTTCTTTCGAGGCATCACTTTCCTTAGCATTCACCAGTGTTTTGAGATGCTGTTACGGAGTTTTTTACGAGTCATCTGTGCTCAGCCACACTGAGCATTTGACCCATCACAAAGCGCCTGTAGGATCAGACACTATAGCTGCTCAGTTCCTGTGATATATGCTTGGCATCCTACAATGATCTGGGGAGAAATGCCGAGAGCCCTTTCTAGATGAGAGAGCTGAGGGTCTGGGGCCTGGGAGCGGTTACAGGCAGGACTTTGACCAGGATGATGAGCCCCAAATCTAGAGAGCCCCCCATCACCCTGCCTCCTGGCCCAGCTGTGCCTGAGAGACCGGCCTGGACAACCCTGACCGACCCCACCTCCTCTGCCTTTGGACAGTGTGGACTGGCTGTGCATGGTGGGGGCAGCCCCAACAACCCCCTCTCTTGCCCTGCAGTGCCAGATGGCAACAGGAGGAGGGTGGGTACACGTCACCTCGGCCACCCCAGAGCCTGACCCTGGGCCAGTAGCTGGGGGACAGCATCTGAGGACCAAGCCCCCCACCCCTGCGCCAGGGCAGCTACGCACAGGTGATCCCGAGAATCTGCTCGTAGGCCTGGAAGGTCAGAAGCGGCTGGGGCAGCTCTCGCAGGAAGGTCTTCAGGATCACGGCAGGGATGTGAATGTCCCCGTAGTCGTCAAAGTTCACGGGCTTCCCTGCACACACAACACAGCACTGCTGAGGTCTGCACCCCGGCCTGGGCACTGCCGCTGCAGAACGAGCTCTGAGACACAGGGCGTGAGATGTCCGGATGGGACGCACCTGATGCTGGAGCCATGTGTCCTAGGGATGATGCTGTCCCCACCTAGAAATGGGTGTGCTCTGGCCCCATCAGCCCCTACACTACCCTAACTGCCTCCTCCCGGGCTCCCAGTGGGGACTGGGGTGGGCTGCTGGCTTCTCTGTGGCATGCTGTTGCTCCCGGCTACAATGCCAGCTCTCTGAGGCCAGGTCTGTGGCAGAGATGACACCGCAGGCCCTGGGCCTGAGACAGGCAGGCCTGAGCTGGGCCCCGTGCAGACCTGATGCTCCATGATTGTGTAATGCACAACTGATGACGGGAGCGAGTGGGAGCGAGGGCAAGTCTTGTCAGCAAGACAGCGCCTTCATTAGCGTCAGTGCAATGCATCCTCAGCTCAGAGGCCACTGCCCCTGCCTGCGGGTTACACATGGCAGTTAAGGAAGCCGTGCTGAGCCAATTCGGGGGAGCTGCCAGATAAAAAAAACCAGCTTCCCTGCACTGCAGGGTGTCTCCTGAAAGCACGTGCCACGTGGTGTGGATGGAGAGACCCTAAAGGCAAAATGGCATCATGCGGCCACCATGTCCCAGTGGGGTTGGGGGTCTGGACAAAAGGTCCCCACTCTGGACTACCAGTGGGCCCCTCGATGCCTCCTGGGAAGCTGCCCCCACCCTGAGTGTTTTCTGGGAGTTGGGTGGGTTGCGGGGGCGGTGCTTCCCTGCCTCCGCTCTGAGGCCCCGGAGCGCTGTGCTCGCTGACCAGGCAGCTCGGGGCTCAGGACTGCGGGACACCCTCACCTTGGTTGTAGAGCCTCTGGATCTCGCGGACGGTCTGCACGCTGGCGGATCTCCGGAACAGGCCCTCGGTGCGCAGGCCTGCAGGAGAGGAGCTTCCAGGCATCTCACAGGTCCCAGCCCAAAGGGCTTCCAGGACATTATATGACACTCCCCTGCCCACGGCATCACCCACCTGTGGCTGGCCTCCACACATTTATTTGTTCCTCAAATCCTTTCCATATTCCCCAACCCACCCGATTTCCCACCTCTGTGGTCCATGGAAAGGGAAAGCGGAAATAGACTCTAATCTCAGACAGACCTAGGCTCTAGTCCAGCTCTGCCTACCAGCTGTGTGACCTCAGAGAAAGCTCTCGGCCTCTCTGAGCCTATCTGCCTTGTTTATCTACAGAATAAGGCCATGAGCTCCTGTCTCCAAGGGCTGCAGAGAGGACTGGACACGGTGATGCCCAGCAAGTGCCTGGCACCTGGGAGACGTCCAGACACGTGACTTCCCACAAGAGCTAGGGCTGAGCTGTCCAGCACAGCAGCCAGTAGCTGCACATGGGGATTTAACTTTAATTAAAATTAAATAAAATTAGAAATCTAGTCACTCAATTGCATGAGCCTCATATGAACTGCCCTATTGAGCTACTGCCACAGGGGCTGGTGGCTGCTGTTTAGACAGTGAAGATATAGATGATGTCCAAGTTCAGTTGGGCAATTCTGCTAAAGAGGTGATTGTAATCAAAGAAGAAAACTTGTCTCCATTGTCAGTTTATAAAGAGCATTTTCAGTGCTTGTAATTGGCTCATGAAAGCAGCTGTGGGGTAGAGGGAAGGGCTCCCTCTGGCCAGGCCCCTGCTGGCTTCAGAGCCAGAAAGAGAAACAGGCCTGAGCCTGCCCTTGGGGGGCCTGCGGTGCATGATGGGGGTGCCCCGGAACACCAGGACCTAGGACTGTGGCGCAGGCATCTGGAGGTGCAAGTCTTCTTGGGACTTGCAAGGCCTGACCTCCCCTTCTCCTCCCAACTTCCTCGAAGCCCCGCACGCTCCCGCACTCCCACAGCCACGAGCCCCTTCACCTGCTCTCCTCTCTGGGGCCTTTCTGTCACACGGCATGGCCAGCTTCTCCCCGTCCTCAGAGCTCAGCTCCACTGCCCCTCCCTCAGGGAAGCCCCCCAACAAGGTCAACCCCCCTAACAGGGACCCCGGTCTGGCAGGGCCTTCTCCCTGATGGAAGTCAGCATCTGGGCAGCTCTCGGTGGAATAGCTGCTGCTTCCCCATCCCGTGTGCTCACTTTGATATCCCCAGAGTCTGGCACGAGGGAGGCACGTAGCGAATGCCTCCCAAGTGAATGAGTGAATGATGGGGAGGCGTGAAGAAGGCAGTTCTGCCTGGGAGAGGGGCAGAATTGGAGAGGGCTTCCGGAAAGCAGGACCTAACCGGTAGAGGGCAAGGAGGGGCAGTCCAGGCCGGGGACAGGCAGGCCTCTTGGGGTCCCAGTGTGGGGTGCCCCCCGTACCTGCTCACCTGCCAGCTGAGCATCGTGACTGAGGGAAATGCTGGGGCCGCAGGGTCTGGGGTTTGAGGGAGATGGTCTCCCAGGCCCCCGCCCAGCACATCTGCTCACTGATGCCACCCCCATGTGCATGGACTCTCGTGCCAAAGCACATTTCCTGGGCACCCTGGCCTACAAGTGAGGAGGGGCTCTCCAGGCCCCGCCTGTCTAAAGCAGGTTTTTCCAAGACCACCCACCTGGCCTGCTCCAAAGAGGAAATCAACCCACTCGTAACCAGAAAGGTGCAGGGCTGAGGCGGTGGCTTTAAGAGCTATTGCATGGGAACTCCCCGCCAGATGGAAATGTGAGAAACGGCAGCAGCCAAGGGACCACACGGTGGCGGGGTCTCGGGGCCCACGGTGCTGAGTCCGTGGGCAGAGCTGGGGTCTGCTTTAGGGGGTCTGGCCATGTTAGGGGGATTCCCTGAGGAAGCAACTGTTGAGCCGAGCTCTGGAGGCTGGAGAGGAGCCAGCCCTGCCTTGGTGGTGGGGATGGGGGGGGGCACTCACTTCTTGTCTGACACCCACGCATCTGCGCTGCAGCACCCAGGCTGGAGACCACCCGGCCCACCTAGCACACCTGCAGCTGTGGTGCCAGGAAAGCCTCCCTGGTGCCTGCTCCTCCGTGGGAACCTCTTTCCTCCCATTAAGGTAAAAGCAGCCTCCACGCACCTTCTCCATGGACCTCAGTTCTAGCCTCAGGAGCTGTGGAGAGCCCACAAGGCTCACCCCACTCCAAGTTCTTGACTGCACCCACCCTACTGGCAATGGTATCTGCAAATCAAAGTTGATCCCATCAGAGGAGTCCCCATTTCGAGAGGGCTTCCTACAGACCAGCACTGCCCGAAGTGCTTTGCAGGCACTGTCTCGTTTAGGGGTTACAACAATCCTACAAGTCATGTACGGTTTGTTATTAACCCCACTGGACAGACAAGGGAATGGAGGCCCAGAGAGGGTAACTGCCCCAGGTCACACAGCTAGTACACAGGGGAGACAGGATTCAAACCCAGACCATCCGAGGCCAGAGCCCAGACCTGGAGCCACTGTGCTTGAGCCCCTCCCTTCCTGGTCACACCCCCTGGCTTGTGGGTGCTCAGGATCCAAGACAAACCACCCAGAGAGGTGCACCCAGCAGCCCTCACGTCATCCAGCTGGAGCCGGCCCCGTCTCACCTTTCTCTCTCAGGTACGTCACTGTGAACCTCAGCACAGGGGGGATGAGTTCGCCTTGATTTTTGTCTTTGAGGCTGAGAAAACAGAAAAGAAAGTCGCAGTTTTTACCTGAGCTTGATGGGTGATCACAATGAGAAGAGGCGCTGGTCCTCTCCACACCCCTGTGAAAACACAGGACCCAGGCACTGTCCAGGAAGAGAGAGGTAGGCTCAGCCCTCAGGAAGTAGAAAGTCTGAAGACCAAATAATAAAATGATAGTGCAGTATTTGAGAACTCCATGAAAGGGATATTTATGATACAGGGAAGACATGGGGTTTGGGGAGGGCTTCCCCAGGGGGCAACTTCAGAGCTGGGTTTTGAGGGATGAGTAGGAGCCTGCCAGAGGACAAAAGAGAGAAGGGCATTCTAGACAGGGAAGCCATACTGGGAAGTCCCAGTGGTATGAGATGGCTTGGCTGTGAGGGCAGAATAAGAAGCCCTGGACTGGATATTGATTCAATTAAAAAACTCAGTATGTTATCTGGGTTAACCTGTCTCTTACTTTACTATTTTGAGACAGAGATTCACATAAAGAAATGTTGGCCAGGTGCGGTGGCACACACCTGTAATCCCAGCAGTTTGGGAGGCCAAGGCAGGCGGATCACTTGAGCCCAGGAGTTCAAGAGTAGCCTTGCCAACATGGTGAAACCCTGTCTCTACTAAAAATACAAAAATTAGCTGGATGTGATCGTGTACACCTGTAATCTCAGCTACTCTCCAGGCTGAGGCAGGGGACTCACTTGAACCCATGAGGTGGAGGTTGCAGTGAGCTGAGATTGTGCCACTGCACTCCAGCCTGGGTGATAGAGGGAGACTCCATCTCAAAAAAAATAAAATAAAATAAAATCCAATCTGAGAATCTCTGTCTTTTAATTGGAATGTTTAGGCCACTTAGACTTAATGTAATTATCAATATGGCTAGGTTTGAATCTACTATTTGTTATCTGTTCCTTTTTCCTCTTTTCTTGACTTTATTTTGCTGGCTAATTATTTTTTAGGACTTCATTTTATCCCTCTATTAATATATTAGATGTGGCCGGGCACAGTAGCTCACGCCTGTAATTCCAGCACTTTGGGAGGCCAAAGTGGACAGACCACGAGGTCAGGAGTTCAAGCCTAGCCTGGCCAACATGGTGAAACCCCGTCTCTACTAAAAATGCAAAAATTAGCCAGGCGTGGTGATGCATGCCTGTAATCCCAGCTACTCTGGAGGCTGAGGCAGGAGAATCACTTGAACCCAGGAGGCGGAAGTTGCAGGGAGCCAAGATCGCACCACTGCACTCCAAGTGTGGATGACAGAGCAAGACTTCAACTCTCTCCCTCTTCTCTCTATGTATATATGCTGTATCTTTTTATTTGTAGTGACCCTAGTTTTACATTATACATATTTAATGTAATACAGTCTATTTCAAATGATATTATACCATTCTACTTATAGTATAAGTCTCATATCCCATCCTTTTTTTTTTTTTTTTTTTTGAGACAAGGTCTTACCCTGTTGCCCAGGTTGGAGTACAGCGGTGTGATCTTGGCTAGCTGCAGCCTTGACCTCCTGGGCTCAAGCAATACTTTCACCTTAGCCTCCCAAGTAGCTGGGGCTACAGGCATGTGCCACCATGCCATGCCAGTTAATTTTTTGTAGAGACAGGGTTTTGTCATGTTGTCCAGGCTGGTCTTGAACTCCTGAGCTCAAGCAATCCACCTGCCTTGGCCTCCCAAAGTCCTGGGATTACAGGCATGAGCCACTGGGCCAGGCCTGTCTTTATAATATAATACATTATCCAGTACTCTAACATGTTTTAAGCCTCATACTACTTTATTATTTTTATTTAAACAGTCAATCTACTTTCAAAGATATTCTTAAAAATGAGAAAATCTATTTATTTTCTATTTACACATATTTGCCATTTTCAGCATGCTTCATTCCTTTGTGAGGATCCCAATTTCTATTTGGCATTCTATTTCTTTGTTCTGCAGAGCTTCCCTTAACATTTCTTATAGTGTAGTTCTGCTGAAAATACATTCTCTCAGCTTTGGTTTATCTGAAAGAGTTTTTACTGGGCATTTATTTCTGAAATACACAGCTTTACCGCTTGCAAAATGCATTGTTTCACTGGAAATAATGTGGTGGGCAAGGCAGGCTACTGTTACCCACTTCATGGATAAGGAAAAGGGGTCCAGAGAGAGAAAGGCTTCCGTGCCTGTCCACAGCTGGCCTCGTGAGGGGTTTACATTCCAACTGCCCACCTCTGGATGCAGGGTCCTCTCCCTGATCCTTAGAGTCCACAGGTCATCAACAACGTAAACCTTCACCAAGATGAAAATGAAAACGTAGCCCATGGCATACATTCTCATCAAAACAGAACACAATGCTGGACACACACAAAGACAAACACAGGCCCACCTGGGGTCAAAGTATTCGACTGGGTCTCCCTGGCCTTGCTGGGGCTGACTGTGATGTGAGCCTTTGCACTGAGACAACTCTAAGATGCTGCTTTTCTCTCTTGTTGCAAGAGAGCTCCTGGCGTCCCCCAGGCCCTGCCAACCTCCTGATGCTCAGCCCTGGCTCTGAGGGTCTATGTCACCCCTGGTGGCCCCCAAGGAAGCCAGGCTGGGCTCCTGCCTGCCAGTGCCAGCTGGCCCTCACCTCCAGCTGACGCATCAGCTATGTTTGCACATTGCACGTGAGTGAGTGTTAGGATGAGGGACTTTCCTCTCGCCACCAGCCCCACCTGCCTGAGCCACTGAGGTCTGCCTGTGACCCCCGGCTTCAGGCTCTACAAAGCACGTGACCTTTCTGGAGGGTGATTCCACGACAACCAAAAACCTTACAAACAGTCACACTGTTTGATCCAGTGAATCTATGTCTAGGAATTCATCCCAAGGAAATGACTGGGGATGTGTATGCAAGACCTGTGCTGTTTTTGTTTGTTTGTTTGTTTGTTTTGAGATGGAGTCTCGCTCTGTCCCCCAGGCTGGAGTGCAGTGGCGCAATCTCTGCTCACTGCAACCTCCACCTCCTGAGTTGAAGCAATTCTCCTGCCTCAGCCTCCCGAGTAGCTGGGACTACAGGCACGCACCACCATGCCCAGCTAATTTTTGTATTTTTAGTAGAGACGGGGTTTCACCATGTTGGCCAGGATGATCTCTATCTCTTGACCATGTGATCCGCCCGCCCCAGCCTCCCAAAGTGCTGGGATTATAGGCATGAGCCACTGCGCTAAGCCTGTGCCTGGTTTTAACCCTTCAAATCAAGTGTCCAACACAGGGCCTGAGACCCAGCAAACAGTACATACTTGGGGGAGGATGAGAAGCAGATTTTGGCAGTGCTCCCCGCACCTGGTGCTGATCAGGAGCCACACGGGAGTAGACTGTGGTGCCGTCAACAAGCGTCCCCTTCCTCTCTGTGTCACCTTCATTTCCTGGAGGGCAGTCACCTCCCTGCCCCACTGACTCTGGGCTGGGCCATGTGCCCTGCTGTGGGACGTGAGCAGACACAACATATACCACGTCCAAGGAGACAGCGTAGTTTGGCGTGGCCACTCTTATTCCAGTCCCCACCCTGAGAATGGCATGTCAAGAGGCTACTTCTTCAGCCCGGTACCAAAATGCAGGTACATGGAGGTGGGCCGAGCCCCTGCTGGCCTGTCTACCTCCCAACCTTAGCGAGAAAGAAACATGTTGCAGCCCAGTGAGACTGTTATGCAGCATAATTAGCAAAAGCTGACTGGTGTGCACAGGAAGAGAGATACCCTGAGCGCAGTCCGGTACCGCAGAGGAGGCATTTTAGGGATACCCCAAAAAGGAAGTTGGATTTGGCCACGTGGAGCTAGGAGTGCACTTGGAAGGCAGGGAGCAGGCGTGAGAGCTACTCGACACCTCTGCTTCTACTTCCTCTCCTGTCACATGGGCGGGATACTAGCACCTGCCTCCCAGGGTGGGCAGGCGGGTGAGAATTAAATGAGAATGGACCCCAGCACGCAGAAAACATGCAGTCTATGTGACTTGTTACAGTACAATCGGCAAATCACGCTCGCACAGAGACTTAACAATTCTAAAAAAGAAAAAATACATGGAAACTTTACTCAGATTCTTGGCCATGACGCGTACCTGAATCTTAACGTTGACTTGGATCAGTGCTTGGCATCTTCCCTCCCCCGTTCCCTACGAGGGCCACGGCAGATTCCACCCTGCCAGGCAGGCACACACGCTTCCTCCTTGCTCTCTATGGGGCCAATAAATGTAAACGGGACTCCCCTGAAAGGCAGCCCTGCATGTATGAGGCCTGCAGAGCCAAGTTTTGGGGCCATGGAGCTGGCAGTGCCTGGCACGGCAGGTACTCACCAGGTACTCAGTGAGGCGCTTATCCGGCCACAAGCCCCTTCCCAGCCAGACCTCCCCAAAGGCCTGGCTCACCTCAGACACTCCAGGCAGACAGAGTGCTCTTTTAAAAGCGACCCCAGGGAGCTTCCCCTTTCTCCACGCGAGGACGCGGCCGGGAGGCACCATCTATGAACCAGGAAGCAGGTCCTCATCCTACACCGAATCCTCATCACGAAAAGGGATGTGCCGGCTTCGTTGAGCTGTGAGCCAACGGCACTGACAAAAATCATTCCAACCAGGCCACACAGAGGCGGTCCACGTCACAGCTGAACAAACGGGCCCAGCGAGCTACAGTTACTTGCCCGAATCTGGTGGCACCTTGATCTTAGACTCATAGAGCCTCCAGCTCTATGAGAAGTAAATTTCCGTTGTTTATAAACCACTCTGTTTATGGTACTTTGTCATAGCAACCGGAATAGACTAAGATACCGGACAGGATCACAAAGACCCTTGCAGAGGATCTAGTGAGCAGAAGGGAGAGGGGATGTAACAAGGGAAGCTGGGCCAGAGTGGTGTGCTGTGAAAAAGATGGGAGGGAGGGCTGGGAGCCAAGGAGCATAGGCGCCTCTGGAAACTAGAAGAGAAACAGATACCCCCCAGAACCTCCAGAAAAAATGCAGCCCTGCCGAGATCCTGATTTCAGGACTTGTGACCTCCAGAATCGCAAGAAAATAAATATGTGTTACTTTAAGCCACTGTGACAGCAGCCACAGGTCCCCAAGGACCCTGTGTGGATCAACAGAATTTGACAGAAGCAACTGTTCAGTTTCTGGGCCAGGTCCTTCTCTCCTGTCCTAAAGAGCCTGACTCTTCCCACCTGTGATCTCGGGAACCTTTTTGCTGGAAACCCTGAGCTGCCCTGGAAGAAGCACAGCTACCGTGGGAACATCAGGCTGGGGACACTGCGGGCAGGTGCACTGGCCAACAGTCCCCACTGAGGCCAGAGGTGCAGGAACATAAGGCATGTCTTGGATGATCCTAGCCAGCCACCAGCTGGACACCACCACGTGCCCTCTGCCAACGCCCCATGGGCAAACTCGCCTGGCCGAGTTCTGCTCAAATTCCACAAACACCAGGAGAAGTGTGACGTGGTTGCTGTCGGAAACCACTAAGTCCTGGAGAATCTGTGAAGTGGTAACAGGTAACGGAAGACTCGGTCATGATGAAAAGGGCCCGAATGAAACCCACCGGGCTGAGTGTGAAGTCTTTCCTCCACGTGTGTATCGTCTGCCTCATTTCCACCATCGTTTCATGAGCCCAAGTTAGAGATCAGAGGACGACACTAGGAGAGGCCAGGTGACCAGCTCAAGGTCCCACAATTGAGAGGTGGCACAGGGAGGCAAGCCCGGCCTGGGTTTCCATCTCTGCTCCTCCTGCTGGGCTCCACGGCCCCCTGGGAACGTCTCTATGTCAGATGATTTATCAGGTGCACATGGTATCGAGTGTGCTTTAGTTTTATTCCAAGATTTACAGAGGAATCTGCTAATCCACTTAAACGGTGATTAGAACTCTGTCCACAGCCATAAGGCTTCTGCATATCCAATCTCGATGGGTGGTTTGGTTTCATGGCAATTTTGCTTTTGCTGAAGCTTCACGTTGGGGACACTGAGCAGCAATCCACAGCTCCCCGAGGTGCCCTGAGGGCTGGCGTGACCTTCAGGAGGTCCTGCTGTTGCAGGAATACGGACCTGGCCCCCTGCCTCCTTCCCATCTTGGTTTCCTCTCTGGGAGGGAGAAGGCGTCCTGGGGCCCACAGAGACAGTGTCCCTGGGGAGGGAGGAATGTGGCAGGCAGGTCCTTTTCTCCCAGGATGTGCCAAAGTTACAGGCTCTTTTCCTCCTCTCTGGTTCCTTAGGAAGCCAGACAGACCCTTTCAAACCCTGTCCCTCCCTTCCCGTAGGAGCTAGATCACCACCGGCCAGTTTCCTTATCCTCTCCAGCTTCAGTTTCTCCATTTGGAAAGCAGAGATGCTGGCGCTCTCTCCCCAAGGTCTGCAAATATTAAACAACAAGGGAGGTGCAGGCTTTGCTGAGCTACAAGCCAATGGCACTGACGAAAATTGTCCCAATGCCAGGGGCTGAGCAGCCTCCCAGGCTGCACACAGGTGGTCCATGTCACAGATGAACAAATGGGCCCAGTGAGCTACAGTGACTTATCCGGGTTCACGCAGCTGGAGAGCCTGCATCCATTGATTCCAAAGCCCTGGCTGGCTACTGTTCCCGGGGAGGGAGACCCACTGAGTCCTACTCAACAGGCGGGACAATGTGGAGTTATGAGGACGAGTTCCTGAAAGACCCCTTTGCCTACTGCTTTGTCTCTGTGCTGTCCTTTAAAAGTAGACTCTCAGATGGGGCATGGTGGCTCACGCCTATAATCCTAGCACTTTGGGAGGCCGGGGTGGGTGGATCACTTGAGGTCAGGAATTCCGGACCAGCCTGGGCAATATGGAGAAACCCTGTTTCTACTACCAAATGCAAAAATTAAGGCCGGGTACGGTGGCTCACGCCTGTAGTCCCAGCACTTTGGGAGGCAGACATGGGCAGATCACGAGGTCAGGAGTTCGAGACCAGCCTGACCAACATGGTGAAACCCTGTCTCTACTAAAAATGCAAAAATTAGCCAGGTGTGGTGGCACGTGCCTGTAATCCCAGCTACTTAGGAGGTTGAGGCAGGAGAATTGCTTGAACCCGGGAGGCGGAGGTTGCAGTGAGCCAAGATCGTGCCATCACATTCCAGCCTGGGCAACAGAGCAAGACTCCGTCTTCAAAAAAAAAAAAAATTAGCCAGGCATGGTGGCGCACTCCTGTAATCTCAGCTACTTGGGATGCTGAGGCAGAAGAATCATTTGAACCCGGGAGGTGGAGGCTGCAGCGAGCTGAGACTGTGCCACTGCACTCCAGCCTAGGAGACAGAGCAAGACTCCATCTCAAAATAAATAAATAATAAAATAAAAGACTCTCAGAGCAGGAAGAGACTCTGAGATCATCCAGCCCAACCTCCTCAGGCAGATGAGAAAACTGAGGTCCCCAAAGAGGAGGGACTGGCCCAGAGCTGCCGTGCTCCCAGCCAAGCGGGTTTTCCACTGCCCGTGCATTTGAGGAGCACCCACATCTACTCTGAGGCTCTCACAGCTAGCGGAAGAACAGGGCCCCGGCATCGAATTACTACTCTCCATAGAGCAGAAACCCACAATTTGGGTTTCTCCTCCCCTGCCCATCCGCTACTTGCTGGCTCGGAGAGAGAGGCTTGTTCAATGGACTGACAGAGTCAGTGCTGTGCATAGCAATGACCCCAGGGGACTCTGGTTGGCAGATGTGCTGTGTTTCCTGGCTGGGTGGGGATGCCCAGGGCGCCGGTGAATCGTATCACACCACGTTCATCTCGTGCATCTCAATGTGCACGGGCCAGGGTCACGTCTCAGCAAGGATGCACAAACTGCATTAAACCCACACCATGAACTAAAGTTCCAAGATGCATGCTGGGCAGGAGGACTCTGGAGCACAGAGCACAGTTTGTTGGTCAGCACAGCGTTCTCTGTGGCCAGTGACTCCCACCTGGCTTTCCGACAGTCGTCCACCCACTGGAGGGCATCGGGGACTCTCAGCATAGAATTCTTGCTTGTACCCCTCCCCTCGGGAGATGTGCTTAGAGTAATTCAGAGCATGTTTTTTCTCTGGTTTTGCATGCGAGGAATGCACAAATAAGGAGAAATTGTGACTAATTAAAAACAGTAGGGGCTGGGTGCAGTGGCTCACGCCTGTAATCCCAGCACTTTGGGAGGCCAAGGTGGGCGGATCACCTGAGGTCGGGAATTCGAGACCAGCCTAGCCAACATGGTGAAACCCCGTTTCTACCAAAAATACAAAAATTAGCCAGGTACGGTGGCACGCGCCTGTAGTCCCAGCTACTCAGGAGGCTGGGGCAGGAGAATTGCTTGAAACAGGGAGGTGGATGTTGCACTGAGACGAGATCGAGATCGTGCCACTGCACTCCAACCTGGGTGACAGAGTGAGCCTCTGCCTCAAAACAAACAAACAAAACAAAACAAGAAAGAAAGAAACAGGAGGGAAGGGGGAGGGAGGAATGGCAACCTGAAATTACAGTGATAATGGGGAGTGCTGAGCAGGCCTGCCTCAGCTGGGCACCCAGGCTTTTCCCAACCCTCTGAGATGGTCCTGCATCTTCTAAATACAACACGTCCCCTCCCAATATTTGAAAGGGGATGAATGGCTGCAGCTTGCACCACTGACCTGCAAAGTTCTCAGTCACAGAGTCAGCCAGGGAGGTCCTGGATGCCCAGAGAAATGGGCAGTGCATGTGAACGATCACAGTGACCACTGTGCACTGAGGACCTACTGTGTACTGAGGACCTACTGTGCACCACGTGCAATACTAAAGCCCACTCACTGCATCACTGTGCCCCCATTTTTATAGAGGACAAAACTGAGGCTCAGGCAAATTATTATGTCTGGAGTCACACAGCCTAGGGTTGACTAGAGCCAGGGTTCAAGTTAAAATCTGACTTCAAAGTCCTCATTATACCTGGGTTCAAAAGACAAGCAGTGTGACAATACACCTGTAATCCCAGCTACTCAGGAGGCTGAGGCAGGAACATTAGTTGGCCCCAGGAGTTTGAAACCAACCTGAGCAACATAGTGAGACCCTGTCTCAAAAGAAAGAAAGAAAAAAAAAAGGTACAGATCACAGTCTTGCATTTAGAGTTGTGATTTGGTATGAGGTGGAGCTGTCGTGAGGTGAAAGGTGGCAACAAGGCACTGGAATCCTGTAGTCTCACATCTGCAGGGCTGCCCCTCTTTGCAGGCAGATGGGGAATGAGAAACTGCTTGGTATCCTTAGTGAGGTCAGTCCCCAAAACTCTAATGGGGTAGAGGTTCTGGCAAGTCAGATTGGCACACACGGCTCAGAACCAGAGCCTATGGGAGGCCAGTGTCCCACCCTGGAGGCCGATCGCAAAGAGAAGGATTGTATAGTCTCCAGACAGCCACATGGTACAGGAGACCGAAGAAGAGCATATCCTACGCACACAGGAAAAAAGAGACTAGAAAGACAGATACTTACCAGTTCTTTTCTGACAAAAGTGAACACTGGCTCAGTTAACACCTTGGCTCTGGGAGATAAGGAGAAACTAAAAGGGCCACATGGTCCTGCTTGCTAATAAGATCACCATCAGATCAAGTTTCTTCCAGTGGCAAAGAAGGAGTGTTAGCACGGGGTGGAAGACAACACCCAAAAGTTGTATTCTCTGAAGAGTTTGCAAGTCCCCAATCCTTCTTTTTCTTGAGACTGATTCTCACTCTGTTGCCATGCTGGAGTGCAGTGGCGCGATCTTGGCTCACTGCAACCTCCGCCTCCCCGGTTCAAGTGATTCTCCTGCCTCAGCCTCCTGAGTAGCTGGGCCTATAGGCGCCTGCAACCATGCCCGGCTAATTTTTTTTGTACTTTTAGTAGAGACGGGGTTTCACCATGTTGGCCAGGATGGTCTCAGTGTCTCGATCTCGTGATCCGCCCACCTCGGCCTCCCAAAGTGCTGAGACTACAGGCTTCAGCCACCACGCCTGGCTCCACAATCCTTCTTAATTAGAACTAGATGGTTATAAATTAAGATATAAATTCTAATCCCTAAGGCAACAATTGAGAAAATACTTTAAATATATATATATATATATAGCAAAAGAAACAAAAAATTGAAACAGTACACTAGAAAGTATGTATTTAACACAAAAGAAGGTATTAATGAAGACATAAAGGAACAAAAAAGACATATAGAAAACAAATAGCAAAATGGCAGATGTAACTCCAGTAATCACACTAAATGTAAATGGATTAAATAATCTAATAAAGAAGGTGGAATGGGGAAAAACATGACCTAATTATATGCTGTCTGCAAGAGACACAATTTAGATTCAAAGACACAAATAGGTTGAAAGTAAAGAGATGAACAAAGATACACCATGCAAACAGTAACTAAAAAGAGCTATAATGGCTATATTAATATCCGACAAAATAGACTTTAACACAAAAATTGTTACTAGTGGCAAGGAAGGACATTTTTTTTATCATCATGCAAGGATTCATAAGAAAGTAAGAATCATAAAAATGTATGCACCTAACAATACAGCCCCTAAACATGTGGAGCCAAAACAGACATAATTGAAGGGAGAAATAAATAATTTTAAAATGATACTGGAGACTTCAATCCCCCACTTTCAATAATAAATAGAACAACTAGGCAGAAATTGACAGAGAAACAGAAGACTGAAAAATACTAAAAACCAAGTAGACTTAATTGACATTTATAGAGCACTCCACCCAACAATAATAGAATGTACACTCTTCTCATGTGTCCGTTGAATATTCTCCAGGCTAGACCATATGTTATACCACATAACAAGCCTCCATACATCTGAAAGAAGTTAAATCATACAAAGTAAGTTATCTAATTATAATAAAATAAAATTAAAAATCAAAAACAGATATGTGAAAATTTAACAACAGACTCCTAGAAATCAATGAATCAAAGAAAAAAATTACAAGATAAATTAGAAAATACTTTAAGATTAATTAAAATCATGGAAATAATACACTAACAGATACATCTATTGCAGGACTTAGTAATTTATAGCCATAGATGCTTACATTGCAAAAAGCAAGATTCTAAAATGATAAACATTCCACCTTAAAAAACTGGAAAAAGAAAATGAACTAAATCTGACACAGGCAGAAGGAAGAAAATAATAAAGACTGGAGTAGAAATAAATAGAAAATAGGAAAATAACAGAGAACATCATCAAAACCAAAAGTTGACTCCTTGAAAAGATCAACAAATTGACAAGCTTTTAGCTAGACTGACCAAGAAAAAAAGGGTGAAGATTCAAATTACTAAAATCAGGAATGGAAGAGGAAACATTACTAGTGACATTATACAAATAAAAGGATTATGAAGTACTATGAACAATTACATGCCAACTAATTAGAAAACCTAGACGAAATGAACAAATTCCTGGAAAGACACAAACAATCAAAATGGACTCAAGAAGAAATATAAAATCTGAATAAATATAACAAGCAAAGAGGTTACATTAGTAATTTTAAAACTTCCCACAAAGTAAAGCCTAAGATCAGATGGCTTCAGTGGTGAATTCTGTAAAATGTTTAACAAATTAACTCTAATATGGTACAAATTCTTCCAAAAAATAGAAGAGGAGGAAACACTTCCCAACTCATTCTGAGGCCAGTATCACCAAAACCAGACAAGGATATCATAAGACAAGAAAATGACAAACTAATACCTCTTATAAATATAAATACAAAATCCTCAACAAAATACAAGCAAAGCAAATCCAGCAATATATGAAAAAGATTATACACCATGAACACAAATGATTTATCCCAGGAATACAAGGTTTATTCAACATGTAAAAATCAATCAATATAATACACCATATCAACAGTATAAAGGACAAAAGCCATGTGATTATCTCAATGGCGATGAAAAGCATTTCACAAAACCTAACACCTTTACATGAACAAACCAACCAACCAACCAACCAACCACTCAACAAACTAGAAATAGAAATGATGTTCCCAGCCTGGGCAACATAGTGAGACCCTGTCTCTACTAAACACATTTAAAAATTAACCAGGCATGGTAGTATATACCTATAGTACCAGCTACTTGGGAAGCTGAGACAGGAGGATCACTGGAGCCCAGGAATCTGAGGTTGCACTGATCTATAATTGCACCACTGTGCTCCAACCTACGCAACAGAGGGAGACTCTATCTCAAAAAAAAAAAAAAAAAAGAAAAGAAAAGAAAAGAAAAAAGATGGTTCTTAACCTGATAAAGGGCATCTATGAAATGCACACAGCTAACATTATGCTTAGTAGTGAAGGACTGTTGATTCTTTTGTGTGTGTGTGTGTGTGTGTGTTTTTAATAGACACAGGGTCTTGCTATGTTGTCCAGGCTAGTCTTGAACTCCCGGCCTCAAGTGATCCTCCCACCTCAATCTCCCAAATAGCTGAGAATATAGGTACATGCTGCTTAGCCCAGCTTAACTGCTGATTCTTAAGATCAGGAGTAAGACAACCATGTCTGCTCTTATCATTTTTATTCAACAATGTATTGGAGGTTACAGTCAGGCATAATCAGGCAATAAAAGGCAATAGGTTGAAAAGGAAGAAGTAAAGCCATCTCTATTTGCAGATGACATGATCCTGGATATAGAAAATTCTAAAAAATCCACACACAAAAATATTAGAACTAATAAACAAGTTCAGTAGGGTTGCATGATACAAGATCAACATATTTAAAAAATGTATTTCTAGAACCTAGCAATCAGTAACAAAAAGATAGATTAAAAATTACATTGACAACCGGGTGTGGTGGCTCATGCCTATAATCTGAGCACTTTGGGAGGCTGATGCAGGCAGATCACCAGAGGTCAGGAGTTTGAGACCAGCCTGGCCAACATGGTGAAACACCATCTCTACCAAAAATACAAAATTAGCCAGGCGTGGTAGCACACACCTGTAGTCCCAGCTACTTGGGAGGCTGAGGCAGGAGAATCACTTGAACCCAGGAGGCAGAGGTTGTAGTGCGCCAAGATTGCACCACTGCACTCCAGCCTAGGCAACAGGGCAAGACTCTGTCTTTAAAAAAAAAAAAAAAAAAAAATTACATTGACAATAGCATCACAAATTAAAAAAAAAAAATTTAACAAAAAAGTTCAAAAAACTGGTACAGTGAAAACCATAAAATACCACTGAAAAAAAGTTAAAAGACCCAAATAAATGGAAAGACATCCCATGTTCATGGATTGGAAGACTACTATTTTCAAGATGGCAATACCCTCAAAATTGGTCTACACACCCAGGACAAGCCCTATTGAAATCCCAGCTGCCTTTTACAGAAATTAACGAGCTGATACTAAAATGAATATGGAAATTAAAGAGATGCAGAATAGCCTAAACAATATTGAAAAAAAAGTTGGAGGACTCACAGACTCACACTTCCCAATTTCAAAACTTACTACAAAGCTACAGTAATCAAGATTGTGTGGCACTGGCATAAGGATAAACATATAGACCAATAGGCAAGAATTAGAGTGCCCAGAAATAAACCCTCATGTTTATTGGTTTTTGACAAGGTACCAAGACAACTGAATGGGGGAAAGAAAAGTATTTTCTTTTCTTTTTTTGGAGATGACTTTTGCTCTTGTCACCCAGGCTGGAGTGTAATGGCATGATCTTGGCTCACTGCAACCTCCGCCTCCCAGGTTCAAGCGATTCTCCTGTCTCAGTCCCCGGAGTAGCTGGGATTACAGGTGCCTGCCACCATGCCCAGCACATTTTTTTGTATTATTAGTAGAGATGGGTGTTTCACCATGTTGGTAAGGCTGGTCTTGAACTCCTGACCTCAGGTGATCCACCCGCCTCAGCCTCCCAAAGTGCTGGGATTATAGGCGTGAGCCACCCTGCCTGGCCAGGAAAAGTCTTTTCAACAAGTGGTGCTGTAACAACACGCAAAGAAGCAAATCAGACCTCACCTCACAACATGTAGAAAAATCTACTCAAAATGTATCAAAGACCCAAATCTAACCCCTAAGTGGTAAAACTCTTGGAAGAAAACATAGGCATGAATTGTCACGGCCTTGAATTTGGCAATGATTTCTTAGATAAAACACCAAAAGCACAAGCGACAAAAGAAAAAAATAAATAAATTGGACTTCATCAAAATGTAACTTTTATGCTTCAGAAAATACCATCAAAAGGTGTAAAGACAACACATAGGACGGAAGAAAACATCTGCAAACCATACATCTGATAAGGGCCTAGGGTCTAGCATATATCAACAAATCTTTACAACAATGAAAAGACGGTCCAAACAAAAAATGGGCAAACGATCTAGTGAATATACATTTTTCCAAAGAAGGTAAACAAATGGCCGATAATACATGAAAAGATGCTCAACAGCGTTAGGCATCAGTGAAATGTGAAACAAAACTATAATGAACTACACTTGACACCTACTAGGATGGCTACGATAAAAAATAAAAACAGGCCAGGCGCGGTGGCTCACGCCTGTAATCCCAGCACTTTGGGAGGCCGAGATGGGTGGATCACCTGAGGTCAAGAGTTCGAGACCAGCCTGGCCAACATGGTGAAACCTCGTCTCTATTAAAAATACAAAAAAATTAGTTGGGCATGGTGGCACATACCTGTAGTCACACATACTCGGGAGGGTGAGACAGGAGAATCGCTTGAACCCAGGAGGTGGAGGTTGCAGTGAGCCGAGATCGTGTCATTGCACTCCAGCCTGGGTGACAGAGCAAGACTTTGTCTCAGAAAACAAAACTAAAATAAATAAAAGAAAATAAAAAATAAAAATGCAAAAAAAAAATTTAGCTCGCATGGTGGCAGGCACCTGTAATCCCAGCTACTCAGGAGGCTGAGGCAGGAGAATCATCCGAACTGGAAGGCAGAGGTTGCAGTGAGCCAAGATTGTGCCACTGCACTCCAGCCTAGGTGATGGAGCGAGATTCTGTCTAAAAAAATAAAAATAAAAAACAGTAACAGCCGGGTGCAGTGGCTCACGCCTGTAATCACAGCACTTTGGGAAGCTGAGGCGGGTGGATCACCTGAGGTCAGGACTTTGCGACCAGCCTGGCCAACACGGCAAAACCCCGTCTCTACTAAAAATACAAAACTTAGCTGGACTTGGTAGCGTGCACCTGCAGTCCCAGCTACTCGGGAGGCTGAGACAGGAGAATTGCTTGAACCCAGGAGGCAGAGGTTGCAGTGAGCAGAGATCGTGCCACTGCACTCCAGCCTGGGCGACAGAGTGAGACGCCATCTCAGGGAAAAAAAAAAAAAGAGAGAGAGGAAAAAAAAGAAAATGCCAGAGCTCAGCCATGACCTGCCCCACCCAGCCTAAGGACATCTCAAGCTCTGCCCTGTACCTGCCTCCCCCAGGTGCCCACACAGGCCTCAGGTTTCCATTTTTCCTTTTCAGGGATGGCAAGCAAAGACCTCTTGAATCTTTGACTTCCCTTTAATATATTAACTTCATTAGCTCATTCTAAGGTGATAGCTTTCTGCTGTAAGCTTTTGAACTTGGCAAATTAACATTTGTGAATAGGATTCAGTTATGAATTTTAATGACTTTCATTCATTCATAGTCCAAACAAATTACATATCTAGTGCTTCCTTTAAAATGTTTATTGCCATTTTATTATAATCATTGGCAATGAAACCACATAAAATATTAATTTAAAGAGGCAACTGCAGGGATTCTCTCTCCAAGCTGCACGCGCAGTGTGGCCCATTGTCCCAAAAGCAGCTAAGGACCGGACTTTTACAGTTACAACTGGCCCTGGGAGAGGGATGGACTATGGCAAAGTGACAGTTAAAGCCAACAGCCCTGCATCAGTACGTTCTGAAAGGCACCTGCTCAGAATGCAGGGCTAATGGTATCTCTGGTAGCCTTCTAGGAGCCGAGAGGCCTACAGCCATGGCTAACAATTTTCCCACACTTCACTCAGGTAGACGGCTTTCGAAGTCTGTGAGCTATGCTTGTTTTTTCTTTTTCTTTTTTTTTTTTCTTTTTTGAGAGGGAGTCTCGCTCTGTCTCCTGGGCTGGAGTGCAGTGGCAAAATCTCGGCTCACTGAAACCTCCGCCTCCCAGGTTCAAGCAATTCTCCTGCCTCAGGCTCCCGAGTAGCTGGGATTACAGGTGTGTGACACCATGCCCAACTTTTTTTTTTTTTTTTTTTTTTTTTTGTATTTTTAGTAGAGATAGGGTTTCACCATACCGGCCAGGCTGGTCTTGAACTCCTGACCTCAGGTGATCCACCCACCTCAGCCTCCCAAAGTGTTGGGATTACAGGCATGAGCCACCGCACCCGGGCTTTGTTTTTCGTTTTTAAAGTTTTGTTAGATGATAAGAAGAGAGAAGTGGCTCTAAACAATAAGATAAGAGACGAGAAAGGCGTGGCTGGAATCTCCCAGCTAAAGACCCACCCCTGGGACCCTGTGTGCCACAGCACATGGAAGCAGTATCAGCCCAGCAGAGCCCCAGTAACGGGCTGGAGACACAGGGCTTCAGGAACGTGGGGAAAACGGTCACCTGATGGCTGGAATATCCTGGCCCGGGCTAGGTGTGCTGGCTGACGCCTGTTATCCCAGTAGGAGGCCGAGGCAGGTGGATCACTTGAGATCAGGAGTTCAAGACCAGCCTGGCCAACATGGTGAAACCCTGCCTGTACTAAAAATACAAAAAAAATTAGCCAGGTGTGGTGGCGCACGCCTATAGTCCCAGCTAATCAGGAGGCTGAGGCAGGAGAATTGCTTAAACCCGGGAGGCGGAGGTTGCAGGGAGCCGAGATCCTGCCACTGCACTCCAGCCTGGGCAACAGAGTGAGACTCCATTTCAAAAAAAAAATTGTCTCAAAAAAAAAAAAAAAAAAAAAAAAATTCTGGTCTGCTGGCTGAGCCTGGTCAAGGGCTGAGTTCTCACCAGTGCCCCCAGGAGGGGACCGAGGTCACTGCAGGTGCCTGCCCCGCCCAGCATTCCTGGGCGGCCCCTAAGGGGTGGTGGGAGTGCAAGAGTTGTTCGCACCCGCAAATTCTCACAATGTCTGAAAAAGGAAAAGGAAGTACTATTTGGTAGTAAAATGTGTGTTCCAGATATATTTGGGGTGAACATTCTATTTCAACATATAGTCTCTTGCTCATTTATTGGCAAAGTGCTTACAAAATGTCTTAAGTACAACTCCTCGTGTGTGCGCCTAGTTAGGGAAGGCGAGGGTGAATCGGTCAGAGCTGTGCAGTGCAGTACGACAGTCAAGTCACATGTGATGATTCTAATTTAGTTAAAATGAAATAAAATTAGCAATTCAGCATCTGCACTAGCCGCACGCGAGCACTGGCTACCATACTGGACCGTGCAGACCTCGTCCATCCTGACAGAGAGTTCCATCAGATAATGCTGGTCTAGGGACCGACGCTGGGGCACCAGCAGTCCTCTTTAGCTGTGATACACCCGAGATGCCCAGCCAACTTCACATTTGCACTCCAGGCCCGGCCCTCTCCTGGGCTCAAGCACCCTGGAAGCAAACTTGCTAGCTCTGGGAACAAGATTTAGACACACTTCCCTCCCCCTATACTCGCAACTACCCACCACTCACTACCACCTACTTTATTTTCATGTGGTCCCAGTAACTACCGTCAACTTGGTAGCTTAAAACAACACAAATGGGCCAGGCGAGGTGGCTCACACCTGTAATCCTAGCACTTTGGGAGGCCGAGGCAGGTGGATCACCTGAGGTCAGGAGTTCAAGACCAGCCTGGCCAACATGGTGAAACCCCGTTTCTACTAAAAATACAAACATTAGCCAGGCATGGCGGTGGGCGCCTATAATCCCAGCTACTTGGGAGGCTGAGGCAGGAGAATTGCTTGAACCTGGGGAGCGGAGGTTGCGGTGAGCTGAGCTCACACCACCGCACTCCAGCCTGGGGGACAGAGCGAGACTGTCTCAAAAAAAAAAAAAAAAAAAAAAAAAACCACCACCCAAATGTATTATCTCACCACATCCTGGAGGTGTCAGGAGTCAAAAAGGGGTTGACCTGACTGTGTTCCACCTGGAGGCTCCAGGGAAGAATCCATTCCTTGCCTTTTTCAGTTTCTAGAGGTGCCTGAGTGCCTTGGCTTCTGGCCCCGCACCCCTCCGGCCTCTGCTTCTGCTGCCACATCTCCTCTCTGACTCTGACCCTCCTACCTCCCTCTTGTAAAGACGCTGGCGATTGCTTTGGGCCCACCAGAGAACCCAAGATAACCTCCCATCCCAAGATCCTTTACTTAATCATTTCTGCCAAGCCCCTTTTGCCATGTAAGGTGACCTAATCACAGGTTCTGGGAATGAGGGCATGGACTTCGTCGGGGGCCATGATTCTGCCTCCCTCCCTGGCCTCCCTGAGCTCCTCCACTCTTGGCCAAGAAAGAAACAGGCAGGTCCCCAGGGCCGAATCCACTTCCCTCTAACCCCAGGAATGCCCCTGCCCACATGGCTCAGTAAGGGCAGGTGACCGATGCACCTCCTCCCCTGGCCCAGATGCCGCCCAGAGCCTCCTCAGTTCTCAAAACCTTTCAAAATGTTTCAAAATCTACCCTGGGTGGCCAGGTGCAGTGGCTCACACCTGCAATCCCAGCACTTTGGGAGGCTGAGAGGGGTGGATCGCTTGAGGTCAGGAGTTCGAGACCAGCCAGGCAACATGGCCAAACCCTGTCTCTACTAAAAATACAAAAAAATTAGCCAGGCGTGGTGGTGTGCGCCTGTAATCCCAGCTACTCAGGAGGCTAAGGCAGGAGAATAGCTTGAACCCAGGAGGCGGAGGTTGCAGTGAGCTGAGATGGTGCCACTGCACTCCTGCCTGAGAAGCAGAGCAAGACTCTGTTCCCGCCACCCCAAAAAAAGGTAGTATAACAGGAATAAGGAAACAAGCTGAGAGAAGAGGTGAGTTCAAGGTCATGTGGCTGATAAAGGGTATTAGGAAGGACAGGTTACGCTGCGGTAACAATGACCCTTAAATCTCAGCGGCTGAGCCCAGCACAAGCCTGTCTTCTCTATGCCTGTGTCCAGCCTGGGTGTTAGCAAGGTGCATGGTGATGCGGGGATCAGGGATGCAGAGTGACCACGTGCCGTCTCTACCGGACCCAGGCCTATACATCACCATGAGAGGCAGCTGCCCACTGGCTCTGGAAGCTTCCTCCTAGCACGACACACCCCACACCTACACCTAAGCACATCCCATGACCACGCCCTCCTTGAAGGTGGTGGGAAGTGTCTGTGTACCCGGAGGGCAGGGGGCAGCAGTGATGGAAGCTGGGGCGGGAACCCCAGAGACCCCCATCCACTACCCACTGCCGGTCCCCCCAATCAGGCACAGAGCAGTGACACGCACCCCCCCGACCAGGCACCCAGCACGCGCCCCCCCAACGAGGCACGGAGCAGCAAGCACGCGCCCCCCAACCAGGCACCGAGCAGCGAGCACGCGCCCCCCAACCAGGCACCGAGCAGCGAGCATGCGCCCCCCAACCAGGCACCGAGCAGCGAGCACGCGCCCCCCCAACCAGGCACTGAGCAGCGAGCCACGGCCTCAGTGATGAGCTCAGGCTTTATCTTTCCTGCAGGGTTCAGCTTGGCTGCTGGAGACAAACGTCTGGGGAAAATATTTCTGGACCCAGAAGCGCCCCACAGCTCCCAGGGCTCCAGGGCATAGGAGCAGGCACATCCCCGGCTCACTTACTATTGCAGACTGACGCCAAACTGCTGTGTGGGCAGCGGGGGCCGCGGCGGTGGTGTCTTGGTGGGAGGCGGCGTCCGGCCCTCGTGCAGGCTCTGGAGCTTCTCATCGTACCTGTAGACACAACAGAGGCTGGGATCTCACCTGGCAGGGGCAGCTGGCAGCCACGGAGGCGCTGGGTGGGGCTGGATGCCCCACCTGCAGGACACCTGGGCATCTCATCCCTCTGGGCGCACGTGCCACACTGCCAGCTCACACACACACTCACATACACACAGTCACAATCCCCCATTGCTGTGGGCTGTTCGCATAAGAGGCAGTAGTCCAACCTCCAGCAAATGTCCAGTCTCTCCTGAGGCCCCTGGCCAGCAGAGCAGCCTCACCTGCTTACCATGCGGTCAGCCCCAAGGTGGGCGTGACCACCCTCAGCTCTCGCAAGTGTCTGAATTTAAGACGAGAGCTGGCCGGTAATGCTAAAGGAACCTCGTCCCTTTTGTTAATTACTTTATCCCCAGTGCCTGGAAAGGGCTTGCTGCCTACTAGATGCTCAATTAAAATATTTGTTGAATGAAACAAGAAACCCATGAATGAACAGATGGACTCTGAAAAGGATGGATAAACTCTGAAGGAGGTGGTTAAAGCCTTCGGGTGAAAAGAACCTCTGTGCTCGGCACGGTGGCTCACGCCTGTAATCCCAACACTTTGGGAGGCCGAGGCAGGTGGATCACTTGAGGTTAGGAGTTTGAGACCAGCCCGGCCAACATGATGAAACCCCATCTCTACTGAAAATACAAAAATTAGCTGGGCATGGTTGTGCACACCTGTAATCCCAGCTACTCGGGAGGCTGAGGTAGGAGAATCACTTGAACCCAGGAGGTGGAGGTTGCAGAGAGCCGAGATTGCGCCATTGCACTCCAGCCTGGGCGATAGAGCAAGACTCCATCTCAAAAAAAAAAAAAAAAGAAAAGAAGAAGAAAGAAAAGAAAAGACCCTCTGTGCTCAGGTAACAGTCCTTCCTTAACACAGGCAAATACGTATTGAAGCCCTACTATGTGCCGGGCACTGTGCATACAGCAGGGACCCGGCCACAGGATGGGGGGGCACATGACCATTAGTTGGCAGCTCGGGAGTGAGGCAGTCAGTGACACAAGATGGTGCAGGGTTAGGCACCCGACAATGCAGGAAAGGTCTGCGGAGAAGGTGGTGCACTGGACTGAGCCTGGCCAGCCAAGCACGTGTGAGCTGCTACCACGTGCGGTTGTTTTTTGTGAGTTAATCACAGCGCTCTGCGCCCCAAGTGGCTCCCCAGAGATGTCTCGGTCCCTCATGAGGGGCCTACTGTAGAGGGGTTATTTTGTCTACTTTACAGATTGGGAAACTGAGGCTTGTCAAGGTCTGGTGACATGCCCCAGGTCACAAGCTGGGATGACAGCCAGGATTCAGCACCCCAAGGCCCTGCCCTGCCGCTGTGCCAGTGGGTCTCAGCCTCTGGTGCTCGCAGCACCCACCAGGAAGTATGTGGGGGTGGAGAAAATCCAGACTCAGCCCCACCCCCAGTCTAGAAGCTGCTCATTTAAAAGCATCAGCATTGGACGTGTCCTCTGGGGTTCTGCTGCATGGCTATGGAACAGGGGTGCCGGCTGCCTACTGAGTAAGTTCAGGAGCTCCCAATGCCCAAGCCCAAGCCCCTCTCCCAAACCTCATCCCCTCTGACTCACAGGACCCTGCACCCTCAGTGTTGCCAGCCACCTGCACATTCCAGAGGCCCTAGACTGCACCCAGTACCCACTGAGAAGCCGGAGCTGCGTGTTTCACAGATGCCGTCCATTTCATCCCCAAATCACTCTCCCACACAGGAGGATGTGAGTTACCCTTTGTCACCAGACCAAATCACTTCCACCACAGAGCTGCTACAAATACATCTTCTGAGCCGTCTCCATGGACTCCCCCGGATCACTTTAGTGAGGTCTGGGAGTGGGGTCTTGCCAGGGCCCACGGGCGACCAGGGATTCCCATCATCCTCTCATGGCCTCCAGGTCCAGTTCACTCTCCTCTGCTTGGCACCAAGGACTCCCGGCCCAAGGTGACCTCCAGCTTCACGTTCACCAACTTCTGCCTGATCACATGGGACTTCTCACTGCCTCCAGATCTCCCAATATTTCACCCATATGTTTGCAGGAGGGCTTCCCTCTGCTGGAAATGTGCTTCCCTGGCCTCTTCATCTAGCCAACTGTCCCTGTGAAACTCACTTTAAGAGCTACCTCCTCCTAGAAGTCTTCCTGGATTACCCCCACACACCAGTCCCCTCCCCAGCTGGGTTCTGTGCCTCCTCTGGCCCCTGTCATCACTGATTTGTGGCCCTCACTAGTCTGAGAGTGTCATGAGGGCAGAGACCACACTCCCTAAACACCTCTATATCCCAGCACCTGCCATGTGACTTGGCGTCCGGAGAGAAGTTATTATCTCCATTACCCCTGCAAGGCTACCAGCCTTCCCTGCACGTACTTTGGCAAGGGCCTGCTCCTTCAAAGGAGCGCCTCAGAGAGGGAGACACAGGGGCAGAGGGAACCCAGGCTGGGGGTCCAGAGACCCAGGCTGGATCTGGCCGCGCCCTGTACTGGCTGTGTGGCATACGCCTTTCTGGGCAGCCTCTATTCATCTGGGCCTACATTTAAGCCTTGTAGCAGACACACCAATTAAGCTTTCAGCATCCAGGAGACAGGTCGTTTTCTAGAGCACCCGTGACGTCCCTGAGAACACTTCATTCTGTACACAGCGTTATCCACACGCCTGGGAAATTCTCCTAATTTTCTGCTCAAAAGCAAAAACGGTAAACACCAAGGCAACAAACGGCCGTTGCCATGTTAGGGCTTATTTTTTAAATCAGTTTTGCAATGGTGGGCGAGGAAAACATCCCGTCCTGTATACAACCTTTGCCATTTCATTTCTCTGAGTCAGCAGTTAGCACCTTTTGCTGCGGATCTTTGTCGATGCCGCAGATTTCTGAGCCAAATCTAGCCAAGCACACATTTGGAAATCAAGCCTTAAACATTCATGGGACTGAACCAAGCCCTTTGGAAGCACGAAGATGTATTGATGCGGCTTCTGGGGTCTAACAGGCACTTACCGCAAAACTTCGGGAGGGATGACCAGCTGGTCGTATTTAAGGTGTTCGTGGAGCTCACTCAGGTAGTTGAAATAGATGACTTTCTTCCCAAACTTGTGACTAAGAAAGCAGAAGCAAGAGAATAAAGAACGATTAGGCGCCAGCAGAGAGGCCGAGGGTTGCAGGGAGGGAGGGGGAGTTGGCGGCAGAACAATGCAGGCATTTTTCATATTAAGAAAATGTAAACGCTGACACGACTTAAAACCCGAACATAACACAAGCAGCGCACGCCGGGAGATATTTTGCTTTCACGAGATCTCCAATGCACCAAACACGCTGGAGTGGCTCATCTGCATAAAAATAAATATCTGCCTCCAATTTACATCTGCCCTGAATTTGCATATAGGAGATAGCGCGGAAGTGCCAAGAAGCGCTTTTGGGGGATGCAGGCTAGACAGGGGGCACTAAGCCACTGGCACAGAGAGAGCAGCTCTGAGGTTGAAGCCTGCCCCAGGGCAGCCTCAGTTGCTCGCGGTTTTGGGGTCAGTGGTGGCTTCACATTTGGCCACCTCTTCTAAGGAGAGGAACCAATGAGGCTCTCCAGGTTTGTCTCCAGGACAGTCTCTCGGACCCCAGGGAGCAGCGCAGCCACAAGGCCAGACATGCCCTGACCAGGTGCAGCAACTCCGTCTTCTCCCTCCTCTTGTGCCCCAGGGCAATTCACTCCCTCTCAGGGCCTGGGTCTGAAAGTGGGGGTTCTCCCTCCTAAGTGAGGGCGGAAGACAATGCAAGGCTATTTGCAGGTCTAGTCCACTGCCTGACGTCTGGTGGACATGCTCGCTGTGACGACTGCTATTAGTAACAAGGCTCAGCATGAATTGCAAAGTGGGGATCATTGACAGATGGATGCGAGCACGCCTTTATAAGAAGCCTGTAATCCCCGCCTTCTTTATGATAGTCTAGGTTTGGTTTTTGCCATAAATATATCATTTGAGTTTTATTTTGGAGGACAGTATTATTTCTTTATTGTATATGTTTAAGATATACAACTTTTTTTTTTTCGAGATGGAGTCTCGCTCTGTCACCCAGGCTGGAGTGCAGTGGTGTGATCTCGGCTCACTGCAAGCTCCGCCTCCTGGGTTCAAGTGATTCTCCTGCCTCAGCCTCCCAAGTAGCTGGGATTAAGGTGCACACCACCACGCCTGGCTAATTTTTGTATTTTTAGTAGAGACGGGGTTTCAACATGTTAGCCAGGATGGTCTCGATCTCCTGACCTCGTGATCCGCCCGCCTTGGCCTCCCAAAGTGCTGGGATTACAGGCATGAGCCACCGTGCCTGGCCAAGATATACAACTATTAATGTGGGTAAAGAATTATGTTGTTACTGGAAAAGGAAAGTTATGTATTCAGCCAAACCGAAGATATTTTATGTTATTTTATGACAATTTGAAAGTCTTGAAATAAGTATTCATGTATTTTCAATGTCGTTTATTTTGTGAAATCAAAATAATTCAAGTTACCGTGGCAAAAACAAAAAATACGGAGATCATGACAGGTAGGAGAATCCAAAGGGACAGCGGCCGCCCAGTGCTCAGCCCAAAGCTCAGCCCACAGCTCAGTCCAGCGCCAGCACCAGCGCCAGGTGGTTCCTAAAGGAGCCCCGAGGGAGGCCGAGCTGTGTGCACTGGCTCCCCCTAGTGGACGAGAAAGAATCGGACCCGGGGGCTGAGGGAGGAGGGCGGGGATTGCCAGGTTTCTGTATTCAAGGACACTGCCAGGTAGGCCAGGGAACCCGGGCTGAAGGCTGGGGCTGCAGAATAGCCACCAAAGTGCAGTGTGCCCCTCACCCCAAGCACAAGGGGAGGGAGGAAAGCGGGGCCTGCCTTAGTGCCTGCACCCCAGCCCCCGGAGGGAAGGGGCTGGTGGGACCCCTGCAGGAGTGTCCTCACCGCCTGCCCATTTAGACGCCACAGGACTCGGGGACAGTCTGGTCTCTGCTGGAAGGATGCCGGAGGGTGTCCCCGGGGCTGTGAAGTACTGTCAACGTCCTGTGTGATGGGCGGGAGGAACCCACTAAGGGCAAAGGGAGTCTTGCCCCTCTGCAGGAACCATTCTCAGGGACAGAGGTGCCCGCTTCAGAGCTGCAGGGAGGCCTCCCATGCCCAGCCCCTCACCTTCCTCTCTGCAACCTCCCTGACCTGTCCTGCAGGCCAGGCTCTGCCAAACACGGACTCTGGGACAGGTGCAGCCAGGGCCCTGCCACTTGCCTCTCCTCTCGGGAAAGGGCCCACAGGCCAGCTCAGCCAGGGGCTCCCAACACGGCGTGCGGCAGAGTTGCTGGGGTTTTGTTAGACCTGCAGCCACAGGCACCACCTGCGGGGATCTGAGTCAGGAGGTCTGGCGAGACCCAGGGCCTCAGAGTTCCTCTACTTCCTTCATTTACAAATGAGGACTTGGGAAACAGAGAGGTTATGTGGCTGCCCAAGATCTCACAGGCAATGGGCTGCGGAGCCCAATCTGGGCTCCAGAGCCCCAGCCCAATTCCTATGGTCCTCTCCTGGCAGCTGCTTATGTCCAGGCATGAGGCAGAATGAGGGGTAGAACCACACAGGCTCAGGTTGGATCCCAGCCCACGCCCCCTCTCATGGTGCGACTTGGGCGTAACCTCTCTGAGCACCAACCTCCTCTTCTTTGGAATGGGGAAAATGTGGCTGACTTCACAGTACTGTTTTGCGGTGCTGGCACATAAGGTGCGTAAGATATTGGAATCAAATTAATACAAAAGGGTAGTTTTAAAAGATTTTTTTTTCTTTTTTCTGAGGTGGAGTTTCGCTCTTATTGCCCAGGCTGGAGTGCAATGGCGCGATCTTGGCTCACTGCAACCTCCGTCTCCCGGGTTCAAGCGATTCTCGTAGCTCACCCTCCTGAGTAGCTGGGATTACAGGCGCCTGCCACCACTCCCCGCTAATTTTTTGTATTTTTAATAGAGATAGGGTTTCGCCATATTGGCCAGGCTGGTCTCGAACTCCTGACCTCAGGTAATCTGCCCACATTGGCCTCCCAAAGTGCTGGGATTACAGGGGTGAGCCACCACGCCCAGCCAACTTAAAAACATTTTAAATCAGGGCCAGGTGCAGTGGCTCATGCCTATAATCCCAGCACTTTGAGAGGCCGAGGCTGGAGGATTACTTGAGGTTAGGAATTGGAGAGGAGCCTGGGTAACATGGCAAAACCCTGTCTCTACTAAAAGTTCAAAATTTAGCTGGGCATGGTGGCGTGCCTGTAGTCCCAACTACTTGGAAGGCTGAGGTGGGAGGATCACCTGAGTCCAGGAGTTCGAGGCTACAGTGAGCCGTGATGGCACCACTGCACTCCAGCCTGGGCAACAGACTGAGACCTTGTCTCAAAGCAATGAAACAAAACAAAACAACAACAAACAAAAAACACAGTACTAGCAGCTAACATTGAGTATTTGCCTGGCAGGCCCTATTCTAAACAGTCAACATGGTGCGCTCCTATAATCCCAACACTTTGAGAGGCTGAGAAAGGAGGATCACTTGAGGCCAGGAGTTCCAGTCCAGCCTGGGCAACATAGCGAGACCCTGTCTCAACAAAAAATTGTTTTAAACTAGCTGGGCACAGTGGTGCGCACCTGTAATCCCGGCTATGTGAGAGGCTGAGGTGGGAGGACCACTTGAGCCCAGGAGGTTAAGGATGCAGTGAGCCATGATTGCACCACTGCACTCCAGCCGGGCTGATGGAACAAGAACCTATGAAAAAAAAAGAGAAAAGGAAGGAAGGAAGAAAAATAAAATAAACACTATATGTATTAAGTCAGTGAATTATTATGACAATGGAATGACTTAAATAGCCTTGTCAGCCACATGGGGAAACTGAGGCAGAGAGGGGTTGGCTCTTTTGTTGAGGGTAATGGGTAATGGATGGCAAGGGGCAGAGCAGTCGAGCCCAGGCAGTCTGGTGCCATCACCATCACGCTGCCACGTGGAAAACAGGAGGAGCAGGTGAATTTTTTTTTTTTTTGAGACTGGAGTCTCACTCTTGTTGCCCAGGCTGGAGTGCAATGGTGTGATCTCGGCTCACCGCAACCTCTGCCTCCTGGATTCAAGTGATTCTCCTGCGTCAGCCTCCCAAGTAGCTGAGATTACAGTCATGCGCCACCACGCCCAGCTGATTTTTGTATTTTTAGTAGAGACGGGGTTTCACCATGTTGGTCAGGCTTGTCACGAACTCCTGACCTCAAGTGATCCTCCCATCTCGGCCTCCCAAAGTGCTGGGATTACAGGCGTGAGCCACTGTGCCTGGCCAAGCAGGTGAACTTTTTTTCCAAGAACCTTAGAGGTTTCTAGAACTCTTAAGTACAACAAAGTCTGACTCTGTCGCCCAGGCTGGAGTGCAGTGGTGCTATCTCAGCTCACTTCAGTCTCTGCCTCTCGAACTCAAGCAATCCTCCCACCTCAGCCTCCTGAATAGCTGGGACTAAGGTACGCGCCACCATGCCTGGCTGATTTTTATCTGTTTTGTAGAGGCGAGGTTCCGCCATGTTACCCAGGCTGGTCTTAAACTCCTGGGCTCAAGTGATCCACCTGCCTTGGCCTCCCAAAGTGTTGGGATTACAGGTGTGAGCCACCATGCCTCGCCCTCTAAGGACTTTTCTCTGTTTTTTGAGATGGAGTTTCGCTCTTGTCACCCAGACTGGAGTGCAATGGTGCAATCTTGACTCACTGCAACCTCTGCCTCGTGGGTTCAAGCCTCAATTCTCCTGCCTCAGCTTCCTGAGTAGCTGGGATTATACGCGCCCACCACCACACCCGCTAATTTTTTGTGTTTTTAGTAGAGACGGGGTTTTGCCATGTTGAGCAGGCTGGTCTTGAACTCCTTACCTCAGGTGATCCGCTAGCCTCAGCCTCCCAAAGTGCTGAGATTACAGACGTGAGCTATTGCGCCCAGCCCCTCTAAGGACTTTTCTAAGGTAAATGACAGGACTAGCTTTTTTGCTATGTCAAATATGTCACATGTCACATAGGGCACAAGGGTGCTGGGCCTGGTTAAACACAAACAAAACCTCACCTTCCAATAGGGGAATGTGTGCGGCATAGGCCAGTAGGTGAGAAAAACTGGCAGGAAATTCTAGTGACATGAAAGGAGCTCTTTGGCCCCAAAAATCTCTCCTTCTATTAAGCAGGAGCTGACTCAAGTCTGCTGCTCTGGGAATTCTCCCAGTGTGCCTCAGGACCACACGATTCAGTCCCTGGAATGACAGCTTTGGGAGCTGATAAGAAAAGAAGGCCGGGCATGGTGGCTCACGCCTGTAATCCCAGGACTTTGGGAGGCCGAGGCGGGTGGATCAACCTGAGGTCAGGAGCTTGAGACCAGCCTGGCCAACATGGTGAAACCCCGTCTCTACTAAAAACACAAAAATTAGCCAGGCGTGGTGGCAGGTGCCTGTAATCCCAGCTACTTGGGAGGCTGAGGCAGGAGAATCGCTTGAACCCAGGAGGCAGAGGTAGCAGTGAGCCGAGATGGCGCCATTGCACTCCAGCCTGGGGGACAAAAGCGAGACTTCGTCTCAAAAAAAAAAAAAAAAAAGAAAGAAAGAAAGAAAAAAGAAAGAAAAGAAAGGCTCCAAGCCGCCTGGCAGGGCAGTTCTTTTTTTTTTTTTTTTTTTTTGAGACAGGGTCTTGCTTGTTGCCCAGGCTGAAATGCAATGGCACAAACACAAGCCACTGCAGCCTTGAAGTCCTGGACTCAAGCAATCCTCCTGCTTTGGCCTCCCGTGTAGCTGGGACCACAGGCGCATGCTACACATCCGGCTAATTTTTATATTTTTTATAGAGGTGGGGCTCACTTTCTTGCCCAGGTCACACTCCTGGGCTCAAGTGATCCTCCTGCCTTGGCCTCCCAAAGTGCTATGATTAGTAGCATGAGCCACTGTGTCTGGCTGCAGAGTAGCTCTCGATGTGCCCAAGGACCAGTGCTTGCCAACATTCCTCTGAGTACCAGTCACATTAAGAGACAAAGGGACACAGGGACAAGGGTGGGACGGGGCAGTGTAGCCCTTGGGGCGGGAGACGGCTGGTGGGAAGACAGGCAGGTGCCTGAGAGCCTGAGCTGTCCATGCTCCTGGGGGGCCGAGATGCTTCCCAGGGATGGATGGGGAAATGGGAAGGAGACAGTGTGGATTCCGAGGTCCCAGCTGGCATTCCAGCTCTGTCTGAGTGCTCCCTGTACACGGAGCGTCACACCCACTCACACGGTGTCTGTGGGGCACGAGAAGAGACCTGTGTCAGCAGCAGCCTCAGAGCCACGAGTGGGCTTCAACAAGTGGAAGGAGCCGAGGGGGGAGATGGCAAAGGCCTGTGAGATGCAAACCTCTGGGGAAGAATGACGACCCCTCCAGGGATGCGCCTCCCTGTCCCCAGAGGCTTCATCCTAGGGAGGCCCTCCAGGAGTCCTCCCGCCCTCTCACAGAGGCAGCCACCTCACCTGGCTATCCTGACCCGTCTGGTGCACACCTGCGCCCTCCTGCTCTGAGCCCCTCCCTCGCCTGCAGAACTCACCCAGGGAGGGCCAGAGCCACCGTGCAAGAACGACATCTGTCAGTCTCTTCCCCACCCCACCCCCGTCATGTGGCTCTGTGCACACAGTTTGTGCCTGATGCATACAGCCAAAACGGAAGAAAATACAAGATGCCCATGCGACCCAGGCAGAGCCTCCCAGGCCTCACGAGCCCCTTGAGCTCTTGCTTCCCAATACTGAGGCAGAAATCCTTTAGCAGGAACAAGTCTAAATATGGAAGAAGCTGACTGAAGTCGCCACATTTCCGGGCTGTGGCTGCCTTTCTTTAGGCCGCTTATTTGGGTTGCTATGCAATCAAGGCTTAACTCAGCAGGCTGGGGGTGTCCAAGCCCCACACGTTCCAAAGAGAAGGCTGGCCATGGGTGACCTGCTCCTGGGTGGAAACCTCTCAGCTCCTGGGAGAGTCGGCCTGGTAATGTCTTTGCCCACCGGGAACCTTGGGCCAACACCACAGAGTTTGTGCCAACAATGTGATTGAGGGCGGGGGCCTTGGGTGGGTTTTATTTGTCTCATCTCAGGAGGGGCTGGAGACCGAGTGGCTGAGGTCAGCCGGGTGGATGCTCCGTGCCTACATGACTGACCCGCAACAAAAACCCTGGGCACCAAGGCTCGGTGAGCTTCCGCGGCCAGCCATGCTCCCTCCTCCCCCACACATTCCTGCTGGGAGAATGGAGCACTGCCTGTATGAATCCGCCCGGAGAGGGCAGCTGGGAACTTGCACTTGGTCCTCCTGGACTCAGCCTTGTGTGCCTTTTACCTTTGCTGACTTAAATCTGTGCCCTGTCTCTGTAACAGACCACAACAGTGAAGATAACAGCTTTCCTGACATCTGTGAGTCCCTCTGGAAAATCACGGCACCTGAGGGTGGTCACACAGTGTGGGGGCTCAGGCAAAGGGGGGCTTTTAAACACCAGGTGCAAACCCCACAGGTGCCAAAGGCCGGCACTGCACTCCTGTCCATGACCTGGGCTGGCCTTGTGACCCCCCGCAGACCCCAGGGCGGGTAGGGAGCCCCAGATACACAGGCACCCTGGAGACGGGCCCTCCATGATGCGTGGATAGGGAAGGCCGTCCCATGGACCCTGAGGGGTGAAACCTCCAACCCCAGCGAGGTCCTCTCCCAGAGTGACGCATACCTGATGAGGGGCTTCAAGATGTTCCACAGGACCTTGATGAAGCTGGTGGGGTGCACCACGTAGAGGGCCTTCAAGTTCTTCTTGTACCTGAGGAGGGAAACGGGGGATGACTTCAGGCTGCCGCGCTCCGAGAAACACCCCACGCCCAATAACCCTGAAACAGCTGCCTCCACTGTGAGTCTCAGAATGTTACTCCTCTCAACAGGATCAATTTAAGGACATCAAACAAAGAATGAAATAAACTCGGGGAAAATCAGGACCCCTCACCTGCTGCCCCCGCCAGGCATGCCTGCAGCGCTTTAGTTCGCCGAGGCACAGCTGCAAGTCGGAGCCCTGTTTATAGGCGCTCACTCACACCAGGGTCGGGGGTGGCTGGAGCACATCCTGGGGGCAATTTGGCAACAGCTCTCAGAATTAAAACCGCACAGAGCCTCTTGGCCAACACCTGCCCTGCCAGGAGCTGACCTGGGCTAGAAGGAGCTCACCGTGTTGGTTATGATGGCAGATAAACCCGGCAATAACCTAAACATCAGCCGGCCAGAGGCCGGTTCAATGCAATACAGCCACCCACACATTGGAACACCCAGTGAACTTCTCTCTCTCCCTCCTTCCCAGTCTCCATGCTTCCTTCTTGAATATTTCAGCCCAAAGCCATCAGGTTGGGGAAGAAAGGTAGGCAGCCAACCAGGGTGGGGATGGGGGCAGAGGACATGCCAGGGCTCTAGAGGGTGAGTGGGGGACGGTGTGTCCTGCTGGGGAGACACAGCCCAGGAGGCGAGAAGGGGCATCCACATGGCCTGCGTGGGGTCAGCCTGCAGGACGCCAGAGCCACCTCTTATCCACTCACACGGGCTGTCAAAATTTCAGGAATTTTTGGAAGCCAATTGTGTATGTGTGTAGACGTATGTAAGTCTAAGTGTGTAGGTGTGTGTAGCTCTATGTAAGTGTATGTAACTGTAATTGTATGTGTGTGTAGGTGTATGTAGGTGTAAGTGTATATAGGTGTGTATGTAGGTGTGTGTAGGTGTAAGTGTATGAAAGTGTGTGTAGGTGTACCTACATATGTGTAGGTATACCTAGGGGTGTGTAGGTGTATTTAGGTGTGTGGGTGTGTGTGTAGGTGTGTGTAGATATAAGTAAGCGTAAGTGTGTGTAGGTGTATGTAGCTGTAAGTGGTGTGTGTGTAGTTGTATGTAGGTGTATGTGTATATAAGTGTATAGTATACGTAGGTGTGTATATGTATGTGTATGTAGGTGTAAGTGTATGTACATGTAGGTGTCTGTATGTGGGTGTATGTACTGTAGGTGGGTATGTGTGTATGTAGGTGTAAGTGTATGTACATGTAGGTGTCTGTATGTGGGTGTATGTACTGTAGGTGGGTATGTGTGTATGTAGGTGTGTGTAAGTGTATGTATATGTAGGTGTCTGTATGTATGTGTATGCAGGTGTATGTACTGTATCCAGGTGTGTATGTGTGTATGTAGGGGTGTGTGTGTGTGTGTAAGTGTATGTATATGTACATTCACACACACATACCCTAACTCTGTCCACTGAAAGGGCCTGGGAGCCATAACACCCCAAAAGCAACAAGCACTCCGCTTGTCCAGATCTTGGTCTCTAAATAGCATTCTCCACTACAGGGAGCCAGGGCGACTGTGCTCCTTGGAGAATGGCAGATTCCTGAGCTGGAGCAAGAAAAATACAAGATAAGCCTGGCATATCCTGTGCCAGAAAGTAAAGGAAGCACTCAAAGAGTGAGGGGGAGTGTCAGAAGGACCTGGGAGTCCTTAAAACGGCACCCACATGGGCAAATTTGGGACAATTTGATCATTAAAATGATAGTAATGGATTGTAACTCAATGAATAAAATAGGACATTTTACACATGTCCACACTGAGATAAATAAGTGAGGAGAAGAAAAAGCTCTTCCCTTCGTCAGATGCCGAGTGCTCATCAGACCACCATTGGCTGCCATCATATGAACAACTAAGCCAAGCAGCAGCAATGAAAGTGAAAAGTATTTTGACAAGGAGCAGGATATTTATATAATCTCAAAGCATCTCTCCAAGAAATGTTAATTAACTAATTTTAAAAAGGCTCTGAGGCAGGGCGCGGTGGCTCACACCTGTAATCCCAACTCTTTGGGAGGCTGAGGCGGGCGGATCACGAGGTCAAGAGATGGAGACCATCCTGGCCAACATGGTGAAAACCCGTCTCCACTAAAAATACAAAAATTAGCCGGGCGTGGTAGTGCACACCTGTAGTCCCAGCCACTCAGGAGGCTGAGGCAGGAGAATCACTTGAACCCAGGAGGCAGAGGTTGCCGTGAGCCAAGATCGCGCCACTGCACTCCAGCCTGGTGACAGAGCAAGACTCCGTCTCAAAAAAAAAAACAGAAAGCAAAAAAAAAAAAAGGCTCTGAGAGGAGGGGCGGGGCGGGGGGCAGTAGCAGTGGCTTCCAGAGTCTCCAGGAGCCCAGAGGGCAGCTGCTGCAAGGTTCACCCTGAGACTGAGCTTCCAGTGGCTTCCATTAGTTGCCACCCATGGCAGGAGCTCTTTGGTGAGGCAAGCACTCCCAGAAGTGGGGTCATGAACACTTGCGTGCGAATTTGTTCACCCCTAAAAGGAATGACCTGGCAGGACGGTCTGGAGGATGAGAAGCCAAAGGCAGAGAGAACAGAAAAGAATGCAGGAAACCTGATGGGGTGTGGCAATGGCCGACTGAAAACCCTCACTGCATAAATCTTTTTTTTTTTTTTTTGAAACAGAGTTTCACTCTGTTGCCCAGGATGGAGTGCGGTGGCGCGATCTCAGCTCACTGCAACCTCTGCCTCCCAGGTTCAAGGGATTCTTATATCTCAGCCTCCCGAGTAGCAGAGATTACAGGCGTGCACCACCACGCCTGGCTAATTTTTTGTATTTTTAGTAGAGATGGGGTTTCACCATGTTGGCCAGACTGGTCTCGAAATCCTGACCTCAAATGACTCACCCGCCTCAGACTCCCAAAGTGCTGGGATTACAGGCGATCTCATCTAATTCTATTTGGAGCACCACTCGCATACCTCTAGCGATGGGGAACTCAGCACCCCTGCAGACATTACACTTTTGGGTAGTTTGATGCCTAGAGTGTCCCTCCTTTTTGCTTCTACTGAGCCAAGATCTGTAACGCTAACCCTAACCCCTACCCCTATCCAACCTCCCGGGGAGTGGGAGAGTCACACAGAACAAGTCTGCCTCTTTCCATCTGATGCCTTGAAGGCCACGGCTGCCACCTTCCTCTCTTCCCTGCCTAGTCCCCTCTGGCCAAGGTTAAATGACCGCCGATTGGAAGTCACTGCTTCAAGTCTCTCCACCTGCGTGGCTCCACTTATCAACGCCCTTCAATGTGAGAGCTCTGACAGCCTCCCCAGGTTGCCACGAGGCCGGCCTCCTTCCCCGGGCTGGTGCCGTTACCTTTGGCTTTGTCACTGCTCACAGGTCACTGCTGGCAACACAGATTCCAACTCCCCGGCTAGATTTCATCCATCGACCACTGGCACATCTTACCTGGCTGTGAAGGAATTCTGCTGCTTTCTCCCAAGCGGGAGTGACCCACTCCTTATGTGCGAACCAGCAGCCCCCTCGAGAAAGGGAAGGGAAAGCACCCTGGGCTGATTACGGGTTTGTTTCTCTGGGCTGATTTCTGGCAACTGAGAAGTGGGGGAGCTGCCTCAAGGAATCTGCGGGTGCATCTTCGTTTCTCACGTGGGGAAGTGCAGAGGGCAAAACCTTCATCTGCTTTAGCTCAAGACAGGGCTACTGTGCACATCCTGCTGTGAGCCTGAGCCTCCTGAAAGGGCTGCTTTAAACACATCACTCGCTTCTCCTCAAGCACCTGCCATGGCTCCCTGCTGCCTCTTAAACACAGTCCAGCATCCTCTGTGCCCCTCCCTCCTTTGCTGCCTCCCTCCACGGCTCCCCACGGGAACCCTACAGACCAGACCCCCACCAATTGCACCAAAGTCCACCCTGCTCTTTCTTGCATCTGGCCACACCTCGTACCAGAAGCAAAATCCAGTGATTGCCACTTCACAACACCCTGCCCACCACTCCACAGGCAGCTCAAAGGCTGCTTCCTCCATGCAGCCTTCCTGATTACGCCAGCTGGAACCTTGGTACTTCCTGCCAGTACCACTTCACTCCTCTATCCTCCCATCTAACGCTTAATAAAAGCCTGCCGGCTGGGCACAGTGGCTCACGCCTGTAATCCCGGCACTTTGGGAGGCCAAGGCAGGCGGATCACGAGGTCAGGAGTTCAAGACCAGCCTGGCCAACATAGTGAAACCCCGTCTCTACTAAAAATACAAAAATTAGCCGGGCATGGTGGCTCACGCCTGTAGTCCCAGGTACTCAGGAGGCTGAGGCAGGAGAATCACTTGAACCTGGGAGGTGGAGGTTGTGGTGAGCCGAGATCTCGCCACTGTGCTCCAGCCCAGGCAATAGAATGAGACTCTGTCTCAAAAAAAAAAAAAAAAAAAAAAAGGCTGCCATATGCAGATCCTTTCCCACCTGCAAGGGATGCAGAGACAGGTCCGGGATCACAGCCTAGTGCAGGAGGCAGACCTGTTCACAAACCCCTAAGTGCTAGCTAGGATTGGTGTCTGCTTAGGCACAGTGAGGCTGCAGGGAAGGGGCTATTGATTCTCCCAGGACAACCCAGGAAGCCTTCCTGGAGGAGGACATGCGCTGGGGCTAGGCCATCTCCAGCTTATACAGGTGCCCAGTAAATGACTGCAAAATACAGCAACAATTCTTTCCCTAAGACATAGGATGGGGAACCAAGAAGTCCCTCCGAAGGTCCTATTGATAATGACAGCAGGACCCAAAAGGCAACTGGAGGGAGGACTTCTGGGACATTCAGGCACTGCCTTCCACTGTCCCACTGACTCAGATATCTGTGAAGCAGATTTCTGTTACAGGTTTGAAAGGACTTTGAAGAAGGAAAACCCAGAGGAATCTAGGATATCCACATCAACGCCCATCGCCGCAGTCTACGAGCCAGATATATTGCCAAGTTGATTATTAGGCCGGACGTCCCTCAGGAAAAGTCTGCCGGCTCCAGGCCATGGCCAAGCGGTGAGTAGCGTTGGGTGGGAGAGGGAGGCGGGGGCCTGGGGTGGGATCCTGCCCTACCACACACAAGCTGAGTGACCACGGGTAAGTCACTTGCTCCCTGGGGCCTATGTCCTCATCTGTAAAATGAGGCTGCCATCTCACCAACAAGAGGCATCAGAATGCCCCTTGCAGACTGTAAAGGGCTGTGAAAGCAAGAAGAGGCTTTAGTGAAGAAACGGTCATGCAGTTGTTTCTTTGCCAGTAATTCACTGGACCAGGGGTGGGAGAATGGGCAGGCAGGATGAACCTAGCCTGCTTCCTGCTTTGGTACAGGCTGCAAGCTAAAAATGGCTTTTTATGTTTTTAAGTGGTTGAAAAAAAAAAACAGAAGAATATTTCATGACACGTGAAAATGACATGAAATTCACATTTCAGCGTCCATAATGTTTTACTGGAACACAGTCCAGCAGAGTTGTTGCAATAGAGCAACAGGCCTGCAAAGCTAAAATGCTGACTGTCTGGCCCTTTAAGAACAAGAGTGTTGGCTTGGCATGGTGGCTCCTGCCTGTAATCCCAGTACTTTGGGAGGCTGAGGTGGGAGGATCGCTTGAGCTTGGAGTTCGAGACCAGCCTGGGCCACATAGTGAGATCCCCGTCTCTACAAAAAAAAATACAAAAATTAGCTAGGCATGGTGGTGAACGCCTGTAGTCCCAGCTACTCAGGAGGCTGAGGCAAGAGGACTGCTTGAGCCCAGGAGGCCGAGGCTGCAGTGAACCATGATTGCACCACTGCACTCCAGCCTGGGCAACAGGGCGAGACTGTCTCTGTTTTTGTTTTTGGTTTTTTTTTTTTTGTATTTTTACTAGAGACAGGGTTTCGCCATGTTGGCCAGCCTGGTCTCGAACTCCTGACCTCAGGTGATCCACCCACCTTGGCCTCCCAAAGTACTGGGATTACAGGTGTGAGCCATGGTGGCTGGGTGAGACCGTCTCTTAAAAAAAAGAAAGAAAGAAAAAAAAAAATGAGTGCCAACCCCTGCCCGGGATTCCAGAGCTTGGCCCAGAGGGGAGGTGAACCTCCACTGCCCCACATTTGCTCACCCTCCACCCTCCGCCCTACCAGACCCCTCCCCCACTGCACACTCTGCGACCCCTTGTGGCCACAATGCCTCCTCCTGCCACAAGCAGCCCACACCCACGTCCCTGAAGGCTTGCGGGCACGTACTTCCTATCGAACTCCTTGTATGCGCTCTGGAGCCAGCCCAGGGAAGGCTTGTTCCGGCTGTTCAGCCCGTAGTGGAAATAGACGATGGTATAATCGTTCTCAACGTATTGGTCCAGTGTGTACTTCAAATACCTGGGCACAACACAGAAGATTCAGTTATGAAAATCACCTACTCATTATTGAAACCAAACGTGCTTTCCCTATAATGGAAGCTATGGTCACCCAGTAGGTGCCAGCACCGGGCCACATGGAGACTCCATGCACCGTGGGCCCCGGTCCTCATTTCCCAGATGACATCTGAGGCTCAGAGACGTTAAGTGACTTATCTAAAGTCACACAGCTAGTAAGTGGATGTGGTAGGCCAGATTGTTGCCCGTGGAAAGACATCCATATCAAATCCGTGGAGCCTGAGAATGTGACCTTATCTGGGAAAAAGGTCTTTGTAGGTGCAATTAAATTTAGGACCTTGAGAGGAGGGGCTCATCCTGGACTACCCAGGTGGACCTTCAGTGCAATCACATGCATCCTTCTAAGGCAGACACGAAGATGAGAAGTCAGAGGGCGGAAGGTCACGTAAAGACGGAGGCAAAGCAGAGTGTCGACGACAGCATGATGTGGCCACCAGCCCTGGAAGGCCCAGGACTGCTGACAGCCTTTATGGGCTGGACAGGCAAGGAAGGGCTTCTCCCTTCCCAGGGAGCACGGCCCTGGCCACACCTCAATTTTGAACTTCTGGCATCCAGAACTGTGAGAGAATACATTTCTGGTTTTACGCCACCACATTTGCGATCATGGTTACGGCAGCCCCGGGAAACTCACAAGGAGGATGAGCTGGGATTTGAACCCAGGAATGCTTGACTGCTCAGCCCTTGCCGTTGACCCCCAACACCACAGGCCCTTCTACCTCAGACACCCGGCTGCCTGCTGCATTTCTAAGGCAAGCAATTCCTTCCCTCCAGGTGAGCTCCTAACATTTTGCTTTTCATTACAAAGCCAGAGTCCTGACACTGTGCTCTGCGTCTGTCGCCCGCCACCCCCTATGGTGTAGGCTCTACCCATTTCCCATGGACCACGTTCCATCCTGCCCTGCTGCACCTAGCAAGCACTGTCTTCATGTCACCTGTGGGAAAGGGCTTGCCCTGCCATCTGCAGAAGGAAGGGCTCCAGAAGGACCCCCTAACCCTCCACCAGCACTCTGCAGGGCCTGACACTGAGCCGGTCAGGCCATGATCCCTCAGCTCAGGTTGTCCAGGTTCTCACCTGGAGCACATCTTGTAATTAACCCACCCACGTGGCCCCACTCTCTGAGGCTGTGGGTGGGGTGCTCTGCAGACAGAAGCTCCCAGAACTGCCTCGGGAGAAAGCCGCAGCAGCCTGTGCCCACCTGCAGAGGCTCGGCTGGTCCCGCACTGCCCGGAAGCCTGGAGACCAAGGATGCCAGCTTCTCCTGTGTGCGTTTGATTTCTTTTTTTTTTTTTTTTGAGACAGAGTCTGTCACCCAGGCTGGAGTGCAGTGGTGTGATCTCGGCTCACTGCAAGCTCCGCCTCCTGGATTCACGCCGTTCTCGTGCCTCAGCCTCCTGAGTAGCTGGGACTACAGGCGCCTGCCACCACGCCCGGCTAATTTTTTTTAATTACTATTATTTTTAGTAGAGGCGGGGTTTCACTGAGTTAGCCAGGATGGTCTTGATCTTCTGACCTCGTGATCCACCCGCCTCGGCCTCCCAAAGTGCTGGGATTACAGGCATGAGCCACCGTGCCCGGCCTGTGCGTTTGATTTCTAAGTGATGTCAGAGTGCCCTCTGACAAAAGCCCATACCACCTGAACTGCAGGCCTTCTACACGTTTAATTCTCCCAATGACCCTAGGAGCCAGGTACTATTATCTCCATTTTATAGACAAGTCAACTGAGACTCACAGAGGTGAATCAGTAAGGGGCAGAGCTGGGCTTTGAACCAAGTGGCCTGGCTCCAGCTTCCACACACTCAGCGTCTCTGAGAACTGTGGGCTGCCATCCACGCCTGCTCCCATCCCGTTGTCTGCTTTGATGTAGAGAAATCACGCACATCTGACCTCACACCATGCATGATTTCAGCTCACCCGTTGTGGAAGTAACTTCAAAACTCATTTTCCAGAGTGCTGTCTCGAACACCATGTGGGCTAAGCCACCGGGGCATACTTCACCAAGGTCATCCTTTATTGAGTCACTTTCTCAGAAAAACCCAGGTCGAGACTTCCACCTGAACACAGAGGGGTGGAAGAGTCCACGAACCACTGAGAACTCTTCACTCCTCCTCACTTCTCAGGATAGCCACTTTTGTATTTCGCAAATGACTTTTTCAAGAGAGGGAAACTGAGGCCAATGTCTTTGCACAGCTCCTCTTCCCACTCTGGGCGCCTCCTTGTAAAAGCAGGCACCCTTCCTTTGGCCCCAGCGCTGGGCTCTCCCCAGTGCCTTCTGTTCAGCACACTGAAATCCTCTGAGTGTCAATGCATCTGCCCGCGTGCTCAGCACAGGAAGTCATTAACTAAATTACTAGTTGGGTTTCAAAGACATAGACTTGTTTCTTCACCCGCTTCAAAAATAGGAGCATGCATCTGGCCACAAGAAAGCCATCCGGTTGGAATGGATAGGGAGGATAATGTACGGGGTGTTAATTTTTTTCATAAAGGCTGCGGAGAAGTAAGCCTGATGGCTCTTCTTATCAAGGCCGAGAAGCCCACAGAGCACCTTTGCATGAGTTAGAAAAAGATGCCTTTTCCTCTGGGCAGATGCTTGTCCCACGCTGAGTGAAAAAAGCACCAGGTGATGGTAGCTTCTCATCTGGTTAGCCTTGTGCTGTGAACAACCTATACAACTGTTCATGGAAGCCATGCTTACTACTTCCACCTAATAGTAAAGGAATCTTGGATAAGCACATAAAAGAGCACAAGGTACCAATTTGTTGTCAGGGGTGCTTTTTGTCCAATTTAGTTGAAATTCACATAACATAAATTAACCACTTTCAAGTGAACAATTCAGGCATCTAGTACATTCACAAAGCTGTGCAATTACCCCCTCTCTACAGCTCTGAAACACTGTTATCACCCCAAAAGAAAACTGAGACCTGTTCAACAGTCATTCTCCCCATCACACTCCCGGTACCCGGCAACCACCAATTCGCTTTCTGTCTTTGCAGGCACTTTTGTCTTTATAAGAACAGCAAATCGTGAGCTCATTCCTGGCCCAGCAGCAGCCTCCTCGGGGAGAGCTGACCCACAGGTCACAGGTCTTTCCGTGCCTAAATGACCTGACAAGGGAATGCGTCCTCTCAAGAGGACCCCAGGAGACGAGCTCTTCCTGGATCTAGCATCCATCTCTCCCTGTGTGCCTGGTAAACACCAAGAGTGGGCTGCAGGCTGGCATCGGCTCCTCACTGGGGTGAGCACCTCCTGGGGAAAGCCAGCCTCACTGTCTGGGGTAATCAGCACCAGGATCCAAGCTCGCCCCATGAATCCTGCAGGTCTCGCCGTGCAGCAGCAGCACTGGTGCACTGGTGGAAGTCGCTCCCGGCACCTGCTCCCCGCCAGGTCTCTGCCTTTGCCACTGCAGTTTCAGCTGTGGTCAGAAGATTCTTTAACAGACCAGATAGAATGCATATATTGGGGGGACTCTCATGAAGCAACCAGCCCAAAGTCTTCTGGGTGCTTCTATGTCCGATCATGCCTTTGTTCATCTTGAGTTGGGGGTTCCAGGTCGAGCCCACTCCCTGAGTCCCTTGGCTTTAGCAGTTAGATGCTGGCATCTGGAAGTGGTGGCAGGCACAGCCTCCCCGCCAGGGTCACGTCCTGAGCTGTCCCCAGCAGTGAGGGAGTCTGCAGCAGGCCAGGTGCCGTGCTCCCTGTCCTCACAAGGGCACATAAATGTTTCCAGGGACACCCAGAGATCGGCCAGGGCTTGGCCTCAGAAATGAAGCTCAATCAGTTCATTGTCGGGGAGCAAATTCCAAGGCCCTCAGAACCTAACTTCCCTTCACTAAGACTGAGCTTCTCCCCTGGGCCTGGGGGCCTCTCACTCACACAGACAGGGATTCCAGCAGAGGTGCTGCTCTCGCTATTTTGCCAACTCTCCCCCAGCAGCAGCTCTCCTGGGCCGGGGAGTTTCACCAGGAAGGAGGCTCGGTGGCCGCCTTATGAAAGCAGTGTGGCCAGCACAGCAGACACCAGCAGCAAGGGACAGATGAAAGAGGATGACAGGGCGCCCAAGGCCATACACAGGTGAGGAACAGGTGGTTCCTTCTGAGCAATGGGAAACGGCCAATGCAGAGGGTGCAGGGTGCGAGGCCCATGTGGCTTTGAGGAGGGTGATGGAGGGAGGGAAGGAAGCAGGCAGACCTAAGAGGGCGTGAGGCCCGGGCCCACGCTCAAGACTGTGGACCCAAAGCTGCTTTGGGCTGGAGAAGGCTCAGTCCTGCAGGTGGGTCTGGTGGCCTGGGGGTCATGTGACAGCCATCTAAGGACCCATGAGTCAATCTACTTTAGGTTAGTCTTTCACTCTGAACACCCAGTCTGTGCTGAGCATGTGACTTAGTCAACTTAGTGATGGAGAAGCGTGTGCACAAGAGGTGTGTGTGTATGAGAGCAGGTATGTGTGCACAGGAGGGGGTGTGTTCCTGGGAGGGGGTGTGTGCATGGGAGGGGGTGTGTGCATGGGAGAGGGTGGGTGCATGAGAGGAGGTGCATGCATGGGGGGGTGTGTTCCTGGGAGGGGGTGTGTGCACGGGAGGGGGTGTGTGCATGGGAGGGGGTGTGTGCATGGGAGGTGGTGTCTGCATAGTGGTGGGGGGTGGAGAGAGGACAGCCACAGTAGGGGACTGGCACAGAACGCAGGTAAGCACACAAGGGGACATATGCAAGGGACGATGTGTTTGGGGGTGCTGCATGCAAAGGCTGGGGGAACAGAAGGTGTAGACCCAGGAGGGGTAATGTACAGGGAGAGGCCACACACAGCTTTGGTGGCTATGAGGGCCCCTGGGCCCGTCCCTTCAAAGGGTTCTGTTCAATGCAGTAAAAGGTTCCTTGCCCAAGTTAGTTTGGGAAACTGCCTGAGACCTCCCCTTCTGAATGCTCCTGATGCTTGTTGGTATGGCAAACTAACAACAACCTTGATTTTCTACGGCCCCCCACCCTGTACCAGCTGTGGAGCCCATGCGCACCTGGGTGGCACTGGGAGTGTACAAGGGACATGGGGCCCAGGCACCCCCTCACTCGGCCCCTTCCACGTCCTGCCACCTTCTGTCTCAGAGTCATTTCCTGGCCTTAGTTCTCCCACCCCAAACCACAGGGGTGATTTCCTCAGTTCACAGGTGGGCCCTGATACAGTGACTATCTATCCAAAGTCTCACATACAGTAGGCGCTCAATAGATGCCTGCTGAGCCAGTGGTGGCGGCAGCAGCAGCAGCAGCAGCAGCAGGCCCTTGTCTTCTGTCCTGGGTTTGAATGCCACCCCTCAAAATTCCACCCAAAACCTCAGAGTGTGACCTTATTCGGAAATAGGGTCTTTGCTGGTGCAATGAGTTCAGATGAGGTGCCATGGAGTTAGAGTGGCTCTAGTCCCGTGGCTGGTGTCCTTATGAGATGGGAAGACACAGAGGCAAAAAGGCCATGTGAAGACCGAGGCAGAGATAGGAATGAGGTGGCCACAAGTCATCTGGGGCCCCCTGGAGCTGGAAGAGGCCAGAAGCTCCCCCGCAGCCTCCAGGGGGAGTGTAGCCCTGCCGCTGCCTTGACCTTGGGGACTGGTGCCCTCCAGAACCATGGAGGATCCACTCAGAGCATTTTAAGTTGCCAAGCATGTGGTCATTTGTTATGGCCACTACAGGAAACTCACACAGCTCTGAAGGTGTTCCCAGAGAGAGGCCCAGGGAGGTTTCAAAGGGACAGTGCGTGGGGGAGGCCTGGCGCTCGGCAGCCGTGTCATCTGCAAGGTTCGCCTACACCTAGGACCAGGGGACTGTCCCCAACTCCAAAGGGAGGCACCCACAGCTCGGGTGGCTAAAAGGAAACAAAACCTGGCTCCCACTGTGCTAATGAATGGTGCACAGAAGCCCAGGGACCAGGGGTGTCCACAGTTGGCCCTCGGGTAGGCTCATGAGTGCAAGAGCTCTGCACACCAGCAAGGTCACAAAGGAGGCCCCAGACCACAGCAGATGACTCAGAGTGAGGTGGGGTGAAGGGATGGGGACAAGCAACATGGAGAGACAGGGACAGAAAGAGAGGGGGCAGAACACTTACTCCAGCAGCCGCTGGTGGTCCAGCTCGTGGGAGGGTGGCATCCGGCAGCAGCTGAACGTGACAACACGTCTTCCAAAGCGGTCATCCCCTGGAGGAGCAGACACAGGTGAGCCTCTGTGCCACCTTCTCCTAGAAAATCCTCAGGCACTTAGCAAAAAGCAGCCTCCTTGGCCAGTCCAGCCCGAGCTGGGAGGCACAGGCAGCAGCGTTCCTCGGAGGCGACACCTGCTGAGTGAGCATCCATCACCTGTGGCTTTATGCACGTGGTCCAAGTTCATCTTCATGACCAGCCGTACGCTGGAAATAATCCCCCCACTTTACAGATAGAAAACCGAGGCCCAGCAGGGTTAAGTCATCAGTGCAGAGCCAGCTGGCAGGCGGCACCAAGGACTTAAATCGAGACGCATCTGACTTCAAAGGCAGGGTGTAGCCACTCTACCTCCTCCTCCAACCCCCCACCCCATGATTCTGGGCCATGGTGGAGGCCAGGGTGGCCTGGGGGACAATGGCTCCTGGGCATGACCTCATGTCGGGGGTACAGGAGCCCTCTCAGGAATGCAGATGCTCAGCCCTGCCGTCCATTATGGCCCGGGTCACCATGTGCTACAACAGTCTCTTGACACATCTGTGCCCCTCACACATAGACAGCTGCGGGGAGAGGTGCCCCCACACATAGACAGCTGCGGGGAGAGGTGCCCCCACACACGGACAGCTGCGGGGAGAGGTGCCCCCACACATGGACAGCTGTGGGGAGGGGCGCCCCCCACACATGGACAGCTGCGGGGAGAGGTGCCCCCACACATAGACAGCTGCGGGGAGAGGTGCCCCTCACACATAGACAGCTGCGGGGAGAGGTGCCCCCACACAAAGACAGCTGCGGGGAGAGGCGCCCCTCACACATAGACAGCTGCGGGGAGAGGCGCCCCCACACATGGACAGCTGCGGGGAGAGGCGCCCCCACACATGGACAGCTGCGGGGAGGGGCGCCCCCCACACATGGACAGCTGCGGGGAGAGGTGCCCCCACACATGGACAGCTGCGGGGAGAGGTGCCCCCACACATGGACAGCTGCGGGGAGAGGTGCCCCTCACACATGGACAGCTGCGGGGAGAGGTGCCCCCACACAGCTGCGGGGAGAGGCGGCCCCCACACACGGACAGCTGCGGGGAGAGGCGGCCCCCACACACGGACAGCTGCGGGGAGAGGCGGCCCCCACACACGGACAGCTGCGGGGAGAGGCGGCCCCCACACACGGACAGCTGCGGGGAGAGGCGGCCCCCACACACGGACAGCTGCGGGGAGAGGCGCCCCCCACACACGGACAGCTGCGGGGAGAGGCGGCCCCCACACACGGACAGCTGCGGGGAGAGGCGGCCCCCACACACGGACAGCTGCGGGGAGAGGCGGCCCCCACACACGGACAGCTGCGGGGAGAGGCACCCCCTCACACGGACAGCTGCGGGGAGGGGCGCCCCCCACACATGGACAGCTGCGGGGAGGGGCGCCCCCCACACATGGACAGCTGCGGGGAGGGGCGCCCCCCACACATGGACAGCTGCGGGGAGGGGCGCCCCCCACACATGGACAGCTGCGGGGAGGGGCGCCCCCCACACATGGACAGCTGCGGGGAGGGGTGCCCCCCACATATGGACAGCTGCGGGGAGGGGTACCCCTTGAGAGCTGGGACTGGGTCTGCTTATCTCTGTCCTCAGAATCCAGGCTCCGGGCCAGGCGCTTAGTGAGATAAAAAGACAGATCAGGCCGGGTGCAGTGGCTCATGTCTGTAATCCCAGTACTTTGGGAGGCCGAGGCGGGCAGATCACTTGAGGTCAGGAGTTCGAGACCAGCCTGGCCAGCATGGTGAAACCCCATCTCTACTAAAAATACAAAAAAATTAGCCAGGCGTGGTGGCACATGTCTACAGTCCTAGCTACCTGGGAGGCTGAGGCAGGAGAATGGCTTGAACCCGGAAGGCAGAGGTTGCAGCGAGCCAAGATTGCATCATTGCACTCCAGCATGGACAACAGAGCAAGAATTTGTCTCAAAAAAAAAAAAAAAAAAAAAGACAGAACAGACTCCTGAAGGAGAGGGCCCTGCAGACCATCCTCCATGCCTGCAGACCATCCTCCGTGCCTGCAGACACAGCTGCCTCTCCTCTCCCAGCCCCAACCCCACCTTGCCCCACCCCACAAGTGGCCAGAAGAGGTTGGAGACCTCATGGTTCAGACTTTCCTCCTCTCTCTGCCCAGGGCCCTGAGACAGAGGACCCCCTGCATGCAGGACACCCTGGGGAAGGCCCTGACAGTGACTCAAGTGCAGTCTGATGTCACCACCCACCCCCCACCCCCTGGATTCTCAGCACTTTCTCACTCCACGGCCACGGCTCAGGGACACGGAGAACAGATGGGCCGCCCCGCTTCCCAGAACCCACAGCTTCTTCATTACAATTAAACACACAAGGACACAGGTAAGAACAGCCTGAGGCACATGTGCCAAGGGTGAAAACAGGGCACAAAGGGGTACAGGCAGCAGTGGGGAGGGAGCCAAACCCACACCAGGCTGTCGTCAGGAGTGGGGAACACGGAGATCCCTCCACTGCTGGTCCACGAGGCCCCTACCTCTGCCCCCGAGGACCTGGCCCAGCAGCCTTCCTTCAGTTCTTCAAGGGCATCCTCCTGCCTGAGCTTCCACCTGGAATGCTCTCCCGCCTCCTTGCTGACTCTACACCCCTTCCCACTAAACCCCACCTCTGCAGAAAAGCTGTTGCCCCCCGCATCCGCAATGCCCTCTGGCCGGTCTGTGGACATGCCGTTGCATATGGGAGCAGCTCCTCTGGCTGTGAGCACAGAGGCAGGGGCTCCAACCCCAGTGGTACAGGCCCAGGAGGGGTAATGTACAGGGAGAGGCCACACGCAGCCTTGGTGGCTTTGAAGGCCCCTGGGCTCATCCCTTCAAAGGGCTCTGCTCAATGCAGTAAAAGGTTCCTTGGCCAAGGTTCCAGGCCCAGCACAGGGGCGGGGGGCTGTACAAAGGGGCCCAGGCCCTGGCTTCTGTGAGGGTGCTCATCTCCCAGGAGACCTTGGGGGCCCCCCAGGTGGGGGCTGGGGATGGGAAGCCTGGAGCAGGGTGCAGCCCCTCCTCCCAGCACTTTCTGCTCCCTCTTCCTTTCCTCACACAGGAGTGGGAAGACCCACACCTGCACCTTCCAGGACGAAAGCATTCACATTTTTAAAAGTCCAGCTCCTCGTTGCACATGCCTGTAATCCCAGCTACTCGGGAGGCTGAGGCAGGAAATTGCTTGAACCCGGGAAGCGGAGGTTGCAGTGAGCAGAGATTGCACCACTGCACTCCAGCCTGGTGAAGGAGCAAGACTCCCTCTCAAAAAAAAAAGTCCAGCTCCTCAGTGGCACTCGCCACATTTCAGGTGTCCAGCAGTCACGCACGGTGGGGGCTGCCCTGGACAAGGCAGGGATGGAGCGTGTCCAGCACAGAGAACGTTCCACTGGGCAGCGCTGATCTTGAGGGTGCAGATTAGGTGTGGACCTCAGGGAAGGGGCTGTGGGGCCGCTCAGTCCACCTCTAACCCTGTGTAGTGGGGGAAGAGTACCCCAGCCCTACCCAAAAAAAAAAAAAAACGCAAGTCCCCCTGGACCCTCAGAATGTGACACTGGAAACAGGGTCACTGCAGATCTAATTAGCTAAGGATCAAGATAAGATTATCCTGGATTTAGCGTAGGCTTCAAATCTAATGACTGGAGGCACAGTGGCTCACGCCTGTAATCCCAGCAGCATTTTGGGGGCCAAGATGGGAGGATCACTTGAGCCCAGGAGTTCAAGACCAGCCTGGGCAACATAATGAGACCTTCCTTGTCTCTAAAAAAATTTTTTTGGCCAGGTGCAGTGGCTCACTCATGTAATTCCAGCACTTTGGGAGGCCGAGGTGGGTGGATCACCCTAGGTGAGGAGTTCGAGACCAGCCTGGCTAACATGGTGAAACCCCATCTCTACTAAAAATAAAAAATTAGCTGGGTGTGGTGGTGCACGCCTGTAGTCCCAGCTACTCAGGAAGCTGAGGCAGGAGAATCTCTTGAACTCGGGAGGTGGAGGTTGCAGTGAGCTGAGATCACACCAATGCACTCTAGCCTGGGCAAGAGTGAGACTTTGTCTCAAAAAAAAAAAAAAAAATCTTATTGGCCAGGTGCGGTGGCTCACGCCTGTAATCCCAGCACTTTGGGAGGCTGAGGTGGAAGGCTCACTTGAGCTCAGGAATTCGAGGCTGCAGTGAGCTAGGATCACGCCACTACACTGCAGCCTGGGCAACAGAGTGAGACCCTGTCTCTTGAAAAAAAAATTACACACTTGCGTGCACACACGTACTCACATGCACACTGGCATGAGCGCACACACACGCGCGCACAGTGTGTGAACTCTTTGATGTCCCCGCCCTGGCTGCCTGGCCAGGGGGCTGTCTTTTATTTACGCCACGCATCTGATTCTTCCCAGGAGCCTGGAAGCTACTCCGAGGTTTGGAATCCTAGAGCAATTTCACAGCTTCCAAATACAGCATCCTCTTCATTTCACAGTTCCTTACGAATTCTGGTCACGCTTTCCATTTGTTTAGCAAGCTTCTGTTTTAAAGGGCTGCACTGCAAGCCACACTTTTATTTGCTTCCCTTGCCAAGTGGGAGTTTTCAGGCACAAAATCTTCAATGGCTATGCCTGAAAGTAGAGTGTTTTCCAGACAAAGTGTCTACCACCGCGGAGGCCAGGGTTCCATGGCTGACCCGGAGCCTGAGCCCTCCTCCTGTGGAATAACAGAGGAAAGAACAACTTTGCTCCTAAAGTGATGGGTGATTTATAAGGCTACTGAAGAAACAAGGAGTCAAATCAATGCCTTTAGGGTTGAAAGAGAAAGATAACATCAGGATTAAAAAAAAAAAAAAAAAAGCCAAGTAGCATTATCATGTCTGGAATCAGACCAAGTGCAAGTCTTGGGGGATGTGCCAGATAATTGGACCAATGGAAGATCAGCTCAACCAGCATTTGTTGGGGGCCCACTGTATACTCAGCTCCGGGGAGAGAAGATGAGACACGGCCCCTGCCAGGCCCCAGGGTCCAGGGGAAAGGGATCCGGGGGAAATGGGAGGTCTATGCCCAGCCCCACAAGAACCGTGGGAGCCCTGGCAGCCACACCCATCATCTATGTCTGCAACGGCTTGTATCTGGGCTTAGACCACCCTTCACAGGTTGAGGGCACCCCCATGAGAAGGCCACCCACGCATCTGACAAGCTGCCTACAAATCTAGGGGTTCCTACAATCCCTTCACATTTGATAATTTGCTAGAATGACTTGGAGAGCTCAGGAAGGCACTAGACTTAACAATCACAGCTTTATTACGAACAATGCAATTCAGGACCAGCCATAGGAAGAGACGCGCAGGGTAAGGTCTGGGAGCGTCCTGGACTCAGAGCGTCTGTGACTTCTCCCGTGGAGTTAAGAGGCCTCCCCTTTGGGCCCATCATCATAGCATCACCAACTGGGGGAGCGAGGGGCCAACGGAACCTCTGGAAATCCAGGGCCCCCATTGAAGCTTCATTTCTTCAGTGGGATTGATGGGATCACAGGCCACAGAGTGAACTCAGCCTCCAGCCCCTCCCTTCCTGGAGGTCTTAGAGCCCCCCACCCCCGCCATGAATAACAAAAATACTCCTTTCACTTGGGAAATTCCAAAGACTTAGAGCTACCTCGAGGGAACTGGGGACGAGGGCCAGCCGCATTCCGAATGATACAGCATCGGCCCACCCTGCACCCCAGCCCACCATCAGCTGCCCCCGAGGAGCAAACTGTGGGGGCCTCCACCCACCAGGCACAGAGATGCAGCAGAGGCCGGTCTCCAGCAAGAGCAGAGGCAGCAGAAGCAGGGACGGCGGGCAGTGGCTTTGCTGCCCAGCTCCAGGCCATTCCCGGGAGCAGAACAGCGTCTGCTCTGGGACCCCTGGTCACTGAGGAACCTCAGGGGGTGTTCAGAGATCACAGATGTGCTTCCCTGGGCTACTGGGACCCAAATGGGAGGGAGGGTCAAGGTCGCCAGGGCAAGGACTGAGGTCTGACTTTTTCTATTGACCCTGGGAAGCCAGGTGAGGAGGGGGAGGGACAGCCTACAGCAAGGCCAGTGGAGGCTGCAGACATGGAAAGGAGTAGGGATCCCAGGGACAGTGGCAAGGCCACTTACAGGGGAGAGGACACAGGAGGAGGAGCTGCCTGTGCATGTGTGGGCAAGTGGGGCTGCGGTGCCACCTGGGGTGGGGGAGGGGCTGGGAGGCTTGTGGGAGGAGCAGCCCCCCAGACTGGGTGGGTCCCGGGAGGTGTCCTGGGAGGCCTGGTGGGAGAACATGGCTCAGACCTGGTGTCCAAGAAAGAGAAGCCTGTGGGCCACAATGGGCCACCGCAGGTCTTTGGCAGCTTTTCCGCAGGTCCCAGCACCCTCCTTCTCACACCTACAGGCTCATCCCAAACCAGGGGGCTCCCCTCTGCCTCCCGCCCTCGTCTGGTTTGCAGGTGGTGGGGAGGGGAGGGCTCGTGGCCTGCCAGCGCACCAGTGCCTATTGCTGGTGAGGGGGCTTTGTGCTGTCTGGGGTAGTGTGGGGAGGGGACCTGTGGCTCTGGTCAGCTGGCCCAGAGGGTAGAGGGGGGTGTGGGGTGAAGCCAAGATAAGCAGGTAATGATGAATTCCCACCTGAGAAACTTGGACTCAGTTCAGCCAGCCACAGGGCCCGAGGTACCCAACCACGCCATGGGCCCCCTCCACCCTGCCATCTGCAATGAGGGTAAGAGGGTCCCAGGGCAGAGTACGGCACATGCAAAGACACCCCAGCCCAGAGCCCACACTGGGTCACGTCCCTGTTCCTCACAAGCATCCTGCTTGCATACAGTGCTGACTCATTCATTCAATAAACACTTATTAAACACCTACTGTTTGCAGAGCCCATGGTCTTGCATGATACTGAACTCTGAGAGTGAGCTGTTGTTGAAGGCTTTTTACTCCCTCCCAAACCAGAAGGGCAACTAATTTGGTATTTTGTTTTCATACCAACAGATTTCGTTTTTTGTTTTTTTTTTTTTTGAGACAGAGTTTGGCTGTGTCACCCAGGCTGGAGTGCAGTGGCATGATCATAACTTACTGCAGCCTTGACCTCCTGGGCTCAAACGATCCTCCCTTCTCAGCCTCCCAAGTAGCTGGGATTACAGGCTCGAGCTAAAGCACCTGGCTCATATCAATAGATTTCTAAATGTCCTTCCAAGTGAACACACAGCATTATTCAGATCTCATAAGCTTATGAAGCTTAGAGCAAGTGCCATGACAGAGAAGTTGGGTTCCTTATTCTATTATTTCTACATCTGTAGCATTTGAAAATTTCCATAATAAAGTATATTATTATTATTATTATTTTTCTGAGACGGAGTCTTGCTTTGTCACCCAGGCTGGAGTGCAGTGGCCCAATCTCGGCTCACAGCAACCTCCATCTCCTGGGTTCAAGCAATTCTTCTGCCTCAGCCTCCACGGTAGCTGGGACTACAGGTGCGCACCACCATGCCTGGCTAATTTTTTGTATTTTTAGTAGAGATGAGGTTTCGCCATGTTGGCCAGGCTGGTCTCGAACTCCTGACTTCATGATCTGCCTGCCTCGGCCTCCCAAAGTGCTGGGATTACAGGTGTGAGCCACCGTGCCTGGCCAATAAAAAGTTTAAAAGAGAGAGAGAGAAAAAAAGCAAAGGGCTGTACCCAGCCTGCCAGGGTAGAATCTCTTCCTCTGCCCAATCCCTGGCTGAGCTGGGCTGGCGCCTCTTTGGTCATCTGCAATACGGAAATAATAATGAAACTGACTTGGAGGGTTACAGGAAGGGTTAAATCAATAACCTGCATGAAGTCTTGGCACGGCCCCAGAACACAGTAAGTGCACTGTGAGCTGTTACCACGGACCAGGTAGGATGCTGGGTGCTTCCAGAAGTGCTGTGTCCCATCTTCTCATTTACAGGTGAGAAAACTGAGGCCCAGAGGCCAAGTGAGCGTCAGGGTGGGTTGACGCGAGCAGCTGGCCGAGGCTGACTCCCAGCCAAGCCTCCGCGCCTTCCTCTGCCCTGCGCATGCCCCGCACTGAGGCCGGCCTCCCTCGCTCCCTCGGTCTCCCCAGCAGCTGAGAGGAATCCCCGGAACCTTCAACCTTCCCACTTATTAAGCCATCAATGCCGCATCTGTGTTGATGCCATCAGTCAATATGAGTAAATACCCTTCGCTGTTCTCTGGGAACACAGGCCAGCACATCAAAACCAGGCTTCAATATGATATAATATGGAAGGAAATGAAAACTATCAATAAAATGCAAATTCTGCAAGGCATCAGATGAATTCATGACCCCTGTTTCTCCCCTCGCTGTTTACAACACCACATCACTCACTGTCTCTGCAATAGGAGAAGCCTGGTTTATGAATAAAGAAACGATTCCCACAGCCATTACCCACAGGGTGCGTGGGGCGAGTCATCATTCTCTCCCAGCGGACGGCGATTAAAACGCATCATAAAGGCAGTAGCAATCTATCGGGAGGGAGTCGCAAGTTTGCTATGGTTTTTGTTTGAAGTTGCCAACCATTTTTGCAAAAGTGGAAGGAGAGCTGAAGACCCCTTTAGGCCTGCGTGCTGCAGGAAAGCCCAGCCGGCAACGGAATGGGTTGTGTGCCAAAAGATCCGAACCCAGGGCGGTGGATGTGTGTTGTCCTGCAGGGCCAGGTCCGGCGTGGACTTCTCTCCCTCTCCCCTGCCACTCACCACCCTCCACGTCTCTGAGCGTCTACCTCTACCTCTTCTGGTCCTCAGACCTGGAACCTTCCATCCCCCACCCTGCTTCACACCACCTGATGGATCTCCACTCTGAGCTCCCAGCCTCAGCCCCAGACCAGAGCTTCAGACTCTGAAACACATGCTCAGCCCCACAATGACCACTTCTTAAGATACTGAAGTCAACTTTATTTACAAAACACTATTCTGGCCAGGTGCGGTGGCTCATGCCTATAATCTCAGGACTTTGGGAGGCTAAGGTGGGAGGATCCCGAGGTCAGGATTTCGAGACTAACCTGGCCAACATGATGAAACCTCATCTTTACTAAAAATACAAAAATTAGCTGGGCATGGTGGCAGGCACCTATAATCCCAGCTACTCAGGAGGCTGAGGCAGGAGAATCACTTGAACCTGGGAGGCAGAAGTTGCAGTGAGCCGAGATTGCGCCACTGCACTCCAGCCTGAGCAACAGAGTAAGACTTCATCTCAAAAAAAAAAAACCAAAAAAACAAAAAAAACCACCACCACCACCACCACTGTCGTTAGTGTCAAAATTCTACAAAGCTTCCATTTGGCCAAGCATATGGTCACTCAAGTAGGGAGAGATCATTCAAAATTCCTTTTGACAGGAGTCTGGTTTCTGGCTGTGGTTCCAGATGTTGGTCATGGGGGAAGCAGCAGCTGGGACAGAAAAATTCAGAAATGCGTTGGTGGGGAGTGACATCTAGTCACACCTGAAGGACGCAGGAGAGCCCTTGGCCGAAGAAGTCCTGGAGGGGTCCATGCCACGCCCTGGAGGAGCAGGAGGGCAGGGGGTTCCTGGTCCTGAACTGTCCCCCTGGGCCCACAGAAAACTCAGGTGCATGAACTGCACTTAGGGTACGAGAGAACGAAGCTGATGCCAAGGTGAGGCCCAGGAGGAGGAAGGGGAGAGGCCTCTGTTCTGCCAAGAACAGTCCTCAGTGAGGGGCCATCTGGGGATGTTCTCTGCTGGTTGTCCCAACTGAAAAAGCAACTGGAGGCCGGGTGCAGTGGCTCACGCCTGTAATCCCAGCACTTTGGGAGGCCGAGGCAGGTGGATCATGAGGTCAGGAGTTCAAGACCAGCCTGACCAACATGATGAAACCCCATCTCTACTAAAAATACAAAAATTAGCCAGGCGTGGTGGTGGGTGCCTGTAATCTCAGCTACTCGGGAGGCTGAGGCAGAGAATCGCTTGAACCTGGGAGGTGGAGGTTGCAGTGAGCTGAGATCGCACCACTGCACTCCAGCCTGGGCAACAGAGCAAGACTCCATCTAAAAAAAAAAGAAAGAAAGAAAGAAGAAAAAGAAGAAAAAGCTGCTGGCAATTGGAAGTTTTGCTGTAATAATTTTCTCTGTATCCAATGCACCTGCATTGGAATGTTTAGATTTTTCTTGCTTTGGTGCTTTGACTGTAAACTCTATTTCACCCAAGTGGAGAGTGGCTTCCACTAAGCTCTTCTCCAGGCACCTCCATCCTTGTTGTTCCTGATGACTGCTGGTTAAGGCCGGCATCTTTTCAGGATGGCTGAGGCCCTCATATGGTCTCTTGATATGGTTAAGTTTCTCAAGAAGCTGGGGGTATTTTTGTTTGTTTGTTTTTTGAGATGGAGTTTTGCTCTTATTACCCAGGCTGGAGTGCAATGATGCAATCTCGGCTCACTGCAACCTCCGCCTCCTGGGTTCAAGCCATTCTCCCGCCTCAGCCTCCCAAGTAGCGGGGATTACAGGTGCCCACCATCACGCCCGGCTAATTTGTGTATTTTTAGTACATACGGGGTTTCACCATATTGGTCAGGCTGGTCTCGAACTCCTGATCTCAGGTGATCCACCTGACTCATCCCCCCAAAGTGCTGGGATTACAGGCACGAGCCACTGCGCCCGGCGAAGCTGGGTTTTAAATAAGTGAAAACTCTGCTCCAACACAAGAGAACTATCTAAAAGCTGAAGACTGCTTCCTGTGCCATCATCTCCCAAGGAAGTCTGCAGCATCGAGGCCCTGGCTCAAGTGTCGACTCTGACAACTTCATATACTCCCCGGGAGGAGCACACACCCCAGCACAGCGCACAGCCCCCTAATGACACGGAAGGACCACAGTAGACTGCACTGAAATCCCACAACAACATCCCTCCCAGGCTAAACCCTGGCAGGTCCTCTTGTTCCAATTAGTTTTCTTTTTGCTGGGAGAAGGATGAATAATCTGGAAGGTTCCCAGTCCCCGGGGTACCCACCGGGAGAGCAAGTGGAGGGAGGCACATTGAAGAAGAAGGCCAAGTTCCAGGTGCGGTGGCTCACGCCTGTAATCCTGGCACTTTGGGAGGCCAATGAGGGTGGATTGCCTGAGCTCAGGAGTTTGAGACCAGCCTGGGCAACACGGTGAAACCCTGTCTCTACTAAAATACAAAAAATTAGTTGGGCATGGCGGCACGTGCCTGTAGTCCCAGCTACTCGGGAGGCTGAGGCAAGAGAATCCCTTGAACCCGGGAGGCGGACATTGCAGTGAGCCAAGATCATGCCACTGCACTCCAGCCTGGGAGAGAGTGCAAGACTCCGTCTCCAAAAAAAAAAAAAAAAACGGCCAGGTTCTTTCCCAGGGCTCCCCCTTCTCTTTTTTTTTTTTTTTTTTTTTTTGAGACAGAGTTTTGCTCTTGTTGTCCAGGCTGGAGTGCAATGGTGTGATCTTGGCTCACTGCAACCTCGGTCTCCCGGGTTCAAGCGATTCTCCTGTTTCAGCCTCCCAAGTAGCTGGGATTACAGATATGTGCCACCACACCTGGCTAATTTTTGTATTTTTAGTAGAGACGGGGTTTCACCATGTTGGGCAGGCTGGTCTCGAACTTCTGACCTCAGGTGACCCGCCTTCCTTGGGCTTCTAAAGTACTGGGATTACAGGCATGAACCATGGCCTGTAGGTGGCCTGGCCACCTCTTCTCTTAATTTAAACTCTTCCTTTACACCCCTGGAAACCTCATCCCATGTGACAACCCTCACCCCCAGTTTTTGGTTTCAGCTAGGCCACCAGCTGGACGTTTTTAAAAACATCTCTCAAATCCATGCCCTCCTCTGCATCCCACTGCCACGACATTAACTCAAACCTCTATTCTTGCTCTTACTGGCCTCCCTGACTCCAGTAGCTGCCGTCATCATTCTCCAACCCCAGAGACTTCTAAATTATACATCTGATTACATCCGTCCTATGTTTAATGTGCCCCAGAGCCACCATGACCAAATGCAAATTCCTCTGCTGACCCTCCCAGGCTTTGACAATGTGATTTCTGCTATATGTCCATCTTGCAATTAAAGTTTTTAAAAAACGTTTAGTGATAAGCTGTTTGTAACAGATGCACTTTCTGTGCAGACTGAGACAGACTGAAAGGAAAAAGGATGGAAGAGGCACACCTTACCAACACCAGTGATGAGAAAGCTGGTAGAGCTGTCTTGGCTATATTAGTATCAGAAAAATCGGACTTTAAGACAAGCAGTATCACCAGACATAAAGAAGGTCACTTAATAATGGTAAAAAATACACCTATAATCCCAGCACTTTGGGAGGCCAAGACAGGCCGATTGCTTCAGCCCAGGAGTTCAAGACCAGCCTGGGTAACATGACAAAACCCTGTCTCTACAAAAAAACCAAGAAAATTAGCCAGGCGTGGTGGCCTGTGCCTGTAGTCCCAGCTACATAAGAAGCTGAGGTGGGAGGACTGCCTGAGCCGAGGGAGGTAGAGGCTGTAGTGAGCCGAGACAGCGCCACTGCACAGCCTGGGCAACAAAGTGAGACCTTGTCTCAAAAAAAGGTCAATACATCAAGAAGTCATAACAATCCTAAGTATATATGCTCCTAGTAACAAAGCATCGGCCGGGCGCAGTGGCTCACACCTGTAATCCCAGCACTTTGGGAGGCTGAGGCGGGCGGATCACCTGAGGTCAGGAGTTTGAGACCAGCCTGGCCAACATGGCAAAACCCTGTCTCTGCTAAAGATACAAAAATTATCGGGGCTTGGTGGCGGGTGCCTGTAATCCCAGCTACTTGGGAGGCTGAGACAGGAGAATCACTTGAAACCAGGGAGCTGGAGGTTGCAGTGAGCTGAGATCGCACCACTGTACTCCAGCCTGGGCAACAGAGCAAGACTTCATTCCAAAAAAACAAAAAACAAACAAACAAAAAAACCAAAAAGCATCAAAACACAGGAAGCAAAAACGGACTGAACTAAAGGAAGAAATTTACAAAGTCCAATTTTGGGAGCTGTGAACACTCTTCCATTAGTAACTGAGAGCAGACAGAATATGCATAAGGATGTAGGAGATGTGAACACAACTTAATCATTAATCAACTTAACCTAACTGAAATACATAGAGCATTCTGCCCAACAACGCATAACATACATTCTTTCCACGTGCACAGGAAACATTTATTTACCTAGACAGATCATAGGCAAGTGTACTAGTTCTCAAACTTTCAGGTCTCAGAACCCATCAGTATTCCTAAGGTTATTATTAAGGACTTCGAAGAGCTTTATCTTTTTAAGCGGATTGTATCCATATATATTTACCATATTAGAAAACTAAAACAGAAAATTCAAAAATATTTATTCATTTAAAATAATAATAACCGGCCAGCATGGTGGCTCACACCTATAAACTCCAGCACTTTGGGAGGCAGAGGTAGGCGGATCACTTGAGGTCAGGAGTTCGAGACCAGCCTGGCCAACGTGACAAAACCCTGTCTCTACTAAAGATATAAAAATTAGCCAGGCATGGTGGTATATGCCTATAATCCCAGCTTCTCAGGAGGACTTGCACTTGGGAGGGTGAGGCTGCAGTGAGCCAAGATGGCACCACTGCACTCCGCAACAGAGTGACACCCTGTCTCAAAAAATAAAATTAAAGTCCAGGGATGGTGGCTCATGCCTATAATCCCAGCACTTTGGGAGGCCAAGGCAGGTTGATCACCTGAGGTCAGGAGTTCGAGACCAGCCTGACCAACATGGCAAAACCCTGTCTCTACTAAAAACACAAAAATTAGCTGGGTGTGGTGGCAGGCGCCTGTAATCCCAGCTACTTGGGAGGCTGAGACAGGAGAATCACTTGAACACGGGAGGTGGAGTTTAGAGTAAGCCAAGACCGTGCCATTGCACTCCAGTCTGGGTGACAAAATGAAACTCCATCTCAAAATAACAATAATAAAATAATAATAATAATAATAATAACATATAATAAAAATTTTAAACACTATATAAATTAAAAATATATATTTCCTGCCTTCCTTCTGTTGGCACCTGGCCAGGGGATCTGCATTCCTCACACTCGGTCCAGTGTTCCCTCTACCTAAATCCTAGAAGTTTTCTTAAAAGGACATTTGGGGGGAAAAAAAAAAAAAAAAAAAAAGGACATTTGGGGCTTCAAATGACTGAGTGCCTGTCAAGTCCTGCCCTCTTGCTGTCCCTCCTGTACACAGTGTGCACTAAAGTGTTTATCATGTTTCTGGGGTCTTTAACTGTTTGAGAACTGGCCTCTTTTTATTATTACCTTGACAAGATTCCAGGCCCCTCAGAGATGACAGCTAATGATTATGGAGCTCAGTGCAGGGGACATCAACGTGAGGGTTGGACTCACTGCCCATGGGAGAAATGCATGCTCAGACCTAAATTAAAGCAATGCAAGGCCGGGCACGGTGGCTCACGCCTATAATCCCAGCATTCTGGGAGACCGAGACAGGTGGATCACTTGAGGTCAGGAGTTCAAGACCAGCCTGACCAAAATGGCGAAACCCCGTCTCTACTAAAAATACAAAAATTAGCTGAGTGTGGGGGTGAGCGCCTGTAATCCCAGCTACTTGGGAGGCTGAGGAGGAGAATCTCTTGAACCCGGGAGGCAGAGGTTGCTGTGAGCTGGGATCGTACTACTGCACTCCAGCCTGGGCGACAGAGCGAAACCCTGTCTCAAACAAAACAAAACAAAACAAAACAAAACAAAACAAAACAAAGCAACGCAAGATGTTTTCCTCTGACCAACTGCTGGGCACGGAGTTGTTTGTTGTCTACGTTTTTGCAGATGTTTGTTGCTTTGGATGAGACATAACAGTGCCCTTGATTAATAAAACAATTCATTAAATTTCAGCCTCTGCTCTTTAAAGCCTAGCAGGACACTGCCCGTTGGCTTCTCGGAGCACCTGGGCAATGCTTTGACAAGTGTGTAATTTATTTCTCCAAACACACTAGCAGGCCCTCCTTTTCCAATTAGTTTTACTTCTTTCTTTTTTTTTTTTTTGTTTTTTTGAGACAGGGTCTCACCACTCTGTCACTCTGTCACCCAGGCTGGAGTGCAGTGGTGTGATCTTGGCTCACTGTGCAACCTCTGCCTCCCGGGCTGAAGCAATCTTCCCACCTCAGCCCCGCAAGTAGCTGGGAATACAGGCATGCAACACCATGCTCGGCTGATTTTTGTATTTTTTTTGTAGAGATGGGGTCTCACTACATTGCCCAGGCTGGTCTCGAATTCGTGGGCTGAAGCAATCTGCCCACTTTGGCCTCACAAAGTGCTAGGATTAAAGGTATGAGCCACTGCACCTGGCTCTAATTAGATTTCAATCTTGCCCAGCTGCAGTGAGGCAGCCCCTGACGAGCCCACTTTGCCTCAAAGTTGCCGAGAGGAAGGCTGCTCTGCCCATGGTCCTGCAGACTGCCCAGCTGGGGCCCTACCTGCCACCTGCAGAATGCCATGTCTGGCCACGTCGTAGAACGGGTGACTCGTGCTCAGCGCAGGATCCTGGCCAGCCATGGGCACCACCGAGGGCCTCTTCCTCACTGCACCCAGCACAGCAGCCGCCGCCGCCTTGTCTCTCTGCAGCTCTGCGGCAAAGAAGATTAAAGGAAGTCAGTGCATTCTCCAGTAAGGCGGGGAATGAGGGAGCCTCCTGATGCCTTTCATAAGACAGTCACCCACCTCTGCTGCACACCCACTACGCGCCCTACCTCAGCCGTGCACCCACTACGCGCCCTGCCTCAGCCGAGCACCCACTAGGCGCCCTGCCTCAGCCGAGCACCCAGTACGCGCCCTCCCTCAGCCGAGCACCCATTATACACTCTACATCAGTCGAGCACCCACTATACGCCCTACCTCAGCCGAGCACCCATTATGCACTCGACATCAGCCGAGCACCCACTATGCGACCTACCTCAGCCATGCACCCACTGTGTACTCTACCTCGGTTGTACACCAAGTGCCCATCCAGTGTCCAGCACCATGGAGGGAGAAAAATAAGACCTAAGGGTCAGATACTGTCCACATTGACAGGGGTGGCAACTAAGGCTCAGAGAGGGAGAGTGACTTGCTAACTGGCAGCAAGGTGTGGACTTAACCTTGAACCTCCAGCTCCAAATTCTGAGCCAGGCCTCCATGAAAGACCCTGACACTGGCAGCCAGCAGGAAGCCAGTGCTGCCGAAAGCACCAAGGTGGGCTGGGGTTGAGGGCAGGCACTGGGGTCACTGCCATATGAGGAAGAAAGAAAAGGCTGCCCTCCTAAGTTGAATCTTAGCAGGGGAGGTTCTCATGCAAAACCAATCAGGGTTCTTAGAGAAATGTTTTCAGCTGCAAAAAAGAACAGGAATTTTGAATTTCAAGGTTAGAGCAGATGTAGGATCCCAGGTGTAGGGGGTTGAAGACTATCCCCTCCCCACCCCAGTATTCCTCCTGGAGCTCGGAATGTGACCTTATTTGGAAGTCGGGTCTTTGGAGATGTAAGTAGTTAAGATGTGGTCAACTGGATCAAGGTGGGCCCTGAATCCAATGACTCAGGAGATACAAGGGGAGGGTGTGTGAGGACGGAGTCACAGACTAGTGTGATGCGGCCGCAAGCCAAGGGACACCAGGAACCACCAGAAGATGCAAAAAAGACCCTCCCCTGGAGCCTTCGGGAAAGTGCAGCTCTGCAGACACCTTGACTTTGGACTGGTGGCCTCCAGAACTGAGACAGTGACCTGTTGTCTTAAGCCGCCAGGTTGTGGCACTTTGCTGGCGGCCCGAGGAGATGGGTAGATTCAGGTCCCATGGAGTTAGGAGGCCTAGGGCATGACGAGGCTGGTGAGGGTGCCCGAGGAGAAAGCACTGGCTTTTCTAACAATTTCTGGAGGTGATTCTGATGCAAAGTCAGGTTTGAGATTCACTCATCCAGACCAACACCCCATCGAGGAGGGAGCGTGAGGCGGGGCCTGAGGGCTGCCTCACATGGGCTGGAAGCTGCTTCCCACACCTCCCTGCCCACTCAGTCCCGGTCTACCCCAGTCCTTGGGGTGTTTACCTGGTATTTACTCAGCACCACTCTGTGCAGGAATGGGGCGGGGGATGGGGCCAAGGCCCCTGTTCATCAACAGGTGTGAGGGTCCCAGGGTGGGGTGAGTAGGGGGTGCCACAGGACACCCCTCCTTCCAGTCAGTCAACAAATATGCATTGAGTACCTACTATGTGCCAAGAACACTTTCCGGCAGTGAGGACCCAGCAGCCACACAGGCAAAGCCCCTGCGTCGGGCAGAACAGAGGCCTCCCAGTGAGGTCCACATCCCGCTCCCTGGACCCTGTGCATGTGACTGTCTGTGGCAAAAGCGATTCTGCAGAGGGGATTAAGTTAAGGATCCTGAGATGAGTGGGTTATCGTGGATTATCCAGTTGGGCCCAAAGTACAGTTGTCTCTCAGTATCCTGGAGGGATTGGTTCCAGGACCCCCCAGGGATACCAAAATCTTTGGAAGCTCAAATCCCTGATAGAAAATGGCATAGTGTTTGCAAGGAACCTACACACATTCTCCCGTATTGTTCAAATCACCTCTAGATTACTTATAATACCAAATACAATGTAAATGCTATGTAAGGAATTTTTATACTGTTTGTTGTTGTTTTGTTTTGTTTGAGACCGAGTCTCACTCCCTCGCCCAGGCTGGAGTGCAGTGGCATGATCTCTGCTCACTGCAACCTCCACCACCTGGATTCAAGCAATTCTCCTGCCTCAGCCTCCTGAGTAGCTGGAATTACAGGCATGCACCACCACGCTCAGCTAATTTTTGTCTTTTTAGTAGAGACAGGGTTTCACCATGTTGGCCAGACTGGTCTCGAACCCCTGGCCTCAAGTGATCTGCCTTCCTTGACCTCCCAAAGTGCTGGGATTACAGGTGTGAGTCACCGTGGCTGGCAGTGTACTTTTTTTTTATTTTTAATTTGCATGGTTTTATTGTGGTATTAAGATTTTTGCATTGCTTTTATTATTGTATTTTTTATGTATTATGTTATGAAGTATTTTTGATTTGCAGCTGGTTGCATCCTTGGATACAGAACCCGTGGGTGCAGAGGTTGAGTATAATTGCAGGGGGTCCTTACAAGAATGAGGCAGGAAGGGCTGAGTCAAGGAAGCAGCCATGACCATGGGTGGAGGCAGAGAGAATGATGGGGACAGGCTCTGCGGCTGGAGGCAGGATGGGCCCGAGCCCAGGAATGTGGGCAGCAAAGGGCAGGAAACAAAGCCTCCCTGGAGCCTCCGGAGGTACAGCCGGCCGCCAACGCCTTGACCTCAGCCCAGGAAACACCTTTCGGACAGGTCGGGAAGCTAAGGTCTCTGTGCTATTTGTGCCGCTGACGGGGTGGGGACCTGCTGCGGCAGCCACTGGAAGCTTGCACAGCTCTGGCCTCAGGGATGCCGGTTCTAGTGCGGTGGAGCAGAGGCATGAACAGGGAAAGGAGAGAGACCTAGGGGAGGTGGGTGCAGGAGGTGGGCCTCCAGGGACCTTCACCCCAAGTGTGACAGAGCGGCTGGATGTCCTGAGTCGAGCCTGCCTGATGGGGCTTCCAGGATCCCTCTGGCTGCAGAGAAGGGGGAGCAGGAGGCCTGTGGGGGCCGAGCTCTTCAATGACAAGCTCCGGGTGTGGGTCCTGGCTGGTGCTGGCCCTGAGTGGCAGTGAAATGGACTGCCCGCCTGCCTCTGTGTGGACAGCTCGGGGATGGACCGCTGCGGGGGTGGGGAGGGGGCACTCAGAGAGTGGCAAAGCCCTGCAGGCAGGGGAGGGCCTCCAAGGTCAGCGTGGCTATGGGAGAGCCAGGCCAGACCATGGAACCTTGAACGTGGGGAGGACTTGGGCTTCATGCAAGGTCAGGAGTTCGAGACCAGCCCTGCCAACGTGGTGAAACCTCCTGGGCCCTGAGAAGATTGAGCAGAAACATGGAGTGGGGCAGCCTGGCCCAGAGGGAGGGAGGGAGGGAGGGAGGGGAGCGTGTGTATCGGGCTGGAGCTGGGCTGGCCCAGGCCCACTGCGGGAACCATCCTGGAAACCCCCGTGGCCCTACACGTTAGCCACGTGGACACCCCCATCACTGCACAAGTGGAGGCCTCCTGATGTTTCAGTGCTAAAGCGTGCCGTGGAAAACAGCGTGGCAGCTCCCCAGAAAGCCAAACCTACGACCCAGCCAAGGAGAAGCCCAGGAAAGCTGGAGACGGGGACTGAGCAAATACACGTACACGCATGCTCAGAGCAGCACTGCTCACAACAGCCAAAGGGTGGCAACTGCCCAGATGTCCACCAGTGGATGGATGGATAAGCCACGTGCGGTCCAGCCATATGGTGAAATATTACTCAGCCGTAACAGGATGAAGTTCTGGCCTATGACCCAACATAGAGGAACTTGAAACCGCTCTATTCAGTGAAAGAAACCAGGCACAAAAAAGCACACACGGTATGATCCCATTTACATGAAGCGTCCCGAATAGGCAAATCCACAGAGACAGAAAGCAGATGGGTGGATGCCAGGAATGGAGGGAGGGAGGGCAGGGGAGTGGCTGCTTAATGGGAGTTTCCCACTGGGGTGATGAAAACGTTCTGGAACTAACTAGCAGCGGTGGGTACACAGCACTGTGAGTGGACTCGACAGCCCTGAATTGTGTGCTTTAAAGTGATTAATTTATTCTTTTCATTTATTTTTTATTTTTTGAGATGGAGTCTCACTTTGTCGCCCAGGCTGGAGTGCACTGGTGCGATCTTGGCTCACTGTAATCTCCTCCTCTCCGGTTCAAGCGATTCTCCTGCCTCAGCCCCCTGAGTACCTGGGACTACAGGCATGTGCCACCATGCCAAGCTAATTTTTTTGTATTTTTAGTAGAGATGGGGTTTCACCACATTGGCCAGGCTGGTCTCAAACTCCTGACCTCAAGTGATCTGCCCGCCTCAGCCTCCCAAAGTGCTGGGATTATAGGCGTGAGCCACCACACCCGGCCCTAAAGTGGTTAATTTAATGTTACACGAATTTCAGTCCAATTTAAAAGAGAAGGGCTAGACACGGTGGTGCATGCCTGTAATCCCATCTACTCAGGAGGCTGAGGTGGGAGGATCGACTGAGCCCAGGAGGTCAGGGCTGCAGTGAGCCAATTTCACATCACTGCACTCCAGCCTGGGCAACACAGCAAGATCCTGTCTCTAAAAATAAAATAAAAATAAATAAAATAGGCCAGGCACGGTGGCTCACGCCTGCAATCCCAGCACTTCGGGTGGCTGAGGCATGTGGATCACCTGAGGTCAGGAGTTCAAGACCAGCCTGGCTAACATGGTGAATCCCTGTTTCTACTAAAAATACAAAAAAATTAGCCGGGCGTGGTGGCACGCACCTGTAATCCCAGCTACTTGGGGGCTGAGGCAGGAGAATCCCTTGAACCTGGGAGCCGGAGGCTGCAGTGAGCTGAGATCGCGCCATCGCACTCCAGCTTGGGCAACAAGAGTGAAACTCTGTCTCAAAAATAAATAAACATTTAAAAAATAAAATAATATAATATAAATCATTTTAAAAAGAAAAAAATGCTACAGTACATGGGAAGCACTATGGTAAGGAAACAGGATGAGGCAGGTCAAGGGACCCCATCTGAACGCAGCCCACACTTGAACCTCATACTGCAATCTCCTGAATCTGCATTACCGTCACGCTGCCACAGCAACCCAAGGGAGAAATGGGTTCCTATCGCTGCAAGCCTGAAGCAGTAAGGAGAGTAAACCAGAAGGCAAAATCATGAGTTCTTGGAAGCAAACCAAGCAATGTATGTAAAATTCCACGAAGACTTCCTGCATCTGGATGTGAAATGCTGATGCTAGATGCAGAATGGAAAATGATTTCTTCCAGAGCGGCGGGTCGTCAGTAGGTTCTTAAGATCGCCTCTGGTTATTTCAAACCCAGAAGAGAAATCTGCCCGGCAGCCGCCGGCAGCGCACATGATAGTGACAGCCACTGCCCCTCACTTGGACACACGTGCACGGGAGTCTGTGGAACCCAGGGGATACCTGGAAGCGAGGCTCTCCTCCCAGCTTGGCCTTTGTCGCCTGGTTTCCTCAGGCATGCTCTTCAGTGCCTCTGAGCCTCAGTTTATTTTTCTGTAAAATGGGAAACAGAACCTAGCACCTTATAGGGTAGCTCTACCGTGAATGAGGGTGTTATCTCACTAAAGCCTCACAACCCAGGAGGATGATCCTCATCCCCAGGGCTTTATTTAAATCTGCATAAAGCAAGTCTACAAAGATAAAACATGGACTAATGGCATTGGCCAGTGGTGGGGGTGAGGGCAGGGCCTGAGGATGGGGTGGAAGAAAGACTTTTCACTGAATACCTATTTTATTTTATTTTGAGATGGAGTCTTGCTCCGTTGCCCAGGCTGGAGTGCAGTGGTGCGATCTCGGCTCAATGCAACCTCCGCCTCCCTGGTTCAGTAGATTCTCCTGCCTCAGCCTCCTGAGTAGCTGGGACTACAGGCGCCCGCCACCATGTCCGGCTAATTTTTTGTGTTTTTAATAGATATGGGTTTTCACCATGTTGACCAGGTTGGTCTTAAACTCCTGACCTCAGATGGTCCACCCGCCTTGGCATCCCAAGGTGCAGGGATTACAGGCATGAGCCACTGTGCCCAGCCTGTTTTTTATTTTATTTTTTAAGAGATAGGATCTTGCTCTGTAGCCCAGGCTGGAGTGCAGTGGCGCAATCACAGCTCACTGCAGCCTTGGCCTCCTGGGCTCAAGAGATCCTCTTGCCTCAGCCTCCTGAGTAGCTGAGACCACAGCTGTGCACCACTGTGCCGGCCCACTGAGTGTATTTTTATAAAGTTAGATTTTTTTTGAGCCACATGAATATATTATCTACTCAAAAACTAAATGTATACCAATGATCTTCTCCCAGGACCAGGCTGGAGGGAGAACATACATTAGCTATGCCGGCCAGCTCCTCAAAGTCCAGCCCGGACACGCTCACCTGGCAGATGGGACACCTGCTGCCACCTCTTGGGGTCCCAGCCTGGGGGTCCCTCCCTCTGACACCCTGAGGGAGAAGCACACAGAACACAGAGGCGTGTTTCACACAAGCCCGCAGGGTTTGAGGAAATGCCCTTCAAGGGACCCCCCTGTTGTTTTGTCTAAAATGAAGAAAAAGGCCGAGCGTGGTGGCTCATGCCTGTAATCCTAGCACTTTGGAGGCCGAGGCAGGTGGATCAACCGGGGTCAGGAGTTCGAGACCAGCCTGGCCAATACAGTGAAACCCCATCTCTACTAAAAATACAAAAATTAGCTGGGCGTGGTGGCCCATGGCTCACACCTGTAATCCCGGCTACTCGGGAAACTGAGGCAGAAGAATTGCTTGAACCTGGTAGGCAGAGGTTGCAGTGAGCCGAGATCACCCCACTGCACTCCAGCCTGGGTGACAGAGCAAGACTCCAACTCAAAAAAAAAAAAAAATCCTCAAACTGGAAACCGCCCATGTAAATCTCCACAGCAGGCAAAGGAGATGTAAATGGCAGATGTCCTACAGCGGGATGTTACATGCCAGGTGGACAGGCCACTATAGCCACGCGTACCGACGTGAGTGGTCTCGCAATATGTTGAACAAAAAGTCAGACACCGGCCGGGCGCAGTAGCTCATGCTTGCAATCCAAGAACTTTGGGAGGCTGAGGCAGGCAAATCACCTGAGGTCAGGAGTTCGAGACCAGCCTGGTCAACATGGTGAAACCCCATCTCTACTAAAAATACAAAAATTAGCCAGGCGTGGATGGTGGGGACCTGTAATCCCAGCTACTAGGGAGGCTGAGGCAGGAGAATCGCTTGAACCCAAGAGGCGGAGGTTGCAGTGAGCCAAGATCGCGCCACTGCACTCCAGCCTGGGTGACAGAGTGAGACTCTGTCTCAAAAAAAAAAAAAAAAAAAAGTCAGAGACCAAAAAGTCAGTCACTGTGCAATTCCACTTTCTGCTTTTCGTTACGTATCCATTCCAAGATTCCTGATCTATTTGTGGGTGTGTTTTGCAGACCATCTTTTGAACTGATGGTAGCTGCTGCCTGGTTCACTCATTATGGGTGAAAGAAAATCATTAACATGTTTGTTTTATATCTGTGTGAGAGTTCTGATTTTCCATTTCCTGGAAGTTACCTTTTAATGTGGGGTTAGAGAGAGAGGAGGGCTGACCATTAGAACTGGGGGCAGAAATGAATCAAGGGTGAGGCCGTTATTTCTGCTGTTTTGCTATCGTCCCAGGGCACAGAAAACTGATTTTAGCCTGACCACCTGAAGAAGTTACAGAAGGAAGAATGGCCATAATCAAAAAATCATAAAATAATAGATATTGGCGTGGCTGCGGTGAACAGGGAACACTTCTACACAGCTGGCAGGAATATAAACTAGCACAACCACTATGGAAAACAGTGTGGAGATTCCTTAAAGAACTAAACGTAGAACTACCATTTGATCCAGCAATCCCGCTACTGGGTGTCTACCCAGAGGAAAATAAGTCATTATACAAAAAAGATCCTTGCACACCCATGTTTATAGCAGCACAATTCGCAATCGCAAAAATGTGGAACCAGCCCAAATGCCCATTAATCAACGAGAGGATAAAGAAACTGTGATATAGACATACGATGGAATACTACTCAGCCATAAAAAGGAATGAATTAATGGCATTCATAGCAACTTGGATGAGATTGGAGACTGTTATTCTAAGTGAAGTAACTCAGAAATGGAAAACCAAACATTGTTACGTTCTCATAAGTGGGAGCTAAGCTATGAGGATGCAAAGGCATAAGAAAAACACAATGGACTTTGGGGACTTAGAGGGAAAGGGTGGGAAGGGGGTGAGGGATAAAAGACTACACATTGAATGCAATGTATACTGCTCAGGTGATGGGTGCACCCAAATCTCACAAATCAACACTAAAGAACGTACTCATGTAGCCACACCACCTGTTCCCCAATAACCTATGGAAATAAATAAATAAATAAATAAATAAATAAATAAATAAATAAATAAAATAGTCCAGGCACAGTGGCTCATGCCTGTAATCCCAGCACTTTGGGAGGCTGAGGCAGGTGGATCACCTGAGGTCAGGAGTTTGAGAACAGACTAGCCAACATGGTAAAACCCCGTCTCTACTAAAAATACAAAAATTAGCTGGGCATGGTGGCGGACACCTGTAATCCCAGCTACTTGGGAGGGTCAGGCAGGAGAACCGCTTGAGCCCGGGAGGCGGAGGTTGCAGTGAGCCAAGATTGTGCCATTACACTCCAGCCTGGGTGACAAGAACAAAACTCTGTCTCAAAATTAACAACTAACTAAATAAAATAAAACAAAACAATCACCACTGGGTGGGCTCAAATACAAGTTAAGAATTCAGAAGGGAGAAAAAAAAAAGCAGCTGCAGAAGTAAAGCCACTGGGTGTCTGACAGCAGCTGTTAAATGGGTAACGAGCAGTAGGGAGGAGACTTCAGGCCCAACAGAGTGACCCTGCTCAGGGGCGAAAGTCTTTGAATTTCTGCCAAGAGAAAAGTGTTTAAAGCCACCTTTTAATGACATGAACCTACCTGGCTAGTGAGAAAAGTGCTACTACATTCTGATCATGAGATTTTATTGTTGGGAATGATTTGCCAGGACTTTCTCCAAGCAGAAGAGCTCAGGGATTTTATTTAAAAAGTGTTGGGAGAAATGTTCAAAATTGAGACGAACGTTTAAGCACAACATGGGGAGTCAGCCGCCAGGGTCTGAGCCCAGCCCTGGCCCCTAGCGTGAGACAGGCACATACCATAACAGAGGCTGCTCCAACTGTGCCAAGGGGAAGGCCTGGGCCCAGCGGGAGGTGGTAGAGTATGCCTGTTGAAGAATAGCAGAGTGTTACGGGAGTGGAATGATTCAGACTTGAGGAACACGTGCTAGGGAGACACAGCAGGTTCTTGAGCAGAGGAGTGCCTGAGAAGGTCAGCAGAGGCTTCTAGAACCTACAATAGCTCAGGAGCCTGAGGGCAAAAAGCCGGTCCCAGAAACAGCAGGAACAGCATTGCAGGAGGAGCAGGTGCTTGGGACATGTCCCAAGCTGCATAGACAGCGAGGGTGATGGACAGAGCAGGCAGGGCACAGTGGGCCTTGAGGCAGGGGGGATACAGGGAGAGGCTCCCAGTGGAAGGAGGGGTGAGTTACAAGCAACAGCAAACACCTCTTCCCATGCACCCCTACCCCCGCCACCAGGCCACCTACAGTGCGCAGCGCCATTAATTCTGCTCTGACGCCACCCGCTGAAGCAAGGCTTTCAGTTAATTACCAAATCCTCCCGGAGTGCCCAGTGCTGGGAACCGGCAAGTGAAGCCTCAGTAACTCAGAATAAAGGGCAACACAGGGAGGGCCCATTTACATTAATGAAAAATCTGAACTCCAGGAGCCTATTAAGAAGACAGCGTTTTATGACTCTCAAACAAGGCAGGTGGCACTTCAGGAGATGTTGCTTACCACAGGCCTCACCACAGTGGAGACACAGGAATAATTTTAACAAGTACAAGGATGCCTACTTTTTTTTTTCTTTTTTTTTGAGACGGAGTTTCACTCTTATTGTCCAGGCTGGAGTGCAATGGCGCGACCTCAGCTCACTGCAATGTCCGCCTCCCAGGTTCAAGGGATTCTCCTGCCTCGGCCTCCCGAGTAGCTGGGATTACAGGTACCCGCCACCATGCTCGGCTAATTTTTTGTATTTTTAGTAGAGACTGGGTTTCACCATTTTGGTCAGGTAGGTCTCAAACTCCTGAACTCAGGTGATCCACCCGCCTCAGCCTCCAAAAGTGCTGAGATTACAGGTGTGAGCCACTGCGCCTGGCTGGATGCCTACATATTAATGAGGGTTACAGAAGCCTCTGGAAGCAGCTTGTACTTGTGACATCTTCAGGGGATGGGAAGTGCCGTGAAGTTTTAGACTACAGCTTGGCAGCTGGGACCTGAAATCTGGAGGTGACTCACTCGCTTCTGACTTACCTGGGAGAGGAGGACTCACTCCATGAGTGACCAGAATCAGGAAGGCTACTGGTTTCTGAATGAGGCAAAGCTCGAGTTGAAACATCAAGCAAATTTGGAAATGTGGGCCAATCTAGGTGACTGAAGGAGTCCTTCTATTACCAGGGAAGCTAATTTTTCCAGAATGCTAAGTAGCTACATAATATAGATAAACTGATTAAAAATGAGATACGATTTGTGCTAAAAAATAGAATTCAGGTACTAAAAATTTCCCTTAAAGAGTTATGGGCCAGGTGCGGTGGCTCACACCTATAATCTTAGCACTTTGGGAGGCCGAGGTGGGTGGATAACCTGAGGTCAGGAGTTTGAGACCAGCCCAGCCGACATGATGAAACCCCATCTCTACTAATAATACAAAAAAATTAGCCGGGCGTGGTGGCACATGCCTGTAATCCCAGCTACTTGGGAGGCTGAGGCAGGAGAATCGCTTGAACCCGGGAGGCAGAGGTTGCAGTGAGCCAAGACTGTGCCATTGCACTCCAGCCTGGGCAACAAGAGCGAAACTCCGTCTCAAAAAAAAAAAGAGAAAGAATTATGTCCCCTCAGGGTTATGACAGCCCTGCTGGAGTTGTCCACAGGTCAGGGAAAGGCTGCCTGCAGATGGCCAAGCTACCACCCAGGAGGCCGTGAGGGGAGAAGCAGCCAAGTCCACCAGAGGCTGATATCCAGGCAGCCAGACTCTCGCCATCTCTGCTGACCCATAGGCCCAGGCCAGCTCATATGGTACATAAAACGCTGGTGCTGAGTATGAAAAATTCAGAGTGCTCATTCTCCTTTCAGTTTATGTGTTGTGCTGCCCAGGAAACCTTTGCCTCTTGGAATTTCTATTAAAAAATATTCCCCAAGGCTGCACACCGTGGCTCGTGCCTATAATCCCAGCACTTTGGGAAGCCGAGGCAGGTGGATCAACTGAAGTCAGGAGTTCGAGACCAGCCTGGCCAAAATGGCAAAACTCTGTCTCTACTAAAAATACAAAAAGTTAGCCAGGCATGGTGGTGAGTGCCTGTTGTCCCAGCTACTCGGGAGGCTGAGGTAGGAGAATCACTTGAACCCAGGAAGCAGAGGTTGCAGTGAGCCACGATTGCTCCACTGCACTCCAGCCCGGGTGACAGAGTGAGACTCCATCCGCCCCCCGCCCCCACCCCTCCAAAAAAAGGCCAGGCACGGTGGCTCACGCCTGTAATTCCAACACTTTGGGAGGCTGAGGTGGGTGGAGCACCTGAGGTCAGGAGTTTGAGACCAGCCTGGCCAACACGGTAAAATCCGTCTCTACTAAAAACACAAAAATTAGCCAGGTGTGGTGGCGGGTGCCTGTAATCCCAGCTACTTAGGAGGCTGAGGCAGGAGAATCACTTGAACCCGGGAGGCAGAGGTTGCAATTAGCCAAGACTGTGCCATTGCACTCCAGCCTGGGCAACAAGAACGAAACTCCATCTCAAAAAAAAAAAAAAAAAAAAATCTCCCAAAGAAATACCAATAAACAAGAAAATAGTCAAATGTCATACAGTCTCTGCTACCATAAAGACACTAATTATAAAGGCATTTTTTTGTTGATGTTGTTGATTGGATAACTTATATTCAAACTACAATGTCCTATCACTGCAGCTGTGTCAGCCTTGGCACAGACATCGGCAGTGATAGGACACTCACTACCTTCTCAGGAAGTTCACTACATCTTGGCTCGGAAATGACTGCTAAAACGTTCTTCCTTTCACCAAGACTAAAATCCATCTCTATCAACAGTTCATCCTTAACTTTAACCCCGTGACTGTTGAAAACCAGCCTGGTGTTGAAGGAAAGGCATAAGACTTGGAGTTAGAAAGGCATAAATTTAAGACCCTAGAGCAGAATGAGTGTGCATCCTGCAGCCAGACTACCTGGAGAGCCTTTGGCACCTGTCTCAACCCGTGTCTCCATTTCTTAGTTTATAAAATATAGACAACAACAGCACCTTCCTCATAGAGAGAATATAAGGATTTAGCGAGATAATGCAGTCAATTGCCCAGCATGGTACCTGGTATGTGACTGGTATGCAGTAAATGTTCACAACCATCATCACTATAGTATAAATGGCATATTAATAAGTCTACATTTTGCTGGGTGTGGTGGGTCATGCCTGCAATCCCAGCACTTTGGGGGGCCAAAGCAGGTGGATCACTTGAGGCCAGGAGTTCAAGACCAACCTGGGCAACATGGCAAAACCCTATCTCTACTAAAAATACAAAAATTAGCTACATGTGGTGGTGTACACCTTTAGTCCTAGCTACTCGGGAGATTGAGGCAGGAGAATCACTTGAGTCTGGGAGGCGGAGGATGCAGTGAGCCAAGATCATGTCATTGCATCCCAGCCTGGGCAACAGGAATGAAACCCTGTCTCAAGAAAAAAGAGAGAAAAAAGAAAAATTCTACATTTCACATAGTTTTACAAATCCCATACCATCCTGGTGTCATAAAACATCTGTCCTGTGAAGTATGTTAATGTTCTGCTAACACACAGTGTAATTAGTAAAAACCAAGCTATTTAGGGTCTTTTGGGAAAGGTGTTATTACTATATAAATGCATGTATGTTTCAATTCACCAATCAGAACACAGTAAAGTTTACAAAGTAAATGTCTTAAAATACAAAGGTGAAGCTAAATCTACATCTTGAGACAGGAGACATCACTACAGATACTACAGACATTAAAAGGATAATGAGAGAATATTACAAATGCCCTTATGACAATACATTCAACAATCTAGATAAATTTGACACATTTCCTGAAAGACACAAGCTACCAAAGCTCATTCAAGAAGAAACTGATAACCTGAATAGCCCACTATCTAGTACGTAAGTCAAATTTGTTAAGAAAAGCTTCCTGGCCAGGCTTGGTGGCTTGCACCTATAATCCCAGCACTTTGGGAGGCCAAAGCAGGAAGGTAACTTAAGCCCAGAGGTTTAAGACTGGCCTGGGCAACATATGAGACCTCATATCTACAAAAAATAAAGATTAGCTGGGCATGGTAGTGCACACTTGTAGTTCCAGCTACTTGGGAGGCTGAAGTAGGAGGACCGCTTGAACCCAGGAGGTCAGGGCTGCAATGAGACATGATTGCACCACGGCACAATCACGGGAGACCTGGGAGATGGGAAGAGACCGTGTCTCAAAAAAAAAAAAAAAAAAAAGTGGGAGAGAGAAAATAAATTCAAAGAAAACTCTGGTGCTACATGTTACATCAGAAATAATACCAATTCTCCACTAACTCTGCCAGAAAATAGAAGATAAGGAAATACCTTCTAACTTATTTTATGGGGCCAGCATTACCCTTATGCCAAAACCAAAGACAATACAAGAAAAGAAAGCTTCATCTGCCTTAGGAACAGAGACATAAACAATCTTAACAAAATATTAACAAATCAAACCCAGCAATATATAAAAAGTACAACCTATCATGACCAACAAGGGTTTGTTTCAGCTTTGCAGAGTTGTTTTAATATTCAAAAATCAGCCAGCACGGTGGCTCATGCCTGTAATCTCAGCACTTTGGGAGGCCAAGGCGGGCGGATCACTTGAGGTCAGGAGTCCGAGACCAACCTGGTCAACATAGCGAAACCCTGTCTCTACTTAAAAAAAAAAAAAAAAGAAAAAAGAAAATACAAAAAAAAAGTCAATCAGTGTAGTTTGCAGTGAGCTGAGATCATGCCACTGCACTCCAGCCTGGGCAACAGAGACTCAGTCTTGAAAAAAAAAAAAAAAAAAAAAAAAAAAAAAGGCAAAACAGTAGTAAAACAGAAACATAAAAACATAGTAAAACAGAAAAGGAAAAAAATGAGGAAAAAAACAGATACAGAAAAGGAAAAAAGGATTTCACAACATTCAAGACTCACTCATAATAAAAACTAGCAAAATAAGAACAGAAGAAAACTTCTTAAACCATGTAGAGAGCAACTACAAAAAATCTACAGCTAACATCATACAGAACAGTGAAAGACTGAAAGACTGAAAGCGCTCAGAACAATGAACAGTGATAGCCCTTCTCAGCACCTCTATTTGACAGTATACTGGAGGTCCCACCCACTGTAATAAGACAAGGAAGAAAAAGGCATAAAGATTGGAAAGAGCAATAAAAATTTATTTGCAGGCCAGGCGTGGTGGCTCATGCCTGTAATCCCAGCACTTTGGGAGGCCGAGGCGGGTGGATCACCTGAGGTCAGGAGTTCGAGACCAGCCTGGCCAGCATGGTGAAACCCTATCTCTACTAAAAACACAAAAATTAGCCAGGCGTGTTGGCAGGTGCCTGTAATCCCAGCTACTCGGGAGTCTGAGGCAGGAGAATCGCTTGAACCCGGAAGGCAGAGGTTGCAGCGAGCTGAGATTGCGCCATTGCACTGCAGCCTGGGGGACAAGAGCAAGACTTTGTCTCAAAAAAAAATAAAAAATAAAAAAAAAGCCAGGCAGGGTGGCTCACACCTGTAATCCCAGCACTTTGGGAGGCCGAGGCGGGTGGATCACCTGAGGTCAGGAGTTCGAGACCAGCCTGGCCAACATGGTGAAACCACATCTCTACTAAAATCACAAAAATTAGCTGGGCGTGGTGGCGGGCGCCTGTAGTCCCAGCTACTTGGGAGGCTGAGGCAGGAGAATTGCTTGAACCAGGGAGCCAGAGGTTGCAGTGAGCCGAGATCATGGCATTGCACTCCAGCCTGGGCGACAGAGCAAGAATCCGTCTCAAAAAAAAAAAAAAAAAAAAAATTTACTTGCAAACTACATGATCATCTAAGTAAAAATCCTAAGGAATCTACAAAGGAACTACCAGAACCAATAAACAAAATTAGCAAAGTTTTGGAAAAAACTTAATATACAAAAATCAATTCTATTTCTATATGCCAACAAAGAACAAACTGAAAATTAAAACTTAAAAATCCATCAACAACAGTGAAACCACCTTTGCCAAATTTATAACAGTGAAAAAATTATGACAGTGAAAGAGATTTGATCTGACCAACTCCATCTTGCCTTTAACTTCCAAACTGCCTTTGGCCATTCCTGGGCATGGGCCAAGCTGACTCTGGGGAAGTTTAGTTTACAGTTTAAATGATAATAGCCCTTCCCAAAACTAAACCATCTTTATAAAACGAATACAAGGCTACAAGGTGAGGATTAATGAGAGGGGTCTGAATTCTGCAAAGACCTAGGTGTAGTCACCAGCCATTGTCCTGGAGGTCACAAGATTTATATCTTCCCCAATTACTCCCATAGATAACATCACTACTGTAGAACCCAAGATTAGGCTGGGCATAGTGGCACATGCCTGTAATCCCAGCACTTTGGGAGGCCAAAGTGGGTCGATCACCTGAGGTCAGAAGTGTGAGACCAGCCTGGGCATCATGGTAAAACCTGGTCTCTACTAAAAATACAAAAATTAGCCAGACATGGTGGCAGACACCTGTAATCCCAGCTACTCAGGAGGCTGAGGCAGGAGGACTGCTTGAACCCAGAAGGTAGAAGTTGCAATGAGCCGAGATGGCATCACTGCACTCCAGCCTGGGTGATACAGAGAGACACTGTCTCAAAAAGAAAAAAAAAAAAAGAATCTAAGGTTGGCCTTTTCAGACTTTTGCATTCCTGGCAGATGACTCCACCTGCACCCAAGACTCCTGACTCTGGTCCTGTAGCCCCCACCCAGAAGTGGACTCAGCAGACAAGGAGAATTTTCTTTTTGTTTTTTTTGTTTGTTTTTGTTTGTTTTTTGAGATGGAGTCTCGCTCTGTTGCCCAGGCTGGAGTGCAGTGGCATGATCTTGGCTCACGGTAACCTCCGCCTCCTGGGTTTAAGCAATTCTCCTGCCTCAGTCTCCAGAGTAGCTGGGATTACAGGTGCACACCACCATGCCTGGCTAATTTTTGTGTTTTTAGTAGAGATGGGGTTTCACCATGTTGGCCAGGATGGTCTCAAACTCCTGACCTCGTGATCCACCTGCCTCGGCCTCCCAAAGTGCTGGCATTACAGGCTTGAGCCACTGCGCCAATCATTTTCTACAGTCCTGTGACTGCATCCTGAACCAATCAACAGCACCCATTCCCTAGCCCTCTGCCTGCCAAAATATCCTTGAGAAACCCTAGCCTCTGAATTTTCAAGGAGACGGATTTGAGTCATAACTCCAGTTCTCCTGTGTGGGCTGGCCTTGAATCAATGAAACTGTTTCTTTACCGCAATCCTGCGGTCTCAATGAATTGGGTTTTCTGTGTAGCAGGCAGGAAGAATCCATCAGACAATTACAATAGCACCAATAATTACAAAATACTGAGAGAGAGAACAAAAGAAGTGCCTAACCTTTACACAGAAAACTACAAAACATTGTTGAAAAAAAGTAAAGGGATCTAAGTATACAGGGAAATATATCACACTCCTGGATTAAAAGACACAATATTGTTAACGATATCAACTCTTCTCAAATTAATCTCTAGATTCAAACACAATCCCAATCAAAATCCCAGCAGGCTTTTTCACAGAAATTAATAAACTGATTCCAAAATTTATCTGAAACTAAAAAGGGCCCAGAATGGCAAAAACAATTGCAAAAAAGAAGAAAGTTGGAAGAATTTCTGATCTCAAGACCTATTATAAAGCTACACTAATCAGGACAGCATGAGGTTGGCATAGAGAGACATACAGGTCAGTGGAATGGAACAGAAAGTCTCGAATAGACCACATATATGTTCAGCTGATTTTCGAGAAGTGTTTCAGGGCAAGATTGTGGGCAGATGATGGAGCCTCAGGTGAAAGATGATGGAGAACAGGATGCTCACCAAAGCCCAGGGCTGCTCAAAGGGAAAAACACAGCCCAGAGCAGTGGCTTAGGCCGGGCACGGTGCCTCATGCCTGTAATCCCAGCACTTTGGGAGGCCAAGGCAGGCGGATCACCTGAGGTCTGGAGTTCAAGACCAGCCTGGCCAACATGGTGAAACCCCATCTCTACTAAAAATACAAAAATTAGCCAGGCATGATGGTGCACACGTGTAATCCCAGCTACTTGGGAGGCTGAGGCAGGAAAATCACTTGGGCCCAGGAGAAGCGGGTTGCGGTGAGCCGAGATCGCGCCATTGCACTCCAGCCTGGGCAACAGAGACTCTGTCTTGAAAAAAAAAAAAAAAGAAAAACACACCTCCACGACAGGGACTCTGGCAGCCACCACCTCAGCCAAGAAGCTCATCTGGCGTCATGACAGAAGGGCGACCTGATGTCATACCTTCCTGCAACAGGAAGGACACAGGGCTGTAAGGAACTCTTGCCCAAAAGGCTTCATCTGAATCTAATTAAGCCTTCGGTGCTAATGTTCGGTTTACAGGAAATACCCCTAGGTCCAAGAACAAGAGAAAAGACATCAAGAACAGGTGCGGTGGCTCATGCCCAAAATCCCAGTGCTTTGGGAGGCTGAGGCGGGAGAAGTGCTGGACCCCAGGAGTTAGAGACCAGCCTGGGTAATGAAGCAAGACCCCTGTCTCTACAAGATAAAAAAAAAAAAAAATTAGCCAAGTGTGGTGGTGTGCACCTGTAGTCTCAGCTACTCAGGAGGCTGAGGTGGGAGGATTGCTTGAGCCCAGGAGGTTGAGGCTGCAGCTGAGGCTGATTGCGCCACTGCCCTTCAGCCTGGGTGAAAGAGTGAGACGCTGTCTCAAAAACAACAAAAAAAGAAATGAGGCCGCACGCGGTGGCTCACGCCTGTAATCCCAGCACTTTGGGAGGCTGAGGCGGGTGGATCACGAGGTCAGGAGTTCGAGACCAGCCTGACCAACATGGTGAAACCCTGTCTCTACTAAAAATACAAAAATTAGCCGGGCGTGGTGGTGGGCGCCTATAATACCAGTTACTCAGGAGGCTGAGGCAGAATTGCTTGAACTCGGGAGGTGGAGGTTGCAGTGAGCCGAGATCGTGCCACTGCACTCCAGCCTGGGTGACAGAGCAAGACTCTGTCTCACAAAAAAAAAAAAAAAAAAAAAAAAAAAAAAAGACATCATGCGGGGAGGAAATCTGACAAATCTAGGAGAGACATTCTACAGGACAATTGGCCTGGTTGCTTTAAATGTTGATGTCATTTTTAAATTTTCTTTTTTTTTTTTTTGAGATGGGGTCTCACTCTGTCGCCCAGGCTGGAGTGCAGTGGCTCGGTCTCGGCTCATTGCAACCTCCATCTCCTGGGTTCAAGTGATTCTCCTGCCTCAGCCTCCTGAGTACCTGGGATTACAGGCACGCACCTCTGCGCCCGGCTAATTTTTTTATTTTTAGTAAAAACGCGGTTTCACGATGTTGGCCAGGCTGGGATGTCAGTTTTTAAAAGGAGGGAGGTGGTAGGGGGTTGTTTTCCAAAGGAAAGAAGCTAAAGAGACACAACAGTTAAAGGCAGCGTGGGAGCCTCGGTGGGTTCTGGTTTATAAAAGAGTGCTGCAACCATTCTGGGGACAACTGCGGGATTTGAATGTGGCCTGCATAGTCGATCACATTAAGGAATTGCTGGTAATTTTCTTAGTGTGATAATGGTATCAGGCTATACGGGAGAATATCTTTCTGTTCAGGAGGGGCAGCTAACATGTTCAGCAGGGACTGCTGGGGGTCTGCAGCTTACTCTCCAATAGTTCAGCTAAAAGAGAGAGAGAGAGGGGGAGAAAGAGCATCCGAAATGAACAATACCAACTTCTGAATCAAGATAAGGAGTGTATGTGTGTTCTCAGCAATATTTCTGAAATGTTTCTGTAGTCACGGGAAAGCGGGAAGGAGGGAGGGAGCAGAGAAGGAAGGAAACCCTTCCACAGCTCCATTACCGTGATACATCCAACTTCCCCACTTATCAGAGAATCAAACAAAGGCCGGTGAAGTTACAGACATTTGTTCAAGGGCAGACACTTATTCAAGGTCACACAGCAAACCAGCCTGAGGATGGCTCCTGTAACTCCCGGCTCTGCATTTTCTTTTACCTTGACACAGGTAAGCCCAGACTTTTTGGTTTTGGAGCCAAGCAGTGGCCATTTTCCCAGACTTGATATCCATTTTCAACCAGCCTCCTCACTCCACCTGCGGCAGCCCCACCCCCACCCCAAGGCCTCCCCAAAGCCCCTGTCATCTGCTCCCTCAGGCTGCATTCTGCTGCCAGACTGCTGTGTGGCCTTGGCCAGGAGTTTTGCTCTCTCTGGGCTGTGAGATGGAGCAAGAACCCTGCCCCACTACTCACCGACTTGGTGCCAAGCACCTGAGGGATTCCAGAGCATTGCCAGAGCCCAGGACTGGGGAGAGGAAGGAAGAAAGGGCAGCAAAGACCCCCAGAGAGAGCCCCCGGAAGGGTCCCCAGGAAGACAGGCAGGCGGGGTCTTGGAATCATGTGCGTACTTTCCACATATCTTACACACAGAGACACACATGCACATACATGCACCCAGACACGCATGCCCACATGCAGACACACATGCCTACAGACACACGCACACAGACATGCACAGAGACACACGTACACAGAGACACACATATGCACAGAGACACGTACACAGAGACACACATATGCACAAAGACACACGTGTGCACAGACATGCACACACACACGTGCCCACACACACTCTGACTCCTCCGCACCTGCAGTTCTGGGCCGTCAGACTCCAGCAAGTTCCTCAAGGACACTCCTTCCTCCTCCAGTATAGACAACTGATTCCAGAGCACCCTCCAGGGACGCACAACCTCTCACACCAGGTACATGACCTGCTGCCCGCCCCGCCCCACAGCCTCCCCGGGCTTTGGTCCTCTGTTTTTCCACAATCACCTGATCCCGGAGACCAGACCACGGCTTCTGAGGGCAGGAGGCAGATGGGTGGAGGTGGTGGAGCCAGCTGGCAGGGCCTCGCATGCAGACCCAGGATCAGGTTGGCCTCCCTGGCAGGGTGCAGGACCCCGGGTGCCAAGCAGGGGAGGCCCAGCGTGTCCCAGCCGAGGCCCCTGGGCCTGCCTTCTCCAGGCGGAGCCCCAGTGCCTCTTCCCAGTCCTCCCTGCGCCAGGGAGCAGCTTGCTAGGGCCTGGAGAGGGGCACAGGAGCGAGACCCAGGCTGGGACCCTGTGTTCACACCCTTCGGGGAGCTGCCCCTTGCCTGCTGGAAAAGTGAGAAAAGAAACTCAATCATCTACACCCACAGCTCCGGCCAAACCGCAGGCAGCTGGTCAGGAAGAAGGGCCGCCTGGCGAGCTGAGAACTTGGCACATGCTGGTCATGTGTCCCTTGGCCGCCCAACAAGCCCTGGCTTCCAGATGCAGAGGTGACGAGGGCTGCTCCTGTCCTTGGCCCGGGGGGACTCCCTGCCACCCTGTCATGCCACTCAAACCTCATGACAGGCAGGAGGGGGTCCCGATGCTTGATGATGGGAGGAGGGCAGCTTCCAGCCGGGGACAGACCCGACCTGTCCTCACTCCCACCACTTGGACCTCACTGCAGCCCAGGCTCTAGGCCCCTCCAGCTCTGTCCCACCCCTCCCCAGGGCCCCTAGGGTCCCGATTACACCCCCCTTGTGGGCTGGCCAGGAAACCCGGCCCTCACTAGCGACACAGCCTCCGTGACAAACCTGTTACAAGCCAAGCAAACAGCTGGGAAGCAAACTTCTGGGGGCACCAGGTCCCACCTGGACACATCCCCCTCCCTGGCAATGCAGGGGCACCTCCTGAGGTATGCACCCCTCCCAGGGCACAGGGACACAGCTACAGCATTCTTGCTTCAAAGCCTTGCAGGAGACAGTGACACGAGACGGAACAGCCAAAACGGCCCTGGGTCTCTTCCTCTTCCCTGTCACATGCAAACCCCAGTGCAGGCCCCGGGCCAGCTGTGGCCCCAGGGCCACTCTCAGGTCACAGGGCTGAGGAGCCTGCCCAGAGCCCAGCACCTCTGAAGCCAAGAAGGCTTTGTTTTTTCCTCCAGCCTCTGCATCATCCAAACAAGGACAAAGCCTTTCACCCCTTCCCCTACCTCAAAAACCACTGATGGGATGATTTGTTTTGAAGTTTCCTCACTCAATGTGAGCACCACATAATCCGGGCCTTGTGTAGCAACAGCCAGGAGGGGAGTGTGCCAGGGTGAGCCCCGGGAGCCCCTCTCCCCTCTCTCAGTCCTACAGTTGACAGCACTCTCAGCTCCCTCTCGCAGGGACACGTAATGCGCACACGTAACTGCTATTGATTCTGTTGGCCTGGAGAACACTGACTGACGCAGGACTTTTCCGCACACTCAGGTTTCTCTTTCCCGTGAACTGCCAGAATTCCAGAGAGTGGCACCAGGACCACCCCAGCGAGCATCTTGTGTCGTCAACTGACACTGTAAAGGAGGAACACAGAGGCCCAGAGAGGGTGAGGGCTTGCCCAAAGGCACACAGCAAGTTGGCAGAGAGCTGCGTCTGCAGCCCAGGTCTCTCGGCTCCAGCAGAGAACCTGCATGACTCAGAACATGCAGGGAATGTCAAACACATGAAGGAACGTGAGCAGGAAGAACCACCGTCGCACGCGCCACCACCCCGGACCACCGCAGCCGACCCTTTCCTGCCTTTCGAGGGGCTGCTCTGTATGGCACCAGGACGTGGCTGTCACTCTCAGGCCTGTCTTTGCCATGGGACCCCTCTCCTCTTCCTCATCGGTTGTCTTGAACTATTATTTAGATCTCATGCCACAAATCCATTTTTCCAGCATTTGCTACCAGTCCCTGCAGGGGCTTCCCTGTAATTGTAGTGACAAATGTGGGCCTCAACAGAACACGCTTGCATCATGAAGACCAGAGAACGCTCCTCCAGGTTCTCTGACTCTGACTCTTCGGGAGTTGTTTTACAACTCTGCAAGCTGTGGATAACTTATAGCAGTGAAAATCATGGCCGGGCGCGGTGGCTCACGCCTGTAATCCCAGCACTTTGGGAGGCCGAGGTGGGCGGATCATGAGGTCAGGAGATCGAGACCATCCTGGCTAACACGGTGAAACCCCGTCTCTACTAAAAATACAAAAAAAATTAGCCAGGCGTGGTGGCGGGCACCTGTACTCCCAGCTGCTGGGGAGGCTGAGACAGCAGAATGGCGTGAACCCAGGAGGTGGAGCTTGCAGTAAGCCGAGATTGTGCCACTGCACTCCAGCCATACCTGAGTTTGTACTTTTTTTGAGACTCCGTCTCAAAAAAAAAAAAAAAAGAAAAGAAAAAGAAAATCATTCTCACCAATAAACACACCGATTCCGCCTTGTCTGGTGGAAGTGCAATTGCCTTCTCTCCCTTCCTCCCCTTCTCCTGCCAAAACTCCCCGAATTTGCCTCCATTTGCACTTCCATTTCAATACCCTGATCTACAAATGCCCTGTCCTTCCGATTCCCTTTTCAGTCGCTAACATCTGCCTGATTCTCTCATGAGCTAAATAAAATCTTTAATGCGTTCATTTTTACATCTGTATGACAGTCATGATTTTACCCTCTTCTGAAAAGTATCTTTTTTTTTTTTTTTTTTTTTGAGACAGAGTCTCGCTTTGTCACCCGGGCTGGAATGCAGTGGCGTGATCTCGGTGCAACCTCTGCCTCCCAGGTTCAAGTGATTCTTGTGTCTCAGCCTCCCGAGTAGCTGTGATTACAGGCACGCACCACTACGCCTGGCTGATTTTTATATTTTTAGTAGAGATGGGGTTTCACCATGTTGGCCAGGTTGGTCTCGAACTCCTGGCCTCAAGTGATCCACCCGCCTTGGCCTCCCAAAGTGTTAGGATTACAGGTGTGAGCCACCACACCCAGCCTGAAAATTATCTTTTGCTCTAAGTTTGCTCTGGGAACCAAGCCCATTGAATGAGCAGGCACTGAAAAAAGGAAAGTCGTTTTTCTCCCCACCTTCCCAACCAGCATGAAAACAGACTCTTAGCCTTGTTGTTTCACAATTTGGACCCAAGTTTTGTTATGTAGGCGTCATTGGATAAATCACTGGCCATTGGTGATCCGCTCACCCTCCAGTCTCTCTCCCCTCCCCAAAGGTTGTGAGGGACTGATAGCTCCAACTTGTAATCTCATGGCTGGTTCCTCTGGGACAGCCCCCATCCTGAAGCTATCTAGGCCCCTCCTTGAGTCACCTCATTACAGTACAAACTCAGGTACGGTCAAGAGAGCTCATAATCGCTGGGAACGGTGGCTCATGCCTGTAATCCCAGCACTTTGGGAGGCTGAGGCAGGTGGATTACCTAAGGTCAGGAGTTCGAGACCAACCTGGCCAACATGGTGAGACCTCATCTCTAATAAAAATACAAAAATTAGCCAGGAGGGGTGGTGGGCGCCTGTAATCCCAGCTACTCAGAAGGCTGAGGCAGGAGAATCGCTTGAACCCGAGAGGTGGACGCTGCAGTGAGCCGAGACTGTGCCACTGCACTGCAGTCTGGGTGACAAAGTGAGACTCCATCTCAAAAAAAAAAAAAAAAAAGAGAGAGAGAGAGTTCATAATGAGTAACAAAAGATGCTCTTCCAAGGGTTTTAGGAGCTCTGCCAGGAACCAGGGACAAAGACCTAACAAAGATTTTTTTTTGTTTTAGAGATGGGGTCTCATGCTGTTGCCCAGGTTGGAGTACAGTGGTATGATCATAGCTCACTACAGCCTTGAACTCCTGGGCTCAAGCGATCCTCCCACCTCAGCCTCCCGAGTAGCTGAGACTACAGGTGCACACCACTGTACCTGGCTTTTTCATGTATTTTGTAGAGACTGGGTCTCACTATATTGCCCAAACTGGTCTCAAACTCCTGGCCTCAAGTGATCCTCCCATCTCAGCCTTCCGGCTCACTGGGATCACAGGCACAAACCACTGTGCTCAGCTAAGATTCATTATACCACAGCCCCCACCTGCAGGTCAGCTCCTGTCTGTCCTTCTGATCTCTGTTAAGACAATTCTCTGATATGGTTTGGCTGTGTTCCCACCCAAATCTCATCTTGAATTGTAGCTCCCATAATTCTCACATTATGGGAGGGACCTGGTGGGAGGTAACTGAATTATGAGTTGGGGGGGGTTCCCCCACACTGTTCTCATGGTAGTGAATAAGTCTCATGAGATCTGATGGTTTTATAAGGGGAAACCCCTTTTGCTTGGTTCTCACTCTGTCTTTGCTGGCCACCATGTAAGATGTTCCTTTGCTCTTCCTTCACTTCCACCATGATTGTGAAGCCTCCCCAGCCACATGGAACTGTAAGTCAATTAAACCTCTTTCCTTTATAAATTACCCAGTCTCGGGTGTGTCTTTATCAGCAGCGTAAAAATTGACTAACATATTCTCTCTTTCCAAACAGGAGCATGGCAGGCCCCTCTCCATATACTCTTAGCTCCCTGTATCCATTACTCATAGCTCTCAACCAGGTGCAAGTTTACAGACGTCCCTTGGGGAATTCATTCCAGGACTCCTGGCAGATACCAAAATCCACAGATGCTCAAGCCCCTGCTGAAATATGGTGTAGTATTTGCATATAACTTATGCATATCCTTCTGTATGCTTTAAATCATCTCTAGATTACCTGTAACACTTAACACAATGTAAATGCCTGTAAATAGTTCTTACATTGTGTTGTTTAGGGAATAAGGAGAAAAGTCTGTATAAATTCAGTACACACAACCATTTATTTTCTTTTCCCAATACACTAAATCCGCGGTTGGTTGAATCCACAGATGAGGAACCCATAATATGGAGCCCATGGATACAGAGTCCACGGTTACAGAGGCCACGGATGCAGAGCCCACGAATACAGAGGCCACCAATACGGAGGGCTGATGGCACTTATTTCCGTGATCCTTTTGCTAATGTTAACATGGGCCTCCCTTAGCAGATCAAAGTTTCACGAGGACCAAGCCCATGCCTGGATTTGCTCAAACAGTATCCGTGGTGCCTAGTACAGGGCCTGGTACATGCAGGTCCTTCGTAATCATCAAAATGAAGTGAAAATAAACCAGACATTACAAGTGGGCCCTTTCTCCTGGCCAGTGGGCTTCAGAGCAGAAGCTCCATCCCCCAAAGCCTGCCTCGCCCTGCATGTGAGTCCGCACATGCCTCAACTCCCTCCCGACCCTCCCTGACAAGCCCTTTCTCTCGGATCCCCCCCAGGGTCGGGGACAAGGACACAGAGGCACCATCAGCATCTGTGGGGCTGGGCCAGCTGCAGCCCCTCATTAGACATGGACCCGAACAGGCATGCTGGCAGAGTGGATGTTATGCAAAGGAAAATTCAAATCACCCAACTGTTCTATTTATAATTCATAGCAAAATGGTTTGTTGCTGTAAAAATATATTTGCACATTACACAAATAGACCCTCACAGCAATTATCTTAATGCTGTAGCTACAAATTAACACCTACTTACCTCGGGCAAATTAGCACCAAACTTAATTTGAGTGGCAAGTCCGATGTGCAGGGCATACAGAGGAAGAGCTCGCTGTGGTATTTGCACAATGCAGGCTCTCGTTTTGGAACTGGGTGTTCTGATAAAGGGCTCTTGGGAGAAGGAGGCAATGAGTTTGATGCCACCCAGGCCTAAGCTTCCAAGACCCAGAGACAAAGAAGCTTGCACACAGTCATACCTGAGGCAGACACTGGCCAGCGACTCCTGGGAAAGTCCAGGAATGATGGGGGCAGGAGATCTTGCTCATGGCTGAATGGGGGTCACTACTGAGCTGGGATTCCAGGGTCCCCCAGTGGCATCCCATAAAAAGTAACTTCCACTCTTTTGTCTCAGCTATGCATGAATTCGTTAATACAGACCCTCACTACCCAGTCTTCATCACAACCACCACTGGGTCCCCAACGCTGGCAAGACGGCATGCGCAAGGCCATTTGTCCAGGTAGCAGATACATGAGACCCCCGAAGGTGGCGGCAGCGAAGTCCAAACAAGCTGACTGTGACCTGCATCAGGACCTTGTCAGAGGCCTGCCCACAAACCGCAGGAAACCTTCAGCACCCTGAAAGGGCAAGGGGGTCTCTAAAGGGCTGCTGGGGTCACCCCCTCTCCTGTGGGTCAAGACTCAGGGCTCCTCACACAGCCTTTAGGGAACACCAAGCATCTCTGCTGCCCTGCGCAAGGGCACCCAGGTGATCATTCGGGTGCGCAACTCTCACCTGCACACCCTCCAGCTGCAAGAGGTGAGGCTGTCCCGCCTCCCAGGGCCCGCCCAGTTAGGCTAAGAGTAATCATATCTCCCTTTTCAAAGGTTAATTCAGAAACCCAAGCCAGAGCTAATCAGCACGAGGCAATCTCCCTGACAATCTCCCTGACCATCTCCCTTCAGGCCCCTGAGGCTCCAGGATACTTCTGAGACAGAAGATCCTGTTTCTCAAGACAGAACCACTGTGAGAGTCTCTGCGCAGCTGGGTATGCAGATGAGACCCGGAGGGCTGCAGCCAACTTGCCGCCCCTCTGCAGACCCAGCAGCCCACAGAGAATGAAGGGAATAGCTAACCCCTGATCAAGCCACACCTGATCTCCATACTATCCCCAGACCTTTGCAGCTACATGGGCTAATGCACCCCCCTTGACTTTGGGCCGGTTCAGAGTTGTGTTTTCTGTTAATTACAGCCAAAAGCGTCCTGATGCTCCAGGTGCCCTGCCTACCCCAGATTGGGAGAGGGGCTTCCTGTGGGCTCTGGCAGCCCCCAGGTCCATCACAGCCCTCATCAGTCTGCACCATGTACCTGTATGCTCTTCTTGACCCATCACTGTGTGTGCCCTGACAGCAGGGCCATGTCTGACTCACGTCTGAGTCTCTGCACTCAGCCAACCCGGGGCTGGGGACACGAGCAGGGACTTGGGAGGTCTGTTGAATAAAAGAACAAGCAGAGGGCTTGGGACAGACCCCGGGATCCAAGGCCCAGCGTGGCCTGGTTCCACCCACACTCCAGGGTCACCCCACCATCCACCTCGTTCACCTCTTTCTCTGCCATTCCAGGCTGTCCCTGAAGTGGATGCAGCTGGGGCCTCTGCCATGATCCCTACCATCCACACTTGTGCCTGCTGGGTTCACACTGGGCTTTCTCTTCTCCCGCCTAAAAAAATGGTAAATCCGTGTCCTCCACTCCTAAACCCAGATCTCAGGACCGACCTCTCTCCCAACTCAAACTTGAATATCCAAACTGCCTATTCAACACCTTCCATGACAACCCTCTGTCAAGGGCTTCCTGTCATTCTTGGAATAACATTCAAACCCCTGCACAAGCCTGAAAGAGCCTGTGGTTTGGACCTGCTGCCCTCCAGAGCTCATGTCATTCACTCCCACCCCACTGCCTTTGCCCTGGCACACCGGCCTCCCGGCTGCCCCTCAAATACACCCCCCACTGCCACCTCACGGCCTTTGCACACGCTATGTTCCCCCCCTCCCCACTACCTGGAACGCACAGCCCTGCACAAAGTAAGTGAGCCACAGATGGTTTCTATTATCATCATTGGCTAAAGTCCAATTCAATGACTCAGTCTCAATTCAAATCTACCTCCTCACCGGCTGCCTGGGAAATTAAAGTGGGGATTCACGGAGCCCCCATACACCCAGCCTTGGCCTTCAGATGCCTCCTTTCTTTGAGACAGAATCTCACTCTGTCACCCAGGCTGGAGTACAGTGGCACAATCTTGGCTCACTGCAACCTCTGCCACACGGATTCAAGCGATTCTCCTGCCTCAGCCTCCCGAGTAGCTGGGTTTACAGGTGCACGCCACCACAAGTAGCTAATTCACCATGTTGGCCAGGATGGTCTCAATCTCCTGACCTTGTGATCTGCCTGCCTCGGCCTCCCAAAGTGTTGGGATCACAGGTGTGAGCCACCGTGCCCGGCCTCAGATGCCTCTTCACAGAAAGATCTGGTTACTCTTTAGCCAGGCTAAAGAGACCTGCCCTCCCTGCAGCCAGAGGAAACTGCCATGGGTCCCTGGAGAAGTTCAGGCAGCCCTGTGCCTCCCACCTGTTCCGACTCCCTCTGTGACCCCATCCAGGGATCCCCCTCTGTACCTCTGAGGTGGAGACCACTGGCTGCTATGAAAAAGCAGCACAGCCTGGGGGCGGTGGGTCATGCCTGTAATCCCTGCAATTTGGGAAGCCTAGGGTGGGCAGATCACTTGAGGTCAGGAGTTCGAAACTAGCCTGGCCAACATGGTGAAACCCTATCTCTACTAAAAATACAAAAAAAAAAAAAAAAAAAATTAGCCAGGCATGGTGACAGGTGCCTGTAATCCCAGCTACTCCGGAGGCTGAGGCACGAGAATCATTTGAGCCCAGGAGGCGGAGGTTGCAGTCAGCTGAGATCACGCCACTACACTCCAGCCTGGGTGATGGAGTGAGACTCCAGGTCAAAAACAAAACAAAACAACAAAAACACTCCAAAGGAGCAGGGGGTTAAAGTTTGGAAGGAATTTAAAAGAAAGATCAAAGGGCCAGGCATGGTGGCTCACGCCTGCAATCCCAGCACTTTGGGACGCCAAGGCGGGCGGATCACCTGAGGTCAGTAGTTTGAGACCAGCATGGCCAACATGGTAAAACCTTGTCTCTATTAAAAATACAAAATTAGCCAGGTGTGGTGGCGCATGCCTGTAATTTCAGCTACTTGGGAGGCTGAGGCAGGAGAATAGCTTGAACCCGGGACGCGGAGGTTGCAGTGAGCTGAGATGGCATCATTGCACTCTAGCCTGGGCAACAAGAGCGAAACTCTGTCTCAAAAAAAAAAAAAAATTAAATATTTGAGGCAATTAGGAATTTGAACACTGAGCATTGGCTGATATTAAGAACTTGTTGCTGCCGGGCACAGTGGCTCACACCTGTAATCCCAGCACTTTGGGGGGCCAAGATGGGAGGATCGCTTAAGCCCAGGAGCTCAAGACCAGCCTGGGCAACAAAGCAAGACCTCGTCTCTACAAAAATTTAAAAATTAACCAGGCAGGGTGGTGTGCACCTGTAGTCTGAGCTACTCGGGAAGGCTCAGGTGGGAGGATCCTTTAAGCCCAGGAGTTCGAGGCCGCAGTGAGCTATAATCACACTCTAGTCTGAGCAACAGAGCAAGATCCTATCTCAATAAAAGGAAAAAATAAAAAATTGTTGCTAATCGTTTTAAACATAATAGTATTGCAGTAATGCGGAAAAAAAAGTGAGGGATGGATTCAAGCTTGATTTAACATCACAATGCATACATATATCAAAACATCACATTGATCACTGTAAATGTGTACTATTTTTGTTTGCCAATTATGCCTAAATAAAGCTGGAGGAAAAAATAATTTTTTAGAAAAGGGATTCAACTTACAGTATTTATGGAGCATGAGGTCTGGGAGCTACTCTAAAATGATATGGGGAATAGGGAGGGGAGAGAAGGGGTGAGAGGGTGGAAGGGTGAGTTGCAGGAAGGGTGGGGGTAGGTGTATGGGGTGGGGGGGCGGGGTGTGGGGTGAGCACAGGCCAGGTTGGCTGCAGGGTGGCTATAGTTGACGCTGGGAGATGGCGGCTCATTGTACATCATTTGAGTGTCTAAAATTCTCCACAAATAAAAAGAACTGAAATGAAAAAATAAACCCTCTTATACAAAATGCAAGGAATTACAACAGCGTGGGGTCCGCTTTGGAGAGTCAGGTGGGAGTCCCAGCTGCAGGGGCCTCAGAGGTACCTTCAGGGAGCCCCACCCGAGTGCCACACGGGGTCAACCTTTCCTGTGATAACAAACTTGCAGCCCAGAAAAACCCACTGCCCCGTCTGAGTTTCCTTTGCTTGTTTTCATTTTACGGCCAGGTAGGGGAAGGGAGCGGGGAGCTACCCAGGAGTTTCAGGAATTCAGACCTGCCCAACCAGTTCCTTCTGGACAGTCACCGGCTCCACTCTCCTCCCCTGCAAAGTCCAGGCCACTGAAGAAAGAACTGTTTGGCCTTGGCCTTCAGCGTGGAAGGAGCAGGCTCTAAACAAAGCGCATTCTTCTCCCCAAGCAAGATCTTCCCCCAAGGTCAGGAGACAGAACCAAGACCAATAAACAGGAACACCTGCGCTTCTCATGCATTAACTCATTTAGTTCTCCTAATGGTCCTATGAGTCGGTAATGACATGGCCCCTATTTTGCAGACGAGGAAACCAAGCAGAGTGGACAGCAACTGACTCCAGGTCAAGAGAGAGGAAGGCAGGCCCCATCCCGGTTGTTAACCATTGCAGCGCCTGCCTCTCCTGAGCCCTGACATTATCCCCACCCCCCACTTCCCCAGCCTCAAGACAAACCGATGGTTTATGACACCCATCTGAGAGGTGAGAAAATGGGGGCCCAAAGACCTAACTTGGAGAGAGAGTCACTCAGCCAGGTCCTCTGCCTTCCAGGGACACAGAAATCTGGACACAACAGGCTGCCAGAAGCTCCAGGGAGACGCCCTGTGAAGGCAGCTGGGGCAGGACTCCGGAGCAGCGCGCTCTCCTGCAGCTAAGTCCCACAGTGCAGGGCCCAGAGGCTCTCCCCTCAAATGCACCCCAGGGAGGCCTGGGAAGCATCTGGACACACGTGATGCATCTTCCTTGAGCATCAGTTTTAATTAAAGGACCAAGGGGTAAAAGTTAAATAATTTGGAAAGAAATGGAAAACGTCTATTTTCTCTCCCCATGCTAATTTCACATAGATTTGAAGGGTAGTCACCGGCAGGCTCCGAATGGCTCCATCTTACACCAGACACCAGCTCCCATGTGGGAGGCACACCTCAGTGCCCAGGGAGGTGGCTCAGCACAGTGTGTGTGGGAGGAAGGTGGGGACACGGGGAACACTGTAGCTGCAGCACCGCTGGCTTCCAAGCCTGGCTCTCTAATCACTAGCCATGGGACCTTAACCTTCCTTGTCTGTTTCCTCATCTGTGAACGGGGCAGTAACAGTCCGTGCCTCCTGATGTGAGCAAGGAGTCAGGCAGCCAAGTGTGCAGTGAGGGTTTCATGGCCATTTGGTGACCACCATCGCAGTGGGGAAGGACAGCCAATAGCTCCTTTTGCAGATGAGGAGGCTGAGTGCCCCAGAAGGAGAGTGACCTGCCTAAAAACCAGGTCTGCTGACTCCTTCTCCATCTCTTTCTCACCCTCATGCTGCCTGTGCCTCAGTTTCCCTATCAGTGAAATGAGGGTAAAATCAGGGAATGGGATGGGTTTTTTTTAATGTGGTGAAACATACTGTCAGGCACCTCCAGGACCTGAGTTCCTTGCTCTCGTCTCTTTAACCGAAGCCGCCTTTAACTCCATCGTTTACAGTGTGCCCATGAATAGCTCAGCCTAGAACTGGCTTGTTAGGCAGATGGCATGATGTCCCAGGCATGTTTAAGTCAAGTAAGTTTCAATGACTCGGCCGGGTGTGGTGGCTCATGCCTGTAATCCCAGCACTCCAAGCACTTTGGAAGGCCAAGGCAGACAAATCGTCTGAGGTCAGGAGTTTGAGACCAGCCTGCCTAACATGGTGAAACCCCACTTCTACTAAAAATACAAAAATTAGCTGGGTGTGGTGGTGGGCGCCTGTAATCCTAGCTACTCTGGATGCTGAGGCACGAGAAGCACTTGAACCAAGGAGGCAGAGGTTGCAGTGAGCTGAGATCGTGCCATTGCACTCCAGCCTGGGCGACAAGAGCGAAAACTGCGTCACACACACACACACACACACACACACACACACACAAAGTTTCAATGACCCAATGATGTTATCCAAGTAAATTGGCCCACCCCGTCAGGCACTCCATGGACTTTTCCACCCGTACCTCACAAGCGAAGTATCCCTAGCCAGTAGGTGCCATTCTCTTCCCCATCCACCTCCCATCCACCTTCCAGCTCAATGGCCACCTCCTCCAGGAAGCCCTTCCTAAGCTCCCACAAACCCTTGGATTCTCTCTACACAGAAGCCAGACTCTGGGCCCCTGAGGGCAGGGACCAGGCAGCTGGCTGTCCACAAGAATCAGCTGGGCTCAGGCCCACATCCCATGTCCCTCTTCGCCCTACCCCCAACTCTGGCGTTGGTTTGGGGAATGGTTAGTCAGTGAATCGAATGAGGAGTCCACAAACATGATCCTAAAGCTGCCAACAGAGAGGCCAACCAAAGGACATCGACTTCTGAAACGGCTGAGTCTTAAGCATTGAGTTCTCAGCTGGACAAATGCCAACACTGCATTTCACAGGCAAGCGAGGGACGGCACAGAGCTCTCTGGAATCTACACAGCCTCTGTCACAAAACCCTGAAGTCGGTGGCCAAGGTGCTGTCCCCATCCCGCCAAACAATCCCACCCTCCTTCCCGGGTGGACTCTGCGGTTCCTTCTCCGGGGCCTTCACACTCCTCCCAAGGCAGCGGAGAAATTTCCAAGTCAGGGTGTGGCAGAGCCCGAGGGATTCTCAGGAGCCCCCCCACCCCCCACAGGATTGAGGGAAAGTGAAAGGCAGGGCCTCCCTGCCTTCCTGACGACCTCCGAGGCTGCTAGCGGATTGGTTTAAACTTTGGGCTTTTAGGCCGGGCGCGGTGTCTCACGACTGTAATCCCAGCACTTTGGGAGGCCCAGGAAGACGGATCACCTGAGGTCAGGTGGTCGAGACCAGCCTGGACAACATGGTGAAACCCTGTCTGTACTAAAAATACAAAAAATTAGCTGGCATGGTGTCAGTCCCTGTAATCCCAGCTACTCGGGAGGCTGAGGCACAAGAATCGCTTGAACCCAGGAGGCGGAGGTTGCAGTGAGCAGAGATGCAACACTGCAATCCAGCCTGGGGACAGAGCAAGACTCGGTGTCAAAAAAAAAAAAAAAAGTTTCTGCTTTTAACTCCCGGGGGGTTCCACCGCTGTGTGTTGAACCGGCCAGCCCCCCACCCCCTGAGTTTGAATCAGCGCAGCACCTGCCCCGGCCTCCGTTTTCTCATCTATGAAACGGGAATGACCTCACCCACCTTGTAGGTTTGGGGTGTGTGGGGGCGGGGGAGGTGCCTCCCCCAGGCGCTGACCCGACCTAACCTGAGACCCCAGGACGGAAGCAAAAAAGGAACATTTGAGCTGACACCGTCCGGCCAGACCAGACCAAAACGCAGGCTGAGAGAGGCGAGGGCGGGGAAGGCGGTGCGGGGTGAGAAGGAACAGGACAGGGGAAAAAGCAGAGGAGGGGAGTGTGGGGGGGCGGGAAAGAAAGGAGGTGAAGGGAGAGGGAGTCTAGAACCCACAGGGGACCCGGAGGCTGCGCGCCGGCCGGAGGGTCTCCCCCCGGCCGCACGTGGCGTCGCGCCCGCCTGGGCGTCCCTACCCGGCCAGCGGCCCCTTGTCCCCGTACACGCCCTGGGAGCCCCCGCGGCGCACCCCCCCACCCCGAGCACGGCCTCCTCCCTGCGCGCTCCCTCCCGCCGCCGCCCGCCTTACCTGGCCACGGACCCCGCCGGCCCCCACCTGCGTGCCGGGTCTGCCGCTCACCTGGCCCCTCCCCGGACGTGGCTCCCGGGCAGGCCCCGCCCCCCCGCCCCTCCGCCCAGCCCCGCCCCTCCGCCCCTGCTACCCGGCGGGAGCCATTTCCCAGGTGCACGAGCTGACCCTGGGTCCACCTGTGTGTCGGGGGGACAGGGCGGGGTCGGGCGGAGCACACGCGCTCAGGAGCCCCTCGCACATCGCACCCTGGGCACCCCGATTCCCGGCTGGGCCGCGTCCCCGTCCCGCACGGCACCCATGCCTGGGGCGGGCACTTTCTTGCTGATCCATTTCCCCATTTCTTATTTTATTTATTCATTATTTTACTTTATGTATGTATGTATTTATTTATTTATTTTGAGACGGAGTCTCGCGCTGTCGCCCAGGCTGGAGTGCAGTGGCGCGATCTCGGCTTACTGCAGCTTCAACCTCCCGAGTTCAAGCGATCCTCCCACCTCAGCCTTCATAGTAGATGGGATTACAGACGTGCGCCGCCAAGCCCGGCTAAGTTTTGTATTTTTAGTGGAGACCGGGTTTCACCATGTTGGCCAGGCTGGTCTCGAACTCCCAACCTCAAACGATCCTCCCGCCTCCACCTCCCAAAGTGTTGAAATTACAGGCGTGAGCCACTGCGCCGGGCCCCATTTTTAATTTTACTTTTTTGAGACAGGGGTCTCGCTCTGTTCAGGCTGGAGTGCAGTGTCTTGAACTTGGTTCACTGCAGCCTCTACCTCCTGGATTCAGGCGATCCTCCGGCCTCAGCTTCCCGAGTAGCTGGGACCGCAGGTGTGCACCACCATACCCAGCTAATTTTTGTAGTTTTTGTAGAGACAGGAGTCTTGCCATGTTGTCCAGGCTGGTCTGGAACTCCTGGGCTCAAGTGATCCACCCTCCTCAGCCTCTCAAAGTGTTGGGATTACGTGCCTGAGCTACTGCACCTGGCCCCTTTCGTTAGGGGTGTACAAAGCGTGGCAGAACTGGGAGAATTGGAGGGACTTGAGAGGAAATTTTCCCTAGGGTTTGTTGAAGGATTTGTATCTGAGGAAAGCAGCTTAGATACAACAAAATATATCAGGCCCAGAGAAACAGTAGTATAGGACTTCAGTCCAGGTCCCCCTGCAGTGCTTGGGGGGCCATAGTTTTTTGTTTGTTTGTTTGTTTTTTGTTTTTGTTTTTAGAGTCTTGCTTTGTTACCCAGGCTGAGAGTGCAATGGCGCGATCTCAGCTCACTGCAACCTCCACCTCCTGGGTTCAGGCAATTCTCCTGCCTCAGCCTCCCAAGTAGCTGGGATTACAGGGGCCTGCCACCATGTCCAGCTAATTTTTTGTATTTTTGGTAGAGACGGGGTTTCACCATGTTTGCCAGGCTAGTCTTGAACTCCTGACCTCAAGTGATCCACTCACCTCGGCCTCCCAAAGTGCTGGGATTACAGGCATGAGCTACCGCACCCGGCCGTGGGGGCCATGGTTTAAAGGCATTTTGTTCCTGACTCACTGCCTCACCCATTATCTGCATGTTCCTGCAACTTGTGATACAGAGAAAAATGTGTAGCCAATCAACAACTTATTATTTTTATTTTTATTTTAGATTCAAGGGGTACATGTGCAGGTTTGTTAGGGGATATATTGGGTGACACTGAGGTTTGGTTTTCTGTTGATCTCCTTACCCAGGTAGTGAGCACAGTACCCAATAGGAAGTTTTTCAGCCCTTGCCCTACTCCCCCCACCCTTCTGGAGTCCCCAATGTCTTTTGTTCCCATCTTTATATCTGTGGGTACCCAAGGTTTAGCTCCCCCTTAGAAGTGAGACATGTCATATTTGGTTTTCTGTTTCTGCATGAATTCACTTAGGATAATGGCTTCCAGCTGCATCTATGTTGCTGCAAAGGACAAGATTTCATTCTTTTTCATGACTGCATAGTATTCCATGTTGGAAATGTACCACATTTTCTTTATCCAATCCACTATTGATGGGCACCTCAGTTGACCCCATATCTAACCTATAGTGAATAGTGCTGCTATGCACATATGAGTGCAGATGGCTTTTTGGTAGAAAGATTTCTTTTCTTTTGGGTGTGTACCCACTAACGGGATTGCTGGGTTGAAGGGTAGTTCTATTTTAAGTTCTTTGAGAAATCTCCAAGCTGCTTTCCACAGTGGCTGAACTAATTTACATTCCCACCAACAGTGTATAAGTATTCCCCATTCTTTGCAGCCTTGCCAATATCTCCTATTTTTTGACTTTTTAATAACAGCCATTCTGTCCAAAATCAAGATGCTGGCAGAAAAAATAATAATAATAATAGCCATTGACTGATGTGAAATGGTTTCTCCTCGTGGTTTTGATTTGCATTTCTCTGATGATTAGTGATGTTGGGCATTTTTTCATGTTTGTTGGCTGCTTGTATGCGTGTATGTCTTCTTTTGAGAAGTGTCTGTTCATGTCTTTTGTTCTTTGTTTTTTTTGAGACAGAGTCTTGCCCTGTCACCTAGGCTGGAGTGCAGTGGCGCCATCTCGGCTCACTGCAACCTCCTCCCCTGGGTTCAAGCAATTCTCCTGCCTCAGCCTCCCAAGTGGCTGTGATTACAGACACACGGTACCACACTCAGCTAATTTTTGTACTTGTAGTAGAGATGGGGTTTACCATGTTGGCCAGGCTGGTCTCAAACTTCTGACCTCAAGGGATCTGCCTGCCTGGGCCTCCCAAAGCGCTAGGATTACAGGCATGAGCCACCGTGCCTGGCCCCTTGCCCACTTTTTAATAGGATTATTTTATTCTTGTTGATTCATTTAAGTTCCTTATTGTTTCTGTATATTAGTCCTTTGTCAGCTGCATAGTTTGCAAATATTTTCTCTCATTCTATAGATTGTCTGTTTACTCTGTTGATAGTTTCTTTTTGCTATGCAGAAGCTCTTTAGAACAATTTACTTTTTTTTTGTTTGTTTGTTTTTGTTTTTTTTTGAGACAGAGTTTCGCTCTTGTTGCCCAGGCTGGAGTGCAATGGCTCAATCTTGGCTCACTGCAACCTCTGCCTGCCGGGTTCAAGCAATTATCCTGCCTCAGGCTCTCAAGTAGCTGGGATTACAGGCACCCGCCACCATGCTCGGCTAATTTTGTATTTTTAGTAGAGACAGGGTTTCACCATGTTGTCCAGGCTGGTCTTGAACTCCTGACCTCAGGTGATCCACCCACCTTGGCCTCCCAAAGTGCTGGGATTACAGGCATGAGTCACTGCACCTAGCCAATTTATGTTATTTTAATGTAAATTCTTGGTAAACAATTTAGGAACTGCCTCTTCTTTTCCTTCAAAAACCTACTTGTAACTGTTGCTAATCACAGTGAATATTCAGGGCAACTTGAATGTATACTCCCAGGTTGCAGTCCTCAAACTTGACCCAAATATATTCTTTTTTTTTTTTTTTTTTTTTGAGACAGAGTTTCGCTCTTGTTGCCCAGGCTGGAGTGCAATGGCGTGATCTCGGCTCACTGCAACCTCCGCCTCCTGGGTCCAAGTGATTCTCCTGTCTCAGCCTCCCAAGTAGCTGGGATTACAGGCATGCGCCATCACGCCCAGCTAATTTTGTATTTTTGGTAGAGACGGGGTTTCTCCATGTTGGTCAGGCCGGTCTCGAACTCCAGACCTCAGGTGATCTGCCTGCCTCGGCCTCCCAAAGTGCTGGGATTACAGGTCTGAGCCACCGCGCCCAGCCCCCAAATATACTCTTACTTGTATTGATTTTGCCTCGGTTTTTTCCTTTGGATCAACGACTCCCTGCCACAATGATTATTTCAGGTTCTGGAAGGAACTGGGCCTGTGCCAGTCACCCCAGGCCTTCCTCCGGCCACAGTGAGCAGTTCAGGTCAGAGTAACTGGACTTTGCCTGGATGGCTGGGGCTTATTGTGCCCTCTCTTTCTCTCTCTCCAAGCCCTGATGACAAAGCCTGGCACATGGGGAGTGCTGGTGTTGCGGATAAAAAGAGATCTTTTCCTCAACCATGGCTGGGTTCATGGCTGAGGCCCCTATAACAAAAGACAGATTTATCAGAGAAAAACCTACACACGTGTTTAATGTACGTTTTATGTGACACAGGAACTTTCCTAAGGAAATGAAGGCCCAAAGCAACCGGCCAATGTGTATTTCTATGCTTCGGTTTGATGAAGACCAGACAATTGCAGAGGGGTCTGATTAGAGGATGTATGAGTCCATTCTCACGCTGCTGATGAAGACATAGCCCCCATGAATAGTTGGGACCCCCCCCCCCAGCACCCTTGCTGCCCACCAGGCCTTTCCAGAGGCTCTCGGGCAGTGGTTTCTCCTTCATTTCAGAAGAGATTAGAATGACCCAAGCTGGCCGGGCGTGGTGGCTCACGCCTGTAATCCTAGCACTTTGGGAGGCCGAGGTGGGTGGATCACCTGAGGTCAGGAGTTTGCGAACAGCCTGGCCAACATGGTGAAACCCCGTCTCTACTAAAAATGCAAAAATTAGCTGAGCGTGGTGGTGGGTGCCTGTAATCCCAGATACTTGGGAGGCTGAGGCAGGAGGATCCCAGCTACTTGGGAGTCTGAGGGAGGCACAAGGGGTGCATTATCTATGGGTTTTCCGGGAAAGGGGTGGGCAATTCCTGGAACTGAGAGTCCACCCTTTTTTAAACCATATTGGGCAACTTCCTGATGTTGCTAAGGCATTTGTAAACTGTTATGGCACTGGTGGGAGTGTCTTTTAGCATGCTAATGAATTATAATTGGCATATAATGAGCAGTAAGGATGACCAGAGGTCACTTTCATCGCCATCTTGGTTTTGGTGGGATTTGGCCAGCTTCTTTACCACATGCTATTTTTTTTTTTTGAGATAGAGTCTCACTCTGTCACCCAGGCTGGAGTGCAGTGTCGCCATCTTGGCTCCCTGCCACCGCCGCCTCACGGGTTCAAGCGATTCTCCTGCCTCGGCCTCCCAAGTAGCTGGGATTACAGGCGCGCTGCCACCACACCCAGCTAATTTTTGTATTTTTAGTAGAGACGGGGTTTCACCATGTTGGCCAGGCTGCTCTCGAACTCCTGACTTCAGGTGATCCACCCGTGTCGGCTTGTTAAAGTGCTGGGATTACAGCTGTGAGCCACCATGCCCGGCCCTGCATGCTATCTTATCAGCAAGGTCTTTGTGATCTGTAGCTTGTGCTGACCTCCTATCTCATCCTGTGACTAAGAATGCCTAACCTCCTGGGAATGCAGCCCAGTAGGTCCCAGCCTGATTCTACCCAGCCCCTATTCAAGATGGAGTCGTTTTGGTTCAAACATCTCTGACAACATGAACGGACAACCTCCATTTCATTCTCTCAACACTCAAGCAGCTGCCTTATTCCTGAGCAAAGAATTCGTAGCCATCCTAGCCTGTGGCCTGTTCAACTAACACAACACAATTTGTGTGTTATTATTTTATACTTTCCCGGCTCTCGAAGGACTTGAAGTGGTAACACTTCATTGCTCTCAAAACATGACAAGGAAGTCACAATGTCTTATTCCAGCAACGTACACACACTGGATCGTTTTCATCTGGCGCTGGGTGCAGGGTTCTCTTTTCCTTTTGTGGAATGTAAACATCTTTTATATTACCAATGTAAGATCCGGCCCTCATGAAAGAAGGGCAATTTGCAGGGTTTCTGTTTTAAAAAGCGACTTTGGACGGGAGTAAGGGAAACTCCCCCCGCAGTCGGCCTACGGCTGGCAGAATAATTTCACAGTATTAAGAGATGTCAGGGGAAATACCACCCTCCTTGCATTTGTGTTTTGTGAAAATCTCATACAAATTTCACCCCATAGCTTAGCGATATTAACATACATACAATAAAGCAACAATACCGAATGATTGTGTGGCAAAGAATGCAGGTGTGTTCTGCCATTCATAATCAAAGGAAAAAGAAATATAAAAGAACTGTACAACCCAGGCTGGTTCCCCTTTCAAGTTCTTTCTTCTGTTTTTTCCCAAGCACTGTTTAATCAGTAATCAACCAGTTAGCCATTTCCTTTTGTTGCTATCTCAATAACTCCTTGCATTTCAAATGCCTTGCGATAGAAAAGAAGGAATAATCATGCAAAATAAAGGAATTACATCTGAATGGTATTATTCTTAGCTTTATTAAATTTGCTCTTACAAATGTTTCTGAAGTCGGAGAGTTGGTTCTCCCCCAAGCAGCAAATTCCACATTAATAAGCGCTTGGGGATGGAGAATTTCAAGGAGGAGGGAATAAAAGATCTATGTCCAAGGTCTTGGGCTTCCCGTTTGTTTTCTCCGGAATTAACTCAGCCTGCCAGCTTCTTGAGCTAAGACTTGGCCTGCTTTTAACCTTATTAAAACCACAAAGCCAACACTACCCCCCAGTTTGGGTGTATGACTGCCAGGTTAGGGCAAAAGGGATGTGGAAGATCTTCTTCCAACCCTCTCCCTTTATGGGCCAGGATCCTGGGATCCAGTCGGTTAAGGGGCTTGCTTTATCCCTATGTAGCCTGGCCCAGAACCCCAGGCAGGTTCCCTGACCCCTGCCCGTCTACTACGTGCCCTGGTCCTGTGTCAGAGCAAATGCATTGTGTGGTTAGTACCGCCTGCAAACTGCCTCCACTGGGTTTTCTGCGATCTTTGGGTCCAATAATGGAAACCCTCCTGATTTGCAGCTGAGGTGGCCATGCTCCTGCTGCCCTGGTTGACAGCAGGGTGGACGCTGATCTTGTGCACCGACCTGCCCACCCCTCAAATGCCTTTACCATACTGGCACTACCGACCTTACAGACATCTCACAGCCCCAAGGTGGCCTGACAACGGGTTTACCCGGTCCCTTTGCCACCAGGGACCAGACAGTGACAGACTGCACCATTGTGATGTCCACCCTGAGAGAGGAGGCTGCCCTAGAATTCATCACCCAGCGATGCCCAGCTTGGGTGGTGAGGGAGGACACAGTGGCTACAAAGTGAAGTGCCTGGAACACAATGGGTATTGGCGCTGGTGGCAGTTGGGTTTGGTCCAGCGTAACTGGGGCATCTCTGTGTGTGGGGAGCATCTGTGCAGCAAGAGTATCCCCACATGATGGGTGCCTCTCTGTGCAGTGGTAGCATCTGTGCAATGGGATCATCTGTGCCGTGGGATCATCCCCATATGATGGGCGCCTCTCTGTGTGGTGGGAGTATCTGTGCAGTGGGAACATTTGTGCAGTGGGAGCATCCCCATATCATGGGAGCCTCTCTGCATGGTGGGAGTATCTGTGCAGTGGGATCATCCCCATATGATGGGCGCCTCTCTGTGCGGTGGGAGCATCTGTGCAACGGGAGTATCTGTGCAGTGGGAGCATCCCCATATGATGGGCGCCTCTCTGTGCCGTGGGAGCATCTGTGCAGTGGGAGCATCCCCATATGATGGGTGCCTCTCTGTCAGTGGGAGCATCTGTGCAATGAGATCATCTGTGCAGTGGGAGCATCTGTGCAGTGGGATCATCCCCATATGAAGGGCGCCTCTCTGTGTGGTGGGAGCATCTGTGCAGTGGGAGCATCCCCATATCATGGGTGCCTCTCTGTGCGGTGGGAGCATCTGTGCAATGGGAGTATCTGTGCAGTGGGAGCATCCCCATATGATGGGCGCCTCTCTGTGTGGTGGGAGCATCTGTGCAATGGGAGTATCTGTGCAGTGGGATCATCCCCATATGATGGGTGCCTCTCTGTGCCGTGGGAGCATCTGTGCAGTGGGAGCATCCCCATATGATGGGTGCCTCTCTGTGCGGTGGGAGTATCTGTGCAATGGGAGTATCTGTGCAGTGGGAGCATCCCCATATGATGGGTGCCTCTCTGTGCCGTGGGAGCATCTGTGCAGTGGGAGCATCCCCATATGATGGGTGCCTCTCTGTGCGGTGGGAGTATCTGTGCAATGGGAGTATCTGTGCAGTGGGAGCATCCCCATATGATGGGTGCCTTTCTGTGCCGTGGGAGCATCTGTGCAGTGGGAGCATCCCCATATCATGGGTGCCTCTCTGTGCGGTGGGAGTATCTGTGCAATGGGAGTATCTGTGCAGTGGGAGCATCCCCATATGATGGGCACCTCTCTGTGCTGTGGGAGTATCTGTGCAATGGGAGTATCTGTGCAGTGGGAGCATCTCCATATGATGGGCACCTCTCTGTGCTGTGGGAGCATCCCCATATGATGGGTGCCTTCCCCGTTCGGTGGCTGCAATGCTGCCGGTTTCCCATCAGGCCCACTGTCCTGTGGGGTGATTTGGGACACCGTTCCTGGAAGTGGGCTTGGCTCACCCACCTCATCACAGCTGTAGGAGCTCGCAACATTCTTCAATAAACTCCTTCTCTGCATGATCATTGGCATCTGCCTCGGCTGCTTGCAAATCAGAGCCCGCCTGATCCTGCATCCTCATATTTTACACTCCCCTGGCCTCTTCCCCTACCAAGCACAGGCTGACATGAATCCCCATCGTGAGAAGAGGAATGTCAGTATGAGAAATTCCTCTTGCAGATGATGTCAATGATAGTTTACATTTTTATAGCTTTTTACAGCCTGTGAGAGCAGTTCTGAGCTCTCTGCAAACACATCAGTCAATGAGAAGAAGGGTTCTTGGGGGTAAAACCATCCGTTTATTATTAAGCCATTATCACCTTCAGGTCAAAAACCATTAAGTACGCGTCTGCCCGATGCTTGTCATCTGCACAGAGCTCCTTTGTCAGAGATGTCTGGTGTCTGGAGTTTACAATCTAACAGCCCTGCTCTGCATGTGAGTCCACGGTGCACAGACAGGCAAAGAAACAGTGCTGGTCACTGATTTCATAGCTGGGGAGATCCTGGCTATAGATCGGGAAACTGAGGACAGGGCGACCTGCCCAATATCACACAGTGCCCAATTTACGATCAGATCCTGGAGGTCCTGGCTCTGCCCATGAGGGGTGTATGACATACATAAATATATACAATGAAATATCCCATGCTGGCCTTCTCCCCACTCAAGGACTACGTGATTCTAGGGTACTGGGAAGAAGGAGTGTAGCGTCAAGTCAAACCTGGTTGTGCCGAGCGACAAGCATCTCCCAATCACAGGGGCCTCCACCACCGTAGCCGGCCTTCTTATCCAGGCCACACGTCTACCTGCTGGAGCAGGCTTGCCTGGGACACTGCCAACCACCGTGGCAGAGGGAAGGACAGTCCTGGAGGGGCCTGTGTCTGGCAATGAAATCCTCCAGATCTAGAGCACCCCGCATCACTTCCACTTAGAACTCACTGGCCAGGGCTGGTCATATCGCCACCCCCAGCTACATGGGGACCGGAAAGAGCATCATAATTCTTAGGTGCTCATCTCCAGTCTGTGTCAGTTGCATCCCTGGCAGAGGCTCCTGTGCCTTGGCATCCTCCCTACTCCTCCCAGCGTTTCTGAGGCTACTGCCTGCTTTACTGCTGGACAGTCCTGGAGTTGGGGACCACGGTCCCCCGATGGAGTGCTGTGTCCCTCCACTCCAGTCTCAGTAGAGGGGCCAAGACGATCAGTTCACGCTCCCTGAGGAAAGCAGCTACAGGGACTGCAAGGAAGGAAGGAGTCCTTTCCTCTCTCCTTTCCTTCCTTCTCTATCTTTCCTTTCTTTCCTTTCTTTCTCCTTCCTCCCTTCGTCCCTCCCTTCCTTCCTTTCCTTCCTTCCTCCCTCCCTCCCTTCCTTATTAAAAAAAAATTAGCCAGGTGTGGTGGCATGTGTCTGTAGTCCCAACTACTCTGGAGGCTGAGGTGGGAGGATCACTTGAGTCGGGAGGTTGAGGCTGCAGTGAGACATGATTGTGATTATGCCACTGCATTGTAGCCTGGGCAACAGAGGGAGACCCTGTCCCCACTGCAAAAACAAAAAACAAAAAACAAAGTTGGCCTATAATTAAGACTTCTGGGTTGGCTGGGCATGGTGGCTCACGCCTGTGAAACCAGCACTTTGGGAGGCCCAGGCAGGTGGATCATGAGGTCAAGAGATTGAGACCATCCTGGCCAACATGGTGAAACCCTGTCTCTACTAAAAATACAAAAATTAGCTGGGTGTAGTGGTGCACGCCTGTAATCCCAGCTACCTGGGAGGCTGAGGCAGGAGAATTATTTGAAACCGGGAGGTGGAAGCTGCAGTGAGCCGAGATTGTGAGACTGCACTCCAGCAGCCTGGGCGACAGAGTGAGACTCCGTCTCAAAAAAAAAAAAAAAAAAAAAAAAAAAAAAAAAAAAAAAGGCTTCTGGGTCTATACCTAAAAGAATTGGAAGCAGGATCTCAAAGACATATTTGTACACCCGTGTTCATAGCAACATTCTTCACAACAGCCAAAAGGTGGAAGCTTCCTTCCCTCCCTTCCCTCTCTCCTTGGCTCCCCTCCCCTCCCCTCCTCTCCCCTTCCTTGTGTGTTTACTGTGGTAAAATACACACCATAAAGTGGGCAGTTGAGTAGTGTTAAGTCACATTCATGTCGCTGAGCAGCCGATCTCCAGAACTCTATTTATCTTGCAAAACTAAACTCGAATCCCATCGATGACTCCTTAAACCCCCTCCCGCAGGGTCTGGCGACCACCACTCTACTTTCTGTCCCCGTGGATTTGCCTATTCTGAACATCTCGGAATGGAATCATCCAGTATGTGGTGTTTCCTGGCTGGCTTCTTTCACCTCACATCAGGTTTTTTTTTTTTTTTTTTTTTTCTGAGACGGAGTCTCGCTCTGTCACCCAGGCTGGAGTGCAGTGGCACGATCTCTGCTCACTGCAAGCTCCGCCTCCCGGGTTCACGCCATTCTCCTGCCTCAGCCTCCCGAGTAGCTGGGACTACAGGTGCCCGCCACCACGCCCAGCTAATTTTTTGTATTTTTAGTAGAGACGGGGTTTCACCGTGTTAGCCAGGATGGTCTCGATCTGCTGACCTCGTGATCTGCCCGCCTCTGCCTCCCAAAGTGCTGGGATTACAGGCATGAACCACTGCGCCCGGCCTCACATCAGGTTTTTAAGTCTTATTCATGTTGTAGCATGTATCAGGACTTCATTATTATTATCATTTGGACTTCATTCTTTTCCGAGGCTGAAGAATATTCCCTTGTATGGATGACTACGTTGCATATCCATTCAGCTAACGATGGGCACTTTGTTGTTTCTACCTTTTGGCGGTTGTGAAGCATGCTGCTATGAACATGGGTGTGCAAATATCTCTTTGAGATCCTGCTTCCAATTCTTTTGGGTATAGACCCAGAAGTCTCAATTATAGGCCAACTTTTTTTTTTGTGGCAGGGACAGGGTCTCACTCGGTTGGCCAGGCTGCAGTGCAGTGGCGTGATCACGACTCACTGCAGCCTCAACCTCCCAGACTCAAGTGATCCTCCCACATCGGCCTCCAGAGTATTGGGACTACAGGCACGTGCCACCACACTTGGCTAATTTTTAAAATATTTTTTATAGAGACAGAGTTTCACCCTGTTGTCCAGGCTGGTTTCCAACTCCTGAGCTCAAGCAATCCACCCACCTTGCCCTCTCAAAGTGCTAGGTCCACAGGTGTGAGCCACCGTGCCTGGCTGTAAGCTATTACTTTCATGGTCAGATGGAAAATGACAAATGGGCCCACGCTTATTGTGGGCACCCCTTTGGCCTACACGCTTCCCAGTCCCTCTCTCTTCTTCTGGAGTCTTCCCTTCTCTGGGAGGGCCTTCGGCTGCAGGCATCTCCACCTTGGGACTCCTCCTCTTCCTCTTCCCAGGGCCAGCACATCCAGAGAGCATGTTTGCCCCCTACCTCGTGATTCCTGGGCCACAGCCCACCCAGCAGCACTTTCCTGAAACGGAGCTATTCCTTCTGGAGATGAATATCACGGGGTCCAAAGTGGGTGCTTGAGAGGGCACGCGGGGTGGGCATCAGCACTCCAATGGACCCGCCTCTGAGACCTCCTACCAGGGCTTAGCTGCTGTGTGGTGTATACTTGCACACACACACACACACACACACACACACACCCACCCATCCACTCTCGCGCGCGCGCACACACACACCCCCAAACACTTGTGCGTGCGTGCAGACACACACACCTACCCACTTACACACACACACACACACACACACACGGACGCCCAAACAAATCTGAGCTCTCAGCAGGGGTGCAGTCAGGGTCACTGGGAAGCCTATCGTAACCCACCCTGGGTTTTCCTAAGTGCCACCTCCACCCCAGACGCTGTCACAGTGCAGGTGAGGCTCACATGTCCCGGCAGGCCCACGGACCCCAAGGCGGGGCTGAAATGCAGATTTAGGGTCAGCAGATGGGGCCAGGGCCTGAGATTGTGCATTTGAGAGGTAAGGGGTAGAGCGTTCACGAGAATCCTGCACAAAACTTACAACAAGCACACAAAAGACAACAACGATAAAGCAGTTTCTAGAACCCCAGCCCTGGAGATGCAGAGGAATCCACCCCACTGGACACCCCGGTGATGCCGATGGTAGACCAACCACTAACTAATTAACCACCGATTTCACTCGTTTAACAAACCTTAGGGTGTGGAAGACAGAACAGCAAATGTTAAGAAGCCGTGTCTGCTCATTTCTGTTGTCAACATAATTTCATCGAGCCCTGACTGTGACAAGGCGCAGCTCTCCAGGAGGATGCCTTGAAGACCAAACAGGATGGAGCACACGGTCTCCCACGCCTCTTCCCTGAGTCACTCTATTCCTTAAAAGATAAATAAGGGCCGGGTGCAGTGGCTCATGCTTGTAATTCCAGCACTTTGGGAGGCCGAAGTGGGCGGATCACCTGAGGTCAGGAGTTCAAGAATAACCTGGTCAACATGGTGAAACCCCGTCTCTACTAAAAATAGAAAAATTAGCCAGGCATGGTGATGCATGCCTATAGCCCCAGCTACTCGGGAGGCTGAGGCAGGAGTATCACTTGAACCTAGGAGGCAGAGGTTGCAGTGAGATGAGATTGCGCCACTGCACTCCAGCCTGGGTGACAGAGCGAGACTCTGTTGGGATTACAGGTGTTTACCAATTTATAAGATGTCTGAATGCAGATCACCTCTGACATCTTTGGGAACAAGGCTAGGACACACACACACACCCTCTTGGTGGGCTGCTGCTTTCTGGGAGTGGGAGTGCAGCCTCCTCACCTCCTTGGGGCCCCCACTGAGTCCTGTGAGCTGCTGCAGGGCCCAGGCCCAGCACCCACCCTCCTGGACTGCAGCCCCCCAATCTGTGGTTGGGGATGCTGCTGGCTGCTGCCCAGGGGCCTCCCCTCCTGCCCCAGGGCAGGAGGACTGAGAGCTTAGGGACTGCCTTGCCAAGGGTCCAAGTGCCAGCCAGCAGGGGCCACCAGTCCCTGGGCCACCCCAGGCCCGGCAGCATCCAGGGGCCAGGGATGCTCGACCCCCCACGATGGAACCCCCACCACTCAGGGGACAGAACACAGGGTCTAGCACCCTGGTGTGGACAGAGCCCAGACAGCAACTCCCTGCCACGGCTTCTGGTCTTTGGTCCTCCTGCCTTGAGGTGACCGCTGGGAACCCTCCTGCCCATGTTGCTAATGGTCACCCACTACTCCCCGCCTCAGGCCACCTCGGGCTCCATGATGGAGCTGGGAGCCAAAGAGGTTGGTCCACGGATCTCGGCCTCATCAGCCTGGCTTAGTGGTTCTCAGACCAGGTTCTGGCTTTCTGTTCAACGACCACCTGTCCCCCAGGCCTGGGTCCCGAGGCTGCTCTTGCTCCCCTACTTGCCCAGCTGAGCCCTGCCTGGGGCACATTACCCATTCCGAGTAGCTTCAGAGAGCTCCACAGGGTTGGTATGCACCCGTATCACAGATGACAAAACTGCGGCTCAGCAGAGTCAGAAAGCCAGAGCTCCCCCTGCCCCCACCCCTACACCCTCCTATCCTGAGCTGAAGCAGGGGCGCCAGGTCTGCTTCTCCCACCAGAGAGGGAAACTCCTCCATCCAGAAGGCTCTGCTGGGAGACAGCCTGGGCCAGCTCCGGCCGTGACTCAGGGGTCAGGTGACGTCCTCCTGCTCACGCCCGGCTCACACCCACCCTCTCCCTCCAATCACACCTGGTTCCCCTGCCCTGGGCCTGTCCTTCATTTGCTCAGCACTCCTTTCCCACCTTGAGAAAACGCCATGAGAGGCGAGCGCGTGGAAGGCTGCGGGGGTGGCAGATCAGCAGGTGAACGGGGTGTGGAAAGGTGCCCGCCGTTAGAGACCCCTCCACCCCTCCCCATGGAGGCCACGCTGACCCGATGCTTTAAAACGGCGGGGGTGGCTAGGGAAGGCTGCCCCAGGCTCAGCTCCTGCCCCGATAGTAGGGGTGCCCGTGGTGCTGGGCTGGCCTTTGGCTCTCAGTAACACTCGGGCCCCACTGACGGGGGAACAAAGAGCCCTGCCTGCTACGGCTGATGCGGTATCCTGCCCACCTGAGGGCCCGGGGAAAGCCTGTCTGGGGATAGTGAGGCTGCAGGGGAGGTCAGAGCAGGTGTTAGTTTGTGCTTCCCAGGCCGGATGGCCTTCAGCAGGTCACCCCCACCCCCTAGGCCACCTGGACGCTTCTGTAGCACGGGAGGAGCTGGCAGATCCCGCCCCCACCCCTCCTTCCCTCCTTCAAAGGCTTCAGTGAGTCCATCCCTGCTAAGGCCAGGGGCAAAGTCAGGGCCAGACTCCTGTGCGGCAGGGCCAGCCCCACTCCCTAGCATCCCAGCCCTTCCTTCCACAACCTCCCGGTCCTCCCATCAGGGACAGGGACGGTGGAGCAGTAGGGAGGCCTGGACAACAGGCACAGGTCTGCCCCCTCCACACAGACCCTGGAAACCTGCGCTCCCTAGAAGGGAGCGAAGGCCTGAGGGTGAGCACCCTGAAGGGGCGCCCCCAGGGCAGGCACTGCAGACATGAGCCAGGTTGACAGGTTTTATTCCACCCCCTTCCATCCCCATGGCCACCCCAGGCAGGAGGAGACAGGTGTGCTGGAGTCTGGTCACTTTGGGGCCCGGCGTGGGCAGAGCCCACTGGGTTTACATTCTCTGTGGGCAGGTGTGGACACCAGAGGGCTGGGGCAGGAGGAGCGTGGGAGCGAGCGGCCGACCCCCGTCTCTGGCCCGGCCCCTGGGTAAACGCCGACTCAGATGCCTGAAACAGACCTGGGCCGAGCAAGGAAGGCTGATGGTATTTCCAACCAAGACAGAAATACAAAGTGACCAAGGCCAGTGACGAGGCCGATAGGGCTGGCGGGACGGGACGCAGTAAAAAAGTCTCACTCACACACACGCCACATGGACACCCCCGCACACAGGGACGTGTCAGTAAAAACTCAAGGCCAGCTGTGAGGCCTCACACGACACTCTGCCGGCCCCCAGAGCCCTCCAAGTCGGACATGCCAGAGCCCCGGCCCCGGCCAAAGTCAATGAAAATCCCTTCAGAATCCGAGTCCACGGACTCCAGGATCTGGTCCACCAGGTTCTCCGGGCTGGAGCGGGGCAGGGAGCTGCGGGTGGGATCCAAGCCCTGCTCAGGGGGCTGGGTCGTGGGGTACAGTCTGCTGGGGCAGGGCCCTGAGTGGGGCGCCGGGGAGGACCTGAAGGTCCCGGTGGGGCCCTGGCCGGGCGGGTCGGAGAAGCCCTGAGGCTCGGGGCAGGACGTCATCTCCGACACAGAGTGCCTGCGGATGCTGGTACCGCCGGCCGCCGCGCCCTCCGCCTCGTGCTCCTGCACGGGGTTCAGCAGAGGCGTGTTGTAGCTCTTGGAGCGCACCACAGGGTTCTTGGCCAGCACGTCCCCCGAGCGGGAGCGGCGGAGGAGGCGCTTTTCTGGGGAGAGACACGGGCACTGTCACACCAGAGGCCACCTGGGTCCCCGCCCGCCTTGGCACCTGCTGCTCACTGCACACTGGGTCCCTGTGCAGGGGCAGCTGCAGGGAAGGCCCGACCCGGGGCCCGGCTCAGCAGGTCCCACCGCCACAAGCCCTGACACCAGCTCAGGTTCCAGTCTCTCTTCTCCAGCCTAGGCCCAGCCTGGTCACACAGGACCTCAAGTCAAATGCCTGGGTTTGAACCTGCACCCCGCCAGCGACCTCTGTTTGACCTTAGGTAAGTTACCTCACCCCCGTGCCTCAGTTTCCCCACTTGTGGAAGTGTATGGACTTTGGCACCTGCTGGACACCTGTACTTTCCCAGGCAGGCGCAGCCCCTGCCCCACTGGAGCTGGTGTCCAAGGGGATGGTGGGAGGGCCAAGAAGCCCAAAGAGGCGAGCCATGGGGCCAGGTTGTGGGGCTGTGATGGGAGCAGATGGGGACAGGCCCTCCATGTAAGGTCAAGGCGGGGATTCCATCCTGGGGATGCGGGGAGCCTGTAGCCAGGCAGTTGTAAATGGGCCTCGCTGGCCGCTGCGTGGAGAGTAATAGACTGTGGGGGCTGAGGGTAGACGTGGGGACCCAGGGAGGAGGCCCCTTGGTTCATCTGGGCGGGAGGCAGTGGCACAGGTGGCCAAGGCTGGTTGGGGGGCAGGGTTCAGGTTCCCATGCAGGACCCTGCAATCCCAAGAGTGGCCACCAGGTGGCGGGCGACACACACGAGCGGCTCAGGGGCCTTTCCCAGACCAGAGGATGCGGGTCCCATCAGGCAGGGGCTGGGGTCCTGCCATCCAGGGCTACACCAAGCCTGGGTGGCTCAAAGTTCTCCAGCAGCCAGGGCACTGCCTGAGCTGAGACACACCAGTGGGCAGGTTTTACACCAGCAGGTGGGGACGGGGAGCCCCTCTGGATGAGGAGGGCATAGTCCCAAGCGGGCCTTGCCCCAGCTCTGTCCCCTCTGCCTGGGATGCTCCCAGCTTCCAGCTAATGGTGGGTCGTGGAGGAGACTCACTGGTCGGCCTCCCCCGCGGGAGGGGAAGGGCGTGGGCTCGGGATGGGGCACAACAGGTACTCAAGGGACATTGCTGAAGGAACCCAGAGGCCCTCCGTCAAGGGAGCAACGTGGCCAGCTGTGCTGGACGCGCCAAGCAGTCCCGGGATGCTGCCCACAGGGCTCAGCCTGCCCACCCCCAGGCCGAGTCCCTCCCAGCCTGGGTCCCCTAACTGAGCCAGGAGTCCTCAAGCTTCGGCATTTGCATGTTCCGAGCACTCCGCCTGGCCCACTTCTGACTTTCAAGACTGCACATGAATGTGGCCTCCTGGGGAACACGGAGGTCTGGTGGAGCTCTCCAAGGTGTTGCCACATCACCGCTCAGGGTGTGTGCCCACTCTCACGGATCCCCACGTCCAGGCCAGCATATGGCAGGCTGGGGGCTGCTGCCCGGCTGAGAACCAGTCTGGAGTCAGATCCTGGTTCTGTCGTGGGGCCTCGGCTTGCCCATTTGTTCACAATGGATGGGGCCCGTGGTCACCCCTGCCCCAGCCCAAGGCCCAGGCGGACCCCTACCCAGGATGCAGGAATGGGTGAAGGGCCCCTCGCTGGAGTGGAGGCCGTAGGTGCCCAGGTATGGCGACACCACCTTCTGGACCAGCGTCTCCAGGCGCAGGTAGTCCTCAGTCACGCCCCTGGACTCATGTACCCCCTGCAGGAGAGTGGGGCAGGGGGTAGGGGGTCATGCACCCGAGCTTGGTGGCTCCAGGCTCTCAACCATATGTCCCACCCACCAGACAGCCTGTCCTCTGCCTCCCGCCTCCCCATTCCCACAGGCTCTCTGTCCCCATGGCAGGGCCCACGGTGGCCTCCCAGCCCCTCTCAGAGCATGTGGCCTGAGTCACTCTGCTGCTCACAGCAGCGTCGGGATCTGGGAGACCATGGTGTGCCCTGGAAAAAGGCCCTGTGGCCAGATGAGATGGGTGTTCTGCACCTTCCACCCCTCGGAGGGGCCCTGTACTCAAGAGTCCTAGAGGCTTTGGACAGTCTCTCCAGAGACACTGGCTGACCCCACGCAGGGAGGGCCAAGCTGCTCACCTGGGGCTCCCTGCCCCATGGGGCCAGGTGCAGTCCACATCCATCAGGGACCACCTCACAAGCCCCACTCTCTTCTTCCCATCACTGGCTCACGCCATCATCTCCCCTCATCCGGAGCTCTGAAGGGCTCACCGCTACCTCCAGGTGTATTTGAGCCAAGGCCCGGGAGATGAGGCTGCTCACCCAGCTGTGCGCTGAGCTGGGACAAAAGCTCTGGGACCTCAGCACCCAGCAAAGAGGGCTGGGAGAAAGCTGACTTATAACGAGTGCTTGCACTCATTAAATAAGTGAATGAATGGAAGACAGCAGGCCTCAAGGGGCTGTCAGGGGGTTCAGGGACAAGATACACGGGGGTAGAATTTTTTTTTTTGAGACAGAGTTTCGCTCTGTCACCAGGCTGGAGTGCAGTGGTGCGATCTTGGCTCACTGCAACCTCCGCCTCCCAGGTTCAAGTGATTCTCCTGCCTCAGCCTCCCGAGTAGCTGGGACTACAGGCATGCATCACCATGCCCGGCTAATTTTTGTATTTTTAGTAGAGACGGGGTTTCGCCATGTTGGCCAGGATGGTCTCAATCTCCTGACCTTGTGATCTGCCTGCCTTGGCCTCCCAAAGTACTGGGATTGCAGGCATGAGTGACTGCACCCGGCCACACCCAGGTACAATTGTAAGTGACAATCCAGCCAGCCAGAGGCGAGGACTAACCCAGGACTCTTGGGATGGCTGTGGGAGGCCACTCCAGGCAGGGAGTGAGGCACGGTCCAGGCCACGTCCCTGGGGGTGAGCAAAGTCGCCTGAACTCTTGGGGTTTCGGGGCTGGTACAGGCTCCTATGTCCTGGCCTGTGTTACAATGAGTAGGTGGGACTCCACAGGTGCCCACAGTAAGGTCACCTACACTAACACAGGGGACCCCACGTGTCCCTGGAATTGTCTGCCTGTAGGAGCAGTGACTTGGTTGTGAATGACCAAGTCCTCACCTATCCTGCCAGGGAGGAGGCCTCCCTCTGTTAAAGACCGGGAAGCTGAAGCTGACACAGCAAAGTCCCTCAAGGGTCCCCGCTTCAACCCAGCCAGGCCTGACCTAAACTCTCTCAACTTCCACCCAGGGCAGCCCCCACCTTGCACAGCTCCACACTGGCCGCCCCTTCCTTGCTCTGGTTGCCCTGTGAGGGTCCCGAGTGTCCTCACAGACCCTAATTTTAAAAGAGCTTCACGGGGATTCAGAACGATAAAGAGGGCTTTGCACCTGCGAGAGCCGGGGTGAAGCTGGGCTCCCGCCCTTATTAGCTCATAGCAAGCAGGACTTGGGTCCCCTACCTGTAAAATGGGGTGGCCGGCAGTGACTGTGTGGTCCTGCGACAGTGTGATGAGCCGGCCAACTGCAAAGTGTGGTGCCTGGGAAGGGCCGTGTGCAGAAACCCCTGGCTTGCGGTGGATGCCACTGGGGGCCCCACTCCTTTCTGGGGCAGGCACCTCTCCCCACCTGCTGTGAGGGGGGCTAACAGCTCTCAGAGTGTCTTCCCCAGAGCTGACCCACTGACAAAAGCCCTCTGGGCAGAAATGACTGGGACACTGTGTGTATGTGTGCGTGCATGCAAGTATGTGTGTAGTGTGTATGTGCATGTGCACGTGTGTAGTATGTGTGCGCGCACATGTATGTGTGTAGTGTGTATGCGTGTGCACGCGTATGTGTGCACACGTGTGTAGTATGTGCGTGCGCACGTGTGTAGTGTGTATGCGTGTGCACGTGTGTGGTGTGTGTGTGCAGTGTGTAGTATGTGCGTGTGCACGTGTGTGCACGTGTGTAGTATGTGCGTGCACACGTGTAGTGTGTATGCGTGTGCACATGTAGTATGTGCGTGCACACAGGCATGTGTGTAGCGTGTGCGTGCACACGTGTGTGGTGTGTATGCATGTGCACGTGCATACTATGTGCGTGTGCACAAGTATGTGTGTAGTGTGTATGTGCGTGTGCGTGCTGGGGGTGGGCACAGCCCCAGGCTGGCCGACACAGGGTGTAAAGGCCCAGCCCTGTGCCCAAGAGGAACGGGTCTGCAGCTTGAGCTCTCCTGCACCCACAGCTCTGACCAGCTGCTCCCCGGTCCCTGGCCCTGACAGGCTTCTCCTCTGATCGGGCCCTTCCTTAAGTCTCGTGCCCCTAAATCCTCATCTCATGCTCTGCCTGTGGGGACCTGAGCCCAATTACTGCCCCACGGTCCCCATGCCCGACCCTCTGCCCACTGTGCCCACCTGCAGCACCAGCAGCATCTGCACGATGGCAGGGGGCACACGGGCATGGGCCCGGGCCAGCGCATCCTCTAGCTTCACACTGAGGGTGATGGCATTCCGGAAGTGCAGCAGGGCCAGCTGGCGCACCGATGGCTCCTTGCCCTGTGGACGGAAGGCACCCCACCCCACCGGCTGTGGTCACATGCGTCCTCATCTCCCCTCTCCCGGTCCTGGGACCCCACAGGGGGAAGAGACCTGCCGACCCTCAGGCCCCTCCACCCCGTTCTCCTCAGATGACCCCGTCCCAAGGATAGAGGGCCCCTTCAGTTTCCTCTGGCAGTGAAAGGGTTACTGTCACAGAGCCCCTACGCTGTGCCTCGCTGCTGGGGGATTCACAGGGAGGGAGGCGTCCATATCTGCAGCTTGAAGGGGTGGAAACAGGCTCTGAGCAACTCAGGTAGCCCAAGGAGAGCAGCACAGAGCAGAGCAGGTGTGTGTGTCCCCAAGCCTGGCGGCCCCCCTCTGTAGAGTGAGGCCAGGGTGGGCACAGCAGGGGCACTGGGCTTCCCTCCCCAGGGCTGGGCTGCCCACCTGCACCGGGTAGAAGATGGCCTGCAGCATGGGCAGCACGTCACTGAAGAAGAAGTCCCAGGTCTCTGCCAGTGAGTCCAGCAGCTTCTGTCCTGTGGGCATGGGGGCCATCACCACTGGGCCTGACTGGCGCGGGCAGATGCCTCCACTCACCCAGGATGGGTCATCAGAGGATGCGGGAGTGGAGGGCCTGGGCTCAGGCCCCTGGCAGCACCTGCCCAAGGTCGATGTCCAGCTCCACAGCTCAGCTGTTCTATGGCCCTGGGCCCACTGCTTAACCTCAGTCTTCCATTTATAAAATGTGGCAGTAAAGGGATTGGCCTCCCAGAGCTGAGGGCATGAAATGAGCCTAAGGCACAGGGAACTTGGCTCAGGGTCTGCTCCTGGCAGATGACAGCTGCCAATTCCCAGGCCTTTGTCACATACCAGACCCACACAAGTGAGAGCCACACAGGTATACACCTGGCACAGGTGAGACGTTCACAGGTGAGACCCCTACACGTACGCCTGACACAGGTGAGACCCGCACAGGTAGGTACACTCGGCACAGGTGAGACCTGCATCAGGAGACCTGCACAGGTAAGACCCACACAGGTACACCTGGCACAGGTGAGACCTACACAGGTGAGACCCACGCAGGTATGCCTGGCACAAGTGAGACCCACACAGGTGTGCCTGGCACAGCAGTTTCAACTCACATCCTAGTCTCATCAGATCCTCCTAACAACCCGGCTAAGCAGTTGATTTCTTCTACCCACCGACCTCCTCCCTCCTTCCCCCACACTATCTGCCCCTCCAACAAACACAGAACACCTACTGTGTGCTGGCGCTGATGCTGGGCACTGGGGACCCAGCTGAGCCCCAAACAGCTGCCCATCCATCACATGACAGGGAAGTGGGACACTGAGCAGGATCATAAGGGCAGTAGCCAGGGGTGATCGACCCCCCACCAAGCAGACAGAGGCTGAGCCTCCGAGGAAAGGGTGCACCACAGTCAGTGGCCCAGAGGACCCAGGGCCAGGCCAGCTCTGCCTGTGGTCAGGTCTGGGGATCCACGGAGACCCCTTCCAATAGCAGCACCACGTCGAAGGAAGAAGAGGGTGCAGAGGGTCAGGCAGGGAGGGCTTCCTGGAGGAAGAGCATCCAAGCTGGCTATAGGAGCTGGGCTTGCCAGACGTAGTGGTATGGGGACACATCTTGACAGGTGAGTCTCTGAAACAGATACGTAGGTAGCAGACATCGGGACCAGCTCTGTAGGATTTCTGCTGGCCTTGAGAGGAACGGTGCCATGCACCAGGTGAGTGACCCTTGTGGGACGGGGACAGCTGCCCAAGCTGGCTCTGGGTTCCAGTGGGAGAGGCAACGTGAAGAACCCTTGGCCTTTCTGCCTGGACTGAGCGGAGCTGGGATGAGGGCTGCTGGGTCCAGGGATGCACAGTCCAAGGACGTGTCCCCAAGGCCTCTGCTGTCCCCTGGAAGCCAGACGAACAACTGGCGAGAGAGATCTTGGTGTGGGCGCCTCTGAGTGAAGAGGGAAGCGTTGCCGGCTGTCTCTCAGGCTGCGCCCCCGGCCAGAACTGCTTTGAGGTTTCCATGGGAATGCGGAGGCTGAACAGGGACCTTTGCCTTTTTCTCACTCTCTGGGCCCTGCCCCCACTCCCGGAAGCCCCCAGCTTCATGTAGGTTCGAGGGCACTAGGAGTGGGACCCCGCCAGGGGCAGCCCTGGGGGCTGGGGCCGAGCTGGACTGGGTCCCATCTTTGGCTCCCAGCCCAGTGGCCAGCCCTCTGCCCACCCGGGTAGCCCAAACCTGGCTCTGAGGGTGATGGGGGCCAGCAGGAATGCCCCGGACGGATGGATGCTCACCGCCCCGCCGAACTGTGCCCACACACAAAGTCCCTTCAGTCCCCCTCCGCCGCGGCAGGAAGAAAGGCAGCTCAGTTCCCGGGCTGGCCGGGGGGTGGCTCTGGGCACCGGCCAGGCCTGCGTTCTGCTCAGCGCAGGCTGTTCTCCAGCCCACGGGGCGGAAATGCTGCGGAAAGCAGATGTTGTAAAACAGAATCCAGGCCCCAGCTGGAGCCACACGGTGACGAGAGGCCAGGAAGGGCAGCCTCGCGGCTGTTGGGGCTCTCTGCCGGGGCCTGTCCTGTGGGGGCCCCTCTGTGGGGCAGTAGGGTTAGTCGGAGGCAGGTATGGGGCGACCCCAGGAAGTTCCTCCAGGCGGACTCAGTGGCATCCTCTATGAAAGGGGCGTGATACACGTCCCCACGTGGGCAGGTCGAAAGCTGAGATGAAACAGCACTGGGCGTTTGCTGCCGGCAGGACGGGGCCGGGTGTGTGCGCGCCGTACCTTGGCTCCAGCCTGGCAGTAGCAGGGGCTGATGCAGGCGAGCGGCCCCGCAGTAGCCTTGGCTCCGTGCTGGCTCCCACTCTGGGGTTCTCGCTGTGGGCGCAGGCTGGTGTCCGTCTTTCCTTTCTTTATCCGAGTGCTGAGGGCCCTGTGCAGGCCCTGCAAACCAACAACCCTGTTTCAGCCCGTCGGGAGACTCAGGAACAGTGAGGAGCGCAGGGCAGTGACAAAAGCCACGCGCTGGGTGGACCAGGTCAAGGGTGTCTGGCGCGGGGACGGCCGAGGCACAGGCATGGAGGCAAGCGTGTAAGGCAGCACAGCTGGGTCACGTGACCCATACCGGGTTTGGATTCCCTGGTGGATGAGCGACGGCAGATCCCAGGGCCCAGCAGAGGACCAGGAGCTCCCGCCCAGAGTTCCCAAGTTTCTGGCTTCCAAGGAGTTGCTTGGCTGCAGCTGGAGCCGATTCCCTTAAGCCACACACAGGCCATCAAACTACAACCCCGGCCGCGGTCCAGTCTTCCTCCCCTTCCTAGGGAGGCAGCCCTCCACCTCAAGGCCACTCCTCCAGGCTCTCCGCTTCCAGGACCGGCTCTGCCCAGGGGCTGAAGTCCAAGGCCTCCCTGGAGGCTGAGAAGGGGCAGGGGGCAAGGTCCTGGGGCTTCCCCACAGGGGGCCATCACCCACCTCTGGTAGAGGCTCTGTAGGGACAGCTGCAAGGAGCAGGCTCAAAGTGAAGAGCTCCCAGTGGAACCCAAGCAGGGGTAGGGAGCAGGAAGGGGGAGGCCCCTGAGGCCGCCCATCAGGATGTGGAGGTGGCTATGTCCCCACTGCATGGGGCCAAAAGGGACCACAAGTTCCCCTGAACAGACCACACTTTGAGGCCCTACTCAAGGGCCACTGCCTCCATGCAGCCCTCTCTGACTGCCAAGGTGGAATGAACCCTTTCTTCCCCAGGACACTCCTTCACAATGACATTAATCACACTCAACTGTCACCCTCGGGTCCGTGTCTGTGTCCCCAATTGGGCTGTGAGTCCCTGAAGGGCAGGGCCAGGTTCTCCTCCATCTCTGGGCTCCCAGAGGTCACCTGGGCCTGACATGTAGAGAACACTCAAGTGGACAGAGCCTGTTCAACCCCACATTGCTAAGACAGGGGTGCTGAGGCTGGAGAGGAAACCCTGTGTCTGCAGCTACATGGGAACTGGAGGCCAGGGCCTCAGACTCCCAGCGTAGAGCCCAGTGCCTGTCCCTGAGACCTGGGGAGGCCAGGAAGGGCTGGCGAGGCAGAAGAGGATGCTGGGCCTCCCAGGGCTGTCCTCTGCCCCTTCTGCTGGGCAGGCACCCCTGCTGGGAGGCCTGGCAGACCTGGCTGTCCCACGCAGAGCTCCTTTCAAGCCACACAAAACTCCCTTCTCCGAGAGCCCCGGCTCCCCTAGGCCAGATCTGGTGGGAGGTACAGGCACCGCCAGAATGTGCCGCATCAAGCGAGGGGCGTGGGTGGCCATCTTCGTCAGGTGCCAAATGCTCACAGCTCTGTCCTGCCAGTCTAGATGTTGCCTCCTCCAGGAAGCCTTCCCAGAACCCCCATGTCTCCCCGACGGTCTGATGGTTTTCATGGCCTCTCTTTGTGTTCCTGTCTTGGCTGGCCCCACCCAACATGTTCAGTGGACGTGAGGAAGGACCATGACACGCAGCTCCAAGGTCCCCTGGAACATGCCAGGCCTCCGGGCCTGTGTCCTTCTCTGTGGAGTGGGCTAGTAGCTCTTTTTCCCAGGGTCAGAGGGAGACCTGGAGGAGGAGCCTGGGGCAGCAGAGTGAAGAGTATGGGTTCGGGACCCGGTGGCCTGCTTGGCACCCTGGCCTTGCCACGGTGCAGCTGTGTGGCCTGGGCAGGACACCGTGCCTCACTTTCCCCATTCATTCAGTGCTAACAACGGTGGCTTCTTCACAGGGTTGTGGAAATCAAATGAGTTAGTAGATGTGAAACACTCGGGGCAGTCCAGCACGGAGGGACGCACACACCCGGTGCCTAGTGCACAGGTGCTCAACACACGGGTACAGCGCAGGCCCGATCCCAGCACAGCCCGAGCAAAGCAGCATCCGTGGGAACTGAGTGGACCCCCTCACCTGACCCCGCTCCCAGGGCAGCTCGCTCCTGCAAGGATGCGCACGCTGCTGCTGCTGCCCGAGGCTCTCGGCCACGGGAAGCCCAACCTGCACAGTGAGGCCAGCGGGGACCTCCGGGCCGTGAGAAGGGCAAAGGGTGTGTGCCCTAAAGTCAGGCAGACCTGGGTTTGAGTCCCGCCCCCACCCCTGATGTGCACTGTAGCCTTGGGCAAATCACTTATCATCACTGTACTCTCCCACTCAGGAACAATAACCTGAAGGTCCCAGTGGGTGGCTGTGAGCCTCGACAGAGAAAATTCAGCTGAGTCCCCCACCCTGTCCCCTCCTCTGTGAGTATCGGTGACCTCAGCCCTAACCGACTTCTCCTCTGACCCCCAAAGACCAGGACAGGGGCTCTCCCAGGCTGCGGGGACAGAGCTCACTAGGGCCAGAAAGTCCCGTGGGCAGGGAGGGGAAGCAGGGGGCTTTTCCCCGATGTCTCATAGCCCTCCTGGGCTCCAGCAAGTTCGGGGGGCAGACCCTCTCCCAGGGTTCCCTCTGGGTAAGGATCTCGGCCCTGCTGCCCTAAGGCTATACGTGTTCCTTCCAAGCCCTCCGGACCAGAGAGCCACACCTTGCACCCAGAGGCCCCCAGCACGAGGCCCAGCAGTCCAGCAGCCAGCCAGGACCCAGCATGGCCCAGAGTGGCCGCCAAGGGGCCCACACTCACCCTCATAGAAGCGAATCTTGTCCCGAAGGATCACCATGCCTTTTGTCAGCAGCTGGTTCTGAAGGTAAACACAGAGGGGCTGTCACCGCCCTTGTGGATGCCCGGGGGTGTCCTGGCCAGCAGGGCCCCCGAGAGTCCATCCACCAGTGAGCAGCCAAGGCTTAAAGGGGGAGGAGACTCACTGAGGTCCCACAGTCCACCTGCTGCAGGGCCTGAGCATCAGTTCATCCAGGAGGGTAACTGACCCAACCCCGGGTTGTCACGAGACAGGAGGTGGTCACACGGACATCCCGAGAGGTGGGCAGGGCCTAGAGCTCCTTGCACTGGGCTCAGCTGGGCAGGCAGAAGCCTGGCATGTCCCACAGTGAAGAAAGGACTTTGCATCAAGAGGTGACTCTGATTACCAAAGGCCGGGCCCGTCAGCTGCCATCCTACCTCAGGGACCCTGGACGCACTGCCTGGGGTGGCTCGGCCAAGAACCACGCTGTGTGGTCTCAGCAACCCAAGCACCCGCCAATGAAAGCATGGACCACAAAATGCAGCCCATCTCCACACAAAGAAATGAAGCACTGGCTTGTGCTCCAATGAGAAAGAACCTGATGCTAAGAGAAAGAGTCCAGACAAAAGTCCGCAGGCCGTGTTATGCCACCAATATGAAATGTACAGAATTGGTCGGGCGCGGTGGCTCACGCCTGTAATCCCAGCACTTTGGGAGGCTGAGGCGGGCAGATCACCTCGAGGTCAGGAGTTTGAGACCAGCCTGGCCAACATGGTGAAATCCTGTCTCTACAAAAATACAAAAATTAGCTGGGCAAGATGGTGGGTACCTGTAATCCCAGCTCCTGGGGAGGCTGAAACAGGGGAATCGCTTGAACCCGGGAGGCAGAGGTTGCAGTGAGCTGAGATCGCGCCACTGCACTCCAGCCTGGACAACAGAGCAAGACTCCATCTCAACAACAACAACAACAACAACAAAACAAAAGACAAAAAACAAAAATTAGCCAGGCGTGATGGTGGGCACCTGTAATCCCAGCTAATCAGGAGGCTAAGGTGTGAGAATCACTTGAAGCCAGGAGGTGGAGGTTGCGGTGAGCTGGGATCACGCCATTGCACTCCAGCCTGGATGACAGAGTGAGACTATCTCAAAAAAGAATTCACCTCATCTTATCATTTAACCTCCACAACATTCCACGTGGCTAGATAAGGAACGAGGCAGGTCCTTGGAACTGCAGGCAGACAGTGGGGGAGCCGGCGCTCCACACCCCCGGGGGCAGGTGAGCCCCTGTGCTTTCTGGCTGGCTCATGAGGCAGGCCCAGCCTGGCTGGAGCAAGACCCACCTACCTGCAGGTACTCCGTGAAGAAGGACCCCAGCTCTGTCTTCAACAGCTGCCTGTGGGTGGGAGGTGAGACAAGAGTGAGTCCCAGACCACACGGCACTGGCATGGGGGACCCACGGACTGGGGTGGGGCCTCCTGGGCAGGGGGAGATCAGCATGCTCAGCCAGCCCAAAAACATGGGTAGTGGACAGGTCCCACCTGTCCAGACCTGCAGGGGCTGGGTCGGCCACACAACCGGGGCCTCCATGGTCCGCAGTGGCAGCTCATCAACTAGATCCCTGCACTCATGTCATAGCAGAGGAAGCCAAGGGGTCCTCAGAGGGAAGACAGTGGCCTCTGCGTCTCACACCTTCTGGAGAGACACCTGGCAGGGCTGGGCCTGCAACACTTGGTTTGCTCCTGCCTTCCACCTGTCCAAATCCCGGATGCCACGGGCTCCTCCTCTCTCCGCCTGCAGAGCTTCTTCCCAAGTGTTTACTCTTTATTCCAGAGAAGCTCATTCAGTCTTCACCAACCCAGCCGCAGGCATTCACCGGGGTTCCCCTTTTATTACAGGGGAGGCAAGAGAGGCTCGCAGAGGTCAAGACACCAGACCAGGTCCACATGGGACACGCCAGAGCTGAGATCTGAACCTCCACCTTGGCACTCAACACTGACAATTCCTCCTTCCCTCCCTACATACCTCCAGGGCCTGAGAGAATGGGAGCACCACATTCCACACCAGCCAGGCTGAAAGTACACAGGCACTGTCAGCGCTGAGGCCCCAGATATGACCTCCCAACAGTCTTCTGAACCAAATACATCAGAAATCTTACTTTTTAGGTTGCTATTCCCTTTAGGAAAACTTTTTTTTTTTCTTTTTGAGACGAAGTTTTGCTTTGTCACCCAGGCTGGAGTACAGTGGCACAATCTCAACCTAGAGGTTGCGGTGAACCCGGGTTCAAGCGATTCTCCTGCCTCAGCCTCCTGAGTAGCTGGGACTACAGGCATGCGCCACCAGGCCGAGTTAATTTTTGTATTTTTAGTAGAGACGGGGTTTCACCATGTTGGCCAGGCTGGTCTCGAACTCCTGACCTCAAGTGATCCACCCGCCTTGGCCTCCCAAAGTGTTGGGATTACAGGTATGAGCCACCACACCCGGCCTAGGAAAACTTTCTAATCAGTCCTGAATTATAGGCAGTCCTCTCTTTGCATGGTTCTGATACATACAAGTTTCAGTTATCCTGGTTAAGTACAAGCTCTGCTGCCCGCTCTCCAGTCCACAAATCAAAATGTAGATAACAGATGTGTACAATGATCACTGACCAATTGCAACACTTCTTTCAAAGTCAGTCTCTGATTGGTCCCTAAGTATCTGTCAGCAGTTCATGCACAGACAGCAAATTGTGACCTGTGTTGCCTCCTTGTCTGCCAGTGTGAAACCCATGTGGCATTCTGTAAAAATGGATACAAGAAAAAGCAACTGGCCAACACAGATGGAAGTGCAGCACATCAATGAAAAATGATCATGTTCTGAACGGGCAAACACTGCTCAAAGTACTATGTTCCCACTGTTTTATTTTTTATTTTTATTTTTGGAGATGGAATCTCACTCTGTCACCCAGGCTGGAGTGCAGTGGTGCGATCTTGGCTCACTGCAACCTCCACCTCCCAGGTTCAAGTGAATCTCCTGCCTCAGCCTCCCCAGTAGCTGGGATTACAGGCGCATACCATCACGCCCAGCTAATTTTTGTATTTTTAGTAGAGACAGGGTTTCACCATGTTGGCCAGGCTGGTCTCAAACTCCTGACCTGAGGTGATCCACCTGCCTCGGACTCCCAAAGTGCTGGGATTACAGGCGTGAGCCACTGCACCTGGCCCCAATGTTTTAAATTATAGTGCACTAAATATTCATTTTACTATACAATCTTTTTCATTTCTCTGTATGGTTATAACCAAACAGTAAAATACGTTGGTTATGTTTATAACCAATAGACCAACAGTACAACAGCTTTCAATGTTCTGACAAGCTTTGGCCAGGTGTAGTAGCTCATGCCTGTAATCCCATCACTTTGGGAGGCCAAGGTGGGCAGATCACCTGAGGTCCAAAGTTCGAAACCAGCCTGGCCAACATGGTGACACCCCATCTACTAAAAATGCAAAAATTAGCTGGGCGTGGTGGTGGGCACCTATAATCTCAGCTCCTCGGGAGTCTGAGACAGAAGAATTGCTTGAACTCGGGAGGCGGAGGTTGCAGCGGGCTGAGATCGCACCACTGCACTCCAGCCTGGGTGACAGAGCGAGTCTCTGTCTCAAAAAAAAAAAAAAAGAAAAGTTTTTAAAGATTATGGAACAATTGTCATTTTCCCCGTGGTTTACTAGGATCACACAGTTTCAATGTGTAGTCATTTTGGAAGCCCTGCACTGTGGTGCAAAGAGAGGACTGGCTGGAGTTTTCAAAAGCAACATGCTGGGAAAAAAAAGCCCAAATAAGGCTTGCTTCCTGCAAGCTGCCTACCCTTTTCACTGTGCCCCTGGCCACCAGGAGTCAGAGGGTGACAAAGTCTCCTGTTCCTGCTCCGGTCAGCTCTCTTAACCATGGATCTGGGGGTGCTGGTGGAGATGCAATAAACATACCATCCCCCCAAACACAGTGACTGCATGATCTAGTCCTCAGAGGCCCTTTTGGGGTGGCTGTACTTTTTATTCCTGGAGAAGCTGTAGGCTGGACCCCAGTTCAGGGCTGGCTGCCCCCACCATGCCATGGGGTGTGGAATCTGGGAGCTAAGTGAAGCCCAGAGACGTGGCCTGGGCTGAGGGAACCGGCACTCAGGTGCTGGGATGGAGGTGGCTCCTGCTTCTGCACCTGGCCATCACCGGAGCCTGGGGCTCGGGCAGTACTGCAGGTGCACGGAAGCACAGGGCAAAATACTAACGTTCCTGCACAGCTCTGTGGGCAGTGCTGAGGCAGGCCAGTCACAGGCCTCCGTTCACAGCCACCTGACAGGTGATGTTAGTGTCCCCATTTCATGGATGGGGAAGCTGAGGTTCAGGCTAACAGCGCAGCTGAGTGGTTCCAGCCCTGGAGCCTGGCCCTGCTCCTGGCCAGCAGCTTCCCTTAGTAACAGGACTGGCGTTGAGGCCCAACCTCCTCCCTTGCACAACTGTGAAATCAGCGCAGTGGCATTAACAAGGCTGAGGTTCACCCTGTGATCACAGACAATGGTGCCCCGAGGCAGCCCCCGCCCCAGCAGTCCCCCCAACCTTCTCCCACTGTCCCCGTGACCTGTCCTCTGGTCCGCCAAGGACCAAGCTGTGACCTCAACCTCATGGAGTGATCCCCACGTCCACGCAGCATCTGTCTCAAAGTTACCGCAGGCATTACTTGCAGGGCCACTTTCAGTGATGCCAGAGAGCAGGGCACCAGGTGAGAAGGGAGGGTCTTCATAGAAGGCATGAGGCTGAACCCGAGGGCGTCTGCTCAGCAAGTCAGGGCTGGAGGGCAGGCCCCGGTGCTTGCTAGCACGCCATGTGACTCTGGACGAGACCCCTCCCCTGTCTGGGCCTCGGCACCCTTGTCTGTGGCCTGAGATCCATGTGAACATACAGCAGGAGGTGAGGCAGGAGAGTAGGGTCTGGAGGCAGGGAATCTAAGGCCAATTCACACTGACTTCCTAGAACTAAATCCAAAGGAAGACCCCAATGTTCCATGCCCAAGTAACAAAAGGACCGGAGGCTACTTCCTTTGCAACCCCTCTTTTCTACACGGCAGATGAAAAACTGCAAGAACCTCTGATTCGTCCCCTACCACAATTGGTTGGGCCAAGTCTTCATTTGCATAGGAGTATAACTTTGTAACTTCAGCTTCTGATGGGTCACTTTCCACAACCAATCGGATGTTTGCATAGGGTGCTTCACTTCCAGGTTCTGATTGGTCGCTTTCTGCAACCAATCACACTGATTGCGGGCCACTACTTCATTTACATAGGGTGTACACCAAGTAATGGGAAACCTCTAGAGGGTATTTCAACCCCAGAAAATTCTGTAACCTGGCCCTTGAGCTGCTTGCCTGCTCCCACCCTGGGGAGTGTGCTTTCGTTTTCAATAAATCTCTGCTTTTGTTCCTTAATTCTTTCCTTGCTTTGTTTGTGTGTTTTGTTCAATTCTTTGTTCAAAGCGCCAAGAACCTGGACACCCTCCACCGGTAACAGAGGGTCCCGGGGGTCAACTGGGATCAGGAGCAGCTGTAGCTCAGAAAAGCCTTTCTGGTCTTCTCCCTGCCCATGATGAGTGCGGGTGTGAATGCTGACGAAGGAATAAGTGAACAAATGAATGCCTCCTTCAGGACCAAATGGCCCCTTGGCTCACAATGGCTGGAAATCCCGGAGAGGCCCTAATGAAGCCCTACCTGGGGTGGCTCCAACCCACTGGCCACCTCTCCGGCTCCCCTGGCCTCCTCTGACATTTCCTCTCACCCAACAGCTCACAATGAATGAACTCAGCGCACTCCTTCTCTGGGCAGGGGTGAGGGGCATCACTGGCTGAGCATCCCCCCATTTGCACGGTGCCCACCAACTCTCCCGGACCCCAATGAGAGCACAGACACGGCCTCAGATCTGAACTGACCACAGGCTGAGGATGAGTGGCCAGTTCAGGACCCACTGCCCCTGGCCAGGAATGCTGCCGAAGGCCTCGTCCACCTCCCAAGCGTGTAAGTAGTGGGTGCTCACAATGAATGCTAAACGGACGGGCAACTTCCACTTGGCAGCTGCCAGCACCTGGGTTCCCCTCATTCCTGACCTGTGAGACCCCTTCCAGGCAGAGGAGGGGTCGCACACCAACTCCAACCATGCAAAAGCCCTACAAGATGGGAACCATGTTCACTCCAGAGATGGGGAGACTGAGGCTCTGGAAGCGCACTGTTGAAGTCAAAGGCTGGATCAGGGAACCCAAGGTTGGAGCCCTAGTCCTGCAGATGAAAAACAGACATCCTTTCTACAGAACACGAAGAGAGGGCCTGCCCAGTCCGGGATTGTGGGAAACTTCAAAGTCAAGTAGCTTAAATCCAAACAGCACCTCTGGCCTGCACGTGAGACCTGCTGCTGACAGGCTGCGGGCACGGCCACCTGGCCTGAGCTGAGCTGAGCACGGGCTCCCTGACAGTGGGAGGGGACCACTCCCTAAGGGGAACCCCAAGCCAGCCCCAGGCATGCTAGGAATAGAGGACACCATGCCAGGGAGGGAGAAGAGGGGGTGTGGATGTCCTCAAATCACAGGAGGGGAGCCCAGGGGACGAAGCTGCAGCAAATCCCAGGCCCTAGGGGCTAGCAGGCCACAGAGGGGACAGCCTGGGTATACCTGGGATGTCAGCCTCAAGAGAGACAGCTGTGGGAAGGGTCTGCAGGGCCAGAAAGCAGAGGCTGGGACATCCCATCCAGGGGGTTTGCTGCTTCCTGGGAGCAGCTAGGCCAGCAGGACTTGGTGCTGGAGTTGGGCAGGGACAGATCATCTGTGACTTGGCCAGGAGCCAGCAGGAGAGGCCTTGCAGGGAGCAGGCGGCCCCAGCTCCTGTCCATGAACTCCTGCGCTAACCTGAGGACTCAGATGCACGCTTCTCATGGTCAAAAGCAGAACAGTATGAGCCACATGGGACGCTAGAAGAGAGACTGCCCCAGACAGACACCCTGGCTGTATTCTGCACGGACAACACAGGCGGCACATAGCAGCCCAGGCCACTAAGCACAGGGGAAACGGACCTCACGGCTGAGCACAACGAGGGCGCCCAGGGCCTCAGATTCTGTCTAAGAGGGTGGGTCACATAACAATGACATGTCAGGGATAATGTCATCCAAAGCCATCAAGATAAAAAGAGGTTTGGGTCCTTAAATCCGCAGCCCTCTGGACAGAGAGTGACTTATTTGTTAAGATTTTTTTCTTGTTTTCTCAGCCAGGTGCAGCGGCTCACGCCTATAATCCCAACACTGAGGCAGGAGGATTGCTTGAGCCCAGGAGTTTGAGACCAGCTTGGGCAACAGAGCAAGACCTCATCTCTACAAAAAATAAAAAAAAAATTAGCTAGGCTTGGTGCTGGACGCCTCTAGTCCCAGCTACTCAGGAGGCTGAGGTGGGAGGATCACTTGAGCCCACAAGGTGCAGGCGGCAGTGAGCTATGTTCATGCCACTGCTCTTCAGCAAGTCGAGACCTAGTCTCTTAAAAAAAAAAAAAAAGATTATGCAAAGTGTGTTCATTTCTGTACCTTAGGAGGAAGAAAGGTGATCAAAGGACGGGATCAAGAAAATAGCTAGACAACTGGACATTATACAAATAAAAACTTTTTGTGCTTCAAAGGACACAGAAATAAAGTGAAATGACAGCTCACAGAATGGGAGGAAAGATTTACAAACCAGTATCTAACAGACTCTAGATCCACAATATATAAAGAACTCTCATAGCTCAATAATACAAAGACAAATAACCCAACTGAAAAATGGGCAAGGGATGGGAACAGACAGTTCTCCAAAGAAGATATCTAAATGACCAATAAACACCTGAAAAGATGCTCAACATCATCAGTCATCAGGGAAATGCAAATTAAAACCACAAACAGATGCCACTTCTCGGAATGAAAGCACTGGAAATTAACATGTGTTGGTGAGAATGTGGACAAACTGAACTCTCCTGCCCTGCTTATACGCTGCTAAGTGGGACAGTGAAATGGTACAGCCACTGTGGGAAAGGAAAGAGTACCTCAAAGAGATAACCACAGAGTCATCATGGGACCCAGCAATTCCACTGCTAGATATATGAACCTAAGAGAAATGAGGCCAGTTGCGGTGGCTCAGGCCTGTAACCCCAGCACTTTGGGAGGCTGAGGCTGGCAGATCACTTGAGGTCAGGAGTTCAAGGCCAGCCTGGCCAACATGGTGAAACCCTGTCTCTACTAAAAATATAAAAATTAGCCAGGCGTGGTCATGCACACCTGTAATCCCAGCTACTCGGGAGGCTGAGGCACAAGAATCGCTTGAACCCGGGAGGCGGAGGTTGCAGTGAGCCAAGATCGCCCCACTGCACTCCAGTCTGGGTGACAGATGAAGACTCAGTCTCAAAAAAAAAAAAAAAAAAAAGAGAGATGAAAACGTGCATCCACACAAATTCTTGCACACAGATGTTCACAGCAGCGTTATTCATCACAGCCAAAAGGTAGAAAGAACCCACGTCCATCAGCCGAGGTGGATGCGATATGCTGTGCTTTCCATACACACGATAGAATATGATATGGCATGAAAAGAAGCGAAGCAGGCAGGCTGGGTGCAACGGCTCACGCCTGTAATCCCAGCACTCTGGGAGGCCGAGGCAGGTGGATCACCTGAGGTCGGGAGTTCAAGACCAGCCTGACCAACATGGACAAACCCCGTCTCTACTAAAAATACAAAATTAGCCGGTCGTGGTGGCACATGCCTGTAATCCCAGCTACTCAGGAAGCCGAGGCAGGAGAATCCTTGAACCTGGGAGGTGGAGGTTGTGGTGAGCCGAGATCACGCCATTGCACTCTAGCCTGGGCAACAAGAGTGAAACTCCGTCTCAAAAAAAAAAAAAAAAGCAAAGCAGGGGTAAGTACTCCTCCCTGAGCGGACCTCAAGAGCACTGCACTGAGTGAGAGAAGCCAGGCGTGAAGGGCTACCTGCTCTACCTCCATTGATATGGAATGTCCAGAATAGGCACATCCACAGACAGAAAGCTGTCTGTGGTCAATGCCAGGGCTGGGGAAAGGGTAATGAGGAGGGCTGCTAAAGCCTTCTTGCTGGGGTGATGAAAATCTCCTGGATACCGGGCATGGTGGCTCACGCCTGGAATCCCAGCACTTTGGGAGGCTGAGACGGGTGGATCATCTGAGGTCAGGAGTTTGAGACCGGCCTGGCCAACATGGTGAAACCCCGTCTCTACTAAAAATATAAAAATTAGCCAGGCGTGGTGATGTGTGCCTGTAATCCCAGCTACTCAGGAGGCCGAGGCAGGAGAATCGCTTGAACCCGGGAGGCGGAGGTCGCAGTGAGCTGAGATCGCACCACTGCACTCCAGCCTGGGCAACAACAGTGAAACTACGTCTCAAAAAAAAAAAAAAAAAAAGGGTAAGGGGGACCATTTGGAGGCTGGTGTAATCAATGTCTCTAGTAACAGATTCTCTCATGGGATCAAAGCTAGTGACCAATTATGGATTTAATGTATAATTAAAATCCTTTCATTTTTTTTTCTTTTGAGATGGGGTCTTACTCAGTTACCCAGGCTGAAGTGCAGTGACACAGTCTTGACACACTGCAACCTCCTCCTCCGGGCTCACATGATTCTCATGCCTCAGCCTCCTGAGTAGCTGGTACTACAGGTGCCTGCCACCATGCCCAGCTAATTTTATGTATCTTTGGTAGAGACAGGGTTTCACCATGTTGCCCAGGCTGGTTTTGAACTCCTGAACGCAAGCAATCCTCCTGCCTCGGCCTCCCAAAGTGCTGGGATTACAGGGTGAGCCACTGTGCCCAGGCTAATGTCACTGAGTTTAATGTGGCCACACCGTCCAGAAGAGCTGGGGTAGGGCAGAAGCTGAACAACCCAGTGGCCCTGATGTCAGGGGCTTGAGCTCCAGCTCTATTCATTATTAGCCCTGTGACCTCAAGCAACCCACGTCAACCACTCTCTGCCTCAGTCTCCTCACCTGTAAAATGGAGATAACAAGGCATCTACTCCTCAGGGCTGCAGTGACGAGTGGATGAGTATTTTTTTAATTTACTTTTAAAAAACGTTAACACATATTAATAGAGAAGGTGTCTTGTCATGTTCAGCCCAGGCTGGTCTCAAACTCCTGGCCTCTAGCGATCCCCCTACCTTGGCTTCCCAATGTGCTGAAATTACGGGCAAGAGCCACTACAGGTTTGGTGTGAAAAACTCCTGGTCTAAGGCTGGCACAGAGCAAGGCTTCAGTAAAAAGACCCTGCTATTATTCCTTAAACATTCCAGCACTTCATTCTGAACTGACTAAAAAGAAGTTGCCCCAAATAACCTAACTGTCCAGGGGCTCAAAGTTTAACACAGCCCCCGATTTTTACCCATTTCTTGGGTAGAATCCTGGGGCTGACGAGGGAAGCCTGGGGCCCAGGGCAGCTTCTCTGTGCCCCCACCCCCAGCACACACTCCTGGGGAGGCTGCCTGCTCTGTGTCAGCCCTGTGGAGAGGCAGCAGCAAGAATCAGCCAATTACCAATGCTGTTCACACCAAGGAGGGCAGGGGAGAAGGATGTCCAAAGCTGGGGACTGTGCCTGCTGCTGGATTTGTAAATTTAACAGTAACTCCTTTTGTTGTTGTTTAAATACCCAGCTGGCCGGGCATGGTGGCTCACACCTGTAATTCTAACACTTTGAGAGGCTGGAGGTGGGAGGATGGCTTGAGCCCAGGAGTTCGAGACCAGCCTGGGTAGTGAGACTCCCATCTCTGCAAAAAATAAAAAATTAGCCGGGTGTGGTGGTACCTACCTGTAGTCCCAGCCACTCAGGAGGCTGAGGTGGGAGGGTTGCTTCAGCCCAGGAGGCAGAGGTTGCAGTGAGCTGAGATTGCACCCCCACACTCCAGCCTGGGCAAGAGCAAGACCCCGTCTCAAAAACCAAACCAAACTGCCCCCCACCCCGCCCCCTGGCAGATCCTTTAGGCTCCTGTTTCCTGAAGCAGAGGCTCATCAGGAAAATGAGCTCCCAGAGCCCCACCCAGGGGTGGGCCAGATAAGCCAGAGAAAAGCAGGACACCCTGAACAAGCGGCATGTATTGGGCCTCAGTTTACCCACATGTAAGGGCCCCTTCAGCTTTGCCACACAGGGTGGAGGGGGGCGCCTGCGTATGAAAGTCTGGCCAGTCCACTGACTCTTCTCCTGAATAACAAGGGGAAGGGTTACTGCCTATTTTGCCAGTATTCTTTTGACACAGGGACAAGGTAACAGGGTCAGGGCCAAAGGAAATAGCACAGAGCTGGGAACTGCCTCCTTGGAGCAGCTGTGTGATCTGGGGCGAGTCACTTGACCTCTCTGAGCTTTGGCCTCCTCCACTACAAATGGCAACCCTAGACTCCCTTGAAGCTCCTGCCACCTGGCTTGGGGCAGCAGCTTGTCGGGTGTGTGTCCAGCCTGCTGCTTCGCAATCCTCATTTCCCGGCTATTCACAGGAAACGAGGGGTGTTTGGCAGGGCTGGAATTGCTTTTCCGGGAATAACACTCCCGTCGTTAGGCAGGTGGGTCCTTCCTCTTTAACAGAATAAATATCCTTCACGATGCTCAGCACCAGTGGGGGCCGTCAGCGTCATCTCCAGCGGCTGTCCAAGTCCCACCCTGCTTCCCCTTGAAGAACTTTCTCTGGGGCTGTGGGGGTGCAGGGCCACCAGGCCTGAAGTGGTTTATGGAGGTCATGGCCCACATGGCAGCTCGGGAAACCACGTCCTGGCCCCATGGCCACTGCTAACTTGGGCCTCGCTCTCCTGTTGACAGATGGCCTCTAGGGGAGGAAGCACAGGCGTGGCTGGCGGGTCAGGGGCCTGGCTGGGGCCTTCGACTCTGGGCCTAGCCCTCCCTGCCACTCAAGGACCCTGGACCAAGGTGGGACAGGCACTCACCGGACGCCCTCGTTGAGGCTGAAGAGCTCCTGGTCGGGCAGCCCCTTGCGCTGGAAGACGGCGATCACCCCGTTGTGGATGCTGGGGGCAGAGGGAAGAAAACACTGCAGTCCTGAGGTCTGAGAGCCCCCTGGTTGCCCATCAGGCCCCATTCCTCTTTCCCTCTCTCCTAGAAGGGCAGGATAGCCATCCCTGCAGGACCCTGCTCACACCCACTTCAACTCCGAGGCCCTGCACCCCCAGCCCGGCCCTGCTGGAGCCCAGCCTGTATCACCAGATGCCCTCTGGTCACTGCCGCAGGACCTTGCTCCCGTGTCCTCTGCACACACTATGTGGCCAAACCTCAGCCAGCTTCCTTTCTGGGTTCTTAACCCCACCTTGCCCAGGCCAGAAACCAGGAAACCCCTGCGCCTCTCCCACCCCCCAACACATCCAAGTCCTGTGGACTGTTGCCCCTTCTCTACCTCCACGGCCACCCGGAGTTCAGGATCATCACTGCGTCCCTAGCCAGCTGTGGGGCTCCCGACCCCCTCATGCTTCCTGCCCCTGTTTGTAAAACTCTCTAAGGCTGCCGGGCGCGGTGGCTCACGCCTGTAATCCCAGTGTTTTGGGAGGCCAAGGTGGGTGGACCACAAGGTCAGGAGATCGAGATCATCCTGGCGAACATGGTGAAACCCCGTCTCTACTAAAAATACAAAAAATCAGCAGGGCGCGATGGCGGGCGCCTGTAGTCCCAGCTGCTCGGGAGGCTGAGGCAGGAGAGTGGCGTGAACCCGGGAGGCAGAGCTTGCGATGAGCCGAGATCGCGCCACTGCACTCCAGCCTGGGCGACAGAGCAACAGTCCGTCTCAAAAAAACAAAAGAAAACGAAACAAAACTCTCTGAGGCAGGAGCTGGCAAACGTTTTCTGTGAAGGGATAGAAAGCAAATCTTTTAGGCTTCCTGGGTCACCAGTCTCTGTTACAACTGCTCAACGTGACTGGTGTGATGGGAAGGTAGCTGTGGCAGCCGGGCATGGCGGTTCACGCCTGTAATCCCAGCACTCTGGGAGGCCAAGGCAGGAGGATTGCTTGAGGCTGGGAGGTCAAGACCAGCCAGGGCAACATAGTGAGACCCTGCCTCTACAAAAACCAAAACCAGGCCAGGTGCGCTGGCTCACTCCTGTAATCCCAGCACTTTGGGAGGCCAAGATGGGTGGATCACCTGAGGTCAGGAGTTCAAGACCAGCCTGGCCAACATGGCAAAACCCTGCCTCTACCAAAAATACAAAAATTAGGCCGAGCGGGGTGGCTCACGCCTGTAATCCCAGCACTGTGGGAGGCTGAGGTGGGCGAATCACCTGAGGTCGGGAAGTCTAGCCCATTTCTACCTCCTAGAGCTCTCCCCGTACCCCTTCCTGGCTTGCCTGGACCTCGGATGACAGGAGCTGGCCTCCCACCTCTCCACCACATCCACCCTCTGTGGAGGCTGCAGTTCCTTCCCTGCCCAGGGCTTTGCCCAGCAGGCACAGCCTGAGGTCCTGCAGGCAGCATCCAGGCTCCTCCCGACATGGCCCCTCCCCACACTCCCGGGCATCCTGAGCTCTGACCCCAGAGACTGCAGGACCCTCCGGGTAGCGCCACATCTCTGGGTCTTAGTAGCAACTGCTTCTCCTGTCTGGAAGGCCCTTCTCATCCCTATCCATGAGGCAAGCAGCTATTCATCTTGATTCAGAGGCCATCACCTGCAAGAAGCCCTCTGACCCCCAACCCCTCCCTTCCCAGTGCAGACTCTCCACTAGCACTTTGCTGATTCACTTTCCTGGTCATGAGTGCCCGCTGCTGGCCACGAGGTCCTCAGGGTGAGAACCAGGTCTGGGTACAACAGCCACCGCCCACCCAGGACCTAGCTGCAGCTCCAAGGTTCCTATGGCAGACCAGCACCACACTTCTCACCTTGGAGGGGACAGCTGTCCACACGATGCTGCCCACACCACAAAGCAGGCAGCTGCCACCATGCTCCTAACGTCCTCATCTGCTTTAACTCTACCCTTCCCTGTGACTTGGCCACCCATTTTGCAGATGAGAAAACCAAGGCCCAGGTGGCTAAGTCCTCTGCTGGAGGTCACAGAGCGGCCAGCATCTTGGGCCCCTGTGCACCTGAACTCCCCTGTGCTCCTTCTCCCAGGCAGCGTCCCCACACGGAGCCGGGACTGGCCAGGGCTTCCCGTCTCCCTATCCTCCCTGTCCTCGCTGGCGCAGGGCAGGGTCACAGGCTGCATATCCCACATGCTTCGAGGAGGCTCTGAGCAGCATGGGGGCTGTGCCAGGTTCCACAGCTGGTGCTTGGCCTGGCCCGGCCACAGGCTGAGATCCAGCTCTGCCCAGGGCTTCATCAGCTTCTCAGCGGGCACTGGCCGAGATCACGCCAGATACGTATCCCTGGCCTGGGGTGCCCGACTGCACCGGAATGCTCCTTAGTCCCGTGTCTGGGGACACGGGCTCTCTACCTTCTGTTTCCTGTCTGTAAATCAGGAATCGTGAGAGCGCCACCCCTAGAGAGTTTGAAGGATGAGCCAGCCCAGGGGAGAGGCTGGTGGCTGGTCATCCCCTCATGGCTGGGATGACGCTCCCCTGTGAGAAGCCCTGGGGTGGCCCCAGCCCCACAACTATGTCACAGTAGAGCTGCCCCCTGCCCCCATTTTCAGACTAAAAAAAGTTGAAAATCCCGAGGGAAGTCTGCTAGGAAACCAGCTGTCCCCCAACGGCAACCACCCTACAATCCTGGCAGCTGCAGACACCCTCCCAGCCCTGTGGCAGCTGTTGGGGTGGGTTGGAGGCAGTGGAGATGCCAGGGCTGCCTCCACCCAGCCCTGCATCTGCTGGGAGAGCCTCTGGGATATGGCGAGTGGAGGTACTCCTGGCCACTGTCCCCACACCCTGGATGGAGGTTCAGAGGTGCCTTCCCAAGTTCTCTCCTGGAGCCCAGGCCTCCCTTACAGCGGACGGTGGAGCCACTGCTGGACCCAATTCAGGCAGAGGGGACAGTGCAGCGGTGTAGCCAGGGCCTCCAAGGCTCGCAGTGGGCCCCAGGCTTCAGCCCTGCTGTCCTCAGTGATCTGCCCTGAGCAGCCTGTCCTTCCTTCCTTTTCATTAACTCCCCTGGGGAACTCCAGCCCACTCTGGTCACCCTGCCAGAGGTGACCCTACACCATGGGACCTCTGGATGAGGTTCTCCCTCTGACCTGTGGCCCTCTTGGGTCTGGCGTCACTCACACTGCCCTCCTGACTACCCCCTTGAGGCCCCAGGCTGAAGCTGCCCTGGCTTCTTTCTGCCCCGGGGCCTCCATCCTGCTGTTCCCTCTGCCTGGGGCTCGCCCTTCACCTGCCCTCCCTCGCAGCTGTGTGGGAAAGCTAGCTACTTCTTTTTGGGGGAGGAAGTGTCTACTTGGCTTACGGTTAGACCTCCTGACGCCCCACCTGGCCTCACACTCTGGCCGCACAGAGCAAAGCCCAGCAAGCACCTGCCAGCGAACACCTGCCCGCGAACGCCATGGCACGCCCTTCCCTCCGTGGAGGCCTGAGCCTCTCCTGGGCTCCTCGCCCTGGGTGTTCTCCCACCCACACTCCCCACCCCTGCCTGCTCCCTCTGTGGACTCTGAACTACACTTCTGGGCTGGGTAACTCGGCCGAGTTACCACCTAATCACTCAGTGGTTCAGTGTCCCCATCTGGAAAATGGACTTCTCAGTACAGTGCCGACCGCCCGGGGTGCTGTAAGGTCAGCACGCCCTGCCCTGCCCTGCCCTGCCCTGCGGCCTTTTCTGTGAAGCTACAGGGAGAGGCTTGTATCTACCACACCTTGGCCACACCCAGCCTGGGCCCACCTACTCTGTGGCTTCTCAGTCACCTAACCACCAGCCCCCAGATTACAGAAGACACAGAGGCACACAGCCTGGCACCCGCAGAGGCCCCTCCCCCACACCCAGGACCTCTGCTCCTCTCCACCCCAGCCAAACCCTTGGGAGAAGGTAGGCTAAGGGTGTTTGGTAAACAAGAAAGCCTCGCTGCGGGCCACTCAGGGATACAGGAAGGGCGAGGAGGGTGGGAGGGTCTCATGTGACCTGTCATCTCCCAAAACAGAAACGAAACCCCAGCTGCCCCTCTGGGCCCTGCAAAGACGGGCCCAGTTGGGGCATGTGTAAATGTCATGGCTTCTGGGTGAGGGCTTGAGTGGAAACGGCCCATGACCTCCCTTGTCCAGATGTGGACCGCCTCCTCTAGGAAGCCCCCCCAGCCCCAGCAGGCAGTGCCCTCCCAGGGCAGGGCCTCACATCCCAGGAGGGTAAGTCCTCCTGAGGCCAAGTCCCAGCAGGGGGGCCAGCCCCTCCTGAGCGCTGGGGGGGGGGTGCAGGTGAGGGAGAGAAGGGGAGGATCCTTAGGGAGGCTCCATGCTGCCTGGCAGTGCTGAGATCTGCTGCCACTGGGGCTTGGGCTGAAGAGAAGGGCTGAGGCCCTAGGGGCTGATCCGGGGGCCCTGTCTGTCCAGAACAGGCCATGGGGGAGGACAGTGCCGCACCCATGGCCTCCCTTTGGCTGCTTGCCTACCCGCCTCACATCCCACCTCCACCCTCCACCTCCCCAGCATGAGGCCGGGTTGGGAGGGGCGGCGGGTAGGGGGTCAGGGTGGTGTACCACCACACACGTGAGAAAAGAGCAGCTCAGTGTGTGGGTTTCCGTGGCGGCCATAACAAATTACCCCTAACTCGGTGGCTGAAAACAACTCAAATTTGTTCCCTTACGGTTCTGAGGTCGGAAGTTCTTTTTCTCTGTTTGTTTTTTTGAGATGGAGTCTCGTTCTGTCACCTAGGCTGGAGTGCAGCGGTGCAATCTCAGCTCACTGCAACCTCTGCCTCCTGGGTTCAAGCGATTCTCCTGCCTCAGCCTCCAGAGGAGCTGGGATTACAGGTGCGCGCCACCACTCCTGGATAATTTTTGTATTTTTAGTAGAGATGGGGTTCCACCATGTTGGCCAGGCTGATCTCGAACTCCTGACCTGGTGATCCGCCTGCGCTGGCCTTCCAAAGTGCTGGGATTACAGGTGTGAGCCACTGCGCCTGGCCTGGAAGTTCTAAATCAGTTTCCCTGGACTAAAATCAACGTGTTGGTGGGGCCGTTCCTTCTGGAGGCTCGGGCGGGGGGAGAAATACCTGTCCCCGCCTTTTCCAGCTCCCAGAGGTGCCCACATTCTTTGGCTTGGGGCCCCTTCCTCCATCTTCACAGCCAGCAGCGTGACACCTTCCAAGCTCTCTGTGCCCGTCACTGCATCTCTGTCCCTTTTACCCCCGCCTCTCCCTCACACAGACCCTTGTGATTACAAAGTCCTTTTCAACACATAAAGCCTCAGAGTCACAGGTTCTGGGAACTAGGGCAAGAAATCTGCTCAGGCTGCTTCTGAGAGGCACGGAGCTTGGGACCCAGAGCAAGCAGGCAGGGGTGGTGGGGAGCCACAAGCAGGGGTGGTGGGGAGCCGAACACAGGCCCCCTCACTGGCCCCAGGCCCCCATCCAGCCTGGAGGCTTCAGCCAACATCCTCTGGCCTTCAGAGACCCCCATGAGCACGTGCTCCCGGTGAGACCTGGGTTGAATCCCAGCTTCCGTCCCAAATCACTGCATGAACCTGGGCAGTCCTTGTACCTTCTTTTTTTTTTTTTTTTTTTTTTTTTTTGAGACAGAGTCTCACTCTGTCCCCCAGGCTGGAGTGCAACAGCACGATCTTAGCTCACTACAACCTCTACCTCCCAGGTTCAAGTGATTCTCCTGCCTCAGCCTCCTGAGTAGCTAGGACTACAGGCGCCCACCACCACGCTGGGCTAATTTTTGTATTTTTAGTAGAGACGGGGTTTCACCATGTTGGCCAGGCTGGTCTTGAACTCCTGACCTCAGATGATCCACCTGGATTGGCCTCCCAAAGTGCTGGGATTACAGGCATGAGCTACGGCGTTTGGCCTCCCTGTACCATTCCGAGCCTGTTTGCTCATCTGCAAAATGGGAGTATTGAGCTCACCTTAAAGGTTACTGTGGGGAATGAAAGCTCATCCATAGGGCCCGGTACAGGTCAGGGTGTAGGTGGTACTATTGCTGTGTAATGGGGAGCACGGTGTTGCTGGGGGAGACACGGGTGCAGGGTTGGGGCAGGTGGCTGGAGTGGTCACAGCCTCAGCTGGTTCCTGTCCAGGACCAGGGAGTGCAGACAAGGTCCTTTAGGGCCCTGCCTTTGTGCTCTGACCCTAGCTATGGAAGCCAGCTCTTGCCACCAACACCCACCTAGCCCTGGCCCCAGCTGGGACATGAACCCACATGTGTCACTATGTCCTGGCCCCATGTTAGACCTGGATTCAGACCCCGGACCCTGACATTAGCAGGGGATCTTGATCGAGTGCCTTTCCTCCTCTGGCATTGGTTTCCCTATTTGTTTTTTGTTTGTTGTTTTTTGAGTTGGAGTCTCGCTCTGTCACCTAGGCTGGAGTGCAGTGGCGTGTTCTCGGCTCACTGCAACCTCCGTCTCCCGGATTCAAGTGATTCTCCTGCCTCAACGTCCCAAAGTAGCTGGGATTACAGGCATGAGCCACCACGCCTGGCCAGGTTTCCCCATTTGTAGGCTGAAGACAGTCACCCTAGCCTTGGAGGTGGATTTGTGTGGAGTGAGTGAGAAGCGAATCATCGCCGGCCCTGCACGAGGCTGGCATCTTGGGGCCACGCACTACAACTGCCTGCCTGGGCCTCCACTTCAAGCAGAAGGTGGGCCCGGCTCTCTAAAGCCTCAAGCATTTGGGAGACACAGGCCTGGCAAGGAGGAAGTGTCCCATCATGGTTGAGGCCCTCTGGCCCAAACACATGGAGGGGTCTGTGTTGGTGTGGACTGCAGGGGTGGGGCTTGGGGAGCTCCTCCCACCCCCAGCTGGGGTCTCTGCAGTGGTGAGCCCTGCTGGGGATCCCCAGACAGAGGTGAGGGCAACTGGCGGGGCACTGGCTCAGAGGGCTTGGTACCCCCACGTGCCCTCATGGCATTTTGGGGCCTGCTCTGGGTCTGGGGCATCTTTTGGGAGTTTCTCTAGAGCCTATGGGGCTGGGGGAGGCAGAAGGGGATGGCAAGATGCATCCCTGCCAGGAGGCAGAGGCTGGGGCCAGGCCTAGGGCACAAGCACAGAGCCCGCCAAGGGCATGCCGGCAGCTGGGGCCTAGTCAGGGGTCACCGGGCCGCCTGACCCTGCCGGAGCCTCCAAGCAGGGCACCCTCATGCCCTGGGTCCTGAGGCTGGCGTGCAGGCCCTCCTCCACACAGGCCCTCCCTGGGGCCACTTCAGCTCTGCCTGCAGGGCACGCCCCAGTGGCCGGCCACTCCTGTCCCACCTCCTCCTCCTCCAGTGGGAAGATGTGAAAGTACACCTTGGCCCCGCAGCCCAAGAGCACGGCCTTCATAGCTGGAAGCCCCATAGGGGCACAGGGGCCAGACCCAGGGAGGAGTGAACTGGAGCTGCCTGGGAGCTAGCAGGGAACAGGGACAGGGGCCCTTGAGGAGGGAGGAAGGAAGGAAGGGGATAAGGATGGGGGTGCCAGGGGTATGGCAGGTCAGACTTCGTGTCTTTATCTGTCACCCCACCAGCCTGGGAGAGCCCGATGGGGACACATCTCTGCCACCTTGGCACTGGGAGGCAGATCTGTCACAGGCTAGGGGCAAAACCTGACCAATAAATAAGGAGTGGGCACTCAGGAAACAAGCTCTGCAGTCCTGGTTTATGTTCTGTAAGGGGGGCCCGGCCGGCAGGCCAGCCGGGCATCCATAGCTCCCTTACAAACATTCCCTGGCCCAAGTGCAGTGGCTCATGCCTGTAATCCCAGCACTCTGGGAGACTGAGGCAGGTGGATTGCTTGAGGTCAGAAGTTCGAGATCAGCCTGGGCAACATGGCGAAACCCTATCTCCACCAAAAATACAAAAAAAAAAATTAGCCGGTGTGATGGCACACACCTGTAGCTACTTGGGAGACTGAGGTGGGAGGATCGCTGGAGCCTGGGAAGTCAAGGCTGCCTGAGCCATGATTGTGCCACTGTACTCCAGCCCGGGTGACAGAGCAAGACCCTCTCTCAAAAGAGAAAAACCAAACATTTCCTGCACACCTACAGAATCAACATCCATGGAGGAAAGAATGGAAGGCAGACCCCAGCGAAATGCTCAGCACTCCAGGGCCCCTGGTTTGCTTTCCTCCCAGCACTAAGCCCACCTGCATTTACTTACCTCCTTGTTTATTTACCAATGCCTCCCTCTGGGAACTCTAAGCTCCAGGAGGCTGTTCTCTGCTGAATCTATGCCCTGAGCAGCCCAGTGCTGGCACAGTCAATGAATGAATGAATAAACGAATGAATGAATGAATCAATCAATCAATCAATGACTCAGTTCTCATGACAGAGCAAGCCTTACACTTGATGGAAATAGGGTCTTTGCAGCGGTATTTAATTAAGGACCTGGAGATGATCCTTAACTAAGGATGGGCCCTAAATCCAATAACTAGTGTTTTTACAAGAGAAAGGGGAGGGAGCCTGGTGTGGTGGCTCATGCCTGTAATCCCAGCACTTCCGGAGGCTGAGGCAGGCGGATCACCAGAGGTCAGGAGTTTGAGAGTAGCCTGGCCAACACGGTGAAACCCTGTCTCTACTAAAAATACAAAAATTAGCTGGGCATGGTGGCATGGTAGTGGGCGCCTACAATCCCAGCTACTTGGGAGGCTGAAGCAGGAGAATTGCTTGAACCTGTGGGGGCGGAGAATGCAATGAGCTGAGATTGCACCACTGCACTCCAGCCTGGGTGACAGAGTGAGACTCCACCTCAAAAACAAAAACAAAAATTAGCTGGGCATGGTGGTGCACGCCTGTAATCCCAGCTATTAGGGAGGCTGCGACAGGAGAATCACTTGAACCCGGGAGGTGGAGGTTGCAGTGAGCTGAGATTGCACCAGTGCACTCCAGCCTGGGTGACAGAGCAAGATTCCGTCTCAAAAGAAAACAAAAAAGAGGCTGGGCACGGTGGCTCACACCTGTAATCCCAGCACTTTGGGAGGCCGAGGTGGGCAGATCACCTGAGGTCAGGAGTTAGAGACTAGCCTGACCAACATGGCAAAACCCCGTCTCTACTAAAAGTACAAAAAATTAGCCGGGCGTGGTGGTGGGCGCCTGTAATCCCAGCTACTCCAGAGGCTGAGGAAGGAGAATTGCTTGAACCCAGGAGGCAGAAGCTGCAGTGAGCTGAGATCACACCATTGCACTCCAGCCTGGACAAGAGTGAAACTCCGTCTCAAGAAAGGAAAAAAAATAGAGAGAGAGAAAGGAGAGGGAGATTTGGACGTGGAAATGAAAGCCATGGGGAGGTACATATTGGAGTGATGCAGCCACAAGCCAAAGAGCCACCAGAAGCTTCAAGAAGCTCCTCCCCTAGAGCCTCTGGTGGGAGCGACACCTGGACTTCAAGCTTCTGGCTCCAGAACTGTGAGGGAACAAATTTCTGCTGTTTTAGGCCACCGAGTTTGTGGTCTTTGTTACAGCAGCTCTGGGAAGCTAATACAGTCACACAGATAAAAGGGGGTGTGTCTTGGACTCATAATGAGGAGTACACGGCCAGGCCCTGCAGAATGACACGCCTGTCCCCGACCCTGCACAGATCTGTTGTCCTAGGGGGCCCTGGCAGGGAGCACCGCTAGGAGCAGGAGCATGCAGACAGGGACCAGAAGGGGTGCCCTGCTCCCTGCAGTTTCCACTCAGGGACTTGGCTGGTGAAGCCAGTTTGCCTTCTCTTGGCTCCATCTCCCACATCTGCTGGGGAGGAGAGCTGGGGCGCAGGCTCTGCTGCATCCTGTGCAGGTGATGGATGAGCTGGGCATGTCTCCTGGGTGCTCTCTCTGCCCTTCTGCATCTCTCGGTGGGGGGTGCTGGTAATACCTCGCTGGGCTAGGAGAGTGGCAAAGTCAGTTAAGGGCAGTGAACGGGGCTGGCCTGGGGCCTGGCACATAAGAGGAGTGCAGGAAATGGCCGTGCCCCTGCTGCCTGGGGTGGTGGGAGCTGATGTAGGCCTAAGGGCTGGGAGACCTGGAGCCCTGCAGGTGCCGCGGGGAGGGGCTGGCATTTCTCTGCAATCTGCCAGGCTGCTGAGTGAAATCTGGTGGGGCGGGGGTTGCTCAGGCAGAGTCCCCCTGAGGCCTCCCTGAACTCTGAGAAGACACTTGAGACTCAGAGCCCACTCCAGGGTCACCCAAGGTTGGGTGAGGGCAGTGTCTAAGCCAGCAACCAGCCAGTGCCCCCACCTGTCTGGGGACCCGCAGCAGGACGCCCCACCTCGGGGGTGGGAGGGAGCTCACCAAGTGGCTGTCAGTGGGTGCTCAGGAACTGACTGATTCCTGTGGAGCCCTCCAAATGCCATCCCTACAGGGACACCCCGACACTGGTCCACTGCGTGAGTCTGGGGTTGAGCTGTGAGGTACAGAGGACTTACTATGTGCTAAGCACTGTGTTGAGGGCTTTATTTTGCATGTTCAAATTTCATCCCTACAACAGCCCCATGAGGTGGGCACTGTTATCTGCCCGTTTTATGGATAAGGAAATTGAGGACCTGACTTGCTCAAGACCACAGAGTAGGGAAGAGGCAGAGTTGGGATTTGAAATAAGTCTATTTAACTCTTTCCTCTAAATCACGGCAGAGATTCAAGGACAGAGAGATGGCTTTCATCTCAATACTGGAGGAGAACACTGCTCTTCTTTTTTTTTGAGATAGGGTCTTGCTCTGTCACCGAGGCTGGAGTGCAGTGGTGGCATCATGGCTCATGGCAGCCTCGACTTCCCTGGCTCAAGTAATCCTCCCATCTTGGCCTCCCAAAGTGCTAGGATTACAGGTGTGAGCCGCCGTGCCTGGTGGAGAACACAGCTCTTAAGACACTGTGCAGTCGTTGGGTCAGGGAGATTTCCCAACAGGAGTCCTTCCTTCACTGTTCCCACACCAGCCCTCCCCACAGGGAGGAATGCGAATACCCACTGACGGAGAGGGAAACGGAGGCAGGCATGTGACAGCCCTCTAGCAGTTTGCAACTCAGAGACAGAAGAGACCACGTTTGAAGAGGGTCTCGCTGGCAGCCCTGAGCCCACCATGACGCTCACAATGCATTCAATGAACTGAAAATAACGTGTGTCCAAGTGACAGCCGGGTTCCCGGTGGCCAAGACCACAGCCGGTGGAGCATCTGGCAAGATTTTACTGCCAGGTGTGGGCGCGAGAGGGGCAACGTCCACAGCCTCCCCCGAACAGTGTCCACAGCCTCCCCCGAACAGTGTCCACTGCCTCCCGCGAACAGCCTGCCTCACTTTCTCCTGCCTCTCATTTTCCTAGGGAGCAGAGACGCTGGGGAGTTCCACTAAATAAACCGTCTCTTTTCCAGATCCCGGACTTGCTCCTCAAACAAAGCTGGGAGAAGGGGCTTCCCAGGCCCCTGCTTGTCTGGGAATGACCCCTGGAGGAGAGTCCTCTAAAGAATGCCTCGCAGCTGCCGCACCCCCTGCTGACAGCTGGAGGACAGGGGGCCTCTCAAGGGAAAGCCGAAGGGAGCTTAAAGAGACACAGGAAGCCTGCGCGACCCACCCACTGAGCCCCGAGGCTCCCGTGCTCAGCCGCAAAATGGGAAAAATACTTCCTGCTCCGTTAGCCTCCCAGGTTGTCACGAGCACCGCAGTGGAGACGTGGAAAGACCCCGGGTAGGAGGCGGGCACGCGGCTTCCCGGCCCACCCCGCCGCCCACCCGCCGGGCGCTTCTGGGCCAGCCCCGGGCGCTGGCGGGCCTCGCTCCCTTCCCTGGGTTCTGGAACCACGCTGCACTGAACTTTCCTCCAGGCCCGCACCACTCCGGCGGGGCAAGTTCTTTGCAAACTGTGAAGCGCCGCGCCGCCTTCGGCAGCGTTCCTGGCTCGGGGCGGCCCCTAGCCCGCGGACGGCTCAGGGGTCCCCTCCCCCGGCTCCAGGGCCTCCGGGTGGCCGGGAGGGCGCGGCCTTACCTGTTCCAGGTGGCGTTGGCGCAGGCCCGGCGCTGCTGCGTGCCCCGCTCGTCCGCGGCGGCGGCCGGCTCTCTCTTGCCCAGGTCACTGAGGCTGGGCGAACTCATGAACTTCAACCTGCGGAGAGTCCTCATGGTGACCCGGGCCGCCTGCGCCGCGCCCACGCGCGCCCCACGCCGCGCCCTGCGCCACGCCGCACCAAGGGCCCCGGGCCGGCGATGCGCCCTCTACGCGGAAACTCCGGCGAGAGCAGGAAGCCGAGCGGTCCTGCGGGGTCCCGCCCCGGCCCCGCGCCTCCGTCTCGGGTCCCGCGCCGGCCGCCCCGCCGGGTTAATCATTGCACGGAGAGGCTCAGCGTGGAGCGCCAGGCGCGCGGCCAGCACAGACCCGGCGCAAACGGAGGCCGGGGGCGGACCCGGGGGCGGGCCCAGGGGCGGGTCTCGGCGCCCCGGGGGGCGGGGCGGGGAAGGGGGCGGGGGCATCGCGGGCGGGGCGGGGCCTCAGGCGAGGGGGCGTGTGCAAGAGGCGGAGCCGGCGTCTCCGCGGCCGCAGCTGCCACGACGCCTCGCTGGGTCTGCCCTCTGAGGACGTGCTCACCCTCCTCCCCTCTTCCGAGGGCCCCACGTGCCCACAGGAAACCAACACGCACAGGACGCAGGGCCCAAGCCCAAGCGCCCGCCCCCCGCCCAGCACTGCGGTCGCGCCCACACGATGTCCTTCGACCCCGGCCCCGGAGGTCTCCCTCCACAGCCCTCCTCGCAAAGGCTGTGCCACAGAGGTGCCTCCGTACCCCTCACCTGAACACAGGCTCCCCCACCCAGTTCTCATGAGGACTTTGGGTAGAGGCCTTCAGTCCCCTCCAGGCACCTTGGCCCAAGAACCCACTCCACCCGGGCTCAGCCTAGACCCCCTTGGACAGGGACTTCAGCATTGCCTGGCTGCCTGGAGGATTTGCTGGAGTGAGGGCTTGAAGAAGTAGAGGGTTTGCTCCTTATCTCCCACCCCCAGGTCTCTTGGATGGTAAAACCAAGCAGTTTCCCAAGTCCCTGTGGTGGGGGCAGAGTGATCCCAGTGAAGGCAGGGCACAGCCGGTGCTTCCTGCCTGCTTCGCAGAGCACTTTTAGATGTCTGATTTCACATGAACTAACATGAACTACTTCCGTGAGGTAGAGATTATTCTTCTCCCCATTTTCCAGTTGAGGACATTGAGGCTCACAGAGTGAAATAACTTGCCCAACATTGTGCCAACATTGTGCAATCAACAAATGGTAGAGTTGGGCTTCACCACAGGGAGCGTCCAGCCCCTTGAACAGGGCCCTTCCCAGTCCCCAGCTTCTGGGATTCCCACAAGGCTCACCTGACCCCTCCATCAGATGGGGGGTGACAGCCACAGCTCCAGGAGCTGGGAGGGCCCCATATAAAATGTAAGAGAGAGGTGATGGCTCATGCCTGTAATCCCAGCACTTTGGGAGGCCGAGGTGGGAGGATCACCTGAGGTCAGGAGTTCAAGACCAGCCCGGCCAACATGGAGAAACCCCATCTCTATTAAAAATACAAAATTAGCTGGGCGTGGTGGTGCATGCCCGTAATCCCAGCTACTCAGGAGGCTGAGACAGGAGAATCGCTTGAACCTGGGAGGCAGAGGTTGCAGAGAGCTGAGATCTCGCCACTGCACTCCAGCCTGGGCAACAACAGCAAAACTCCGTCTCAAAAATCATCATCATCATAATAAAATAAAATAAAAAGTAAGAGAGCCTCATGAAGAGTCTTTGTTTAGTGCAAATCAACCAGTGTCTCCTGAGTACCTCCTGTGTTCCAGACATAAATACCATCGTCTTTGGGAGACAGAGACATAAACAGACAAACTTGCTCATCAGTAAAGCGGGATGGAACGGTTCATCTCACAGGCAGCTTGGGGCCCACAGGCAGCAACAGGTGCTTTATAAACTAACTGTCAAGTGCTGTACACGTTTTCTTTTCTTTTTGAGACAGAGTCTCACTTTTTGGCCCAGGTTGAATGCAGTGGCACCACTGTGGTCACTGCAGCCTCTACCTCCTGGGTTCAAGCAACCCTCCCACGTTAGCCTCCTGAATAGCTGGGACTACAAGGCATGTGCCACCATGCCTGGCTGATTTTTTGCGTGTGTGATGGCGTTTCGCTCTTGTCGCCTGTGGAGTGCAATGGCGCAATCATGGCTCACTGCTAACCTCTGCCTCCCAGGTTCAAGTGATTCTCCTGCCTCAATCTAGTGAGTAGCTGAGATTATAGGCACCTACCACCACGCCTGGCTGATTTTTTTATTTATTAGTAGAGATGGGGTTTCACCATGTTGGCCAGGCTGGTCTTAAACTCCTGACCTCAGGTGATCCTCCCACCTCGGCCTCCTAAAGTGCTGGGATTACAAGAATGAACCACTGTGCCCGGCTCCCTGGCTAATTTTTAAAAAATTTTGTAATAGAGACAAGGTCTTGCTATGTTGCCCAGGCTGGTCTCAAACTTCTGGACTCAAGGAGTCCTCCCACTTTTGGCCACCCATAGTGTTAGGATTACAGGCATGAACTACTGTGCCTAGCCCACGCTCTCAAACTTACGGGAACACTGTATCTTTTAGATCCCAAACCAAATTTCATGGCCAGACAAGGATTTCCTACCTTACTGCTGTAAAAAAAAAAACAAAAACAACAACAAAAAACATATAAAAATACTAAAGCATGTACTGAATTGTCTCTGAAAAGAATGAAAACAGAGGATAAAGCCCAGATCCTTGACTCCTCGGAGGGGCCTTTGAGACCTGCTTGCCCTCCAGCTGCGGGTCCCTCCCCTGCCCTAGAACGTCTTTCAGAGAAGTTAGTTGCCCCTGTCTCTGACCGCCTTCACTCTCAATTAGGCTCAGGGGGCGTCCTGTTGTCACCCGATGACTTTTTTTCCATCCTATGCCATAAGCCAGGAGGGCAAGAACCGTAACAACTTGTTCACTGCTACAGTCCCCGTGCCTAGCACAGACTGGGTGCTTCATAGATATTTGGTTTAACGGATGGATGAACATTTATCTCATAAGAATAAAGGGATTACATTGGACCCCACTGGTGAAAATGCCTCATAAAAGTGCCCAGGCTGGACAGATGTGAGCGAGAATCTCCGTCATGGCCACTGGTGTAAACGCAGCAAAGCAGAACCGCCAGGGATCCGGATGGGATGAAATGGTTTCCCACGCCGGAGGCTGGCTCTCAGGAGAGGACTGGCTTTGTGGGCTCAGCACAGCCTGGTCCCAAGCTTGCTGACCACAGGCAGGGCCTGGCTGGCAGGAGGGGCCAGCTCCAGAGAGGGAGGGAGGCCTGACTGCTTGGGATAAGAAATCAGAGAGAAATGGGCAGCCCGAGGTGGGAGGCAGGAGGAGGGAAACAGGGGGCTGGGAATGCTGTAGGCATCTGGGAGAAGCGGCCAGCCAGAAATTCCGGAGGTGGGGATGGCTGAGGAATTTTAAAGAGATCTTTAAAAAAGGCATCTCTAGTCAGCGTTAAGGAATTAGCTATAACCTCTCCCTGGCCCCAGCCACAGATGTGTAAAATCTGTCTACACCCAACAGCCCAGCGCCAGGAGGGCAGTGGAGGCTCAAGCAAAGGTGCTAGTGCTCTGGGTTTGGGCCGTGACAGGCAGAGAGGGCACAGCTGCGGGGCTGCCCCGGGGCCAGAAACCCCAGGCAGAGGCCACAAGGGGACAGAGCTGTCACAAACCCTCAGAGCAGGGGGCAACTGGGGGACAAAGGGCGGAGTCTAGCCCCTAAGTGTGCTCTGTGTGGCCTGCAGCGTCGGAGGAAAATAAACCAAACTGCGTGCGGCCAACATCTTACAACATTTTACAACGGAGAGATTGACACAGAAACCCGGATTCTGGCCGCCCTGAAGCATCAGGTGACAGTCTTGCTGGGCCTGAGCCCCACGTGACAGCTCCCACCCGGCTACTGCCCCTGCCAGCAGGCACAAGGCCTCCAGGTGCCCACCGGGCCCTCCTCTCACTTATGGGGCTTTCTGGGTCTGAGGAGGGGGCTGGGGGACCCAGCAATTGTATTGTGGCGGGGTACCCTGGGCAGGGCTCATTTGTGTCTGAGACCAGGGAAGGGAAATGTCCCTCTGTTAAGGAAATGAGAGACAAAGGGACTCAGTCACACATCCCCAAAGCCACCAGAGTGGCCCCCACTCCAGACTCATTCACACATCCCCAAAGCCACCAGAGCCACCTCTGCTCCAGACTCATTCACACAACCCCAAAGCCACCAGAGCCACCCCTGCTCCAGACTCATTCACACATCCCCAAAGCCACCAGAGTGGCCCCTGCTCCAGGAAGGTGCCAGGCCCGATGGCATCAACCACGTCCTCTCCTCCCCAGGACCCAAACTCATTCCAAACTCCCCCTGGCCAGTGGGGTGTCGGCAGCTGGTAGAGGATCCCCTTGGTCACCAAGGGGGACCCTGATATCCTCAGAACTACCCTTCTGAAGGGCCTGCAATCCCTAAGCCTGGCTCAGCCCCGGCTGGACACCCAGGGGACAGGAACAGACCAGTAAGTCAGGGCAGCTCATGAACCCGGGACTCTGAGTTCTAGTCCATCAGCACTGCAAGTGACATCATGATCTCTGGGACACAGGCCAGCCAAAGGGAGGAGACAGCATACCCCTGAAGGGGCCAGTTTGGGGCCCAGGGAGGGGTACTATAGGCATGATACAGGGGCGGCCACTAAACACACTGCCCCGACTCGTCCCCACAAGGCTGCCAAGTGGGAGACCAGTCCCATTTTACAGACAGACAAACAGAGGCCCAGGGAGGCCGAGGCGTATGTCCGAGGTCAGAGTCAGCAAGTGGGGGAGCTGAGGCTGGAGCCCTGCGGGCTGGGCGGGAGAGAGAGACAGCCTCCATCTCGCCCACTCTCCCCGGGGCACGGCCCTCAGGTGGTGACCTCAGTTGCCCACGCCCTGCCTGCTTTCCTAGGCACTGCCTGCTCTGGAGGGGCACGTCCGCCCCCTGGTGGCGAAGCCTGGTGTTCCCTCAAAGCCGACCCAAAAGTGCCTTCTGCCCCCTGAGGAGCAGCCTGGTCAGTCCCGGACACCCTGGAAGAGGCCTGGCAACGTGCTGGGCACGGAAAGCCATGGGGAGTGCCTGGCTCTGTCCCCACAGTCTCTGCCATCCGGGCCGTCCCATCCCTTCCCTGAGATGGGCGAGAAGGGTGACACCACTGCCCTGTGAGGGCACAGAAAAAATCCACACACAGTCACAGGGGCACGCCAAGGGCTTGGTGACCGCCGCCAGGGTGGTCGCACGGCAGAAGGAGGTTCCTGAGTCAGGGCCACCACGCTGGGGGAGCCCAGGGTACTCGCGGTGACTCCGGCACCAAGCACCAGGCCACCGGACCTGGTGGCCTTGGAGCCAGGATCAACTGTTATTATTCCCATTTCACGACTGGGGAAACTGAGGCTGTGTGGGGAACACAGCAAGGAACAAGAAAGACATGGTCCCTGCTACCAGAAGGTGAGCCCATCGTCCCTTCCTAGCTCTGCCATCTGATATGTTCATGTCCTGGCCGGGTGTGGTGGCTCACGCCTGTGATCCCAGTACTTTAGGAGGCTGAGGCCAGTGGATCACCTGAGGTCAGGAGTTGGAGACTACCCTGGCTAACATGGTGAAACCCTGTCTCTACTAAAAATACAAAAATTAGCCGGATATGGTGGTGCACACCTGTAGTCCCAGCTACTAGGGAGGCTGAGGCAGGAGAATCGCTCGAACCCTGGAAGCGGAGTTTACAGTGAGCCAAGATCGTGCCACTGCACTCTAGCCTGGGCGACAGAGCAGGACTGCATCTCAAATAAATAAATAAATAAATAAATAAATAAATACGTAAGTTCATGTCTTCCTTGGTCCCACAGCAGCCTTGAGGTTTGAAGGTGGACCGCTTCCTTTAAGTCTTCTCTTGACCAGCTGAGCTACCAGGACTCCATCTGAGCCCTTCTCCACCCTGGTGGTCTGGTTCTGTGCACCCAAGACACGTGCCCTCCTTTTGTTCTGGATTTCAGTTCTAGGGGCCGGGGAGGGGGCTCTGGCCAGCAGGTCCCTGGTCTTAATACACCAGACGTCACACATGCACCTGCATAAGATTCTCTCTCCAAGCCACCTTCCCACCTGTCAGCCAGGTCTTGAACACCAATCGGTTTCCAAAGTCTCTTCTGGGGCAGGTGTTTTATAACCTGATTCTAGTCTCTCAATAGGTGCCTCTGTGGTATAAGGAGGTGACTGTCCAAGCTCGAGGATGGCATTGCAGAGACAGGTTTTGGAATCTCCCAAACTGGGTCTGCCCTCAGCTCTGCCACCTCCTTTGTGTCAAAGTTGTCAGAATTGGCTGGACGCGGTGGCTCATGCCTGTTATGCCAGCACTTTGGGAGGCTGAGGCGGGTGGATCACCTGAGGTCAGGAATTCCAGACCAGCCTGGCCAACATGGTGAAACCCCATCTCTACTAAAAATACAAAAATTAGCCAAGTGTGGTGGTGTGTGCCTGTAATCCCAGCTACTCAGGAGGCTGAGGCAGGAAAATCACTTAAACCTGGGAGGTGGAGGTTTCAGTGACTGTGCCATTGCACTCCAGCCTGGGTGACAGAGAGGGACTCTGTATCAAAAAAAAAAAAAAAAAAAAAAAAAGTTGTCAGAATCAAAATGGAATCACTTGTGTTTAAAAAAACCCTGACAGGCTGGGCGCACTTTGGGAGACCGAGATGGGTGGATCACTTGAGGTCAGGGGTTCGAGACCAGCCTAGTCAACATGGTGAAACCCTGTCTCTACTAAAAATACAAAAAAATTAGCTGGGCATGTTGGTGTGCATCTGTAATCCCAGATACTGAGGAGGCTGAGGCAAGAGAATTGCTTGAACCCGGGAGGTAGAGGTTGCAGTAAGCCCAGACTGAGCCATTGCACTCCAGCCTGGGTGGCAGGAGCAAAACTCTGTCTCAAAACAAAAACAAAAACAAAAAACAAACAAACAAAACCCCCTGAGAAATAGAGCCAGGAAAGGCCATGAAGAGAGGCTTCTTATATAAAAATGCCTGATAACAAGAATGATCACAAAAGGCTCTAAAAAACCACAACCTTGCACAAAGGCCATAGCAATCACACACCAAAAATACCTCTGTGAGGACATCTGCTCAGCAACTGCCTGTCCAACCTCGGGCTGGTGCCACCCTTGTTATTGATCCTTGTAGCCAGGGACAATTATCTCAAAACAATTATGTAATCCTCCTCCTTTTTCCTTTAAAAACCTTTGTCTTTCTTTGTCCCTGAACATAACACATAGTTTAATATGGCATGCGAATTCCCATTGCAATGCCTGATTCCTGAAGAAATATGATTTTCTTGTAGACAGCCCCTCTCTCCTTCTTATTTTATTATTATTTTTTGAGACAGAGTCTTGCTCTGTCACCCAGGATGGAGTGCACTGGCACGATCTTGGCTCACTGCAACCTCTGCCTCCTGGGTTCAAGCGATTCTCTTGCCTCAGTCCCCTGAGTAGCTGGGATTACAGGTGCCTGCCACCACGCCTAGCTAATTTTTGTATTTTTAGTAGAGATGGGGTTTCATCGTGTCGGCCAGGCTGGTTTTGAACTCCGGACCTCAAGTGATCAGCCCGTCTCAGCCTCTCAAAGTGCTAGGATTACAGGTGTGAGTCACGGCACCTGGCCACTGCTTGTCATTTAGGTTGATAGCTGCAATACCTTCCCTGTCAAGCTTTAGTCTCTGTCCTTGGAGTGGGGAGATAAGACCACGTTCCTCCTGGGGTTAGTGAGCACTTATTATGGGCCAGCCATGGGGTATCCACCCTTGAATTCCATAGCACTCCAAGGCAGGCAGCTATTCCCATCATCCTAGTTTACAGGTGGGTTAGTTGGGGCTCTGAAAGGTTAGGTGACTTATCCTAGGTCACATGGCTGGGCCAGGATTCAAACTCAGGCAGGAGGGCAGGCTTCAGTGTGTCTTCCCTACACTAATGAGGACCATGCCTGTGTCTGCCAGCGACCCAGAACAGAGTGTCCGTGCATGGATGGAGTCTTGCTCTATTGCCCAGGCTGGAGTGCAGTGGCACGATCTCGGCTAACTACAACCTCCACCTCCCAGGTTCAAGTGATCCTCTTACCTCAACCTCCCGTGTAGCTGGGAGGCATGCACCACCACACCTGGATAATTTTTGTATTTTTAGTAGAGATGGGGTTTCACCATGTTGGCCAGGCTGGTCTCGAACTTCTGACCTCAAGTGATCCACCTGCCTTGGCTTCTCAAAGTCCTGGGATTACAGGCATGAGCCACCACACCTGGCCAGCAGTCACCTTTTCTTTAACCAACATTATGAGTAGAGTGTGGAGGCAGGGGATGGGCTGGGCCAGCACCACACAGGTGCCTGTCCCTCGAAGCTTCCTGTTCTGACAATGACGTGCTGGCCCTTCTTGGCCGTCCTTGGGTATTCAGACTGCTCAACTGCTGAATTGTGTCCTCCAAAGACACTGAAGTCCCAGCCCTTGGCACCTATGAATGTGACAGTATTCGGACAGATGGTGTTTGCAGATGTAATCAAATTGAGATGAGGTCATACTGGAGTAAGTGGGCCCTAAATCCAGTGACTGATGTCCTTATAAGAAGGCCATGTGGGCAGGGCGCAGTGGCTCATGCCTGTAATCTCAGCACTTTGGGAGGCTGAGGTGGGCGTATCATCGAGACCATACTGGCTAACACGGTGAAACCCTGTCTCTACTAAAAATACAAAAAAAAAAAAAAAAAAAATAGCCGAGTGTGGTGGCAGGCGCCTGTAGTCCCAGCTACTTGTAGGAGGCTGAGGCAGGAGAATGGCGTGAACCTGAGAGACAGAGCTTGCACTGAGCCGAGTGAGCCACTGAGCCTGCACTCCAGCCTAGGTGACACAGCAAGACTCCACCTCAGAAAAAAAAAAAAAAAAAAAAAAAGTCCATGTGAAATGTGAAGTCACAGAGATACAGAGACCCAGAGGAGAGGGCTGTGTGAGGATGGAAGCAGAGACTGGAGTGATGCGGCCCACAAGCCAAGGCACCCTTGGAGTCACCAGAAGCTGAAGGATTCTTGGCTCTGCTGACACTTTTTTTTTGAGACAGGGTCTTGCTCTGTCACCCAGGCTGAAGTGCAGTGGTGTGATCATGACTCACTGCAGCCTTGACCTCCTGGGCTCAGGCGATCCTCCCACAGCCTCCCTGGTAGCTAGGACTACAGGCACACGCCACCACACCTGACTAGTTTGTATTTTTGGTAGAGACAGGGTCTTTCTATGTTGCCAAGGCTGGTCTCGAACTCCTGGGATCAAGCAACCCAACCACCTTGGCCTCCCAGGACACCTTGATTTCAGACTTTCAGCCTCCAGAACTGTGAGAGAATGAGATTCTGTTATAAGCCACCTGGTTTATGGTCATTAGTTATGGCAGGCCCAGGACACAAATACGTTGCCTTTCCCCAAACAGAGCCCACTCCCTGCCAGGCTCTGGCTTTGACCTCCAGGAAACCCCATGTCCAGATGGGGAAAGGTCCCACCCTGACACTCAGCACACTGGAGACACCCTCATTCCCTCTAGCTCTGCTTTCTTTAGGGGAAAAACACAAACTCCTGGGGCCAGGAGGAGTAACCTCTGCAAAGGTATCCCAGCCTGGCAGCCTAACACCACCCAGCTGTGCCTGGCCCCGTGCTGAGAGCTCGTGCACTTCCGAACCTTCGTGTTTGCAGCCGCCCTGCCAGGCAGGCCCGGGGAACATCCCCGCTCTGCAGACCTGCAGACTGAGGCTCCTCAGGGCAGGCGGCAGAGCGGGACGGACTCCCGGGCTGCACTCCCAACCTGTATTCTTCCCAAGGCACCTTCTTGGCTGGCAGCCTTTTCTTAGAAGAATCTTGGATGGAAGGAATGCTGCTTGGGATGTCAGAGTTCACACTGCAATGTGAAGCCCTGCCTGACACTGCCCTGGGAGGAGGAGCCCCGGGAGGAGGAGCCCTGGGTGGAGGAGTGCCAGGTGGAGGAGCCCCCGGGAGGAGGAGCCCCCAGGAGGAGGAGTGCCAGGTGGAGGAGCCCTGGGAGGAGGAGCCCCCGGGAGGAAGAATTTCCCCCGGTGGAGGAGCCCCAGGAGGAGGAGCCCCCGGGAGGAGGAGGATCCCTGGGTGGAGGAGCTAAGGTGGAGGAGCCCCGGGAGGAGGAGCCCTGGGAGGAGGAGCCCCCAGGAGGAGCCCTGGGAGGAGGAGCCCCGGGAGGAGGAGCACCGAGAGGGGGAGCCCCTGGTGGAGGAGCGTGGGAGGAGGAGCCCCGGGAGGAGGAGCCCTGGGTGGAGGAGCGCCAGGTGGAGGAGCCCCTGGTGGAGGAGCGTGGGAGGAGGAGCCCCGGGTGGAGGAGCCCCGGGAGGAGGAGGAGACGGGTGTGGGCTTGGTGTAGGATTTGGGGGTGTGGGATCTGAGGGCTTAGGCAGTGCTTTTTCACTCGTTCTTTCATCGCTCCTCCAAACAGCCCTGGGAGGCAGGAATGACTATTCCCAGTCAGAAATTCCGGTCCAGCAGGGTAGGGAGGCAGGAAACAGCCCATCAAAACTTGGCCCGCGTTCCTGATGGCATCAATTGAGCCCACAGAGCCGACTGTGGAGGTGATGTCGGCTCCTCTGGACACTGGCAAGGCCCTGGCTTCCCTCGTGGAGGAGGGGCGTCCAACCAGGGTGGCAACCACCAGCCATGCCCCCACTTCTGCTACCAAGGAGTCCTCATCTGGAAAAAACTTGGTGGATTTCAGTGTCTTTTTTTTTTTGAGATGGAGTCTTGCTCCCGTCGCGCAGGCTGGAATGCAGTGGTGCAATCTCGGCTCACTGCAGCCTCTACCTCCCAGGTTCAAGCGATTCTCCTTCCTCAGCCTCCTGAGTAGCTGCGATTACAGGCGTGCACCACCACGCCTGGCTAGTTTTTGTGTTTTTAGTAGAGACGGGGTTTTGCCATGTTGGCCAGGCTGGTCTTGAACTCCTGACCTCAGGTGATCTACCCGCCTCGGCCTCCCAAACTGCTCGGCCTCCCAAACTGCAGGGGCGCTGGAGGGGCCCCAACTCTTCACAGGGGCAGGAGGAGTCAGCTCCAGGCGTGCCAGGGGCACTGAGTCTAGGGCAGGGTCCCCACCGCTGAGTACATGCTGTGCCCAGCGCGGGCCACGGCCTCCCCACCACAACCCCTCCAGCTGGGTAGCCTCCTCTCCGTGCCACCGAGGTGGACATGGAGGTTCTGAGTCCTGACGTCACCTGCAGGGTCACAGGCTGGTGAGGGGCAGGGCCAGGACCAACCTCAGAATCCCCATTCCAGACCCCGGTTTTCTCTACCCAAATCCTCCCGGAAGCAGCCCAGATCTTCCTACCTGAAGCCTGGGCTCACCGTTCCTCTGCCCTCTTTCTCAGCCCCTGCCCACAGCCTGCCCACCCCCTCCACCACACAGCCCTCGGGGGCTCAGGACTCTCCTGCCTCCCCGCCCCGGGAATCCACCTTCCCGAGGCTGCCAGCACGTTCACTTGGGCACCCAGGATGCCTCTGCCCTGGCTGCTCAGAGGCTCTGGATGAGGCCCTCTGCCTGCAGGATAAATTCCAGGTTTCCAAGCCTGGCATCCAAGACCCTCCAGTCTGAGCACAGTCTTCCACTCCTTCCAATTCTGCTTCGTCTCCCGCCACGCCCTGCCAGGCCCCTCTCCCGCCACCCCCCGAACCAGGAGACAAAGTGCCCACTTGTTGCCTGGAAGATCTGGGCCTTTACCCAGGCTCTGCCCTCTGCCTGGGGTGCCCTGCTCCTCATCCTCCGGCTGGGTTATTTTTTCAGTGATAATAATAATAATAACAGTGGGTAGTAAAGTGCGATTCAGAGCATGGGCTGTGCAGCCAGAGGATCGCGGCTTCACCACTTAATAGATGTCGACCTCGGGCTGATTCCCTCTGCTTGACTGTGCCTCAGTTTCCCCATCTGTGAAATGAGAATCCTCATCACATCTCCCTCCCTGGGTAACCACAGGCTCTAAACGTATTCACAGCTGCAGGTGCTCACTCAGCCTTGGCCGTGACAGTGAGCGGGGCTGCCTCTTCCTCCAAGGTGGCCTCTGGCCCTGCCATGCCCTCTGTCAGGTTCCCCCCAACCCCACCATGGAATCCTTTCTCTCCTTTACCCAACTTAGCCAACAGTCCCTGGCCCTCCTCCCTCCCCCTGCCTTGTGTCAGGGTCTCAGACTGTGCTTGTCTCCTCCATCAGACTGGGTGCTCAGGTCAACGTTCAGGCACAGGTCAACACCCAGTGGACATTCACCTGCCCACACAGAGCTGGGGATCCCTGATCCGGTGCTTCCTCTCCTGGGGGCTCTGTCTGCCCACAGGGTCTTCTCTCTCCCTCCTGGCCTTCTGGTCACCTGCCCCCGCATCCCTGACTTCTGCAGCCTGCCCCCTCCCACATCCTCCTTGGGCCCCAGTGCTCAGGTGCCGCTTCCCTCCTCTGTAAGCTCAGTCTCACCTTCTCCTGTCAGACCCGTGCTGCCCCCTCCCTCTGGACCACAAAACCACCTTTGGCCAGCAGTGCCTTCTCCTGTTCCCTTTTAGAGCAAAACTCTGGAATGAGGCCGGGTATGATGGCTCACGCCTGTAATCCCAGCACTTTGGGAAGCCGAGGCGGGCAGATCACTTGAGGTCAGGAGTTCGAGACCAGCCTGACCAACATGGTGAAACCCCATCTCTACTAAAAATACAAAAATTAGCCAGGCGTGGTGGCGGGCGCCTGTAGTCCCAGCTACTCGGAAGGCTGAGATGGGAGAATTGCTTGAACTCAGGAGGTGGAGGTTGCAGTGAGCCGAGATCACGCCACTGCACTCCAGCCTGGGTGATAGAGCGAGACTCCGTCTCAAAACAAAACAAAACAAAACTCTGAGATGAGCTCCTGTCCCCACCACTTTTCCATGGCCCTTCTGCCCAGGCCACAGGTGACTTCCATGGTGCGCAATCCAATGGTCAAGTCCCAGCCTACACGGAGCTCAGTCCTTGAACACACTTGGTCCCTAAAGGGAGGCTACTTAGAGCCTTTGTTTACCCTCTTCGGGTAATCTGGCTACAGAAACTCTCGTAGCTGTGGTTCCCACTTGCCGCCCAGATGCCCAGGGGTCATCCCATAGGAATTTCCAAGCCACATCTGGCCCTGGGGGTGTCTGATAAGGGATGAAAGATGTGTACAGATGGGAAGATGAGTCACCAAGCTGGTAGGTGGCTAAGCTGGATTCCTCGGAACTCCAAAGACGACCCGTGAGTTAGCAGACTAACTGGACGCAGGTGGGCAGGATCCGGTAAGGTCCCCGTAAGAAATGGTAATAAATGGGAGGGTTATTATTATATTGTCTTCATCACATGAAGATCAAGAAGCTGGGCAATTTAGAGAACGAGAAAACCTAAAAATTCCCTCCCTGCCTGTGTCCTAGAAATGTTAGATAAAAAATTACAAACATCTTCTATGATCGAGCTTGTAAAAAAGTGTGGAAAATCAGGGGCCAGCATGATAATATTACAATTCTCCTTAAGATATATTTATATTATAACACATAAGATATAAGATGTAATAGCTGGAGTGCGGTGGAGTGATCTCGGCTCACTGCAACCTCCACCTCCCGAATTCAAGCCAGTCTCCTGCTTCAGCCTCCCGAGTAGCTGGGATCACAGGCGTGCACCACCATGCCCGGCTAATTTTTGTATTTTTAGGAGAGACAGGGTTTCACCATGTGGGCCAGGCTGGTCTCGAACTCCTGACCTCAAGTGATCCGCCTGCCTCGGCCTCCCAAAATGCTGGAATTACAGGCGTGAGCCACACTGCACCTGGCCATATATAGGATGTAATAGCACATTTAATACTGACATTACTGAAGGCCAGCATAGTGCTTGAAGTACGCAGTTACACATATGGAGTGACAGCCTCCCTGCCTTCATGGATCAAGCCCTCTAGCCTGGCAGCAACCCCATATGGTAGACTGTTGCTGCCCCCCATTTCACAGATGAAGAAACTGAGCCCCCTCCTTGCCGATGGAGCTGGGTTCCAAGCCTAAGCAGTCTGGTCATAGCGTCCGTGTTCTTAACTATTATGCTCTACTAGTTGCACTCTAACTAGTATAATAGTAACATTGCAGGAAATATTTTTTTCTTTTGAGACGAAGTCTCGCTCTGTAGCCCAGGCTGGAATGCAGTGGTGCGATCACAGCTCACTGCAACCTCCGCCTCCCAGGTTCAAGCGATTCTCCTGCCTCAGCCTCCCCAGTACCTGGGACTACAGGGGTGCACCACCACACCCGGCTAATTTTTGTATTTTTAGTAGAGACGGGGTTTCACCTTGTTGGCCAGGCTGGTCTCAAACTCCTGACTTCAAGTGATACGCCTGCCTCAGCCTCCCAAAGTGTTGGTATTACAGGTGTGAGCCACTGCACCCGGCTAGGAAAATGTTTTAAACTAGAAACTCAGGCCGGGTGCGGTGGCTCACGCCTGTAATCCCAGCACTTTGGGAGGCCAGGGCGGGCAGATCACCTGAGGTCAGGAGTTCGAGACCAGCCTGACCAACAGGGTGAAACCCCGTCTCTACTAAAAATACAAAAATTAGCCAGGTGTGGTGGTGGACGCCTGTAGTCCCAGCTACTCGGGGGGCTGAGACAGGAGAATCGCTTGAACCCGGGAGGCGGAGGTTGCAGTGAGCCGAGATCGCGCCAATGCACTCCAGCCTGGGCGACGGAGTGAGACTCCATCTCAAAACAAAACAAAACACAACCTCAGACATTAAGTGAAAGTGTGGCAGCCTTGTGGGGGTGGAGAGAGGGTGTTGAGACGGAGGGTTTATTAAACTGTGATAGCAGCCAGGAGACCAGGCGCGGAGCAAGCAGGATGCTGGGAGGTGAAACTGAATTCTCCACAGAACACCAGAGGGCTTGAGGAGCTGCAACCTTAATAAAATGTAGCCTAGAAAAAGATCTACCCACTGACAATAAGAGATGACAAGAAAACTTGTCTGACTCCTCCTGAGCTTGAGGTAGGAAAAAGTGTGCAGTTCTCCTGAGGGACTCTAGCCATGGGTCTGCTCTAGCCTGGGATTAGGTTTGTATTTATAAAGCCTAACCCAACCGATGAGAAAGTGGCCCCAGGCCTGTGACAGCCGTAGGCTGCTTGGGAGAGCAATTATAAAACGCTCTGGATAGGGAAATCATCATTAACAATAATTTATCATATATTTCAAAGTAGCTAGAAGAATTGTAATGTTCCAAATGCAAAGACAATATAGATGTTTGAAGCGATGGGTTTCCCGATTACCCGGATTTGATCAAACACATTGTGTACAGGGGTCAAAATATCACACATACCCCAAAAGTATGTACAAGTGTTCTATATCAGCAACAATAAACAATGCTCTGGGAGGCATGCCCACGAGCTGGGATTCTCACAGATAAAGCCCTTGCTGGAGATAAACTCATGATCCCAAATTACACAACACACAGAAACAGACCAGCCTGAGGGAGGGACAAGCAAACACCACACATACCAGAAGGAAATTCCCGAGAAACCATTGGAGGAGACTGTAAAATTAAATTTGCCTCACATAATTAAAGATGTAAAAGAAGGAATCAAATATCGTATTTGCCGGGTGTGGTAGTTCATGCCTGTAATCCCAGCATTTTGGGAGGTCGAGGTGGGCAGATCATGAGATCAGGAGTTCAAGACCTGCCTGGCCAGCATGGCAAAACCCAGTCTCTATTAAAAATACAAAAATTACTTTGGGAGGCCAAGGCAGGCGGATCATGAAGTCAGGAGTTCAAGACCAGCCTGACCAACATTGTGAAACCCCATCTCTACTAAAAATACAAAAATTAGCTGGGCGTGGTGGTGTACACCTGTAATCCCAGCTACTCAGGAGGCTGAGGCAGGAGAATCGCTTGAAGCTGGGAGGTGGAGGTTGCAGTGAGTGAGCCAAGATCGAGCCACTGCACTCTAGCCTGGGCGACAGAGCGAGACTCCATCTCAAAACAAAACAAACAAATAAAAAAAATTAGCCAGGCGTGGTGGCACATACCTGTAATCCCAGCTACTCGGGAGGCTGAGGCAGGAGAAGCTTTTGATCCCGGGAGGCACACGTTGCAGTGAGCCGAGTTAATGCCACTGCACCCCAGCCTGGGCGACAGAGCGAGTCCCTGTCTCAAAAAAATCAACAACAACAACAACAACAAAAACACAAGAATAGAACAAGATGTTGTGAAAGCCAGGTGCCCAATAGGGGAACTTCTTTTTCTTTTCTTTTTGTTTTGAGACAGTCTCACTCTGTCGCCCAGGCTGGAGTGCAGTGGTGCGATCTCAGCTCACTGCAACCTCTCTCTCCTGGGTTCAAGGATTCTTGTGCCTCAGCCTCCAAGTAGCTGAGATTACAGGTGTGTGTTACCACACCTGGCTAATGTTTGTACTTTTAGTAGAAACGGGGTTTCACCATGTTGGCCAGCCTGCTCTCACTCCTGACCTCAGGGGATTTGCCTGCCTTGGCCTCCCAGAGTGCTGGGATTACAGACGTGAGCCACCATGCCGGGCCCCAATAGGGGAACTTCTGATGTGTGGCATCATCACGGTGCTCCCCCAGGGAGAAAGGATGGTACCACGGAAGCCAGGGCCCTGGGCACAGGGCCTGCAAGTGGAACCATCTTTCTGGGCACTATCTGGGTTAGAAGGGGACAAAGTTAGGCGGAAGGGGCATCACGTATCTCGGCTTTGATTCCAGCCCCACCCTTGGTGCTTGGGATTCTGTGTAGAAGTTCTGAGCAACTCCAGCATGTGCCTGGGCATGTCTGAGAGGGTGTCAGGCACCACAGCCCACGCCTGGCAGAGTCACGGTGGCTGTGAGTGTGCCTTTCACTGGGGAGAGCTTGTGGCTTTCACTGGGGAGAGGGGTGTGGCTTTCACTGGGGAGAGGGTGTGGCTTTCACTGGGGAGAGGGGTGTGGCTTTCACTGGCGAGAGGGGTGTGGCTTTCACTGGCTTCTCTGAAAGCGCAAGGCTCCCACCTTAAGGAGAAACTGAGGGATAAGCATGGCCCTTCTCTATGGAGCATCCACAGATTTGGGGTGGAGGAGGGAAAACATTTTTCTGATTAAATACACATGGCTCTATTCCAGACAGAGGAGAAATCGTTTTTTGTTTGTTTGTTTTGAGATGGGGTCTTGCTCTGTCCATTCTAGTCTCCACTGTCCATTTTACAGATGGTGAGACTGAGGCCTTGCACAGGAGTGGGATATGTAGGGTCACCAGCAGAGCAGGACTGTCCCAGTGCATGGGGTAAAGGACACATGCTCACTCACGGAGGCCCTACTGGGTGCTGGCACTGCGTACCCATCTACCCTCCGACCTGGGGCAGACCTACAGGCCAGAATTTCCACCCACATTTTTCAGAAGAGGAACCAGAGGCTCCGAGGGAAAGCTGACTTGCCCGGGTTGTAGGGTGAGTGAGTGGAAGGGCTGAAATCAGAGCCCAGCTGTGACTCTGGAGCTACACGCTTCCCACGGTCAGTAACCCCAGCGGCCACCAGGAGCGCCTACTTCGTGCCGGGCCCTGAGTCCCGGGCTGCCACTTCCCTTCCCCTGAGAGCCACAAGAGGGCAGTAAAGGGAGGCTCCAGAATCCCCAGGAGGGAGGACGCCTGAGCCTCCAGAGATGACATTTCACCAGGGCCTGGAAGGATGACCTCACCCAGCACGGCCAAGTGGAGCACAGACCAGAGCGACAGGAAGGGGCTGCTCCCCTACTGTGGACGCTGACATCAGCCCGGCCCTGTGCTCTGCACCCACACCCGCTGTCTGCCCCTAACCTCACAACAGTGCCCTGGGCAGAGAGCTGGGGGCGGGTGCAAGCTGGGCAACACCAGGCAGCACAGGCAGTTGGACCGCGGGTAGGAGGTGACCCTCAGGCATCCTGACCCTGGTCCCCAGTGCTCTTTGCCCCTTCCCCATCATCCCCAGGACATTTTCTTTTGAGTCTCGCTCTGTTGCCCAGGCTGGAGTACAATGGCGCGATCTCGGCTCACTGCAACCTCCACCTCCCAGGTTCAAGTGATTTTCCTGCTTCAGCCTCCTGAGTAGCTGGAACTACTCAGCTGCCGCCACCACGCCCAGCTAATTTTTGTATTTTTTTTGGTAGAGACAGGGTTTCACCATGTTGGCCAGGCTGGTCTTGAACTCCTGACCTCAGGTGATCCACCTACCTCGGCCTCCCAAAGTGCCGGGATTACAGGTATAAGCCACCGCGCCTGGCCATCACCAGCACATTTTCTACCACTCTCGAGGCTGGATCAGACTGGCTTCCAGCTCCTGGCCTCACTGGGCTCACAGCTCAGGCTCTGTGGGCACTGGGGTGGGGGCTGGGGTGGCCACAGGTGGCTTGTTTAACTGAAAAGCCCCAGGCCCCTCCTCAGCCCACCCCTCTGGCCCGGGCCCTCCTGGACCCTCAATCAATTCTGGAAGTCCTGGTTTCGACACCCCCACCCAGTCCGGGGGACACACCCTACCTGTCGCTGCAGTCAAAGCCAATGAAACCAACCCCTGCGAGGGGCCCAGCCCCTGTTCCTGGGCTAGGGCTTCTGACAAAGGATTGGGCTGGCCCCTCTTCAGCCATCCATGAACCCTATCAAGGATGACAGGGGTGGACACAGTTGTTCATCCGTGGAAGCTGCTTCCATTCCCCGGGTGGCTCGCGAGTAGGCTTCTCATCTTACTGATGGGGAGACTGAGGCTTAGGATGTAGCTAATGAGCCATGGGGAGGAGAGAGGGGGTGACTCTGCAGCCAGGGCTTGGGACCCCAGAGGGACTGGATCTGAGGCCAATCAGAGGACCTGATTCAGAGGTCCCCAAGGGTCTATGAGTTGCCCTTTGTTGGGGCCTAAGGCAGGGTGGCCTGGGAGGGTGGACACAGTCTCCTGGCTGGCTCCCCCCAGCCCCTGCCCTCCTTCGGGGTGCTGGGCGTGGGAGGAAGGCTTTGCCCAGCCACCTGGCCCTGGCCCCAAGGGGGCTCCTCATTCAGATCTTCTCGGCAGTTTCTGGTTTTGAGTAACCTAGGTCTGGGCCCTCTGTCTTGTGGTTCTGGGTGTGGGTGGCAGATGGGGTGGGGGCCAAGGCAAGAAGCCTCTTCCTCAGGAGCTGGGGCTGCCAGGTGGCCCTCAAGGTGGGTGGCTATCTCGACTACAAACTCTGTCGCTCCCCAAGCACTGGCTTGGCCCACTTGGATTTCCCCAGACTCAAGGGGCAGATGACAGGAAGGGGCTCTCCAGGGCTTCACTGCAGGGATAAGGCCAGAGGGTGGCCATGCAGTTAGAAGCTCCCAGCTTCTTGCAGGCAGCCTGAGCAATCAGCTCCCAGGGTCTGAGAGGAGAGGCAGGGGACCCAGGGGCCTCCTTGAAACCTCCTGAGTGAATGGGAGCAGAGGCCAGCTTCCTGGTGGAAGGCTCTGTCCTTGGAAGTCAGGCTCAGTTCATGTCCACATGCTCACCCTTCACTTATTTTGGGATGATCTTCCCTTAAGCCTGGTCTGGTTGGCCAACTCCTATTCATCCTGCAAAACCCTTCTTGGAGTAACCTAATCCACCAAAGTCTTCTCTGTAGCCCTGCCCCACCACACACACATCTGCGTTTAGAGGACAGTACTGTCCAGACCTCCCGCTACAGTGGGCACATTCCCTAGTGGGCTCAGAGAGGCCTTGGGCGGCCCTGCAGAATGAGAGCGGCAATTTCCTTAGGTGACTCCTGTAATTATAACATGGCTTAGCAGCTACTCAGCTCTGGCCACACGCCAGGTACCATGATTGTCTCTGCGACATTCCCGTGTCGAGAGAGCCATCTGCAGCCTCCTTTTAACTCAAGTGTTTCTTGAGAACCTCCTATGGGCCAGGCCTGAGCTAAGTGCCGGATTCAAATCTGACCTTGGCCAAATCAGTCACCCCGTGCCGGCCTCCATGTCTTCACCAGGCTTTCATAATTGCTCTGTGAGAAGGCAGAGTGTGAGGCGCAGGGGGTCTTCATTTCACCTATGGGCACAGAGAGGCCAGCGGGGACATGGTGGAATCCAGAGCCCAGCACCAGAGGCTATGTCCAGGCAGCTGACAGCCACGGTGGAAGGTGGATGAAGAGCTCTGGCTGGGGCCTGGATGGGCCTCCTCCCCATCCCCTTCCTCCTCCCCCCATTCTCTCCACCGTCTGCCTATGGCATCCCCTGTATTAGAGTACACGTAAGGAGGAAATTCACCTGAGCTCAGTGACCGTGACACTGCCTTCCCATAATCTGCCCGGCACTGTGGCCAGAGGCCTCCCTGGAGGGTCCTCTCAGCTTTGGGGCCAGCAGAGCAAGGGAGTGTGGCTAACCTTGACCCTAGCATGCAGGCCTCCCTGCCTCATTGGGCTGGCTCCTCTCCTGAGGACATCTCAGCTCTGCTGGCCACGCCCCTTGTAACTCAGTGGGCCAGTGGTGAGGCAGGTCCATGGCCGCGTGGAGCAGGTTCCCTCTGTGCTGTCTCCCAGGCCCTGCAGATTCCTACTGTTGCCGGCTCCTCCCTCCAGCCACTGTGCTCTCAGGCCACGGCTCTGGCCACAGCATCCCTTCCACATTGGCCTCCCTGTGGCTGGGCTTCCTCCTCCTGCCTGCCCTCCAGGCTGTGGCCACAGGGACCTCTGAACAGGGCAGTTTGCCCACATCATCTCCTGCCTCAGCCCTCCGTGAGCCCCACAGCACCCTCTGCACAGCTACACAAGGCACAGGTGTCCCCCTGGGACTCAGTGGCTGCTCTTTCCCAGCAGGGCCCCTGGTCCCATAAGGCTGGAAAACACAGAGTCAAACAAAGTTCAACAGCCATCCTCGCCTCCCCAGAGCTGTGCCTGCACTGTCTGCTGGACTCTTCAAAAAGGGATGTTTCTCAGACTTTTTTTTTTTTTTTCTTTGAGACAAAGTCTTGCTCTTATTGCCCAGGCTGGAGTGCAGTGGTGCGATCTTGGCTCACTGCAACCTCTGCCTTCCGGTTTCAAGCGATTCTCCCGCCTCAGCTTCCTGAGTAGCTGGGATTACAGGCACCCACCATCATGCCCAGCTAATTTTTATATTTTTAGTAGAGACAGGGTTTCACCATGTTGGCCAGGCTGGTCTCAAACTGCTGACCTCATGATCTGCCCGCCTCGGCCTCCCAAAGTTCTGGGATTAGAGGCATAAGCCACTGCGCCTGGCCTCCCAAACTTTTTTTTTAACTAACATTTTGCAAAGCACTTCCCAGAGTTCCCAGGAACCCAGTCAAAGGAAGGCTGGCCCTCCGGGTGAACAGCCATCATCCTGCAGACTCCTACTATGTGGCAGGCATGTGCTGAGCCCTTCATGGGCTGGTGTCATTTGAGCCTCACACAGAGGCCAGGAGAGGAGGATCAGCACCTCAGCTCTGCAGATGCAGGGGCCGAGAGAGAAGAGACACAGGAACCACTGGCAGCACAGTAGGGTGAGGAAGGCAGAGCCGCTGCCGTGCTAGTCTGGCAGACAATCGTGGCCCTGGAATGCCAGGGTCCAGTGAGAGCTGCATGATGGATGCATGAATGTGGAGACCACATTGTAGTCCGACCCTGCTCTGTCCGGGTCCCGCAGCCTGTGCCCCAGGTCTGCCCTGCCCTGCCCCAGGTTCTCAAATCCCACCTTGGCTCCTTCCTCTGTCACACACTGCCACCACTGTGTCACCTTGAGTTCTTGGGGACTCTGAGCCTCTAGGCAGGCAGCTAGGCTCTGGCAGGGAGCCAGGAACCTGCCCTGGTGTGTGTGGGGGGGTCTCAGGCCAGATGTCCGTCCCCTACTCTCCCAACCAGGGGATCTGCAGCTCAGAGAGACGTCCCAGCCCACCTGCTGTGGTGGGCAGGCATGGGAAGATGCAGCAGCTTCCATGGGAAAGTCGGGCACCCAGGGTGGGGAGGACAAAGGCTGGCGAGTCCTGCTGTGGGACCTCCATGGAGGCAGCGCTGCCACTGCTGCGGCTCTGGGATGCCCACCTCCTCGCTGGGCTGTGGCAGGACCCCTTGCTGCCCCACCAGGCAGGGACCAGCCCTCCTGTTAGGTTCAGATGCTCACTTCTGTCCCCATCCCCCATCCTTCCCCATCCCCCCTTTCCTTCCACTAAACGTGCACTTTAGGGTGGGGGAGGGACATGCCATTCCAGGAGCTGGACCAGCATTTTCTATACATCCTCACAGGAAGCCACGGGGCAGGTGCTCTTCTGCCCATTTCAAAGATGAAGTATCTGAGACTCAGAGAGGTACAGCAAACTGTCAAAAGTTGCACAGCTGGATAGTGGTGGAGCTGGGACTTGAACCCTGGACCCTGTGACCCTAAAGGGCCACATCAGTATCTGTGCCCTACGGCCCCGAGCACCCTCCATTCTGAGAAACGTTTGTTGAGTGAATAAAGTAGAAAGCCCCAAATCACAGCAGCTCCCAGGAGGGACTGACATCACTGCTCACCCCACCAAACACACTCACTCAGGCTGAGGTCCAGCCCTCATTCCCCGTGGGTCTCTCGCCGTCCTACTCACCTTTCCCTAAGCCTCCAGCCACACTGCACTCACCCTCACCCATACACCTGCCTCCCTCGTAGCCACCCTTCGGCACAGTGGCACCTGTACAAGCCCTCAGGCTGCGCCGGCATCTTTTCCGGGCTTCCCGAGCCCCAGGCTTCCCTCTGTGAAAGTTCCAAACACACCATGGCTCTATGTCTTCTGACCAGCCTGCCCCATCAGACTGAGTGTCCCAGAGCGGGGAGGCTGAGTCTTACTATTATTGTTATTATTATTATTTTGAGATGGAGTTTCGCTCTTGTTGCCCAGGCTGGAGTGCAATGGGGCGATCTCGGCTCACTGCAACCGCGCCTCCTGGGTTCAAGTGCTTCTCCTCCCTCAGCCTCCCGAGTAGCCGGGATTACAGGCATGCGCCACAATGCCTAGCTAATTTTTTTGTATTTTTAGTAGAGATGGGGTTTCTCCATGTTGGTCCGGCTGGTCTCAAACTCCTGACCTCAGGTGATCCACAAGCCTTGGCCTCCCAAGGTGCTGGGATTACAGGCATGAGTCACTGCGCCTGGCTGAGGCTGTGTCTTTGTGGCAGTTGCCCCCCAGTGTTACTGGGCTCTCAATGCACGCTCGAAGTCACTGAAGGGACTCTAAAAATTTGAAAAATACAAAAAGGATGGAAGAAGAAACAAACCACCAAAGAAATTACTGCTCCCCATCTCGGTACATTTCATTTAGGTCTTTTTTCTGTCTGTGTGTTTGTGGGACACCACTGTGAGCATCCTAAGAACACAAGCCTGCTCCTGCCTGCCTCCCTCGCATGAATAAATGCTGCGTTTGCAGAATGGACCTGGGGTGGCCGCACGTATCTCCTGAGGCCTAGGAGAGTGGGGAGTCACTCAGGGTCACTCAGCTACAAGGGGAGAGGCTCAGACCTGGAGGCCAGTGCTCCTGACCCCCCAAGGCACTGACTCCCATGGCAGTCTCTTTCAAGGCCCCAGAAATCTTAATTTTCCACTGTCCAGCTGACCATCCATCATCCCAGGCTTCCTCCTGTCCCCTAACGCAGGTGCCCTGATGTCTGTCGCTCACTCGTGCTCTCAATTCATCGAATGCTGCTGGGGTCCCACTCTGTGCCAGCCCCCAGCTGAGCCCTGGGACCCAGAGATGAATCACACAGAGCAGCCCCAGGCTGTCGGGGAGACCTGGGAACAGGGCAGAGAAGCTCTGTATGACAAGCGCTGGCCCAAAGGCATGAGCAGAGCCCAGGGTGAGATGGCACTGAGGGGGCCGTGGGTCCGCCTGGCCTGCGGTGAACAGGAGGCAGCCAGGAAGACTTTCTAGAGAAGGATGCCTTCCAGCAGCGGCTTAAAGAACTAGCAGGCAGGGCGCGGTGGCTCACACCTGTGATCCCAGCACTTTGGGGGGCAGAGGCGGGTGGATCACCTGAGGTCGGGAGTTCGAGACCAGCCTGGCCAACATGGTGAAACTCCATCTCCACTAAAAATACAAAAGTAAGCCAGGTGTGGTGGCGGGCGCCTGTAATCCCAGCTACTTGGGAGGCTGAGGCAGAAGAATTGCTGGAGGCAGAGGCTGCAGTGAGCCGAGATTGCGCCATCGCACTCCAGCCTGAACAAGAGTGAAACTCCATCTCAAAAAAAAAAAAAAAAAAGAGCCAGCAGAAGCCCAGCAGGTGAAGGACGACAAAAAAAAATCAGACTAGGCATAGGAACAGCAGGAGGAAGGCCCAGAGGAGAGAAGGCTGAGAGTGAGCAGGAACAGACTGCATGTCCGGGCAGGTGGTGAGCGGGTGCAACAAGGGCCCAGCCAGGACTGGGCATTGGAGATGACCCGACCATCCACAGGGTTCCCATCAAGAGCCCGCATGCAGCCCGCTCCCTCTCACAGCTGCTGCACGCGTGACTCTGGGTACCAGCACTTCCCTTCAGAACTCTAAGCACCTTAGGCAAAACTTCCACCTTAAAACCAGCTGGTCCTTGAGGCCCCCAGCACCAGCTCCCGGTTATTTCCTGGATGAGCCAATGCAAAGCCTGCCAGGGCCTCTCTGGAAACTGGAGCCGGTGCAAAGGATGATCCGTGCCCACAAGCTTTGGTGGATGTGAGGCCGTGAGAAAGAATAAGGACACAGGTGTGATCCTTGCTTGCTCAGAGAAAAAGCCAAGTTTATCCTGAATTCACAAATTAGAGACCGAGGCTCAGAGAGGTGAAGCAACCTGTCCAAGGTCACACAGCATGTGAGCAGGCCCAGGCACTGAGCCCACCCCTCTGACTCCCCTCACCGTGGCATAAGCTCCCCTAGGGAAGGTCCATCTGACATGTCCCCCGCTGGTCCCTGGAGCCTTGAGCGCTGGCCCGTGGCCAGGGCACCCAGAATGTTTTTTATGAATGAGTGAACAAAAGAATCTGAACCCCCTGCCCTTCGTCCCACCCCATGCAGCAGTAGGAAGAAGCCATCTGCTACTGTTTTTTGTTATTGCTGCTACTCTAAAAATCGAAAGCACAAACCCAAAGTCACAGCACTGTGTCACATCAGGGCGGACAGACACCCTAGTCCTGATTCAGGGCTGAAACGGAGTGGGGCTCCTCCGGGGCAGGGGCACACAGCAGGGTCTTGGACTCAGACAGACCAGGGCCAAACCTCTGCTCGGCCGCTAAGCTATGAGACCCGACACGCCGCACCCCCTCTCCACGCCCAGGCGTCCCCACCGCTAAAACCAGACGCAAAGAGTGCCTACCTTGCTGGGTGCCGAGAGGACTCAGGAGGTGGGATGCTGCCAGGGTGGGCACAGGTGGAATCCCAGCCCACGGGTCTCCTCTGCTCTGCGACCTTGGCTGAGGTCTGCACCCTCCTGGGGGTGAGCTCTGAAACCCTGCTCAGCACTAAGCACACTGGATGCCTGGCCTTGGGGGCAGCCGAATGGCTTACACATTAGGAGGCGTTCACATGGCCAAAGGGCAGAGGGGGCCCAGGAGCTTGAGGGCAGGCGGCTCACTGGGCTCCCCCATGACTCAGCAGAACTCAGGCTGCAGGCTCGGGTGGGAGCTGCCCCCGACTGCACCCTATGCAGGGAAGCCCAGCTGCTGGCTGATAAATATTTTATCACTGCTCACAGAGCAGTCCCCAGGAAGGCGCCTGCATCCTCCAAGCCCACAGAGCACCCCTTCCTGCCCGGACAGAAGGAACTGGCCAGGTCCAAGGTACAGGGTGGGGTCAGGAGCCCAGACAGCTCATTCCTGCCCTGCCGACTTCAGGTAAGCTCAGCACACGCCCCTGAGCCCCACCCACACTCCACTCTGCCCTATGTTGGGTGCTGGGCTCCGACTGCTATGCCCCTTGGACAGCCCCCCTCCTCCTCTTCACCCCGCCTAGAACACCAACCCTCTGCCTGTTGGCCCAGTCGAACCCCCCATCCTGCTGGCCCAGGGCCATTGCCGCCTCCTTTAGGAAGCATTCCTGGATCCTCCATTTCTGCTGTGTGACTGTGGGGAGGGCCATCACACTCTCTGAGCCAGTTTTTTCTTTTTTCTTTTCTTTTCTTCTCTTCTCTTTTCTTTCTTTCTTTTTTTTTTTTTTTTTTTTTTTTTGAGACAGGGTCTCACTGTGTTGCCCAGGCTGAAAAGCAGTGGCGCAATCACAGCTCACTGCAGCCTTGACCTCCCGGGCTCAGGTGATCCTCCCACCTCAGCCTCCCGAGTAGCTAAGACCACAAGTGCATGCCACCATGCCCGGCTGACTCATTTTTTTTGTACTTTTAATAGAGACTGGGTCTTGCTATGTTGCCCAGGTTTGGCTTAAACTCCTGGGCCCAAGTGATCTGCCCGCCTTGACCTCCTAAAGTGCTGGGGTTACTGACATGAGCCACTGCGCCCAGCCTTCTTTTTTGTTTTTGATTTTTCTTTTTCTTTTCACTTTCCCAGGTTCAGTAACTTGCCCATCTGAGCCAGTTTCTACAATGGAGCTAAGGATCCCCGCTCATGGGGGACAAAATGAGATTGTGCCAATCAAGTTCTCCCAGCACCTCGCCCACACAGAGACTCATTCTATTTGGGGGAAACCGAACATCAGGAATCAAATCATAAACATGACTGATCGTGGCTAGGAGTGGGGCACAGGACTGCAGAGAATCTGGCTCCTGTCTGCAAGGATCCACAATTTAATTAGGATATGTGACCTAAGTAATAATAATAATAATAATAATAATAATAATAATAACAACAGCAACAGTAACAACAGCCACCGAGTTTTAAGCCCCACCACATGCCAGACACTTCACATCCCATCTCCTCGTTTACTCCTCCCAGAACCCCTAGGATGTGGGTTGCTTCTTGCTCCCATTTGACAGCAGAGCAGGAAACTGAGATGCAGGGAGGGTGAGAGCCCTGCCTGGGGTCACACAGCTTTCCACGTCATTGTGCATGTGGAGGCCCCACTGAAAGGCGGGCTCCAAGACAAATGACAGAACAGCCATGGGACAGATACTGTGCAGCTGCTGAAAACTCAGCATGACTGCTCACGAGCTCCTGGGCTGCTTAGGGACAGGGAAGATGCTCACGATATTACACCGAGTGAAAAAAGCAGAACAGGCCAGACGTGGTGGCTCATGCCTGTAATCCCAGCACTTTGGGAGGCCAAGGCAGGAGGACAGTTTGAGCCTAGGAGTTCAAAACCAGCCTGGGCAACGTGGCAAAACCCCATTTCTTTCTTTCTTTTTTTTCTTTTTTTTTTGAGACAGCGTCTTGCTCTGTCACCTGGGCTGGAGTGCAGTGACGAGATCTCGGCTCACGGCAACCTCTGCCTCCCGGGTTCACGCCATTCTCCTGCCTCAGCCTCCTGAGTAGCTGGGACTACAGGCGACTGCCACCACGCCCGGCTAATTTTTTTTGTATTTTTAGTAGAGAAGGGGTTTCACCGTGTTAGCCAGGATGGTCTCCATCTCCTGATCTCGTGATCCACCCGCCTCGGCCTCCCAAAGTGCTGGGATTACAGGCGTGAGCCACCGCGCCCAGCCTCTTTCTTTCTTTTTTTTTTTGAGACAGCGTCTTGCTCTGTCACCTGGGCTGGAGTGCAGTGGCGAGATCTCGGCTCACTGCAACCTCTGCCTCCCAGGTTCAAGCAATTCTCCTGCCTCACCCTCCTGAGTAGCTGGGATTACAGGTGTATGCCACCATGCCCGGCTAATTTTTGTATTTTCTAGTAGAGACTAGGTTTCACCATGTTGGCCAGGCTGGTCTTGAACTATTTTTTTTTCTTTTTTTTTAGACGGAGTCTCTCTCTGTCGCCCAGGCTGGAGTGCAGTGGCGGTCTTGGCTCACTGCAACCTCCGCCTCCCGGGTTCACGCCATTCTCCTGCCTCAGCCTCCCTAGTAGCTGGGACTACAGGCGCCTGCCACCACGCCCGGCTAATTTTTGTATTTTTAGTGGAGACGGGGTTTCACCGTGTTAGCCAGGATGGTCTCGATCTCCTGACCTCGTGATCCGCCCGCCTCAGCCTCCCAAAGTGCTGGGATTACAGGCGTGAGCCACCGTACCCGGCCTGGTCTTGAACTCTTGACCTCAGGCGATCCACCCATCTCGGCCTCCCAAAGTGCTGGGGTTACAGGCATGAGCCACCGTGCCTGGCTGCAAAACCTCATTTCCACACACAAAAAATAAAAAATAAAAATAAACCCAAAAAACCAAAAACAAAAAACAAACGAAAACACTGGCAGGGTGTGGTGGTGCGTGCCTGTGGTCCCAGCTACCCGGAATGTGGTGATTGTGCCACTGCACTCCAGCCTGGGCAAAAGAGCAAGGCACTGTCTAAAAAAAAAAAAAGAAAAGAAAACAAGAAAAAAGCAGGATACAGAACCGTAGAGCTGTAGGTGTAGTGCTGCAATGACACTGTGCAACAGGACTTCTACCTCAGAACAAATTGACTGGAAATGAATATGTTTAGGGAGAAAGGCTGCAGGCAGAATCAGAGCCCGTTCTCCAGACTCTGTCCAATATGGCGATGTTGGTTTTATATTTAAAATTTCCCTTAGAAAGAGGATTTGTCCACCCCAAGGCTTTATGAGCAGCTACTGTCTGTCCTCTTTGTTGAGCATTTTACTCCTCTCTCAGCCTCAGGTTTGGCCTGTGGAAGGCATGAAGCAGAACGTGGGCCCACCCTCTCCCAGCCATAGGTAGATCTCCTGGCCCCTCCATCACAGCAAAGCCAAAGCCACGCTCAGGATCTTCTCCCTGTCTTCCCTTTCCACAGGGGGTCTATTTACCAAGGACCATCACCGCCACCTACCCAAGCCCTAGACTATCAGTCATAGGGGCTTAGAGAGTAGTGAGCTCCCCGTTATTGAGAATAATCAAGTAGGGAGCCACACGTCTATCCACCAAGAAGTGGCCACAACGGATGGCTTTCTGTTCGTCTAAATCAGACCCAAATGCCTCACCAGTGGGTGACCTTGGGCAAGATACTGATATCTTTCTATCCTACCCTCCTGGTCTGTACAATGGGATGATGATGGAACAGTGAACGCAGAGGCCCTTCAGAGGGTTAAAAGAGGGCAAGTAGGTAAACTTCTAAGACGCTGTCCAGTGCCTCCCAAGAGCTGCCTATGCATTGGCCATTATTATTTGGCAGCTTTCGCCTACTCACCCCAGGAGCTATGCAGGGCAGAAATCAAAATTCCTGTTTCACAGATTAGAAAACTGAGGCACGGAGAGTAACACCCTCAGACTCAAAGGGGCTGTAAGCAGTGGAACCAGGGCCAGAACTCGGGTCTTCTGGCACTAAGTGGGGGCTATGCCCCCAGGCTAGGTCCTCTCTCCCTTCATGTCTCTGGCCTGGATTCTCTTCTGGGCACTAGGTGGATTGCTTTTGCTGGGGAAACTGCTTTTGCAACCCAGTGAAGGCCTTTAACCAACCCAGCAGATGGCACAGAAAGCACAGCCTTAAGAACCTTCCAGAAAATGAGCAGGACTCATGCTGGGGTCAGAGGAGCCCGCCATGGTGGTTCCTGATGGCAAGGCTCTGTGGCAGTATTTCCTGACCTTCGCGCATGCTGTGTAGTGGGGTGGAGCATGCAGACCCAGGTTTGAGTCCCAGCCGTGCCCCCTTGCTATGGCTCTGGGCAGTCACTTGGTCTCCCTGAGCCTCAGTTTGCCCATCTGTCAATTGGGCAGGGCCACGCCCACCTCGTGGGCTGGCTGGGAGGAGTAGGTGAGACAGTGCCTGGGAAGGTCTATGCACAGGGGCTGGCTGGCAGGACAGGAGCTCAGAGGATGGCAGGCAGCCCCTCCCTTCCAGAGGGTAGCCCACGCTTGGGAGTCAGAACTCAGGACAGCAATGCCCTCTGTGCCGAGACAAATACATGTGTTTTCTTGACATCTTTTATTTTATTTATTTATTTAGAGACGGTGTCTCGCTCTGTCTTGCCCAGGCTGGAGTGCAGGCACGTGATCTCAGCTCACTACAGCCTCTGCCTCCTGGGTTCAAGCAATTCTCCTGTCTCAGCCTCCCGAGTAGCTGGGACTACAGGTGTGTGCCACCACGCCTGGCTAATTTTGTATTTTTAACAGAGATGGGGTTTCACCATGCTGGCCAGCCTGCTCTCGAACTCCTGACCCCAGGTGATCCACCTGCCTCAACCTCCCAAACTGCTGGAATTACAGGGATGAGCCACCGTGCCCGGCCATCTTGACATCTTTTAAACCAGGACTTGGCCCTTCCCCATCCCCACTTGCCCCAGCATGTGGGTATCCGTGTAACACAACAGCAAACTCCATCTCTCTCCCTACTCCTCTGGGGCAGGGGACAGAAGGGCACAGGCATCAGTTGAGGGCTTCCTTGGGCCAGGCCCAGAGTGAGCACTGTATTTATCTCATTTCCTGTACCCTTAGGGCCACCCCAACATTAACATTAATACCAATACCACGGCTGATGCCAAGGCAGGGTTATCACAGGATCACGACACTACAAGACCACAGCACTACAAGACTATGCACCACAAGGCTATGTCACTAGACATCAGTATAGCAAGACCACGTGGCTACAGAATGACATCACTACTTTACACAACTCACAGGGAACAGTCCTAACTGGGATTGTTCAAGCACCTGACATGAAGTTGCTTAACTCTCACAGCAGCCTACAGCCTAGAGTGCGGCAGGAATCACTATTTCATTGATGAAGAAGTGGAGGTAGACAGAGGTTAAGTAACTTGCCAAGACCTCCTGAGAGGTGGGACAGGATTCGAACCCAGGCAGCTGGCTCCAGAACCCACCCCCTCAGTCGCCTAAGCTGTTTATTCCAATCTGCACCTTGCAATGAGAGAACTGAAGCTCAGGGAGCTTAGGCAATTTTCCCAGCTTTAGTCAGGGCAGGTGGCCCTGACTCTGGGATCCCTAACCTTTCCCCTCTCCCTGGCTTCTGAAGGCTCCTCCTGCTGGGCCACCAGAAGCTGAGGGTCTGAGGATCTGCAGCCAAGCCTCTGGGTAGCAGCAGCACCAGGGCTGCTCTCCGAGACGGAGGGTTTCTGAAGTCACCGAGAAATATGCTCACCAGACTTCCAAGCCCCCGTGCCACCACGTGCTCCCCAGCAAGATTCAATTTTAAGACATAAGAAAAAAGAGAGATGTGGTTAAAATAAAAAATGAGGGCTGTCTTGTCACCAAGAAGCCACCTCTTTGTTCAGCTAAACCATGTCTTCATGATGGCCCAAGATTCTGATTCACATTTCTTGCCTCTAATCTAAGAGATGGCTGGTCCTGTTCAGCGCTGGCCCCCTGCGGCCCCCCTCTGGGCTTCAGGATGAGGGTCTTGAAGCAGGATGCCCTGACCCTGCTGTTTGAGCCTGTGGGTGACCCACACTGCCATCTGACCCGGATAGCACCACATTCACACAGCATCAGTAGCCTGTCTGTTTCTGCCTGGGTTTTTCTATCTTGAGGGGCCCTCCTTGCCATCTGTGGGGCCTGGGGAAGGTCTTCATGAATGAGTAAATGAATGAATGAATGAATGACTCCCCTCCTCTATGGGAGTCTCACGAGAGCTCTGTTCTTCTCACACATGTCCCAGAAGACGGTTTTGTTCACATCCACAAATGTCCACAACTTGCGGCACCCAGAGAGGGGCTGGTGTTCCTCTTTCCTTCTCGTCACCCACCCCTCCTGGTGTCTGCGCCCCTGACTTACTGGGCGTGAGCAGGAAAGCTGGCACCACACCACGCTGCCCGCCTCTGCCAGGCAGTTCTGTGTTACCGTCCCCAGGCCTTTTAAGCCATCCCTTAGAAACAAAAAACCCATTAGCTCACAAATGTTTCTGCACAGGCTGCTTTCCCTGCCGGTGAGGAATTAAGTCCATGCAAGTATCCCCATCGCCACCCAGTTAAAACAGCCAAGACACAGAAGTGCCAGCCCTTCTCACGGCCGATCCACCCACACCATGGTGTGCTTGCGACGTGGGGTACCACACTTCTTTGGACCTCCCTGACTGCCCCTGTGGGTGGATGAGTGGGGGTAATATGATGATCGCCAGTTTTCAGGTGAGTAACCCAAGGACCAGAGAAGCAAAGTGACTTGTCCAGGGCCACACAGCCAGCCAGTGCTGGAGCTGGGATCCTGACTCAGGCCTGCCGGACTTCACAGCAATCCCCGCCCCACGATTTAAACAAAGGGCTCAGAATCCCAGACTGTTTGGCAGGAAAGGTCCCTGGGGAGGCCATAACCTCCTCTGACTGCTGGGGGACTTGGGCTCCAAGAGGGGAGCGGCTTGCCCAGGGACACAGCAAAGTTGTAGACGCCAGGATGGGCCCTTCTTGGTCCTCTTCGCTGTCCGCCAGCCGGAGGAAGGTAGATGACTTTGTCCCCCTCATCCGATGTTAACACCAAGCGGTGCTCACACCTGAATGTGCATTAGAATGACGATGGGGGACTTACAAAATGCAGATTCCTGGTGCCCCCTTACCAGCTCAGGACAGGGACCAGGAATTGACATTTTATCAAGCACTGTCATCAAGGAGGATGATCTGGGGGTCCAGGACCTCACTTGGAGAGCCCCAGCTTACCCCCAGGATTCTGGAGGCTGCGCCGAGTGCAGAAGGCCGGAGGGGCCACAGGGAGGCGCCCTCCCGCCTCCAGATCCAGTCCAGGGAATGGGACTCACCACTCTCCCACCAAGAGCATCACTCATCACCTTGCAGCTAGGCCACCCCACACGGTCCTCATGGCCTCTGTCCACAGATGTCACTCCCACCCATGCCACTGGTAGGGAAGTGGAGGCCGCTTGGAGGAAGTGACCCAGTCGCTGGGACCACATCTTGTGACCTTTGGACATGGGACCCTCCCCCAGCCTTCTACCTTGGCTCTGGTGGAAAAAATCTTAGAAAGCGTCAGGCTCTGCTTATGGGAACAGGGTCTAGAAATCCATCTGATTAGGTCAGAGGCGCAGACCCGTGGCCAGGCAGACCTGCCCAGTATCCCCACCTGCCAAGGGATGGTGAGGGTGTCTCCCCAGGTTCTGACCTTACAGACCACTAAGCGCTCCAGCCCTGGAGTCTCTGTCCCGGGGTCTGCCTGCTGCCTCCACCTGCCCCCACCCACTCTGCAGGGCCAGCTACCAGCCAGGAAGTGGCTGGAGGCCCAGGCCAGAGGCCAGAGCGGTGGGGGCCACAGGCTGAGCCAGGACAGGGCTCAGAAAGGAAGGGTCCCCCATCCTCGACCATCTTTGTTTGCCCTATTAGGGGGAGCAATGGCGAGGGAGGGGAGAGCTGCCATGGGGAGAGAGCGGTGTCGGGGAAGGAGATGGGGACACGGGGCGGCTGGACGGAGACCCACCCACAGAGACGCGGACAAACTCAGAGATAGAGGGAAGGGGGCGGGGCGGGGGGCGAGCGAGAGAGGCTGGGAGAGAACGAGCTCGGGAGGTCCCGGGAGGCTGGGGTGGGAGAGGCTGGACCTTCACCCAAGGGGGCCGCCCCTGCCCCGCAGATTCCGTCCGACCCCTACCCCACCCTAGGGCCCCGCAGTCGGCGTCGCGCGCGCGCGCACCTACGCGCGCACACACACGCGCGCGCCGCTCCGCCGGCACCGCCCCGGGGCCCCCCCTTCCGCAGGGTCGCGCGTGCCGCCCCCCAACCCCAGCCACCCGGTCCCCTCTCCGGCCGGGCCTCCGGACCCGTAGCCGCCGCTCACCTCGGTCCCCGCGCCGCCGCCGCCGCTGCCACCGCGCAGAGCCAGAGCCGGAGCCGGAGCCGGAGCCCGGGGCCGGGGGAGGGGGCCGCGGAGGCCCCGCCCCGCCCCGCTCCGCCGCGTCCCGCCCCTCGGGCCCGCGCGGGGGCGCCCGCAGCCGCCGCAGCCCCCAGGGACTCGGGGCGCTGCAGGGGAGACTCGCCTAAGTGCGGCAAGCGGGTCCGCGGGCACGCCCACCCGGGTCCGCCGGAGCTGGGGGGCTGGCGCTTGGGCCCCCTCCCGGCCTCCGCCCCTGAGCACTGCGCAGGCTGTGGGCGGCGCCCGCCGGGGCAGGGGGCGTCCCGGGTCACCCGGCGGCCCGGATCGGCCCGTGACGCCCTCACCCCACCCCTCGGCGGGCCGCAAACGTCCAGAGAGCGCCCCCTCCCCAAGCCCCGACCTGAGCGGGGCGCTAGAAGCCGGGAGGACAAATCAGACGGTCAGACTCAGTCCCTGTCCCGGGGATCGGGGTCCAGCCGCGGGCGGAGCGGGGAGGGAGGGGAAGACGAATGGGCCTGGCACCAAAAACAGCCCAGGGCTGTGGTTCTCAAAGTGTGGCCTCCGTTAGTGCAGAGTCCCTGGCCCCACCCCGGACCTACAGAAGCAAAACTCGGGGTTGGGCCCCCTATTTTAACAAGCCTTCTGGGTGGTTCCAGAGTTCAGTAAAGTTTGAGAAGAACTGCCCTGGTGGAAACATCCAGCACCCCACATCCTGCACCCCACAACCCACATCCCACACCCCAGTGTCTCGAAAAGGGCTTCTTTTCACTCTTCACTTAAACAGCCTCACCCTGTTTAAGTACCTCTCCGTTGGTACGTGGCTGTGGTGGGGGCAGTGGGCGGGGAGCAGTGGTGTCTGTCCCAGGAATCCCCGAAAGGATTGACAGTCAGTGCCTGGTAGAAGCCGCAAGTCCTGTACCAGAGGCCAGGCTGTGGGCATTCGGGCGGTGATGGTTATGGTTATTGTGTTTTGGTGTAGTGATTGTTTTAATGTTTTAGAATGCAATTGTGCAAATATTTGTGTCCATATTCAGTTGTAAAGCTTTTTTTTTCCCCTTCCATCATTGTGCTTGTTTGACGCTAAGCCACTCATCCCCCAGAAACAGTGTTGACATGAGGCAGATCAGATGGCCGGCCTTCCTGGTGACCAGATTTCAGGACAGCAAGCATCCCGGCCAGACCCCAGGTACTCTAATGGGGTCCATAGGGCCCTGGGAGTGAGCAGCTCTGCCTGAACTGCAGGATGGGGCATCCTAGAGGGAGGAGAGGGCATCTGGACAGAGGGGCCTAAAGTGTCTGGGTGGCATCTAGACTGGGCAGACAGTGCCTGGATCGAGTACTGGGGTGGGGCTGGAAACGGCCCAAGAGGTGCCAGAAGGAGGTGGAGCTGTTCTGAGCCCCGTGCTGCCAAGAGGGATGTCCTGGCCTTGGAGGGACCTTTGAGGTCATCTAATCCAGCCTCTTGGTGTGTGACCACTAGGACCTCCCCCACTTCTAATTAAACTTTCCTTCTTTCTTTCTTTTTTTTTTTTCTTGAGACCGAGTCTCGCTCTGTTACCCAGGCTGGAGTGCAGTGGTGCCATCTTGGCTCATTGCAACCTCTGCCTCCTGATTTCGAGTGGTTCTCCTGCTTCAGCCTCCTGAGTAGCTGGGGCTACAGGTGCCTGCCACCATGCCCGACTAATTTTTGTATTTTTAGTAGAGACAGGGTTTCACTATGTTGGCCAGGCTGGTCTCAAACTCCTGACCTCAGGTGATCCACCCGCCTGGGCCTCCCAAAATCCTGGGATTACAGGTGTGAGGCAGCACGCCCAGCCTAAACTTTCTTATTTTGAGATAATTGTAGATTCACATGCAGCTATAAGAAACAGTAGAGATGTCTTGGACCCAGTTTTCTCCACTGGTAAAATCTTGCAAAATTATACTACAATATCACAACCAGGATATTGACATAGATGCCATCAAGGTACAGAACATTCCATCAGCAAAGGACCCCCCCGTGGACTTTTTATGTGCTTATCTCCCTCCCTCCTCCCTCCTGGCAAGCACTTATCTGTTCTCCATTTCTGTAATTTTATCATTTCAAGCATGTTATATAAATGCAGTCATACAGTATGTTACCTTTTGAGATTGCTTTTTTCACTCAGCATAAATCCCTGAAGATTCTTCCAGGTTGCTTTGTGTTTCAGTAGTTTGTTCCTTGCTATTGTGGAGTGGTCAGCATTCCATGGAATGGGTGCATCATAATTTGTTTAGCCATTCACTTGTCGAAGACTATCTGGGTTGATTGCCAGTTTGGGGCTATTACCAATAAAGCTGCTATAAACATTTGTGTACAGGTTTTTGTGTGAACATAAGTTTTCATTTGTCTGGGAAGAGTGCCCAGGAGTGTAATTGCTGGGTCGTATGGGAGTTGCATGTTTAGATTTTTAAGAAACTGCCAAAATGTTTTCCAGAGTGTACCACTTTGCCTTCCCAGCAGCAAAGCTTGAGTGATCCAGTTTCTCTGCATCCCTACCAGCATTTCGTCTTGTCCCTGTGTTTTATTTTTGCCATGCTGATAGGTGTGTAGTGAGATCTCATGGTTTTAATTTGCCTTCCTCTAACGACTATTGATGTTAAAGATTCAAAACGATCTTGAGAGCTTATTTACCATCTGTAAATCCTATGAGTGGTAGGTGTGTTCATGTCTTTTGCCTATTTTCTAATTGGATTTTTTTTTTAAAAAATGTTCATTAAATTTCTTTCTCTCTCTCTCTCTCTCTCTCTCTCTCTCTCTCTCCCTCTCTCTCTTTTTTTTTTTTTTTTTGATGGAGTTTCACTCTTGTTGCCCAACCTGGAGTGCAGTGGCACAATCTTGGCTCACTGCAACCTCTGCCTCCTGGGTTCAAGCGATTCTCCTGCCTCAGCCTCCCGAGCAGCTGGGATTACAGGCGCGCGCCACCACATCTGGCTAATTTTTTGTATTTTTAGTGGAGACAGGGTTTCACTATGTTAGCTAGGCTGGTCTTGAACTCCTGACCTCAGGTGATCCTCCCACCTCGGCCTCCCAAAATGTTGGGATTGCAGGCGTGAGCCACGGCGCCCGGCTGGTTATTTCTTTATGGTGTAGTTTATTCAGAAATTCATGAATTCCCTGAGAGAGAGGAGAGTTGTCTCTTTTCTTCCCCAAAGTATCTCTGGGTGTTTGGAAACAGTCTTTGGCACGTATTAGAAGGTGGCTAATAGGTATTTGTTGAAAGAATCAGTGAGTAAATGAATACATGACCCCATGGTGCGTGGTTCTGGCCACGTCATTTGTGGCGCCCCCTGCTCCCCAGATCCATTCACTGCCTACTTTGTGCTCCCTGAGGCTGACCTGGGTGGACGGCATCCCCCACCTGGTTACATTTGACCCATGGAGGCAGTTGCTGGAGATCAGCCGGAGAGAATGAGGCATTTCTCCTCTTGCCCTCTGCTGACCCTTGCAGTCCCTGCGGGTTGCATGCTGACCACAGCTCTTTCCCGGATGCTCTGCCAGGCTTTAGCTCCACTGGCTTCCGGGGGAAGCACCATTTCCTTCCCTCCCTTCTGCAGCCCCAGGGCTGGTAGCAGCTTCCCTCTTTTGCTGGCCTCTGGCTCTCCCTAACCTGCCCACGCCTCTGTGAACATGAACCACCTGGTCAGCTCTGCCTTCTGCTGGGACCCTGACTGTAACAGATAGATATCATTATTATTATTATTATTATTATTATTATTATTATTGAGATGGAGTCTCGCTCTGTCACCAGGCTGGAGTGCAATAGCGTGATCTCGGCTCACTGCAACGACTGCCTCCTGAGTTCAAGGGGTTCTCCTGCCTCAGCCTCCCGAGTAGCTGGGACTACAGGTGTGCACCACCACGCCCAACTAATTTTTGTATTTTTAGTAGAGACGGGTTTTACCATGTTGGCCAGGATGGTCTTGATCTGTTGAACTCGTGATCCGCCCGCCTCAGCCTCCCAAAGTGCTGGGATTACAGATGTGAGCCACCGTGCCCAGCCAACAGATAGATATTATTGTTGCCACTCTACAGAATTGGAAACTGAGGCTCAGAGAGGTTATACATCATGCCCAGGACCACACAGCAAGTCCTGACAGAGCCAGGGTTGAGCCCAGGCTCCCTGGCTTGGAGCCCATGCTGCTGGCTTTCAGAGGGTTTTGAGCTCTTCTCCTCTGAGGGGCCCAGGACTGGGGTCAACATGAAGGTGCCTCAGGTGACCCAGAAGGCAGCTGAGACCTGGACCCCCTCAAAGGCACGCGGGTGCCTGTCATAGCTCTGGCAGTGACCACGAGCCCATTGGCCTCTTCCTCCCTGTGAGAGCTGAGCATGTCTCTGGGGCCTGGCAGGAAACCCAGCCTGTGTGTGTTTCTGCTGCTCAGTCACGTGAGACTGTGGGAAGCTGCTGGGAGGCTCAAGTGAGGCCCCTGCCCCAGCCACAGTGGCGGCCTGACCTCACATTTCCTTCGCTTCTTCTCTGAGTGAGCAGATGTGGCCAGCACCCACCACGTGCCAGGACCGTCCTGACACCCTGAGGGCGAGGGGGGCACCGTGGCAATGTATCGGAGGGAGAGGGCACAGGCTCTGCAGCTTGAATACTAAGGCTGAGTCCCTTCTTGAGGGACCCCAGGCTCCTTGCTCCTGCAATGGGGACCATTGCACTTGCTAATTTCACATGTTTATCCTTTCATTTATTTGCCTATCCATTGGTGGATGGAGCCGTTAAAACATAGTTAATGAGCCTTTGTTTATAGCCTGCAGCTAAGAAAAGAGCTCTGTGAATCTAAAGCCCTGTATGAAATGTAGTTCTCTGATGGGGGCGTCTGGGTACCTCCCACCACTGCCCCTGTGTAGCCTAGGCCAAGAGGGCCTTTGGTGCCATTGAAGGACTGAGTGAAAACCTGACTTGTCTGAGGGCTCTGTGCACTGGGGGGCACCCCTGGACCCTACCCTGTCCCCTGTCACCATAGTCAGGGAGACAGGCCCGACAGTGCACAGTGACTAACCCAGGGCCACACCATGTGTTAGGCAGAATAATGGCCCTCTCCTCAAAGAATTCCATGTCCTGATCCCTGTAGCCTGTGAATTTGTGGCCTCACGCACTCCTTATGGCGAGAGGAACTTTGCAGATGTGAATCAGGGTCTTGAGATAGGGAGAAGGTGCTGCATTCTCCCAGGGGGCCTGACATCATCACAAGGGTCCTTATAAGAGGTGGGCAGGAGGGTCAGAGTGAGAAAAGGGCGAAATGACAATGGGAACAGAGAGAGATTGGAAGATGCCACCTCTGTGGCTTTGAAGCTGCAGGAAATGGCCACAAGCCAAGGAATGCAGGTGCCTCTGGAAGCCAGAAGGGCAATGAGTGACCAGATTCTCTCCTAGAGCCCCTGAAGGAGCACAGCCCCACCCACACCACAGCCTCCAGAACTGTAAGAGAAGAAATTTATGGGTTTCTTTTCTTTTCTTTTTTTTCTTTCTTTTCTTTCTTTTTTTTTTTTTTTTTTTTTTTTTTGAGATGGAGTCTTGCTGTGTTGCCCAGGCTGGAGTGCAATAGTGTGATCTCAGCTCACTGCAACCTCTGCCTCCCAGGTTCAAGCAATTCTCCTGCCTCAGCCTCCTGAGTAGCTGGGATTACCACGCCCAGCTAATTTTTGTATTTTTAGTAGAAATGGGGTTTCCCTATGTTGGCCAGGCTGGTCTCAAACTCCTGACCTCAAGTGATCCACCCGCCTCGGCCTCCCAAAGTACTGGGATTACAGGTGTGAGCCACCATGCCTGGCCAAAATTTGTGTTGTTTTAAGCCTCTAAGTTTGTGGCTATTTGTTAGAGCGGCCACCAGAAACCAGGATACCCGGCAAGGCTGTGACTGGAGCCTGGGACTTCTGCCACCCAGCCTCTCTGCCCGGGATGGGACCCCTGTTCCACGGCCTTCCATCCAGAGCTCCCGGGCTGTGAGATTGCCTGGGTGCTTCGAGATTATTTTTCCTTCCATAGAGTGCTTAAAATGTTACAAAGAATATTATCTGTATAAAAGAACTTGAATAATGTGGAAAAAGCTCACCCAAGCTCACCAGCGTCGCCAGCACTCACTGGCAGAACTGGAACCTGGAAGCCCCTATGGGCTCCTCCCCAGGCAAACACTGCTCCATCCTCCTGGAGGTGCTTACCCACCTGAAGCATGTGCTTTACAGTTTTACACACATTTGTGCCCACAGGGCACCTTTCATGGGACACTCGTGCCAGCCAGGGGTGTGTAAGGAAGATGGAGACTCTGTCCCAAACAGGGCTGCAGCGTCTCCTGAGAGAGGTGAAAATGACCTCAGAAGCCAGTTTCTGATGACAGGCCGGACAGGGAAGCAGCTCTCAGCCTCTGCCTGGGGCTCCTGGAACACCTGCTACCTCGACTCTCAGGCCTCACCCCTGCCACCCTGACCACCCCGCCCCCTGCAGCTGCTGAAGGGCCCTTCCTCTTGACTTGCAGATCTGACTGTGATTGAAAGGTAGTGTCTGTGCAGGAAGGGGACCATCACACACCGGGGCCTGTTGTGGGGTGGGGTGAGGGGGAGGGTTAGCATTAGGAGATATACCTAATGTTAATTGCAGCACACCAACATGGCACATGTATACATATGTAACAAACCTGCACGTTGTGCACATGTACCCTAAAACTTAAAGTATAATAAAAAAAAAGAAAGGTAGTGTCTGTGTAGCATTTTGTGATTTGAAGGGGAAATAAAGTTTTCTGAATAATAACGACATGACCTTTGTGTGTATTTTCCCCATCGTGTGCTCTGCTTTTCTTTTGCGTTTTAGCTTCTCAGACATGACCTTTGGTCTCAGATGCTCAGCTTGGTGGCAGCACTTCACATGCAGGGGTGAAGGGAGGTCCTCAGCCCTGGCCACGCAGGGGTGAATTCCAGAGCATAACAAGCAGGAGCAGCTGTTGCTGTGCCCTCCTCACCTCCTTCTCTTCCCTTCTAGGGTGGAAAGTCCTCGAAAGCAAGGATCCTGGCTCTCGGCTCTGTGTCAGCTCTGTGTATACAGCACAGGGCTTGGCACACCGTAGGTGCTTGGTGAACATCTGGGGAATGAAAGATACCTTGCAGATTCATATAAATGCCTCACCTGTGCCTCATAGTTGAGCACCACATCTGTCCACCACACCTGTGTGCCCCATCTCTGCATCACTCCTGGGCATCACACCTGAGTACCACATATGTGCACCACACCTGTGTGCCGAGCTCAGGTTGGCAAGTGGAGTGAGAGTAGTCTGTGGGAGCTGGAAGAGACTCGGACTCCAGCCAGGCCTGAGGACCCCACCCTCTGCTCCCAGCCCAGGGCTGGTCGGGTTGGGGGAGCTTGCCCCTCGGCTGTGTCTCTCTCAGGAGGTTCTGGGCTCCTTTGGACTCTGGAAGTGCCAGCTCCACCTTGGGGGCTGATACGGTTGGAGTGTTTGTCTCCTCCAAATCTCCTGTTGAAAAGTGATTCCTAGCGCGGGAGCTGGGGGCTGGCGGGAGGGATTGGCTCATGGGGGCGGATCCCTCATGAATGGTTTAGCGCGGGAGCTGGGGGCTGGCGGGAGGGGATTGGCTCATGGGGGCGGATCCCTCATGAATGGTTTAGCGCCACCTCCTTGGTGACGAGTGAGCTCTTGTTTCATTGATTCACAGGAGATCTGGTTGGTTAAAAGTCTGGGATGCCCTCTCCTTGGCTTCTTGCTTCCACTCTTGCCAGGTGAGATGCCTGCTCCCTCTTTGCCTCTCACCATGATTGGAAGCTTCCTGAGGCCTCCCCAGAAGCAGCTGCCAGCACCAGGCTTCCTGTACACCCTGTCGGACTGTGAGCCAATTAAACCGCTTCTCTTTGTACATGACCCGGTCTCAGGTATTCCTTCCTAGTAATGCAGTCGGACTAACACAGGGCACTGCCCTGTGTCACAGAATGGGAATGGAGCCCACTATCACAAACAAGGTCAGGAGGGCCTTTCCCTGGGCCCCACACAGACCTCTCACGGGGGAGAGTCCACCCCTGCTCCCAGCCATCTCCCCAGGTTTCTGGGTTTCTGATGGCTGCTACACTGCCGGGCAGCCCCTCGGCCTCACCCCTGAGCCCTACAGGAGATCCAGAGCCCCCCGAGACCTCAGGGCAGAGTTTGGCCCCTCCGCCACGCCCACAGCTGAGCCCTCCTGCCCGAGCGTGTTTGGTAATTTTCCTGAACATTGGAGGGGCCCTGGGGAGGGCCCATGTTGTGCACCCCATGGCTCTCCCCCTTCTCTGGGGAGCCCTCCCTCTCCAAACACCCGCCTGTCTTCTTGTGGACCACACAAATTTCAATGTCGTGGAGCAACAACATCAGACGAGGCCACTCCAGGACTGCGATGGGTCAGGACAAAAGCAAGACCCCTCCGTCATCGTGTCTGAGCACAGGCAACTGCAGGAGCATCGTCCAAGCCACCGAATGTCCAAACTCCCTGTGTCTCAGCAAACAGGAGTGAGGACAGCTGCTTCATCAATCACAGCCTTAGCCTCACTGCGGGCTCCCTGCCACATAGACAAGGTTTGCTAAGACCCCAGATCAGGCCGGGCGCGGTGGCTCACGCCTATAATCCCAGCACTTTGGGAGGCCAAGGCGGGTGGATCACCTGAGGTCAGGAGTTTGCAACCAGCCTGGCTAACATGGTGAAACACCGTCTCTACTAAAATACAAAAATTAGCCGGGTGGGCATGGTGGCGGGCGCCTGTAGTTCCAGCTTCTTGGGAGGCTAAGGTGGGAGAATCGCTTAAACTCGGGAGGTGGAGGTTGCAGCGAGCTGAGGTCATGCCACTGCACTCCAGCCTGGGCAACAGAGCAAGACTCTGTCTCAAAAAAAAAAAAAAAAAAAAAAACCCACGCACACAAAAACACCTGAGTCAGAGAACTAGCCCAGTTTCCCAAGAACGTTCAATCCAGAGTGGGGTCCTGAGCTTACATCTTCCCCAAATCGCCCAGCACAAGCCCAAACCCTCCACCAAGCCCTTCCCAGTGCCCCCCTTATTGAGCCTCCCTGCGTTTTCAATGGCCATGGGCTCTTTCTCACTGCAACCAGGGATAGGTCCAAGCTGTCCACCCACAGGGCTGCTCCTGTTGGTCCCTGGAGGGAGGGCTTTGGCAGTGGGGAGCCTCTCCCAGGGCCCCGAAGAGGCAGCCTTCTCCTGTCCTGACTGTGGGGAAGAGGGCAGGAGAGGAGTGAGCAGCTTGTGCCCCAGGTTGGTGGCTGTGCCTGTTGTCCAGCGGACCATCTGTGGCTGCTATCCCCATGGTGACAGGACCCGGCAGGCTCACTGGGGGAGGAGACCCAGCCCTGGGCAGTGGGCATCCTTGCCAGGCTGGGCTGGAGGAGTGGGAGCTCTAGCAGAGAGCTGCCAGCCTCCTGGCCCTGTCCCGCTGGCTCTGGCTTCAGCACAGACTCATCTGCTCCCGGGACTTGTCCCAGGGGAAAGCCAGGCTGCCTTCTGTCTTCAGCCTGGACCGGATCCCACTGGCCACAGCGGCTGAGTCTTTGGTTCAGTTTGAGGAGTGTTTGCTGGCTGCTAGGCTCTGAGTTTGGGGCTGGGGTGCAGGTGTGAGTTGGACCTGCCCTGGGGACCTTCCAGGCCAGGAAAGCCAGCCCCAGAAGTGTGACAAAGGTTGTAATACTGGAAGCCCAGAAAGGGTCTTGGGAGCTGGAACTGGAGGCCTCCCCTCTCCTTCCAGTAGTTCAGTAGAAGCTTCCTTCAAAGAGCAGATCTCAGGTTTGGGGCTCCCGGACCAGTGCGCATCCCACAGCCTCCCTTGAGCCTGGAACCTCTGGCCCTCCTTGCTCAAGTGTTCCGGGTGGGGGGGTTGCCTGCCTATGAGGGCCTGTGGCTTAGGTCCAGGCCCTGAGCCAAGGCAGCGGTGCTGGAGAGGATGAACTTAGCAGAACCCGACCTGCTGCGATGTGGGCCAGATTCCACTTCCTGAGGCCCTCTTCCTGGGGACAGTCACTCACCCCTCCCCGTGGGAATGGCTCTTGCTGCCCTGCTGCCCCTCCCACACCACAGGGGGTATAACGTGGGGATAAAAGGAGTCCGGGATGAGGCCTTTCCCTTGCAGCCAGACCCTGCCCCCCACCCCTCCAGTGTGCACTCCGAGAACCTGGCAGCGAGTCCCTGCACTCAGCCCAAACATCCTGTACCAGGGAGTGGGATTAGCCATGAGGTCGGCGGCCGGGCAGTCCCGCCAACAATCTGTCTTCAATTGCTGCTCTCAGGTTTCCCAACCAGAACAAGCCTCGCCTGTGTAGGGAACCCAGGCTCTTGGCCTGCCTTAAAATAACTCAGCATCCTTGGTGGCCTTCTGGGTGGAGGCAGCTTCTGAAGCTCTTCCCCCTTTCAGCCTTCCTGGGCCTCCCAGGACTACCCTGGACACCCCCTTCCCCAATTCAATGCTTCCTCACTGGAGCCAAGCCCTGGGTGGTGTTTTGTAGATTCCTTAGCGTCTTCTACATGGATGATCGAGTTGTCAGTGCGTAGAGACTGGTTAGGGCCTCTGAAATGAGGTGGAGTGGAAGTGACAAGAGCTGACCTCCCTGCCTTGTTCCTGAGCCCTGCGGAAAGCCTGTAGCCTCTCATCATTCACTGTGACTTTAGCTGTAGATTTTCTTCGGGTTTCTTTCCGGTTGGTGAAGTTCCTTTCCATTCTTAATTTGCTGAAAGATTAAAAACATTGTTTTTGCAACTATTGAAATCAATCTTTTTTTTTTTGAGACGGAGTCTCACTCTCTCTGTCACCCAGGCTGGAGTGCAGTGGCGCAATCTCGGCTCACTGCAAGCTCTACCTGCCAGGGTCACGCCATTCTCCTGCCTCAGCCTCCCAAGTAACTGGGACTACAGGTGCCCACCACCACGCCCGGCTAATTTTTTGTATTTTTAGTAGAGACAGGGTTTCACCGTGTTAGCCAGGATGGTCTCGATCTCCTGACCTCGTGATCCACCCGCCTCGGCCTCCCAAAGTGCTGGGATTACAGGCGTGAGCCACCAAGCCCGACCTGAAATCAATTGTTTATTCTATCAATGAGGCAAATCACACAGATTGATTTCAAATATTCAAGTAACCTTACATTTCTGGGAGAAATCGCATTTGGCCAGGATTCTTCACCCTTTGTATATATTGGGGGATTCCATGGGCTACAATCATGTTGAGGATATGTTGAGGGATACTGGTCTGTAATTTTCTTTCTTTCTCCCCTCCCCTCCCCTTCCCTTCTCTCTCTCCCCTCCATCCCTTCCTCCCTCCCCTCCCCTCCCTTCCCTTCCCCTCCCTCCCTCCCTCCCTCCCTCCCTCCCTTCCTTCCTTCCTTCCTTCTTTCCTTCCTTCCCTCCTTCCTTCCTTCCTTCCCTCCTTCCTTCCTTCTCTCCTTCTTGCTTTCTTGTTTCCATAAGACTGGTTACATTATTTCTTCCTTAAATATGTGCTAGAGGCTGGGCGTGGTGGCTCATGCCTGTAATCCCAGCACTTTGGGAGGGTAAGGCAAATGGATTGCTTAACGTCAGGAGTTCGAGACCAACCTGGCCATCATGGTGAAACCCCATCTCTACTAAAAATACAAAAATTAGCCAGGTGTGGTAGTGCACATCTGTAATCCCAGCTACTCCGGAGGTTGAGGCAGGAGAATCGCTTGAACCAGGAGGCAAAGGCTGCAGTGAGCCGACATCACACCACTGTACTCCAGTATGGGTGACAGAGTGAGACTCTATCTCAAAAAAAAAAAAAAAAAAAAAAAAGTGTTCTGGAAAAGCCATTAGAACCTGAAGTTTTCTTTGTGAGGTAGTTTTAATTACAAATCTAAATTTCCTTACTAAATATAAGGCTCTTCAGATTTTTTTAGTTTCTCCTGTGTCAGATTTGGTAAGTTATGTTTTTCAAGGAATTTATTAATTTCACACGTGTTGTGGAATTTATTAATTTCACATGTGTTGTCAAATTTATTAATTTCACATGTGTTGTCAAATTTATTGCTGTAAAGTTGTTCATAATGTTCCCCTATTATCTTTTTTAAATTTATTTTTATTTTTATTTTATTTTATTTTTTTTAAGACAGAGTCTCACTCTTCTGCCTAGGCTGGAGTGCAGTGGTGTGATCTTGGCTCACTGCAACCTCTGCCTCCTGGGTTTAAGCAATTCTCCTGCTTCAGCCTCCCAAGTAGCTAGGATTACAGGCACCCGCCACCACACCCAGCTAATGTTTTGGTATTTTTAGTAAAGACGGGATTTCATCATGTTGGTCAGGGTGGTCTTGGACTCCTGACCTCAGGTGAGGTCACCTGCCTTGGCCTCCCAAAGTGCTGGGATTACATGTGTGAGCCACTGTGCCTAGCCTCCCCTATTATCTTCTTAATGTCTGTAGAATCTGTAATGATATCCCCTCTTTCTTTCCCAGTATTGTTAATTTGTGTTTTCTCTCTTTTTCTTGGACAATGTTATCAGGTTTTTAGTTATTTTGTTAATCTTTTCAAAAAGCCAAAGAACCAACAATTGGGTTTTGTTCATTTTTGTATTAGTTTACTATTGCTGCTGTAACATAGAACTACAAACTTAATAGCTTCAATCAACAGAAATTTATTATCTATGGTTTTGAAGGTTAGAAGTCTAACATGGGCCTCACTGGCTCAAATCAAGATGTTTGCAGGGCTGTGTCCCTTTCTGGAGGCTCTCAGAGAGAATCCCTCCCCTGTCTTTTTCAGCTTTTAGAGGCTGCCCACGTTTCTTGGTTCATGTGCCCTTCCCTCCATCTTCACAGCCAGCAATGGTGAGCTGAATCTTTCTTACATCTCATCATTGCCCTCTTCTGCCTCTATTTCTACTTTTTTTTTTTTTTTTTTTGAGAAGAGTCTTGTTTTGTTGCCCAGGCTGGAGTGTTCAGTGGCGCGATCTCAGCTCCGTGCAACCTCCATCTTCTGGGTTCAAGTGATTCTCCTGTCTCAGTCTCCCCCAGTAGCCGGGATTACAGGCATGCTATTGTTTTTTTTTTTTTTGTATTTTTAGTAGAGACGAGGTTTCACCATGTTGGCCAGGCTGGTCTCGAACTCCTGACCTCAAATGATCCACTTGCTTTAGCCTCCCAAAGTGCTGGGATTACAGGCATGAGCCACCGCACCCGGCCTCTACTTCCACTTTTAAGAACCTTGTGATTACGTTGGGCCCACCTGAATAATTCAGGACGATCTCCCTATTTTAGCAGCCTTAATTTAACCTGCAATCTTAATACCTCTTTGCCATGAATCGTAACATGTTGACAGACTCTAGAGATTAGGACATGGACATCTTTGAGGGGCCATGGTTTTGTCACAATTTTCTCTATCTTTTTGTTTGTAATTTTATTCATTTTCTCTCATCTTTATTTCCATCCTTCTGCTTATATTGGGTTTAATTTAATGTAATTTAAATTCAAATTATTTATTTATTTTTTTTTTGAGACAGAATCTTGCTCTGTTGCCCAGGTTGGAGTGCAATGGCATGATCACAGCTCACTGCAGCCTTAACCTCCTGGGCTCAAGCCATCCACCCACCTCAGCCTCCCAAGTAGCTGGGACTACAGGCATGTGCCACCACACCTGCCTACTTTTTTGTATTTTTGGTAGAGACAGGTTTTTGTCGTGTTCCCCAGGCTGATCTTGAACTCCTGGGCTCAAGCAATCTGCTGCCTCAGCCTCCCAAAATGCTGGGACTATAAATGTGAGCTGCTGTGCCTGGCCTAATTTTTATTTTTATTTATTTATTTTTTTGAGACAAGGTCTCAACTCTGTCACCCAGGCTGGAATCCAGTGGTGTGGTCATGGCTCATTGCAGCCTCTACCTCCTGGGCTCAAGTGATCCTCCCATCTCATCCTTCCAAAGAGCTGGGACTACAGGTGTACCCCATCACACCTGGCTAATGTTTTAATGTTTTTGTAGAAACAGGGTCCCACTATGTTGCCCAGGCTGGTCTTGAGCTTCTGGGCTCAAGTGATCCTCCTGCCTCAATTTTATTTTATTTTTATTTTTATTTATTTTATTTATTTATTTTTGAGATGGAGTCTTGCTCTGTCGCCCAGGATGGAGTGCAGTGGCGCGATCTCGGCTCACCGCAAGCTCTGCCTCCCGAGTTCACGCCATTCTCCTGCCTCAGCCTCCCAAGCAGCTGGGACTACAGGCACCTGCCACCATGCCTGGCTAATTTTTTGTATTTTTATTAGAGACAGTGTTTCACCGTGTTAGCCAGGATGGTTTCAATCTCCTGACCTCGTGATCTGCCCCCCTCGGCCTCCCAAATTGCTGGGATTTTAGGCGTGAGCCACCACGCCTGGCCTATTTTATTTTTATAGCTTCTTTTATATTTTTTTGAGACAGAGTCTTGCTCTGTCACCCAGGCTGGAGTGCAGTGGTGGGATAGCAGCTCACTGCAAACTCTTCCTCCCAAGTTCAAGTGATTCTCATGTCTCAGCCTCCTGAATAGCTGGGATTACAGGCATCCACCACCAGGCTCGGCTAATTTTTGTATTTTTAGCAGAGATGAGGTTTTGCCATGTTGGCCAGGCTGGTCTCTAACTCCTGGCCTTGGTCTCCCAAAGTGCTGGGATTATAGGTGTGAGCCACTGGACCTGGTCTTTTATACCTTCTTTCAATTATTGAGCTTGTTCTTTTTTTTTTTTTTTTTTTTTTTTGAGACAGAGTCTTGCTCTTGCTGTCCAGACTGGAGTGCAGTGGCACAATCTCCACTCACTGCAACCTCAACCTCCTGGGTTCAAGTGATTCCCCTGCCTTAGTAGGAGTTGCTGGGGTTACAGGCGTCCACCACCACACCCGGCTAATTTTTTTTTTTTTGAGATGGAGTTTCGCTCTTGTTTTCCAGGCTTGAGTGCAGTGGCGCAATCTTGGCTCACTGCAACCTCCTCCTTCCGGTTTCAAGCGATTCTTCTGCCTCAGCCTCCTGAGTAGCTGGGATTACAGGCATGTACCACCAGGCCTGGCTAATTTTTGTATTTTTAGTAGAGACGGGGTTTCACCATGTTGGCCAGGCTGGTCTCAAACTTCTGACTTAGTGATCCACCTGCCTTGGCCTCCCAAAGTGTTGGGATTACAGGTGTGAGCCACCGTGCCTAGCCATTTTGTTTGTATGTTTAGTAGAGATGGCGTTTCACTATGTTGGCCAGGCTGGTCTCAAACTTCTGGCCTCAGGTGATCCACCCGCCTTGGCCTCCCAAAGTGCTGCAATTATAGGCATGAGCCACTGCACTCAGTCAATCACCACCTTTTAATTGGAGCATTTATTCCATTTACATTTAATGTAGTTACTGATATAGTTGGGTTTAGGCCCACCATCTGTTACGTATTTTATATTCATCTTCATTGACCCCTTCATCATGTCCAAATTCTTCTTCCTCCTCACTGACTTCATCTTCACCTTCTTCACAGTCTACATCTTCACTTTCGTCATCACCTTCTTTACAGTCTACATCTTCACTTTCATCTTCACCTTCTTCAGTCTACATCTTCACTTTCATCTTCACCTTCTTCACAGTCTACATCTTCACTTTCATCATCACCTTCTTTACAATCTACATCTTCACTTTCATCTTCACCTTCTTCACAGTCTACATCTTCACTTTCATCTTACCTTCTTCACAGTCTACATCTTCACTTTCACCTTCACCTTCTTCATAGTCTACATCTTCACTTTCGTCATCACCTTCTTCACAGTCTACATCCTCACTTTCATCTTCACCTTCTTCACAGTCTACATCTTCACTTTCATCTTCACCTTCTTCACAGTCTACATCTTCACTTTCATCTTCACCTTCTTCACAGTCTACATCTTCACTTTCATCTTCACCTTCTTCAGTCTACATCTTCACTTTCATTTTCATCTTCTTCACAGTCTACATCTTCACTTTCATATTCACCTTCTTCACAGTCTACATCTTCACTTTCATCTTCACCTTCTTCACAGTCTACATCTTCACTTTCATCATCACCTTCTTCACCGTCTACATCTTCACTTTCATCTTCACCTTCTTCACAGTCTACATCTTCACTTTCATCATCACCTTCTTCACCGTCTACATCTTCACTTTCATCTTCACCTTCTTCACAGTCTACATCTTCACTTTCATCATCACCTTCTTTACAGTCTACATCTTCACTTTCATCTTCACCTTCTTCACAGTCTACATCTTCACTTTCATCATCACCTTCTTTACAGTCTGCATCTTCACTTTCATCTTCACCTTCTTCAGTCTACATCTTCACTTTCATTTTCATCTTCTTCACAGTCTACATCTTCACTTTCATATTCACCTTCTTCATAGTCTACATCTTCACTTTCATCTTCATCCTCGTCGCCATCAAACTCTTCCTCTTCACTATCCTTATCCTCCTCATTTTCCTTGTTTCCTCCTTCTTCATCCTCCTCTTCATCATCTACATCATCCCCCTCAGCATCTGAGTTGGGGGCTTCCTGGTCCTCTTGGTCATAGTGATCAAGGTAGGTCAGCTGGGGCAGGAGCTTGAAGACCCTCTCCCAGTCTTCATTCAGGCTAGTAACCTCACGGTTTAAGAGGTCCAGGCTCTTTAGACGTTCCAACTTTTTCAAAGGTTCTAAAGTTCTGATATCTTTCAGTGTATTTCCATCCAAGTTTAGATGTGTGAGTTTCTAACATGTCCAGATCTCCAAAGACTCTATTGTCATGGCAGCCAGGGGAGATTTGAAAATGAAATCAAGCCTGCAGTTATTAAATGAAGGAACTCTAAGTTCACAAATTCAACTGTAAAGCCCTCAATTTTTCCATCACTTGATTGGCAATTGTCCAAGACAAGTTTTAGAACAGCGGGTGGGGTCTGGTATTTCAGCTCCACGTGGAGTCTCCTCCTCATGTTCACGTTCCCCTCTTCTCCACTCTTCAAACTTTCTGAAGATGGGGGAAGGATGTTCCCGCCTGTGCAGTAGGGCCATCAGAAGGAGTCTGCTCGTGGCAGAGGCCAGCGGTGTGGTCCTGGGAAATGTGTAGCTTGCAGGCAGACAAACAGAGCCCCCAGAGTCAAGTAACTCACGGGAGTAGAGAGAAATCGTGGAGGGAAAAGGCAATGTGTATTTTTTTTTTTTTGAGACAGAGTCTTGCACTGTTGCCCAGGCTGGAGTGCAATGGCGCGATCTTGGCTCCCTGTAACCTCCACCTCCTGGGTTCAAGAGATTCTTCTGCCTCAGACTCCCGAGTAGCTGGGATTACAGGTGCCCGCCACCATGCCCAGCTAATTTTTTGTATTTTTAAATAGAGACAGGGTTTCACTATGTTGGCCTGGCTGGTCTCGAACTCCTGACTTCGTGATCGCCAGCCTCGGCCTCCCAAAGTGCTGGGATTACAGGTGTGAGCCACTGTGCCTGGCTGGCAATGTGTATTTTTAACTCATCACAGATTACCCTGAATTAATAGAAAATGTGAGAACCTTACAACATCATCCTCTAATTCCTTCATCCTTTGTGTTATTGTTTTGTTATATATTTTACCTGAAAATATATTATAACCCCCACAATACATTGTTATTATTTTGCTTTATATAGTCAATTGTCTTTTAAAGAAATTGAAAAGAAGAAAATAGTATTCTATATGTATCCATATACTTATTTCCATTGCTCTTCATCCCTTTTTCTATATCTGAGTTTTCATCTTGCATAATTTTCCTTCAGCCCTCTAGAAGTTCTTGAAGTTCCTCTAGAAGTTCCTTTTTTTTAAATTTTTTTTTGAGAGAGGCTTTCACTCTGTCGCCTAGGCTAAAGTGCAATGGTGTGATTTCTGCTCACTGTAACCTCCACCTCCTGGGTTCAAGCGATTTTCCTGCCACAGCCTCCTGAGTAGCTGGGATTACAGGCATGTGCCACCATGCTTGGGTAATTTTTGTATTTTTAGTAGAGACAGGGTCTCACCATGTTGGCCAGGCTGGTCTCGAACTCCTGGACTCAAGTGATCTGCCCACCTCGGCATCCCAAAGTGCTGGGATTACAGGCATGAGCCACCGTGCCTGGCCCCTCTAGAAGTTCTTTTAGTTTACACCTGGTAGTGAAGAAGTTAGCTTGTATTTAACCAGAAATGACTTTAGTTTACCTTTATTTTTAATTAATTAACGTATTCATTTTTGAGATAGGGTCTTGCTTTTTCACCCAGGCTGGAATGCAGCAGTGCAATCATAGCTCACTGTAACCTCAAATTCCTGCCGTCAAGCAATCCTCCTGCGCCAGTCTCCTAGAGTGCTGAGATTACAGGTGTGAGCCACTGCGCCCAGGCTGCCAGTATTTTTAAAGGACATTTTTGCTGGATCTAAAATTCCAGTCTGACAGTCCCCTGCTGTCCCCACCCCCTGCAGTGCTTTAAAGATATTGTTCCATTGTCTTCTGGATTCTCTTGTTTCTGATGAGTAGTAAGCTGTCATTTTTGTTGCTATTCTCCTGTATGTTATATGCCGTTTCTGTCTAGCTGCCTTTAAGACTTTCTCCTTAGATTTGGTTTTTCAGCAGCTTAGCTAAAATATGTCTATGTTGGTTGCTTTGTATTTATTATTTGAATTTTTCTAAACTTCTTACATCCATGGGCTGATGTTTTTGCTAGATGCAAACTTGCATTGTGGATAATTACATTTGAAACATTTTTAGTAATTATTTTCACATTTTTTCATTTGTTTTTCTGTCTTCTATCTTTCTTTCTTTCTTTTTTTTTTTTTTTGAGATAGAGTCTTGTTCTGTCGCCCAGGCTGGAGTGCAATGGTGCGATCTCGGCTTACTGCAACCTCCACCTCCCGGTTTCAAGTGATTCTCCTACCTCAGCCTCCAGAGTAGCTGGGATTACAGGCATGTGCCATGATGCCTGGCTAATTTTTGTATTTTTAGTAAAGATGGGGTTTCACCATGTTGGCCAGGCTGGTCTTGAACTCCTGACCTCAGCTGATCCACCCCTCTCCACCTCCCAAAGTGCTGGGATTATAAGCGTGAGCCACCGCACCTGGCCCTGTCTTCTATCTAAGACTAATATTTGTTGAATTTTTTTTTTGAGACGTTGTCTCACTATGTCACTCAGGTTGAAGTGCAGTGGCATGATCATGGCTCACTGCTGTCTCTACCTCCCAGGCCCAAGTGATCCTCCCTCCCACCTCAGCCTCTCAAGTAGCTGGGACTACAGGCGTGTGCCACCATGCCTGGCTAACTTTTTTCTTTGTAGAGATGAGGTCTCTCTATGTTGCCTAGGCTGGTCTCCAACTCCTGAGCTCAAGCAATCTGCCTGCCTTGGCCTCCCAAAGTGCTGCAATCACAGGCATGAGCCACCACGTCTGTCCCATATTAGCGTTCTAATTCAAACAACATGCTTCTCCTTACTCAGCCCTCGATGGAGGCGGTGTTCTGTGGGCACCACTCCCCACAGGGTCCTTCCTTCTCTGCCTCCATCCTTTCGTGGCCTCCCTTCAGAGGCTTTCCAAAGCCCTTCTGGTCCAGCTCCTGTCCCTGGGCCACTGACTCCTGTTCTCCCGGAGAAGGAAGAAGGCGGCCTGGCAGCTTTATCTGGGTGTTCAGTGCCTGGGCTGCCTGGGGCTTAGCACACTCACTGTATCCATCTGTCTCTGGCGTGCACGCCGCCGCTCGCTCACACGCCCAGTTGTTTACCACGAAAGGCCAAGCAGAGTAGCAGAAAGATTCCTGGGGGAGGAATCACGGCACAAATGGGTGTCCACTTCTCGTCTGCCTGTCTCTCTCCCTGCAGTCTAAAGCAAGTCATGCCACGTCTCTGGGCTCAGGATTTCCCCCCGATTCCGGGATGGGAGGAGTGATGTTTACTTCCTGAAAAGCTGGGAGGATTGGATGAGGGAGCACAGACTAGGAAGGCCTGGCCTGAGATGTCCACTGAGTCAGCCAGTCTTGGCCCTGGTGGCCGCTCCCCCAGGCTGGAGGCTGGGGACCCCCATGAACCTTGGGTCAGCAGCATTAGTGAGAGGCCTGGGCTCAGATGGGAACAACCTCCTAGCCATCAGCAGAAAGCCAGTCAGGAGGATGTTAAGTGGGGGAGGGTGGGGTGCAGCCTGAGGTCTGGGGCCGAGGTCCCCACCTGCGTGAGCCAGGGGTAGGATTGGCCCCTCTGAGTAATTGGGGGATCTGAGGCTGCAGCTGTCCTCCTGGAAAAGCAGACACAGCACTTCTGCTCTGTGTGTGACTTGCTGCAGCCCCGCCCTGCCCTCTGAGGTCCTCCCCTTTCTTGAGCCTCTTACAACTGGGACTGAACCTGGTGAGGACGCTGCCCTTGTTTCCCATCCCTGGGACTGGAGCCCTGCCTGTCTCCTCCTTCTCTCCCTCCTTCCTTCATTCCTTCCTTCCCCACTTGCCTACATGGCCACCTTCTAGCTGCAGACCTGTCTCTCTCGGCCTCGGGCTCCTTACTTGTAAAACAGACTAAGCCGGGCCCAGTGGCTCACACCTGTAATCCCAGCACTTTGGGAGGACAAGGTGGGTGGATCAGTTGAGGTCAGGAGTTCGAGACCAGCCTGGCCAATATGGTGAAACCCCGTCTCTACTAAAAATACAAGAATTAGCCCAGTGTGATGATGCGTGTCTGTAATCCCAGCTACTCAGGAGGCTGAGGTGGGAGAATCGCTTGAGCCTGGGAGGCAGAGGTTGCAGTGAGCTGAGATCGTGCCACTGCACTCTAGCCTGGGTGACAGAGTGAGACTCCATCTAAAAAAAAAAAAAGATAACTTGTAAAATAGACTAATGTTATCTACCCTGAACATTTGTCACAGGGATGAAATCAGACTCTGGCCACAGAGCCTTGGGGCAGGGGCTGGCACCTGGTGGGCACTCGGTGGGCAAAGGTAGAATGAACAGGTGAGTCCTGGCACCAGCCCAGCATCACAAATCCATACTGCTTCACATGTGCCAGTTCAGGGAGCTAGATACAGGGTTCCCTGCCCTCTCTGTGGAAGAGGTAGCCCCTTTTCAACAGGTTTTTGAAGGCAACAACGACACTTAAGACTATGATGAGGGGCCAGGGGCCGTGGTTCCTGCCTGTAATCCCAGCACTTTGGGAAGCCAAGGCAGGAGGATGGCTTGAGGCCAGGAATTTAAGACCAGCCTGGGCAACATGGTGAAACCCCATCTCTACAAATAATATAATAATAAAAAAGCTGGGAGTGGTGATGCATGCCTGTAGTCCCAGCTACACGGGAGGTTGAGGTGGGAGGACTGCTTGAAACCCAGGAGTTTGAGGCTGGAATGAGCTGTGATAACGCCATTACACTCCAGCCTGGGTGACAGAGCCAAGACTCTGTCTCTAAAAAAAAAAAAAAAAAAACTGGCCAGGTGCTGTGGCTCATACCCTCATAACTGTAATCCCAGCATTTTAGGAGGTCAAGGCAGGCAGATCACTTGAGGTCAGAAATTTGAGACCAGCCTAGTCAACATGGTGAAACCCGGTCTCTACTAAAAATATCCAAATTAGCCAGGCGTGGTGGTGGGTGCCTGTAATCCCAGCTACTCGGGAGGCTGAGGTGGGAAAATCGCTTGAACCTGGGAGGCAGGGGTTGCAGTGAGCCGAGATCTCGCCATTGCACTCCAGCCTGGGCGACAGAGTGAGACTCTGTCTCAAAAAAAAAAAAAAAAAAAATTGACTATGATGGGAATCTATCAGAGGAAATGATGTAGTCTCCAGGGCTGGGAGTTCCAACTGTGATCAGACAGGAGACCTGGGGGAGGTGGTTGAAGGATGCTGCTTGCTTAAAATCAGCTTGCTCCCCATTTCCCTGCCCCACCTGCACTGCTGGGCCCTGCTCTGCCGCCACCTCCCCCTCCCCCTCCCCCATCTGCTGGTCTGACCTCACTTTGATTGGTAGAAACTGGTGATTAGCTCGGGGGCCACTCTCAGGCTGGAGCTAACCCTGACTAACTGCTTCTAACTCACTTGGCTTTGAGAAAGCCCTGCCCTTCTCTGCACTGTCAGCTGAGAGGGTCGGGCCTAGACAGTCTAGCTTCTTTTTTTTTTTTTTTTTTTTGAGACCGAGTCTCGCCCTGTCGCCCAGGCCGGAGTGCAATGGCGACATCTCGGCTCACTGCAACCTCTGCCTGCGGGGTTCAAATAATTCTCCTGCCTCAGCTTCCTGAGCAGCTGGGATTATAGGCAGGTGCCATCATGCCTGGCTAATTTTTTGTATTTTTAGTAGAGGCGGGGTTTCACCATGCTTGCCAGGCCAGTCTTGAACTCCTGACCTCGTGATCCGCCCACCTCGGCCTCCCAAAGTGCTGGGATTACAGGTGTGGGCCCCCATGTCCGGCCTGACAGTCCAGCTTCTTAAGTTTTGAAAACCGGTTCCACCACTGAGCCCTGCCGCTCCATGGACCCATTTCAAAAGCGTGGTAACTGAGGTTCGCAGAGGCAGCATTAGAACCTGCAGCTGCCGACTGCGAAGCCCTTGCTCTACATGAAGCCATCACTGCTCCTGGCAGCAGTTTTCCATCTTCCAGGTTGACCATTCGTCCAAGCATTTTGCACCCATTAGCCTGGCTGGGGTCAAACTCAACGACTCTATGAAGCCTGTAAGGAAATGGGGAGGCGGGCTCAGAGCAGCCACCCTTTCTGCCCCCAAGGGGGTTAACCGCCAAAACCTCAACATCAAGGTCAGACCGAGGTCGTCGGGTCCAGATATCTCCTAATCATGCCTCTGGAGCTCTGGGGATCCTGAAGGGGCCCCTGGCATTGGGGGAGGGAGCAGGCAGGGCTCTGGGCCCACCTCAGTTTTAACGGAACCATCAGATGAGCTGTGGGATGTCAGCGGGATACCAGCTCTTCCCTGGCCCTGGCACTCACCCTCATCTTGCCTGCCCACATGCCCATGCCAACCTGTTAGCAGATCCCATCCCCTCTCAGGGTCACCCCCAGTCCCCTGCACAAACCGTCAGTGAGCAGGATGAGCTCCGCTGAGGATCTGTGGGCCAGGCCAGGAGGGGCTCTGCACACCCACCACACGGCCAGCAGGGACAACGCCCCCTTAGCGTCTCCCTCCCTGACCTCGTCCCCTCCTCAGAGCCTCCCAGACAGCTCTTGCCACTCCTCCTCGCTGCCTGTCTTCTCTTTCCTCCTAGAGTTTCGCCTCCACGATTCTCACACTCTCCTCCTCTGTAAGTCACGAAGCCATTCCCTTAGCCACAGGTCCTACTCGCCAAGAACTGTGAAGGACATGAGATTATACCCTATTTGCAAGGTAAGAAAAGAGCCTGCCTCCGTTCCGTAAATTCTGGCAGAAGATATGAGACTCCTGGGTCAGAAACAAGAAACAGTTCATGACCCACAGCAGCAGCGGGAGCCAGAGTATCTGCATTTTTATGGGCCAGTTCCAAGAATAACACAAATAGGGCTCAATGGCAGCTTTGTATTCAGGGGATTGTGTAGAAGAGGAGCCTTGAGCTCAGAGAACCTGAATCTTTTATAGCAGGTGGTGAGCGTGCCTGCTGTTTACTCTGCAGAGAAAAAGTAGCTCCATAGTTCCAGGCTGTTTACTTATACTGTGTTGACTTTCATCCTCCAAAAATTCCTGGCCACCTGGAAACTGAATGTGACTTTACAGTTGGTCCTTGAACAACATGGACTTGAACTGCTTGGATCCACTTATACTTGCATTTTCTTTCACCTCTGCCATCCCTGAGACAGCAAGACCAACACCTCCTCTTCTTCCTGCTCCTCAGCCTGCTGAACATGAAGATGACAAGGATGGAGACCTTTATGGTGACCCACTTCCACTTAATGAATTGTAAATACATTTTCTCTTATTTATGGTTTTCTTAAAACATTTACTTCTCTCTAGCTTCCTTTATTGTAAGAATACAGTGTGTAATACACACAACATACAAAATATGTGTTAATTAACTGTTTCTGTTATCAGTAAGGCTTTCAGTCAATAGCAGGCTATTCAGCTGGGAGTGGTGGCTCACCTGTAATCCCAGCACTTTGGGAGGTTGAGGCGAGTGGATCACTTGAGGTCAGGAGTTCGAGACCAGCCTGGACAACATAGTGCAACCCCGTCTGTACTAAAAATACAAAAAAAGTAGCCTGCCATGGTGGCGCATTCCTATAATCCCAGCTACTCGGGAGGCTGAGGCAGGAGAATCGCTTGAACCTGGGAGGCAGAGACTGCAGTGAGCTGAGCTCATGCCACTGCACTCCAGCCTGGGTGACAGAGTGAGACTCTGTCTCAAAAAAAGAAAGGAAAAGGAAAATGTACTAACAAATAATACTATGGTGGGTAATTATGTGCACCCAGCTTTATAACCGCAGTCATCTGGAATACCTGGATGAGCAACCTAAGTCTTTTGATAAGACCGTTCAAAATCTGTGATGGGCCACCAGTGCCTGTGCACTCACCCAGAGAGCTGAGATCTGGAGAAACTTTACCTTTTCCAAGTGCAGATGGACAAAAAGGACGTCACTTCATTGAGGAAGTTTCAACATTTTTATATAACACACACACACACACACACAGTGCTTACACACAAAGTCAACGCTGTGATAATGCACTTTTGTGGAGTCAAATTTGCAAAAGATGCAAAAAATGAATTAGAACTCTCTAAAAGTCTCCATGCAATTTATACTTCCAGGATTGGAAATGATGCAAAGATTAAATCCATAGCATAACAAATTGTAAAAAAACAATGCTGCTAGTTTAAAAGAGTGAGTGAAAAGAAAACCTAAACAAAGAAAAAGAAAAGAAAAAAGAAAACTAACAAACCAAAAAGACGACTCGATATGAAAAAATGTATTACTCGGATAGACTATGGGCTATTACTCAGAGACAGTCCATAAGAGCTGGCCAACTTTCATTGTTATTAACTATAGTTTGAAGTCTTGCATCTCGATGAGTAGCTGCTTTTTTTTTTTCTTTTGAGATGGAGTCTCACTCTGTCACCCAGGCTAGAGTGCAGTGGCGCGATTTCAGCTCGTTGCAAACTTCGCCTCCCGAGTTCGAGCGATTCTCCTGCCTCAGCCTCCCGAGCAACTGGGACTACAGGCTACCGCCACCACCCCCAGCTAATTCTTGTATTTTTAGTAGAGACGGGGTTTCACCATATTGGCCAGGCTGGTTTTGAGCTCCTGACCTCGTGATCCACCCGCCTTGGCCTCCCAAAGTGCTGGGGTTACAGGCGTGAGCCACCACGCCCGGCTGCTTTTTTTTTTTTTCTTTTTTATTAAGAGCATACCTCTCCTGTGAGAATATGTTCATGTTCATTTTCTACATGGCTCTGCTCTTTATGAAAGTTTTCTATCATTTGACATACACCGACATGGGCATTCTATCATTCCACATGCACTCACATGCAGACCACAGATTTGGTGGTCACAGTACTGCCTAGGCTGGAGTGCAGCGGCGCAATCTCAGCCCACTGCATCCTCCGCCTCCTGGGTTCAAGTTATTCTCTTGCCTCAGCCGCCTGAGTAGCTGGGGTGACAGGTGCCCGACACCATGCCCAGCTAATTTTTGTATTTTTAGTAGAGACGAGGTTTCACCTTGTTGGCCAGGCTGGTCTCGAACTTCTGACCTCAAGTGATCTGCCAGCCTTGGCCTCTCAAAATGCTGGGATTACAGGTGTGAGCCACCACGCCCAGCCAGCTGTACGTGTCTTCCTATCCTACGTGCACATAATTATATTCAAACCAGTCAGAAACTTCAGTGGCTTCTTCAGGCAAATGTGGCTGTATTTCTTTAAAAGCTCTCCGAGGCATGAGAAAAGAAAAATAAAAAGAAAAAAAGAAAAACTAGAAATAGAAAAAAATAAATACATGAAAGCTCCTAGAATATTGTCAGCTGGAAGGAATGCCAAGGCAGGCAAATGACCTTTTTTTTTTTTTTTTTTTGAGACAGAGTCTTGCTCTGTCACCCAGGCTGGAGTGCAGTGGTGTGATCTCAGCTCATTGCAACCTCTGCCTCCCAGGTTCAAGCGATTCTCCTGCCTCAGCCTCCTGAGTAGCTGGGATTATAGACGCCTGCCACCATGTCTGGCTACTTTTTGGATTTTTAGTAGAGATGGGGTTTCATCACATTGGCCAGACTGGTCTTGAACACCTGAACTCAGGTGATCTTCCTGCCTCGGCCTCCGCAAGTGCTGGGATTACAGACGTGAGCCACCGCGCTGGGCCAAAGACACACTTTTAAGCTGAAGTTTTTGTGGCTGCTGTATCAAATGGCCCATCCAGTTGTCTGCATTTTCCACCAAATGCCTTAGGCTGAATGGAAAAAACAAACTTTATTGGTAACACCTTGCCATTCGCTTTTAGAAGCCTTGATCACCTCTAATCCCAAATCTGTCATGACTGGAGGAGTCAATTAGATGTTAGGAATTTTAGACTTTAGGGATTTAGACTTTAGGGATTTTGATCTTTTGGGATTTCAGCATTCAGGATTATGGTACTCAAAACAGTCATTAGGGATTATGACCCAAACCCCAGACCAAGACGTAGCACGTGGCAAGCACTCATAAATACTTAGGGGTTGAATGACAGCTGAAGGGGAGCGCTGGCCCTAGGCTGTGGGCCAGCCAATTCTGGCTCCGTATCCTGGCTCTGCTCCCAGGGAGCTGTGTGATTTCAGGCAAGCCTTTTACCTCCCTGACTCTCAGTTTCCTCATCTGTCAAATGGGGACAGAGGCCGGGCGCCGTGGCTCACGCCTGTGAATCTCAGCACTCTGGGAGGTCGAGGCAGGCAGATCACTGGAGGCCAGGAGTTTGAGACCAGCCTGGCCAACATGGTGAAACCACGGCTCTACTAAAAATACAAAAAAATTAGCTGGGCGTGGTGGTGGGCACCTGTCATCCCAGCTACTCAGGAGACTGAGGCAGGAGAATCGCTTGAATCCAGGAGGCGGAGGTTTCAGTGAGCCGAGATCGTGCCACTGCACTCCAGCCTGGGTGACAGAGCAAGCCTACGTCTAAAAAAAAAAAGGTACAGAAATACATACTTTGCAGCATATTGAGATGATTTGAGATAATATGAGAGAAAACTCCTGGCTGGCACAGTGCCCAGCATATAGCAGGTGCTTAGCCCTTTCTTGCTGCTCTCTGGAACCTAGAGGGCTCCTGGGGCACCCCCCTCTGGTCTGTCTGGAGGACTTGGGTGGCTCTGAACCCTGGACATAGCACCATTCCTATGGGGCTTCCTGATGAGGGGCCTTGGGGTAAACCTTGATATAATAACACCCCCCTTCACTTATAGATTCTTTCCTGGGCTTCTTGGCTATTGGGCATCCAAGAGCAACTTGATTGCTTCTAGAGATGGTGGGCTCACTACTCCCAGCAGTTGCCTGAGCGTTCATTCTGGGATTGAGGTTGAAGAAAGATCTTTCTTGTCCGCCCTGTTTGTCCTGCTGTCTGCTGCCTCCGCTGGTCTGTTGGCCTAGGAGCTGGGTTCCTGGAGGCCAGGGACTTGAGGATTCAGTTCAGAATTGAACCAAGGTTGGAAAAAGAATCTGGAACATACAGAAGTCAGTTAGGAAAGAAATCCCGTCAGTTTTCACCCCCTTTTCTTTAGAAGCTGGCCTCGGTACTTCCATGGGGCAGGAATTGTATTTTTGTGTCCTCCACCATCTCTTCTGTCTAGAAATCTCCGTCTCATCCTCTGGGAGCGGCCACAGGAACACAGCCACCCCCGGGAGAGGCTTGCAGTCTCTCTGCCCTCCATACCCCCCGGCTGCTGCCTCGCCGTGTTCCTGGCCTGCAGCAGGCCTCCAGTGAGGCTGTGAACCGGCCAGACCTGGGGCTCCCAGAGTCTGGTCAGGGCTCTGCCTCCTCTCATTCACTCGAGCATTCCCTTTTTCCTCCATTCACTCGTTTGCTGGTCACTGTCAACTGCCCAGGCGTTGGCCACAGTCCCCTTGGTGAGCAGGTGAATGGGGCTGACTCAGCTCCAGGTCCGAGAATTGCCCCCAGTCTTGGGAGAAACAACATCTCCTGGCTTTGTCTTGTCCTCTGGGACCTGGAATCTCCATGACACTCGGGGGCAGGAATCCACAGTCCTACACTACAGGAGAGGTCCCTGGGCTCTGGCAGTGATGGCTGGTGGGAGCTGGCAGACCCAGAGCTGGATTGTGGCCTCAGCCACTGTGGTTCCAACCTCAGCAGTGGCAGCGCCGCCCTGGCCCTGGCTCCCACGGGAGGGTGGGCTGTGGAGGCGATACTGCTCCCATCTCGCCCCAGCTTCCCTCAGCTGTTTCCTGCACAGGCTGTCCACGGAGCTGGCTCTGCCCAACCCCCTCCTCCCCTCCTCCCTCCTCCCCGGCCCTGGGACAGGCACTGTGTTCTGTTTCCTGGCTGACCCCATCCCAGTGCTCGGGGAGGGGGGCGCCTTTGTGACCCTGAGGGAACTCCCGGGCCTCCTGCTTGCCCCCATTGCAGTATCATGGAGCCAGGCAGGCTGAGCAGCCTAGTCTTGGTTTGGCCCCTGCTGGTGTTCTGGGACCCTGGGTTGGCTCTGGCCCCTGCTGGTGGCCTGGGGCCCTGGGTTGACTCTGGCCCCTGCTGGTGGCCTGGGACCCTGTGTTGGCTCTGGCCCCTGCTGGTGGCCTGGGACCCTGGGTTGGCTCTGGCCCCTGCTGGTGGCCTGGGACCCTGCGTTGGTTCTGGCCCCTGCTGGTGGCCTGGGACCCTGGGTTGGCTCTGGCCCCTGCTGGTGTTCTGGGACCCTGGGTTGGCTCTGGTCCCTGCTGGTGTTCTGGGACCCTGGGTTGACTCTGGTCCCTGTTGGTGGCCTGGGACCCTGGGTTGGCTTTGGCTCCTGCTGGTGGCCCGAGGCCCCAGGTGGACTCTGTGGCCCTCGCTGGGCTTCTGTCTGCCTCAGCCAGGCATGGCCTGGGACACATTCAGTCCCCAGCTCACAGAATGTTTATGATGTGAACCTCCCAGCATAGTTAGTGACCCAGAGTAAGTACTCAGAAAATGTGTTTTCAACAGCGACGTGAATATAATTATATGTTTCAGGTGCCATCTCCCCCTCCAGAGCCTGACAGTGACTTGGCCAAAGGATTTTTGCCTGATTTATTTCTCTGTCCCCCGTCCCAGCTCTATCGAAGCACAGAGGACCTGGCAGAGTGTCAGCCGGTGGGGAGATGAGCTGATTAATGCATGCCCGGCACCTTCCCCGGGCTGTCCCAGCTGTCTAGCCGGGCTCGCGGTGGCTGGGGGACTCTGGGGCTATCTGGGTGCCCTCTGACCGGCTGGGTATTGGCCCTTGCCCTCCTTCCATGTGGCATCTCTGCCCATCTGGAAGCTGAGCTGCACATTCCCCGATGAGGCCCTGGGCTCCAGCGGAGGAAGAGATTCTGAGATCTTGAGAGATCCCGGCCTCGTCCATTCTCAGGCCCCAGACTGCATGGCTGTTGGAGGAAGTGTGTAATTTAAAAAAGGTTTCCCTGGTTACATGGAAACTTTTGCGGGCAAAGAGAAAGAAATACGTTTTTAATGAAGTCCAGGAGCCCGGGGCGTTTGATCTTCTGCTGTTCCCGGAACAGGCAGCAGTGGCTTTGCACCAGGAACAGCGTGTGCTCCCGAGCGGCCCTGCCAGCAGACGGCGGGCTGTGAGGGGCGAGAGTGCAGTGGCAGGTCACCAGCCATGCCCGCTGTCCACGCTGATGTCTCATGGCCTCCCGGTCTCTCCATTTGCAGATGAGGAAGGCACGAGCCAAGGCCGGGGGCTGCCGGCTTCTCAATCCAAGCAGCGTCCACTCCCCGGCTCACAGCCCCAGCCAAGCCCACGAGACAGTTCCCAGGGGTGGCAGGAACAAGGGCCACAAAACACAGCCATAGAAATGCTTCTTGGGCACGGAGAGGCCCCTCAAGTCCACCACATCATAGGCGAGTAAGTACACATGGGTCCCTTGTACTGGGCACTGTGCAGCAGAGGCTTTCATTCCCCTGATGGGAGTGGAAATCTCTGCAGAACTTCTGGAGGCCAGCTTGGCTGTACATTCAGGAAGTGAGTCGACTCAATGATTCCACTTCTGGAAACTCACACTCAGGGAGTCTCTCGAAATTGAGGAAAATCTCCACACTGTTTGTCAGAGCACTATTTAGAGCAGCAGGAAATACCCACAGTGAAAATGCCCAACAAAGTGAATCATGAAATTCTCATACGTCCTCTCTCTGGAATATGATGCACCCATTAGAATTAGGTTTACGGGCCGGGCGCGGTGGCTGAAGCCTGTAATCCCAGCACTTTGGGAGGCTGAGGCGGGCGGATCACGAGATCAGGAGATCGAGACCATCCTGGCTAACACGGTGAAACCCCCATCTCTACTAAAAATACAAAAAATTAGCCAGGCGTGGTGGTGGGCGCCTGTAGTCCCGGCTATTCGGAAGGCTGAGGCAGGAGAATGGTGTGAACCCGGGAGGAGGAGTTTGCAGTGAGCGGAGATTGCGCCACTGCATTCCAGCCTGGGTGACAGAGCGAGACTCTGTCTCAAAAAAAAAAAAAAAATAGGTTTATGATGATTTTTAAAAATTAATTAATTAATTAATTTATTTTGAGATAGGGCATCCCTTTGTCACCCAGGCTAGAGGTCAGTGGCACCATCATGGCTCACTGCAGCCTTGACCTCCCTCGCTCAAGTGATCCTCCCACCTCAGCCTCCCGAGTAGCTGGGACCACAGATGGGTGCCACCAGACCCAGGTAATTAAAAAAAAATATTTTGTAGAGACGGGGTCTCCCTATGTTGCCCAGGCTGGTCTTGAACTTCTGGGCTTAAGCAATCCTCCTGCCTCGGCCTCCCAAAGTGCTGGGATTCCAAGCCTGAGCCACTGCTCCCAGCCTACAGTAAGTTTTTAAAGGCATGGGGAAATGTTTATGCAATCATGTTAAATTTTAAAAAACAACCAATATTCAAAACATTCTACAAACTATGAAGATGACATAAAATGCAGAGATTAGGAAAAGATCAGAAAGAAATGCACTGAATTGTGATTGATACAAATCTTTGGATGTTGACAATATGGAAAATTATCTGTTCTTTCTAGTTTTCCAAATTAGCAATTTCCAAATATCCAGTAATAAATGGGTATTATTTTTATAGTGGAAGAACATGTAAATGCATTTACCCCATTGACCAAGAGCACCTCATGACAGTTGAAAAGAACTACTGGTCTGGTATCACACCCAGCCTGGCTGAAAAGCCTGACCATCCCCTCCTACTGCCCTTGGTCATTCTGGAGCTATTAGAGTCAGCAGGGAGAAAGAGGACACAGGAATGAAAGGAGTGGTGGCCATTCTCTTGACCCAAAACAGGGGCAATGGTTGGACACTCTAGGCTCCTGAAAACCCATCCACATGTCCACCCATACATTCGTATATCCCTTCATTATCCACCCACCCACTCATCCATCCATCCATCCATCCACCTATCTGTTCAATCATCCATCCATCATCCACCTATCCATCCACCATCATCCATCCATCCACCTATATCCCTCCCCCCATCAAACCATCCATCCATCCATCCATCGATCCATCCATCCATCCATCCATCCATCCATCCATCCATCCATCTGTTCAATCATCCATCCATCATCCATCTATCCATTCACCATCATCCATCCATCCACCTATATCCCTCCCCCCATCAAACCATCCATCCATCCATCCCTCTGTTCAATCACCCATCCATCATCCATCTATCCATTCACCATCATCCATCCATCCACCTATATCCCTCCCCCCATCAAACCATCCATCCATCCATTCATCCATCCATCTGTTCAATCATCCATCCATCATCCATCTATCCATCCACCATCATCCATCCATCCACCTATATCCCTCCCCCCATCAAACCATCCATCCATCCATCCATCCATCCATCCATCCATCCACCCATCCATCTGTTCAATCATTCATCCATCACCCATCTAACCATCCACCATCATCCATCCATCCACCTATATCCATCCCCCCATCCATCCATCCATCCATCCGTCCGTCCAGTTATCCACCCATCATCCATCCATCCACCCACCTATATTCATCCATCCCCCTATATCCATCCATCCATCCATCCATCCACCTATATCCATCCATCTATCCATCCATCCATCCATCCATCCATCCATCCATCCATCCATCTACTGCCGACTCTACTGCAGACTCCTGGGATAGCACCATAATGTGGATGGATGTTCATAACCTGCAGCCAAATGTGTACAAATGATCTCCCCATCGCTCATGCTCTGCTCCTATCTCAGGTGCTCTAGGAGTCTCACTCCCTTACTCCTAGCTCCCGAAACCTAGCTGTCCTCGCCCCATTCCATCTGGGCCCCTCCTGAGCCCTTCCACTCCACTCAACTCTGTCCTGGACATCACCCCCACAGCCTCTCTGGCTGCTCTCTGCCCTTGTATCCCAATTTGCAGATTTTGCTGGGTGAGGAAGCGCAGCAGCTGCCTTAGAGGTCTGGGTGGGGGTTGCAGGGGAAGCAGGTTGCAAATAATTCATATATTGCCATAGCTCTTTCTCTTTTTCTTTCTTTCTTCTTCCTTTTTTTTTTTTTTGAGACAAAGTTTCGCTCCTGTTGCCCAGGTTGGAGTGCAATGGCTCGATCTCGGCTCACCACAACTGCCACCTCCTGGGTTCAAGCGATTCTCCTGCCTAAGCTTCCCGAGTAGCTGGGATTACAGGTTTGCAGCACTATGCCCAGCTAATTTTGTATTTTTAGTAGAGACGGGGTTTCTCCATGTCAGTCAGGCTGGTCTCAAACTCCCAACCTCAGGTGATCTGCCCGCCTTGGCCTCCCAAATTGCTGGGATTACAGCCATGAGCCACCACACCCAACCTCTCTTTTTCTTTTAAGCCCTGGTTACATCAAAATTTTTTTGAGATGGAGTCTCGCTCTGTCGCTCAGGTTGGAGTGCGGTGGTGCAATCTCGGCTCACTTGCGACCTTTGCCTCCCAGGTTCCTGCCTCAGCCTCCGGAGTAGCTAGGATTACAGGCACGCACCACCATGCCTGGCTAGGTTTTTTTTTTTTTTTTTTTCTTGTATTTTTAGTAGAGACGGAGTTTCACCATGTTGGCCAGGCTGGTCTTGAACTCTTGGCCTGAGGTGATCTGCCCACCTCATCCTCCTAAAGTGCTGGGGTTACAGGCATGAGCCACTGCGCCCAGCCTGGTTACACAAAATCTCAAAAAATAAAAAATAAAAAAAGTACCCTGATTGCTTCAAAGCTGCCTCCTAAAGCCTGAGTGTTTTGGGATCCTCATCTTGTCTTTAGACACTAAGCCCCCCAGGCTTGGCCTGGCCTCAGTTGCCATGCTGGCTGCAGAGTTGCCTGGAGCCTGCTTTCCTTCCCCACAAGCTCTGGGCTTCCAGCTCACGCTGCCTCCTCAGCCCTTCTCCCCTTCTCCCTGCCATGCCCCCTCTCCCCCAACCTGGATGCCTCCCTTTTTATCTTTGGGTTTCAGGTTCAAAATCACCTCCTCTGGGAAGTCCTCCCTGGTCCTGCCCTGATGCAAGGGCATCAGCCACGTGTCCCTTCCGGCCTCCTGGCAGTGGGGAGATGACCTTGACCTCTGAGTCAGCAAGGACTCAGTGACAGGCCCTGGGACCCCAGCGCTGCAAGCCCACAGACCAGATTTTGTTTCTCATACACCTCTGGTGAGGGGCACAGTGCTGGGCATGGAGTAGATACTCAGGAAGCCTCTGCAGAAGGAGTGTGGGCAGGAAATGGAAAATGAGCTTTGCCACCACTGATGTGACCCATGAGGTTGCACCCCCAGGGGGACAGTGACAGCTGTGGGTTCCCTTTGAAACAACTCTTGGCTTTTGTAGACCAGTGAGTGGGAGTACTGGTCGGGGGAACCAGGCTCAGACCAAGCCACTCAGTCTGTTTGCCTCAGTTTGCCTTTCTGTGAAATGGCCACAAGGAAATCTGCCTCATCAGAAGGTGGTGGTGGGATCCATTCTGAGACAGCAGTGGGGTGGCTGTGGTCCGAGCCAGCCAGTGCGCCCCTTGGCTGGATGATGTGTGCGTGAATGTGCATATGCACGTGTGCAGGTTGCTGGGGGATGCTGTATATTTGTGAGGCTCCAGCCAGCATAGGCCCACTTTGAGGCATATCTGTCTTCTCCCCTACCTGTACCTTGCTGAGTTGTCACCTTCCTGGGGCTCAGCAGAGAAGCCAAGCCTGGGCCCTCTCTCCTTCCCTCTCCATGGGCCAGGGCCTTTGTCACCACTTGGCTTAGGGCAGTGGCCTGTCTGCTCTGAGGCGCTCCCATGAGTCCTGTTCTCACTGCCAGAGCTCCTAGCAAGGAAGTCTTGGCTTGAAGTCCAGGGCAAAGTGCAGCACTGACTCTTACCCTCCTTCACCCAGCTCACTAGGCCTGACCATCCCCTCCTACAGCCCTTGGCCAATCTGGAGCCATTAGAATCAGCAGGGAGAAAGAGGATAGAGGAATGAAAGGAGTGATGGCCATTCCCTTGTACCAAAACAGGGGCAATGGTCGGACAATCTAGGCCCCTGAAAACCCATCTACACATCCACCCATACATCCACATATCCCTTCATTATTCACCCACCCACCCACCCATCCATCCGTCCATCTGTCCATCTGTTCAGTCATCCATCCATGCATCCATCCATCCCCCATCCATCAACTTATCCATCCCCCATCAAACCATCCATCCATCCATCCATCCATCCATCCATCCATCCGTTCAATCATCCATCCATCCATCCATCCATCCATCCATCCATCCATTCAATCATCCATCCATCCATTCATCCATCCATTCTTTCATCCAGGTATCCACCCATCATCTATCCATCCACGTATATCCATCCCCCCATCCATCCAACCATCCATCCATCCATCATCCTCCCACCCATCCAACTGTTCATGCATGTATCCATTCATCATCCATCTACTCATCTATCCATCCATCCATCCATCCATCCATCCATCCGTCCATCTGTTCAATCATCCATCCATTCATTCACCATCACTCATCCCCCACAGCTAACTATGTATCCACCCATCCATCCACCTATCATCCTTCCACCTATATCCAACCATCCGTTCATCTATCCATTCATCATCCATCCACTCATTTATCCATCCATCAATTTATCTGTTCAATCATTCATTCATCCATCCATCCACTGATCCACCTACCCATTTTCCATGCATTCATCCAGTCATCTTCCATCCCCCCATCCAACTATCCACCCATCCATCCATTCATTTATCCATCACCCATCCAAACATCTATCTATCCATTCATCCACCTCTGCTCTTTGTCTGATGTCTACTCTGTGGATCTATGGGGCCCCTGCTGGGTGCTGTGGACACAGGGGTAGCCAGCCTGGTCTCTGACCCAGGGGAGCTCACGGTGGGGTGGAGGACAGTTCACCACCCCAATGCTGGGTGATGAGGGCTGTGATGGGGTTGTTCAGTGGGGGTGGGGTGTGACCTCACAGGGTTCCCAGGGTGGTAGAGGATGAGGATGTGGTTAGGAGGTTTGAGTGAGAGATGAGGCAGGAGAGGCCGTGGGACCTGCTGGGGTGGCTCCCAAATGCCAGCTAAGGAGTCTGGAGGGCCTTTGATAAAACCTGAGGTCAAGTCATATATCACAAAATTCACCCTCTTAGAGCATACAGTGTAGTTTTTAGTATATTCACAAGATTGTGCAACCACCAATCTAATTCCAGAACCTTTACATCTCCCTGAAAGAAACTCTGTTCCCGTTAGTAGATACTTCCCCTTCCCCCATACCCCCAGCACTTGGCAATCACCAATCTTTCTGTTTCTGTAGGTTTCCCTATTCTGGACATTTCATACACAAGGAAACCTAGAATCTGTGGCCTTTCATGTCAGGCTTCTTTCACTGAGCACCATGTTTTGAAGGTTGACCCACGATGTGTCACTTGTTAGGACTTCAGTCCTTTTTATGGTTGGATGTGCATAGCACGTTATGTTTATCCATTTTCTGTTGATGGAAATTTGGATTGTTTCCATATTTTGCTGTTGTGAATAGTGCTGCTGTAAACATTCAAGTGTACATTTTTGTGTGGACATGTGTTTCTGTTTTCTTGAGTAGATATCTGGGGTGAGATTGCTGTAACTCTATGTTTAATTTTCTGAGGAACTTCCCGGCTTTTCTTCAAACCTCCTGCGCTATTTTACCTTCCCGTCAGCAATGTATGAGGGCTCTAATTTCACTACATCCTTGCCTCAATTTGTTATTGTCATTTCTTTTTTTTTGGTATAGCCATCATTGTGATTGTGAAGTGCTGTGACATTGTGGGTTTGATTTGCATTTTTTCTGATGACTAGTGATATCAGGCCCCTTTTCACGTGCCTGTTGCCATGAGTATGTCTTGTCTAGAGAAGTGTATCTTCAAATCCTTTGGTCACTTTTTTTTGAAACAGAGTCTCACTCTATAACCCAGGCTGAAGTGCAGTGGTGTGATCTCAGTTCACTGCAACCTCCGCCTCCTGGGTTCAAGTGATTCTCCTGCCTCAGCCTCCCAAGTAGCTGGGATTACAGGCACCCGCCACCATGTCCCGCTAATTTTTGTATTTTTAGTAGAGACAGGGTTTTGCCATGTTGGCCAGGCTGGTCTCGAACTCCTGACCTCAAGTGATCACCCCACCTTGGCCTCCCAAAGTGCTGAAATTATAGGTGTAAGCCACTGTGCCCAGCCTCCTTTGGTCACTTTTTAATGTGGATATTTGTTTTTTTAAATTATTGAGTTGTAGTAGTTCTTTATATAGTCTAAATACTATATCTGTATTAGATATGTGGTTTACAAATAGTTCCTTCTATTCTTTGAGCTGTTTTGTCACTTTCTTGTGAATGTCCTTCAAAGCACAAGTTTTTCATTTTGATGAAATCCATTTTCTATGTTTTTTCTTTCATTGCTTGTGCTTTTGGTGTCACAACGAAGAAACTCTTGCCTAATTCAGTCACGAAGATTGGCACCTGACCTCTTCTGATTTTTGTAGTGGCAACTCTTCCATGGCTGTCTTTGATCCATTTTGAGTTAGTTTTTGTATATGGAGTGAGGTAGGGGTCCAGCTTCACTCTTTTGCATGTGGATACCCAGTTGTCTTAGCTCCATTTGTTGAAAGATGATTCTTCTTTGATTGTCTTGGCACCCTCGTTGAATATCGATTGGCCATATATGTATGTATGGGTTTATTTCTGAACTCTTACTCTGTTCTATTGACCTATATGTCTTTAATTATGCCAGTACCACACCATCTTGATAGCTGTAGCTTTGCTGTAAGTTTTGAAGTTGGGAAGTATGAGTCCTCCTATTTTTTTTTTCAAGATTGTTTGGTTTTTCTGGGCCCGCTGCATTTCCATGTGAATTTTGGGATCAATATACACAACATAGGCAGCTAGGATTCCGATACGGTGAGGAGAGTCTTTGTCTACAGGGCAATGGGGAGCCATGGGGGTTTTTGAGCAGGTGAGTGACAGGATCAGACTTGAGTTTTGCTAAGATGGATCTTCCCAGCACAGGGAATGGATTTGAGGGAGTGGGTTAGGCCCAGGGGGATGCAAGGAGAGGTGGTGACAGCCAGGGGCTGGCCATGAGGTGACAGGCATGGGCTGGCCACAGGACAAGGAGCCGAGAGAGGCAGAGGAACCAGGGTCTCAGACTGGTGGGCTGTAGGGAGGGATGAGGTGGTTGTGTCTCTGGAAGGCCCAGCCCCACTCCTGGCTCCCCACCCTTCTTGGTCAGGGAGAGGGGCCAGGGAGCAGGCTGGACTGGGCGTTGGGACATTTGGATCCAACTCTGCCTCTGTCACTGCTCCACTGTGATCTCCCATGGGCGACTTCCCAGCCCCCACCCATCCCTCCTCCCCAGGGCCTGGATTCAAACAGACTCATCCAGGAGAGCTAGAAGGGCCCTATGAATCCACGCAGGCCACCATCTATTTTATAGATGGGAAAACTGAGGCCTCATGTGATTGACTCCCTGCTCTCCTCTGAGCTCTTTGGAGCCTCAGGTTTTGCCCTTGCCAGTCCCTGGGTCCATCCTCTAGGGCCTAAGAACAAACCGCCAGCCCATAGCTCATCCAACCGAGAGCTACAACTGCACGTGATACTATGACCAGGCCATTCCAGAAAATCCTTGCTCAGGAAGACACAGTTGCAAAGGACTTTCTTGTTTCAGGAACTTCCTGGAATCCATTTATCTGAACAATAGCTCACCTCACTGGGTGAGCTGCTTGCTCGTGAAATGACTGCTCTCTCACCAGGACATGCTTGAAACCCACGCCTCACTGCGTCCCCAGTGCCATTCTGCTGTGTCACTAGGTTCACCCAGTCCCAGTCCATCTCCACAAACTGCTTAGACCCAGGACCCTGACTTACAAAGGCCTTTCGTGACCTCCCCTTTCCAAGACACTCCTGGGACTCTGTCAGGGATACCCCCTGCAGACACAGACACTGAGCTTGGCTTGGCTGGGTGACTGCTGAGTCTCCCAGACAGGATGGGGCCCCTACACACTCCTGGCCCCCTACTTCTTGCGTATCCTTAATGGTACCTCTCAATCTGCCTTAACAAAATTAATAGACTTTATTTTTAGAGCAGTTCTAGGTTCAGAGTTGAACTGATTGAAAGGTGCAGAGATTTTCCACAGCCGCATGGCCCCACCATGCACACCCTCCCCTCTATCACTGTCCACCAGCCACATCAGGGCCACCCAGAGTCCACGGTTTCCATGAGGGGCCCCTCTTGGCATTGGACATTGTGCAAGGACAGGGACCCCCATGGTAGCATCATCCAGGGCAGTGTTACTGCCCTGAGATCCCCATGCCCTACCTGCTTATCCCTGTCTCCCTCTCATTCCTGGCAACCTCCGCTCCTTTCACTGTTTCCGTAGTTTGCCCTGCCCCACAGGGTCGTGTAGTTGGGATCACACTGTCTGTAGCCTTTTCAGACTTGCTTCTTCCACTCGTGAGATGCATTTTGAGTGCTTCCATGCCTTTTTTTTTTTTTTTTGAGATGGAGTTTCACTCTTGTTGCCCAGGCTGGAGTGCAATGGTGCGATCTCGGCTCACTGCAACCTCTGCCTCCCAGGTTCAAGTGATTCTCCTGCCTCAGGCTCCCAAGTAGCTGGGATTACAGGTGCCCACCACCACACCTGGCTATTTTGTTGTATTTTTAGTAGAGACAGGGTTTCCCGATTTTGGTCAGGCTGGTCTCGAACTCCTGGCCTCAGGTGATCCACCTGCCTCAGCCTTCCAAGTGCTGGGATTACAGGTGTGAGCCACTGTGCCTGGCCACTTCCATGGCTTTTCATGGCTTCATAGCCCCTTTCTTTCCCTTCCTTTCTTTCTTTCTTTCTTTCTTTCTTTCTTTCTTTCTTTCTTTCTTTCTTTCTTTCTTCCTTCCTTCCTTCCTTCCTTCCTTCCTTCCTTCTTTCTTTCTTTCTTTCTTTTTCTTTCCTTCTTTCTTTCTAAGTAAACTTTAATGTTGAAAATGGAAACTTGGGGAAGGCAGAAAGATCCCATACAAGGCTGTCACTTCACACTTGGAAGGTTGCACAGCGGCCCAGAGGGTCGGGGGGGCTGGGCAGAGGTGCTTCTCACTTCCCAGATGGTGGGGTGGCCAGGCAGAGGCACTCCTCACTTCCCAGACAGGGCGGCGGCCGGGCAGAGGCACTGCTCACTTCCCAGACAGGGTGGCAGCTGGGCAGAGGTACTCCTCACTTCCCAGATGGTGGGCAGCTGGGCAGAGGCGCTCCTCACTTACCAGGCGGTGTTCATAGCCCATTTCTTGTAATCGCTGAATCACATCTTATTGCCTGGCTGTGCCTGAGTTTATTCACCCATTCCCCTGTGGAAGCACGTCCTGTTTGCTTCCCATCAATTTGGCTTCGTTCAACAGCATTACTTGTGTAGGTGCCTTTCTTCCCCTTGAGGCTCCAGGGCTGGGCTATGGGATGCAGTAGTCTCTGTGACCCTGGGTCATTCAGCAGATGTGCATGGAGTGACAAGGGCTTGGATTTGGGGTTACGCTTCCCGGGTGGGCCCTAAAACCCTCATCGAGACTCAGGACCCCAAAGCAAGGGTCATGGGGGGTGGGGGCTGCCACTGGTGGAGGTGGAGAGAAGGCAGGTAGGCAGGAGCCTGCCAGGGCACCACCATTTGGCAAATGCCAACAAGGCCTGTCCCCGGGAAACCAGTGGGCCTGCCCTGGGAGGGCCTCACCTGGAGTGTCAGGGGGAGGCAAGGCTGTGAGTCAGAGAGGTTCTGATATAGCCGAAGGATGAGTGGGCCGTGGCCAGGGGAAGGTAACAGGTGGGCAGGTGCATGGGAGAGGCTGCCACAGAGGGCACAGCCCATGCAAAGGCCCAGCTGAGGTCCCCAGCATGGCTCAGGGCACCAGCAGCAGAGGACCTTGATGGGTGGGTGACAGGGAGAGGAAGTCCAGGGTGCAGGCAGGCAGGCTGCCCTGGCCCCAGCCCCTGGGAGGAGTTTAGATCCTATACGGGGACCCCAGACATGAGCAGAGGATGTTCAAACAGAGGTGCAGCAGCTCTGATTAACGGTTTTAAGTTCAGGCCAGAGACCAAGACGGTCTGACCTGCAGAGGGGGCTCTGGGAGGCGAGGAGGAGGCAGATGGAGGGGGGTTCAGGAGGGGCACCTGGGGCTGTTGTGGGGGAGTGCGGTTTGCAGATCTCCAGGATGAACAGTCGGAAAGCTCAGGTGTGGCTGCGCCAGGCACTGGCCTCCATTCTTGCTGGCAAGCCGGCGTCTGGCTGTTCTCCATTGCTCCTCCCCTGCCTCTGTCCAGGCCCCGCTCCTCCCCCTACTTTCCTCCCCTCGTGCCCTGTCTCCTCCCTGCCTCAGGTGGGGGCATTGATTTGGTGCCTCTGGGACAGTGATGAGGCAGTGGAATGTTCCTCCTCTCCCTCCTTCCCAGCACAGGCCGCGGTGCCTCCAGGCACATGCATGGGCTCTGCGGGGCCTGCAGGACTCGCCTTGGACACTGAGCCTGGCCAGGAGCTCTGCGACTATTTCCTGTTGAATGCACATGGTCGTCCCAGGGCAGAGGCACCACTGCCCCAGTCTTACGGTGAAGGCACAAGGCCCAGGGAGGTGACGGAGCAGGGAGAGCTGGGAAGGCGGCAGAGCTGAGCTGTGAATCTAGGTCCAAATGCCCGATGCTGCCTCTCTCTCTTTTTTTTTTTCCAGATGGAGTTTTGCTCTTGTTGCCCAGGCTGGAGTGCAATGGCGAGATCTCGGCTCACCACAACCTCTGCCTCCCGGGTTCAAGACATTCTCCTGCTTCAGCCTCCCGAGTAGCTGGGATTACAGGCATGAGCCACCACGCCCAGCTCTACTAAAAAAATTTTGTATTTTTAATACAGACGGGGCTTCTCTATGTCGGTCAGGCTAGTTTCAAACTCCTGACCTCAGGTGATCCGCCCACCTCGGCCTCTCAAAGTGCTGGGATTACAGGTGTGAGCCACTGCACCTGGCCCCGAGGCCGCCTCTTAAGCACGGTGCCCCTGCCCCCTGCCTGGCTTCCTTCTCTCGCTAACTCACTGGCCAGCTGCACCTTGAAGAGGTGGGGCTGGAGGTCCATTTTCACTTCTGAAGGTCACCTGGGGGCATCTCGGAGGCAGAGCTGGGGTCTCTGCCCAGGGAGGCTCCTGTCTCTACACAGGAGGGGCTCCCCGTGGGAAAGGGGATTGGAAGCTGCGTTTGCAAAACCAGGACAGAAGAATAGGACCACCCACAAGGAAGGAAGGGCAGGAGGGAGAGGGTGGTGCCCCTTCCTCCCTGCAGCCTGCAACAGAGCCTCAAGCTTTCACAGCTTTCACCTGAGGAGGGAAGAGCTGGCTCGAGCTTGGCTTTTAGTGTGGGGTCCTCAGGGATGCGATTTGCCTTTTGAATGTCCACCTGGTGGTCGTGGGGTTCCTGCGATCCCTGCAACTCACTGGCTGTATGACCGTCTTCATTACCTTGTGCACAGGGTAAGCTGATAAGTAGTTAACTGGAGAACAGTGGTGGGGAAGGGAAGAAAGTTGGGTTGTCTGAAGCATCCAGGAAACTTGTATCTTCTGCATTGGTCCCCCATGCTTATCCTGACTGGATGTCCCCGTCTCACCCTAACCGTAAAGGTAACCCTAACCATAACCCTAACCCTAACCCTAATCCTAACCCTAACCCTAACTCTCTAACTCTCTAACTCTCTCTAACTAACAACTCTCTAACTCACTCTCTAACTTAATTAACATTATTCTTCCCAGGTGGGTGTGTGCTGCCTTCTCTTCATCAACCACTAGGTGGCAGCAGTGCCCCACAGATCCCATCAGGCCGCCTGCAGGCGGAGACTGGAGAGCCACCGTCCTTCCTGGGGTTGCCTCACACCTGGCCCCCTTCGTGGGCGCCGTCCAGGACGGTTCTGGACGATGAAAATTCCAGCTGTGGGCCCTCCTAGGGCTGGGCTGGGGAAGCCACACCTGCGCCCCTCAGTGTTCCCCAAGGATCACCATGTAGCCCATCAGCAAACCCTTCCTGCTGTGTCTGACCCCTGCCCAGGCTGTGGGAGGGAGGCCCCCAGGTGAGGGGGGATGGCAGTCAGGGAAGTTTCCCGGGAGGAAGGCCCAGCGGGGAGGCGGCCAGCCTGCCCCGGCCGGGGGTGTGTGGGGGCAGCCTGAGGAGGAGGGCTGCATCCTGGGGCTGCCCACATCCAGGACCAGCCAAATAATGAGCTGGCCCAGCCAAGGTGAACCAGAATGGGGGCTCTCCTTCACCAATGACTAAGAATCTCAAGACAGGATGGCAGAGCACTCAACCCAGCGCGGGGTCCTCTGGTCATGGGACCTGCTAGTTCCCTGCACTCCCCTTCCCAAATGTCTGGAGAAATGCTGTCCACAAAGTCTTACCCTCTGCCTGGTCAGCTCCCAGCAGCCCTGCCTGCCCTGGGATGGGCCAGCCTCATCCCCATTTTACAGAGGAGGAAACTGAGGCTCAGGGAGGGGAAGGGGCCTCCCTGGGAACCCCCATCCCTTTCATCTCCCTGGCCTTCTGCTCGTGAGCCACTGTCACTGCCATAGGAGCTGGGGGTTGGCCCTCAGAGTCCCAGGCCAGTCCCCACCCACCAGCGGTGTGTCCCTGCCCATCCGCCTCCTGATGGGGTGTGGAGAGGACCCCCTGGGATGGGTGAGTGAGGCTCCCGGCGCTCAGCGTCCAGCAAGTAATGATGATGATGAAAACAATGACGCTGTCACTTTAACAAACAGCCACTGTTGTTTCCATGACACTGGGAACCTGGACCACCTAGAACTGCCTCCTTCCAAGCGACACTGGGGCTGGCTCCCCATCTGAGCCGTCTGGAGACCCTGTGGCTGGCAGGCGACGCCGTCCCCCCGCCCAGGTGCTCCCAGCCCCCAGACCTACTGCAGCCCGGGAGGGGCTGAGGGTGCGGTTCCCGCAGGGTCCAGGGTTCTTTCTGGCTCTTGGAAGAGTGTGTGCCCTCTGATCCCCCCTAAATCCCACAGGGCCCCACCCTCTCTGGGCCTTCCCCGTGGTTTGCCAGCATGGGGGCCGGCCTGAAATGGCCCTGAGAGGCCACGAGCCCAGCTGGCCCCTCTGTGTGTGCCCAGGCCAGGCCCTTGGGCAGCAGCTCAGGGTACACTGGTGCTGCTGCCGGGCCCCTGCCTTATGACGGTGCCTTTGGGGTCAGGCAGTGGGTGTTGTTCAAGAGCAGCCTCGGGCCCTCCATGTTGCACGCTGACACGGCCTTGGCCACAGCACCCTGTCGGCCCTCATCACCCGGGCTGCCTTTGGGAGGGACAGAGTGTGGGCAGCGCTGGACCCGTGGGACCGTGTGCAGGGGAGCTGCTGCCACCCAAGGTCCCCAAGTCAGTTCTGCGGACTCACAGATGACCACAGCCTGGGGGACTTAAAACAACAGACATTTATTCGATCGCAGTTCTGGAGGCCAGAGGTCCGAAATCAGGGTGTCGGCAGAGCCAGGCTCCTCTGAGGGCTCAGGGGGATCTTTCCTGCCTCTCCCAGCTCCTGGGGGCCCCGGTTCCTTAGCTTGTGGTCCTGTCCCTCTCATTCTTCCTCCATCCTCACGTGGCCTCCCTCTGTGTCTTCTCCTCTTCTGTCTCTTACAAGGACACTGTCATGGGACTTAGGGCCCACCAGAAAAAATCCAGGATGCAATTAGATCCTGTCTCCAAATAAGGTCATTCTCACAGGTTCAGGGGATTAGGATGTGGGCAGTCCCCAGGCAGGCAGGGCAGAACCGGCTCAGACCCTGCAACCCGTCTCCCGGCCCTGTGCCCCTCTGTCCTGGGGGCCCCCCTTCTCCGTCTGTTTGTCATCCACTATCAGCATCCGGAGGGGCTCCCCACCCCCACTCTGGAGGGTCTACTGAGTGGTCTCTGGTGGCCTCCACCAGCCTGGGCCTGGTGCTGAGCTGGCAGCAGAGGCCTGCCCGGGGAACCCCGAAGGGACTGAATATCCTGAATATCACCCTCCCCTTGCTACACCCTGGTTGTCACCAAAGCTCCGCCCAAACCTCACCTCCTCCTGGACACCGTCGCAGACCACCAGGCATGCTTGGGACTCCTCTGGGCTCCCTCTCTCCAGCCCAGACCACTCCATTGTGATCTCAGACTGGGGGCTCACCCAGGGCCCCAGGGGTCTAGCGCCCTGTGCTCCATCCCATAGCCTGGGACCCCCCCAGATGGCCCAGCAGGTGGTGGGAGAGCACCCATCCCTCCCCCCAGCACACAGAGAGGGCAGGCGGGGGCCCTCTGTCCCAGGAGCTTCTCCCCCACCGCTCACTCTCTGTCTTTGCACCGTGAAGACGGCCAAGGGGTGGCGCTCGGGCTCCAGAGCCGCCGTCACTCAGCCCCGCGATGCTCTTCAGCCTGGGCCCTGGTGGCGTGGCTGCCGTCGGCTGCCACCTTACACCCAGCACCCCTACATTTGGAACCCTCTGCAGTTTCTTGAAAAGACCTCCTTCTTGCCTCTGGGCTTTGCACGTGCCGTTCCCACTTTCCTGCTGCCCAGTCCCCCGACCCCCTCCTTCCAGCCTTCTCTGTGAGGGATGGGTCAGGGTACCCTGATGCCCCCGCCGGGTAAGACTCGATTGATGACAGCACAGTCCCACCTCCATGCCCCTGCACACCCCATTTTTCTTCTTTGTGTTTCCTTCTTGTCCCCCAAATTTATTTCTATTTCCTAATCTTCCTTCCTTTCTTTCTCTTTCTTTCTTTCTTTCTTTCTTTCTTTCTTTCTTTCTTTCTTTCTTTCTTTCTTTCTTTCTTTCTTTTTTCTTCTCTCTCTCTCTCTCTATATATATATATGGTGTGTCACTCTGTCGCCTAGGCTGGAGTGCAGCCGTACAATCTCGGCTCACTGCAAATGCTGCCTCCTGGGTTCCAGTGATTCTCCCGCCTCAGTTTCCCAAGTAGCTGGGATTACAGGCACCCGCCACCATGCCTGGCTAATTTTTGTATTTTTAGTAGAGATGGGGTTTCACCATGTTCGCCAGGCTGGTCTCGAACTCCTGACCTCAGGTGATCTGCCCACCTCGGCCTCCCGAAGTGCTGGGATTACAGGCGTGAGCCACCGTGCCCGGCCTCTTTCTCATTTTTCTAATCTCAGCCAAGAAAAGACCTCCTCCCGGAAGCCTGCCCTGATTCCCTGGCTGAGCAGGCTCCCTCTTTCCTTGGAACCCCACCCTGTGGAAGCTGCCCCTTTCTCATGAAGTGGGGCCCTCCGGCCTAAAGTTGGGGTCATGGATGTGCCGGCCAAAGGTCTCCTGGTCCAGATGCCTTCGAGCCCCCACTTTCCCGAGGCCAGGCATGGAGTCTCAGATCTCAGGAGCCCAGTGCCCACCTGGGTGTTGAGCGGGAGTTCAGGGGACACTCAGTGAGTCACCGCCAGACACCAGGCAGCGACGGCGTGATGGAGTGAAGTCGCTGACCCAGAAACCTGTCTCTGTGCAGGGCCAAGGGGGAGCAGGGCTGTGGAGAGCATGACCCCCTTGTTAAACCACGTCTGCCTTTATGCCTCGATACACCACACAGAGAGATGACGGGAGATACCACCAAGATGAGATGCCAGTGAGTCTTACTTTTGTTTGTATACTTTCCTGTATTGTTTGAAATTTTTTTACAATGTTATTTTTATTATCCTATAAATCAATACAATTATTCCCAGCTTTGAAAAAGTGAAAGCCTTGAGTGATGTGGCTCCACTTCTCGTTCCCACAGACCCGGGAGAGGCTCTGCAGGTCCCCTGGTGCCCACGTCTACCTGGCTTGTCCCCACAGGTGGGTTTTCTGAGACAAGGGGGCTTTTGGACACAGGTCTGTCCCCAGAGCCAGCCAGCAGCTCCAGAGAAGAGACAGCAGGTGCCCAGGACGATGCGGCTTAGTTGCCAGGTAACGGTGGTCACCATAGCAACAGCTGCCTCCTCAGAGGCCGCAGAAGCCTCGGCACCCCCCACCCTGCAGACCGGGGGTGGGGGAGGCAGTGGTGTGGGGCTGCCCCTGCCCACTCGGCCACCCACTTCTGGGGCTTTTCTTTCCCTTCCCCCTCCCACCCTTGCTTCAGGATCGGGGTGGGCTGTGGGGTGGGGGCCACCACGGCCCAGCCCTGGGATCTGCTCCTGGCCCTTCCATGGACTCTCCTGTGCCCCTGCCCTTTTTGGGGCTCAGTGTCCCCATCTGCCACATGTGGTGGCAGTCTCTGCTTTTCCCTCCCATTCACAAGCGTCTCTGGAGCGTCTGCCCCATGCCAGGCACTGCATTGGCCAGGGTGCCCCTTGCTGCCTGGCATAGTGTGGGTTGTGTGATCGGGGCCCCAGGCTTGTTCGGGTAAGTGAGCAGTCACGAGTGTGGAAATGGAGAATCTCAGGGCTGGGGGCAGCAAAGCCGGGGTCTGGGGCCAGTTCTGCCCTGGGCCTCAGTTTCCCTGTGTGTGGCAGGAGTGAGCCTCCCTTGCCTGCCTCCACAAGGGCTGCTTTGAGACAAAGAGAAACAGGGGCTGGGAGCACAGGGAAGCAGCGGGGTCACTGCCTCCTCCCCGGAGACTGGGGCGCAGAGCAGGAGAGGTCAGTTCTTTCTCCCAATTTTCGTGCCGCCACGGTCTCCTCCACACTCGGCTTCCCTGCCGTAGCCCTTCACCTGGCTCCATCTCCTGGGCATTTATTTATTTATTATTATTATTTGAGACAGAGTTTCGCTCTTGTCACCCAGGCTGGAGTGCAGGGGTGCGATCTCGGCTCACTGCAGCCTTCGCCTCCCGGGTTCAAGTGGTTCTCCTGCCTCAGCCTCCCAAGTAGCTGGGACTGCAGGCATGCACCACCACGCCCGGCTAATTTTATATTTTTAGTAGAGAGAGGGTTTCTCCATGTTGGTCAAGCTGGTCTTGAACTCCTGACCTCAGGTGATCCGCCCGCCTGGGCCTCCTAAAGTGCTGGGATTACAGGCATGAGCCACAGCACCCGGCCTCCCGGGCATTTAATTACACAATTGCCTGTTGCCCCATCCCCATCGTTGTGTCCCTGGCCGGTGCCTCTCCCCAGTCCCTCTGGACTGGGTGTTCCAGTGCCTCTGCCTGCACACTGCAGCATCCCTGGTGTGCTGGGTGACCCAGGACAAGGCCCTAGGCCTCTCTGAGCCTGCGTCTCTTCGTCACCTCCGTGGGAGGTGTGTGTTTCCATCCCGGCGCATCCCAGCGCCCTGACAGTAACTCGGGGAGGCTCCTGGTGGGGTCAGGGCACCTCACCTCTGACAGCCTGGGTTCCTCATCTGTGGCTGAGGGAGACCCAGTGGCCCTGTCCAAGGCCAAGGGGCTGCCGGGGGAGCCGGCATACATGAGGGGCCCGCCAGACCCACAGACACGGATCCAAGCCATCTGGGGACCCAGGCACTTCCGGGCCACCTGGCCCAATCCCGTTTGTGTTTGCGCTCCATCCTTAACCCATTCTGCTCCTGTTCATCCATCATCCCCCGGTGTGTCGGCTTCTGGAAGGGTCTGTGGGGGCCCAGCCATCCCCAGGCCCTGCGTGGGCGGCTGTGATCCCAGGAGCAGCTGCCAGAGAGGCCCAATTTTGACCGTCGGAGGGGGATGTGTTAAGCGCTAGGCTTCCCTCATCCCCGATTAGTCGCCATGGCAACCTCCTAGCAACCACGCAAACAGGACGTGTGCAGCCGGCGCCGTGTGGTTGTCGGAAACGGGGACTCGCGGTGCCATCCGGGGTCACTTTGGGGAGGCCGAGGTCCAGGCCAAGGACCCGGAGCCCGGGAGCCGCCCGTCCGCCCCTTGTGTATTTCACTTTAAGTGACACCAGCATTGCCCAGAACACAATTCGACCCCGCCCAGCCGCAGCGCTGGACCCTCAGCAGGTCTGCACGTCTGGGGGTCACAGCGGCCTCCTAGTTTCCGGGAACGCCGCCTGCACCGACAGGCTCTGCTGACCCCGCCAGTGTGGCTGAGCCTGGTTCCCGCCACGTGGGGTTTTGCGGGCGTCACTGAGAGCGGCCTGGGCCCCGTCACAGCGCTGACCCTGTGCTCACCCCTGGGCTTCTCCCACCCCCGTGGGCACGCACACCACACCCACAGACTCATCCTGTACCCGCAGACACGCACCACGCACACTCCACACGCACGCTCCACAGTACACACACCTCACACAGACACACACCACGCACCACACTTCACACACACACTCCACAGTACACACACCTCACAAAGACACACACCACGCACCACACACACACGCACTCCACAGTACACACACCTCACACACACCACGCACCACACACACTCCACAGTACACACAACTCACACACACACCATGCAGCACACTTCACACACATACCACAGTACACACAACTCACACACACACCATGCAGCACACTTCACACACATACCACAGTACACACAACTCACACACACACCATGCAGCACACACGCCTCACATGGACACACACCACACACCACACACTCTTCACACGCACACTCCACAGCACACACGCCTCACACACACACCACACACACTCATACACACTCCATAGTACACACACCTCACACAGACACACACCACGCACCACACACACTTCACACACACACACACTCCACAGTACACACACCTCACACGGACACACACCACACACCACACACACTTCACACACACACACTCCACAGTACACACACCGCACACGGACACACACCACGCACCACACACACTTCACACACACACACTCCACAGTACACACACCTCACACACACACCACACACCACACACGCACTCCACAGTACACACAACTCACACACACACCATGCAGCACACACACCTCACATGGACACACACCACACACCACACACTCTTCACATGCACACTCCACAGTACACACGCCTCACACACACACCACGCACCACACACACTCATACACACTCCATAGTACACACACCTCACACAGACACACACCACGCACCACACACACTTCACACACACACACTCCACAGTACACACACCTCACACACACACCACACACCACACACACTTACACACATTCCACAGTACACACACCTCACACGGACACACACCACACATCACACACTCACACACACACATACTCCACAGTACACACATCGCACATAGACACACACCACGCACCACATACCATGCTCCTTCACTCATGGACACACATACATCTACATACACACACACATTACACAGTACACACACCTTACACAGACACACACATATACCACATACACACACCCACACACTCACTCCACAGGCCCCTTTGCTTGAAATTCCACCACACCCAACACCTCACCACACTTTCGGTGGGCTGCCCAGAAAGGGTATTGGCCGATTGGAGCCCCCACCCCTGAGAAATCCACCCAGAGAGGCCCCCTGCGTCTCCCCCAGCTCCCGCCCAGGAGCCCTGTCTATCTGTCCATCTGTCTGTCGGTCTGTCTGTCCGTCTGTTTGTCTGCACTCTCCAGTCCAGACCTCTCTGTAGCCCCAGGGAATTCAAAAGCTGCGGCTGCCCCTCAGGAGTGCGGGCACAGCATGGGAGGCAGGATGCACGCCCCTGCCCCTGCCCCTGCCTCTGCCCCTCCCTTCTCCCTCTGCACCTGGAGAAGCCGCCGTCCAGCAGCCCCAGGCCAGCCACGGGCGCTCTGGGCCTCGGGGAGCCCGGACACCGCACGTGAGGCTGCTCTGCTGGGGCAGGTGGGTGCGTCTGGACCTCCCCAGGGTGCTGGGGGGAGGATGGGTGCACAGCAGCCTTGGTCCGGGTTGGCCCAGCCTGGCTGAAGGGACAGGGTGCCTTTTTCCTTTCGTAGAGTATGGTCGTGTCACCTTAATTTTCTGTTGTCTGCTGGGCACAGCTTCGTGCTGCTCCTCACTGCTGCACCCAGTGCTGGAAAGTGTGTGTGTGGCTTGAGTACATCTGGGTGTGAATGCGTGTGCCAGTGTTTCCGCCTAGGTGTGTGGTGTGTGTGTGGTGTGTATGAATGAGTGTGGTATGTGCATGAGGTGTGTGGTGTGTGTGGTGGCTGTGTGTGGTGTGTGTGTGCACATGTGTGGTTGGTGTGTGTTTATGTGGCATGTGTGCTGTGCATGTGCGTGTGGTGTGTGTGTGCTGTGTGTGCCTTTGTGTACATGTGCGGTGTGTCTCTGTGGTGAATGTGTGTGTTGTGTGTGACCAGTGTGGTGTGTGTGTGGTGTGTGTGTGTTTGTGTGGTGAATGTGTCTGGTGTGGTGTGTGTGTGTGCCTGTGTATACGTGGGTGGTGTTTCTGTGTCTGCCGTGTGTGTGTACATGTGTGGTATGTCTGTGTGTGGTGAATGTGTGTGTTGTGTGTGTGTCCAGTGTGGTGTGTGTGAGGTATGTGTGTGTGTGGTGTGTGTGTTTGGTGAATGTGTCTGGTGTGTTGTGTGTGTGTGCCTGTGTATACGTGGGTGGTGTGTCTGTGTCTGGTGTTTGTGTGTGTACATGCATGGTGTGTCTGTGTGTGTGGTGAATGTGTGTGTCATGTGTGTGTCTGGCATGGTGTGTATGTGGTGTGTGTGGTGAATGTGTCTGGTGTGGTGTGTGTGCGCCTGTGTGTACGTGTGTGGTGTGCCTGTGTGGTGTGTGTGTGTGTACATGTATGGTGTGTCTGTGTGTGTCGTGTGTGTGTGTCTGGTGTGTGTATGTGGTGTGTGTGGTGAATGTGTCTGGTGTGTGTGTGTATGTGCGCGCCTGTGTGTACATGTGTGGTGTGTCTGTGTGTGTGGTGAATCTGTGTCTGGTGTGTGTGTGGATGTGCATGCCTGTGTGTATATGTGTGGTGTGTCTGTGTGGTGAATGTACGTCTGGTGTGTGTGTGTGTGTATGTGTGCGCCTGTGTGTACGTGTGTGGTGTGTCTCTGTGTGGTGAATGTGTGTCTGGTGTGTGTGTGTGTGTATGTATGCCCCTGTGTGTACGCGTGTGGTGTGGCTGTCTGGTGTGTGTATCCAGTGTGGAGTGGTGTGTGTGTGCGTGTGTGCGTGTGTGCATACCTGTGTGTATGTGTGTGGTGTGTCAGTGTGTCTGGTGGGTGGTGCATGTGTGGGGCAGGGAGGGTGGATGTGGCAGTCTCAGGGCCTCTGGGAACAGGAAGTGGCCGTGTGGAGAGGGGCCCCGGGTTGGCCCGGGTGGGGACTCATCCTGGTTCCCTCCTTCCCGGACTGACCTGGGTGGAGACTTATCCTGGCCGCCTCCCTCCCAAGCTGACCTGGGTGGGGAGTCATCCTGCCTCCCTTCCTCCCGGGCTGGCCTGGGTGGGGGCTCATCCTGGCCGCCTCCCTCCCTGACTGATCTTGGTCATTCCTGCCCCGACTTTTGTTTCCTGGCTCACGGGTGTGAGCAGGTGTGCAGGTGTGTTGGGTGGAAGGTTCCAGAACCAGAGGTCAGAAGCCCTCCCTGCCTACACTTTCCTCCTCCCATTCCTTTGCCGGGCAGAAGAGCGGGTAGCAAAGGTTCCCAGGTGGCCCGGTGACTTGGGCTCTGGCACGCCTGTGTCTGCACCTGGGGACTGATGGGGTGGGGACCGGGAGCCTCAGCTGTGGGGCCAGCGTGGGCACCCCATGCAGTGCTAAGATGTGGAGAGGGCGACTTTGTTGCTTAATTAGGAACAGGTGGCCTTTGATCTCTAAGGTGTCCTGGTGGCCTGGCTCTCTGTTTCCTTAGCAGGCACTGGGAGTCCTCCTGTTGAGAAACTGCTCAAGGGAGGTGCATTTACTAGGGACACGGAGAACCCCCAGCTTGGCTCCCCGTGGATTTGTGGCTACACTGGCCTGTCACCGGCCATTCTGGGCATAAGCGGGGCTGGGGAGAAGTGTCCCTAAAAAAGAGGACTTGACCAGAAGGGAGAGGGCTCCAAGGACAGCAGGACTGGAGGTCAGTCTAAAGGTCAGAGCTCGTTTTTCCATTCTCTGTCCGAGACTGGAGGTGGAGGGGCTGGCCCGAGTCCTATAGCCAGGTGTGGGCAGAGTCACTGGAACCCGAGTCTCCAGAGTCCTGGGCTCCTTCTGGAGACAAACCAAGCACCAGGGAGAATCCTCAGATCCCTCCTGATGCTCAGGGCCCAACCTGCAGGCCTGGGCAAAAACCTCTTCTTTCCCTGGGCACAGATCCCCCCCGGGAGGTGCAGGGACCATTTACCATACTCCCTGGAAGCCGGGCCCCTGGCTGAGTGCTCTCCAGGGATGACCTCAGCTGACCCACCTGGCCACCTATAGAGGAGGATCCTGTTCTCAGAGAGGGTGAAGTCACCTCCACAGGGACAGGGAGCTGGAGAGACGGGGGGGAGGGTTCTGAGCTTGGCTCAGACACCATAACTGCCCTCTTCTGCATGCTGGAAGCCCAACTTCGAGGGACTGGTGGATTCAGTTCCTGGCAAGGGCTCTCTCCTTGGGTTTGCAGGTGGCCACTGGGTCTTCACAGGGGGCTGGAGAGACAGGACCCCAGTGCACCCACTCTCAGCAAACCCCCACACTAGTGCTGTCATTAGCCGTGTCATGCTGTTTATTATCCCTACTGTTGCATTGTGAGTTTGTGCGTGGTGCTATCCCCGCTACTGCGATCACTTTTGTTATGGTTGTGATTATCAAAATTATTGTTGTTTCTACAGTCACTGTTATTGTTGCATTTATTATCGCCGCTTTAATTGTTATTCCTCTTTGGTGCCGACTCTCCCGGCTGTGTGCCAACTTCCCATGCAGCCGCGGTTCTCAGCACAGCGACTTTGCCCCCCAGGAGACACTCGTGTGGAGACATTTCTGGTTGTCACAGTTGTGGGGAGGTGGGCTGCTGGCGCTACTGCGTAGAGGCCAGAGGCGTGGTTGGGGCCTGCGATGCACAGGTCAGGCCCCACCACAGGGAGTTACCTTGCACAAAATGTCAATGGCGCCCTGGCTTCCACATCATCCAGAGCAGCTGGAGCCCTTTGCTGGGGCAGCAGGGAGTTGATGGGGGGAGCGGGTTCAGGTTTCTAGAGTCTTCTTTGGGAAAATGAGCATGGGGTCGTCACGGTTAAAGCTCTGCAAACCAGACCTCTGGGTTCCTACTTGGCTTCAACATTTTCCTGCTGTGTAGACTTAGCCTGCCTGGGATTCTAGAACGAAATAACATGGACTAGGGGCTTAAACAAAGGATGTTCATCTCTCATAATTCTGTATGCTGGAAGCCCAACTTCGAGGGGCTGGTGGATTCAGGTCCTGGCAAGGGCTCTCTCCTTGGGTTTGCAGATGGCCACTGGGTCCTCACAAGGGAGAGGGAGAGAGAGGAGCATGAAGGGGAGGAGGAGGAAGAGGGCAGTTACAGTGTCTCTTCCTCTTCTTATAAGGCCACTAATCCCATCACAGGGGCCCCATCCTTATCTAAACCTAATCACATCCCAAACACTCCACCTCCATATACTGTACTATCACATTGGAGGTTAGCTTCTTCTTTTTTTTTTCTTTTTTTTTTTTGATAGAGTCTCACTCTTTTGCCCAGGCTGGAGTACAGTGGTGTAATCATGGCTCACTGCAGCCTCAACCTCCTGGGCTCAAGCAATCCTCCTACCTCAGCCTCCTGGGTGGCTGGGACCACAGGCATGCACCACTACACTGGCTAAGGTTTTAAAACATTTTTTGTACAGAAAAGGTTTGGCCATGTTGCCCAGGCTGGTCTTAAACTCCTGGGTTTAAGGGCTCCTCCTGCCTTGGCCTCCCAATGTGCTTGGTTTGAAGGCATGAGCCACTGAACCTGGTCTCAAAGCTTCAACATATGAATTTGGGGGGACACATTCAGTCCATAACATGTGTGATCTTTTTTCAAAATTTATTTTTGCTATAAAAAATGTATGATAACATACATACACATCTATACACCCTTGTGGCTGCCACCTGGCCAAGGTGTCCTTGTGTTCTCTCTCCCTCAGCACATTTCCTACCCTGGTGGTGCCACGGCTTCTGGCACTGCAGGTAGTTTTGTCTGTTCTTGAGCTTCACGTCCCCAGAATCATCCCAGCCAGAGCCATTTCTGTCTGAGTTCTTCTGTTTATCGTTATTCTCACAAGATCTGCCCATTTACAAAAAGGAGCAGTTGTTTGTTCCCTTTTTATTTGTATTATTCTATTGTATGAATATACCTAATTTACCATCCCTTCTCCTATTGATGGATATTGGGTTTGTTTTCAGTTTTTGTCTACTTTGAAAAAAGCTGTTATGAATTTTCTTTTCTTTTTTTTTGAGGTGGAGTCTCACTCTGTCACTCAGGCTGGAGTGCAGTGGCACGATCTTGGCCCACTGCAACCTCCGCCTCCTGGGTTCAAGCAATTCTCCTGCCTTAGCCTCCCGAGTAGCTGGGATACAGGCATGCTCTACCACGCCGAGCTAATTTTTGTATTTTTAGTAGAGATGGGGTTTCACCATGTTGGCCAGGCTGGTCTTGAACTCCCGACCTGAGGTGATCCACTCGCCTCAGCCTCCCAAAGTGCTGGGATTACAGGCATGAGCCACCATGCCTGACTGAATTTTATTTTATATGCCTTTGGTGGACACAAGATCTCATTACTTTTGGGTATATATTTAGGAGTGGAATTGCTGGGTCAAAGGGTTGGACTCAATGTAGCTTTCACAGGTGCTTTCAAACCTTTTTATAAAGTAGTTATTTGGTATCTTCAAAAAATTTTAAGTAGACTTTTTTAAAGAACATTTGTAGACTTACAAGTGAAATTAAGATGATAATACAGAGAGTTCCCACACACCCTGCCCCTAGTTCTCCTATTTTTAGCATCTTGCATCAGCATGGTACATTTGATGCGAGTATTAAACCAATGTTGCTAACATTCTCATTAACAAAAGCCCATATTTTATTCAGTTTTGTTCGTTTTTAACCTAACATCCTTTTTCTGATCCAAGATCCCACTCAGGATCCCACATGACATTTAGTTGTCATGTCCCATTAGGTTCCTCTGGGTGGTGACAGCCTTTTTTTTTTTTAATTTGCCATCTTTAAAGAAAATGTTAATTAAAAACATAGAGATAATTGTAGATGCACACACAGTTGTAAGAAGTAATAGGCCGGGTGCGGTGGCTCACACCTTTAATCCCAGCACTTTGGGAGGCTGGGGCAGGAGGATCATGAGATCAAGAGATTGAGATTATCCTGGCCAACACGGTGAAACCCTGTCTCTACTGAAAATACAAAAATTAGCTGGGCAAGGTGGCACACGGCCATAGTCCCAACTACTTGGGAGGCTGAGGCAGGAGAATCGCTTGAACCCAGGAGGTGGAGGTTGCAGTGAGCTGAGATCGCACCACTGCACTCCAGTGCAGGGTGAGACTCTGTCTCAAAAAAAAAAAAAAAAGTAATAGCAAGGAGGCCAGGTGCAGTGGCTCACACCTATAATCTCAGCAGTTTGGGAGGCTGAGGTGGGCAGATCACTTAAGGCCAGGAATTCAAGACCAGCCTGACCAACATGGTGAAACCCCGTCTCTACTAAAAATTAGCTGGTCATGGTGGTGCACCCCTGTAATCCCAGCTACTCAGGAGGCTTAGGCAGGAGAATCACTGGAACCCAGTGTGGAAAGTAAAAAGATTCCTCTTCAAAGTTTCCCTTCTTGTTAAAGAATAAATCATAAGTGTTAGAAATAATAGTTTCTTTTAAAGGCTAACTTCCTTCAAGCCTCCTTGCTTTGTGCTAATAACTGTTTGTTAAGCCCTATCCTAGGTAGCTTTTAGATATAAGGGAATGAGTGCATTCTATGTCCTTGTACTTTAACCAAGGTATTTGTTCTAGACATGCTCAGGCATGTCCCAGCTCACAGCTTATGCACCTTCTTTATTTGGAAATGTTATTACTTCTCTAAGTCTTTTCATAAGCAACTTCCTCTTTTCCTTTGTTCTCCCTTGACTTTACCTATTTAGGAAAGTTTTAAGTTATTAACCAGTCAGGTTTAGCTTAGATTGTGAGGTCCAGCTCCAGCCAATGGAGACAGGACACAGTAGCAGGGACAAACCGCATAAGGGATAAAAATTGCTTCCCTCCTTTGTTCAGGTGTGCTCTCGCCATTGCTGCATCTGTGAGGAGCACCCTTTCTGCAGAAAGCAAAGTTGCCTTGCTGAGAAAATTCTTTGTCTGAGCTCTAGTTGTTCTTTTTGGCACCAAGGAACAAGCATTTCTAAGGGAATAAGCATTTTACTTATAACCACCCAGGAGGCAGAGGTTGCAGTGAGCAGAGATGGCACCACTGCACTCCAGCCTGGGCAACAGAGCAAGACTCTGTCTCAAAAAAAAAAAAAAAGAAGAACAGGAAGGTGTCCTTTACACATTTTGCCCAGTTTCCTTCGATGGCAATATTTTGCAAAACTATAGTACAATAATAGTACAACCAGGAAATGGACACTGGGGCAATCCACCAATCCTATTCAGATTTCTCCAGTTTGCCTGTACTAGTGTGTATGTGTGTGTGCGTGGGTGTGTGTGTGTGTGAATTCTGTACAGCTTTATCATTTGTGCAGGTTCCTGTCTCCACCACCCCTGTCATGGTGTGGAAGAGCTCCATCACCATGAGAATCCTTGGAGTTGGAGTTACCTTTTTATGGCCACACCCACCCCTCTTCCACATCCCTAATCCCTGGCACCACCTATCTGTCCTCCAATTCTAAAGTTTTTTCATTACAAAAATGTATACACGGACTTGTGCTGCATCATACTTTTTGGGATTGCTTTTATTCACTCAGCCTAATTCCCTGGATTCCTCCAGCTTGCTGAGTGGATTAATAGTTCCTTTTTACTGCAGAGTACGGTCCCACGGCCTGGATGTTCCTGTTTCTTTCTTTCTTTCTTTTTTTGAGATGGAATTTCCCTCTTGTTGCCCAGGCTGGATTGCAATGGCATGATCTTGGCTCACTGCAACCTCTGCCTCCTGGGTTCAAGTGATTCTCCTGCCTCAGCCTCCCAAGTAGCTGGGATTACAGGCATGCGCCACCACGCCCAGCTAATTTTGTGTTTTTAGTAGAGACAGGGTTTATCCATGTTGGCCAGGCTGGTCTCGAACTCCTGACCTCAGGTGATCTGCCTGCCTTGGCCTCCCCAAGTGCTGGGATTACAGCCGTGAGCCACCGCGCCTGGCCTGGATGTTCCTGTTTAACCATTGGTGGATGAAGGACATCAGGGCTGTTTCCAGTTTTGGCTATGACAAGTCAAGCTGCTATGAACACTTGTGTACAGGTTTTTGTGCAGATGTTTTATTTCTTTAAGACGAGTGCCCAGGAATGCAATTGCTGGGTCACCCGGTAATTATATGTTTAGTTTTTTTTTTTTTTTTTTTGAGACGGAGTTTTGCTCTTGTTGCCCAGCTGGAGTGCAGTGGCACGATCTCAGCTCACTGCAACCTCTGCCTCTGGGGTTCAAACGATTCTCCTGCCTCAGCCTCCCGAGTAGCTGGGATTACAGGCACGCACCACCATGCCTGGCTAATTTTTTTGTATTTTCAGTAGACAGGGTTTCATCATGTTGGCCAGGCTGGTCTCAAACTCCCAAAGTGCTGGGATTACAGATGTGAGCCACCGCGCTCGGCCTATGTTTAGATTTTTTAAGAAATAGCCAAGCTGTTTTTCCAGTGTGTCTGTCCCAAGACATCCATAGCAGCAGCATATCATGATCCGGGTTCTTCACATCCTTGTGAGTGTCTGGTGTCATTATTTTTCATTTTAGCCATTCTGTTAGGTGTGTGGGAGAGGTGTGATATTGAGTTAGTTACTTCACTTCTCTGAGCTCTATGTCCTCATCATGGGCCGTCTGATACGGCTGTCAGAAATGCTGGTGAAGTAAACACGTGTAAAGAACTTGGAACGATGCCTGCTCTGTTAAGAGGGCTCCTAACACCTTAATAATTATGATCACATTGAACTATACGAAATTGCCAATGTGGGATCACTTTTGGCCCATAAAAACCCTGAGACTTGATACAGCTCCTCCTCATATTGTTATTAAGGATCAAATGCCTGCATGATTCAGAGTGCAGGGCAGACGTGTCCCTCCTGCCTCCGCACCAGCTGGGTGGGCTCCTTGGTCCTCACCTGCAGGGAGGGCTTTGGTGCCCGGTGAGCCACTGGGCTTCCCCAGCAAGCCACAGCTTGTCACCTGAGGTCAGGGCAGAGGAGGAGCTAGAAGATTCATCTGGTCACTGAGTAGAGTAGGCAGGGGGCGGGGGAGAAGAGTGGTTGGGCACTGTGCCAGTGGGTGGCTGGGTGATGGGCGTGGTGGGCAGGGCCTGGGCCAGCTCATACTGTGCCCATGGATGGCTGGGTGATGGACATGGTGGGCAGGGCCTGGACCAGCTCTCTTGAGTCCTGGGTTTTCCTACCTCTGATCTGGGGTGGGGCGTGGTGGCACCAGATCCTTCCTCTTTGAGCTCCACTGTTCCAGTGCCCACTGAGGGGCCGTCACGGGGTGATAGGGGTCGGGATGTGGTGGTACTCTGGACAGCTCCTAGGTGCTGGGCAGATGTGCAAGGGTTTCATTATTATGGACAAGCATTTGGAGAGCAGAGCCCAGCCTCCTGCAAGTGGGGATCTGTTCGGAGGGACAGCCTAAGACCCCCTCGGGGAAGGGCGCTGCCTGCAGAGCTACCAAGATGCTGGAAACCTTGGACTGGCCCGTGCATGAGGGTGATCTGCAGGGCCTGGCTGCTCTCTGCCGAGCCCTTAAGAAGGGATGGGGCCATGCCCAGGCATCTCTGTGTCCCCAGGGGCCCAAGGAAGGGGCTCCGTGAGGTTGGCCAAGCAGCCGAGTCATAAGAAGCTTCATTTATGGGGGACGGTGCTGCTTCCAGAACACACTCTCCTCCATCTCCTTAAGGGCAAACGACCTTATAAGGGAGTCCTGGCACCTTCCCAATTTTTCAGGCTCAAGAGAGGCTCCCTCAATGAGGCAAGCAGAGTCCCTGCCCAGAGCCCCCAACTCCACACCTCCCCAGGATGCAGGCCCAGGAGAGGCCCCCTCGATGAGGCGAGCAGAGTCCCTTCCCGGAGCCCCCCAACTCCACACCTCCCCAGGACGCAGGCCCAGGAGAGGCCACACCCTTGTTTCTCTCCTGCTTCCCCAGCATGGCCTCAAGAATGCGGGAAACAGTTCTGGAGACAGTCAGATGAGTGTCTCACTGGTATCTTCCCCTGCCCAAGGACCCCCGTACCCCACCTATCCCGCCCTCTCCAGGCTGAAGCCTCCAGGGCTGAAAGCCAGGCCACCGGTCTAGCACTTGGGGGGTCCAGGGGCCCCATCATACCCTCCCCTGCTGTCTTGTGGGGAACCAGGGTGGGAGCTGCCCTTGGAAGCAGTCCAGGAGAGGGGACACTCCCTCTGATTGTTATGCAAATTGCTGGGCTTCGCTGATTACCATACATGCATATTAATCCTGCCTGGGCTGGGATGGGACAGGCTGTCTGGGCCTCATGGCAGGCTGCTTCGGGGCTGGTTTGGGAGCAGTTGAAAAGCAAAGGAAAGGAGGCTGCCTCTCTCTGGCCCTGCTTAAGTGAAAGGTAGATGAGGGTTTTGTCTCCAGGGGCCCTGCTGGGTTCAAGGTGCCAGATGCCTGTGGAGCCCCAGGAGGGTGAAGCACTGGCAGGCACACCTGGTGGGCTTGGAGGTGGGGCATAAGGGTATCTGGCCCCAGGGCATCCTTAGCGTGGTGACTAGCGTACCCCGGGAAACAGGCGGATGGAGGGTGAGGGTCAGGGCAGGAGGAGTCCACTGCCGAACTGGAGCCTGGACAGAATGGGCTGGCCTGGAGGGCACCGGCGCTACTCTGCTGCCCAAGTTCCACACCTGGATTCTGATATCAGCAACGCTCTGGAAGGCAGGACAGAGCATCCCCATTCTACAGATGAGAATGCAGAGGCTCAGACAGGGGAAGAGGCTTCCCCGAGGCCACACAGCGGGAGAGGGCCGGCACTGGAGCCCAGGCCTGCCTCACCGAGGGGTCCCCTCAGGTCCGTTCTGTGTCATGGAGTGGGAGGCTGGCCTGACCTGACAGCCAGCAGGTGAGGGCTCAGCTCTGTCTCTCTGAGCTGGGAGAAGTTGTGGTTCCCCTGATATGTGTGGGTTTCCTCCCTGGGAGATGCGCAAATCATCACACCTGCCCACTCGGCCACCGTGAGGGTTAAACGACAGAGCTCTAGGAATATACCTCACTCTAGCTGTTGTTGCTGGTCCTGGGAGCGTAAGTCGGGCGGGGAAGGGAAATGGGGCATCACCAAGGGGTCCTCTAGCAGTGCCTTAGGATCGGGAGAGGCTGCTGTGGCTGGGACCCAGTCTCAGACATCCAGAGCCTTCAGAACTTAGGGGCCCCAAGGAAGTCACTGAAGCTTCGTTTGTGGGGGATGTTGCTGTTTCCAGAACACTCTCCCACCTCCTGGATTCCGTCGGGTGAGGTTTTAAAGTCATACTCACAGGTGCTGGGGGTGAGGATCTCAACCTGTTTAGGGGACCGCATTTGTACCCACACCTCCCTTCCCTGCCGCACCTGACCCTGTGCCCCTTTGCTGTCTAGAACCTTCCTTTCTGCCCCATTTCTGAGGCCCCTTCCCTCTGAATGCCCCTCCCAGGCCTCCTCTTGGCCGTGTGTGTTCGGGGCCTGTCCCGGCTGCCTCCGCTCTTTCTGTGCCTCTCTCTGGGTCAACTCAAATTCTGATGGCTCCTGGTATCTCCACGACCCCGACTCTCTCATCTGAGCCTCTGCCTGTGCCCTCCTGCAACCCCCATGCATCCTCAGCCTTGGCATCCCCCGAGGAAGCCCCGGGCCCCTCAGTTCACCGCAGGCTGAGCCTCCCATCTCCCCTGGGGCTGCCGTTTTAGCTGCCCAGGCCAGGCACTGGGCGCCATGTCTGACCCTCCTCCTCCTCCATCCCCATCCTCCTTCCCCACCACCGGCCATCCCTCTGCTCCACCCCTGCTCAGGTCTCGCCTCCTCCCTGGGCCCCTGCCTGCACCTGACTGTTCTGCAGCCTCCACTCTCCTCCCTGGCAGTTTGCTGATGTCAATGCTGCAGGTGGCCTAGGCACTGCTACCCCTGGGCGAGGGGGTCTCCGTTTTCCAAATCTTGCTTTTTCACCACTGGAGCCCACCTTCTTATCCTCTTAGGTTGCCACGAAACATCCAATATTTGAAAGTGTTCTATGGACCTCAAAGGGCAAGAGACACCTTAAAATGTTTGCTGGATGGCTGTAGGAGGGTAGAGCCCTGGTGGGCACACCTGGTGGTGAGCTTGGAGGCGGTAGGAGGGTAGAGCCCTGGCGGGCACACCTGGTGGTGGGCTTGGAGGTGGTAGGAGGGTAGAGCCCTGGCGGGCACACCTGGTGGTGGGCTTGGAGGCAGGGTGTAAGGAGACCTGCCTCCAGGTAGGAGGGAGGGGAAGGGAGGGAAGCCACAAGCTGCATGTGGCCGGAGGGGGTGAGGGTGCGAGGCAGGGAGGCCGGCCAGGTGGGTGCAGAGGGGCAGCAGGATGTGGGGGCTCCTGATGACACTGTCCTGTCTCTGCCCTCAGAGGCTCTGCTGCTCATGTTCATGGAGTCCCACGTCCACCAGGCCCTTTGAATCTCGAGTTTCTGGCTTCAGATGCCCCCAGGTTTCCAGAAGTCAAGATTTCTAACAAATGGACCCAAACCCCAAGCCAGCACCTGGAAGTGGCAGCAACACGGCTGTGTGGACCCCGGTGCTGGGAACCTTCTGGAGGCAGCTGGACACAGGGGCTGCCAGTGTGGAGAGGGACGCTGCTCATTTTGACATTTCATCTGAATAACGTTCCAAGTGTTCTAATGAAAGCCTCTGCGCTCCCTTTGAAATACTAGCAATTACAAAGATGAATAATTGCATGATAAATATTAATTTGCACCATCGTAATGAGGCCCAGAAGCATCCTGCTGCTAAGTGAGAATTTAGCTCTTTCCCCTCCCGGGCAGGGGAGGTGCTGCTCACAGCCCCTGGGGGATGCTGCCCTGCTCTGAGAGGCCCAGTACCACCGTGGCCAGCTCGCTGGGCGGGACAACGGCAAGCCCGAGCACCACCCTGCTCCTGCCACTACCTCGCTTGATGACAAAGGGCACATTGCTTCCTTCCTCTGGGCATTGTCTATTTGAGTTTTCCAAATAGACAATGGCGAAATTGGGTGAGATGACCTCTAAGGGCTCTGCCAACTCAGGCAGTCCAGGAGGTGACATCTAGAATTCCAGACTGCCTGTGGTCTACTGGTGGGAAATCCACCCCGTCCAGAGCCTCCCCTCCAGGCGCCCTCTCTCTGGGTGCTCCCGCTCTGCCTGGCATCTGGGAGACGAGCGGGTATTTGCTGAATGAAAAGCGATATCCCTTTGCCCAGAAACAGCATCTCACAGCTTTTCTTCCTTGGTCTTCACGAAATCAAAACTGACAAGTTGCCCTCCTTCCAGCTGAGTAAGTGTGGCCATCACACCCCACCCTCAGGAAGGAGGAAAAAGTGGCAGCTTGCAGCAGAGATGGAACATCCCCAAACCACAGTGACAGCACAAAGGGCTGCCTGTCTGGTTCCAGTCCCCCAAGTAAAGGACACCTGGAGTCTTCGCAGAGGCCGCTGCTTCCCCTAACGGCCCTGCCTTTTGGCGCTGAGTGTCTGCAGACCTTTGGCAACCTTTGCAAATATCATCCTCACAGAGGAGAGCTGCACCTCTTCCATCTTAAGCAGTGAACCCAGGATGCTTGGCGATCTTGGGGCTTGTTTTTTCCTCTAAACACCTGCTGTGTGTTTTATTGGGCAAGCCGTCCTTTCTGCGTCTGGGCTCCCTTGAGTCTGCAAACCTTCTTCTCTGAGTATCGTCCACTGCTGGATCTGATCCTCTGGCAAGGATCAGATTCCCCCTGTCTGCCACCCAGCAGGGAGCATGCGGGGCCACCGAAGGCACTTCCCCCAGAAATACAGCAGCCAGGCTCCAGTCAGGGGCAAACATGTCAGAAACCACACACACACACACGCACACACGCTACATGCCCATGAGGCTGAGGCTCCAGACCATGGGGCTGTGTGTGTGGCCTCAGAAGTGCATCTTGTGGGCTCTCTGTGCCCTCATGCCCCTCCTCCCCAGGGTGGACTCATGCAGCAAGAGAAGGGCTGTGTATGTGTGTATGTGTGTGTGTGTGTGGTATCTGTGTGGTATATGGTGTGTGTGTGTGTGGTGTGTGTGTGTTTGATGTGTGTGTGATGTGTGATGTGTGTGTGGTGTGTATGTGATATGTGGTGTGTGTGTGCAGGGTGTGTGTGGTGTACGATGTATGTGGTACATGGTGTGTGTGTGTGACATGTGATATGTGGCACATGGTTTGTGGTGTGTGGCATGGGATGTGTGTATGGTATATGTGTGCTATATGGTATGTGTGTGGTATATGTGTGTGGTGCATGTGTGTGTAATGTGTGGTGTATGGTGTGTGTGGTGTATGTGTGTGATATGTGGTGTGTGGCCTGTGGTGTGTGCGTGGTGTATGTGTGTATGGTGTATGTGGTGTGTGCATGTGATATGTGGTGTGTGCCATGTGATGTGTGTGGTGTGTGTATGGTGTATGTGGTGTATGTGTGTGACATGTGTGGTATGTGATGTGTGTGGTGTGTGTATGATGTATGTGGTGTATGTGTGTGATATGTGGCATGTACCACGTGTGTGTGTGTATGTGTGTGGTTTCTGACACGTGCCTCTGGAGCCCGGCTGCTGCATTTCTGGGGGAAGCGGCTTCAGTGCACCCCCCGGGCTCCCTGCTGGGTGGCAGACACGGGGAATCTGGGCCTTTTTGTTTTTTGCCTGTGTGGGTCTGTTTGCCTTGAGGATCCTGCTATCTTCAGCATTAGCAACACCCACCGCTTGATCATGGGTCCCAAGATTCTGGTTTGGTCGGCTCGAGGGCCGCCCGTCCTGACCGTGGGCTTGGGAGGGCGCCCCGGTCTCATCCTCACCACCTGTGTATATTGTGTGTCTTTTCCATCGCGGGCAGGGTCCTCTATGTTGATCTTGTTGAATCTCAATGAGTGAAAATCACTCCCGAAATGCATCTTGTGCGGCTGGAGCAGAGAGCAGCCCCTTGAGGTCTCTGGGGCTCGCGGAGCTCCGCGTTTCTGCAGCCGCTTCAGCCGCCCAGTGGGTTTTTGTGTCCTGTGCTAACTTGTGACTCATGGTTAAAGTTGTGAAACTGAGTCTGTGAGTTCTCCTTATGTGTGAACCACAAAAAACCATTTTTTTCCTCCTTGAAAAAGGAGGATCCTTAGCCTTCTGTGCTGGCCTGTTTGTAAGGGAACCTTTCTGCATCTGTGGCCTGCTTGGGAGCACCCTCGATTGCAGCTGTTGGAGAGCCAACGGTAATAAGAACTGAACATTCGTTTGCACTTTAGAGATTTCTGGAACAATGAGGGGTTGTGTGCCATGCGCTGAACTGTGTCCCCAGGCCCCACCAATTCTATGCTGAAGTCATCATCCTCAGGCCCTCAGAGTGTGACTGCATTTGGAGACAGGGTCTTTAAAGAGGCGATTATAGTTAAATGGGGTCACTGGAGCAGGCCCTCATCCAATAGGACCGGTGTCCTTATAAGAAGAGAAGATGATAGGGACACCAGTCCTATTGGATTAGGACACAGACATATTAGTGTGGGACAACCGTGTGAGGACATAGGGAGAAGGTGGCATCTACAAGCCAAGGGGAGAGGCCACAGGGGAAACCAACCCTGCTGACCTTGATCTCAGTGTAAGGAAATAAATCTCTGTTGCTTAAGTCCCAGCCTGTGGTACTTTGTTATGGCAGCCTCAGCAAACTCATATTTATTTATTTTAAAGACAGAGTCTCACTCTGTTGCCCAAGGTGGAATGCAATGGCGAGATCTCGGCTCACTGCAACGTCTGCCTCCTGGGTTCAAGCCATTCTCCTGCCTCAGCCTCCTGAGTAGCTGGGACTACAGGCATACGCCACCACGCCCAGCTAACTTTTGTATTTTTAGTAGAGACAGGGTGTCACCATGTTGGCCAGGCTTGTCTCAAGCTTCTGACCTCAAGTGATCTGCCAGCCTCGGCCTCCCAAAGTGCTGGGATTACAGGTGTGAGCCACTGTGCCTGGCCATATATCATACTTTAAAATTACTGGCCAGGCACAGTGGCTCATGCTTGTAATCCCAGCACTTTGGGAGGCCAAGGTGGGACAATCACTTGATCCCAGGAGTTTGAGACCAGCCTGGGCAACATGGTGAAACCCTGTTTCTACAAAAAATAAAGAATTAGCCATGCATGGTGGCGGCTTCTGTAGTCCCAGCTACTTGGGAGGCTGAGGTGGGAGGATCGTTTGAACCAGGGAGGTCGAGGCTGCAGTAGCCATGTTAGCACCACTGTGCTCCAGCCTGGGCAACAGAGCAAGACTCAATCTCAAAAATTAAAAAAAAAAAATTAGTCCTTAAAGAAGGTTCTGCTTGGGCTATGTAACAATTGCTCCAAGGGCCTGAGCATATGCTGGAGTGGGAGAGACCATTTCCAGCTGGTCTGGAGCTTCATGGCTGCTGAGAGCTCTGGAGGGTTCTAAATGTTGGGACTTGTTTTCTCCCACCCCTCAAAAGAAATGAGGGGAGTTCCACAGAGATACAAAGTGATGTGGGGGGGGGGGGCATTTGCTGACTGTAGATGCTGGCATCTGGCTTTTGCGCATTTGCAAAGCAGGTTGGGAAGGAGGGCAGATCTTGAGGGTCTAGCATCCCCTCAGAGGGGGATGTATGGGGTGGAATGCTGACATGGCCTCCACATTTCCGCCCCTGATGGATGCATCCTCCTCCCAGTTATTCAGTCAGATACAAATCTAGGTGCTGCTGTGAAGGGGTTTTTCAGATACAGTTAAGACCCCAATCAGTTGCCCTTAAGAGAGAGGATGATTAGGCAGGGCGTGGTGGTACATGCCTGGAGTCCCAGCCAGCACTTTGGGAGGCTGAGGCAGGAGGATTGCTTGAGCTCAGGAGTTTGAGACCAACCTGGGCAAATGGCAAGACCTCATCTCTACAAAAAAATTTAAAAAATTAGCTAGGTGTGTTGCTGCACACCTGTAGTCCCAGCTACTCGGGAGGTTGAGGCAGGAGGATTGCTTGAGCCCAGGAAGCCAAGGCTGCAGTGAGCCATGACTGCACCAGTGCACTCAGCCTGCGTGACAGACTGAGACCCTGTCTCAAAAAAAAAAAAAAAAAAAAAGGTGGTTCATCTTGGTGGGCCTGACCTGATCAGGTGAGCAGGTGAGACTGTAAAGAGACTGGACCCTCGAGACGGGAGAGATTCAAAGTGTGGGAGGATTTGACATGTCAGAGCTTCTCCAAGGCTGGCTTTGAAGATGGAGGGACCACATGACAAAGAGGGATGGCACCTTTAGCAACTAAGGGAGGCTCTGACCAGCAAGAACACGGGGACTCAATTCCATGCTTGGAGGACCTGGATTCTACTGCATGCAGTTGAGGCTAGAACAGGTTTCTGAGCTCCAGATGCGAACACAGCGGGAAGACACCTTGATTATAGCCTTTGTTTATTGTTATCATCATCACCATTATCATTCTTTCATTTTATTTACATTTATTTATTTATTTATTTATTTTTTGAGAGACAGGGTCTGGCTCTGTTGCCCAGGCTGGAGTAGAGTGGTACAATCAGAGCTCACTGCAGCCTCCACCTCCTGGGCTCAAGCTATCCTCCTGCCTCAGCTTCTGGAGTAGCTGGGACCACAGGCACGCACCATCATGCCTGGATGATTTTTATTTTCACTAGAGGTGGGGTCTTGCTATGTTGCCCAGGCAGGCCTTGAACTCCTGGGCTCAAGTGATCCTATCACGTCAGCCTCCCAAAGTGCTGGGATTCCAGGCGTAAGCCACTGCACCCGGCCCATTTTAGCCTTGTTGAGACCCTGGGTGGAGACGCAGTCATGCTGAGGCTGGACTTTCAACCTGCACAGCTGCGGGCTCACGAGGGCTGTGTGAAGCTGTGAAGTTTGTGGTAGTTTGTTATCTAGCATGGGAAACCGGGGACAGAATTTGGCCAAGTTCCCCCAGCGTGTGAGTGCAGAGATGGGGCCATGTCTCCCCTGTTCAGCTCAATTCTGTTGCCAGCAGCGCTTCTGTTTGGAGAAGACCCTCCCCATTGCCCCCATTGCCTTGGGTCAGGGTTGAGCTGACGCAGGGAGGGCTGGCCAGGGGCTGCTGCAGTTGCCCCAGAGAGAGGAGGTGGCCGGACGCTCCAGTCCTTCTCCCAGCCATGGCTTGGCTGAGCTGGTGCTTCTCCAAGTGGCCAAGGGAGAGGAAGAGAAACCCTTCTGGGCTAAGTCTGGGGGTCCCTGGAGAGAGTGGGCTGGTGGCACGTAGAGGGACACAGTCCTGGGAGTGGGTCCAGAGTGCTGAGATTTGTGGGGGTCATTTCACCTCCCAGAGCCTCGACTTTTCTTATCTGTAAAATAGGGATTAAAAACACGTTCCCCACAGCATTACTGTGAGAAGGCGGGTGGGGACGCCCTTTGCGAAATGAAGGGTTGACCTGTGTGATCCGGTTCTGCCGATGCTCCGGCCATGCGTGTGACCGCTGGCTGCTGTGGTTTTTCTCTGCATGTGCCGGCTGCTGTGGTTTTTCTCTGCACACGCTGCTTCTTCTGAGCCTTCAGGTCTCAGCTGAGAGGCCTCCCCCTCTGAGACCCCTTTGTGACTGCTCTGTCAAAGTTGCTTTCCTGGAGACACCTACTGTCCCTGTGGGACTCACCACGGTGCAGATTCTGTGTGACATTTGTGTGTTCCTCTGTCTGTCCCCTGCACTGAGTTACAAGCTCCTCAAGGCCAGGGCTGGCTGTGGCTTTCCTCACCAACACTCTGGGACAGTCCTTAGTGTGAAGGAGACACTCACTGAACACCTGTGGTAAAAAAAAAAAAAAAAAAAAAAAAAAGCACACACACAAAAACACCTGCCAGCTGGGCACGGTGGCTCACGCCTGTAATCCCAGCACTTTGGGAGGCCCAGGTCAGCAGATCACTTGAGGTCAGCAGATCAAGACCATCCTGGCTAACATGGTGAAACCTGGGTAAAAATACAAAAAAGTTAGCAGGGTTTGGTGGCATGTGTCTGTAATCCCAGCTACTCAGGAGGCTGAGGCGGGAGAATCATTTGAACCTGGGAGGCAGAGGTTGCAGTGAGCCGAGATCACACCTCTGCACTCCAGCCTGTGTGACAGAGCGAGACTCCGTCTCGGAAAAAAAAAAAAAAAAAGAAACACAGCTGCTGTGTTGGTGGGACTGCCCCTATTCAGCCTGTGCAAAAGTCCCACCAGGTTCTGACCCCCTGAGGCCAGGGACCGGGAAAGCTGGAGGCTCCCCAGCCAAGGGCAGGCCAAGCCCTGGAGCTGCCCGGGCCTGGGCACCCCTGGAACCCAGCTTCCCTCCCTCTTCCTGCTCTAACTCACAGCCACTTGGTGTTTTTCCACGAGAGGCGGGAATCAAAGTCTTCGGGGCTTTGAAGCTACAGAGCTAATCATTTTCAACTAATTAAAACACAATTTGCAAATATTGCTGGCAGGAGCATCCTGTCTCTGCCAGGGTTTGCAACCTGGGTCCCACTCATCTGGAAAAGAGCGTCTAGGGCTGGAGGGAGGCCATGTCCCCTCCCTGGGCCTCAGGGTCCTCAGCTCACAGCCAGTCCCATGGGTCCTGGTTTCTGAATACCCCGGGGGAGCCACTGCTCAGCCTCTGTGTGGCCACACCGGCCTCATTGCAGGGGCCCCTGCTGCCACCCTTAACCCGGGCAGTCTCCTCCACACAGCGGTCAGAGTGGCCTGTTGGGGTACACAGCAGGCCCTGCCACATGGCCTCCGCATTCTCCAGCTGCTCCCCAAGTCTTCACCGTGGTCTTTGGGGGCCTCAGGGCCTGAGCTCCGGCTCCTGGCCTCCTCACCCTCCCCAGGGCCTCCCCACCCCACTGGATCCACCCCAGGACTTGCTGTTCCCTGGGCGAGCACAGCACCACCCTAGGGTCTTTGCACCTGCTGTGCACCCCAAACTGTGGGGAACAGTTTTGCCTTCTCACCAGGCTAAGGTCAAGGCGAAGGACCCACTTGTCTCCCCCATGGCCAGGGGTGGGGGAAATGCCTGAGTGTCCCCAGTGCTCAGGGAACCCCCTCTCTGGCTTCTCAGCTCCCCACACTGCTTCCCCAGGGAGGTGGCTGGGCTATGGGTCCAAAGATGAGCTCACTTTGGAAATATGGAGGTTCTGGAAACCTGCCTTTTCTTCTTCCCCTTCTTCCTCCTCCTCTTCTCCCCTCCTTCCTCTTCTTAGCAGCCTCTTCTTCTCCTTATTTTCCTTTCTTTTTTTCTTGATGATGTCTTAGGGCTTCTGATGACAGAGGCAGAAGGGCTCCTCTGAGGATGGCTTTTAATAGATACTCACAGTCCACTGTATTCCGATGTCCCTGTGGCATCCGTTTGTGAAGGGCACCCCGTCTGTGTGTCTGTCCAGGCTTTCTCTGTCCCCCAGTGGGGTGGGGCTGGCCATTTGTTGCTGAGTCTTCAGGGCCTACCTGGACGGCCTCAGTGGGTATATCTGGAACACATGAATTACCAAGTCTACGAAATGGGCTTAGTGATGCTTCCCCTCCACCAGCAGCCTCACAGGATTCACAAAACCACCTTCAGCTGGCTACAGTTTGTTGACACGGACTGGGGCCGGGCACTGTGCCTTTTGTGCCATGGTCCTGGTCTCATTGGTGCTGCAGCTTTGTAGAGCATGAATGATCCCTGTTTTACAGCAAGGAAGTTGGGTGAGGATCCAGGGTGGCGAGCAGGGCAACGCACGTTGCAGGATCCTAAGTTCTCCCTCTTGGCGGCTGTTTCCTGTAAACCCAGGATCTGGAAGTTTCCATGGTCAGGGCCCTAGAGAACTTGGTGTCCGCCCCCAAGCTCTGAGCTCGCTGCATTGTCAGGACCTCTTTCCCTCAATCACTGCATGGGTGGGTTCCTCTCACTGAGGGGTAGGGGCTGGGTCACCTCGTGGCCCCAGGAGACGCGGGGGAGGCATTCTGTCCCAGGTGGAGATGGAATGTGGGAGGGGTTGTGTTTGGGTCTAAGCAGCACTAAACAGGGTGAGTTCCAGTCCTGGGGGGAGGTTCTGGACGGCAGCTAACAGCAGAACCACTGCCTAGCGTTCTCTGGAGGAAGGAGCCTTAAAGAGCCTTCCCCTGGACGGGGTGCCCTGCGCTCAACCGGGACAGGCTGTTTCCACCTTCCCATCACTGCTGTGCTGAGGCCGTGCCTGTTTCGAGATGTCAGATGAGACAGGAACAGCTGCTCCAGTGGGTTGGGAATGTTTACCCGCTAAACACGGAGTGCCCGTCACCATGGCAACACCCCAGTCCTAGGAACAATCCCCCACATCTGCCCGGCACCTGGCATTTCTTAATGCACTGCCTCAGACATTGGCGCATCCAGTCCTCACAATGTCCTGGGCGTAGATTCTCTAATGGCCCCGTCCTACGGGTGGGGGACCCAGGCTGCGAGAGGTGAGAGGACTTGGCCAGGCTCTCACGGCAGGGGGCCGATGCAGAGGGGCTTCCTGGTGGCAGCCTCCACACCCTCATCAGGGACCCTTCGAGTTGGTGTGACCTGGTGCTGTGGAAACCCACGGCCTACTTTGGAAAGCACCACTGCTTGTTCTGATGACCCCAGAGGGGGCTGGTGCGGGGCCTGGGGGGTGTACAGATGGCTCCTGACCACTTCAGAAGGAGCCCAGTGCTGGGAATGCAGGGCGCGTGCAGATGTGTGGGCCATGGACAGGAATGGGGAGCTGGGCACCCACTCGGACCTGTCCCGGGCCATTGAGTCAGGCAAGCCTCCTGACTCCTACCTCATCCTCCTCATCTGGGGAGTGGGCTGATGTAAAGGTTGAATGGGCACACAGTTGGTGCTTCCCTCACCCGACCCTGCAGCCTCCTGCCCCTGCCCGAGCACGCACACCCTCCCTCCCCCAGCCACGTTCCTGAGTGCTCTCAGCTCCGGCCTGCCCTAAGTTGCTTGTGTGTCCCCAGGCCAGGCCCTTTCCCTCTCCCTCTCTGGGCAGGGCTGCTCCCACATTGCTGGGATGAGCTCCCTGGGTAGGAGGCTGTGCCCTCCGGGTCTGGCCTTCTTGGCTTCTGGTGTCCTGCTTGTCCCCAGCCTCGCCCGGTACTGGCCTCTCACTGGATAGAGCCAGTCGGGGAAGAGCACGGCTCAAGTGGCTGTCCCAGCCTTTGTCCTGGAGGACAAAGCCTGCCCTGCGCTGCTGTGGTGGCTGGTGACCCCACTAAAGTCACAGAAGCCACCGCTGTGGGCCTGCAGTGGGCACCGTCCTAGGTGCTGCTCATTGTCCACCAAAGCTGGCCGGGGTCCTGCTGGTCAACACTGTCGAAGGGGTGGGATTTGGTGCCCCTCTGTTGGGTGTGACGGTGGAGAAGGTGCACTGGGTCCTGGGCTAATGGGGCCAAAGAATCGGCTTTGTCCTCTCAGGCTCTCAGGGTGTCATTTTGCTGTGCTTGTCCAGGCAGCTGCAGGCTGGGTTGCAGGGTTACGGGGGCAGTTCCCACAATCAGGGCCAGCAACCCCACCTGTTAGTAAGCCAGGGCTGGTGCAGATCAGAACAGGGGAATGAGCCTTCTTCTCCCTTCATCCCCGAGGGTGAGTATCCCAGGACTCTCCTGGTATGACCTGCGAACGCCCCTGGGATATTCACCCTAAGGGATGAAGAGAGAGGGCCACGCTGTCCTCTCTGTGATCATATTAGACAATAAATGCAAGAGTGTGTTTCAGAACAACAAGACGCTGTTTCATGGGAGAAGCAGCAGAAGGGCTCATGTCAGATGGTGACGGAATCGCATTCACCTGCCAGAAGCTTCCCAGGCACCCTCCTGTGCCCCCCGCTGAGAGCTCCCCTACCCCCTCTGCCCCGACTTCTGGCAAGGAGAGATTACCAGCTCGCTCAAGTGTGACCCTGCCTGAGTCAGGCGGGAAGCTGTCAGGAACGGGCGCAAGTCTCATTTCCTCGCCGCTAACTGCCTGCCATATAAATGTCAGCCTGGCTGTTAAATGACCCTGGCGAAAGGGCTGCTCCATTAGGCAGAGGGCAGAGTGATGGCTGAGCAGATCCACACCAACAGCCGCGGTGATTGCTTCCGCCGCGGAGCAGGGCGACATTTGCGTCATCATTTGGTGGTCTCCTAGGAGAAGCTGCAAGCAATTGCGTGGGATAACAACCAGAAAAAACAGCCTAAATGACAGCACGGCTGCCCAGGCTCCATCAGAGGGGCTTTGGGGATGGGGAACGGCTGGGGGTTGGCCCAGGTGCGGGCGGGTACTGTTATTTCATTCTCCAAACTTGTGTTTCATCATTCATTCACTCATTCACTAGTTCAGTCAGTGTTTTTATCAGCAAAATTCTTTTTTTTTTTTTTGAGACAGAGTTTTCCTCTTGTTGCCCAGGCTAGAGTGCAGTGGCTCGATCTCGGCTCACTGTAACCTCTGCCTCCTGGGTTGCAGCAATTCTCCTGCCTCAGCCTCCTGAGTAGCTGGGATTACAGGCGTGTGCCACCACGCACAGCTAATTTTTTGTATTTTTAGTAGAGACAGGGTTTCATCATGTTGGCCAGGCTGGTGTTGAACTCCTGACCTCAGGTGATCCACCACCTCGGCCCTCCAAAGTACAGGGATTACAGGCATGAGCCACCTTGCCTGGCCTATCAGCAAAATTTGTGATTTTCACCCTTTTCTCTTTACTCTGTCCTTCATCTCTCACGCACTGTCCCTGAAGACCCTGCGTGCGTAGCAGCCCTCGAGGGGATCTCTTTTCCTCCCCCACGCCCCCTTTTCCTGGGCCTGGAGCTGGGACAAGGTTTCCCCTCGCTGCATGCTGCTTTTCCCAAATCATTCTCCCCCTCCCCAAAGCCCGGCTTTGAATCGCAAAACACCAGCTTGTACGACTCACTGCCCGGCTCTGGCCACTCCCTGCTGGTTCCTGCCGCTGCTTTTCCCATCTCTGTGACCTCTGACCACAGGCACGCCCCGCAGGCCCAGCCCTCAGGTCTCTTCTCTCCCTTCCCTCATTCCTCCCTGGAAGCCCCTCCAAGTGCCTGGCTCACATGCACCTGGCAGCCTTTGAATCCATCTCCAGCCCAGACCTCTCCCTTGACTCCTAAACTCACACATCACTGCCAGCTCCATGTACCCATCTGGGTGTCTGGGGGTGGACTCCCATGGCCCCCTCCACTCCTGCTGTCCCCCCAGACCTGCTCCAACCTTCCAGTGGCTCAAACCAAAAATCTGGGGGTCGTCCTTGATGTCTCCCTCTCTCTAACATCCACAGATGACCCACCTGCAAATCTGTCTGCAAAATACGTGGCCAGAATCAGGCCCCATCTTCCTACCTGCACGGTCTTCACCCTGGGCTGAGCCGTCCTCATGGCTTACTTGGATTTTTGCAATATCCCCAACAGGTCTTCCTGCCGTCCGGCACCCCCTGCTATGTGCTCCCCGCCACAGCACCTGCCACCCTTTAATGCCTGAGTCTCATGTAAGCAGCTGAAACTTGTTCAGGAAAAAGCCACATCCTTGTTGGGGCTATAAGGTCCTCCATGATCCAGCCTCTTCCCCTCCAGGTCAGTCACAATAGGGAGGTGAGGGAAGGAGCTTTGAGGCTGCCTAGGGGTGGGAGGGGGCAGGAGGAAGTGGGGCGTCAGGGCCTCCTACAAACTTTGGCTTTACTATGAGTAGGTGAGGAGGGAGGTGGTCGGCCCCTGAGATGTGGCTACACTGTGGGCCATGACTGGAGAGAGACTGGGGATGGCGGGGGTCGGGGACAACCTAGACTGAAGACAGGGACCTGGGCCAGGTCAGGGAACATGGTTGACAAGTGACTGGATTTTTTTTTTTTTTTTTTTTGAAATGGAGTTTTGCTCTTGTTGCCCAGGCTGGAGTGCAATAGTGCCACCTCGGCTCACTGCAATCTTGCCTCCTGGGTTCAAGCGATTCTCCTGCCTCAGCCTCCCAAGTAGCTGGGATTACAGGCATGTGCCACCACGCCCAGCTAATTTTGTATTTTTAGTAGAGATGGGGTTTCGTCATGTTGGCCAGGCTGGTCTCAAACTCCTGACCTCAGGTGATCTGCCCACCTTGGCTTCCCAAAGTGCTGGGATTACAGGCGTGAGCCACTGCGCCCGGCCACAAGTGACTGGATCCTAAAGAAATCTGCAAGTAGACCTGAAAGTATTTTCTGATCAACTGGACACAGGGTATGTGAAACGGAGGAGTGCAGAGGGATCCTGGGCTTGCAGCCACTGACAAAGAGTGGTCCTGTCACTCTAGAATCCAGTCACTTGTCACCGTGGTTGCTGGCCTGGTCCTGGCCCCCGTCTTCAGCCTCCATGGTCCCCTCACCATGCGCCCCATCTCCACAACTCCAAGGCTGTTGGAGGTCTTTCAAGGTGACCTAGGCACCTGCCATGCACAGTGGGTGTCCAGTACACAGGGATGAAGGCCTTTGTTCTGTGAATGTTGTTTTGATCTCGCAGGGCTGGTTAAGGATGAAGTGAGGTGATAGCACATCGGAAACTATGGTTCTCACCTTCCTTCTGCCCAGTCTGAGAGGACTGCCTTTGTGTCCCCAGGGTCTGGAGGGCAGGTGTCTCCCGGACAGCCAGGACCACTTCATCATTGGTGGGGTGGGGTCAGCATGAAGCAAGGGCCTCTTGCTTCAGAATTGCCACAGGCTGGGCACGGTGGCTCACTCCTGTAATCCCAGCACTTTTGGAGGCTGAGGCAGGCAGATCACTTGAGGCCAGGAGTTCAAGACCAGCCTGTGTGACATAAGGAGACCCCCCCCTCCCGCCGTCTCTACAAAACATACAAAAGTTAGCCAGGGGTGGTGGTGTGTGCCTGTAGTCCCAGCCACTGTGGAGGCTGAGTTGGGAGGATTGCTAGAGCCCAGGAGGTTGAGGCTGCAGTCAGCCAATTTCACATCATTGCACTCCAGACTGGGGAACAGAGCGAGACCCTGTCTCAAAACAAAGAAACAAAAAGAATGGTCACAAACCACAGAAGGCTAAGCACTGCACAGGCCCTGGGTAGCTGCACAGATCACATGCTTGTGAGGCCCACCCTGCTCAGTGTCTCGGGGCCTTTGGTGGTGTGGGGGATGGGCAGAGGGACAGCACGGAGAAGCCAGCCCCGTGGTTTCACGTCACCTCATCAAGCATTTGTGCTGGACAAAAATTGCCCTCCTTCCTTTTAGACCTATTTTAAGCTTGGCAGGCCCATGAATATTTGATCAGGAAATCATTTTCTCCATAAATGCCGGAGGTTGGAAGCTTTGCTATAGGAGGGGGCCTGAGAGTTAAGTGTCCCCTGAGTGATGGTGGAGGGGCTGGCCAGCCTGGAGGAGAGCAGGCTCAGGGCTGCGATGGCTGCAAACTGCTGACCTGCTCTGCTGGGCGGGGGAACCACGGGTCTGAGGCCTCTAGCATGGAGCTGGTCTTGGTGGGGCAGCCACGGGAGGAGGCAAATTCCCTTCCCAACAGGGGCTTGGGCTGGCCCTAGTCTGGAGGTGGGCTCCTTGTGTCCAGGTGTGGGCAAGGGAGGGGCATGGGAGGGGTGTCAAACCTCAGGGTGGTGGGTAGGTCAAGTGAGTCCTAAATATACCATTACAACTCCCAGAACCTCAGTATAAAAAAACCGCCCCTGCCATGCCTCTGCATGAAAAGTTCTTCTAAAAGAGTGCATTTGAGTGAGAAGTTGCCCCAAATCATATCCAAGTGCCTGCTACTAACGTCAAGATTCCCCACATCAATGGAGACCTGAGAGCTACTGATCTCTGCTTCTCTGCACGTGGCTGTCTCTGGGAGCAGCCCCAGTGCCTGAAGAAAACAGAGCCCCGCTCTGGGTTGTCCTCTGTGTCCTCCCCACACGGCTGGGAGACACATGCTCTTCTCTCCCCAATTTAGAGAACTGAAAATTAGCCTCTAGCTGCAGTGGGCAGGTCCACTGTGCCTTCAGGGTCAGCGTCTGCGAGGGCCAAGCCCTCTCCCAGTGGTCACAGGTCACAGGGCAGCCTGGTTGTGTCCCCACGCCCTGCATTGGTGGAGTTGGGAGTGGGGGCGCTGACGGTGTGTGCTTGTGGAGCCTGTGTCTCCCCATGTGCTGGCTGCTGCCTGCTGCTTTGTTTCTGCCCCTGTATCAGCGTCTCCATCCCATCTGCACACCCAGATGCAGTGAGCAGGGCCTCCTGGTGCCAGGGGGAGGCCGTAACAGCAGGATGGAAAAGGAGGGGCACCCCCACTCCCCTTTACCTGCCTTGAAATTTTTAGCTCTGAAGTTGCCTGCAAATACGGCCTCAAAGAGCCGCAGCCACAGTTTGGAGGTTGGTTGCCTGGAGGGGGTGCTGGGGTCTCAGAGTCTCCGGGCAAGGACAGGGGGCTGAATTGGGGGCCTGCCTGCTGCAGAGTGGGGCAGGGCCTTGCGAGGACTTGGGTCGGCAGCAGTGTGGTCACAGGCAGGACAGCCCGGCAGGGTGCGGAAGGAGGCGTCTTTTACCTCCCAGTTCATGGAGGCGGTTGGGCAGCTGTGGGCAGACAAGGACGCCAGCGCTGCTGAGGGTGAGCAGCTTCAGCCCGGGTATGGGTCCTCACTTGTCCTTACCGCAGGCCCGGGAGGGAGTATGACTGTTTAGGTCTCTGCTGCTTCCTCCTTGCATGGCCAGGTGAGGTGGCCTCTTGGGAGACCCCAAGTCGGTGAGGGAATTGGCACTCACAGAGGGAGGCTCCCGCAGTCACAGCCACACCTGGGACCCTTCTGCCACTCCCCAGGCCTAGAAGTCCGGGCTGGGCCCCACTCTAAGTGCTAGTTGACCTTGGGGAGATCTGGCTTCTCCCTGAGCCTCAGTGTCCTCATCTGTGCTATGGGTGTTCTCTTCTCCACCACGTTAGCATGTAGTGAGGTGAGATGGGCTGGGCGCTGGGGTTGTTGTCCCAGCTCCTCAGCTGGGTCTAATTTGGTGGCCCCGCCTCCTGGTGACTTTCTGACACCTGACTTTCCTGGTCTCCTCTTGCTGGGATGCCAGCGTCGGAGGCGCCTCTCCAGCTCCTCAAATCCAGCCCTGGAGGTTTCTTCTCCCGTCTCCACCTGCCTTGGCCCAAGTGTTGCTTCCAGCCCTTGATTGCACTAAAGCACCCGCTCTCATAGGCCACGGTGTGCCTCAGGCTCTGCAGAAGGTTCTAGATAGGGGGACGTGGTGGTGGGGAGTGGACAATTACCTCCACCAGCCTGGTACGGCATTGCTGATCTTAGAGCTGGTCCAGGAATTCTCACCACCAGGAATTCCTCAGCTCCCAGGGTCTCAGCCCAGGGCCCTGTGTGGTCTCGATTCCCCTCTCTCAAAGCCCCTGTCTCCCACTCAGTGGTCTGAGCTGTTGTCTTCTCTTTGGCCCTCTCGGGAGCCTCTAGGAACAGGCCTCTGGGAAAGCCACACTCTCACCAGCCGTGGGTAAAGGGGGCTGGGGTGTGGGCAAATCCTGGGCAGTCTCCCCAAAGAGGAGCTCTGTGACCAGCTTTCATACAACGGCCCCTTTCCTCCCTCCCGTGGGGCCTCTCGACATGCCTGGTGTCCCACAGGGTGCCAGCCGCCTTGCCCGCAGCCCCTCAGCCCTGGGCCAGTGCCGCCCCTGTCCTCGCTCACAGGGTGGCCTTGGCAGCCCGGCCCCAAGGTCTACCCGGTGGTCCTTTTACCACCCAGAATACACTCAGGTCCTGGCCTGGAAGCTCTCTCGGCCCTGGAGCCATGACACTTTAAATCCATCCCGAGAGGCTGGCTGCCCTCATGAGGGATGGAGAGACTTAGAGACCAGCCCGGAGCTTGAATTTGACCTCCCTTACTTGCCGTATAGCCTCAGACAAGTTGGCCAGTCTGATGTGAGCTTTGCCATTTGCCAAGTGGGGCTGTAGCCCTTGCATTGTGAGGTTGGCTAACTGTGCAAGATGGAGCAGACCCTTGGTGCCAGTGCTTGCATGGCTGGAGGGCCCAGAAGGTCTGGCCTGAGGTCTGTCCGACCTCTCTGCTAACTCGAGGGTCTCCTCTGGGACTGTATCAAGCGTTGGCGGATGCCACAAGTGGTCTGTGGCTGGTGGTCAGCGTGGCAGGCTTGGTCCAGCAGGTGGACTTGGGTGTCTATCATGGGGACTTTGTGCTGAGGTGGCAGTGGCCTCTCAAGCTATTACTGTTGATTTCATTTCATGAAAAAAATGTTTAATGAAAAGAAATATGAAAACTTCAAAGGACTAACAAGGATGCAGGTTTCCACCTCACAAAATTAATTACATGAACACTTTGGCATATTTGCTTCTAATTTTCTTTTTCCCTCCCTCCTTCCCTCCTTTTCTGCCTCCTCCTCTCTCCTCCTTCTGATTAGGAAAAAAAAACACTCTATGGCTTTTTATAAAATGATCCATGCTCATTGTATCAGTCAGAAGGATGTAGGTTGTGTTGCAGTAACAAACAGCCCCACATATCGGTAACTTTAAAGCCTCTCCTCTGAAGTGACAGCTCTCATTTTCTCACATCTCATTTCTACATGCATAGGCCAAAGAAAGCCACATGGCCACGCCTGGCATCAAGGGGACCAGGAGGTGCGTGACCCCATCATGTGCCCCGGGAAGAGATCTGGACACTCAAGTGACCACCACACTCGGCAAACAGGACACAAATAAGGGAGGAAAAAAACAATATTGAGGGTGCAGAAAGTACGCACATCCTGCTCTCCAGAAGTAACAATCTCTGATAGCATTTGAACATCACTCTGGACAAATGAAGGGAGAGAGGGAGACTTTTTTGAAGATGTTATTTCACTATAAAAGATGACTAATGGGCCGGGCACTGTGGCTTATGCCTGTAATCCCAGCACTTTGGGAGGCTGAGGCAGGCGGATCACTGATCAGGAGTTTGAGACCAGTCTGGCCAACATGGCAAAACCCAGTCTCCACTAAAAATGCAAAAATTAGCCAGGTGTGGTGGCGGGTGCCCGTAGTCCCAGCTACTTGGGAGGCTGAGGCAGGAGAATCGCTTGAACCTGGGAGGTGGAGGTTGCAGTGAGCTGAGATCGTGCCACTGCACTCCAGCCTGGGCAACAGAGTGAGACTCCATCTCAAAAAAAAAAAAAAAAAGATGATTAATGAACATATTCTATTTAATTTTTACATTCAAGTAAAATTAAGAAGAATTTGAAGCAATCGTGAAACTTCAAGTAAACTATTTCTTCAAAGATCTCTTTATGAATTTTTTTTAAAAAAGCTTCTGAAGAACATTAAAGGATGAAAATTGTGGTCAGTATTTACTGACTTGTGCCAATTTCAGACAGTGTCCACCAGCTCCCTGGAGGGAACGTGAATCCAGAGCCCCACTTCCCCTCCCCTCGCCGCTCCCTTCAGTTATATTATCATCATTTTACAATATCTTAGTCTGAAACATTTGCATTATTTTTTGTAACCACAATTCCTATAATTATTTGTTATTAGTTGTATCTTTTTTGTTTTTTTAAAGACAAAGTCTCGCTCTGTGGCCCAGGCCGGAGTGCAGTGGTGCGATCTCAGCTCACCACAACCTCTGCCTTCCGGGTTCAAGAGCGTCTCCTGCCTCAACCTCCCGAGTAGCTGGGATTACAGGCACCCGCCACCACGCCAGGCTAATTTTTGTGTTTTCAGTAGAGACGAGGTTTTGCCATGTTGGCCAAGCTGGTCTCGATCTCCTGGCCTCAAGTGCTCCACCCGCCTCAGCCTCCCAAAACGTTGAGATTACAGACGTGATCCATCATGCCCAGCCACTAGTTGTATCTTTACATGCATTGGACATTCAGCAGTTCTTTAGTCAGTTGGATTTTACTGTAGCTTATTTATATTTTTTCCCAAAAAGGTTCGTGGGTATGTTCTCCCTAAGTTTTTCTGTCAGGTCAGTTTATTTACCATACAATAAGTGACATCCCGGAAGTGAATAATTTTGCAAGTCATGGTTTCTTTCCTTCAAAGCCTGGTGCCTCATGGCCTTAGGAACCAAAGGTTGCTGTGCAGAGCCTGAGGCAGGCAGTTCTCCTTGCAAATGTTTTTCTTGTTTATCCTAAATGATGGAAGGATTCTTTTTCCTTGAAATTCATAACTTTGCTAAGAAATCTGTGTGGAGCACTCTAGCAGATTTTCCTGAAATGTGGAGTGCTTGCTCTAATTTTGGATCCAATGCCTCCTCCCTTTCCAAGACTCTCTCTCATCTGCTGTATTTACTGCGTCATTTGCAGCATGTATCAGGGGCTCTGAATCAGGGAAGCCAGTTTTCTTTGGGTTGTGCTCATTCTCCAAGTCTAGGAACTGTTCTCAAATTCCCTTTTATCTCTATCTTTTCAACTGCAATCACTATGGTTATCTCAAGGTTTTCCTCTATACCGGTAATTCCACGTTCATCAGTGTCTAGTCATCCATTTAGTCTTTCACTAAGTATTTATCAAGTGCTGGCCAGGTGCCAGGCGAAGATGGTATTGGGGCAAGAGCATGGCAGGACAGGCAAGGCCTCCTCTTGGAAGTGGTGGGGATAGAGAGAGGATTGGCAAAATAAACAGCGCATCCAGCACACGAGATGTCCACAAGGGCTGTGAGGAGCGTGAACCACGATGGGGAGGGTGGCCGGGAAGACTTCCTGGGAACGGGATGTTTGAGCAAAGCCGTGAGGGAGGTGAGGTCCTTTGCTGCTTCTCATCTGTTAGGTTCACAAGGATGGACTGTCCCACATTTCTTTCCTCAGGTTCCAAATCTCCCTTTTCATCTCATTCTTCTGGCTTCTCGCCTCTGGGAGTGTTGCTTTTGTGGAATTCATGTCCTCAGCCATTTGTTCTCCAGCATGAAGCCACCGGGAGGCCACACCTGTTTGTGGCTGACGCGGTCTGGGTTGGGCTGTTTGCCTCACTTTGGCTTATGAGATCCCCCTTCCTTCTCCCTTCTCTTCGGTGCCGTCTGCTTGCGCGGTTGCCATGGCATCGTTTCATCTCGCTCACGCTTGGGCAGCTCGGTCCTGACCGTCTATTTGTTCTGGGGAATTGGCGTATTTGGTTCCAGTTTCTCTTTGGATGCATTCTCTCTTGTTTTTCTTTGAAAATCGCACCTTAGTGTTTGCAAAATGATGCACACTTGCCATGGGTGACTTTTGGGGCACCCCTGTGATTGGCCCCCACTTTTCTGGGATGTCACTTTACCTTCCAGCTTCTGCCCACGGTGGGTGTCTGGCTGCAGCCCCTGTTTCTGAGCACAGCAGGGGAAATGCCAGCTGGGCTGGAAAACCGGGCTTGGTTTTCTGTCTTGAGATGGTGTTAAATGTCTACACTGCAGCTCACACACCTACTTAGGAGCCTCTGTGGGGATCCCACAGAATGCCGTCTGTAGTTCCTGAGTCTGTGAAGAGGCTCAGCCCCGCAGCTCACATTCTCCATTCTGCGTACCCCCCCGGCCGGAGCTGGGTTCACTCCTCTGTGGTCAGAAAGCAGTGAAGCTCAGAACACCACCCACCTTGCTGTGTTCGTTTGGAAGGAGGGGGCAAGAGATGGTCGGGGCTGGGGCATGAGAGCGCCGAGCTGGAAAGGTGGGGCTGGCGGTGAGTGCTTCCCACTGAGAAGGAGCTCTGTGCTTCAGTGGCTGCGGATGGTGAGGCGCAGGGCGGGGTGAACGCAGGGTTGGTGCACACCTGCATGGCCACACCCGTCTGCAGGGCCACCCCTTCCCAGGCTGGCTGTTAGGGATTTGAAATCACTCCTGGCCCTGGGAGTGGGTGGCTGAGATCAGGTGGAGGAAGGTTATGAGAAAAGGGGATCCCGGGAGCCCAGAGGCCAGGCTGTTGGGAGGATCAAGCCTGTGGCCACGGCAGTCACCAGGAATTCTATCAGGAGTGGTGTTGAGGGGGTGACAGTGACTGAGGAGGGGTGTGACTTGGGGGTGGGCCGCAACTGTTGCAGGGAGGGTGTTGGGTGACAAAGTCCAACAGCGTGAATTGGGTGAGTGTGGGGCGTTCAGGATGGAGGGAGGGAGAATGGCATAGAAGCCACAGTGAGGGACAAGGAGACCGCCATGGCCAGTGGGATGTGGGCGAGGGAACAGCCCCCTGAGAGCAGACCCCATGGGGGTGGCAGGGTCCTCGGGGATGGACTGGATTTAACTCAGGCAGAGTCTGAAGGTGTAGGTGGTTTTGTTGACAGTTGACTGAAGCCCGGGGGGTGTCATGGAGGGGAAGGGAGAGGAGCCGAGGGGGGCACTGCTGTGGGAGGGATATGCAGGGCCTTATGAGGCAGACGGTGATGGGGTCCCCGGCTTCTCTTGAGGACTGATGCCATCAGGACACAGGGTGAGATGAACTTCATCTCAACACCCAAGTCAGATGGTGATGGCGGCAGGGTGCTCGAGGGAAGCTGTCTTGTCCCGGACCACAGGGCTCTGAGGCGACCCCCTGGCTCCTGCTGCTGGAGCATGGGCCCCTGAGGACCCGCATCTCATTCCTAGTGGGCGGGTTTTCTTCCAGCCCCTAACGATGGTCGACCCCTCCATGGCCTGCAGGGCAGGTACTTGGCTTCTAACCATTTTGTCTTCAGGTAATTAATGCCAGTTTATGATTCCCCCAAGTCTGTCCTCCTTCCTGCCTTCTCTCCTTTTTTCCTGTCCTGCTTTTCTTTTTTTAATTATTTTGTTTTGAGATGGAGTCTTGCTCTATTGCCCAGGCTGGAGTGCAGTGGCTTGATCTTGGCTCACTGCAACCTCTGCCTCCCCAGTTCAAGGGATTCTCCTGCCTCAGCCTCCCAAGTAGCTGGGACTACAGGCGCCTCCCACCATGCCCAACTAATTTTTGTGTTTTTAGTAGACATGGGGTTTTGCCACGTTGGGCAGGCTGGTCTTGAACTCCTGACCTCAGGTGATCCTCCCGCCTCAGCCTCCCAAGGTGCTGGGATTACAGGCGTGAGCCACCGCACCTGGCCTCTCCATTCTTTCTTTTCCTAGAGTTTCTGTTTTCTATCACCACATCTTTATTGCACCTGCCATTTGTGGAAGTTTTTTACTAGCAAAGCGGTGACTTTTAGACCCAAACCCTACTGAATGTGTTATTTATTAAGAGAAATAATAAACTGCTGTGAAGAGTCAGGGCTCACATGGTTTTGAATCTTGGTCTCCTCATTATCTGGGTGACCTTGAAGGAATCGCTTGGCCTCTCTGAGCCTCAGTTTCCCCATCTGTAGGAGGGAGGCAGTAACAGTGCATAATTTGTGAAGCTATCATAGGGATTCACTGTGCAGCCCTTTATACAGGTGTGGACCAAAGCTTGTGCCCAGCAGAGGTCAGCTGCTCCCCTGTGGCCACGTGCCAGGCCCTCCTCCTCACTGACCTCACCAGGCACTCACAGCTCTACATGGCAGGCTCTGTTTGCTCCACACCAGCCTTCTCCAAAACCCTCTCCTCCAGGCAGCCTCTGGGCTTGCTGGCCAGGTTCTTAGAGGTGCCAGTAACTACCACACTCAGGCCTACAACCTCTCAGTCTCCAAAAGGCACCCTCTGCTCATCTCCTTTTTTGTCGGGTCAGTGAAGATGTGGGCTGCCACTTGGTGCCAGGCACTGTTCTGGGGGCCTGAGTGAGGTCTGAGATCAGGATAGACAGAGCGCGCCCCCCTGCCCCAACCGTGGAGGGGCTGATCTGGTGGGGGAATCAGATGACCCTGCATACAAATGCATATTTATATAAAGCATAGAGCAGGGGGTTGGAAATGGGTCGTGGGAAGAAACATGATGCAGGTGATGGGGTGGGAGCACCAGGGTGCTAGTGGAGCTGGCAGGTTTAGACAGGGCGGTCAGAAAGGTGACACTGAGCAGAGACTTGCAGGAGGTGAGGGAGGGGCCCTGCCAATACCCAGTACCTGGTGACAAGTGTCCAGGCAGCAGGAACGGCTAAAGCAGAGACCCTGAGGCTGGCGCGTGCCTGGAGCCAGGTGAGGGGGCGGTGGGGGGTGGATGTCATGTAGGATCTCCAGGGTATAGGGTTGGAGTAGAGGCTGGCACGGGACTGTGATGGGATGGATGTGCTGGGATCACAGCAGCCACTGCATGGGGAGGAGACCTGTGGTCTGGCTGGGTCGGGGGCAGTAGGGGGCGATGGCGGGGACCATTAAGGGCTTGCTTGGAGCAGCGTACGGGAGAGCTGCTGGTGGCTCTGCCTGGGGCCATCGTGGGGGGTGCAGAGGGAAATAAGGGGGGAGGGCCGATGATGTTTGGAGCCTATAACACTGGCCATGTCCTTGTTTTGTCCTCTGGGAAGGGGTCTTGAAACAGGACCCCACAGAGTGATTGAAAGCAGATTTCACCTTTCAAGGGTCTCTAGGAAGGAGGAGGTTGCACAGGTCCTTGCCCGTCGTCCTTCCTATCCCACTCGCGACCCTGGTCCTAGCCTCAGAAGTGCAACCCCTGGCTGTGCACTGATTTGCTGAGTGACGTAGTGGGTCACTTGCCTCCTGGGATAATCAGTTTCCCCATTGGCTCCGTGAGAGGTGACTGAGGTCCTTCCAGCCTGCCTGGTGCCTATGACAGGAGGAGAGGAGTCATCAGCACCAATGTCCTGTTATTATTGGGTGTCTGTTATTACTGGAAACAAACAGCGGCGTCTGTCCCTGTCTCCGCTGATTAATGAGAGCCCATCCTTGTTCATTTCCAAGATCAAAACACAAGCAGACCTCCTCCTGCGGGCTGTTCTCTCCCTCCCTGCTTCCTTGAGCATCAGGGCGGAGGAGGAAATGGCGCCATCTCTTCTGGCTCTGACTCAGCCCCGATCAGTGGCTCAGCTCAGCAAGTGCTCACCGAGGCCACTTGGCTGGGTGCTGCAGACACAGCCAAGCCAGACATGGTCCCTGTACTTGACAAGGGGCTCATCCAGTGGGAAAAGCAAGCAGTGGACACGATACCACAGTGGGTGGGTAAGAGGTGTGCAGGTGGCCAGCAGTGGGGGTCCACCTTGGGGTGGGAATGTGGCTTTTTAGCTGAGTCTTAAGTGATGCTTTAGGTTTGGACAGTGAGCGGGTAGCAGCGGAAGGGAAGTCCAGTCAGGAAGCAGGAGGAGAGGCATCAAAGAGCAGGAGGTGGAAAGGAGTTGGATTTGAGAGGGGCGGAGGGTGCATAGGAACAGGAAGGTGTCCACACCAGCCTCCCGAGAGCTGCGATGGGAGGCTTGAACCAGAGATGGTGGCTTTGAATGACCTAGTCCAATCCCCTTCCTTACCTCCCGGTAATGTACAGACTGGAAAACAAAACTTTCAAATTCCCAGGTTCCCTTACAGCCAGACACGTGCAACCGTGTGACTGAGCTCTGGCCAGTGAAAGGTGGGTGGAACTCCTTGGAGAGAGCTTCTGTCTTCTAATAAAATGACAAAGCCTTCCAAGGAGATGGTTTGTAACTTTCAGCCTTTAGCTTTTCTCTTCTTTCTGCCTGGAATGTGGGTGTGATGCTTGGATGCCCAGCAGCTATCTTCTGACCATGAAGACAGAGATGCTCTTGAGGGTGGTGGAGCAGGAAGCTAGAAGAAATCGGGTCTACATGAGTTTCCCGAGCACCTCACCAGCCCTGGGCTGTCTACTCCTGAGCAGCCACATGGTATGACTGAGCATACAGGGGCTGGTGGAGGTCAGAGAAGTCCCTGCCCCACTCTGGGAGCAGGAAGGCTTTTGGGAGCAGCCTGTGCCTGAAGTCTATTTAGGGTTCATCCAGACTCCAAGCCTCCAGCTAATGTCGGTCGCCACTTTCTCCTAGGACCTGGGTTTGCTAACTGGGGTATCCTCAGGGCCTGGCCTGGGGAAGGTGCCAAATACCTTTTCGCTGCAAGAGGGAAGGATGGCAGTGGCACCAGCGGGATGAGGAGCTTGGGAGCTAGAGCGGGAAGGGGAGGAGGTGGTGGGGAAGGCTGGGTTTCAGGAGGAACACCGTAGGTCTGCTGGATCAACGGGTGGGGCGTTGGGGTCTGGGCTGGAGAGGGACATTGGGATTTGTGAGCAGAGAGTGGGCAGGAGAAACGGTGAGAAAAGGAAAGGTTGCTGCGGGATGCCCACATGGAGTCTCAGGAGGAGGCTGGAGAGACGGCAGAGATGCTGCTGGCAGCAGGAGGGGACTGAGCGCTGTCCCCCCAGGAGGGCCTTTGCTGGGCGAGACTCTGGAAATATCCTGGGGCTGTAGTCACAAAGGAGGACACACGTAGGCCTTAAAACAATGAATGTTTAGAACTTCCAGTACTATGTTGAATAGGAGTGGTGAGAGAGGGCATCCTTGTCTTGTGCCAGTTTTCAAAGGGAATGCTTCCAGGTTTTGCCCATTCAGTATAATATTGGCTATGGTTTTGTCATAAATAGCTCTTATTATTTGGAGATATGTTCCATCAATACCTAGATTATTGAGAGTTTTTAGCATGAAGAGGTATTGAACTTTATCGAAGGCCTCTTCTGCATCTATTGAGATAATCATGTGGTTTTTGTCATTGCTTCTGTTTATGTGATATATCATGTTTATTGATTTGTGTAGGGAAAGAAGGAGAGCATTAAGACAAATATCTAATGCATGCGGGGCTTAAAACCTAAATGACAGGTTGATAGTCGCATCAAACCACCATGGCACGTGTATACCCATGTAACAAACCTGCACGTTCAGCACGTGTATCCCAGAACTTAAAGTAAAAAAAACACAAAAAACAAAAAACAAAATGAGTGTTTATTCTCTCGCTCTGCTGGAGGCCAGACATCCAAAGCCAAGGTGTTGGGAGCGCAGCGCTCACTCCAAAGGCTAGAGGGGAGGAGCCTCTCTGCCTCTTCCGCCTCTGCTGACTCCAGGCGGTCCTCGGCTGGGACACATCACTCCCATCTCTCCTCTATTCACACGGCCGCCTTTTTCGTGTGTCTGCGTCTTTTTTCCTCTTCTTATAAGGACACCAGTCATTGGACTTAGAGCCCATCCTAAATGCAGAATGCTCTAGAGATCTCGAATCCCATCTGCAAAGACCTTATTTCCAAATAGGGTCACACTCTGAGCTTCTGGGTGGACACGAACCTTTGGGGTAGGCCGTTCAACCCACACAGGGACTCTGTGTCAGGCGTGGGCCCCAAGGGTTGCCGCCCCCAATCCTGCCAGTGGAAGGTAATGGCAGCTGGGCTCCGAACCTCCTCACCCTGGCCACTGGCTTTCTGGGTTCAGCCCCTGCCAGGAGCCACCACGCACTGACGTCTGTGCCGACTGCAGCTCTGTTCCACTGTTTCCCATAATTAAGCTCCCAGGCTGGAGAAAATCTCCCCTGCTCTCCCGGAGAAATGTGGACAATGCTGATAATGAGTTCTGCCATCCGAAATTACTTGTTCTGAGCGTTAGAAGTAATTTTCTGTCTGGGAATAATTAACTCAAAGACCTGGGTGAAGCAAGCTAAAAACGGGGGAAGTGGGTGGTTGAAAAGACTGTTTGAAGAGGACCTTGAACAAAGCCTTCTGCACTGGGAAGGCACGGCTGGGCCATGCAGAGGCTCAAGGGACCCAATTACCCCCCGGGGTCTCTTCCCTCTACCACCTGCCCCATAGCTCCATGGACTCTGATGGCTTCCAAGGGCTTCTGCTCTCCAGTGCCTTCGGGAGGAAGAGAGGTGCTCAGGGTGACCTGGGGATCGGGACTGAATGATGTGGGTTCAAATCCTGACTCCGGCATGCCTGGCCCCAGCCTCAGCTTCCTCTCCTGTAAAAAAAGATAATGGGACAGGCCACTGGGGCGGTTGGGTACGGGGGTCACATGGAACAATGTATGTGATGTGTGAGCCAGGGCCCAGCACAGAGTAGGTACTTAGGAAAAGTGGCAGAAGTGTGGGCTGAATAAAGAGAGGAGTTAAGACGAATGGGAAAAGGTACAAGGTCTGGATTCGATTCGATTCCAACTACTTGCTGAGCAAGCCACAAGACCTGGGGCAAGCCATGTGATATTCTTGGGCAAATATAAAATGAAAAATAATACGAACAGGGTGGCGGAGAGGTGAGACGAGACGTAAAATTATCTCACAAACTGTGAAGTGCGGTCTGTCTGTGTTTTACAAATAACAATAGGAAAATCCCAGTGTCCACATCCTTCCTGCTAGGCTGCCCTTTCTTGTTACCCTGGTGGTTCTCAAAGTGGGATTCCTGAGCTAGCCTGCATCAGCTGGAAATTTGCTAGAAATGCACATTTTAGGGCCTCACCACAGACCCGATGAATTCAGGGTGGGGTGGGCAATCTGTGTCTTGGCAAGTCCTCTAGGGGATTCTGATGTGTGCCAAAGTTTGGGACCCACTTTTATCATGTGGGTCCCCCTTTTCCAGTTCAGAGACCCCCAAACACATTTGACTTCTCACCTTAACCCTCTTCTGAGCCTCCAGGGCTTCCTGGAGGAGGTGGGACAGGAACCTTGTTCTGCAGGGTGATGTGGCTGAGGTTGCCAGATGTCCCTCCAGGACCCACTCTCCCATTCTTCAGGGGTCAAACAGGCCTGGAGCTTTTGATAGGCACACGGCTTTGGGAACAAAGCATTGCCTTTGCCAGCCCTCCTTACAGACAGATGTGGCCTCAGAATGAAGTTTTGGCTAAGAAGATAAGCAGACTTGATGCTTAAGGGGAACTGGCTCCCCTTGGGGAGTGGCCCTTGTTAACTGTCTGCTTTTCCTCTTCCTTCCAATCTGCAAGGAGAATGTGATGGCTGGAGCTCCAGCAGCCGTCCTGGATCATGAGACGACTTTGAGGACGGAAGCCTTGTGTTGAGAATGGTGATGCAGACATAGCAATGCCAGCATTCTGGATAAAGGACCAGCCATCACTCCACTTCTGAAAGGCCCACCTCTGAGTTTTTAAGGATGGGGAATGAGCTTCTATTTCATTTAAGCTTCTCTTATTTCAGGTTTTTGTGTTATGTAGCTAGACCAATTCTGACTGGTGAAGTAGGGAGAGAGAGCTTCCCATGGGCAGTGAGGTGCCCTTGGAGGATGCCAGGTGGCTGGGGGCTGTAGTTCAGAGGAGAGATTGGAGGGAGCAACTAGAGTCCAATGAGGGGCTCTGCAGTGCCCAGGCCCAAGGTCATGGGGTCTTAGCTGGACATGATTGTGTGAGCATCTTCTCCTGCCTCCGAGCCAAAATTGTCCAGCATGCACTGTGGTGAAGACTACAAATGAGATTGGGCAGGGATTTGTCAGGGGATCGCACAGCCCTGTTGACATCATAAGCCGTTAGGCGGTACCTTCAGGTAAAGGAAAGGGGAGGCGCTCTTGTTATCAATTTCCCAGAGGGACGGAGACCAGCTGAGTATCAGGGAGATGAGGAAGGGACAGAGAGAGCCCAGGAGGCCACAGGAAACCTCCCAGGAATCCCCAGGCTGGATGCCCCAGGGAGTGTTAGGGATGACTCCAGGCTTCAGGGCGGGGAGTTATGCCCTCGAGGAAGGATTCGCTTCTTCATTTCTTCCTTGATTCGGGCCCCACACCTGAAGAACAAAGCCTTCTCTGCTGCCCCTTGCAAGCAGGTGGCTGGATGAAAACATCAGCTCATGTCTCCTCTGCTCCCTAAGGTTTGACCCAGGGCTTAGGAAGAGCTGGCCCAGGACAATTACTTAGAAATGCTGAGACCTGGAGAATCCAGGGCCCAGGGTGTTTCCTCTCACTCCTCATTCTACAGATGAAGAAACTGAGGACTAGAGGGGGACAGCAACTTGCCCAAAGTGCCTGCAAAGCTGTAGAGGTGCTAGGACAGCACCTGCTCCCAGCTCCCTGTTCAATGCTCCTGGTGTGCCGCAGGCTGTGACCTGGCCTTCCTGGAGCCTGTCTGTACATGCAGGGGCAGGTGACACCTGAGACCTACAGAGGGGTCTCTGCTGGGAGCCGGGACCCAGGAGGGAGGGGCACTGAGTGGGGGGGAGGGGCATGTGCCCGAACCCACCATACACAGGGACTCTGAAGATTTTGTAACTCCTGTGGAGCCCCAGCGTCACTACCCAAAGCTGGGAAGGGAAGGCGTAGATGCCAGCGAGAGTGGGGAGCCAGGCGCAGCGGTTTCTGCGGAGCTTCAGACTTGCACTTCAGGCCCCAATCAAGTTCATGCTCCGAGCACTGCGCATCAGCAGTGGGCGGGGAGAAGAGCCAGGAATGGGGGGAGCCCAGCTGTAAAGTCCCCACGGGGAATGGTGCATGCTGGCTGGTGGGCGCCGTGGCTTGCGGTTCCAGCTCCTTCTGGTCTAGGCCGTGCCAGCCACTAGTTCCCTCTGCCAAGCTCAGCCTTGGTCTATGGCATAGTAGCCCCGACTGGGGATTTTGAGGGTTTGAAGGGATGGGGACAGGGGCCAGCATGAGAGAAAGGCTTCTTCAGAACAAGGAGAGCATCTCAGGACATGAGACACATGGGTAGCGACGGAGGTGCAGGGAGAGTGGGGGCCGGAGCTCCACGCCATACCAGGGAGGCAGACAGAAGGGCCGGGTTTGAATGTGCCGCGACCTTGGGGTGAGGTGGCCCTGACCACAGTTAACGCTAATGGGCAGGGGCTGGAGGACTAGAGGGCGTTCCAGTCCTGGGACCTGAGTCAGGGAGTGCAGAGGCCATTCTGCGTGAACTCAGCTAATGCAGGCAGCCCACTCCTGCCCTGCTGGCATCCTCCTGTGACGGGGAGCTCACCTCCACACAGGCAGTAAGCCCCTCATGGGGTCCCTCAGTCCCTACTGAGCTGAAGTCTGCCCCTGTGTAGCATGCCTCTGGGATCTTACCTTCAACCGGCCTGGAGTTATTCCCAGGACCCAGCAGAGGAAATGGACGCGCCTGCTACTGTTTAGTTATTTGCTGGTCTCCCCAAGGGTTCTGTGTGCTAATGACAATGGCCTCCACTTTCCAAGGGCTCTGGGACAAGTGCAGGGCTGGGCACCTCCCCTGTCTGAGGTTGTCAATTCCTTACAACAAATCCAAGAGTCCGAGATTTCCTCGCCCTTCCGTAGATGAGATCGTGGAAGCACAGAGGTGGGAAGGGACTTGCTCAGGGTCACACGGCTGGTCCATGGAAGCAGGATCCCAGGCTAGGTTGGGCTGCTCCACCCTCTGTGCCGTGGTGTGATCCGGTGCCCATTTTCCCCACCTCTATGAGGACCAGGCTCCCTCTGAGATCGCCTGTTCGGTCCCCACATGCTCTGCAGGGAAAGTGGTCTCAGTTCTGGACAACCTCACTGAGTGGTTCTGGCCCATTTTCTGTCTTCAGGCTGGTGCCTCAGGGTTTCTAGGGCCTAGACTGCACCCCCAGTGAGAGAGGATCCCCCCAGCTTTGCACTCCTTTCTAGCAGACCACAGCTGGGCCACACGGGCACCTGGCTGCCCCACAGCTCCCTCAGTCTCCATCCCAGCTGGCTGCCCACACGCTTCTGCTCAGGGCTTGGCAAAATGGCCCTGCTCATCCAAAGCAGGCATCCTGCTGAGCCTCAGATGCCTGCAAGGCCAGTGAGGAGCTGTTCCTCCCACACACCTGGCCACACAGGACCCTGACTGCACAGGCCAGTGCCATCACAGCCTCCCCTTTCCCAGGGCTGGGGACCGACTCTCTCCTCTCTGCTCCAGCCACGGTGGCTTCCTGGCGTCCATCCAGTGCACCAAGCTCACTTCTGCCTCAGGGCCTTGGCACCTGCTGTCCCCTCTGCCTGTGATGCCATTGATCCAGTTACTCTTGTGCCCACTCCTTCTAATTTGGGCATCTTCCCAAATGCCACTTCCTTGTAGGGCTTTCCCTGGCCACCCCATCTCCCGTGGCCTCTCAGCACTTCACATCTCTCCTGACCGTTATCCTGTTCTAATCTCTTCTTAGCACATGGCAACACGTGCAGGTGCAGTACTTAATTTTCTTCTCTGCCTCCTCCTCTTCCTCCTCCTTCCTCTTCCTTCCGCCTCCTTCTCTTTCTCCTCCTTCTTTCTCTTACTCCTCCTCCTTCCTCTTCCTCCTCCCTCCTCCTCTACCTCCTCCCTCCTCCTCTTCCTCCTCCTCCTCTTCCTCCCTTTCCTCCTCTTCCTCCTCCCTCCTCCTCTTTTTCCCCCTCCTCCTCTTCCTCCTTCCTTCTTCCTCCCTCCTCCTCCTCTTTCTCCCCTTCTCCTCCTTCTCTTCCTCCCCTTCTTTCTCCTCCTCCTCTTCTTCCCTCTCCTCCCTCTTTTCTTCCTCTTCTTCCTCTTTCTCCTCCTCCCTTCTTGTTCCTCTTCCTCCCTCCTCCTCCTCTTTCTCCCTTTCTCCTCCCTCTCTTCCTCTCCTTCTTTCTCCTCTTTCTCCTCCCCCTCCTCCTCTTCTTTCCCCTTCCTCCTTCCCTTCTTCCTCTTCCTCCTTTCCCTCTTCCTCTTCCTCCTTTCCCTCCTCTGCTTCTCTCTTCTTCCTCCTCCTCCCTTCTTTCTTCTTCTCCTCCTCCTCTTCCTTCTCCCATCCCCCTTCTCCTTGTCATCCTCCTCCTCCTCTGTGTCCCAGCAGCACATTGGCTCCAGGAGAAGTTGCTCTTGTCTGCTCTGCCTGCTGCTGGGTGCTGGGCACCTAGAATCGTGCCTGCTCACAGTAAGTGCTGGGCGAGCGTTTACTGACTGAGCAGTTACATGTGCCTGGGGGTCTCGTGAGATGGAGGAAGAACAGATCTTGGTGCCAGACTCTATAAAACCGTGTGGCCTGGATGACTCACAGGGCCTCCCTGAACCCCAGCATCTATTTCTGTAAAATTGGGGAAAGGACACCAACCTGCCTCAAAGATTCCACTCCAGGTGGGACCTAGGTGGGAGGTGCCCAGCCCACAGGATGCAGGGCAGCTTACAACGCACCCTGGCTTCTCAGCCAGAGCCTCCCAGGCTCCCCACCTTAGCCTCCCACACACCACTCAGGCATCCACAACACATTTAATTTGATTTAGGGAGGGAAATCTCTATTTTTTCGGTGGTGTTAGCATTGACGGTCTATTTCCTGCTTGGGACTCAGTGCCGAGTTGGCATTAATGTAGAAAAATTAGTATTATCAGGGCTGCTTTCAGAGCCATCGCTCACACTGCAGCCCGTGACACGTTAATTAAACTTGATAAATGCTCTTGTCTAAAGATAACTTTTGAACAAAGGATCCAGTCACCTTATTAGCTGGCTACATGCTCTGGTAAATTGCCTGGGAGGCTTTTGGAACTCCCTAGGGCCTGTGGCTGGGGACCGCAGGGCTCTGTCTTGGGGAGAGGGCTTCTCGGCTCTCCCAGTTCTGGGGATGGGCAGTCGCGCTATGGCGGGGGCACCCTACACGTCCCAGGGGCTGGGGAGGGCACTGTGGACCTGGAGGGCAGGATGGGTGTCTCAACCCAGCTCCCACCGTGGGCTCCGTCCTCTTCCGATTTGCAGTTCCCTTCACAAGCCCCTTCCGGCTCAGCAGCCTGCCCTATCACCATAACAATCCCATCCCACATGAACCATCCATCAGGAAGCCCACCAATATGACGGCTGCCCCCGCTGTGGCGTGGTCCTTGGGGCCCATCCTGCAGTGGTGTCATCTTCATGCCATTCAGCTACCGGTCCTCCTCTCCCTCCTTCTCTTTCTCCTCCTTCATCCTCCTCCTCTTCTTCCTCCCCACCCCCAGTGATCTCGGCTCACTGCAACCTCTGCCTCCCAGGTTCAAGGGATTCTCCTGCCTTAGCTTCTCAAGTAGCTGGGGTTACAGGCTTGTACCAGCATGCATGGCTAATTTTTTTGTATTTTTAGTAGAGGCGGGATTTTGCCATGTTGGCCAGGGTGGCCTTGAACTCCTGACCTTGGGTGATCCACCCGCTTTGGCCTCCCAAAGTGCTGGGATTACGGGCATGAGTCACCTCACCCGGTTGGCAGAGTCAGTTTCTAAGGAGAGGGAAGGAGGGGCACTGGGCAGGCTCTTGGCAATCTCTGCCAGGAAGGCTTTCCCAGCTCTGAGTAATTCTCTTTGTAGCACGTCTCAATTGCAATTTTATATTTGCTTTTTTCTTGACTTATTTGATGACTGTGGGCTTCACAAGGGCAGGGGTTTCTGTATTTTCTATGTTCCCCAGCAAACAGTAGGTGTGTAATAAAAATTTGTTGAGTGAATGAATGAATGAATAACTTTTCTCTGTATCCCTAGGTAAGCTCCTCTCCTTCTCTGGGCCTCAGTTTCCCCATCTATAAATCAGCCCATCTTTAAGCCTTCTCCTGCTTCTCAACCTCATGATGCTGCCCTCACCCAGCGCTCCAAAGATCAGATAGGGTAAGGTGGAGGGAACATTTATTAGGCACCAACTGTGTGCCAGGCCCTGTGCAGGGCAATGGGAGCTTGAAGATGGATCTGACAATGTTCTGGCATTCCAGAGACAGGGTAAGCAGTTCCACAGTGTGGCCTGTGGTGGACACGGAGAAGCCCCTGGGTGGTGGAAGCCAAGAGGAGGCACCTGACCCTGGATGGAGGGTCAAGGAAGGCTGCAGGGGCCTGAGTGATGGGTGCAGAAATAATAGGAGGCAGGCCGGGCCTGGTGGCTCACGCCTATCATCCCAGCACTTTGGGAGACTGAGGTGAGTAGATCACCTGAGGTCAGGAGTTCAAGACCAGCCTGGCCAACATGGTGAAACCCCGTGTCTACTAAAAATACAAAAACTAGCCAGGTGTGGTGGCGGGCGCCTGTAATCCCAGCTACTCAGGAGGCTGAGGCAGGAGACTCACTTGAACCCAGGAGGCGGAGGTTGCAGTGAGCTGAGATGGCACCACTGCACTCCAGCCTTGGTGACAGAGCAAGACTCCACCTCAAAAAAAAAAAAAAAAAAAAAAAAGAGAAAGAAATAATAAGAGGCAAAAATTCCAGGCCAAGGGAGCTGCCTGTGCAAAGGTCCATGGTCAGGAGAGAGCATAGGTCCCATTCTGTTGGTGTTGCCCTGAGGCAGGGGATAAAAGGGGACATTGAGGCCCAAGAGGCAAGCCCAGGATGAATCAGAGAGGCCCAGAGGGCAGTGGGGAGCTGTGGGTGAGCTTAAAGCAGGGAAGTGGCATGATCAGAATTGTGCTTCAGCATGAGCAAGCTGACTCTTCTGAGAAGGCCGGCCCAGAGGGCCAGAGGCTGAAGGCTGGGACGCGGTGCAGAGATGGCACCTGGACTCACCAAGGCAGCCTCCACTGGTGACTGGATGTGGGAGACCTCTGCACTTGTTCATAAGGTGTTTTCATGACCCTTCATTCACTTAATCCTCCAGATTATAGCCCTGGGGACAGGCATTGGCGCTAGGTCACACTGATGGCCCCACTCTCCCACCTTCTTTGGAGCTGCCCGTTTCACCGGGGCTGGGTTGGCCTGCCCACCTCTCACTCTGGGCTTGGCCCTGTGATCCATGTTGGTCAACAGGACAAAGCGGAAGTGGCTGTGGCCCACCTTGAGCTGAGTCTCGGGGGGCTGTGTACCCTCTGCTTGCTCTCCTGCACCTCTGCCATTGCCACGAGGACACACCCAGCTCAGCCTGGGAGGGTGAGGAGCACTCAGGCTCATTGCCAGCAGCTAGCCGCCCACCAGACACGTGGGTGAGCCCCGCCAAGACCAGAAGAATCGCGCCACAGAGCCCAGCTGAAACTGCTGAACTGTGAGTCAAATAAACACTTATTTGAAGCTTCCAAGTTTTGGGTAGTTTGTGACACAGCTTTATTGTGGCACTAAATACAGTTTTCTGTCCTTATTTTAAAGACTGTGTCTTTTGAGTTTTCACGGCCAGGGACCCTGCTCTGAGGTCCGTGTGATTTGCCTGCACTGTGCGACCTCCCAGCGCCGATCTCGGAGGCCTCGGCTCCCGGGGGATAGGAAGGCGGTTTTGCCTGGCCCTGGGCTGCGGCAGTGCTGGAGCCTCACCTGTATCAGTGTGGCCGCTCCACTCTGCTGGCTGTTCACTCATCGCCACTGCTGTGGTTCCAGCCGGGAGCAACAGCATCATTATCTTCAAGATGCAGCAGCAGGAGTCTTCATCTGATTCTGAGCCTCACGTCTCAGAGCAGAACTGACTCCCGCTGGGAGGTGGGGCTGCATCCTCTTTGTGAAGCTGAAAATGAAGAGGAAATTGTCATCGGGGGTTACGAAGAACGCGGTGGCATTTGCGACAGATGGCAACGCAGCTAAGTTTCCAATCATCGGGCTTGAAGCCGTTCTTTATTTGTAACTTTGCCTTTTCAGTGCAGATAAGTTCGGGCCTCGTTATTTCTCTCTAGGCTTATGGCGGAAAGCTAGGCATGGTGCTGCTGGCCATGGGGCAGGGTCCGAGCACCCTCCTTTAGCTGGCCTGTCCAGCCTCGCCTCTGATGCTGTCTCTGCTGTGCTATGGTGTAAGGAAGAAGCCAGAAGGCAGGCGATGTGGGTTCCAGCCCTAGTTCTGCCTGTTACTGGCTGTGTGGCTGTGGGCATGTTATGGTCCTCTCTGGCCTTGAGGTTGTCATTTGCCACCCTCTACACCAGCTGCCACTGGGGCATGGGGGAGGAGACAGAAGATGTTGGTGGGAGGCAGACCATGAGGCTCAAAAACATCAAGGGCACAGAGAGGTCAGTGGGGGCTGAACACATTAGCCAGGACTCCCAGCAGCAGGAAACTCACCAGTCCAGCCTGCTCTGCTGACAGGACGTCCCTCCAGATGTCCAGAGGAAGTTCCAGAGGAAGTCTGCCAGCTTCATCTCCCGAGCCTCCATTTCCTCATCCGTAAAGTGGGTAGGGCTGTGGCAAAAGTTCCATGGCATGAGGTGCGAAGAGTGCTCACCTAGGCCGGCACATCATGGGCTCTCTGGGGACATGGACCATTTTCTCCTCCTCCCGAGGCAGGCCAAGCTCCAGGAAGCAGAAGACCTTCCAATGTGGGAGGAGAGGGTACTCAAGGGGTAGCCCAGTAGGGCTGAAGGTCTTCCCCGGTGCCCTGTGCAAACATGGGGGCAGGTGGGTGGTGCATGGCAGACCTGGTGTTCCTGGACATGGAGGCAGCCCATGGCCACAGCTGTGCTGAGACTCAGGCCACTCAGTTCATCCCTCTGCATCCCTCTCCCCCTCCTCCCTAAAGCCCTGCAAACCTGCCTTCGTGGCCCTTTTCTTCCCTGATGAGGCTTTGGAATGAGCTGCTTTTTTTAGCCTCTCCAATCAGGCCGGCATCGTGCTTGGCTATTGTTAGCATCTCAGCTCGACGCCTCCTTCAGAAAGTGATGAGATCATCCTCCCAGAGGTCCACGGTCACCTTTCCACAAGGCTCAGCAACGTGCAGACCTCTCCTCCCATCCCCTACCCTGGTCCCAGGACAGGGACAGTGACAGCACTGAGAAGAGGAGTCAGGGACTGAACTAGGAGCAGGAAGGGAACTGGGAGTGAATGATCAAGGAGAATCTACTGTGGGCTCCGGACAGCGTCCTCTCTGCCCGCCAGCAACCCTTCCTTGCCTCTGGGGCCAGCACTTTGTTTTTCCCTCAAGGAGCCAGCTCACCTTCTGTGTCATGCTGTACTGACCCCCACGCCTTACCAGCCCATCATGCACGGTGTTCCCCTCTGGTTCAGTGATTGGATCCCAAGCAGGATGTGTAACCATCCATTCTCCTCTTTAAACAGAACCTGTTTTGTTGGAGTGAAAGTTTGCCCCCTTAAAAATAGGTGTTACCAGGTTCCCTTGCAGCTAGGAGTGGCCATGGACATAAGAGGAAGTCTGCCAGTTTAATTTCCCATAAAAGGGGATGGTCTCAGGGGCACACACCCTTCTTCCTGCCTGGAATGTGGATCTGATGCCCAGAGCAGGAGCAGCCACATTGCAACCATGAGGATAAAAGGTGCAAAGACTGGACTTTCTGACAAAGATGGTGGCACAGATGCACACATGTACATTTGCCTCTTCTTGAACCCTCACTAAAATGATGGTAAAGATCACTTTACGGACATTACCCTCAAGCAGAAAGAGAAAAGGGGAGGAGGCCCAAGCACCAACATTTTGGAGACTGGAAACCTGGTGGATGAGCCGTAACCCACTAGGTGAGCTTGAGAAGCTGAAACATGGCCGGCCAGCAGCATGCAAAGATGAGAAGCAACAATGGGCTGGGAGGATGGAGATGCCAGATATTTCTGGAGGGGAGTGAAGGAGGATTGTTTCAAACAACAGCAGTTAGTCTTCCTCTCACGGGAGGGACAGAGACAGAGACAGCTATCCACTCCCACTGCTTACACAACTGGGAGATTGCCCCTCCCTGAGCCTGGCAGAAACCCCAAGATTTATTATCAAGAAAGGGTCTGGCAGAGGCCTCTGGACTGGGGGATGCCACTCCAAAAGCAGGGCATGTACTGAGTATTGGAGACCCCCGCCTCTTTCTCCTTGCAGCCCCCGGAAAACCGGCAGCCAGGCCTCACGTGCAGCAGGGGGGAGCTGGGGGATCATTTTGGTTGGGGTCAGTTCCACTGACCTTCCTAGTGGAAATCCTCACACTCTGACCCCCAGTGACCCCCCGGGGAAGCAATCCGCCAGATCACCTGCAGTGGAGACCGCAGTCAGAAAACGCTACCCAAGGGCTCAGCACTTCCAATCAGCTTCTTTGTTTTTTAAATGAAGTAGACATTTAAATGACGTTTATATTCAGTGAAGTGCACAGATCTTAGCACAGTTTGATGAATTTTGGCAAACTTACTCCCATGTCACACGCCTCCCTCAAGGTAGAGGACATTTCTGCCAGCTGGAAAATCTCTCACCAGGTCACCCTCCCATCTGATCCCCGTCTCCATCGCCTGTCCTCCCCATCCCCTGCAGGCCGTGCTGTTCCGATTTCTATCAGCATAGAGGAGCCCTGTCTGTTCTAGAAGTTCATATAGATGACATCACACAGCACATACTCTTCTATATCAGGCTTTGTCACCTAGTAGAATGTTTTTGAGAGTCATCCATGTATTGCAGGCCTCAGGGGTTTGCTCCTTTCTGTGGTTAAATGATCTTCCATGGTTTAGAATGGAATATTTATCCACTCTCCTCTTGACGGACATTTGAGTTCTTAATAGTTCTTGGCTATCACAAATAAAAGTGCTATGAACATTCTTGTACAAGTTTTTATGTGGACATGTGCTTGCTTTTTTTTTTAATTGAATAAATAACTAGACATAGAATTGTTTGGTCACAGCAATTTTGTTTAACTTTACGGGAAATTGCCATATTGATTTTTAAAGCAATTGTACCATTTCACATTCTTACCAACAATGTATGCATTCTAGTTGCTCCGTATCTTTGTCAACACTTGTTAGGGTCTTTAAATTTTAGCCATTCTGGTGGATATGTAGTGGTATCTTGCTGTGACTAAAATGTGTACTCCCCTCCCCCAATGACTAATGGTGTTGAAGATGATTTTTATGTACTTATTTGCCATTTATGTATCTTTTTTGGTGAAGTGTTTGTTTAAATCTTTGTCCCATTTTTGGGAACTTTTAATTTTTTTTTTTTTTTCCAGACAGAGTTTTGCTCTTGTCACCCAGGCTGGAGTGCAATGGCGTGATCTTTGCTCACTGCAACCCCCACCTCCCAGGTTCAAGTGATTCTTCTGCCTCAGCCTCCTGAATAGCTGGGATTACAAGCATGCACCACCACGCCCAGCTAGATTTTTGTATTTTTAGTACAGAGGGGATTTCACTATGTTGGCCAGGCTGGTCTAGAACTCCTGACCTCAGGTGATCCGCCCTCCTCAGGCTCCCAAAGTGCTGGGATTACAGGCGTGAGCCACCCCGCCCAGCCGGATTTTTAAAATTATTGAGTTGTAAGAGTTCTTTTATTTTTTTTAACCTCTGAACTTTTTATTGGCCTCCTGCTCTCTAAAGGGTACCCTGCTTCTGCTGCCTTAATGTCTCAGAACTTTGGTGTCGTTGGTCTCAGACACCACTTTGCCATCCACTCTCTGGTGGGTGGTGGTCTTTGGAATGGTTTGCATGGAGTTGCTGCTGTCCAGGGCATCTCCAAGATTGAAGTCCTTGCCATCTTCCAGCAGGTGGCAGTAGGTGGCGATCTCAGCCTCCAGCTTGACCTTGATGTTCAGCAGGGCCTCATACTCCTGGGCCTGGCACTGTCCCTTTGCCTGGGTCTGTGCCAGCTCTGACCCCAGGTGCAGCAGGATCCCGTTGAGCTGCTCCATCTGCAAGGTGTAGCAGGCCTTCACCTCCCTCACGCTGTTCTCCAAACTGGCTTTCAGATTTCTCATGGAGTTCAGGTTGATCTCCAAGGACTGGACTGTACATCTCAGCTCTGTGAGCGTCATCTCAGCAGCTCCAGCCTTGGCAGACTGCGTGGTGACCACTGTGGTGCTCTCCTCAATCTGCTGAGACAAGTACTTGTCCAGCTCCTCTCCGTTCTTCCAAGCCAGCTCGTCATATTGGGCCCGGATGGCTGCCATGATCTTGGCGAGGTGCTGAGATTTGGGGATCTACCTCCATGGTCAACCCAGAGCTAGCAATCTGGGCTTGTAGGCCTTTTACTTCCTCTTCGTGGTTCTTCTTCATGAAGAGCAGCTCCTCCTTGAGAGCCTTGATCTCTGTCTCCAGCTGCAGCCGAGTGACGTTGGTGTCATCATTGACCTTACAGAGTCCATGGATGTTGCTCTCCACAGACTGGCACATGGCCAGCTCTGTCTCATACTTGACTCTAAAGTCATCAGCAGCAAGATGGGTGTTGTTGATCTGCAGAACAATGCAGGCATTGTCTACAGTAATTGCCAAGCTCTGAGCCCTCTGGTTCCTGATGGTCTTGAAGTAATGGCTCCAGTCTCTGACCTGGGGTCCCTTCTTCTCCAGGTGCTCCCAGATTTTGCTCTCCAGCTTCCGGTTCTTGGTCTCCAGGTGCCTCACTCTGTCCGGGTAGGAGGCCAGCAGTCGTTCAGGCTTTGCATGGTCTCCTCGTTCTGGATGCCTCCCATTCCTGCCAGACCCCAGTCATCCCCGCGGCCAGGCCTCCGGACTCCATGCTGCCCCGGAAGCTCGTGGAGCAGGACACGGAGATCCTGGAACCAGAGTTCCCAGTGCCTGCATAGACGCTGGCCACACTGCTGACCGGCCGGTGCCGTAGCTGGGCGCCTGGGCAGGGCCCAGGGATCGGTAGTTGGTGGAGAATGTGGAGCAAGTGGTGAAGCTCAAGCTGTCCGGGGAGGAGGGAGAGAGGACAGGGCTTGGGTTTTGCCCACCAAGAGTTCTTTACATAATTCTAGATACAAGCCCTTTGTCGGATGCATATTTTGTATATATTTCCTTCTAGTGTGTGACTTTCCTTTTCATTTTTGGAACAGTGTGTTTTAAAGGACAAACACTTATAAGTTTGATGCAGTTCAATATATCCAATTTTTCTTTTAATAATTAGTGGTTTTTGTAAGATATTTTGCCAAACTTGAAGTCACAAAGATTTTCTTCTATATCTTCTTGAAAAAGTTTTATGTCTTTAGCTTTTACACTTAGGTCTAGGATGCATTTCAAGTGACTTTTTGTATATAATGTGAAGTTTCAAGGTTCATTTTTAAAAAACATACGGCTGTGAAATCATTTCAGCACTTTTTGTTGAAAAAAGTTTATTTAAACATTTGTTGAAAATCAATTGACTATATATGTGTAGGTCTATTTCTACAGTCTGTTTTCTCTTCTATTGATCTCTATGTCCATCTTTATGCAAATTCCACAGTCTTGATTACTGTAGCTTTATAAGAAGTCTTGAAACCAAGTGTGTAAATCCTCCAACTTTGTTCTTCTTTTTCAAAACGGCTCTGGTTATTCTGAGTTGTTTGCATTTTCAAATTTTAGAATCGGCTTGTCAAATTCTACCAGAAAAGCCTGCTGGGATTTTAATTGGGATTGTGTTACATCTATAGATGAATTTGGGGAGAATTGACATCCTAGCAATTACATTAGTTTGGGTTTTCTCAGGATTCTTCTGTTTCCAGAGAAACAGAACCGATAGTATATCTCTCTATCTGTATATATCTAGTTAGATGGATATGAGAGAGGATTTATTGTAGGGATTGGCTCACGTAATCATGAAGGCCAAGAAGTCCCATGATGTGCAGCCTGCAACTTGGAGATGCAAGAGTGCAGGTGCTGTCATTTAGTCTGAAGGCCTGAGTACTGGGTAGGGGCAAAAGAATGCTGGTGTCTGTTCCAGTGTCTGATGGCCCAAGAACTAGGAGCTCTAGTGTCCAGGGGTAGAAGAAGATGGATGTTCCAACTCAAGGAGAGAGAGAGAGAGAGAGACAGAGAGAGAGAGAGAGAGAGAGAGAGAGAGAGAAATAAAGAGAAAGAGAGAGATAAGAGAATTCATCCTTCCTCTGCATTTTTGCCCACCCACATTTATAAGGGTGGATGTCTTTACTCTGTCTACTGATTTAAATTCTAATATCTTTCAGAAACACCCTCCCAGATACACCCAGAAATCATGTTTTACCAGCTACCTGGGCATCCCTTGGCCCAGTCAAGTTGACATGTAATAGTAACCATCACAACAATGCCGAGTCTCTCACTCCGTGAACACATTGTATCACCCTATTTATTTAGGTCTTTAATTTCTCTTGCCAATGTTCCATAGTTTCCAGTGAACAGTTCTTGTTTATATCCAAATAGTTCATGTTATGCTATGTTAAATGGTTATTTTCTAAAATTGCAATTTCTGATGGTTCATTGCTGGTATATAGAAATCAATTAATTTTTATATATAGATTTTGTATCCTGAAACCTTGCCAAACTCACTTATTAGTTCTTGTGGGTTTTTGTAGATTTGTTTAGATTTTCTATAGAAACAGTCATGTTGCCTATGAATAAAGAGAGTTTTAGTACATCCTTTCCGACCTGGATGCCTTTATTTCATTTTTTGTGCCCCAACACACTGGTAAGCACCTCCAATACAATGTTAAGTACAAGTGGTAAGAATAGGCATACTTGCCTCATTTTTGATTTGGGGAGGAAGGAGGAAGCATTTAGCTTTTCATCATTGACTATGATATTAACCGTGGGTTTTCCTTAGATGCCGCTTTTCAGGTTGAGAAAGTAATCTTCTATTTCTAGTTTGCTGAGTTTAAAAAAGCAGAATCAGGAATGGATGTTGGATTTGGTCAAATGTCTTTTCTGTATCTATTGAGAGGATTTTATTGTTCTTTGAAAATATTTTTAACTAATTAATTAATTGATAAATAATAGCTGTGCATATTTTCAAGGTACACGTGATAATTTGATATATTTACATAATCAAATCAGGGTAATTGCAATTGCAATGGATGGATATTTATCTTTACACTAGGAACATTCACATTACTCCCTTCTAGCTATTTTGAAACGTATAATCAATTAATATTAACTATAATCATCCTACTCATCTGTTGGACACCACGTCTTATTTCTTCTATCTAATGTTTTCCTTATTTAGTCTTTTAAGATGGTGAATTACATTGACTGATTTTCAGATGTTAAACCAAGCTTGCCCTCCTTGGGTAAGCCCCATGCTAACAAGGTACATTATTATTTCTATCTATCTGTCTGTCTCTGTGTATGTGTGTGTGTGTGTGAATTTAAATTTGATATGCTAAAATTTGTTTAAGAACTTTTGTGAGAGATGTTGGCCTGTAGTTTTTTTTTTCTTGTAATATTTTTGACTAGTTTTAATATCAGGATATTGCTGGCCTTACAGAATGAATTGAGGTGTGTTCCAGCATTTTCAGTTTTATGAAAGAGTTTGTATAGGACTGGCATTATTTCTTCTTTATATGTTTGGTAGAATTCACAAGCAAAGCCATTTGGACCTGGAGTTTTCTTTGTTGGAAGTTTTTTTTTTTTTTTTTTTAATTACAGATTAAATTTCTTTACTAGGTGTAAAGTTATTTAGGTTGTCTATTTCTTCTTGAGTGAGATTCGGTAGTGCAAACATTTTCAAGGAATTTGTCAAGTTCATGTAAGTTGTGTGACATATTGGCATCACATTGTTCATATTAGCCTTTTAATGTCTATAGGGTCTGTAGTGGTATCTCCTCTTTCATTCATGATGCTGAAAACTTGTGTCTGCTCTCTTTTGGTCATGATTAGTCTGGCTACAGGTGTATTAATTTTAACAACTTACTTAAAAGAACAAACATTTGTTTCTATTTATTTTCTTTGTTGTTCTCCTGTTTTCCATTTCATTAATTTCTGCTTTTCATCATTCCCCTTTTTCTGACTACTTAGCTCTCCTTTGTCGGATTTCTTAAGGTGCAAGTTTAAGTCAATCTGAAAACTTTATTCTTTTTTAATAGAAGCATTTATTAATAAAAAAATTTCCCTCTATGCACTGCATTGGCTGTATCCCACATATTTTGGTATGTGAAGTTTTCATTTTCATTTAGTTAAAAATGATCATTTCACTTGTGATTTATTCTTTAAACAGTGAATTATTTAGAAATGTATTTTTTAGTTTCAAAATATTTAGGCATTTTTCAGGCATCTCTCCATTATTGATTTCTAACTTAGCCCAATTGTGGTCAGAGAACATACTTTGTATGATTTAAACCCATTCCAACTTTTTGAGACTGGTTTTAGGGCCCAGGAAATCGTCTATCTTGGTAAACGTTTTGTGCACTTGAAAATAGTGTGCTTTCTGCTATTGTGGGGTGGAGTGCTTTATATGTTGATTAGGTTATGTGGTTGATAATGTACAAATCTTTTATATACTACTGATTTTCTATCTCATCATTATATTATTAAACAGGGGTATTGAAATCTCCAGTTATAACTGTAGATATGTCTATTTCTTCTTTCAGTTCTGTTCTGTCAGTTTTGCTGTATGCATTTTGAATTTCTGTTAACAAGTGCATAAACTTTTAGCATTATTCGTCTCTTGATGCAGGGACCCTTTCATCATTCAATGACCTTCTGTATTATTGGTAATATTATTTTCTCTAAACTCTACCTTTCCAATATTAATATCCACACTTTGACTTTTTTTGAGGTTAATCTTAAGATGGCATATCTTTTTCCATCTTTATTTATTTATTTTTTATTTTTTGAGATGGAGTTTCACTCTTGTCACCCAGGCTGGAGTGCATTGGTGCGATGTCAACTCACTGCAACCTCTGCCTCCTGGGTTCAAGCAATTCTCCTGTCTCAGCCTCCTGAGTAGCTGGGATTACAGGCATGCACCACCATGGCTAATTTTTTGTAGTTTTAGTAGAGACAGGGTTTCACCATGTTGGCCAGGCTGGTCTTAAATTCCCGACCTCAGGTGATTTGCCCACCTCGGCCCCCCAAAGCGCTGGGATTACAGGCATGAGCCAGCACGCCCAGCCTTTTTCCACCTTTTTACTTTTAACCTATATGTATCTTTATGTTTAATGTTGACTTTCTGTAATCAGTGTATAAGAGTCTTAGCTTAAAAAAAAAAAAAAAATCTTAGCCGGGCATGGTGGCTCATGTCTGTAATCCTAGCACTTTGGGAGGCCAAGGCGGGCAGATCACCTGAGATCAGGAGTTTGAGACCAGCCTGGGCGACATGGTGAAACCCCGTCTCTATTAAAATACAAAAAATTAGCTGAGCTTGGTGATGGACTTCTGTAACCCTAGCTACTCAGGCGGCTGAGGCAGGAGAATTGCTTGAACCTGGGAGGCGGAGGTTGCAGTGAGCCAAGATTGCACCACTGCACTCCAGCCTGGCAACAGAGCGAGACTCCGTCTCAAAAAAAAAAAAAAAAAAAAAAAAAAGGAACCTGACATCAGTCTCACAATCTTTACCTTTAAATTAGAGTGTCTGGACTGCTTACCTTAAAGGTGATATAGTTACAACTGAATTTAAATCTTTTACTTTGCTTTCTCCCCCTCTATTTGTCTCATCTATTCTTTGCTTCTCTTTCCTTCTTTTGCCTTAATTGGATATTTTTATAATTCTACTTTATTTCCTCCATGGGCGTATTAGCTACCCCCCATCCTGTGTTTTAAAAGTAGTTGCTCTAGTATTTATTGTAGACATCTTTAACTCGTCACAGTTAACATTCGAGGACTCTTGCGCCCCTTCACTTGGAGTGTGAAGCTCCCACGACAGTGCCCTTCCCTTTACATCTCTCTGCTTTTCCACTAGTACCGCCATGATTTTACTTCTACATTTATTATAAATCTCACAATACATTGTTGTTATTTTTGCCTGAAACAGAAATAATCTTTTAAAGGGCATAAACAATTTTAAAAATGTCTTTTACATTTACTGACATGATTACCATTTTTGTTTTGTTTTGTTTCTGAGACAGGGTCTCACTGTCGCCCAGGCTGGAGTGCAATGGTGTGACCTTGGCTCACTGCAACCTCAACCTCCCCAGGCTCAAGTGATCCTACTACCTCAGCCTCCTGAGTAGCTGGGACTACAGATACATGCCACCACACCCAGTTAATTTGTGTAGTTTTTTTTGTAAAGACAGGGTCTTCCTATGTTGCCCAGGCTGGTCTCAAACTCCTAGGCTCAAGTGATCCTCCCGCCGTGGCCTCCCAAAGTGCTGGATTACAGGTGTGAGCCACCGTGCCCGGCCTGATCACCATTTTTGATGCTCTTTGTTCCTACATGTTTATTCAGGTTTCTGCTTAGTATGTGCATCATTTTCCTTCTGCCCAAAGGAGGTCTTTTAGAATTTCTTGTAGTGCTGCTCTGCTTGGGATCAAATCTCTCTGCTTCTTACGTTAAATTAAATCTTTACCTTGTCTTCATTAAAAATATATTATCTCTATATAGAATTCAAACTTGACAGTTAATTCTCCGTCAGTACTTCAAAGTGATGATGTCACCCATCTTCTGACCTCTATTGTTTCTTCTAAAAAGCTTTCTGTAAACTTTGTCTTTGTTCTTCTGTGTGTGATGTGTCTTTTTTTGCTCTCTTGCTGCTTTTAATGCTTTCCTTTAACATCTGTTTCCAGAAATTTGATGATGAGGCACCTTGGTGTGGTTTTCTTCATGTTTCTTATGCTTTAGTTCATTGAGATGTTTGGACCTATGGATTGATAGTTTTCATTAAATTTGAAAAAATATAACCACTATTTTTCCAGACTTTTTTTTGGGTGTCCATCCCTCTTCCCCATTGCTTTTCTTTTCTGAGATTCCAGTGACATGCATATAGGTCATTTGATGCTTTGTTCATTATATTTCCCTTTTTTTCCTGCGTTTTTTTGATAGCTTCTTAGTCTTATGTATCCATATTCACCTAACTTTTCTTCTGTGTTGTCTAATTTGTTGTGTGTTTTTCATCTCTTAAAATCCGACTTGGGTCTTTTAAAAAACTCTTTCAGTCTGTTCTTATCAGGTGCACATTTGCCTCATTTTCTTGAACAAATAGAGTCTATTTCTTAGAGTTGTTTTAGTATCTTCGTCTAATAATTCTATCATCGATGTCATTTCTGGGTCTGTTTCTACTGACTGATTTTTCCCCATATTATGACCTGTCTTTTTTACCTCTTTGCATAGATGGTGATTTTTGATTAGGTACAAGAAATTGTGAGCTCTGGTTGTTGGGTGTGGTTTAATTAATTAATTTTGCCTGTATTCCTTTAAATATTTTTTACAAAATTTTCTGGGCATTAAATCAGTTACTTGGAAACAGTTGGATCCTTCTGAGGCTTGATTTTAAGCTTTGTTCCAGTGTTTCTTTTTCTAATCTGAGGTCACTTCCTCACACGCATGTGCTGATCAGTACTCAGCTAAAGAATGGAGGGTAACCCCTCAGGGTTATAGATGTAGGTATAGTCAGTTGTTTGGGTACCATTTGTTAAAAAGTTTTTTCTTTTCCTTAACTTGCTTTAGCACCTAAGGTAAAAAGAAATCAATTGACCGTATAAACATGAGTTTCCTTCTGGCCTCTATTCTGTTCTAGTGCTTTTATTTGTCTATGTTTATGCCATTATTGTACTGTCTTCACTATCATAACTTTATAGCAAGTCTTGAAATTATGTCGTAAAAGTCCTCCAAACTTATTTTTCTTTTTGAACTTTTTTTTTTGGCTATTCAATGTTTTCCAATTTCTGCATACGTTTTGGAATCAACTGTGATGCTTGTAAGATTCCAGAGGCCCTCACAGAAGCTAAGCAGATGTTGAAGCCGTGGTTGTACAGTCTGCAGAACCATGAGCCAATTAATTATCTTTTCTTTATGAATTATTCAGTCTCATGTATTTCTTTATAGCAATGCATGAGTGGTCTAACACAGAAACTGTACTGAGGAGTGGGTCTCAGGTGAGACTTTAGACCAGATGTGGGGCTTTTGAGTTAATGGTGGAATAAGTTAAGATTTCAGGGGACTATTGGGAAGGTATGATTGTATTTTGCAATGTGAGAAGGACATGAGATTTGGGGGCGCCAGGGGCAGAATGATGTAGTTTGGATATTTGTCCCCACTCAAATCTCACGTTGATTACCTTCAATGTTGCAGGTGGGGCCTGATGGGAGGTGATTGGATCATGGGGGTGGATCCCTTATGGCTTGGTGCTGTTCTCCGCGTAGTGAGTGCGTACTCATGAGACCTGCTTGTTTAAAAGTGTGTGTCGCGGCCTGGCGTGGTGGCTCACGCCTGTAATCCCAGCACTTTGGGAGGCCGAGGCGGGTGAATCACGAGGTCAAGAGTTCGAGATCAGCTTGGCCAATATGGTGAAACCCTGTCTCTACTAAAAAAAAAATACAAAAATTAGCTGGGCATGGTGGCACGTGCCCGTAGTCCCAGCTACTCGGGAGGCTGGGGCAGAAGAATCGCTTGGACCCATGAGGCGGAGGTTGCAGTGAGCAAAGATCGTGCCACTGCACTCCAGCCTGGGCAACAGAGTGAGACTCCATCTCCAAAAAAAAAAAATTAAAAAAAAAAAAAAAAAGGAAAAGTGTGCGTTGCTGCTCCCCCATCTCCTTTGCTCTGCTCTTGCCATGTGAGGTGCCTGCCTCTCCTTCACCTTCTGCTATGACTGCAAAGTTCCAGAGGTCCTTGACGGAAGCCAAGCAGATGTTGGTGCCATGCAGAATTGTGAGCCAATTCAACTTCTTTTCTTTATTTTTAAAAAAGAATCAACTTTTAACTTTAAAAATGACTGCTAGGGCTGGGCGCGGTGGCTGACACCTGTAATCTCAGCACTTTGGGAGGCCGAGGTGGGTGGATCACTTGAGGTCAGGAGTTCAAGACCAGCCTGAGCAATATGGTGAAACCCCGTCTCTACCAAAAATACAAAAAAATTAGCTGGGCGTGGTGGTGCGTGCCTGTAGTCCCAGTGACTCACAAGGCTGAGGCAGGAGGATTGCTTAAGCCCGGGAGACAGAGGTTGCAGTGAGCTGAGACTGTGCCACTGCCCTCCAGCTTGGGTGACAGAGTGAGACTGTCTGAAACAAAACAAAACAAAAAAAACAAATCAAAACAAAAAAAATGACTACTGAGATTAAATTATTTAAAAAACATTATCATTGAGCTATAATTGACATATAATAGATGACACACATTTAAAGTACACAGTTTAGTAAGTTATGAAGCGTGTGTTCATGTGTGGGCCATCGTCACAATCAAGACAATGGACATGAGCCTCAGCCCCAGGAGTTTTCCTCTGACTCTTCTGTTTCCTTAATGCCCAACCCACCCTGGCCCCTAGGCAATCACCGATTTGCTTTTTGCCACTATAGATTGGTTTGTCGAGATTTTGATTGGGATTGCATTGAATCATTAGATAAATTTGGGGCAAATTGCTATCTTATAAATATTGAATCTTCCAGTCAATGATCATGGTATCTCTCCCCGTTTGCTTATTTCGTCTTTATTTTATCTCAGTACACATTACTATTATTATTATTATTATCATTAGAGATGGAGCCTGGCTCCCAGGCTGGAGTGCAGTGGCATGATCTCTGCTCACTGCAGCCTCCACCTCCCGGGTTTCAGCTATTCTCCTACCTCAGCCTCCTGGGTAGCTGGGATTACAGGCACCCACCACCACACCTGGCTAATTTTTGTATTTTTTTATTAGTAGAGACAGGGTTTCATCATGTCGGCCAGGCTGGTCTCAAACTCCTGACCTCAGGTGATCCTCCCGCCTCGCCTCCCAAAGTATTAGTATTAGAGGCATGAGCCACTGTGCCTGGCCTGTACACATTATTTTATAGCCTTTAGTGTAGAGGCTTTACATGTATTTTATTAAATGTATTCCTAAGTATTTGATGTTTTTTATGGTATTGCAAAGGTATCACTTTTAATATCAGTCATTACAGTGTATAGAAATGTGTCTTTCTCTATTGCCTTTTTATCCTGTGACCTTGTTAAATTTGCTTTCTAGTAAAGCAGTTAAAAGATCCCTTAGCATTTCCAACATATATAATATTATCTGTGAATAAAGACAGGTCTATCTCTTTCTTTCCATTTGTAAGCTTAAACATTTTTTTTCCTGCTGAGTTTCCCTGGGCAGGCCCTCCAGTCTAATGTTGAAGAGAAAGCTCACATCCCTGCCTTGCTTTGAATCTTCGGGAGGAAGCATTTATTCTTCATGGTGATGTGTGATGCGAACTGTAGAATTTTGTTGAGCTTTGTTTGTACACACCTTCCATCAGGTTGCGGAAGTATCTTTTCATTCCTAGTTTGCTAAGAGTTTTTTCTGACAAATGACCGTTGAATTTTATCAAATGCTTTTTCTGCATCTGTGGAGCTGGTCATATGGGTTGTCACCTTTATTTTGTGAATCTTGATTCATCTTGTAATGAATTACAGTAATTGAGTTTTGAATGTTGAAGATCTGAAAACAATATTTCATCTATTCCTCCCCTCCAGTTTTATAATTATTAACGGCAGCAGGGCAAGTGCCGTACCTTCGTGGCTGAGAGCAGCCACTCGAAACCAGCTCTGCTAGAACTGCACAGTCAAATATGATCAACAACCCAGGGTCACCTGATGAAAGGTGTGACCAAAATAAACTATCAGCAAGAAGCAACTTGGAGGAAATGATACTATGGAAAGAGAAGAAAAAGTTAAAAATACCATCACTGATCTCCTCAGAGGAATAAGACATCCTTCTATCAGAACAAGCAGCCATAAAACAGAACAGGAGTGCTTAGAAAATAAAAATATTACAGCAGAAATGAAAAACTCAATAGAAAAGCTGGAAACTAAATGCAATCCACTATGGTAGAAAGCAGAACAAAAAAGACACAGAGGGCCAGCTGCGGTGGCTCAGACCTATAATCCCAGCACTTTGGGAGGCCGAGGCGGGCCGATCATGAGATCAAGAGATCGAGACCATCCTGGCCAACATGGTGAAACCCCATCTCTTCTAAAAATACAAAAATTAGCTAGGCATGGTGGTGCCTGCCTGTAGTTCCAGCTACTTGGGAGACTGAGGCAGGAGAATCGCTTGAACCCGGGAGGCAGAGGTTGCAGTGAGCCGAGATTGCGTCACTGCACTCCAGCCTGGTGACAGAGCGAGACACTGTCTAAAAAAAAAAAAAAAAAAAAAAAAAAAGACACAGGGAAAATAGAAGAGAAAAGGTAAGAAAATGAGGGGAAAGCCCAGAAGTTCCACAAGGAGAGAACGGAAAGGCAGAGGGAAGCATTTATCAAGGAAACGATGAAAACATTTTCTACTTGCAGGACCACTGATTGTCCAGAAAAACGGATGAAAATAAACCAAGACCAAACAGATGACCGTGACATTTCATGATGCTTAGGGACAGAGAAATGAAGCTGGGGGATGGGGAGGAGGAGCTGTATACAAAAGATGGGGGAAAAGAATATCTTTTAACTTCTCAATAGCAATTTTGGGAGTGAGAGAACCGTGGAGCAATTCCTGCAGAATTCTACACCCAGTGTGCTGAAAATGATTGCTGTGAACAAAATTCCTTTATCCATGAAGTTTGGCCAAGAAGATAATTTGCAGGACTTGAGCAGCAGATGGGGTGTAGTAGCCGTTACTTTCTGAAAGTCTCTGATTGATGACAGGGTTCTGCAGACGTGCCCAGTGGGTTCCAGTTTATTTTCAGAGTCTTTCTTCTTCACCCACACTCTTCTTCCTGCCAGCCCCACTGACCACCTGCGGCCCCAGGCCCATCTCAGAGGCAATGGCTTCTCCCAGACCCTCCCTAAAAACCCCTCCGGCTTGTTCTCACATCTATGGCTGGATATGCTTGGCTTCAGGGGTTTTCCTGAAAGCCCTGACTTGTCCACCTGTGTGGACAACAGGTGGCTAGTGACCCTCTGCCCATCTGTACCTTCCCTTTTCCAACCCCTCTCACTATTGTGCAAGGTCTAATTTTTTCTTTCTTTCTTTTTTTCTTTCTCTTTCTTTCTTTCCTTTTTCTCTCTCTCTCTTTCTTTCTCTTTCTTTCTTTTTCTTCTTTCTTTCTTTCTCTTTCTTTCCTTCCTTCCTTTTTCTTTCTCTTTCTCCTTCCTTTCTCTCTCTTTCCCCTTCCTTCCTTCCTTTTTTCTTTCTTAAATGGAGTCTTGCTCTGTCACCCAGGCTACAGTGCAGTGGCACGATCTTGGCTCACTGCAACCTCTGCCTCCAGGGTTCAAACGATTCTCCTGCCTCAGCCTACCAAGTACCTGCAACTACAGTCTCGTACCCCCATACCCGGCTAATTTTTTGTATTTTTAGTAGAGATGGGGTTTCACCATTTTGGCCAGGCTGGTCTCGAACTCCTGGCCTCAAGTGATCCACCCTCCTCGGCCTCCCAAAGTGCCGGGATTACAGGCATGAGCCACCATGCCTGGCCACAAGGTCTAATTTCTGCAATAACATCCATACTAGCTCTGCTCCCTAACCAATCACTGTCTGATAGAATTTTTGGCATCTTTTAGAAGTGTTTCCAGGGAGCAGAAACAAATGCGTAGCAATCTAGAATTGATTTTCTGGTTCGACTAGATTTAAAGGCATTAACAACCCCATGGCCAGAGGTAATTAGGAGATTTGTCATCCATGGCATACGTTGGCAAAGCAACTACTTAAATCATCACTCAGGGTCTCCCAGACCAAGTGCCTATAGAGGCAAGGCTTTGAGTGACTGAGAAGCTGCAGCCGAGAATGTTTTAGTGACCATGAGGAATAGACGGACAGTGGGTCTGGCTGGTGACATGTAAGTGTTTTGGGGAATTTGGAGAAGGAAATGATAGCTCAGGATTGTAAATTCCCAGCACAAGTTCCAGGTTGGGAAGACGAGAGTGCCTCTGACTTCCTGGAAAGACATCCTCATCTCTTTTAGCCACAGGATTGAGAGATTTTTGAAAACCCATCCCAAAGTCTAATCTTGCAGGTGAATGCAGTTTAAGAATGCAATTAAATTCACAACACCTCATATCTAAATTAGAATGATTGGGAAAAAGCAAGACTCTCAGAATTGGAATGAACGGACACCTGGGCAGATTGTGATGAAACCGAGCACCAGCGACCCCTGAATCCTGCTATGCATCCTTAGTTCAATAGAGGCAGCCTCTCCTCCTGCGTGTGTGGAGGTCAGTCTCCCATTGCCTAAGAGCCTGTAGTGACCTCTTCTGAGATGGCCGATCCCCACCACCTCTCATTTCTTCCAGACCTGTCACTAGACTCATGTCCAGTTGGCACCAGGGCGCTGGGTACAAAGAATGACCAGGAGGAAAGTACACTACCACAGCCAGGCTCACCTTGGGTGTATTGCACGTTTGGTTCCAGACCACCACAATGAAGAGAGTCATAATAAAGCAAGTCACACAAATGTATTGGCTTCTCAGTATTATATAAACTGGGAAACGTTGCCCAGATCCATCAGGCAGCTACAGCCTGAGGAAACGTATTTCTTAAATAATAAGACTTGAAAGTCAAAATGACTCCTTGATCCATGGGCTGCAGAATGGATGAAGTGTTTTGTTTGTTTGTTTGTTTTTGAGACGGAGTCTCACTCTGTCGCCCAGGCTGGAGTGCAGTGGCACAATCTCGGCTCACTGCAAGCTCTGCCTCCTAGGTTCATGCCATTCTCCTGCCTCAGCCTCCCGAGTAGCTGGGACTACAGGCACCTGCCACCACTCCTGGCTATTTTTTTCTGTATTTTTAGTAGAGACGGGGTTTCCTTGTGTTAGCCAGGATGGTCTCGATCTCCTGACCTCATGATCCGCCTGTCTCGGCCTCCCAAAGTGCTGGGATTACAGGCGTGAGCCACCGTGCCTGGCTGGATGAAGTGTTAGCAGGCATGAAAACAACATTCTTCTTATACATCTCCATCAGAGCTCTTGGGTGACCAGATGCAGAGTCAATGAACAGTACTATTTTGAAAGGAATCTTTTTCTGAGGAGTAGGTCTCAACAGTGGGCTTCAAATATGTAGCAAGCCATTCTGTAAACAGATGTGCTGTCACCAGGCTTTGTTGTTCCATGTATAGAGCACACAGGCAAAGTAGATATAGCATCCTTCTTCTTCTTTTTTTTTTTTTTTTTGAGACGGAGTCTCTCTCTGTTGCCTAGGCTAGAGTGTAATGGCGTGATCTCGGCTCATCGCAACCCCCGCCTCCCGGGTTCAAGCAATTCTCCTGCCTCAGCCTCCCCAGTAGCTGGGACTACAGGTCCCTGCCACCATGCCTGGCTAATTTTTGTATTTTTAGCAGAGACGGGGTTTCACCATGTTGGCCAGGCTCATCCCGAACTCCTGACCTCAGGTGATCTGCCCACCTCGGCCTCCCAAAGTGCTGGGATTACAGCTGTGAGCCACCGCACCCGGCTGGTATAGCATCATTCTTAAGGGTCCTAGAATTTTCAAGGTTTTCAGAATCGCAAATTAACATTGGCTTCTACTTAAAGTCACCAGCTTCACTAGCCCCTCGCAAGAGAGTCGATCTGTCCTCTGAAGCTTCAAAGCTAACCATTGACTTCTCTTCTCTAGCTATACACTAGATGACATTTTCTTCCAATAGAAGGCTATTTTATTTACATTGGAAATCAGTTGTTTAGTGTAGCCACCTGCATCGATGATCTCAGCTGGATCTTCTGGATAACTTGCTGCAGCTACTCCATCAGCACTTGCTGCTCCACGTTATGCTTTTACGTTAAGGAGACGGCCTCTTTCCTTAACATGCTGTGGCTGCTGGGATCTGCCAATCCACGTCACTCAAATTTCACATCAGCAAGAAGGCTGTTTCAATTTCTTAGCATTCTATGTTCACTGGAGTAGCACTTTTTTTTTTTGTTTGTTTCCGGAGAGGAGTCTCACTGTGTCAACCAGGCTTGAGTGCAGTGGTGCAATCTCAGCTCACTGCAACCTTCACTTCCCAAGTTCAAGCGATCCTCCCGCCTCTGCCTCCCAAGTAGCTGGGATTACAGGCATGCGCCACCAGGCCCAGCTAATTTTTGTATTTTTAGTAGAGACAGGGTTTCACCGTGTTGGCCAGGCTGGTCTCGAACTCCTGACCTCAGGTGATCCACCCACCTCGTCCTTCCAAAGTGCTAGGATTACAGGTGTGAGCCATTGTGCCCGGCTTGGAGTAGCACTTTTAATTTCCTTCAATAACTTTTTCTTGGCCGGGCACGGTGGCTCACACCTGTAATCCCAGCACTTTGGGAGGCTGAGGCAGGCGAATCACCTGAGGTCAGTAGTTCAAGACCAGCCTGGCCAACAGGTGAAACTCCATCTCTACTAAAAATACAAAAATTAGCCTGGCGTGGTGGCACGTGCCTGTAATCTCAGCTACTTGGGAGGCAGAGGCAGGAGAATCGCTTGAACCTGGGAAGTAGAGGTTGCAATGAGCTGAGATCGCTCCACTGCACTCCAGCCTGGGCAACAGAGTGAGACTTTTTCTTTGCATTCACAATCTGGCTAACTGGCTCAAGAGCCCCAGCTTTTGGCCTGTCTCAAGCTTTTCACATGCCTTCCTCACCAAGCTTAGCCATTTCTAACTTTTGATTTAAAGGGAGGGATGTGGACTCCTCCTTTCATTGAAAACTTAAAGGCCATTGTAAGGTTATAATTGGCCTATTTTTAATATTACTGTGTCCCAGGGAATAAAGAGGCCTGAGGAGAGGAAGAGAGACAAGGGAAAGATGGGTGGGCGGAACCCTTAGAGAACACACGATATTCCTCCATTAAGTTTGCCGTGGTTTTTGGCGCCCCAAAACAATGACAATAGCAATGCCAGGGATCACCAAAGGCATAGTCACCACACTAGACAAGGAATCCAGCTGCAGTGCTTGCTTTGGGCAGAGGAAATACCGGATGAATACAGGAGAGGAGGCCCTACACACCAGGCACAGCCATGTGAGCGGTGGTGGAAGGGAAGGGGGTCAGTTAGGAGTACTCACACTTTATGCTGTTGTTACTAACATTTTCAATCACATTAACCAATTATTATTATGATTATTTAGAAGGAATTTTGCTCTTATCGCCCAGGCTGGAGTGCAATGGTGTGATCTCGGCTCACTGCAACCTCCGCCTCCCAGGTTCAAGTGATTCTCCTGCCTCAGCCTCTCGAATAGCTGGGATTACAGGCACCTGCCACCACGCCCAGCTAATTTTTGTATTTTTAGTAGAGATGGGGTTTCACCATGTTGGCCAGGCTGGTCTTGAACCCCTAACCTCAGATGATCCACCTGTCTCAGCCTCTCAAAGTGCTGGGATTACAGGCATGAGCCACCACGCCCGGCCCCCATATTAACCAATTATCATTTCCTTCTTCCATTCCCCTGCTATCTCACATAAGCTGTGTTCATCGTGACTGGCCTTACGTCTTGATACTTAAGTCACAGGATGTCAAAGAGGGAGTGACTCAGCCAGAAGGGGGATTGCCCCCTTCGCAGATGGAGAAAGTCTCTTTTTGAGGCTGGGAGGGTAGAAGGTTAGTGCACTTTCGATTTTAATAAGGAACAGTTGCATCGTGTGAGGAAGCAGCCTGATTTCATTGCTGTCTTTATTAGGAAGTTAAATATAGTGAGAAGGGGTTTGTTTAGATGGCAGGCTGACAACTCGCGGGCTGTTGGCAGGCAAAAGCAAGCAGGCTGCGCTCCTCTGAGCGACTTTGTGATCGGAGATGGGGAGAGACCGCTGCACAGGTGCTCCGTGAGTTCCAGGGTGTCCGCACTCTTCCTCACCCTGGGTCCTGCTCATGCTCCCCACCGTTGACCCTGCTGCCCCGACAGTGGCCCTGGGCTTCCCCACAGAGGTGGCAGCTGCAGAGGCAGCAGCTCCTGCAGCCTCTTGGCCAGACCTCCCCCGGCGCCCTGACCCGTGCAGCTGGATGTGCGTGACTTTCTCATGACTTTCCTGCAAGCTCCGAGCTGGCCTCCTGCCCCAGGCTTCAGGAGGGCTGGCTGCTGAGTCTTTCCTGACTCTCCCGCTCCCCTCCTCCCCAGCTCCGCTCCCCTGCTCTTCCTAGGATTGTGCAAGGTCTCATTCCTATGATGGGCCCCTCCTCCCACAATGCTCATTGTGGCTTCTCTTCCTGGACTGAACTGGGCCTAGGATAACCACTCAAGCCACTGATCAGCTAGGAGAGTAGAATAAAGATATTTCGAGGCTGGGCACGGTGGCGCACACCCGTAATCCCAGCACTTTCGGAGGCCAAGGCAGGCAGATCACGAGGTCAAGAGATCAAGACCATCCTGGCCAACATGGTGAAACCCCGTCTCTACTAAAAATACAAAAATTAGCTGGACGTGGGCCAGGCGCGGTGGCTCACGCCTGTAATCCCAGCACTTTGGGAGGCAGGTGGATCACGAGGTCAGGAGATCAAGACCATCCTGGCTAACACGGTGAAACCCCGTCTCTACTAAAAATACAAAAAAAAAAAAAAAAAAAAAAAAAGCCAGGTGTGGTGGCAGGCGCCTGTAGTCCTAGCTACTCGGGAGGCTGAGGCAGGAGAATGGCGTGAACCCGGGAGGCAGAGGTTGCAGTGAGCCAAGATTACGCCACTGCACTCTAGCCTGGGCGACAGAGTGATACGCTGTCTCAAAAAAAAAAAAAAAAAAAAAATTAGCTGGGCGTGGTGTTGTGCTCTTGTAGTCCCAGCTACTCGGGAGGCTGAGGCAGGAGAATCGCTTGAACCTGGGAGGCAGAGACTGCAGTGAGCCAAGATTGTTCCATTGCACTCCAGCCTGGCAACAGAGCGATACTCCTTCTCAAAAAAAAAAAAAAGATATTTCGAGTTTTGCAATATAGCAAACACTTTGTATGGGCTTGTATGACAATGGATATAGGACAATGGACACAGACACTCCCACTCAGGAAAGAGGAGAAGGAGCATCTGGGGCACCAGCTTGCACCGAGGCACTGTGGACCACAGTCTGGCGAGAGCCTGAGCCTGCTGGGGGCCCCAGGGGAGAGCTTCGAGAAGGGAATGCTTCGAGGGGTAGACAATTGATAGGGAGTTTGGTAACAGGAACTTGGGAACAAGCTAAGAACAAAACAAAGCAAAGAATATTAACTTCAGAAAGACAAAATGTTGTTTAAGGAAGTGTACATAGCATAGTGTACTCTGCGATCAGCTGTGAATAGCATTTTCATAGTCATTGCGATGTGAACACTGATGATTGATTCTTTTTCTTTTCTTTTTCAGCCTGAGTTTCACCCTGTCACCCAGGGTGGAGTGCAGTGGTACTATCTCGGCTCTCGGCAACCTCTGCTCCTGGGTTCAAGCGATTCTCCTGACCCTGTCAGGGTGAAGGAAGGGGAGACCCTGTTGGCATCACAAGAGAATCTGGGTCAAGCCATGCCTGAAGCTGGTCAATCCAGGGCCCTCTGCATTTTAGGAGCCAGTAAGTTGCACTTTTTCCTTAAGTCAGTTTGAGCTGGGTTCTGACCTGGTCGGTAACAGACATCACACTGCATTCTTGCATCAACTCGGCAAGTCGCCACCTGATCTCTAATTTACTGCTGTGGGGAGTGAAGGTGGGGAAGGAGAGGGTCAACGTCTGCTCCCTCCTGTCTCTGTGATCCTCAGATATGAGTTACGGCCTGGGGCCCGAGCCGGGCTCTCACTGCCTTGAGGCCCATGGTCCTCACTGCTGACCACCTCTGTGTTTCTCCTTTCTCTAAGAAGCCCGTTGGTGGGAGAAGCCACCCTTGTTCTCAGGCAGACACCTGCAGATCGCTCAGCCTCAGTTGCTTTCAATCCCAGCAAGAGAGGCCTACCGCTCAGAAGTTTTCTTTGCCATGAGTGGAACTTCAGATTTTTTCTGTAAACCTGTGAAGCAGCTCAGCTTCACAGAGAACTCCAAACTCTCACGCCTCTGTGTGACCTTGACCAAGTTCATTAACCTCTCTGTGTTTTACTTTTCCCATCTGTAAAATAAAGTGGGTGGATTAGACCAGCACTATAATAGACATGGAATTTGAGCCACATACAGAGTTTGTGGCTAAAGTTTTCTAGCAGCCACGTTTAGAAAAGAAATAGGTAAAAGTATTTTAATAATACATTTTATTTAACTCAATATATCCAAAATATTGGTACAACATGGACTCTAGATGAGTTGTTAAAGAGACATTTTGCAATTTATTTTATTTTATTTTTTTGACATGGAGTTTTGCTCTTGTCACCCAGGCTGGAATGCAATGGTGAGATCTCGGCTCACTGCAACCTCCGCCTCCCAGGTTCAAGCGATTCTCCTGCCTCAGCCTCCCGAATAGCTGAGATTACAGGCATGCACCACCACGCCCAGCTAATTTTGTATTTTTAGTAGACACGGGGTTTCTCCATGTTGGTCAGGCTGGTCTCCAACTCCCGACCTCAGGTGATCTGCCCGCCTCAGCCTCCCAAAGTGCTGGGATTATAGGGTGAGCCACCACACCCGGCCACAGTTGCTTGCTTTCTCACGAAAGGTTTAACACAAGCCGGTAACTCTCCTGGGTGGTGTCCTCCATACAGTGACTCAGGGACCCAGCCAGGCCACTTTCATGTTCTCCAGTGAGGAGGAGGAGGAGGAGAGAGCTGGGCATGGCCTGGCTGTGCAGACCACCCTATCCCATTGGGCAGAGCTCAGGAACATGGCCCTACCTTAGTGCAAGGGGGGCTGCGGGTCAGAGTCTTCCTCGGACCTGGGAAGATGAGCGATGCTTCCAGTGAATGGTTTTGTCCGCCTCAGGGCCCTTGCCCATTCTCTCCCCTCTGCTTGGAATGTTCTTCCTTTCCCTTTTCTGGGGATTAAGTTCTGCTTATCTCTGGTGGGATGCAGTGGCTTACGCCTGTAATCCCAGCACTTTGGGAGGTGGAGGCGGGTGGATGAGTCAGGAGTTCGAGACCAGCCTGGCCAACATGGTGAAACTCCGTCTCTACTAAAAATACAAAACGTAGCTAGGCATGGTGGTGCCTGTAATCCCAGCTGCTTGGGAGGCTGAGGCAGGAGAATCACTTGAACCCAGGAGGCAGAGGTTGCAGTGAACCGAGATCACCCCACTGCACTCCAGCCTGGGTGACAGAGCAAGGTTTCATCTCAAAAAAAAAAAGGAAAAAAATTCTGCTTGTCTCAGATCAAATGTCACTTCCTCAGGGAGGGCAGGGGCCTGGGAGCCAGGCAGGGCTGGGTCCTGCAGGCGCAGTTACCCACCACCCATGGCAGGCAGCAGCAGGAGCTTGGGCTTTACCCCTGACCTGGACAACGGAACTGAAGGGTTTCCGGGGCCTGCGGGAGGTACAAGGATGGGATTTGCATTTGAAACCAACCTCTTGGGCTGGATGGAGAGCCGATACTGATACCTCTATTTTTAAGAAAGGCCAACTCTCTTGGTGCCCTGAGCAAAGCAAAACTCTGCGTGATGCCAACTTTGATGAACAATCTCGTCTCCATTGAAATATTTTACCCACGTGCCCAGGAAAAGGCTGATACGTTATTCAGCCTCACAGCTGCCAGGGCAGAGGGGCCCCCGGCTGTTTCCTCATGAGCTGCCTTTGCTAGGCCAGGGCCCGAAGAGGAGCCCAGGGAGGCCGGCGCTTTCAGGGAGCAGAGATCGAGGCAGCCTTGAGTCTTCTCGGCTTCTCAGCCAAGGGCCTGAGCCCGGTCACTTCTTTCATGTTTATGGAGCTTAATGAATGCTGAGGGCAGGTGGCCCAGGCCCTGGGCCACAGACATGAGACAGGAACAATCCTGAGCTATCTCAGTGTGAGGTGGGGACCGACGTCCAGACAGCTAGAAAGCAACAGGCGGACAGAGAGCAACAAGGGGGCATGGGAGTCCAGGTTGGGAAGGACAGCCAGGTCGGGCATGCAGGAAAGGGTATGTCCAAGCTGGGTTCTAAAGGTTGAGTAGGAGTTCACCAGGTGTAGGAGGTGACTGAAAAACATCCCTGGCAGGGACAAGCAGGGGCCAAGCTCTTGAAGGTTGCAAGGGCACAGGGCATGAGTGTGAGCAGGACAGGACATGGGACTGCAGATCTAAGCAGAGGCTGGGTCCTGGAGAGCTTTGAATATCAGGACTATGAGTTTGGACTCAGCCCTGGAGTCCTATGGAGCTGTTGACAGGGATTAAGAAGGGAGTGACATGGATCTGTAGTTCACAGAATGGATCCCAGGCATGCAGAGCGATCCACATGCCTGAGAGTGACCCCGGACTGGACTTCAGAGTTGAAAAAGACAAGCTGGGCACGGCAGCTCCTGCCTGTAATCCCAGCACTTTGGGAGGCTGAGGTGGGCAGATCACCTGAGGTCAGGAGTTTGAGACCAGCCTGGCCAATCTGGTGAAACCCTGTCTCTACTAAAAATACAAAAATTAGCCAGGTGTGGTGGTGGGCACCTGTCATCCCAGCTACTTGGTAGGCTGAGGCAGGAGAATCATTTGAACCTGGGAGGCGGAGGTTGCAGTGAGCCGAGATCATGCCACTGCACTCCAGCCTGGGCGACAGATTGAGATTCCGTCTCAATAACAAAAGAAAAAGAAAAAGACATGGCCTGCCCTTGGGTAGCTCCGTGTCTAATGGGCGAGGTCTGAGTGACCTGAGTACCCTGGAAATTAGGTGGTAGCACCCCTGTTTACAGATGAGGATCTCAACGCTCAGAGAAGTGAGGGAATTTGCCCAAGATCACAAAGTGTGGAGGAAAGGCAGCCTGGAGCTGACCTTTAGCAACTGATCACCGCTCTGGGCTTCTGTCTTCTCAGTCGTCAAATGGGGACACAAGACCCACTGACTTGCTGGGATGCCGAGAGGTGAGGGTCGATCTGTTTCCCCGGCGCCTGACACAGGGTATGCTTTATCAGGGGCTCATGAGTGCGTGCCCTTTCCTCTCCTCCCCCTGCCTCTCCAGCCAAGGAAACCCAGGCTCCCTGGGGGCATTTTCTCAGGAATGTCTCCCAGGCCAAGTCCCCCTTCTAGTTCCACCCTTACTAGCCCCAGAGAATCAGGGCAGGATTGGGGGTTCAGTGAGAACCCAACCTGGGCTAAGGGTGAGGCCGGTTCAGTCCCAATAATAATGGCAAATGTCAGCAGAGCCTGAGCCAAGGGTGTGCTCAACTTATCACATCAAACCTCAGATTAGGTAAATCCTATCAGTCCCATTTCACAGGTAAGGGGAAACTGAGACTCAGAGTCCCACCCAAGGTCACCTGGCTGCTAAAGGGGGAGCTGGAACCCAAACTGCAGGTCCTGAAGGCAAATCCCATGCTCTTCCCTCAATACCCTGCACCCAGAGTGAGCACAGCTCAGGGAGAAGTCCTGAGCCCAGGCTTGAGGGTGACCAGGGTCAAGGTGGAGAGCTGGGCCGGGCCCCCACCAACAACCAGCAGCAGCAGATCCCATGCACCTGAGACCACGAGCAAACAACACGTGCGGGATACCTGGGCCAGGTGTAGCTGATTTGCATATACTGTTTCTAGGCCTCTTGCTGGCCTTTCCTTGGGGCCTGCGCTCAGTCACAGCGAGGGAGGTGGGATCTGAACTCAGGTAAGTGTCACTCCAGGCCACATGCATCCCCTGCTGCAGGCTGCCCGAAGCTCTCCCTTCTTGCTATGGATCCCCGGCAGGGAGCTTAGGGCTGGCACCTGGGCCCGGGTGAGCTGGGTGGAGATGGGCTGAGGTGCCCATGCTGGGCTGTGGGAGGCAATGGCACCCTGTCGAGCCAGGGTGGGCTTGAGCTGGGAAGAGCTGGTCTGAGTGGCTGTGTGGTTCAGAGGCACCTGCTCTGCCTAGCCGTGGTCCACATTTTGTGGGTCACTGTGCCGAAGTCCCACATCCTCCCCGATGTCCTCACTGTCTCCCCTGCTCTGCCCACTTCAGCCCCTAGCACATGTGGAGGGAGCCCCATTGAGTGAGTGTCCCTCTGTGCCACCTGCTTGGATCTAGTCTGGGCTGGACACACTGGGGACAGAGGGGCAGGTCAGGCCCAGGCTCTGCCCTTGACGAGCCTGGGGCACGTAGAGGAGCTGGAACCTGTGTGCTCAGGTATCAGCAGGACATGGGGCTAGGGGGAGCCCCTGGAGGAGGGGATGTTTCAGCTGGGTTATAAAGATGAGTGAAATTTCACCTGGGAAAGAGGAGAGGCCAGTGCATGCTGAGCGTGGGGTGGTGTCAGCAGAGCTCAGCGGAGGGCATCCAGGCTGGACAGGGCTCACCTCCCCGATGCCCCAGCCTCAAGCGTTCTCCCTGCTTCTTCCTGGATTGTGAGGTACCCCGGTGGCTTTAAGCCCCTTGGGTGTGCTGGGCTTACTCCCCTCATCACTACCTTGATCCTGAACCCTTTCCTGTCCCCACCTGCCCCCACTTCCTAACAGATGGCCCCAGGCCTCTCAAATGACACAATGCTGAGCAATGCTGATGATGCAGAGGTAAGAGGGTGTCCTGAGTGAGAGCAGGGACCCTGGAGTCAGGCTGCCACTGTCCCCTCCAGGCTCTGCTTCTCAGCTGTGCAGCCCTGGACAAGTTACTTAACCTCTCTGTGCAAACTAAGAAGGTGTCAGGAAGTCAAGGGCCAGGAGGCTTTCGGGCAGGTGGACTGGGTGGGGTGTGGGGACAGTGGAGGGGGCGGGTAGGCAGTGCAGGACTGAGGCTGACTGAGGCAGGGATGAGTAGTGACAGCTTCTCTGTGTGGCGCCGCCTCAGGGGTGGGGCTGGCTATGGGGTCAGGCCAGGCTGAGGCAGAAATGGAGCCTGGGCTCCGTGGATCCACAGAGCTGCTCTGAAATTGAGAGCCACGCTGTCCCCAGGGTGCACGCTTGGCCCAGCCCAGGCCGGCTCTGGAATCCTGATGGTTGAGTATAAACGTGCTGCAGATAAATGTGGCCTCGCCCTCTGGATGAGGCAGGGGAAGAGGCCCCCGCATGCACAGCAGCCGGCAGAGTGGAACGTGCTGATCCTCTCAGGAAGGGAACCTGGCGATTTCTGCTGCAACTACCTGGTGCACCTACACTTTGACCCGCCAGCCCCACTTGCAGGAATCTGTCCTATAGAAACCCCTGCCCCGCCCCCCGCCCGCCCCCGCCGAGCACCCCTCCGGACAAGAGCGTCCAGGCGAGGAAATTCACAAAGCATGACTTACAGTAGCAAAAAATAGAAATAGCCCCTAAGTCGATCAATAGGGGGCTGACTGGATAAAGTGTGGAGCAGAAGAAACTTAAAGACTGCCATTTGTCAATAAGACTATGCCCCTAAGTGAAAACAGCCACTCAAAGCGCTACACTCTGAGTAAGAACATAGATTTGCTATATTTGCATAAAGAAACACTTTCGGAAGATGCAAAGAGAAATGAATGAAAACGACAACTTCAGAGGCAGGGGCAGAGTGTGGGAGCCTGCCTAATATTATAACATAGAAGTTAATTTGTGTTTTGAATGGAGTTATATTTATTGTTTATTTGAAAGCTTTAAAGAGTAAAATAAGAACGTTCATTAGAAAGCTCCCCTTAAGAAAAGCATCTGATTTTCTCCACGTTCTGCTTTTGCTATGAGCCATTCTCTCAGCCCCGCCTGACTTGGTGATGTTCCTGGGCCGTGGGGAATGTGAGATGCTGAGTGGATGCCCACGTGGGGTCCAGGTGGGCAGAGGGAGAGTCTGAGAGGGCAGGGATGGCTGCTCCCCGGCCAGGGAATGCTGCGGAAACTGGCAGCCAGAAGCGAGGGATGCTCATGTGCAGGGACTATATAGCTTCCCCTTTAATCTGGAGAGCAATGCCTTGAAGGAGGCTCTGTGATGCCCATTTCACAGATGAGTAAACCGAGGCTCCTAAAGGTGAAGTGACTTGCCCAAGGCCACGTGGCTGCGAGGCAACAGGATGATAAGTCGAACCCAGATCAGTCTTCCTCTGCAGCCCGCACTGCTGGCCAGGGAGCTGGGACCCAGGAGCCCGGCAGTCACACACAGGGAAGGGGGAAGGGGCTGCTCAGAGCGGTGGAGCTCAGCCTCCCACTTCATGCCCACGTGGGTTCTGCCCCCGTCTGTTCAGGCTCAGAGCAGGGGCCAACCTTAAAGGCTCTGATGCATCTGGCTGGGGTTAAGGCTGAGCCTGAGAAGGTTCTGGAGCAGAGCCAGAGCCAGAGCGGAGGCACATCACTGTGGGCAGAGCTGAAATGAACAGGTGCAGGGCACAGACACAGGAGCCTGGCATGGAGCAGGAGGCTGAGGCTCCTCCTGGCCAGATGCCAAAGAGAGGTGAGGGGCTGACACTGATGCCCCTGCCTGAGAGCCATGACAAGGAGAGGTAGAGCAGAGCCTGCCAGGCTCCATCTCCCCATACACTGAGAACAACTGCTCCCTTGCTTGCCGATCATTCTTTTTTTTTTTTTTTTTGAGATGGAGTTTCGCTCTTGTGGCCCAGGCTGGAGTGCAATGGCGCGATCTCAGCTCACCGCAACCTCTGCCTCCCAAGTTCAAGTGATTCTCCTGCCTCAGCCTCCCAAGTAACTGGGATTACAGGTGCCCACCACCATGCCCAGCTAATTTTTGTATTTTTAGTAGAGATGGGATTTTATCATGTTGGCCAGGCTGGTCTTGAACTCCTGACCTCAGGTGATCCACCCGCCTCGCCTTCCCAAAGTGCTGGGATTACAGGCGTGAGCCACTGCACCTGGCCGCCAACCATTCTTAAGGTCTGCCGTGAGCGCGCCAGCCGGTGTCTCCCCCACATCTCCCTCATGGGCCCCAGTGGTGGGAGTTCGTCCTTTCTGCAAAGTGAAGCACTCGAACCTCTGCACATGTTCTTGACCACCAAGGATTTGAGGCTAACAAAGTGCTCTTGTATCTGGCATAGGTTTTGTGAAATTTCCCTCTGAGGCTGCTACTCTGATGGTTGGTGTTTCTGGACTGACTGCAAGAGGCCATCCTGGTGGGGCTGGACCCCCTTAGCTCTGGCTGATGAAGCCACTGCTCGGGACACCCAGAATCTTGGCTCCTCCAGGTACATCAGCCTGCATGGGTACGGGTGCACTGTCTGTGAGCACTGACTGTGTGCTGAGGCCTGGGCAGATCTTGGGTGGGGACACAAGCAGCCCTATGGCTCTCATAACTCCTGTGCCTGCAAGGCTCCCAGGAAACCCTACGCCCTCAGCTGAAAATATGCTGGAAAAACTCCCCTGGGACCCTGGCGTCAACACCGCCCCCTCTTCTTTACCATCACTTCTTTCCCTGCTTCTCAGTCAGTGTTTCCATTCTGCACTCTATTAACCAATACTTGTTCTGATGCTGGAATCGTGAGGCCTTTCTTCTTGATCAGGCCAACTCCTACTCATCCTTCAAAACCCAGAAATGCCACCTTCTTTGTGAACCTTTCCCAGTTCCTCCAAGCAGATACTCCCTCACTCCTGGTGCTGCCAAAACACCGTGTGAATGAGAGACATGACCCCAGCTGCCCTGGGGAGTTTCCCATGGGGATGAGGGTGCTCTCTCCATGGGGATGGCATCAAACAGAGACCCGGCAAGTGAGGGCTGGCAGTGCTCATCTACAGGAGTACTAGTGCAAAGACCCAAAGACCCTAAGTGGGCAGCCTGCTTGGCAAGTTTGAGAAACAGCGGGGAAGCCAGGAGCAGACAGCAGGGTAGGGGAGAAGCTGGGGAGGGAGGAAGGAGTAGGAGTGAGGTGACGCAACTGAATGGCTCGTTGCAACACACCGCACAGTAATGACCACTGTAACCCACCCATTCTCACAGCACCCATGTGGGAACTTAGACCCCGGAGGCAAGGGACAGGCTCAAGGGCACACAGCCATCCAGTGGCAGAGTCAGCATTGAACCTGGGGCTGTCAGTCCTTGAGTTCATGTCTTGCGGCATCACCTTGCAGCATCCCTTAAGGGGCAGAACAAGAGGCTGAGTCCCATGTCCCCACTGTCACTCCCACCTAGCTGGTTACCCTGTAGACCTGGGGCCCAGGTGGGCCAGGCTTCCCTCCTAGGAGGATCCCTCCTGACCCCAGTTGGCTTGGCTGGCTTGGCTCTAGCCTTCTGCCTTTATTTCTACATAAACAGCTCCACCATAAATGTGAGGGATGCCGTCCCTGGTTGCTGCTCCTATGTGGTCCCAGGCCAGAGAGGCTCTTGCCAATGCCAGTGTATTTGGTGGAGGCCATGCTGGCCTTCCTGGAAGAGCCCTGTGCAGAGTGAGTGGTGCAGGTGCCAATGTGTCATAGTCATCTGCCTCTCCAGCACCTGCCACTTGAGTATGAGTCCTGCCACTCAAGGGGCTATATGCCAGGCCCTGTGCGGGGCACTGTATACACGGAGCTGACCCTCAGGCTCTCATGGTCAGGGGGTGGACATAAATGCAGACCCAGAGGGTGACCACACAATGTGCTCAGGGCTGTGGCACAAGGGAGTTCAGGAAGGGGAGAGGGAGCCCAGAAAAGGCTCCTAACATTGTTGGGGGAGGGTGCGGCAGGGTGGGGCTTGGGGGTTTTCTTGCTATAGAAGAAACAAAACTGATCCATCATATTAAAGCACAGGACGTCAGTTCCACTCCTTCCTTCTATCCATTCATCCATCCATATGCCCAACCATCAATTCACTCACCAATCCTCCCATCCACCATTCATCCATCTATCCATCCATCCATTCACTCACCTATCTACCTACCCACTCGTCCACCCATCCATCCATCCATCTACCCACCCACCCATCCACCCACCCACCCATCCACCTACCCATAGATCCATCCACCTACCCATCCGTCCATCCACCGACCCATTCATCCATCCATCCATCCATCCACCCACTCACCCACCCATCCACTCACCCATCCATCCACCCACCTATCCATCCATCCACCTACCCGTCCATCCGTCCACCTACCCATCCATTCATTAACTTATCCATCCATCCACCTACCCATTCATCCATCCACCGTCCACCTACCCATCCATCTATCCATCCATCCATCCATCCACTCACCTATCCATCTACCCAGTCATCCACCCATCTGGCCATCCATCTACCCACCCACCCATCCACCTACCCATAGATCCATCCACCTACCCATAGATCCATCCACCTACCCATCCATCCATCCACTGACCCATTCACCTATCCATCATCCATCCATCCATCCACTGACCCATTCACCTACCCATCCATCCATCCATCCATCCATCCATCCATCCATCCATCCACTCACCCACCCATCCACCCACCTATCCATCCATCCATCCACCTACTCATCCATCCATCCACCTACCCATACATTCATTAACTTATCCATCCATCCACCTACCCATTCATCCATCCACCATCCACCTACCCATCCATCTATCCATCCATCCATCCATCCACCCGTCCACCCACCCACCTAACTACCCACCTGTCCCTCAAATACTTGTGTCTGCTCTGTGCCATACTCCAAGGATGCTAAGCAAAGTTAAACCTAGTCCCTGGCCTTGACCCCTTGCAGACCTCAAGCCCTAGGACTTGGTATTGACTTTCCTCAACCTTTGTTGGCCTTGATGCTGGAGGAGGGAAGAAGGGCAGGGGCTGAGAGCCCAGAGGCAGTGCCCAGGGGCATGGTAGATTCAGGAGAGGACATCTGAGATGAATCTAGTTAGATCTGAAGGAGGACTCCAGGCAAGGGGTGAGAGAAAGGGCTTTAGGCAGGGGAGAGAGGTCAGCCCAAGCCAGGGCAGGGAAGCCAGGCCAGGGCAAGAGGTACAGGGAGTTGAGTCAAGTTGGGCCAGGTGTGCTGGGTCCATGAGGCTGGAGGAGTGAGCAGGGCCAAACCTAGGCTGGCCTGGGGTCAGGCTGCAGGGTTGGAGGCAGCTCTGACAGCTGGACCTGGAAAGGCCAGGATCTGCCTGGGGTTCGATGCTGACCCTTCACGCAAGCCCTCTGTGTGGGCCAGTTCAGGTTAGAAATGATGGGCCAGGCACAGTGGCTCATGACTGTAATCTCAGCACTTTGGGAGAAAGCAGGGGCATTGCTGTCAGATGAGGGGGGCTCCAGACTTGCCTGAGCCATCTCAGAGCACTGGTTAAGTGTCTGAGCTCACAGATCAGGCATCCTGGGACTTGAATCCCGGCCCTGCCACTTCCTGGCTGTGTGACCCTGAGAAAGTGACTTAGCCTCTCTGAGCCTCCACTGCTGCATTTGCAATGTAGGGAGTGCCAATCACCCGGAGTGCCCAGAAGCCTCCGGGAAGATATCAGGGTCGAGCTGAGTCATGAGGCTGAGAAGGTCGGCCTGGTGCACAGGAGGGTAGGGACTCAGGTGGTGAAAATGAGGGCAGGTGCAAAGGTGACTGAGGCACGTCCTGGCTGACATTTGGGCTCCAGGTCTGGCTGCCAGCGTTCAAATCCCTGCTCTGCCACTTGCTAGATGTACAGCCCTGGACACCTGACTTATCTCCATGCCTCAGTGTCCCATATGTAATTGGGGATGACAGCAACACTGTTTGCCACACAGAGCCGTTGAGAGAATTGGAAGAGGAATGCGCGTGCAGCGTTGTAAGCAGTGCCCGTGTGCCGAAAGCACTGTGCAAATGTTAGTTAAGGTTAACGCCGTGTGACTCATCGGAGAGTGCTCTCATCTCTTTAGGCTTTTTTATCTCCCGCTCTCTGCAGTGGAGAGCAGCTTGAGGAAATAACAGCATGAATGCAAATTCTTAACAGGCAAACAGGTTTCCAGTCCCGCTGCTGACGACCTTCTCATTGGCATTGAAAAAGAGCGTTTTCGGCTCCCTGCTCAGACGCTGGCGGCTTCTGGGTGACAAGCGGCTGTCAGATGCTTTTAACAAGACTTAGGTTTTAGCGGGTCAATCAAGGTACCGACCGGACCAGGTTTGGGATAATTAGGTCCTTCAAAAAGGCCTCCAAGAAGGACATGGATAAAACCTTCTCCAACTTTGAGTCCAGTGACTGTGGGCACAGGTGTCGGTGGTAGTTCCTCAGCCACAGGCTCCCCTGCCAGCCCCAGGAATCTCTAGCATCTTGGGCCCCAGGATGTCCCACCCCAGAAACAGGTGATGTTGCTGCCAGGGATTCCATCGCCTGGAGCAGGCAATGCCAGGGGCTTCGCTACCTCCCCACATCCCCTGGAGGAGTGGGCGGGCTCCAGGGCTATTGGAGGAACCCTCCCTGCGCCCGCCTCTGGCTGTTGAGCTAATAAACAGCTGTTGCCTCTTTGCATCCTAGATGGATCCTGGCACCACATACACCCAGAGATTTCTGCTAATTAAAGTCAGGTTTTGACATTTGAGGCATTTTGCTGAGACGGGAGCTCATGCCCTGCGGGAGAACTGAAGCGTCCGGTTCTTCCTAAGCTCGACCCCAGACAGCTGGGCGTTATGAGGGCAGACATCCTAATGCTTTTGTTTATTTATCGGATGCATTTGTACTCTTCCCCACATTTCAGAGAGGGTTGGAATCAGCCTTAAGAACAAGTTTGTCTTGATATGGGGAAAAAAACCCCCACACAGCTTTTGGAGTCAGAAAGGACTGGGTATGAATCCTTTGTATCACTTTGTAGCTGTGTGTCCTTGGACAAGTCACCTCACCCCTCTGAGCCTGTTTCCTCATCTGCACGATGGGAGCATGCAGTGCCTCCATTGTTGGACTCTATTGAAGATACAATGAGATCATGAGATAAAATACCATTGCTGTTTCATAGATGTTTCCAAAATAGGCTTGTTTAAAATGCTAGCTGGGTGTGGTGGCTCATGCCTGTAATCCAGCACTTTGGGAGGCTGAGGTGGGTGGATCGCTTGGGGTCAGGAGTTCAAGACCAGCCTGGCCAATACGGTGAAACCCCATCTCTACTAAAAATGCAAAAATTAGCCCGGCGTGGTGGCACTTGCCTGTAATCCCAGCTACTTGGGAGGCTGGGGCAGGAGAATCACTTGAACCTGGGAGGTGGAGGTTGCAGTGAGCCGAGATTGCACCACGGCACTCCAGCCTGGGAGAAAGAGTGAGATTCTGTCTCAAACAAATAAATACATAAAAAATAAAGTGGTTCACAGAATAAGAACAGAAAAGTTAAGTACAGGAAAGAAGAGGCAGGGGATGCCTACTGTTGCACAGTGCAGGGGCTGCATCCTTGCCCCAGGCCTGCCCCTTTCCACCTGATGTTCTTTGGGTACTGCCCAGGTCCTGCCACCTCCTGCCCTTGGACAGAGATGACCTATTCAGGTCTGGGCTGAGACACAGAAATCAAGTGCCAGGGCGACTGAGTCACAGAGCCTGTCACCCGGAGAGAAACTGTTTCTCCTGCACGGGGATGGATGGGGTAGAGAGAATGAAGCCAGAGGCACGGAGTGGAAACCCCAGGAAGCCTCCAGCCCAGCAGCTCTGCTCTGAGCCATTCTTAGGCTTTCCCAAACTTCTGCATTATCCTGAAAATAAGCCCCTCAACTTTGTGTAAGTCTGATTCTTGGAATCAAGAGGTACCGACACAAAGGGAATACATCACGCTGAACAGAGCTGCTGGGAAGATGGTCAAGCCTGGCTCCAAGAACGGGCCGTGGGGGCAGGTTCTTGGTCCTGGAGAGAAGAAAAGATCGTGGGGGCTTCTCAGGAGAGGCAGAGCTTTTCCCAGCCTGGATGTAAGACTGTGGCCTCAAGTGGAGCTTCCTGCGGGGGTCCTGGTGAATGACCTGGATGCAGTGCCCAACCTTGTCACTGTGGCAAAGGCCAGGGCCACCTTATGGCCGTGTCTGGACATGAGATTCCCCAAAAGCCGAGGGTGGGATGTAGACTCTTTAAGATGTGCTAGGAAAGCTGCTGTTTCCAAAGGCCAGATGGCCACCACCATGCCATGGTCACAGTAGGGGATGGCAAACCCACCGCCCCAGGCAATGGTGGCGATAGAGTGAGGGTGCGGGCTGGTTAGGTGCTGGTGGGATGAAGCTGGCTACTGCCCTCCACTTTCTCTCATTTCCCCACACAAGACCCATGGGGGACCCCGAAACTTCCACCAGCAGAGCTGATGCAGGTACGGCGGTGCCTCTCTGCAGCCCACTGCTATGGCTGGCATGTCCCCGCGTCTCCCCTGGAGCCGATGGAGGGACCACGGGGGCGTCCCTGCTGCTGCCCTTGATGCTTGCAGCGCAGCGGCCCAAATGTCCCTGTAAAATGAGGCTGGTCAGTTCTCTCCTCTGCACAATACCTGGAGGCATCTCACTCAGAGTGAGAGCCAATGGCCATAAGTGACCCTCCGTGAGCTGCTCACCGCCTCCTCTCCAGGCCCGATGCCAGCTTCCTTGTTTGTGCCCTTGACCTTGCCAGGCACACAGCCCCCACATCCCCAAGAGCCTTGACTCTGCCTGAGGAGCTCTCCCTCCAGGTGCCCGCAGGCCTTCCCTTCCCCAGGCCTCCCTGACCACCGTGGGGTAGGACACTCCACCCTGGGTGCTCCCCACCTGCCTTGTCTGTTCTTACCTCCTTCCAGCACTGTAAGAACTGAACCTGTCTACTTCCTTCATGCTTTACCATCTTTCTCTCCCTGCAGGAAGATAAGTTCCCCAGGGACAGGGACTCCTACTTGTTTGTTCACTGATGTGTCCCATGAGCCTAGAGAAGTACCTGGATCAGAGTCCCTTCTCAGCAAAACTGCCAGGGTGGAACGGATTAGGACCTGTTCCTGCACTAGCTGAAGCCAGGATGCATGGCACACCTTTTCAAAAACCTCCTTTGGGTCGGGTGCAGTGGCTCATGCCTGTAATCCCAGCACTTTTGGAGGCTGAGGCAGGTGGATCACCTGAGGTCAGGAGTTCGAGACCAGCCTGGCCAACATGGTGAAACCCCATCTCTACTAAAAATACAAAAATTAGCTGGGTGTGGTGGCGGGTGCCTGTAATCCCAGCTACTCTGGAGGCTGAGGCAGGAGAATTGTCTGAACCCGGAGGCGGAGGCTGCAGTGAGCCAAGATCACGCCACTGCACTCCAGCCTGGGTGACAGAGCGAGACTCCATCTCAAAAGGAAAAAAAAAAAAAAAGAAACCCTCCTTTGAATGAACCATAAATATTCGTTGCCCCAAGTTAAAAAAAACTTAATTATACGTTAATATATAATAAACATGTATTTGCATTTGTATATAATAAACATGTATTTGTATGTAATATGTAATCATAATGTAAGAATTACTTGAAGAAAATTTGGGTGCAAACCTCATATTAAGAGGCACATTTGCCTCACTCTTCCTCCCAGGGACAATGATGACAGCCTTTTCGTGCAGCTCCTACCAGTGTTCCTTTGAGGGGTGTGTGACTGCCAGTATGACTGCCCAGGAATTTGGAGGGTGAGGCCAGGAAACTCCAGGAGAGACGGTGGCCTGTGTGGCGTTATCACGGGGAGGTGCAGGTTGGCACCTAAACTTGATCATGCTACTCTCCTGCCTGAACACTCTGTGGCTCCCACTGCTCTTAGGATGAGACTCCAGCTCCTTGTTCCTCCAGCTGCCTCCTCACCCTGCCTTGCGCCATTCCCCTGCCTTGCTCTTTGGCCCTCAGGCCTACAGCTTCTTTGCTGGTCCCTGGGTGCCCCAAGATCTTCTCCTCTTGTTCCCAGTACCCAGGATACTTGTTACCTGCTACTTCCTCCTGGCTGGGCCCCCTGGCCCCACGAGGACAGCTTTTTCTGGATGACCTGGCTAAGTGAAGGCTGGATCCTTCATTCCTCTCTGCAGCCCCTTTTGTTTCAGAGCACACGTCACAGCCGCCATCATTGATGTGCCTATCTGGCTACTTGTGTATGATTTTTTCCTGCCCCTAGCATGTATGCCCTGTGTGTGCAAGCACTGTCTGGCGAACCACTGTACACCCAGTGTCTGGCACATAGCAGGTGACCCATACATATTTGCGTATTAAGGGGAAAGATGGCAATAACTAGAGGACGTGGGGACATTTGACTCATGCGTTTATCTTTTTTTTTTTTTTTTGAGACAAGATCTCACTCTGTTACCCAGGCTGGAGGGCAGTGGCACGATCTCAGCTCACTGTAGCCTCAACCTCCTGGGCTACGGCGATCCTCCTGCCTCAGCCTCCTGTGTAGCTGGGACCATACCCGCATGCCACCGCAGCTGGCTAATTTTAAAACTTTTTTTGTAGACACAAGGTCTCACTTTGTTGTCCAGGCTGGTCTGGAACTCCTAGGCTCAAGCCGCAGCCTCCCAAAGTACTGGGACTACAGGCGTGAGCCACCACATGCAGCCATGTATCTTTTAAAAATATTTATTATTTATTTTTTAATTTTTCATGCCCCTTGCTGCAGAGTTGTGTATATGTATCTGCGTTTATGGACATATTTCTTCTAAAACATATTGAAGTATAATATGTATCTAGAAAAGTGCACCAATTCTGAGTGTGTAGCTGGGTGAATTGTCAATGGTTACAGACCCATGTATCCAGCACCCAGATCTGGATACAATGTTATCAGCACCTCAAAAACTGCCTCCTGGCATGGTGGCTCATGCCTGTAGTCCCAGTACTTTGGGAGGTCGAGGAGTGGGGATTGCTTGAGCCCAGGAGTTCGAGACCAGCCTGGGCAACCAAGTGAGACCCTTGTCTCTACAAAAAAATACCAAAAAAAACTAGCCAGGGGTGGTGGCGCACACCTGTAGTCCCAGCTACTCGGGAGGCTGAGGTGGGAAGTTCACTTGAGCCTGGGAGATGGAGGCTGCAGTGAGCTAAGATCACGCCACTGAACTCCAGCCTGGGTGACAGAGTGAGACCCTGTCTCTGAAACCAAAACCAACACCAAAACCGAACAATCCAAAACAAACAAAAAACCTCCTCCACGCCCCTTCTAGTCTCTGCTCCTCCCTGCAATAATCATAGCCTCTGTGCCATAGATGAAATAAATGCTGGCAGGATTGGAAACCGGCTCAGCCATTTTGAAAACCACTTGGCAGTATCTACTAAGCTGAACCTGAGCCCCGCAGTGACCCGGCCATCCTGCTCCGAAGGATGTTTGCAGAGGGCGGAAATGCACACAGCTGCTCACCGCAGGTGCAGAGACACCCACTGGGGTGTTCCTGACCGTTTCAGACTAGAAGTCCACCCGTACGCCCATCACAGTGGGTGGAGAGGTGCACTTGGGAGAGCCACACAATGGAATACTTCACAATAACAAGAACGCAGGTGCCACAGACAAAGGCAGCAGCGACGATGACTCTCTCAGTGTTGAGTGGAAAACATCAGACAGAAAAGATGACCCATTCCAAGATGACATTTATATGTGAAACCAGAACAGACAAAACAACCCAACAGGGCTATGTGTGGGAGGATATTTATTTTGCTTCTTTTCACTTTCCTTGTCTTCCCTTCTCTTTCTCCCTCTCTTCTCTCCCTCCTTCCTTTTCTTCCTTCCTTCCAAATTTGGGATCCCTATCCCTCTCTGTAAACACACACACACAGCTTCTTCTCTACATCAAGAAATAATAGGCTGGGCGCAGTGGCTCACGCCTGTAATCTCAGCACTTTGGGAGGCCGAGGCAGGGGGATCACAAGGTCAAGAGATCGAGACCATCCTGGCCAACATGGTGAAACCCCGTCTCTACTAAAAATACAAAAATTAGCTGGGCGTGGTGGTGTGCACCTGTGGACCCAGCTACTCGGGAGGCTGAGGCAGGACAATTGCTTGAACCTGGGAGGTGGAGGTTGCCAGGAGCCAAGATCACACCACTGCACTCCAGCCTGGTGACAGAGCAAGACTCTGTCTCAATAAAACAACAACAACAACAAAAAACCCTTTAAAATAATGGCCACCACGGATGCATGAAGGCTTGTAAGCATTTTATATGCTGATGCTTTGGAAAGTCCATGACCTTTTTCAGAAATCATCATGAGTTCAAGGTCGACATCAGGTACAGGGGCTCTGAGGCATTTGCTTAGCTGGAATGAGGGGGTGCTCGTGGCCGTGGTCACATGACAGGTGGTGTGTGCTGCACTGGTCAGGGGGTGTGCTCAGGGGAGAGGGGTATGGGACACCATCTACAGTGGCTGTTCAGCAAAAGGAAAGGTTGAGGACTGACCATTTAACCTGCTTGACTGTGTCTTTTTAAGGGCTGCAGACATTCCGTTATCTGGGTTGTTAACGGCTTTACGGAGCCAAATCTCTGCCACCAGTGTGAATAAACATCTGGGTGCCAGAGCCAAGCTGCACAGGTTCAGATCTGGGCTCTGCCAGGCACTGGTGATTCATCAGAGACAACTTATTTATCTCTCTCTCTCTCTTTTTTTTTTTTATGAGACGGAATCTTGTTCTTGTTGCCCAGGCTGAAGTGCAGTAGCGCAATCTCAGCTCACTGCAACCTCCACCTCCCAGGTTCGAGCGAGTCTCCTGTCTCAGCCTCCCGTGTAGCTGGGATTACAGGTGCATGCCACCACACCTGGCTAATTTTTGTATTTTTAGTAGAGACGGGGTTTCGCCATGTTGGCCAGGCTGGTCTCGAACTCCTGACCTCAGGTGATCCACCCGCCTCGGCCTCCCAAAGTTCTGGGATTACAGCCATGAGCCACTGTGCCCAGCAACTTATTTACTTCTTGGGGCCTCCGTTTCCTTATCTGTAAAATAAGTTTGAAAACTGCGCTGACCACATACAGTTGCTGTAAGAATTAAATGAGTTATTTATTTATTTTTATTTATTTTTTTGTTGAGATGGAGTCTCGCTCTGTCACCCAGGCTGGAGTGCAATGGTGCGATCTCGGCTCACTGCAAGCTCTGCCTCCTTGGTTCACGCCATTCTCCTGCCTCAGCCTCCCGAGTAGCTGGGACTACAGGAGCCTGCCACCACGCCCGGCTAATTTTTTTGTATTTTTAGTAGAGACGGGGTTTCACCATGTTAGCCAGGGTGGTCTTGATCTCCTGACCTCGTGATCTGCCCGCCTTGGCCTCCCAAAGTGCTGGGATTATAGGCGTGAGCCACCACAGTCGGCCATGAGTTATTATTTGTAAAGCTCTTGGTTAAGTGCCTGCATGGAACACAGTAAGCATTTAACAATGTTTTTCTACTTTTGCTCAGTTGTTTTAAAATGTCCCCCATCGTATTAGTCAGCTTTGGCTGTAATAATGCTGCATAACAAACATTCCCTGTCTCTCAGTGGCTTCCAATGACAAGCACTGTGCTCGATTTTGGGCTGTGATTGGGTTTAGGCCTGTTCCACCTGTTTCTGCCCCCCTCTCCCCAAAACCCAGGAAGAAGGAGTGGTGTCAGCTCAGACATCTCTTCTGATGGTGGGGGGCAGGAAAGCCAGAGGGGGAGTGGAACCCTGGCATGCCTCAAAGAGCCATGCCGTCCCTTCTGCCCACATCCCAGCGTTCCAAGCAGGTCTCATGACCCAGCCTTGAGGCAAGGAAGCTCTGAAAGCGACACTACCCACAGGGACTGTGGCAGGGCTGAGGGCAGGGAAGGAAGATTGTGGAAAGAAAATGGAGTTTCCACCCACTCCATGCAACCCTGGTGATGCACCCTCAGAGGGAGGGAGATGTTTGTGGCCTCATCTGATGAAATTCATGGCAAGGTAATGCCTGATGAATGATCTGAGCATTTTCTCATTGCTTCATAAAATGTTACCAAGTTGTCCTCCAGAAAGGATGACCAAGTTATCTTTCTACCAGCGGCATGCGAGACTGACCTCCAGCACCTGGCCAATACGATCAAGCATTTTTTTTCACCTTTGCTCAGTCGAAGGTAAAAACAAGTATTATGATGGTTGTTATGACAGCATAACGTTGTATTATCAGCTTGGATTTTTATGGCATGTGAAGTCAGAATGACCTCAGCTAAGTGTGATCCTAGCTTCCTGTAGCCTCTCACCCTCCATATTGTGCTGCAAGCAGATGAGCCTTCCTGTTTAACTCAGGCCTTGGCTGTATGATCCGTTCAGGCCAATGGAACATGCTGGGCCAAGGAGAGCTTTAAATGTGCTCTGGTGGTTTGCTTTACCCCAACCCCAGCCTTGGGACCAGGGGCACGAGGCAACATTCTGGGGTGACGGAAATATTCTGTATCTTAACGGGGGTTTGGCTTAATCAGGTGAATTTATTTATGGAAGTGAATTGTACTTAAGATCTGGGCCTTTTACTATATATAAATTATACCTCAATAATAAAATAAAATGGGCATAAAAAGCTTGCCAGGTGAAGGGAAGGAAAGGTTTCCAGCCAGTAAAGATCAGAGGCAGAGGCATGGAGGCCTCAGGGGGAGTAGTGTGCTTGGCGGAAATGGAATTATCTTGTTGGGCCAGATTATTAAGGAATTTGCTGTGGACCGAATGTTTGTTGTCACCTCCAAATCCACATGTAGAAACCTAAATCCCTAATGCAATGGTATTTGGAGATGGGGCTTTTGGGAGGTAATTAGGTCACAAGAGTGGGGCATTCATGGTGGGATTAGTGCCCTTATGAAAGAAACCCAGGGAGTTAGCGTGTGTGTCATCTCTCTCTTTCTCTCTCTCCTCTGCTGTGTGAGGACACAGGATCTTCCAACACCTTGATCTTGGACTTCCAGGCTCTTGGACTTCCAGAACTGAGAGAGAGAATTCTGTTGTTTCAGCCCCGTCTAATGCATTCTGTTCCAGCAGCCTACCCACACTGAGGAAGACAGAATTTGATTTAAGGGCAATCTAGTTCCAGCTTCCCATTTTACAGATAAGTAAAAAGGCCAGAAGGAGTGATCACTAGTCCACATCTGTGCAATTTGCCAGTGGCAGAGCTACAACTCCAATTTAGGGTGTTCTTCCACCCCTGACGTGTGTGTGTGTGTGTGTGTGTGTGTGTGTGTGTGTGTGTGTGTGTGTGAGAGATTGCGGGGGTTTGGCGAGAACAGTGATTCCATTGGGGTCATAGTTGTTGAAGGAAAACAGCAATTCACCCTGATCTGTGTTCATGCCCCCGAAATGGGCCAGCTGTATTAAAATAACTCTTAAAAAAACAAATGCAATTTCACCCCAGTCTACCACTCCAAGAAGCCAACCCTGGCTGTTTGCCTCTAACCGCTCTCTGCCCTCCGCCATGTGGGTAACAATTTGGCACAATGTTTCTGCACCAGGGACTGAGCTAAGCTCTCTACCTAACTTGCTCTTGCCATCCTCCTGGCAAGCTGCATGGCGTTATTGCCCTCCCCATTGTAGGAGGAGGAACCTGCAGCTCAGGGGAGTGAGGCTCTTTGCCTGCAATTATATGACAGTAGGTGGCTACTGGGCATCACAGGCAGGTTGAAGTGCTGTTAGGATTTGGACCCTGGTTCTTACAGCCTTGGCAGTTGCTTCTGCTGCTGCCTGGAAAACTGAACTCCCACATACTTACGTGGCTGGTACCTGCTCCTCGTCCAGGTCTCAAATCAAAGGTCAACGCCTTCAAGAAGGCTTCCTTAACCCATTCCATCTCAGCCTTCAGCATGTTCCATCTTTCCAGTACATTCCATCTTTTATTGTCTTCAGAACACTTGTTTTATTAACTTATCTTGTTTACTTATGTGTTTATTATCCCTATTAGAATGTAAGTCAAGGCTGGGGGCAGTGGCTCACGCCTGTAATCCCAGCACTTTGGGAGGCTGAGGCAGGCGGATCACCTGGGGTCAGAAGTTCAAGACCAGCCTGGCCAACATGGTGAAACCCCATCTCTACTAAAAATACAAAAATCAGCCAGGTGTGGTGGTGGGTGCCTGTAATCCCAGCTACTCGGGAGGCTGAGGCAGGAGAATCACTTGAACCTGGAGACAGAAGTTGCACTGAGATTGCACCACTACACTCCCAGCCTGTGTGACAGAGCAAGACTCTGTCTCAAAAAAGAAAAAATAATGTAAGTCAAGAAACAAGGAGCCTCAGCCGGGTGCAGTGGCTGACGGCTGTAATCCCAGCACTCTGGGAGGCTGAGGTGGACGGATGACCTGAGGTCAGGAGTTCGAGACCAGCCTGACCAACATGGAGAAAACTGTCTCTACTAAAAATACAAAAGTATCCAGGCATGGTGGCGCATGCCTGTAAACCAAGCTACTTGGGAGGCTGAGGCAGGAGAATCGCTTGAACCCAGGAGGTGGAGGTTGCGGTGAGCAGAGATAGCCCCACTGCACTCCAGCCTGGGCAACAAGAGTGAAACTTTGAGAAAAAAAAAAGAGAAAGAAAAAAGAAAGAAGAAAGAAAGAAAGGAAAGAAAGAAAGGGAGAGAAAGAAAGGAAGAAAGAGCGAGCCTCATTTATATACTCCTGTTGAACCAACATATATTGAATATATGTTGAATATATAAGTGAATGAGTGAATGAATGAATGTCACCTCATCCTGTGCCTTTCCACTAATTTTCAATAGTCTGCACTTTCCTGCTACAGCCTTTTACTTGGGAACTTAGGTCGTTTCCATTTTTGCACTATTGCATATCCTGTTACAATCAATGATGGTATCACATTTGCACATTTTTGTAAAATCATGGCTGTGTGTACCCCATGAATAAAGACGCTTAAAACAACAATTGAGATGAACATTTTATGAGGGTTTTATGAGGGTTCTTGTCACAAGTGGTCCCCCATGTTCCAAAGCCCTGCTCTATTCCAGGCTCCTGGTGCACTCTTTCTTCCTGCCTCATTTTGTCCTTGCCTTGCTTGCCTGCTCTGAGAATCAAAGAGGAGCATCTTTTATGTGCAAACGACGTGGTTTCGCCAATAAGATGTAGAAAGAGCTCCACCGGGCCATGGGTTCTGCTATCTGAATTCCCGAGGTAAAGAAGAGCGGGCTCTGTTCAGCTCTTCTGAAACAAGAGCCAGGAGGTTGCTGCCCCTGGAAATTAAATCGCTGTCTGTGGTGGAGATTAGGGAGCTGGTGATGAGCTCGGATGTGGGGGCTGGTCTTCGGGTCGCGGCTCTGCCACTTGTGAGCTCATGCCGCTGAGTGAGTCCCTTCAGCTCTCGGTGTCTCCATCTCCTCATCGGTAAAGTCGGGCTAACTAGGGGAGCAGCTACGGAGGGTTGCTGAGAGCATCACGTGAGAGGCTGTGAAGTGCCTGGCAACTGGTGTTTGCACTAGAAACACTCTCCAACAGGCAGCCTCGGGGCTCCTGCCGCTGTCTGAGGTCTGTGATGATGAGACATTGGTTCTGAGAGCCTCTGCTCCTTGGGCTGCCCTCCTGGCCCCATGATCCCCCATATCCTGCCTTCCTGTGGTCACCTGCTCAATCAGCCAGGTCCCTGGACCCTTGGGATTTAACCAAAAGGTCCTTAGAAGGGATGACAGCTACCAAAGATGTGACTTGGACACTGCACTTGCAGACGTAGCACTGCCAGGTGGCTATGACTGCCAGATGCCGCATGGCATTCTTCTTCGTTCATTCAACTATGTGCATGTGTGATTGGAGACCCTGGGGCCTGTCCATCCATGGAAGACGCAAAGGACACCTAGACTACAGGGGCTGCCGCTGCCCAGGGTGCCGCAGGGAGCACGGGGCTACCAGGTGGCGGTTTGTCTCTGTGCTATACTTTCACGTCATGTTCCTCTAATTATTTCCTTGAGTTAATTTACATTTATCATAGTTACAATTCAGTGTGTTGTGCTCCTAATTTGCAGAAACGCTTCAGCAGCTCAGAATTGATCCATTAGCGCACAACGGTGTGATTAAGACAGTGGAATGATGGCGAGAATGCAGAATGAGCTCGCAATCGTAAATCAAGTGAGAGGTGTCTGTGTTGGTCCTGAGAGGAGAACCTCCTGAAAGATGACTTTCCACAAGTGGCCCAAACACACAAGCATGAGTTAAAATATAGCAAATCCATGTTTCTGAAAAATGGATTGCATCATAGCAGTGAACTCACCCCTTAGACCTTGCACTTCATTATCTGTTGTGAAGCTTTGTCAAACAGCCTCCTGAAGTGGAGGAACGCTTCATCTCTTTTTCAAGGAAAGTGTGGGGATCTCTCTGGCAAGGAAATCGCATTTCAAGCACAAAACCAGGCGTGCCCATGAAAATTGAGTAATTTCACTAATAAAGGCTGAAATGAGACAAAAACAACACCATTCAAAGTTGCTCTTTCTGTAGCGAAAGCAGAGGAGGTGAAGTGGCTGCTGAGGAGGTAGTGAAAGCAACCCCCAAATTAGTGCCAAATGTGATGCTCGGGGAGAAAACTAAAGGACCAGCAGAATCCTCTATCAAGTGGCACTCTGGCATATTGTCTGACAGCACGGACGTAGAATGTGGAAGAGCAATTCCTGGATATGTGCCTGTCAGCGGTCACTTCTCTTTACCCAGGAAAACGTCTGCTGCAAAGAGGGTGAATCAGGTCCTGACAGGTTCGGTATGAAGCATGATGGTTTTGAGGAAAGTGATTGTGATCACAGCTAGCATTTTGTGAGTACGTGCTTGGGCCAGGAAGTGCTAAAAGCACTTTGCAAGCATTCAGTAACATTTACTTCTATTTTATTTATGTATTTATTTAATACGGGATACTTTTATTATTTAGATTTTATAACTAACAAGCCAAGGGACATGGAGGCAGGCTACCTTGCCCACGGTGACACAGCTAGCTAGCAGTGGAGAGGTGCATGCCCTGCCAACTATCTCCATACACACGCTTAACCACCATGCCAAACAGCTTCTGGTCAAACCTGAGGGAGAAGTCCCTTTTTCTTCCTTGACTTTTGAAAGCCCATGTTTCAGGAAAAGAGGTTTTTCACAGAGTTAAGTTATGAGGATGATAATTTTCTGGTAGCCATGGTGTGGACTGGAAAAGGCATGTTCGAGTTGGTTCTTACAATGTGTCACCATCTAATTCCCTGTAGGGGCAACCATCAAATCCGTGCCTGGCTGGGCGTCGGGGCTCAGGCCTGTAATCCCAGCACTTTGAGTGGATCACTTGAGGTCAGGAGTTCGAGACCAGTTGGCCAACATAGTGAAATCTCGTCTGTACTAAAAATACAAAAATTAGCCTGGCGTGGTGGTGCATGCTTGTGCTTGTAATCCCAGCTACTTGGGAGGCTGAAGCGGGAGGATTGCTTGAACCCAGGAGGTGGAGGTTGCAGTGAGCCGAGATCACACCACTGCACTCCAGTCCGGATGACAGAGTGAGACTTGTCTCAAAAAAAAAAAAAAAAAAAAAAAAAAAAAATTCCATGCCCTAACTTTGCCTCACATCGAAGGAATTAACGTGAATCACTGACAGCAGGACGAAGCACAGCTGCTGAGGCGTCTGAATTCTCCCTGGGAGGTCACTGACAGGAGGCACCACATTCTCACGAAGAGATTTGAAACGAAACAGCACATAAACCTCTGCTTCTTGACACGGATAAAGTGAGTGGATATCCCTGCCAGATGTCCAGGGGCTCAAGGAGGATCCATTTAGTGTCTGTTTAGTACCAGGAAGGCCCCGGACCCGTTGTTTCAGGCCAGGAAAGTCACAGATGCCTCAAAAAGACCAAATCATAGAACTGCTGGGAAAAGCAGTTGAGGATCAGACACAAGGGATCACATCCACGAGCTGCCACCAAATGTGAACTATGTCCAGAGCTGAGCACAGTGAAAAAGCGGGTGAGGAGCCCATTTCCTGTTATCTTCCTTGCAGCCTGCTCTCCAGCATTTGACTGAGTCTGGCAGTGGCAGGATCCGTTTTCTGCAAGAAATCTGTCAAAAGTGACTGCCTCTTGTGTGATCTCAGCCTGTCTTTTCCAGAAGGAGCCATAGTGTGCTGCCTGCCGTTGTCAAAGGTCGGGAATTGTGAGATGGGATTTTCTAATTCAGTAGAAATGAGGAGCTGGAAAGAAAAGGAATCCACAACTCAATCTCTCTGGCCTTGGGGCCATAGCCAGCTTGATACAAATTTAATCTCTCAAACTTATAGGAAACAGTCATTATTATGACTTGTTTTTCAGTATCACCTTCACTTCAATTGCTTTTAAAAACTGTGATGAATTGGCCGGGTGCAGTGGCTCATGCCTGTAATCCCAGCACTTTGGGAGGCCAAGGCGGGCGGATCACCTGAGGTCAGGAGTTCAAGACCAGCCTGGCCAAAATGGTGAAACCCCGTGTCTACTAAAAATACAAAAAAATTAGCTGGGTGTGGTGGTGCACGCCTGTAGTCCCAGCTACTTGGGAGGCTGAGGCAGGAGAATTGCTTGAACCCAGGAAGCGGAGGTTGTATTGAGCCAAGATTGTGTGATTGCACTCCAGCCTGGGCAACAAGAGCAAAACGTCTTAAAAAAAAAAAAATTGTGATGACTCTCTAGGGAAAACAATTCCCTGAACTGTCTGGGCTGGGGGACCTTTCTGACTTTTCTCTCGACATGGAGTCTTCCCTTTGAGAGGTCACAGCCAGGCTGGTAGCCTCAGGGCAGGGTGGGAAGTGGTCCCCACATCTGGTTCTTTGCCAGAGCTCCCCATCTCCGTGGCTGGCACCACCACCCACTCAGCCGCTCTGCCTAGAGGTCATGCTTAACATTTCCCTCTCCCTCATCTTCTTTTCCTGATTTATCACCAAATCTTGAGGACTTTGCCTCTTCACAGTATCCAGTCTGCCTCTCTACCCCCATCTTCACCGCAGCCCCTCATCCCAGGCCCCATCTCCAGGCTGGACCATCCTGACAGCATCTTCTAGGACATGCTCTGAGCTCCCCCAGGCCCACTGCCATTCAATGGCCTGGGCGGCTGCTTCGAAGCACAAATGGGCGCCCTCCCTTCTCTCCTCTTGCCCTTGCCCTTGCCCTGCAGACCTCTCAGTGACAGCTCCTGCCCTGCCATGAGCTGTGTAACTCACCGAATCCCACAGCAAGCCCATCAGGGAGGCGGCTCTGTGTGGGCCGCCAGGGAAGCAGGTGCTGGTACAGGTTGCAGTCCCAGGAAGCAGGGCAAGGCAGGTCAGGAGGGAAGCCTGCCCAGAGAGTGTTACTGTTGCAGGGGGTGCCCAGCCCCTCCAGGGCCCTGTGGCTGTGTAGAAGGCACCTTGACAATAAGACGCAGGGCTGTTCTCCACTGACCCCAATCCCACAAGTTGAGGTTTGTCCCGAAGGGTGGTGACTCCCCTCCACGTCCAGGCTCCCCATGGGGGGAAGGCTGAGTAAGCTCCTGGCTTCAGAAAAAGCCTGAAAGCACAGAGGTGGGGACATTTGGAGGGCACTAGGGGCGGGGCATGGGCAGTGGCCTGGGTCCCGGCATTGGGGGTGCTCTGCTGAGCCTGGCAGGGTGAGCTGAGGGGGTGGCGTGGGGCCAAAACGGTCTCCTACACCAGAAGGTGGTGTCTCCATTTTGCAGATGTGGAAACAGAGGCACAGGGAGGCCAGTGGCTTGTACAGGCTCATGCTGTCGCTAAAGACCAACAACGTCCATTTGGTTGGCAGCATCTCTGCAAGAGCTGGTCCTGCTCAGAAGTGCTGAAGAGGCCAGGCATGGTGGCTCATACCTGTAATCTCAGCACTTTGGGAGGCCGAGGCAGGCAGATCGCTTGAGCCCTGGAGTTCAAGACAAGCCTGGGCAACATAGTGAGACCTCATCTCTACAAAAATAAATAAATAAATAAATGTAAATAAATTAGCCAGGCATCGTGGTACCCACCTGTCGTCTCAGCTACTTGGGAGGCCGAGGCAAGAGAATCGCTTGAGCATGAGAGGTTGAGGCTGCAGTGAGCTATGACCTTGCCTCTGCACTCCAGCCTGAGTGACAGAGACCCTGTCTCTAAAAAAAAAAGTCCTGAAGAGTTCACATCCCTGGAACACCCCTCATCCAGTGAGTGCTGAGGGTGGGGGATAGACACTGCCAGGGGTCCCTGAGGCACCAGCTCTCAAGGGACTCCCAGCGTCCCCAGCTTTTGGGATGAATGCAGAATATAAGCACGCGTATCTGCAGCCGAGACGTGGGTCCTCAACCACAGGAGACCCCACACGCTCAGTCACAGTCCCCAGTCCCTTGTGGCTCAGTCTTGTCCTTTTGTGTGTGGGACAAAGACCCAGGGAGCTGGCACTTTCAGCTCCTCTTCCATTCACTGTGTATGTCAGTAATAAACTGTCTCCAAGAGTGGTTTATTGTGTTCATACTGGCTGAATCTGACCATCAGACCTCAGCTTTGTCGAGCCTGCTGTGAACTTCTGAAGAGGCCCAAACTAAGCCAGCTTCTCATTTATTCCAACGTACACTAGAAAAAAATATAACTAGAGCCACACACCCTACACTAAGTCAAGCATTGAAGGTTTGTATGTTTCAGTGAATTTTGATTCGAAGGTGACAGTCCAGACCAGGTGGCCCCGTGACACAGAACAAATGGAGAGGCAGGGCTTGAAGCTGCCGGCTGAGAAAGGCCCCTGAGCATCAGCCTCTGGGCCACATGGGAGGTGGGTTTGTTCCTGGGATACATCCCAGATGGCTACTGGTGCTTCCGTGACCAGATCCCAGGTCCCCATCCTCCAGGCACAGGGACTTCCCTCACCTTTTCTGGTTAACTGATCCTGAGTCACCACGGCATGTAGATTTGTGGGTTGCCCTGCCCTCATACAGTAGAGCATACACACTGTGTTTGTCCCTCCCTCCCTCCCTTCTTTCCTTCCTCTCTCTCTCTTTCTTTTCTTTTCTCTTCTTTTTTCTTTCTTTTTGAGACAGGGTCCTAGTGTGTGGCCTAGGCTAGAGTGCAGTGGTGCAATCATGGCTCACTGCAGCCTCTACCTCCCAGGCTCCAGCCATCCTCCCACCTCAGCCTCCTGAGTAGCTAGAACCACCATGCCCAATAATTTTTTTTTTTTTTTTGGTAGAGACAGGGTCTCCCTGTGTTGCCCAAGCTGGTCTCAAACTCCTGGGCTCAAGCAATCTGCCCGCCTTAGCCTCTCAAAGTGCTGGGATTACAGGCATGAGCCATTGCGCCCAGCCCACACTGTGTTTTCTTTCTCTCCGTCCCTCCACCCACTCGCAGCTTTCTTCCCAAATTAGATTCGAGGTGGCATGCAAAATCCATTCCTCATCCCTAAGATGCCCCCAAGCATGGGAGGCAACACTAATTTGATAGTTTTCCAGGACACTAGCAAACACCACTATAATTCCAAGATTAAAAAAAAAAAAGAAAAGAAACCTCAGTGACAAGTGCATACCTCCAACCACACAATTCCATCCCGATTGCTCAATTTCTTTTTGGTGATCACTATCAAGATTTGAGCCCACGATTTCTTCTGAATCCCACTTGGCCACTGCATGTAACATCACACTTTGCTTTCCAAACCCTGTTTGTGATCTGCCTGCCACCGCACCCTCAGAACTGGCAGAATGGATCTGAGTGGCACTGAAGAATCCAGGGGGTTTGTACAGGAGCAAGAGTTTCATTTTCCCCTTAATTGAATTACTTATCACTGGAAGTTAAATGACTCTTTCTGAAAAGCAGCCAGACGCTTCAGATGGAGGGATGTTTGGCTCCTGAGTGATATTCCTTTTTAACACACGAATTGGTCACCGAAACCTCTCCCAAGCCTCGGAAATGCTGGACTCTATTCTGAGAGATTTGGCAATTTCACCTGCCTTTAATGCATTGGCAGGTGTGTGACAAGCATGGGTCTTACATGCAAAATGAATTTTTGGCCTTTTTGTCTATTACTGTAGCTCAGGAATACACTCACAGAATTGGGAGACTATGGTTGGGATGGCCCAACATAAAATGTATTCCAAGAAGTAATTGAAAAATTCACTTGGGGGTGGAGTGGAGGGGAGTTGAGGCAGCACTCAAAGACAGAGGCACTCATCATCCTGAACAACCAGCACTGAAGTGCTTCAGTAGGTCCATGTGACTGCTGTGATATTGTGATATAATTAGAAACGTATATTTTGGTCTTTGTCCCTGGCTGTGGGCCAGAGCTCTGAAAACCCTTGTAATCTTCTGAGTGACAGGGGTGCTAGGAAAACCTTTTGTTCTGACATTTTGTCTGTGACCCTGGTTCCTGACAGTGATTCTGAATCTCTTGGAATTTCTGGGGAGATAGAAGCATCTTTTATTCTAATGAGGTGATGCTTGGTGGCTCCTGGGTGGGGGTTAAGTGCTAGAAAGACCCAGACATGATTAGAAGCAGGGGAGAGGGGCTGGAGATTGAGCTAATAATCAGTCTTGCCTACATGATGAAGCCTGAACTACAGGTGCAGAGAGCTTCCAGGTGGGTGAACACATCCAGGTGCCGGGGGGAGGCGCACCCCAACTTCAGGGCGACAGAAGTTCCTGCTCTAGGGGCCCTCCCAGGCCTCTCCATGTACGCATCCTCCTCTGCTATTCACCTGCCCCCTTTATCATCTCCTTTATAATAGACCAGGGAGCACAAGTGCAGCGTTTCCCTGAGATCTGAGTCGTGGTGAATTAATCGAAACCGAGGAGGGGGTCATGGGTGACTTATAGTCAATTTATAGCCAAGTTGAATGGAAATGTGGGCGATGTGGGGATTCAATACTTGCAACTGGTGTCTGAAGTGGGGGACAGTCTTGTGGGACTGGCCCTTACCTGGTGGGGTCTGCACTAATGCCAGCTATGTAGTGTCAGAATTGAGTTAAATTGTGGAACAGCCAGCCAGTGTCTAGGAAGCTGCAGAATTGGTTGGTTTGGGAAGACATATTTGATGTCAGAAGGGAAGAGGTGGTGAGAGTATAGGAAATTTTTTTTCCTTTTTTTTTTCTTTTTGAGATGGGGATTTCACTCTTTCACCTAGACTGGAGTGAGGTGGCGCGATCTTGGCTCACTGCAACCTCTGTCTCCTGGGTTCAAGCGATTCTCCTGCCTCAGCCTCCAGAGTAGCTGGGATTATAGGCGCCCACCACCATGCCTTGCTCATTTTTGTATTTTTAGTAGAGACGGGGTTTCACCATTTTGGCCAGGCTGACCTCGAACTCCTGACCTCAGGTGGATCCACCTGCCTTGGCCTTCCAAGGTGCTGGGATTACAGGTGTGAGCCACCGCACCTGGCCTTTTTAAATTTTTTAACTGCCTATTAAGAGAGACAGGCTGTGAGTATAAAGATGCTGACATAGATTAGATTATTGTTCCAGAATATTCACCCTCTGCCCCACAACCCCATGGGGGATGGTACTTCTTCACCCCTTGGTGCTGGACCTGGTCATGTGACCTGCATTTGTTCCACAGTGGGTAGAGCCCAGTTGCCCACTTATTGGTGTGACTTGTTTTGGTCAAATGGAAATGAGTGGCTTTGGCCCTGCAAAGACCTGAAATGCTCAGATGAAGTGGCCTCACCACACTGCGCTTCTGCCACCCATGAGGAGGCTGCCCTGAGGTAGCTGCTGCTTCTTTGGCTTGCAGCCGCAAATGAACACAGGTGGAGCACACCTGGATTCAACCTGCAGCTTAGAGTCAAGCCTGGCCCAGTCCTCGTCCACTGACCTCCAGCTAACCACAGGCATGTGGGAGAGAAGACTTGATTATTGTATGAAGCCGTTGAGTTTGGGGTGGTTTGTTAGGCAGCATCACTAACTGTAGCTGACTGATACAGACGCCAACACAGTTTCAAACATGAGCCTCAAAAGTGGCTCATGCCTGTAATCCCAGCACTTTGGGAGGCTGAGGCAGGCAGATCACTTGAGGTCAGGAGTTCAAGACCAGCCTGGCAAACATGGTGAAACCCCATCTCTACTAAAAATACAAAAACTAGCCATGCGTGGTGATGTGTGCCTGTAATCCCAGTTACTCAGGAAGCTGAGGCAGGAGAATCAGGAGAATCACTTGAACCGGGAGGTGGAGGTTGCAGTGAGCCGATATCGTGTCACTTCACTCTAGCCTGGGCAACAGAGTGAGACTCCATCTCAAAAAAAAAAAAAAAAAAGGTGAGGGGGAACTCCCCCGCCCCCTGCCACATGCAGGCATCAACTTGTGATGAAGCTGCTGATGGCGTGGGCAGCTCTGCAGATGCCTCTTTTCCATGTGGACAACTCGTCATTTCTCCAGGCAGCCTGCACTGACCAACAAGGAGAAATGAATGTTTGGCTTTAATACTTCACCATCTTGTCCCATGAAACCCAATTTTAAAGTCAAATTAGGTGTGCACACTTAGGTTTCAGTCTAAATGCTGTGGTGCTACCACTGTCCACAAATTAACTGAAGTGACGAGGTTGAGAGGACACCAAGTGGGCTGAGGTCACACCCTCTGGCCTGTACAGCTGGGTCACCCTTGCATAGGATGACTTGCTTATCCCATGTTTAAAATGGAAATTCCCAAATCCCAAGACCCCTCTTAGTTTGGGGGGTGGGGTCACTCTATGCCCACCTAGGCTTGGGACTGGCCAGGTCTTTGACAGCCACTGTAAGATGAATTCGCTCATTTCAGAAACATTTACACTTTGAAAAATTTGTGTCTTAGGATTATGGAGACATTATTCCTACAGTAAACAAGATAAAAATAGACGCAGACATTAGGATGGAAATTAGGCTGGTAAAGATGGTGTATGAAACACACACTATTTCTCACTCTCCCTCTTCAAACCCACTAGCATGACATTCAGTGGATTTTTACAGATGTTTATCCACAAGGACAAAGAGAACAGGACAGGAGATGATGGAAATAAGATTTGAGAAGCAGAAAGAGACACGCAGCACCTGACCCAGCAGCTCTGAGAAAGATGAATCAGAACAGGTATGGGGGAAATCTGAGAAGCCCTGACTTATCCCCACAGAATCCCCTGGAAGAGGGATGAAGGGTGCCTGGCTAAGAGGCAGTTTGATCCTGATTCTTCTCCCTGGTGCCATGCTGGGGTGCTGCCCTCCTATACCCTGAGGCTTATGCTGGCAGAGGAAACACAAATTTGGTTGTAGTAAAGAAAGACTTTATTCAGAAGGACTATTGCAAGTGGGTGGAGGGGAACTATTGTAATAGAACACTCTGCCCATGAGGTCTGCAAGCATCTCCAGAGTTAGACAAAAAGAACTTTTCTTTTCTAGAGAGGAGTAAGCAAAGCTAGAAAGAGCTAGGTGTGGGGAAATGGGATGAAAGGATGGTCTGTGGCCATGTGTGGTGGCTCATGCCTGTAGTCCTAGCACTTTGAGAGGCCGAGGTGGGCGGATCACTTGAGCTCAGGAGTTCGAGACCAGCCTGGCCAACATGGTGAAACCCTGCCTCTACTAAAAATACAAAAATTAGCTGGGCGTGGTGGTGCACACCTGTAATCCCAGCTACCTGGGAGGCTGAGCAGGAGAATCGCTTGAACCTGGGAGGCAGAGGTTGTAGTGAGCTGAGATTGCGCCATTGCACTCCAGCCTGGGAGACAAGAGCAAAACTCCGTCTCAAAAAAGAAAGAAAGAAAGAAAGGATAGTGTGATTAAATAGTAGATCAAAGAATATTTTATTGTGAGGCCAGCCTATTCTTAGGAAGGGTTGTAAGTTAGCTAAGGTGAGGTGGTGGAGGGCAATGTTCAAAGTTCAGAGATTTTTGAATTTTGAGGAAGGAGACAAGCTTAACCAAAGTTTGGTTCACAAGCATTTTTTTTCTGATTCATTAGTGGGGACAGGCAGTTCAGCTTGTCTGGTAAGAAAGAGAAACAAAGGAGAAAAGACAGAAGGAACTCGTCTAGCAAATTAGAACTGGAGGACTTGAGTTTTCTGATTGAAATGGCTCAATGAGTTTCCAACACAATGGGTAAAAATAAATTTTTTAGAATTTTAGAACAACAGAGCAAATACTCACACACTTCCTAAGAGGAAGCACGGATCTTGAGGCAGAATGATTTTTGCCCTCCCAGCAGCAATATTGCTAGTTAGATGATAATAGAAGAATGCCTTCAAAATTCTGAAGGCATTTCAATTTTAGAATTTAAATTCTAAAACCAGCTGAAATGTGACATTAGATTTTAAACAAAACCAAAACCAAAAACTTTTAACACACCTTTTCTGAGAAAGCTACTAAGGCGTTTTCACCACTAAACAATGACATAAACCAAAAGAAAGAAGGCAGAAGAAAAAGAAGTAGGGAATTCAACTTGAAGGAGAAATGAAGAGAATCCTTAGAAGGGATTCATGAAGGCAGATCCCAGGATGTAGAGGATTACCAGTTCATATTGGGGCATATTAAAGTTCTCTAGGAGAATTATCACCAATAACGTAAAAGTGTTAGAATTCTGTTGCGTATAAATATATTGAGAGGCCATTTAGACAATCAGTGGTAAATGTGAGACTAAATTAGCAATATGTAATTGAAAACAAAGCAAATAAAAAACAAGACAATCATGAATTCAGGAAAAAAATATAAGAAAGGAAAAGTAATCATAGAATACTGTATGGTTCAGCTGTAAATATACTTATATAGTCATAAAAAGTATTGGATATTGATCTAAACACAATTACAATATACACATCTGTGAGGGGTGGAGAGAGAAAGCAAGAGGTTGAGGATTAAGAGAGAAGTCAGGAAAGAGGAGATTGTGTAGTGTTTGCAGGCATGAAGTGAAGCTAAATCATCATCTTTCACAATGGGAAGCTGATAGATAATGCCTAATCTAAGTAATCAGTAACAATCTAAGAATGATATTGATAGATTTATAGCTACATGTTAAAAAATCAGGCAAAAGAGTACGTTTTTGGGAAGTGGGAAATGGGGATGTGGGTAAGAGATTGCTGTTTTTAGTAAAACAATACTTATAGAAAAATTCAATTCTTTATCCATGTTCTTTAACCTAAAATTTAGATAAAAGCAAAAACACTGAATAGCGGTCCCCTCACACATGAACAAATAAAGACAATACAAAAACATGGAAACCCGTTTTGGATTTAGCTTGCAATCTCTTCTCTTCTCTTCTCTTTTCTCTTCTTTTTTTCTTTCTTCTTTGGAAACAGAGTCTCACTCTGTCACCCAGGCTGGAGTGCAGTGGCATGATCTTGGCTCACTGCAACCTCCGCCTTCTGGGTTCAAGTGATTCTTGCTCCTCAGCCTCCCGAGTGGCTGGGATTACAAGCATGAGCCACTACGCCTGGCTAATTTTTTGTATTTTTAGTAGAGACGGGGTTTTGCCATGTTGGCCAGGCTGGTCTTGAATTCCCGACCTCAGGTGATCCACCCGCCTTGTTGGGGATCTTCCCAAAGTGTTGGGATTACAGGCGTGAGCCACTGCACCTGGCCACAATTTCTTGATTGTTAGTCAAATTGAGCTTTTCTTTTCTTTTTTCTTTTTTCTTTTTTTTCCAGTCTGTTTGCTGGCCTTTTGGGTTTCTTCTTCTAAAAAGTAACTCTTCATAGTCTTTCCTTATTTTTCTATTGGATGTACTGCTGGTCATAACTTAAACAACGATCTTCTCTCATCTTGACCTTGGCCTTCATCTTGACCTTCATTTTGTGTTATTTGTGTGTGTGCATGCTTGCACATGCGGAAGTGTTACATGTTTTGATTAACTGAATTTATCTATCTCTCTTGGTAGTTTGAGTTTTGGTGTCTTACTTAAGGGAGACTTCGTAACCCTGGGGCCAAATGATACTGTCCTATATTTGCTTCTAAAAGTTTTAGAATTTTGCTACTCGTCTTTAGGTCTTTTATCCATGTGTTATTGATTTTTGCAAAAGATGTGGAAATAAATGTGTCACATCCTCCAATACAGCAGGGCAAAGTGAAAAAAAAAATCAATGAACTGGAAACTGTACCTGAAAAAATTATCTAGAACATGGCACAGTGGGACAAAGTGGCAGAAAATCTGAAAGAGGCATTGAGAGACATAGATAATAGACATGGAGCATAGACCGAGAAGGATGAGAAGAGTTAGCATCCCCTATGTTCCAGAAGGGGATTAGGGAGTCCATGTGAGTGAGCAACATAGGAGATGTTTAGACAAATTTCCAGAATGAATGTGAGACACCAATCCCTAAAATCAGGAAACCTTATCAATTTTAAACAGAATAAATAAAAGAAATTCACACTTAGGTAAAGAATAACAGAGATGGAAGGAAGGATGGGGGCGAGACAGAGAGAGAGAGATGTGAGGAAGGAGAGAGAGAGAGAAAAAAAAGGAGGAGGGGTAGGAGGGACCAATGGCTGGCTCTCACTAGCAAAAATGGTAATCTGAAAATAGTGAAAAATATCTTCAATATGCATAAAGAAAATATCTACCTAGCAAAAATGACTTTTAAGAATGAACGTAAAGCTGGGTGTGGTGGCTCACACCTGTTGTAATCCCAGCACTTTGGGAGGCTGAGGCAGGAGGATCACTTGAGCCCTGGAGTTTAAGGTCAGCCTGGGCAACAAAGTGAGAGCTTGTCTCTATAAACAAAAAAGGCCACGAGTGGTGGCGCATGCCTGTAATCCCAGAACTTTGGGAAGCCAAGGCGGGAGGATCACTTGAGGCCAGGAGTTCGAGACCAGCCTGGCCAACGTGGCAAAACCCTGTCTCTACTAAAAATATAAAAAATTAGCCAAGCATGGGTGCAGGTGCTTGTAATCTAGCGACTCAGGAGGCTGAGGCACAAGAATAGCCTGAATCTGGAGGCGAAGGTTGCAGTGAGACAAGATTGCACCACTGAACTCCAGCCTTGGTGACAGAGTGAGACTGTGTCTCAAAAAGAAAGAAAGAAAGAAAAAGAAAGAAAGAGAAGGAGAGAAAGAAAGAAAGAAAGAAAGGAGGAGAAAAAGAAAAAAATGGAAGTAAAATAAAGACATCTTCAAATATTGAAAAATCTGCAGGAATTTTTCCCAAAAGATTGTCACTAGAAAGAATTGTAAAGAAAAGTCAGATACATAAGGAAGAATGATGAGTGAAAACAGTGCTCAATACGTGAGTAAATCAAAACAAAACTGATTACATAGAAAACCAGCATTTTGTGGGGTTTAAAAGATATGTGTTTATATTATTCATCAATATTATACAGCAGGAAAAGACTGATCAGAGTTCAAGTGTTTAAGGTTCTTGTGTTGTTTAGAAAAAGAGTAAAGATTGTGATGAATCTCAGAATTCCTTACTAAAATTACTAGGGCAACCACTAAAGGAATAAAAATAGAAACTATAATTTCCAAATTAACAGAGGGAGATACTGGAATGAGGAAAAGGAATTTAATCCAACAGGAGTTAAGGCAGGTTAGAAAAAAAAGCAAAATCGGTAGCACAATTTGAAAGCACATAATGTGTTGGCGGAAACGAATCCAAATAGAACTATAACTACTATACATAAATGAAGTAAACTTGTAAAACTCTACGGTTAAAGATTGTCATTCTGAAATTAAAAAAAAAATCTGGTCATTAGTTTGAGACCAGCCTGGCCAACATGGTGAAACCCCGTCTCTACTAAAAATACAAAAATTAGCCAGGCATGGTGGCACGTGCCTGTAATCCCAGCTGCTCGGGAGGCTGAGGCAGGAGAATTGCTTGAACCCGGGAGGTGGAGGTTGCAGTGAGCCAAGATTGCGCCACTGTACTCCAGCTCTGGGTGACAGAGCAAGACTCCATCTTGGAAAAAAAAAAATCTATCTACAGGCTATTAACAATAGATACACCTAAAACGTAAAGGCATAGAAAAATTGAATGCCACTTACTAAAAGAAAGCTATAGCTATATTAATATCAGACCAATTGACTTTAATATAAACCACTTGACCAGAGACTAAAAGTGCTGCTCATAATGGACAGTTCAATTAACTAGGAGTCTGTAACAATTACAATTTTGCATGTATCTAATAATATAAATCAAAATACAAAAAGCAAAAATTGATAGAATTACAGAGAGATAAATTCACTACCATGTTGGGAAGTTTTAGTATACCTCTCTCAGCCATTGATAGATTAAGAAGATAAAAATTTAGGAAAGATGAAGAAGATTTGAATAACAAAATAACTAAGCTCAAAAGGAAAACAAAAGACAAACTCAATCCAGGTGGATGAGGAGAGTTTAATAAGACAGATAATTTGCAACAGTGTCCTGACAAAAAGCGATGTTCTCACCAAGTTAAGAGACCTGTAGAGCAGAGGTGTATTTGGCATTGTTTGAGGTGAACCTGTTATTCATATTTGCAGTCAAAGCATCTCTGACATTTTATCTGATATTTTAACAGTAGAAGCTGTTACAAATGTTTACAACTTTTTTTTTTTTTTTTTTGAGATGGAGCCTCGATCTGTCACCCAGGCTGGAGTGCAGGGGCATGACCTTGGCTCACTGCAACCTCTGCCTCAGAGTTCAAGATCACCTTGAACTCAGGTGATCTGCCCGCCTGGGCCTCCCAAAGCACTGGGATTACAGGCATGAGCCACCGCATCTGGCCTTACAAATATTTTTATATATACAGTTCTGGAAATTGGGCTACAAAAAATATTGCAACAAAGTTAATGCTGAGTACCAAAATAGACTTCAGCCTCCAAGGTGTCCTGTCTTTGCTGCAGTCATTAATCAGACCCTCGAGAGGTTGGAGCCCTTTGTACATCAACCTAATGTCCTCGAGAGGGACGCAACTTTTTATAAATAAGTCCTCTAAATTTCTGTCGCACTGTTTTCAAATTTGTTGGAAGTCTTTTTTTTTTAAATTTTTTTAGTATTTATTGATCATTCTTGGGTGTTTCTCGGAGAGGGGGATTTGGCAGGGTCATAGGACAATAGTGGAGGGAAGGTCAGCAGATAAACATGTGAACAAAGGTCTCTGGTTTTCCTAGGCAGAGGGCCCTGCCGCCTTGTTGGAAGTCTTTAATCAATGTGTTCAATAAACCAGTGCCAAGAATTTTGAGCTTTGAAGCTCTAGTGAATTATAATTATCAGAAACAATCCTTGCCAATAGAGAAACATTGAAATTCATTCCTACAAAAGCAAGGGAGGAGATGAAGAAATTAAATGCTGAGAGCTCCAATGGTGTACGAGGTATAATTTTTAAATCCCATAATTGTTTTTGGAATAGCTCAACATGTGGGGAAGAAACTTTTGATGAGATTCTTAGTTTTAATTGGAAAAATTTATATTCAGTACTGGAATGGAAGGAAATCAAGAAGGTCTCCTGTTTTGCAGCATCTAAATTTGATTAAACATTCGAAAGGATAATCAATTTTGGCAGGGGGGAGGGGATAAGTTTTGGCTTATAAAAATATTTGTTGATGAAAATTACCCTGGATGGAAACAGCATGATTGAAATCTATGGAGATATTTGAGCTGGAATATTTACACATTTCAATTAAAAAAAAGAAAGACTCAGTATATCCTCCATTTAGTAGAGTTTTTTCTGAGCTTACCTATTACCTCAGCACCTATAGAAAGAAGATTTTCTCAATTAAAATATGGTCTTTAGAGAACAGTTAATTAGTGTCCACAGATGTAATTTATAACAAAAGAATGCAACTTTGAGTAAGACTGTAAGTGATTTTATCAAAGAAGTAAGAATAGTAAGACCAAACTTAAGAAAAAAAGTTTTTAGAAAAATGCTGGCATTTATAGGTCCATCACTATAACAAACTAATTTTTTTGTTGTTTGTTTGTTTTTTTGAAATAGAGTCTCGCTCTGTCACCCAGGCTGGAGTGCAGTGGCACGATCTTGGTTCACAGCAACCTCCGCCTCTCGGGTTCAAGCGATTCTCCTGCCTCAGCCTCCTGAGTAGCTGGGATTACAGGCGCCCACCACCATGTCTGTCTAATTTTTGGATTTTTTATAGAGATGAGGTTTCACCATATTGGCCAGGCTGGTCTCGAACTCCTGACCTTGTGATCCGCCTGCCTCAGCCTCCCAAAGTGCTAGGATTACAGGCGTGAGCCATCGTGCCTGGCCAACAATCTAATTTGTCAGGCAATACATAATATTTCAGAAAATGTATTATTTTAATTATCTCTAGCAACTCTCAAAAGCATCCCAGTTTGAATGGCAACCCTATCTTTCCTAAGACCTTGACATGATCGATCACCCCACCTCCTCCTGGAAGCCTTTTCTTGGCTTCTGAGGCTCAGCAGTTGCCTGATTTTCCATCTGCCCCATTGGCCACTCCTCAGCTGACATCTCTGCTAGCTCCTCCCCAAACCCTATGCCTCTAAACCATGGCCTGCACAATTCTCAGCCTTCTTCCTTTTCCTGTTTACACTCTCTGCCAAGGTGATCACAGGATTGGGCTTTAAATACTGGTTATTAATGATTCTCCAAAGGACCTCTTTCCAGAACTCCAGAATCCCATATTCCAGAGCCAGCCTGATATCATCCCACTGGGAGAATTTATTTATTACATTTTTTATTTCCATAGGTAACTGGGGAACAGGTGGTGTTTGGCGACATGAGGAAGTTCTTTAGTGTTGATTTGTGGGATTTTGGTGCACCTGTCACCCGAGCAGTACATACTGCACCGAATTTGTAGTCTTTTATCCCTCACCCCCTTCCCACCCTTTTCCCCTGAGTCCCCAAAGTCCATTGTGCCATTCTTATGCCTTTACATCCACATAGCTTAGCTCCCACTCCAAGCTCAACAATCTGTGATCTTCTCCTCGCCAAGCCTATTTCTCTCACCCTTGTTGCTGCTTCAGTTGATGTCTCCACGTTTACAGAACCTGGGGGCAGCCTTAAGTCCTTGCTGTTTCTCACACTTCACATCCAGCCCATCAGCAAGTCCTATTGGCTCTGCATTCAAAATACACCAATAAAAATGGGGACTTAACGAATTACAAATAGGGGTAGTTTGTTACACAGCAATGACTAACTAATACAGCCTGGATTTAATGAATGTGGACACTTTAATTTTGGACTCCTATCTTTCTCCAGTTCTGGAAAAGTTTTCAGCTATTTTATCTTATCAGATATTGTTTCTCCTCCTTCTTTGTTCTTTTCTATCCTCCAAGTGTTTTACCTTTTTCATATTTTTCAAAATATTTGTGTCTTTGCTGCCTTCTAGATGAATTATTCAGTACTTCCTTCTAATTCATGATTTATTTAGCTGTGTCCAGCCTAAAATTTACACTCTCTATTAACTATTTACTTCAATTATTTTCTTTTACTTTTTCTTCTTCTTCTTTTTTTTTGGTTTGTTTTTTGAGATGAGGTCTTGCTCTATTGCCCACAGGGCTGGAATGCAGTAGTATGATCACAGCTCACTGCAGCCTTGACTTCCTGGGCTCAAGCAATCCTCCCACCTCAGACTCTTGAGTAGCTGTGTCTACTGGCATGTGCCACCGGACCAGGTAATTTTCTAATTTTCTAATTTTTTGTAGAGACAGGGTCTCCCTATGTTGCCCAGGCTGGCCTCAAACTCCAGAGCTCAAGCGATCCTCCCACCTCAGCCTCCCACAGTGCTGAAATTACAGGTGTGAGCCACCATACCCAGCCACATTTTCTCTTTTAAACGTTTTTCATTTCAAGATAATTGTAGATTCACTTGCAGTTGCTGAGAAATAATATAGGAAGATCCATCGTACCCTTTACTCAATTTCCCCAGGTTGTTACATCTTGCAAAATTATAGTGCAATATCACAGCCAGGATCTTGACACTGATGTAGTCATGACACCAAAAAGGCTGCCTGTTGCTCTTGTAGAGCCACACCCACTTTTCCTCTGCCCCAACCCCCTCCTTAAGCCATGGCAATCACTAATCTGTTATTTTGTTAACTTCAAGAATGTTACATAAAATATATCCATGTAACACATAGGTACATTTGCATCCTAAATCTAAAATTTAAAAAAGGGGAATAATATCTTTTGGAATTGGCGTTTTATTGATTGATCGAGTGAGTGAGTGAGACTGAGTCTCACTCTTTTGCCCAGGCTGGAGTGCAGTGGTGCGATCTCAGCTCACTGCAACCTCTGTCTCCTGGATTCAAGCGATTCTCCTGCCTCACCCTTTCGAATAGCTGGGATTACAGGCATGTGCCACTATATCTGGATAATTTTTGTATTTTTAGTAGAGATGGGGTTTTGCCATGTTGGCCTGGCTGGTCTCGAACTCCTGACCTCAGGTGATCCGCCCACCTCAGCCTCCCAAAGTGCTGGGATTACAGGCGTGAGCCACTGCACCCGGCTGGGATTGACATTTTTCACTCAGCATAATTCTCTACAAACTCAACTCATTTGTTGCATGTATAAAAAGTTTGTTCCTTCTTTTGTTGAGTATTCCGTGGTAAGGATATATCATAGTTTTTCTAATCATTAATGTCTAGGTTGCTTGCAGGTTTGGGCCATGTAGTTGCTATAAACATTTGTGTACTGTTTTTGGTGTGAACATAATTTTTCATTTCTCTGGGATAAATACCCAGGAGTGCAATTGCTGGGTCGTATGGTAGTTGCCCGCTTAGTTTTTGTTTGCTTTTGTTTTGTTTCGTTTTAAGAAACTGCCAGACTGTTTTCCAGAGTGGCTGTACCACTTCACATTCCCATTAGCAATGTATCCACTTTCTCTGCATCTTTACCTGCTTTAGAGATTGTCACTATTTTTCATTTTAGCCATCCTTAGATGTGCATGGTGACATTTCATTATGGTTTTAATTTTCATTTCCCTAATGGCTTATGACGTTAAATACCTTTCCATGGGCTCATTTGCCATTTGTATCTCCTCTTTGGTGAAATGCAAGTTCAATGTCTTTTGCTCATTTTATAATCGGATGTTTGTTACTTTACTGTTGAGTTTGAGAGTTCTTTATATATTCTAGATACTAGTCCTTTAAAGGATATCTGATTTGCAAAGATTTTTCTCTTTGTCTCTAGCTTGTATTTTCATCCTCTTTCACATACCAGAAGTTTTAAATTGTGATAGAGTCCAATTTATTAATTTTTCCTTTTATGGATCTTGCTTTTGATATTAAGTCTAAAAATTCTTTGCCTAGCCCTACATCCTAAAGATTTCATCCCAGATATATAATTTATCCTGTATATATAGTTTTATAACTTTATGTTTTACATTTAAGTCTATGATCCATTTTGAGATAATTTTTATAAATGTGAGACTCAGAAGTTCTTCTTTGTTAAACCTATGGATATTTAATTGCTCCAACACCATGTATTGAAAAGGCTATCTTCCTTTAATTGAATTGCTTTTGCAACTTTGTAAAAAATCAGTTGGGCATATGTGTGTGGGTTTATTTCTGAGTTTTCTGTTTCATTGATCTTTGTGTCAGTCCTTCCATCAACATAACATAGTCTTGATTATTGTAGCTACGTAGTAAGTCTTGAAATTGGATAGACTAATACCTCCCATTTTATTTTTCTTTTTTAAAATCATTTTACCTACTCCACTTCCTTTGCCTTTGCATATACATATTAGAATAATCTTCTCTATAGCTACACAAAGTCTTCCTTGGACTTTGGCAGATGTTGCTTTAAACCTTCACATCAACTTGGAGGATTGGAGGATAACTGACTTTTTTTTTTTTTTGAGATGGAGTCTCACTCTGTCACCCAGGCTGGAGTGCAGCAGCATGATCTCAGCTCACTGCAACCTCTGCTTCCCGGGTTCGAGCGATTCTTGTGCGTCAGCTTCCTGAGTAACTGGGACTACAGGCACCCACCACCATGCCCAGCTAATTTTTGTATTTTTAGTACAGGCAGAGTTTCACCATGTTGGCCAGGCTGGTCTAGAACTCCTGATCTCAAGTGATCCACCCGCCTTGGCCTCCCAAAGTGCTGGGATTACAGGTGTCAGCCACCTCGCTCGGCCCACTGACATCTTTACTATGTTGATTCTTCCTATCTGTCTTAGTCTGTTTGTGTTGCTATAAAGGAACACCCGAGGCTGGGTGGTGTATAAAGTAAAAAGGTTTGTTTGGCTTTTATGGTTCTGCAGCCTGTACAAGAAGCATGACACCAGCGTCTGCTTCTGGTGAGGGCAGAAGGCGGCTTCCACTTGTGGTGGAAGGCAAAGAACAGCTGGCATGTGCAGCTCACATGGTGAGAAGGGAAGTAAGAGAGAGGTGGGAGAGAGATGCCAGGCTCTTATAACAACCAGTCCTTGTGTGAAGCAACAGTAGAACTCACCACTGTGAGAATGGCACCAAGCCACTCATGAGTGATCCACCCCCGGGGACCCAAACACCTCACATCAGGCCCCAACTCCAAAACGGGGATCAAATTTCAACAGGAGACTTGGCAGGGCCAAATAAATCATATCCAAACCACAGCACCATCCATGTCACAGTGTGTCTCTATTTAGGTCTTCTTTGATTTCTTTCATCAGTTTTTTTGTTGTTTTCTGCATGTAAATCCTGTACCTAGTTTGTTAGATTTACATCTGAGAGGTTTTTTTGAGTTACTGTAAATGATACGGGGTTTTTTTTTGTGTTGTTTTTTTTTTGAGAAATAGTCTCACTGTTGCCCAGGTTGGAGTGCAGTGGCGTGATCTCGACTCACTGCAACCTCCACCTCCCTGGTTCAAGCAATTCTCCTGCCTCAGCCTCCCTGAGTAGCTGGGACTACAGACACCTGCCACCATGCCTGGCTAATTTTTGTATTTTTAGTAGAGATGGGGTTTTGCCATATTGGCCAGGCTGGTCTTGAACTCCTGACTTCAGGTGATCCACCTGCCTCGGCCTCCCAAAGTGCTGGGATTACAGGCATGAGCCACCATGCCCGGCCCATGATATTGTATTTTTAACTTTTCTGTACAAGTGTTCATTACTAGTCTATATAAATACAATGGATTTTTGCATGTTCGTATTGTATCCTGCAACATTGTTGAACTTATTAGTTGTAGGAAGTTTTTATGTTTGTTTGTTGTATAGATTCCTTGGGATTTTTTACATACACAATTATGCCTCTGAAAATAGGGACAGTTTTATTTCTTATTTTCAATCTGTATGTATTTTATTTCCTTTTCTTGCCTTATTGCATTGACTAGAACTGCCAGTACTATGTTGAATGAGAATAGTGGGAGTGGACATCATTACCTGGTTCTCCATCTTAGGGGGAAAGCATTTTGTCTTTGGCCATTAAGTATAATGTCAGTTATAGGGTTTTTATAGATACTTCCTATCAAGTTGAGGAAGTTCCCCTTTATTCTCATTTTTATGTGAGTTTTGATCATAAATACCATTGATTTTTTTCAAAAACATAATTCACATACCATAACATTTTAAATAAACTTAGTAGTTTTTAGTATAGCCACAATGTTGTGCAGCCATTAATATTAATTCTAGAACAATTCATCATTCAAAAGAAACCCTATATCAATTAGCAGTCATTCTCCTTCCTTCCTTCTCCTCAGACCCTGGCAATCACTGCTCAACTTTCTGTCTCTATGGATTTGCCTATTCTGGACATTTTATATAAATAAAAATCATACAATATGTGCCTTTGTTCTTGACTTCTTTCACTTAGCACAGTGCTTTCAAGGTTCATTCATGTTTTAGTATGTATCAGTATTTCATTCCTTTTATAGCTTGCTAATATTCCATTGTATGGTGATACCACATTTTGTTGGTCCATCTATCAATTGATGGACATGTGGGTTGGTACCTTTTCGTGGGAGGGGGAAGCTATTAGGAATAATGGTTGTATGAACATTTTTGTACAAATTTTTGTGTGGATATATGTTTTCAATGCACCTAAGCATACATCTAGGAATGGTTTAACTTTTTGAGGAATTGCCAAATTATTTTCCATAGTAGCTGCACTATTATATATTCCCACCAGCAGTGCATGAGGTTTCCAATTTTTCAACATATTCACCAACATTTGTTATTGACTGTCTTTCAGAGTATGGCAATATGGGGGTGGGGGTGTGAAGTGACATCTTATTGTGGTTTTGATTTATATTTCCTTGATGGCTTATGATATTGAGCATTTTTTCATGTGCTTATTGGTCATTCATATATCTTCTTTGGAGAAATGTCTATTCAACTCCTTTGCTCATTTTTATTAGGATATCTTTTTATTATTGAGTTGTAGGAGTTCTTTATACACTCTGAATATTAGACTCTCATCAGATATGTAGCTTGCAAATATTTTCTTCCATTCTGTGGGTTGGTGTCTTTTGGCTTTCTTGATATGTTCTTTGAAACATAGAAGTTTTTTAACTTTGGTAAAATTTAATTAATCTGTGTTTTCTTTTGTCACTTGTACTTGTTGTTATTTCTAGGAAACCACTGCTCAATCCAAGGTCATGAAGATTTACTCCTAGGTTTTCTTCTAAGAGTTTTATAGTGTTAGTTCTTACATTTAAGTCTTTGATTCATTTTGAGTCAATTTTGTGTATAGTGTGAGGTAGGGGTCTAATTTTATATTTTTCCTTTGGGTATCTCAGGAAGGACCCTTCATTGCCCATTGAACTGTCTTGGCACCCTGTTTGAAAATAAATTAACCATAAATGTTAAGGTTTATTTCCAGACTATCAATTCTATTCCATTGATGTATGCCAGTACCACACATTCTTAATTACTATAGCTTTACAGATATGTTTTGAAGTTGTGAAGCGTGAACCCTCTTAGTTCTTTAAAATTGTTTTGGCTATTGTAAGTCCATTGAATTCTCATATGAACTTCTGAATCAGCACACTAGTTGCTGCAGAAAGGCAGCTGGAAATTTGATAGGGATCACATTGAGTCTGTAGATAAATTTGAGGAGTGTTGCCAGTGTTTGGCTAGAGTAGAGTGATCACTGTCTAAGTTTCCTCTCTTGCTAGGCTGCCCCTGCCCCCCACTTTGTTTATTTGTTTGTTTGTTTTTGTCTAGAGAGAGCAGGCTTTTATGGAGGGGGTGCTTTTTTTTTGTCTGCACCCATTGGCATTTCGGGGTTGCCAGCTTCTTCAGCTCCAAGTCTGGGTTATATGATGCAAAAGAAAACTCGAGGAACTCACCACAGTGTTATTCCTTAGGTCCTGAGGTGCCTTCTCTCCACCTACTGCATCTTGTGGTTTTTTTTTTTCAAAGCTGTTTTTCGATACGTTTTCTGCAAAGAATAGGCATGAGTGCATCTACTCCATCTCACTGGAAATGGAAATCAACTACATTTTCTTTTAAAAGGTACTTTTTCACAGGTACCTGATCTTGGTACAATATGGCTTTTTCTCCACAATCTGTTCTTTTCACAAATATTATTCCTTCCTTGTTCTCACTGAGCATCCCAAATATACTTACTTTAAAGTCTGTTTTTTTCAGACTCTTCTATTATTTTAATTTCCTCTGGAGTTAATTCACCTTACAGTTATTGATTTTTCTTGACTATTATTCTTAGCATAAGATGTCTTCATGGGCTTCAGAATTTTGAATCTCAGACTCATTTTGTGTTGAAAGACTTTGTCTCTCTTTCTCTCTTGGTACTCCCTTCCCCCATCTAGCAGTTTGGGGTGGGTCCACTTGATGTCTGGTCTGTGGTAAAGAAATATATATATATACACACACATATATGCATATTATATATACACACACATACACATATACATACATATATACATATATGTGTATAATATATATGTGTATATATATTTTGTTGGTGGTTTGGAATCCTGACCCTCTTGGTCTACTTGTTAAACCAGGGGACAAGAGATTAAGATGACTATATCTGTGTTCTCCTTTGACCCAGGGCCACACTTTCACATAAACTGTCACACCCCACCCCCATGAAATGACTGAATCCAATTTTTCAGACTTTTTTTCTGACACAGGGGTGACTCCTCTCTCCTCCATCCCCTGGATTCAAATAGGAAGCCTGGCTGTGTTCCCAGCCTTGGGTCCCTATTATGTCTCAGGTCCAGAGCCCGGCAGGCCCACGTCAATACTCAGAAGTTTGTGTTTCTGGACCATTGTGAAGTTTATCTTGTTTATCGATTGGAGCCCACTTATATCCTTTCAATATTTTCTTTGCATATTTTATTGTTCTGTGTTCACAGCCCAGACAGGCACCTCAGGGCATGAATCATAGCTTCATCTGGATGAGAAGCCAAATATTCTTCTCCTGTTTTTACTTTTAAAAGTCCATTAATTTTTATTTTGCTCTATTTTATGGGCTGCCATCTAATTTCCCCTTGGAAGTAAAGTGAAATACAGATAAATTATTTATTTCTTTAAATGTTTTATCATTTCTGAAATTGGGGTGCATCTTATATTCAATGCACCTGGGAATTTAAGATTCATGGTGTCAACCACACTTAGAATTGCAGCAGACACTTCACTAATGTGCCCAGTATCCAGGGGCCTAGACAGACAGAGAGACAGAGAGACAGATGGAGTGACTCCCACGAGTGGATGGGATTCCTCTGTGTGTTTAGAAGAACCTGGAGGGGTAGAAGGCTGCAGGCTCATTTCTGCTTTTGAAGTCATTGACCTCAGTCAAGGTTAACACAGCTCCTGCCCCCATCTGATTTAGAAGGTCTCATGGAAGAAGTTTAAGGACACACAGTCTTCTTTATTTCCCTCTTGCTTCATGCTCTAGAAGTTTTCACCTGGTCACAAAGGGTGCACACTTTGGCACACTGGGGTACAAGTATCCTTTCCAAGTTCTGACACTGTAGTTGTGGGACCAGCCCAAACTGGGCCTACCCTGTTGGTAACAAAATGTCAAGCTGCCTTTTAGGTAGAACAGAGCCCAAAACTGCAAGTCATGTAGCCTGGGCATGTGCCGTAGAAAAAACTTTGACCTCCAACAACACCCAGAACCAATGATTCGTCCTCTTAGAACCAAGAAGACTGGGACATGACCAGAAGTTGAAAACCAGAACTCATTCACAAGCAAAGGGGTCCATCAGCCTGGAAGGTCTGGGGCTAAAATCTACTTTAATATACATTACCACATATGGTCAAATTTGAAGCCCTCCAATCAGACCCTGGCAAGCCAGCATTGATAAATACTTTCTCTTGCCACCTGATCCCTTAAAACTTGCCCCATACCTCAAATCAGGGAGACGGATTTGAGCCCACCTCCTCTCTCCTTGCTGGTCAGTTTTGCAATAAAGCTTTTCTTTTCTCAAAAGCTGGTGCCATATGTATCGGCTTCCGTGTGCATCAGGCAGCAAGACCACTTGCTCAGTAACAACATCCTTATGCCCTAATTCCCTTGAGTGAAAACTGCAGGTCTGAGTGAATCCAGCTCTGTCCCAGGCCTGCCTAAAGAGTGCAGATGGTTCCCAGCTTCAGCCTCCTTGAATACTGTGTCCTCAAAAGACTGGCATACTGGGTATTGTTAACTGAAGAATGACGAGGTTCATAAACCTGGAAAGGAGAGTTTTATTTATCATAAAAGGTTGCACCCTGCAGAGTGGCCATTTGAATAGGCTGGGAAGTGTAGCCTCTGGCCAGAAGCCATAAACAGGCACTTCAAGGGTTGGAAGAGTAAGACAGGAATTTATGTTGATCAGGGTGGCCAAATATACATATTCAATAAGCTACAGGAGGAGTTATAAATATTTATGAGAAGAGAAATATGCACATGTGCAACTGAGCTTCATCCCCCTTCATGGGTAGCACCTACAAAAAATGGCAGTGTTAGCGTGATCTGAAGGTGGAGTTTTCAGCCCTCTAATGTCAAAAGGTGTATCAGAGGACACAAAAGCTTTCACTGCACATCCTCCACAGGCTGGCCAGAACCACTCCAGGGTTGGTGGTCTCTTACTAGGAAAGAATGCTGGTCAGTTGTTGTGTGCCACAAAAAGGGAGGGGCAGTGTCAGATGGTTGGTTGGTATCAATGTTGAAGTCTTTCAAAGAGGCTTGTTTCTGTTTAACTCTTAAGGAAAAAAGCCTAATGGTGGTTATCGGTTATGGAGCGGGGGCAGATAATGAAGTGTGTCCAACCTCCCATCCCATCATGGCCAGGAACTCGGCTTCCCAGGTTTCTCTGGGGTCCCCTGGCCAAGAGGGGGTCTGTTCAGTTGGTTGGGGGGGGGGGGCTTAAATTTTTATTTTTATTTCTCAGTATCTTTTCTCTCCAGCCATGCCAGCTTGAAACTGACCATGCAGAAGGATCACCTAGGTCAAGCTGGGAATCCAGACCCGGAATCAAACAGTTCTTACCCTTTGGCCAGTGTATTAGTCTGTTTTCACGCTGCTGATAAAGACATACCTGAGACTGGGCAATTTACAAAAGAAAGAGGTTTATTGGACTTACAGTTCTGTGTGGTGGGGAGGCTCACAATGACGGCAGAAGGTGAAAGGCACGGAGGAGCAAGTCAGGTCTTACATGGATGGCGGCAGGCAAAGAGAGAACTTGTGCAGGGAAACTTCCCTTTTTTTTTTTTTTAATTTTTTTTTGAGATGGACTTTTGCTCTGTTGCCCAGGCTGGAGTACAGTGGTGCAATGTCTGCTCACTGCAAGCTCCGCCTCCTGGGTTCACGCCATTCTCCTGGCTCAGCCTCCCAAGTAGCTGGGACTACAGGCGCCCACCACCACGCCTGGCTAATTTTTTGTATTTTTAGTAGAGACGGGGTTTCACCATGTTAGCCAGGATGGTCTCGATCTCCTGACCTCGTGATCCACCCGCCTTGGCCTCCCAAAGTGCTGGGAGTACAGACGTGAGCCATTGTGCCCGGCCGGAAACTTCCCTTTTTAAAACCATCAGATCTCTTGAGACTCACTCACTATCACAAGAAGAGTGCAGAAAAGACCTGCCCACATAATTCGATCACCTTCCACCAGGTTCCTCCCACGATGTGGGAATTGTGGGAGTTACGACTCAAGATGAGATTTGGGTGGAGACACAGCCAAACCATATCAGCCAGGTATCTTCACTCCTTGGTATTTACTCTGGGGAACCCAGCAGAGAAAAGGGTGGGGATTTATATACAAGTGTAGTTTATAAAACTTTAGCATGGTAAACAAGATAAGGATCTATCAAAAAGGGCATGGCTAAATACTTTGCGGTACAGGAGTTCCATGGACCACAGGCAATAACTGAAAATCATGCTTCTGAACTATCTTTAATAGGAAAATGCTCAAAATTCAATGTGCTGTTATGGTTACAAAATATTCATAAGGTAAAAAATATTTTGTAGAACATATCATAGAAAAATGACTGGATGGAAGTACAGAAATATTACTATCTCTACGTTACATATATATGTATTACTATTTGCTATCTTTAGGTGGAGGGAGTCTGAGTAGTATAAAGTTTTTTTTACTTCTCTTACATCAAGATTTGTTACATTAAATTTATATTCAAATCACAATAAGGGCCTGATGCAGTGGCTCACGCCTGTAATCCCAGAACTTTGGGAGGCCAAGGCAGGCGGATGCCCTGAGGTCAGGAGTTGGAGACTGGCCAGGCCAACAAGGTGAAACCCCGTCTCTACTAAAAATACAAAAATTAGCCGGGCATGGTAGCACGCGCCTGTAATCCCAGTTACTTGGGTGGCTGAGGCAGAAGAATCGCTTGAACCCGGGAGGCGGAGGTTGCAGTGACTCAGGATCGCGCCACTGCACTCCAGCCTAGGCGACAGAGCGAGACTCCGTCTCAAAAAAAAAAAAAAATAAGAAGAACAGTAAATCATCAAAAAAATAAACCCAATGACAACCACAGAAAGAGCCTTGCAAGCCCTCTTGGGAGGAATGACTGGGAGAACACCAGGTACCCGCCCTGATGAAGACGCCGCAGCAACTACAGTCTTCCCCGATTGGCAGCAGCCCGAGTTGGGGGGTGGGGGGGGGTGGGACTTTGTGCATCACTTCCGGGGGCGGGGCAGCGGTCGTCTCCGCACGCGCGGGAGCGGTCGGTATCCATGGCAACCAGCGGGGCCAGCCTAAGGCCCGCCCGCCACCGCCACCGCGCCGGCCCCGCCCGCACAAAGGCCGCGCGGTGACCCGCCCTCTGCCGCGACCCCGGCCCCGCCCCTGCCCCGGCCCCGGCCTGGCCCGGTCCCTGCACCTGCCGGAGGCCGCCCGCCGCCATCGCCAGCGCCGTCGCTTGGCTGCGCTGACCGGGAAGCAGTTCTCGGCGGTCCGCGCGGTGATTCATCGGCCTGGCCGCGTCCCCCGCGCGGGCCATCTTGGTCACGGCCGGCGGCGGACAGAGCCGCGGAGGAACCGCGAGACCCCAGGTACGCGTGCCCCCGGCCCCCTGCCCGGCCGGGCCCCGCCACTGTGGTGGCCCCCAGGCCCGCGGCCGCCAAGGAGCAGCCCCCTTTGTTCTCCCCCGGGCGGGCGCGGGGCGGGCGCCGCGGGGCTTTGTGCAGCCTCGCCACCCACGCGCGGGCCCTCCACGCCGCCCCTCACCCTCCTGCCCGCTAGTCGCAACTGAAACCTTGAAAACATCTTTTCTTAATCCTCCAGGGCCCAGAGCAGGTCCAGCCACCCGTCTGGCTCCGTAGTCCGCGAAGTCTGCAGTAAAGGAGCCGCGTGGGACCGGGGCCGAAGTCCCTAGGGCCTGGCACCGCGTGCCCCTCTCTCGGGCCCTCGGCTTGGGGGTCTCGCAGCGCCCTGCCGTCGTGCACCCCACACTGCCCCCATTTCTACAGGGGCCCACCTGGTCACCACACCCTCTTGGTCCACCCGCGGATCTCAGCGTGTGGCTGACCTCTGGCCAGCATGGTGCAGCCGCAGACGTCCAAAGCTGAAAGCCCAGCCTTGGCAGCGTCTCCGAATGCCCAGATGGATGACGTTATTGACACCCTGACCTCCCTGCGCCTCACCAACTCGGCGCTGAGGCGGGAGGCTTCCACCCTGCGGGCGGAGAAGGCCAATCTCACCAACATGCTGGAGAGCGTGATGGCAGAGCTGACCTTGTTACGCACCAGGGCGCGGATCCCGGGGGCTCTGCAGATCACCCCGCCCATCTCCTCAATTACTTCAAACGGGACTCGACCCATGACCACACCTCCAACCTCTCTGCCCGAGCCCTTTTCCGGGGACCCAGGCCGGTTGGCGGGGTTCCTGATGCAGATGGACAGATTCATGATCTTCCAGGCCTCCCGCTTCCCGGGTGAGGCCGAGCGTGTGGCCTTCCTTGTGTCTCGACTGACTGGGGAGGCGGAGAAGTGGGCTATCCCCCACATGCAACCTGACAGCCCCTTGCGCAACAACTATCAGGGGTTCCTGGCAGAGTTGCGGAGAACCTACAAGTCTCCGCTCCGGCATGCGCGGCGCGCCCAAATCAGGAAGACTTCTGCCTCTAATAGGGCTGTGCGAGAGAGGCAGATGCTCTGCCGCCAGCTGGCCTCTGCGGGCACGGGGCCTTGCCCAGTGCATCCAGCTTCCAACGGGACTAGTCCAGCGCCAGCCCTGCCTGCCCGAGCACGGAATCTTTAAGAATCCGCCAGCACTTGGTAGCGTCTGCAGCCACCCAGGTAGCATACGCTCTTTGCTGTGTAGAAGAAATGCCCATACGACAGCTTTGCCCCTGTTTGAAGACCTCCCTTCTTGCCTCTCCAGACGTGTTCCCCGAGGAGATCTTCCTTCCGTCCTTCCTGGCGCCCTGGTTGCCCACCTTGCCGTGCTTCCTCTTACGTGCTAGCTTTGTACCTATCGCTCACTGCATGCTCGCCTCCCTCTTGCTGGCATCCCGGCCTGTTTCAATGACTACCGCTCTGCTACTTAGGCACAGGGACTCCGCCGCACGCTGACGGACCACGAGGGCTGACCCCTTCCAGCCTGACTTGGTTCATGGAGGCTCCTACTCTGCCCTCTCCAAGCTCCCCTGGCGGCTCCCCACCTGGTTGCCCAGTTCCTATTGATGAGCTCTGGACAGAAAGATGCCCGTTTGGCCAGGCTGGTGGCTTGATGGGTGTACCTGGAGAGGGGGTCTGGCTTCCTGCCCAAGATGCCTCCCAGCCCTGCCAGGGCCCGGTGCAGCGGGCAGGGCCTCATCTGTGCTGTAGTGGTCGAGTGGTTGCTGCAAGGAGCGTAGTTCTGCCATGTCTGGGGGCCAGGTTCCACTCTGCACATGAATATGCAGTCTGGGAGGCCCCACTGCTCTCACTGGGAAGGACCAATGTTGCACCTCTGTTAATGCCTGACTTCAGCTGCTGGTGTTCTGATGGAGCCAGAGGCTTGGGGAATCTGGAACTTGCCTGCTAAATAAGGTCGTGGTGGACTCTCAGCCATTGGGCAGGTCTATCAGGCTGCAGGTTCCTACACACCCACGCCTGAGGGTCATAGCAGGCTAAGGGTGGATACCAGCGACTCCCTTTGCTGCCCAGGATCTCCATGGGCAGTGCCACAGCGGCTGATGCTCAGTCACTCCTGCTTCTACCCCCTGTCACTGATGGCGAGCCTTGCCCAGCTTGAGACCTGTTCCCATCTCTATTCAGGTGCCATGTGGCCTTCACTGCAGCCCTGCAGCCACCCACGCACCATCTGTGGGTCTCCAAAGGCACCTTGTAGCATGTACTCCCCGTGCCTGGGCAATCAGATGGGCTGCCTTTGTCCAAGGGAAAACAGACTCCCTTCGGGAAACATCCTTAAGCACTTAAGGCCGGGGGGGGTGTCTGCCTCTGGCAACCCAGCCAGGGTCTTGGTGGCATTTGTAAAAGCAAAGAGCTGTGGACTGCCGTGGTCCTAGTGTGGTGACAATGCAGCACTGGCATGCATGTCCTCCTTCTGAAGGACCTCATCCTTCCTCACAGGGGGATGACCAAGAAATCATTTTGTGGCTGAGTTTGGCCACGCCCTTTGGACTGTGCTGTTCCGCCATATTTCAATGCCAAATGAACCACATTGACATGACCTGGACCATAGGGCTTCCTATCCTGGGCTCAGCTGCCCCTGTCTGAAGGGTCTTGGCTTGATTGCAGAAGGACAACCTCCGCACCCACCTAAAGACATGTATATGTCTTGGGATCCCAGAGATTGGGTCCTTGGGCCTGGCTTCTTAAGAGTTTTGATGATGCTGGGAAAAGTGACTGCGATTCTGAAGAACCGCTGCCTTGCAAGGTCAAGGACATTCAGTGGTTGCTGGGGTCCGCAGACTACTGCCACCCACTCACCATCAACTCTGTTAGCCCAATTGCCCTGCTGAACAACTGCCTGAATACAGGCTTTAGGTTCCCCTGGACTCCAGCCAAGGCTGTTCAGGTGGGACCATGGTGCTCTTTAAGCGTGATCGGAGGGAAGACACACAGCAGGGCCACCATTCCATGAATGGGAGGTGTACAGATCACTTTCTCTTTGTGCTCAGTTCTGTTCTGTCTCCAGCAGCTATATTGGTAAGACTAGTACCTGCCAGGGAGAGGTGCCCCCAAGTGAAGGGGTACAGTGGCACCTGGGAAAAGGCACCTGGAAGGTTTCCATGTGGCCCAGCCCAGCATGGAAGCAGGGTGGGAACTCTGCTGTGTCGCCAGCGCTCACTCTACTCGAGTGGCTTTTTGAAAGCCCTACCATGTCTGTGTCAGGCCTGTGCTGCTTCACATCCTACAGCTGCCTAGGAAAGGCCGGCCACGCTCCCTGTCCACACACTCCCTGTCCACACACTCCCTGTCCACACACTCCCTGTCCACAACTGCAGCCGGGCCCTCTGCCTATGGGCACCCAATCCAAGCAGCTGCTCCACCTTTGTTTGGCATGGTGATTTGTGTTTTTTCTCTTGGTGCTTATGTGTGTGGGCTTGGGACGAGTGCTGGTATGCACTTAGGACCTTCTTGATAGCTCCCTGCACTTTGGAACACGGAGCAGATGAGAGAGGGTCGGGGCTTGCCCTCCACCTTGGACTTGGAAGAAGCCCACATTGGAGAGGTGAGGACCCCATGGTGGCTCTAGTGGAAGATACGTTAGTCTCCAGCTAAGGAGGATGAGGCGCAGCCCCAGAGGGAGACCTCAGTGATAGGGGATCAGGCTAAGAAAGTGGGGGAAGGGAGATGCTTTGTACATATTTTGGGGTTATAATTTCTCTAAATTTTAGGAGAACGGGTATTGATTGATAAAAGGGACAGGCAGTAGTGTTCAACAGTGCATGTGAAGGAAAGTTCTGTTTTCCATGGTTTTGACATTCTTTGGACTGTATTGTGACTGCTGTCTGGTCCACATGGTACCCCTTTGGTAAGTAGGCTTCAGTGCATACCAGGGTATCACTGGAGATGGGAGTTAGTGAAGGGGTGACTCCCTGGCCTAGTATAGTGTGACCCTGGGACTAACTTAATGTCCTAAAGCATTTTGGTGACTTCTAGGGAATAGCAAAGACCTATTTCATTGTCCCCAGGTAAGTATGTGATGAGCAATGAGGAGGAGTGGAAAACAAAACCCAGAAAGTGCGGCAGGACCAGCCTGACGCACACGCTCCTGTTGTCATGGCAGACAGCCGCCTTGGGTGGGCACCACCCTGGCAGTTCCAGCCTGTAGGGGAGTGAAGGGACATGGCTGAGCTGGGCATGTGCTGAGGTTGACTTAGGGAACAAGCCCTGGGATTGGACAAAAGGGCCCATGCTGCAGCCACTGACTGGGGGCAGAGCTCTGGGTGGAAGAGGGAAGAGATCCTAATGGAGGCGCCTCCATCTGCAACCACAGTTGTAAGGCTCATGGCACCTCTGCTTGGAAAGCACTGGTTTAGGGACTTAGAGAGGTAGGCACAAGGTGGGTCTCCTGGGTAAGGGAAGCAAGAGCAGACTGTTGGGCCAACAGGAGAAGCTCCCCAGAGTAGGGGAGAAGGTTGGGGTGTAGGGCCTTCCACGTGGAACAGACAGCCCCTGTGTCTCTGTCTCTTGGGGACCTGAGTTTGGGTGGGGTGGCAGTTGGCACAGCGCAGATGCGGTAGAGATGGGAGGAAACCCAGCTCCTCACTTCCGTGTGCCTCATGCCTTTGCATACACAAGCACCAAACCTACTAGGTCTTCTCATTACCCATGTAAACCACATGTTAGATAAATTTTTGCAAGTAGAGGAAAGAAGGAAATAAAACATCACATTTTGGTGTCTCTCAGGCTTTCCCCCCCAACTATGGTTTCTTTGCTTTTTGTTTTAACATAGTTTTGTTGCTGTCTTCTGTAATGATACAGTTTTGTGCAGCTGTTTTCACTTAGCATATCGTGGGCATCTCCCCTTATGATTACTAAATATTTTATTTTGGAGTGGCTGTGTACTCTCCCATTGACTAGATGGACCATTGTGCCAGTTGCCAATCACTAATGCTGTTACTAACTTTTCAGTTATAAATTGATGAATATCTTTGTGCACAGGCTGTTTCCCAATGTCAAGTTATTAGGGTAGACTCCAGGAGGTGGGATTCTTCAACTAAAGAATATGAAAACCTTTGAGGCTTTTACTACATATTGACAAAATGGTTTCCGGAAATATTTGTATCCCCTTACACTGCCACCAGCAAGGATAAACATGTCCATCTTGCCCGTATTGGGAATTATCATCTGGCTAAATATTTGCTAATTTGATAATGAAAAAATAGCATCGTGTTTCAGTTGGCATTTCACTGACTTCTAGCACGGTTGAACATCTTTCATGTGGAGCGATTGTATTTCCTCCTTTGTGGATTGTCAGTGTCCTTTGCTCTATCTTCTGGGGTCAGATAAATTTGTATGAGCTCGGTATATATTAAAGATATTAACCTGGTGTGTGTCATATTTGCTACAGCTGTTTCTGGGTTTTTGTGTGTTTTATCTTATTGGAATTTTGACATACATAGTCGATCTGTCTCCACAGCACTGTGTCTGCTAGACAAGAACACAAGGCAGGCAGGTGGATTTTGTCTGTTTTGTTCATGGCCGTAGCACTAGCACCTATGACAATGCCTGGCACGTGATAGGTACTCAGTACACTTCTGTTGAATTAGTTACTCCAGTGGATCTGCAACGCCTTGGGATCCACGGCACGTGATAAGCACTCAGTACACGTTTGTTGAGTTAGTTACTCTGATGGATCTGCAACACATTGGGATCCACACATGGATCCAGCAGTCCGCGCTCCAGCTCACAGGCCGAGGCTCTCACACTCCAGAGCTCGCAGGCCGAGGCTCTCACACTCCAGAGCTCGCAGGCCGAGGCTCTCACACATTTTGTCTCAGGGTCCCCTTGCACTATAAGAACTCATTGAGGGCCTCAAACAGCTTTTGCTTATATAGGTTTTCTCTATCAATATTTACCATATTATACATTTAAACAGAATTTTAAAATAATTATTTGGAAAATAAAAACACTGTTAAACAACATTTTAAATAAAAAAAACTATATTTTCCAAAACAAAACGCTTGTGAGGAGAGGCATTGACGAAGACATTTTTGCAAATGCCTGTAATGTCTGGCTGAATGGAAGACAGTGGGAGCCTCCTACCTGCTGTGCTTAACCTGCAAGAGCACATGCCATGGTGCCTCTGAAAGCCCCACTGCGCCCATGAGATGACGCGGAAAAGGCACATGATATTTTGGGATTATTATGAAAACAATTTTGTGGACCCCCGAAAGCGTCTTGCCCCTCTTTGAGAACTGCTGGCCTAAAGAGAGACAAGGATTGGCAGTTTGGAGAACATCACCAACTGTTCCATCGCTTTAAACTTCAGGTCTTTCTTCCCCCTCTAGATTAATACACAGTTATTTCTGGGATTAATTTGGCATGTAATGTGAGAGGAGGCTCTAAATAGACTGTCTTTCAAAGATTTAAATACCCTGAGTCCAGTTATTAATAAGTATTTCTCTCCCTTGGTCACGTGTGTTCTTTCCTTCACACGCAGGGAAATCTTATCTACCGTAGGACCAACTTTCCCACTGTTTATTCAGTTGATCCATTTGTCTTGCCCAGTACTTCCCTATTTTAGCTGACTTGGGTTTTATAATTTTTTTTTTTTTTTTTTTTTCTGAGACGGAGTCTCTGTCGCCCAGGCTGGAGTCCAGTGGTATGATCTCGGCTCACTGCAACTTCTGCCTCCTGGGTTCAAGCGATTCTCCTGCCTCAGGCCCCCGAGTAGCTGGGATTACAGGCACCAGTCATCACTCCTAGTTAATTTTTTTTTTTTTTTTTGTATTTTTAGTAGAGACAGGGTTTTGCCATGTTGGCCAGGCTGGTCTCAAACTCCTGACCTCAGGTGATCCACCCGCCTCAGACTCCCAAAGTGCTGGGATTATAGGCATGAGCCACTATGCCTGGCCAGGTTTTATAATTTCTATTCACATATAGTAGGACTCTCCCCCTTCAGATTTTCTTAGCTGTTGTTACTAGATGAACTTGAAAACATTCTATGGTTTCCCCAAAACCCTGGTAACAGGTGAGGGCCTGGAGAGGCATAAGCACTTTGGGGAGCTGTGTGCAGGGTGCAGCGTGGGGGGCTCTGTGTAGGGGCTCTGTGGTTGTGGGCTGCAGAGTAGAAGGGAAGGCTCTCCTTCCACCCTGCAGAAAGCCTTGCCCTGAGGTTTCCCCCATGTGCTGCTCTGTGACGGGTGGCTCGTTTGGGAATGGGAGTGAAAATCAGGGTGCCCTCTGGCTAGCCTGTTGTCTAGTCAGTGTCTTCTTCTATGGAAAGGCCTGGAGTGTACATAGTGCCCTCCTGCCTGTCCCCACGTGGCTGATCCGAGAGGTTTACAAAGACTGGCCTTGCAAGGACTCTGCCTGACAGGGAGATCTAGGGCTGAGCCCCCTCCCCATCCCACTGTCTGGCCCCTTCGAGGCAAGAGAACAGATTATGGGTTGGAGCTGGGCCTCTACTCTCTGGCTCTGTGACACTTGCTCTCACTTTGTGCTCCCATGGGCCCAGCCTGGTGAAATTCCATCCTGTTGCCCTGGAGATTTTCTGGGGAGCCTCCCCTTCTCTATCCAGGGCATCCCCAGCTTAGCGTCTGGGCATCTTCCTTGACTTACTCCTCTCTCCTGCACCTGCTCCAGTGCCTGGACCTCGTGGTCCTCAGCGACTGTCAGGTCAGCCGGGCTCTCTGTCCCCACTACCACTGCCCGCTGCAGGTCTGGGCAGCCAGCCTCGCTAACCGCCTCCTTTCTCCTGCTCTTATCGTTCTGTTAAGAAGGATCCAGTGTTACTCCACTTAGGACACTCCCTGAGCAACCAGGCTGTGCTCCTGCCCTGACACCCTCAGGCTCACACCTAGTAAGTGATAGACTTATGCCTTACTGAGCCTATCTGTCTCCCCCAACCGACTGTGCTCCCAGAGGGCAGGGCTGCTGTGTGAGTCACCTGCGTCCGTAGCACCTCACCCAGAGCCTGGCGGAGAAGCGACCAGGTGTCTGTTTAGCGGTTGAGCAGAAGGACCACACATCAGAGCACAGCCGGAGTCTCGGGTCCACGTCACGCCAACCAGTCACATCGCAGCTGGCCACCAAGCTGAGCCAGAAACCCCAGCCAGCCGCACTCCTGTGTTGTCCTGTTTACTTTCCTTTCTTACAGAATGGGACAATATTCTACATGCTTAATATGTGATGAGAACTTGCCAAGGTCATGACATGGTCTTTGAAAATAGGATTTGTAAGTAAATATCCCATCTCTGGACTGGCCATGCTTCACCCAAATGATCCCTTTCCTTTAGAAATGTGTTGACAATTTTCGTCATAGTGAACAATGCTGTGAGAAGCATCCTAGTCACTAAACGATTCCTTGGGCGTAGTTTTCTGTTGTCGATATGATCCTATGGCGAGTCTCACAGGCTTCCTTCATAGTTACTAAGAGATCGTTGCTGATACGTACGAAAGATTAATGCTGTGTTTTTATTTGGCTGCTTCGCTGAACGTGTAGTCGTTTGAGGGATGTTTCAGTTGATTCCACGGACTGACTGGGTTTCCACCAGAATCAGCAGAGTTTCCAATTAACTGCGATCATCTGCCCTTGCCATGGATGCCTTGGGCCGTCTGGGTTTCCTTCCAAGACTAAAGGGTCTGCTCCCCTGCTGCTGGGAGTGCTGGCTGCGAGAGCGGTCAGCTGGGGTCCCTTCTGAACCTTGCCCTCGAGCAAAGGTGCCACCTCACCCGAGGCCATGTGAGCCTCTTTTCTGTGGCAATGCTCACCCCGGGCCTGGGGGACGCGGGACTACCGTGCAGGGTCAGCCGGCTCCAGAGCTCTCCGTGGGACTCACAGAGACTGCAGACATCCCCAGTGCCAGTCCTTGGCCTCACGTCCCACAGGTGTCCATCCTGAGAGCATTTTCCATAGCCTTCCCACAGGCAGATCTCCAGGGAAGGTTACTGGTAACAATTCTTTCCTTCCTTCCTTCCTTCCTTCCTTCCTTCCTTCCTTCCTTCCTCCCTCCCTCCCTCCCTCCCTCCCTCCCTCCCCTTTCTCCCCTGCCCTCCTCTTCTCTCCTTTCCCCTCCCCTCCTCTCCCCTCCTTTCCCCTCCCCTCCTCTCCCCTCCTCTCCTCTCCTTTCCCCTCCCCTCCTCTCCTCTCCCCTCCCCTCCTCTTCCCTCCCCTTTCCTCCTTTCCTTTCCTTTCCCCTTTCCTTTTCCTTTTCCTTTTCCTTTCCCTTTTCAAAAATTTTTTGTAGAGATGGACTCTTACTATGTTGTCCAGGCTGGTCTGGAATTCCTGGGCTCAAACAATCCACCTGCCTCAGGCTCCTAAGGTGCTGGAATTACAGGTGTGAGCTGCTGTGCCCAGCTGTTTCCTTATTTAGACTGTCGCCTGTACCTCCTCTTAGGTCACTTGTGGAACTTCCCCAGCACTGCTGTTGCCGGGACTGATGGGTGACACCCTCGTCCTGCTCCCAGCACTAACAGAAAGCAGACTCGATGGGCTCCATGGGTGTTCCCTCTGTGGTCGACTGTGCTACTTGCTGATGAGTCTATCTCAGTTCATCCTCATAACAGCCCCACTTGACAGATGAGAAAATCGGCTTGGAGTGCTGAAGACAATTTTCTAGGTCAAGATTGAGTTTATACAGAAACCTCCCTCTTCAAGTCCATGCACTCGAAGTGAAAACATCAATAACACCACACACACAGACACACACAAGAGCTGTATGAATGGAGCATTTGAAAATAATGAAAGGACATTTCTATGGACCAGAAGTGAAAACATCTCCCCGAAACTAAAATGCAAGCGATAACTGGGAACCACGTGCCGTCTGCCCATGGGTGGGGGCTGGAAATCTTGCCAGGATTTGTGGCCAGAAAATGGTCCCCCATGGCCAGGGACAGAAGCTAGTCATTGACATGAGTCCAGGGTGCATCCTGCATGGCACGAGTGGTGTGCACAGTGCTCTGAAGACAGAGCTTCTTCACCCTGTGTGCCCTGGAGGACCAGGGTGGATACAACCAGGGAACCACAACACATAGACACACAGACCCCAGTCCAGGAAGGAGAGATGCCCTGCAGGAGACAGCTGCAGAAACAAACAAAGCACGTAGGACAAAATAGCATTGCGACAGTCACCAGACCACATAGAGGAAGATTCTTGCAGTAGCATAATCTTGGCTCACTGCAACCTCCGCCTCCTGGGTTCAAGCAATTCTCCTGTCTCAGCCTCCTGTGTAGCTGGGACTACAGGTGCGTGCCACCACACCCAGCTAGTCTTTGTATTTTTAGTAGACACGGGGTTTCTCCATGTTGGCCAGGCTCGTCTCAAACTCCTGATCTCAGGTGATCTGCCCGCCTGGGCCTCCTAAAGTGCTGGGATTACAGGCATGAGCCACCACGCCTGGCCCAAGGTACTATTTTCAATGATGTCACCTGCAGTGGACTGAATCTTTGTATCCCCTCAATATTTGTGTGTTGAAATCCTAGCCTCCAATGGGATGGCCTTAGGAGGTGGGCCTTTGGGAGGCAGTGAGGTCATGCGGGTAGCACCCTCACGAATAGATACAGCAAGAGGACAATTGGTCATCGGCCTGCAACCTGGAAGCAGGTCTCACCAGACACTGAATCTGTCATCACCTTGATCTTGAACCTCCCAGCCTTCAGGACTGTGAGAAGTAAATGTTTGTGGCTCAAGCCACCCAGTCTGTGGTACCTTGTTATAGCAGCCCAAACGAAGAAACCATCACATCCTGAAATCTCAATTTTTTTTTTTTTTTTTGAGACAGAGTCTTACTCTGTCTCCCAGGCTGGAGTGCAATGGCACAATCTTGGCTCACTGCAACCTCCGCCTCCCGGATTCAAGTGGTTCTCCTGGCTTTGCCTCCCAAGTAGCTGGGATTACAGGTGCCTGCCACCGCGCCCAGCTAATTTTTGTATTTTTAGTAGAGACAGGGTTTCGCCATGTTGGCCAGGCTGGTCTTAAACTCTTGACCTCAGATGATCCACCTGCCTCGGCCTCCCAAAGTGTTGGGATTACAGGCATGAGCCACCATGCCTGGCCTGAAATCTCAGTATTTTTATAAATTGTAAAGTTATTTTCCGTATCTCTTGGACATAATGGTATTTTTGTGACTGTGATATTTTGTCATTTTATTTTCTTCTCTCACAGCGTCAGTGGAGGTCAGCAGGAGGTCCCTGCAGGCTTGCACTGCCCTGCTGGTTATCACTGCTGGTGACTCATGCAGCCAGCCTGCTGATGCCCTGAGCTGGCCTGTTCAGCTTGGTGTCCAGAGGGCTCTGCTGTGGGCCCGGGGGGAGGGAACCACGCACCTTCCTCTGTGGAACTGTGGCTGCTTTCCCCCTTCCTCATCCTGTTCTTCATCTGCCCCAGCCTGTGAAGGGAACTCCTCGTGCCTGGGCAGGCTTATGGGTGCCGGGAGGCTGGGGAGCTGGCTCACGCTCTGAGTGGGCTTCCCTGGCCAGTCCTGTGCCCCATCACCAGCCTCGCTCTGTGGTCTTTGCCCTGGTGCACTGGGCGGTACCACTTCACCACGTCTTTCAGTGGTCCTTCCGTGTGTTCCAAAGCTTCTGGATTTCAAATGTTGCTGTGCTCACAGAAACCTGATGGTTTACACACCAAGCAATACCACCACCACCACCGCCACCACCACAACAACAAAATAATGAGTAGAAACTGCCAACTCCCTCAGATCAGGTCACAGCATTTTCAAAAACAGCAGAACCCATGTGACTTACCTGTGGCTCTCCGAGAGCTGTCTTCGTCACAGGACACCTGCCAAAGCCTCCGCCCACCTTTCAAGAAAAGCGATGTGTTTTCTAGTTATACACATATAGCAGGATATTGAACTGGGCTTTTTCTGTTGGCCCCAGATGATAACGAAGCCCCGAAGCTGAGAATGCAATGCAGTAAACAGGCTGTATTCTGAACCTGGAGAGCTGCCCACGGACCATCAGCTACCACACTTGAAGGGAATTCCTAGACCTGCCATTCTCCCAGAACCCAAATGTTGCATAGATGGGCTGGTTCTTTATTGATCTCGTTTTCTCTTCTTCCTGGGCAAAAAGCTCAATGACATCTCTCTGCCCCCTCAACGACAAGCTGCGGCTCAATGCTTAGACTAACATGCCAATGGAATGTAGGTGGGGATCCTGTCCCTCTCACTGGCTGGATTCAAGCTGATGGACAGGGTGACCTTGGAAATAGGCTGTGAAGGCAGCAGGTTCATGCAATGAGGAGGCCTGGGCCCCCAAGTTACTGGCTGGAGGAAGACTTCCAACTGCTCAGGAGCACACACTGTGGACATCCCCTGAAAGGGAAAGAAGCACCAGCTCTGGCCAGGCACGATGGCTCATGCCTGTAATCCCAGCACTTAGCGAGGCTGAAGTGGGTGGATCACTTGAGGCCAGGAGTTCGAGACCAGCCTGGCCAACATGGAGAAACCCTGTCTCTACTAAAAATACAAAAATTAGCCAGATATGGTGGCAGGTGCCTGTAATCCCACCTACTCGGGAGGCTGAGGCAGGAGAATCACCTGAACCTTGGAGGCGGACATTGCAGTGAGCCGAGATCACGCCACTGCACTTCAGCCTGGGTGACAGAGTGAGACTCCGTCTCAAAAAAAAAAAAAAATTTCAGAAACCAAAACCCCCCAAAAAACACCAGGTGTGAGTCCTTACGTGCAGAAGATGGGACTGTGGGAGTGATCTGTCCGGGGGCTACCATGGAGGCTTGGTGGTAAGTACTGTTTTCTCCTTCATAGGAGAAAGCTAGGGGAGAGTGGGCTTTGAGAACTTCATGTAGGTTGAAGGCACCTCTGAGATGGGGACAAGTGCATTCTGGTCATGTCTGGTTGGCCAGTGGACTCCCCACCTGCCTTCATCCCATGAACCATGGGTTAAGGGACTCAGAGGGAGAGGAGGTTTCTCATTCAAGGGGAGCCAGCATCAACCCCTTTAGTTTCCTTTTCCAGAATCTATGGAAGCTGGATCCCCACCCTCCAGTTGCCTGCTGCCCCAGGAAGGTGGATGAGACAGGGAACCACGGTGTTGTGGGATCCCCATGGTGGGGAGCACACAAGAATTCATGCATCAGAGCACTGCGGTGTGACCACCACCAGCCAGGGCCAGCCAGGAGAGGAGGCCAGGTGAAATCATGGACCAGAGCCACCTGGGAGGGCCCAGGTGGGAGCCGACATCTTCTCATGCTCAGCGGTGGATGGGAAAGTGGGAGAGGCCACCACCCTGCCAGGGCCCTCTCCCTGCGCCCTCTCTGAGCCATCCCAACACGTGAATAAACACAGCCTGGTGAGGCAAACAGTTTCGTTGAGTCCAGAGGGGCCCTTTCCCGCTCCTCCAAGCCGCAAGAGCCACAGAGAACTCTGGCCACAAGTCTTGAATTGTGTTTGAGCTGAACATTCTTTAGAAATAGACAGGGCTTAGTCTTAAACACCAAGAGGCTGTTCTAAAGACGAAAATGAAAAGAAAACCAGCTGGGCGCGGTGGCTCACCCCTGTAATCCCAGCACTTTGGGAGGCCGAGGCGGGCGGATCACGAGGTCAGGAGATCGAGACCATCCTGGCTAACACGGTGAAACCCTGTCTCTACTAAAAAATACAAAAAAAATTAGCTGGGCGTGGTGGCGGGCGCCTGTAGTCCCAGCTACTGGGGAGGCTGAGGCAGGAGAATGGCTGGAACCCGGGAGGTGGAGCTTGCAGTGAGCAGAGATCACGCCACTGCACTCCAGCCTGGGAGACAGAGCGAGACTCCTTTTCAACAAAAAAAAAAAAAAAAAAAAAAAAAAAGAAAATGAGAAGAAAACCTTGGAATCTGGCCAAGATGTCATTAAGGGACCTCCTACCTAGCAGGAAAGAGAGCTTCAACAGATCCCATATGGATTGGAGTTGGCAAGAAATAAAATTGCGTCTATTTATAGTCTCAACAAGTTGAGGTTCCTCAATAAACTCGTTACACATAATTCACTTAAATTATGAAAATCACAAACAACAAAGCTATTAAATAGGAAAAGAAGAGAAGACACTGGTGCCGTCAGTGCTGAGGGAGCTTTTAGGGCATGGAGAGTGGAGTGTGAGAGCGAAGTACCCTTAGCATGCCAGCTACCCCGAGCCATCTAGAAGAAACTTTTGTATCTGAATGAGAAAAACAACTCAAATAATGCACTGCACTCCAGCCTGGGTGACAAGGGCAAGACTCTGTCTCAAACAGAAAAAAGAAAAAAAGAATTGTATCTTGTGTGGAAAGCGTGTAGATGATAAGAATGTACAGCTCTTGTCCCACTTTATTTCTCCATTTACTGGAGGCATTTATGGAAGGTACATTATAGGTCTTTGTGGGAAGAAACAGAAAGAAATCACAGAAGCAATTAAGAGAGCTCAAATAATGGGATTTATGCCAGTTACATACAAGGATCTGCATATCTCAAGGACCCTAAAGTTTGTAATATCAGATGTTGGGAATAAATTCTATCACGTTACCACCAATAAACTTATTTTACAGTTAAAAAAAATTCAGATGGGGTCTTGCTGTGTTGCCCAGGTTGATCTCAAACTCCTGGCCTTAAGCAATCCTCACACCCAGGCCTCCCGAAGTGCTGGGATTACAGGTGTGAGCCATCACGCCCAGCCTCAAATTTCATTTATTTTCTTTCTTTTTTTTTTGAGACGGAGTTTTGCTCTTGTCGCCCAAGCTAGAGTGCAATGGTGCGATCTCGGCTCACTGCAACCTCTACCTCCCGGGTTCAAGTGATTCTCCTGCCTCAGCCTCCCAAGTAGCTGGGATTACAGGTGCAAACCATCATGCTTGGCTAATTTCTGTATTTTTAGTAGAGATGGGGTTTCACCATTTTGGCCAGGCTGGTCTCAAATTCCTGACCTCAGATGATTCACCCACCTCGGCCTCTCAAAGTGCCGGGATTACAGGCATAAGCCACTGCGCCTGGCCCTCAAGTTTCTTAAGATGAAAACTATCTTTTGTTTCTATTCCCCAGAAGCTATGGATCTTTGTGGGCCTTGGGAGGATTTCCTGCCCTTCCCCCAGTGGCCTGGAGCTCTTGTTTTATATAAGTGAAGGGTCTGGGAAAAGGTGTTGTTTTTCATGTTTGTGCATCAAAGAAGTGGCAGCTTTTGATGCTGTCCTGCCTGTCTCCAATATTCCCAGTGAGCACTCAGAGGAGGGAAAGAGTTTGTAGGGGACTGAGATGACCTCCGCTAGGGTCTGGATTCCCACTTATTCCAGAGGGTCACAGTATCCCATATTCAGCCCATAGGAATTTGTTACTATTTTAGCCATTTGCTCCTTTTCTGTCTTTCCAGCAGCCCTATGTTTTCTCATGCTCTGCTAACAGCGCCACAATTCATGTGCCTTGTCTTATCTCTCCTCGATGGGGCTGGGCACTATTTGGAATTTACTTCCTTGTAATCTTAGCTCTCTCATGGGCTCAAGAAAAATTCCAGTTTTGTACCTTTACTCACCGTTAGGTTAGGAGTGGTGTTCTTTTGTGGCTTTCTACATGCTAAGCCTCAGCTGACTTTTTAAAAACAATTAAGAGGCTGGGCACGGTGGCTCACGCCTGTAATCCCAGCACTTTGGGAGGCCAAGGCAGGTGCATCACTTGAGGTCAGGAGTTTGAGACCAGCCTGGCCAACGTGGTGAAACCCCGTCTCTACTAAAAATACAAAATATTAGTTGAGTGTGGTGGTGGGTGCCTGTAATCCCAGCTACTTGGGAGGCTGAGGCAGGAGGATCCCTTGAACCCAGAAGGTGGAGGTTGCAGTCAGCTGAGATCACACCACTGCACTCCAGCCTGGGTGACAGAGAGAGACTCTCTCAAAAAAAAAAAAAAAAAAAAAAAGGCCAGTCGCGGTGGCTCATGCCTGTAATCCTAGCACTTTGGGAGGCCGAGACAGGTGGATCACGAGGTCAGGAGTTTGAGACCATCCTGACTAACACGGTGAAACCCCGTCTCTACTAAAAATACAAAAAATTAGCCGGGCGTGGTGGTGGGTGCCTGTAGTCCCAGCTACTCGGGAGGCTGAGGCAGGAGAATGGCGTGAACCCTGGAGGCGGAGTTTGCAGTGAGCCGAGATCGCGCCACTGCACTCCAGCCTGGGCGGGACTCTGTCTCAAGAAAAAAAAAAAAAAAGCAATACAGTATAACAACTATTTACATAGCATTGACATGGCATCAGGTATTATAAGTAATCTAGAGATGATTTAAAGTATACTGGAGGGTGTGTGTCAGTTATATGCAAATACTGCACCATTAAGTAAGGGACCTGAGCATCTTCAGATTCTGTGGGGGTGGAGGTGTGTCCTGGAACCAACCCTGCAGATACCAAGGGAAGATCGCACTGCATGTAAATACACATGCTCCGTTGAAGGTTGTACACACTCATGTGGCTGTGCAACTGCAGGGTCACTGTGGAGAGGAAGTGCTCTCTGACATTTGTCTCCTTCCAGTTTCAACCCTGTTCCACAATCAAGTTTTGTATTTTCCTTCAAACAGGTCTTATACATCTCTTGTTATAGCTACTTAGTTTAATTTTATCACATTTACCTTGACAGTCTCTATCTGACTCGTGCTGGGTTTTGTCCTTTTTTCCTGTGACTCTACTTCTCAATTATTCATGATCTAGCTAGATAAACATGTCCTTGGCAGATAAGAGTGTCTGTCTCTCCTGCTTGAGGAAGCTCACTCCCTCAACTTATTAAGTCTAATTGACTGGAATTTCTGGCACTGGGTACCAGAGATGGGAAATAGCATTTTTTTCCCAGATAAGCTACTTCTGCTTTAATCATTTGGGGAGGGAACAGAAACCTGTCCATTTCATGGAGATTTTCTAATTGATCAGCATAGAACCGTGCGTAGTTTCATCTCAGGCTTTGAGAATCCTCTCTGCATTGATCACACCCTCTTTCTTCTGCTTAATTTAATCTGTTTTCTTTTTTTTATTGATTAGATTTGTCAGAGACTAACTGTTGAACTTATTTATTTTTAAAGCATCAGCTGTTGGTTTAAAGTATTCTCTCAGTTTTCTTTCTTATTCATTAATTTCTCATTACAGTTTCACCATTTCTTCTTCCAATGCCAGCAGCTCCTAATAAGTGAGGAAGGAGCCACATTTTAATTTACACATTACAAAATACGCTTCTTAGATTGTCACCGGTGTCAGTAAGAAACCGTGTTCCACAGCAATGAAACCTGGGAAGTAATGGATTAAGTAAATTTCCCTGCTTCTTTTTTTTTTTTTTTTTCCTGAGAAATTTTCTCAGAATGTGAAAAGGGCCAATGTCCATTTAGGATGTCTAAGGAAATTTAGCTTAAGTTCCTCTTAAACTAGTTAATTAGAATATGCTTCTCTGTCTTCTTTTTTTTTTTTTTTTGAGACAGATTCTTGTGCTATTGCTCAGGCTGGAGTGCAGTGGCGTGATCTCGGCTCACTGCAAGCTCTGCCTCCCCAGTTCAGGCCATTCTGTTGGCTCAGCCTCCCAAGTACCTGGGACTACAGGCGCCACCATGCCCGGCTAATATTTTGTATTTTTAGTAGAGACGGGGTTTCACTGTGTTAGCCAGGATGGTCTCGAACTCCTGACCTTGTGATCCGCCCACCTCGGCCTCCCAAAGTGCTGGGATTACAGACATGAGCCACCCCGCCCAGCCGCTTCTCTGGTCTTCTTTTAGGCCTAAGATGCCTCAGAATTCATGCTGGGAAATGCATTCCACACGGTCGATTGTTACTTTTGATATGGCCAGTTTTCGCTCGTGTCTCTCTGTGTCTCTGTCTCTGTCTCTCTCTCCTTCTCTCTCTCTCTTTCCCCCAAACCTATCTGAGATCATCTTGGATCCATGTCTGCCACGTCCAGGTATCATCCAGATGTTTGAGAAACGTCTCTTCTAGCATAATGATGATGATGATGGTGATTATGGTGATAATGATGATGGTGATGATGGCGATGATGATAATGATGATGGTGATGATGGTGATGATGGTGATGTTGATGATGGTGATGATGGTGATGATGATGATGGTGATGGTGGTGATGATGGTGATGGTGATGATGGTGGTGATGACACTCCTGTATAGCCTCTGATGGTTTACAGAGTTTGTAATACGTAGGCTGCTCAAGTTACACAGTTCAAAGGAGGGGGTAATAACAGCACTTCACTCAAGAGGTTTATTGCAAATGCTCAGGAAGTGTTTGGCTCAGTGTGAAGTGCCCAGTGGGTTACATAGGAAGTGAATGACTGTGAGGGGTGGAGCCCAGATTCAAACCCAAGCAGTGTGGCTCCAAGATCATGCTTTCCTCATTTTTAGAACAGAATTGTAGCCTTCTACTCATTATCTTTCCTTAAATGGACCCTCATGCAAGTCTAACATGTGTGTGGCTGAGTAATCGTTAAAGCATTAATTAGCATTTTTTAATCATGTATTTTTTCTCCTATCTCTCAGGTGAGCACTGTGCAGTCAAGCTTCTTTTTTTTTCTTTTTCTTTTTTTTGAAATGAAGTCTAATTTTCTCACCCAGGCTGGAGTGCAGTGTCACGATCTCGGCTCACTGCAACCTCCGCCTCTCGGGTTCAAGGGATTCTCCTACCTCAACCTCCCAAGTAGCTAGGATTACAGGCACCCACCACCATGTCCAGCTAATTTTTGTGTTTTTAGTAGAGACGGGGTTTCACCATGTTGGCCAGGCTGGTCTCAAACTCCTGACCTCAGGCCATTCACCTGCCTCAGCTCCCCAAAGTGCTGGGATTAGAGGCGTGAGCCATGTAATCCCACTGAGTCTGGCTCAGTCAGGCTTCTCTAGTTACAGGTAGAAGGGAAGGGTGTGGTGGGCAAGAGGCAGAAAATTCCCAGGAACACTTTCTGGCTTTTGTTCAAAATCCAAGTTCAGAGAGAGAAGAGGCTTCCCCTGGTAGAAGAAGAGTGATTGGGAAGAAACAAGAAGGGAATTAGGAAACCCATACACTGGAAAGACATTCCCCAGGAGGGAAGGTGAGGACAGAACTGAGAGCAGAGGGGTCCTGAGCCCTGTCACCAGGCAGAGCTCCTGCAGGGGGTGGATTTCGCGAGACGCGCTTTGTGGCCCTTCAAGTGATGACGGGCTACAGAGTTCAGACCCACCATTTCTCTGAAGATAAGGAAACAGATGCACAGAAGATTTTAAGATCTTCCTAGAAACATCGAAGAGTGACGAGATAGTGAGTAAAATCCGAGAAGGAAATTCAGAAAGGTGAAGCCTGCATTTGGGGCGCCTTCTCCCCAGAGAGCATTAGCTGATCTGGAAGAGGAAAGTCAGAGGCCAGGCAGCACTTTTGACAGCCTCACAGGGTGACGGGGACAATCACTGGTGTCCAGAGCCTGCCAAGCAAGGCTGGGGGCCCTGGCAGACATCCCTGACCCCATATTTAGGGTTGGGTTCCAAAAGGGTGTATATTAAGTATAAAGAGTACATTGGAATAAAACCAGCTCTTTCATGTCCTATAGCTTAGCTTCCAGTAACCAGGGTAGTGCCAAAAATCTCAATCCCTGAAACTGGATTAAGGTAAATCTAGAATGCCCAAGCACCTGGAGAAGGAAAGAAAATTCTCTCTGGAAGAAGATAAAGTCATCTTGGCCTCAAATTATTATTATTATTTTGGAGACAGGGTCTCACTCTGTCACCCAGGCTGGAGAGCAGTGTTACTGCAGCCTCAACTCACTGCAGCCTTGACCTCCCAGGCTCAGTGATCCTTTCACCTCAGCCTCCCAAGTAGCTGAGACTACAAGCATGGGCCATCATGCCCGGATAATTTTGTAAATTCTTTGTAGCAACAGGGTTCTGCTGTGTTGCCCATGCTGGTCGTGAAGTCCTGGGCTCAAGAAATCCTCCTGATTCAGCTTCCCAAAGTGCTGGGATTATAGGTGTGAGCCATTGTACCCAGTAGATTATTTCTACAGAGAGTTTTTCAGACATAATGTCCATCACCGCACAATCAAAGACAACCAGCACAGAAGGAGGCAAGAGAGCAGGAATGAAAACCAAGACAACAATGGAAAGATCCACAGTTATCTCAGATGGTAGAACTATAAGACACAGTCTTGACAACATGATCACTATGTGTGCTCTTGGGGACAAAAGTGGAGCTTAAAAATGTAATCAAGGAACTAGAAACTAGAAAAAGTAACAAGCATATTGGAAGAACCAACCACAAATTTTAGAAGTAAAAAACCAATAACCAATATTAAGAATTCAATGGATGATTTTAATAGCTGAAGAGAGAACTGAAAATTTACCATTAAGAATGAAACTCTGCGCTGGGCACAGTGACTCATGCTTGTAATCCTAGCACTTTGGGAGGCCGAGGCGGATGGATCACCCGAGGTCAGGAGTTTGAGACTAGCCTGACCAACATGGCGAAACCGCCTCTCTACTAAAAATACAAAAATTAGTGGGACATGATGGCGCACGCCTGTAATCCCAGCTACTCGGGAGGTTGAGACAGGAGGATCACTTGAACCCAGAGGCAGAGGTTGCAGTGAGCCGAGGTCGTGCCACTGTACTCCAGCCTGGGCAATAGAGTGAGACTCTGTCTCAAAAAACAAAAAACAAAAAACACAGAATGAAACTCTAAGGGATAAGAGGATGGAAAACAGAAGGGTAATAGAAATATACAATATAGCGAGTATATGAATTTGTAATTGGAGAAGAAAAGGAGAGAGGGAATTGAGTGGAAGTAACATTTGAAGAAATAATAGCTGAGAATTTTCTAACTGATGGCAGATGTAAATCCATGGATTTCAAGAACTTAATGAACCCCAAACAAGACAAATAAGTAGAAATTCACACCTAGAAAAATCAAAACGAAGATTTAGAATAACAATGAGAAATCTTATATGCAGTCACGAGTGGAGAGCGGGGTGGGAGAGTTGAGTAGAAACAAATTGCAATCACCTCCAGTTTCATGGAGTAATAATGCAACTGACAGCTATTTTTTCCATGGCAGCAATAGAAACAAAAAAACAGAGAAATTATAGTTTTGGTACTATTAAAAAAAATGAGTGCCAACCTAAAGTTATATACCTAGAAAGATGAAGGTGAGAAAAATGAAGGTACACCAGGTAACAAGACCCTCCTCCCACATGGGATGCTGGAGAAGCTGAGTGAGAATCTAGACTTCCACCTCCATCTGGCAGTAATGAGACAGTACCACTCCCCTACTAGTGTAGTGTCATAGGCCGCCTGATAAATTAGATTTAAATAAGATCTGAAATCTCATAACATAATGCCCCAAATGACTGGAACACAATTGAAAATTATTTGTCATTCTGAGAAACAAGAAAATCTCAACTTGAAAAAGAAAAGACAATCAATGGATGCAAGCCCTGAAATGACACAGATGTGAAGTTATCTGACAAGGATTTTAAAGCATGTATCATAAGAAATTTTCAATAAGCTTGAAACAAATGAGAAAATAGAAAATCCTGGCAAAGATACAGAAGATATAAAGAAGAGTCAAATGGAAATTTTAGAACTAAAAAGTAATAACCAAAATTTAAAACCTCATTGAATGAGCTCAATGGAAGGGACTGAGGAATAACCACTGAATTTGAAAATAGAACAACAGAAATTACACAATTTGAACAATAGAGAGAAATTGACTTTTTAAAAAATGGACAGAGTCTCAAGGACCTGTGGGACCATTAACAAAAGAGCTAACATCCATATCATCAGAGTCTCAGGAGAGGAGAAAAAGTGTGGAGCTGAAAATGTATTCAAAGAAATATAGCTGAAAATTTCCCAAATTTGGCAAAAGACACAAACCTACAAATTCAATAACTTAAATGAATCTCAACTAAAATAAACCCAAAGAAATGCATGCCAAGACACATCATAGTCAAACTTCTGAAAAATAAAGACAAAGGAAAAAATCTCGAGGCCAGCAAGAGAGAAATGACACCTTACCTATAGAGGAAAATCACTAGATTTCTCATCAGAAACCATGCGGTCCAACATTTTTGGATTCTTGAAAGAAAGGATTCACAACCCATAATTTTATACCTAGCAAAAATATCCTTTAGAAGTGATGGGGCAATTAAGACATTCTCAAAGGAAAACAAATGAAAATAATTTATTGCCAACATACCTACCATAAAACAATGGCTATAGGAAGCTCTTGAAATAGAAAAAAATGATAAAAGAAGGAATCTTGGGACATTAGGAACCTAGAATAAGGGAAAGAGCAAAACTATGAGTGAATGCAATATAATTTTCTTTTCTTGAATTTCCTAAACTGTGTTCAAGGATTGAAGCAAAACTTATAACATCATTCACTATGGTTCTCAATGTATGTAGAAGAAATATTTAGGAAATAATATTTTAAATGGGAGGGTAAATGGACTCCAAGGGAAGTAAAGTTTCTATATTTCACTTTAACTGATAAAAGGTTGACACCAGTAGACCATAGGTTATGTATGTATATTGTAGTGCCTAGAGCATCCACAAAAAATCTACACAAAGAGGAACACTTGAATATACTATAGACAAATCAAAATGGAATCCTAAAAAAGTGTTCAAATGCTCCACAGGGATGCAGAGAAAAAAACAGAGAAACAAAATTAGAGGAGACACACAGGAAAAAAATGACAAACTTAACCTCTGAAATATCAATAATTACATTAAATGTAAATAGTCTTAATACACTAATGAAAAGACAGGTTGGTGGAGTAAATCTTAAAAATGACCCAACTAAATGCTATCTGGAAGCAACTGACTTCAAGTATAACTAGAAGAAAGTTTAAAGTAGAAAGATAGAAATATGAAGATGAAATAAAAACATTTTCAGACAGACTAAAACTAAGAAAATTCATCAATAGTAGGTAGACCTATGTAAAGAAAATACTAGAAAGTGTTCTGTTGGCATGAGGAAAATGACCCCAACAAAGGTCAGACTTGCAGCAAAAAAGAGGACTACAATGCAAATATGTGGGTAAATATAGGCAAAAATTATCACAATGAGATGCTACTTCACACCTGCCAGAATGGCTATCATCAAAAGGATAGACAATAACAAATGTTGGTAAGTCTCTTAGTCCATTTTTGCTCCTGTAACAGAATACCACAGACTGGGTAATTTGTAAAGAACAGAAATTTATTTCTCACAGTTCTGGAGGCTAGAAAGTCCAAGATCCAGGTGCCGGCAGGATTGATATCTGGTGAGGGCTACCGTCGGTTTCCAAAATGGCATCTTGTTGCAGCATCCTCCAGAGGAGAGGAACCCTGTGGCCTCACATGGCAGAAGAGACAGAAGGCAAGAGAGGGTGCTAATCCCAATCATGAGCATAGAACCCTTCTGTCTTAATCACCTCCCAAAGGCTGCACCTTTTAATTTACTGTTGCACTGGGCGTGAGTTTTGGAGAGGACACCATCATTCAAACCATAACATTCTGTCCTAGCCTCCAAAATTCATGTTATTTGCACAAACAAAATACATGTATTCCATCCCAACAGCCTCAAAGATTCTTAGCTCATTCTAGCATCAACTTTAATGTCTAAGTCCAAAGTCTCATGTAAATATCATCTAACTCAGATACAGATGGGACTCAAGGTACCATTCATCCGTAGGCAAATTCCTCTACAGCTGTGAGACTGAAATCAAACAAGTGATGTGCTTCCAAGATACAATGGTGGGAGAAGTATAGGATAGGTACTGCCATTCCAAAAGAGAGAAATAGGCAAGAAGAAAAGGGTAACAAGTTTCAAGTAAATCCAAAACCCAACAGGAAAACAACATTAAACCTTAGAGCTTGAGCTGGGTGCAGTGGTGTGTGCCTGCAGTCTCAGCTACTTGGAGAGGTTAAGGTGGGAGGAATGCTTGAATCTAGGAATCCAAGGCCACCCTGGGCAACACAGTGAGACCCTGTCTCTAAAAAAAAAAAAAAAATCACTTAAAGTTTTGAGAATAATCTTCTTTGACTCCATGTCCTGCCTTCTAGACACTTAGGTGGGAGTTGGTCCTTTAACGTTTCCAGGGATCCCTTCCCTAATGGCTTTGCTGGGTGGTCCACACAGCAGCTCTCATGGGTTGGAGTTTGGTGACTGCCCCTCTCCCAGGCTGGGATCATACTCCAATGGCTCCACAGTTCTGAGGTCTCGAGAACAGCCCCACTCCCGTGGCCCCACTGGACATTCCCCTGGTGCCCCTTTCTTCTGGCCTAGTAGGGGCTCTCCGTGGTGGCCCTGACTTCACTAGGCATTGCCCTAGTGGGGACTCTGCAGTGGTCCTGCCCCTGCAGCATTTCTCTGCCTGGGCCCCGAGGCTCTCTGAGATATCCTTTGAAATCTAGGTTGAGGTAGCCATGGATCCACAGCTCATACACTCTCTGTGCATGAGCTCTGCCTGCAAAGTTAGCACCAAGTGGATACTGCCAAGGCTTATTGCTTATGCCTTCTAGAGTGGCAGCCTGAGCCACATCTGGGTCCACTTGGGCTATGGCTGGGGTGGCCAAGGAGCACTGCACAAAAATGTAGGGAGCATTTTTGAGACTTGAGGCAGCAGTGGGCAGCGAGCTCTGACGTCCCGTGAGTATCCTGAAACCCTCCCTTTGAACTCTGCTACCCTCAAGAATGTGGCCCTCTGGGCCTGTGAGACTTGTAGCAGATCTCTGAAATCTTGAGGACGGAAGATCTCTGAAATGCCATCAATTGACTCTGAAATGGGCCATTTTTCCATTGCTTTGATGGATAGTATCTGCCTCCCTTCTATCCATGCTAATCTCTTTATCCAAGTGTAGCTTAGCCATACCCTTAATTTTCTCCCCTAAACATGCGGTTTCATCCTTCACATGGCCAGGCTGAGATTTTCCACATCTTTATGTTCTGCTTCCCTTTTGATAATGAATCCTGTCTTTAACTCGTTTCTCTTTTCTTGTATTTTATAAGCAGTTAAGAGAAGCCACGCAGCCATGCTTAGAGTTTTTCTTTGCCAAATATCCTAGTTCATCACTTTTGAATTCTGCTTTCACAGAGCAGCAGGGCACAGATAAAATTCAGACAACTTTTCTGCCACTTTGTAACAAAGATGGCCTTTCCTCCAGTTTCCAATAAGAAATTCCTCATTTCTGTCCAAGACCTTATCAGAATGGCCTTTCCTGTTCATGTTTCTACCAACATTCTGTGCTTGACCTACTCAGATAATCTCTACAGCTCTTTTCTGGGAAGACCCAGCCCTCACCAGAATTTCCCTTAATGAAATACAGGGTTTTTCCAGCACTCACTTCAAAACTGTTTCAGCCTCTATCCATTGCCCAGTTCTAAAGCCACATTCACATTTTCAGGTATGTATATATATATACATATATAGCAATACTCTACTCCTGGTACCCATTTCTGTCTTAGTCTGTTTGTGCTAGTACAACAGAATACCATAGACTGGGTAATTTATAAAGACCAGAAATTTATTTCTCACAGTTCTGGAGGCCAGAAGGTCCAAGATCAAGGTGTCAGCAGGATTGGTGTCTGGTGAGGGCTGCTCTCTGCTTCCAAAATGGCGTCTTGTTGTAGCATCCTTTAGTGGGGAGGAATACTGTGGCCTCCCACGGCAGAAGAGACAGAAGGCAAGAGAGCCCTCCCTCCAGCCTTGAGCCCTTTTACAAAGGTACCACTTCCACTCACCCCTCAAAGGCCACACCTCTTAACACTGCTGTATCATCGGGGATTTGGTTTCAACACGAATTTTGGAGGGACCCCATCATTAAAACTACAGCAATGAGGATGTAAAGAAATTAGAACCCTCGTACATTGCTGCTGGGAATGTGAAGTGACGCTGCCACTTTGAAAAACAGTCTGGTGGATCTGCAAATGGTTAAACATGGACTTAGTGTATGACCCGGTAATTCCACTTCTGGGTATATACCCAAGAGAATTGAAAGCATATGTCCACCTAAAAACTTCTACACAGATGTTTATAGCAGCATTATTCATAAAAGACAACAAATGGAAAAAACATAAACATCCATCAATAGTGAATAAACAAAAGGGGTTATATTTCTGCAGTGCAACATTATTCACCAATAAAAAGGAATGAAGTGCCGAAATATGCTATAATATGGGCGCTCTTGAAAACATTCTGCACAGTGAAGCCAGACACAAAAGACTGTGTGTTTTATTACCCCACTTATATGAAATGTTAAATTAGGCCCTTTACAGACACAGAAAGTGAATTGGTGTTTGCTAGGGGCAAGGAGGAGGGTGAGGAGAAGTTGGGAGGTGGGTCATGGGGAGTGGCTGCTAATGGGTACAAGGTGTCTTTTGGGGATGATAAAAATGCTCTAAATTTAACTATGGTAATGGTTGCAGAACTTTGCAAATAACTTAAAAACATTGAATTGTACACTTTAAACAGCGGAACTATATGGTATGCAAATTATATTTCGATAAAGTTGTTTAAAAAACCGAAATGAGAACAAACTGTATATACATTCTTATGGAGCTTAAAATATATGGAGTATATTATATTAAAATATATGGAACATATAGAAACACAAGAGCGTATAACTTGGAAAGGGGGTAATGGAATTAGACAGATCGTAGATCCTTGCATTTCCTGGGGAAGTGGAAAAGTAGCAATTAATATTTCATGCTAACAAGAAAAGGAAGGGTATTGAAATTTCTAGGTAAGCCGCAATAGAATTGTCAAACTAAGACAGGACAAAAATGGAATAATAAAATATATAATCAATCCCAAAGGGCAAGAACAGAGTGAAAAATAACATAGAAGAGGTTAGATAGATATACAAAGTAGGATTGAAAAAGGGAAATTTATCAGCAATTAGACTGAAACTACATGGGCAGTTTCTCCAGTTGAAAGACAAAGCTTGTCAGGATGGGTTTTCAAAACTCTACATGCTGTTTTCAGGAGATACATGTAAAACTTAAGAATGCGGAAAAGTGAAAAGTAAAAGGATGGAAAAACACATACCCTGCAAACACTAACCAGAACAAAGTCAGTCTAGCTTTACGTCTGGTAGGCAAAATAGCACGAAAGGAAAAGTCATTGGATAGCATAAGCCCTTTATAATGATAAAGGTTATGTTCATCAGAAAAATATAGCAATTGTATATTTGTATGTACCCAATAACAAAGCCTCAAGATAGCTAAAGAAAAATGACAGAACCACAAGGAGCAGCAGACAAATTCACAGTCTTAGTGCAAGGTCTCCGTAATTGGTATAATAAGCTGACACAAAATCAGTATGCATACGGAAGATTTGAAATACACCACCAACAGACTTGGCCTAATTGGCATATAGAGAAATTTGCATCCAACTGCAGAATGTACATTATTTTCAAGCACACACGAAAGATTATTTTAAAATTGACCTCATTTTTGGCCATAAAACAATCTTAATACACTTTAAAGGACTGAAATCATACATAAAAATCTGACACAAGATAGCAACTATGAATTAAGAAATACTCATCTAAGTAATTCACAGGTCAAGAAAAATCATCATGCAAATTAGAAAATGTTTTGAATGAAATGAAAATAAAAGCAAGGCACATCAAAACATATGGGAGGCAGCTAAGCAGCACTTAGAAAGTTACAGCCATAAATATTTACTTTAGAAAATAATCAAGGCTGGGAATCAATGGGCTAAGCAATCATCTTAAGGAGTTAAAAAAAATAATAATCAAACCAGGGCTAGGAACAGTGGCTTATGCCTGTATTCCCAGCACTTTGGGATCCCGAGGTGGGAGGATAGCTTGAGTTCAGGAATTTGAGACCAACCTGGGCAACACAGTGAGACCCCGTCTCTCCAAAATAATAATAAAAATAATAATTAGCTGGGCATGGTGGTGCACACCTGTACTCCCATCCGCTTAGGAGGATGAAGTGGGAGGATCACTTGAGCCTGGGAGATTGAGGCTGCTGTGAGCCATGGTCACGCTGTTGCACTCCAGCCCAGACAACATGATGCCTCAAAAATAAAACCAGGCCTGGTGCTGTGGCTCACACCTGTAATCCCAGCAGTTTGGGAGGCCGAGGTGGGCAGATGACGAGGTCAAGAGATCGAGACCATCCTGGCCAACATGGTGGAATCCCGTCTCTACTAAAAATACAAAAATTAGCTGGGCATGGTGGCACCTACCTGTAGTCCCAGCTACTCAGGAGGCTGAGGCAGGAGAATCGCTTGAACCCGGGAGGAGGAGGTTGCAGTGAGCTGAGATTGTGCCACTGCACTCCAGCCTGGTGACAGAGTGAGACTCCATCTCAAAAATAAAAAAATAAAAAATAATAATACAACCATAAAACCAGAAAAATAGGCCAGGCGTGGTGGCTCACACCTGTAATCCCAGCACTTTGGGAGGCTGAGGCAGGCAGATGACAAGGTCAGGAGATTGAGACCATCCTGGCCAACATTGTGAAACCCCGACTCTACTAAAATACAAAAAATTAGCCAGGCATGGTGGCACACGCCTGTAGTCCCAGCTACTTGGGAGGCTGAGGCAGGGAAATTGCTTGAACCCGGGAGGCAGAGGTTGCAGTGAGCGGAGATCGCACCGTTGCACTCCGGCCTGGCTACAGAGCAAGACTCCGTCTCAAAAACAAACAAACAAACAAACAAACACCAAATAGAAAGGGGAAAATAATAAAGATGAGCTTAGAAATTAATGAAATAGAAAAAAGTAAGAGAAAATTAATGAAATCAGCAATTAATTCTTTGAAAACACTTAAGAGACAAGGAGTCACTTGTTTGAGTCTCTTTCCCTAGAGACTCTCAGCACAAATGATGATCTCATGCATGTATCTGTGATAGCCAGATAGAGTCAAGTGCTTAGGACAAGTATTCCAGGCCAGAGGAAGGTGGAGGGAGGTTTAACACTGGAAGAGAAGTCTGTGATGGAAGCAGAGCCTGGAGGGTTTATAATGGGTTCTGCAACCATCACCATAGTTAATTGGCATTTATAATACCAATTATAAATAATTGGTATTAATTCTTTCTTAAATGTTTGGAAGTGAAGCCATCTGGACCAAGGCTCGTCTTTGTGGGATTTTTTTTTAAATTACCAATTTAATCTCTTTATTTATTTGCTCAGATTTTCTATTTTTCCTTGAGTCAGTTTTGGTAGTTTGTGTCTTTCTAAGAAATTATCCATTTCATCTAAGTCATCTAATTTATTGGCATATGATTGTTCATAGTATTTAAATGGCATCTTTGAAGATAAGAGAAGTGGCTACGCACAAGCTAAGGAGTATAGGTGGCCTCTGGAAGCTGTGAAAAGCAAAGAAATGGGTGCATTTCTAGAGCCTCTGGAGGGAGCATGGCCCCGCTGACACCCTGATTCAGCCCAGTGTAACCCATTTTGGTCTTCTGGCCTCCAGATTGTAAAATAATAAATATGTGTTGTTTTAAGCCACCAAGTTGGTGATAAATGGTTGTAGCAGCTATAGGAAACTAAATAGAGGCTATCAGGAAAAACTGTAGCAATTTAATTGAAACTTTACATAAAATGGATAAACTTCTAGAAAAACACATGCTCCAAAATTGGCACAAGAAAAAGAAAATCTGGATAATCTTATAACCATTGACTTTTAACTAAAAACCTTCCCACAAAGAAAACTCCAAGTCCAGATGGCTTCACCAGAGAATCCTGCCCTGCAAATAACACTTCTAATACACAACCTCTTCTAGAGAAAGAAAAAAAGGGAAGATTACCTGATCCATTTTAGGAGGCCAATTTAATTTGATATGAAAAAGAGAAGAGGGTAGACAACACAAGAAAGAAAAATTACAGGCAACCTCACGCAAAACACAGATGCAAAAATTCTAAACAAAACATTAGAAAAGTGACCCACCTACAAGGTAGATTTAACATTGTAAACTCAAATGTTACTTGCCACATTAACAGTTGAAGGAGAAAAAGTAAATGTTCATTTCGATAGATGCAGAAAAAACATTTGACAAAGCCCAAACTCCATTTACGAAAAAAGAAACTCTTAGAAAACTAGAAATATAGGCTGAGCACAGTGGTTCACGCCTGTAATCCCAGCACTTTGGGAGGCCGAGACTTTGGGAGGCTGAGGCAAGTGGGTGACCTGAAGTCAGGAGTTAGAGACCAGCCTGGCCAACAGGCAAAACTCCGTCTGTATTAAAAATACAAAAATTAGCTGGGCTTGGGGGCGCGTGCTTATATTCCCAGCTAGTCAGGAGGCTGAGGCACGAGAATCGCTTGAACTGGAGAGGCAGAGGTTGCAGGGAGCCACGATCATGCCACTGCCCTCCAGTCTGGGTGACAGAGTGAGACCCTGTCTCAAAATGATAAAAAAATAAAGAAAAAGAAAAAAAAAGAAAAAATTTAATCTGATAAATGGTAGCTACAAAAACTATAGAAGACATGTATTTATTGGTAAAATGCTGAAAACCTTCCTTTTAAAATTGGCAGCTAGATAAAGATACCTGCTCCCCCACTTCTCTTCAGCATTGGACTGAAAATCAAGCCTTACTGTAAGGCAATACAAAGAAATGAGGTCATAAGGATTGGAAATGAGGAAACAGATTCATCATTATTTACAGAGAATTTGCTCATGCATGTAGCAAGTCTAGAGATTCTACAGGTACATTATTGGAATTCATTAGAGAGTCTAGTAAGTCAATATACAAAAGTGAGTTGTATTTTTGTATACTAGAAACAAACAGCAAATGGAAATTTAAAAGATGCCATTTAAATACTATGAACAATCATATGCCAGTAAATTCGATGACTTAGATGAAATGGATAATTTCTTAGAAAGACACAAACTACCAAAACTGACTCAAGGAGAAATAGAAAATCTGAACAGATAAATAAAGAGATTAAATTAGTAACTTTTTTTTTTTTTTTTAAAAGAAAACAACTTTCCACAAAGAAGAGCATTGGTCCAAATTGCTTCACTGCCAAACATTTAAGAAAGAATTAATATCAATTATTTATGAGTTATTCCAGAAAAATCAAAGAAGAGGGAAAACTTTCACAACTCATTCTATGAGGCTACTATTTTCCTGATGCCAAAACCAGACAAAGACATTACAAAACTACAGACTAATATCTTTTATGAATATAGATACAAAAAGTCTGCAATAAAATACTAGCAAATAGAATCCAACAAGGATTGTCCACCATGACCATTTGGAATTTATCCCTATAGGCAAGGTTGATTTAACACCCAGAAACAATTAGTATAATACACCATATCAGTACAGCAGTAAACCACATGACCATCTCAATAGATGCAGAAAAAGCATTTGACAGGCCTGGCGTGGTGGTTCACGTGTGTAATCGCAGCAATTTGGGAGGCCGAGGCGGGCGGATCATGAGGTCAGGAGATCGAGATCATCCTGGGTAACACGGTGAAACCCCATCTCTACCAAAAATACAAAAAATTAGCCGGGCGTGGTGGCGGGCGCCTGTAGTCCAGCTACTCGGGAGGCTGAGGCAGGAGAATGGCGTGAACCTGGGAGGCGGAGGTTGCAGTGAGCCGAGATCGTGCCACTGCACTCCAGCCTGGGTGACAGAGAGAGACTCCGTCTCAAAAAAAAAAAAAAAGCTTTTGACAAAATTCAACACTCTTTCATGATAAAAATACTCAGACTAGGATTAGAGTTCACCCTCACTGCTTCTGTTCAACATTGTACTGGGAGTTCTAGCCAGGACAGTTAGGCAATAAAAGAGGAATCTGCATTGGAAAGGAAAAGGTAAAATTATTTTTATTTGCAGATTACATAACCTTTTGTGCAGAAAATCCTAAGCAATTCACACACACGAAAAGTAGAACTAAGAAATGAGTTTAGAAAGTTTCAGAACACAAGATCAATATGCAAAAATATATTATATTTTTATACAATAGCAATGAGCAATCTGAAATGAAATTAAGAAAATTTACTTACAATAGCACTAAAAGGAACAAAATACTTACAGATACACTTAACAAAGAAGTAAAAAATATATATTCTGAAAGCTATAAAACATTGTTGAAAGAAATTAAAGAAAATCTAAATAAATGGAAACATATCCCATGTTCATGGATCAGAGTAATTAATATTGTTAATATAATTAATTTATATAATCACAATAATTTTTATTATTGTTTATATTTGCAATATTTATTATTAATAAATTAATAATTAATTTATATTAATAATTAATAATTAATTTAATTTATTATTTATATTTATATCTATATTTTTATATAATAATTTATATTGTTTTATACTCCCAAAATGATCTATAAATTCATTGTAATCACTGCCAAAATCCAGGCTTGCTTCTTTGCACAAATTGACAATCTGACCCAATAATTTATATAGACACTAAGGGATCCAGGATATGTAAAACACTCTTGGAAATAAAGAGCAGAGTTAGAGGATTCACACTTCCTTATTTCAAAATTTACTATAAAGCTACAGTACTCAAAGCAGTGTGGTATTGACATAAGAATAGACATATATATCAATGAAATAGAATTGAGAATCCAGAAATGAATCTTCACATTTATAGTCAATTGATTTTTGACAAAGATGTTAAGACCATTAAATGGGGAAAATAGTCTTTTCAACAAATGGTGCTAAGACACCTGACTATCTACATGCAAGGGAGTGAAGCTGGACCACTATTTCATGCCATATAAAAAATTAACTCAAAATGGGTCAGACCTAAGAGCTAAAACTATAAGTCTCTTAGAAGGAAATCTGGGGGTAAATCTTTGGTTTCTTAAATATTCAGGTAGAAGGCTGGACTCAACTCCAGAAGTGGGGCTTAGACTCTGGACCAGATTGAAGACTAGCTGAACCAAGGAAGAGGCAAAAGCACTCTTAAGTCTCCATAAGACACACCCACCAATGCCATGTCAGCTTACTATTGCCATGGCAAGACTGGAAGTTACTGCCCCTTTCTATGTCAATGATCCAGAAGTTACCATCCTTTTCCTAGAAATTTCTGCATAACCTGACCCTTAATTTGCATGTAATTAAAAGTGGGTATAACTATGACTGCAGAACTACACCTGAGCTGCTACTCTGGGCACATTGCCTATGGGGTGGTCCTGCTCCGCAGGGAGTAGTACCTCTGCTGCTGCCATACACTGCCACTTCAATAAGTGTTGATGTCTAACATCACTGGCTCACAGTTGAATTCTTTCTTAGGTGAAGTCAAGAACCCTCCCAGGCTAAGTCCCAATTTTAGAGCTTGCCTGCCCTGCATCACCAGCAGTTTGAGAGGCCAAGGTGGGAGGATCGCTTGAGGCTAGGTGTTCGAGACCAGCCTGGGCAACACAGAAAGACCGTACAGCTACCAAAAAAAAAAGTTATATATATAATATTTTTTAAAGAATAATGCTTCTATGTGGCCAGGCACAGTGACTCATGCCTGTAATCTCAGCACTTTGGGAGGCTGGGGTTGGCAGATTGCTTGAGCCTAGGAGTTCAAGACCAGCCTGGGCAACATGGTGAAACCCTGTCTCTACAAAAAATGCAATAATTAGCTAAGCATGGTGGTGTGTGCCTGTAGTCCAAGCTACTTGAGAGGCTGAGGAGGGAGAATCACTTGAGCCTGGGAGGTTGAGGCTGCAGTGAGCTGTGATCACGCCTCTGCACTCCAGCCTGGCTGATACAGCAAGACCTTGCCTCAAAAATAAAAGAATAATACTGCTAGGAACATTTGTGTACTAGTTTTTATGTGGACATGTTTTCACTGCTGTTAGGTGTATTCCTAGGAATGGAATTGCTGAGTCATATGGTAACTCTATGCTTAACCTTTTGAGGAACGATTAAATTGTCTTCCAAAGTGGCTGCACCATTTTACATTTTGCAGTGAATGAGGGTTCTAATTTCTCTACATCCTCACTAACACTTGTTATCTGTCTTTTGATGATAGCTATTCTATAGCTATTCTATAACCACATAGAAGCATTATTCTTTAAAAAATATTATATACATAACTTTTATAATATTATATATTAACATCTCATTGTATTTTGATTTATATTTCCTTGATGGCTAATAATGTTGAGCATCTTTTTGTATGCTTATTGGCTCTTCATATATTTTATTCAGAGAAATATCTATTCAAATCCTTTGCCTACTTTTAGTTGGTTTGTCTTTGTATTATTGAGTTGCAAGAGTTTTTTTATATGTTCTAGATACAAATCTCTTATCATATAGATGGTGTGCAAAAATTTTCTCCGATTCTGTGAGTTGTCTTTCCACTTTCTTGATGGTGTCCTTTGAAGCACAAACATTTTTCATCTTGCTGAAGTTCATTATATATATATGTCATGTGAGCAGTGTAGGAGAAATTGCCCCTGCTCAGATGCCCTGACTTACGTGCTCAGGACAAATTCCCAGAGGTAGACTTTCTGGGTTGAAAGGCATGCATGCTCCTACGAGTTTCTGCAGCTGTCATTAGTGTTCAGGAAGATGTGAATGGCTTTGTTTTCTACAGGCTGAAGGGGCACAGAATTGGCGTCCCATCCCAGTCTGATACTCTCTGAGCTTCTTGGGGCAGCTTCTGTCTGCCTCCAGGGCCTAGAGAGAGAAGGAACATGGCTGCATTTCTGTCCTGAGTTGAAGTTGTTTGCTGATGACCCCAGCTCCTGGGACCTGCCTCACTGCCCTATGCCAGTGCAGGGTCAACTCCACACGCAGGGGCCCAGGTGGGTGGTGGCCCAGGCATAGACCTTTTTCCAGCCCAGTTTTCCCTCCATATGAAACTGTCCCTTTCTCTAGGAATGTCCCAGAATCAAGGAGCATGCTGTGTTGAAGGAGAACTTCAGGGTGCAATTCATCCCTTTGGTGGCTTTAAAAATAGACCAGCCATTATGCAGGTAATATGTTAATGTCAGGATTAGCATAATATGGTAATTGGCTCAGAGGCCACCGGGCCCACCTCATCTTTGGAGAGTCAAACCGAAGTATATTTAAAGCAAAGAGTTTGCTCCCTGGCAAGGCTCTCCTTCAAGTAAACCCACAAGGAGGGAGGAAGAGCAGAGGTCCCAGAGATGGCTGAGAGAGAGCATCTCAGAGAGGAAGCCATGCAGGCAGAACAATCCAGCACCAGCTGCCGGTGCCAGAATTGTGCATTCATAAATGCAAATGGATCCGCCCGGGACCTGGAGTGGCGGGCAGGAGATAAATGGAAAATTTTGGAATATAATTAACGTAATGGTAGTCCTCCGGCCCCGCAGAGTTCAATTTGCAGAAGCAATGTTTCAATCCTGGGCTGTTTATCACACCATGGAGGCCGGTTACGCAGAGATAACAGAAAAGCTGTTGTGTGGTCTGAGCGGTGATTTGTCTTGGAGAGGATCCTGATGGTGATGTTTAAGGAAACGTTATTACCAAGACATGTTGGGGAAAATGAGCGGGTCCGGTTGGATGACTGGCCTCCAAGCACTCTTGATAAGACTGACAGTCTTGGTGAGCCTGTGAAATTGCCAGACCCCAGATTTCACCCCAGAAGCAGGAGTTGGTGGGCTGAGAAGCCCAGGCTGGGGATTCTGTGGCCTCCTCTCAGGTGACCCAGCTGCTGTATGCGACCCTGGGGGGGAAAGAACTCTGTGTCTTTGGAGGTAACCGAAGACAGAATAAAGGCTTGGAGGTGGTAGTGGATGCTGCCAGTTGCCTAACTAATAGCTACTCTCCCTGATTTTGGTCAGAGTTGCGATATGCCCATTTAGAGCACTGGTTCTCCCAGCCTCCTTTGCAGTTAGAGGTGGCCTGATGGCACTGTTACGGTAAAAAAGATGTGAGTGACAGTCACTAGGGATGGCTTTTAGAAAAGCTTTGTAAAAGGACCAGAGCCAGCTGCCATTTTCCTTTTTTGGAACTTTGTGTTATAAAAAAATTCCTGCCTGGAATGCAGAGGTAGTGTTTTGGTCTTAGCACCTATTTTGTGACCATGGGGATCAAAGTCACAGGCAGAGGATGATGGAGTGACAGGAGGGAGGGAGCCTTGGCACTGATGACATTGTTGGACTGAACCAGCTGAATGTGATCTCTGGGCTTTTCCATGAGACAAAACTCCTTACTTGCTTAAGCTGCTGGACTCTGTGATGCTAACTGGCCCAGCGTGATCCTGCATGTCTCTGGAGCTCAGGAGAGATGCTGGACGTGCCACTCTGGTAGTTATCCCCACGCAGGTAAGAAATGAAGCCCTGCCAAGCATGAGTCCTCCTGGGGTGAGGAGAAGGGCATCCAGAGAAAGCCCAGGACATCAGCATTAGAGAGAGGCAGGTTGAAGAACCAGAGCCCTCCTAAGAGTGAGGAGGGACAGAAGAATTTGGAGAACAAGGTGTTACAGAAGTCAAGGGTCTCCAGTTTTTTCAGCCACTCCTGGCATACTCTCCCAGATAAATAAAAGGTACTTCACCTGCAATGGCCCCTAAGTGGAATCCATCCTCTACCCTCAGACCTCCTCTTCCGCCTCTACTGTCCATCCAAGTAATGGCTTCGTCACGCACCTACATCCCTTCTCCCTCAAACACCCTCCCTTGTGAAGCTCTTCCCTCTCCCCTCCATTCTATCTCGATCTCTATCTCTAACTCTATCTCTGTCTCTGTCTCTGTGTCATAGTCTAAGCTTCTAGTATGTCCTGCCTAGACCATTTCATTGTGTCCTGCCTGGACCATCATGTCCTGCTTGGACCTTCATTGAATGTCAATACATGTTCCATCCAGCCTTTCTGTGCATGCCGACATGGCTTTCCAAAAATCTTTATGTTACTCCTTTGCTTAAAACCCTTCAGTGCCTTCCCTGCTGCCCCCACCACCCCCAATAATCTGCTTGGCATGGACTGAAGGCTCTTTATTATCTGGCCCCGCCCCATCCCTGTTTAGCTGATACTGTAGGCATTTCAGATGATTCTGTTGCCTAAGTGAGTCGTGTTCTTCTAGCATTCTGAGGCTTTGCTATTTCCTCTTCCTGGAATGCCTTTCCCCTGGCCCTAGTGGTGAGCTCCTGCTTATCCCTAGCGAGCCTTGTCAAGCTCTTCTTCTTTGAAGCCTGGGTTCTGGGGTCAGAATTAATTTCAATTTCACTTTCATTACTATGGCACTTCACTTGAACCCAGTGAATTGAGAAACTCAGCATACTGCACATCCACACCCACATCCCTCACCAGAATGTGGGCTCCTTGATATCAAGAACCATGTCTGAGTTAAAGTACTCAACACAAGGCTTGGCTTGGTGTTTCGTGAGTCATTGTGGGATGGTGGATGGATGGATGGTTGAGTGACTGGATGGATGGATGGATGGGTAGGTGGATGGATTGGTGAATGAATGAGTGGATGGATGAAAGATGAGTGGGTAGATGGATGGATGAGGGGGTGGGTGGATGTTTGAGTATGTGGGTGGGTGGATGAGTAGGTGGATGTATGGATGGGTGGGTGGATGAATGGATGAGTGGGTGGGTGATGAGTGGGTGGGTGAGTGGGTGGATAGACGGGTAGATGTATGAACGAGTGAAAGGGTGGATGAGTGGGTGGATGGGTGGATGAGGGGGTGGGTGGATGGTTGAGTAGGTGGATGTATGGGTGGGTGGGTGAATGGATGAGGGGGTGGGTAGATGGATGGATGAGTGAGTGGATGACTACATGGGTTGATGAGTCCAGTGGATTCATGAATGGACAGGTGGATGGATGGGTGGGTAGGTGGATGGGTGTGAGAATGGAAGGACAGATGGATGGATAGGTAGGTGGATGGAAGGATGGATGAGTGAGTAGCAGGGTAGATGGGTGGGTGGGCGAATGGATGGGTGGACGGCTGGATGGATAGATGGATGAATTACTGGGTGCATTCACTTGTTCTTTCCTCTGCCTTACCTGTCTTCATAGCCCTTAGCACCATCTGCATCATGAACATTTACTTATTTTTTTACATATTATCCACTTTACCAAACTAGAATGTGAATTTCATGAAGAGAGAAACTTGTTGAAGACTACTTTCTCAAAGCCGAAAATTGTTTCAGACACATAGCAACTGCTCAATAATAGCCAATTAACAAAGAAATGAGGCAGAGGCCTGGAAGGAGGGTCCAGGTCTTCTTTCACCACGCCCAGGCCACCTTACATGCTCTAATGTGGTGTCTTCTTCCATTGAAATAAAGGGACACAAAAAGGGATGCCTAGACTCAGGGCCAGTCCAGGTCCAAATGGGGAACAAGATTTGCCCTTGAGCGACCGGAATCTTGGGCAAGTGTGTTACATGCTGTATTTCTGACTCAGAGCATGAGGGAGAATAGAGGAACAAGAGGTGGGATGCAGCTTGTATGAAAGGAAACTTCTGAATGGGCACAGGGAAGGCTTCCTAAAGGAGGAGGTACCTGAATTGGGCTTGGAAGGATATTTAGGATGAAGATGGCAGATGCAGGCATGGAGGGACAGAGGTGAGTGGAGTTGGGAAAGAAGGCAGGGGCCAGTTTGGCCTTAGGGAAGGGTGCAGTGGATGGAGGGATGGGCAGGAAACAGTTGGGGAAAGTAGATTGGGAGCAAGCCTACTTGTAATATCTGAGAAATGACCTAGAAGAGGTATCTAGGGGCACTGAAAAAATAGGCCAACACAGGTGGTGCTCTTGGTAGGGCCTTGTATCATAGGGCTTGCAGATCCTAGCAGCAGGTGTGTGCCTGGGGCTGCCCACAGGGTGTAGCTCAGAGGCGGACATGTGACCCAAACTGGCCAATCAGGGTCTTCTCTGAGACACTCTCTCTCTCTCACTTCCTGGAGCAAGACAGTCTCTGAGCCTGTCAAGGGTGAGACGCCGTTGAACCAACTTCCCAGTCAGTGAAGATGAGAAGAAAAGCCAGGAAAGCCCACATGCCACATGGGGCACCTGGAAGACTGGCTTCGTGGGTGCAGAGGTAATGCCAGCTTCTGAGTTGTGGGCAAAAGCCAGAATGAGAGTGAGGTGCCTCTTGGGCTCGTGTGAAGGGAAATTTCTACAAGGTCACTGGGGAAGACTTCATAGAGGAGGTGGTGTCTGAACTGGGCCTGGAAGGATATGTAGGATGAAGATGGGCAGATGCAGGCATGGGGTCCACCAGCCCTCATCCCTTGGGAATAGAGCACCTGGCTGACGGTCCCTGGAGCTCATGCAGAAGCTGGAGCCTTTGGGGGCTTGGTAGGAAGACGTGAGCATGTGGGGCACACTGAACATGGAGAAGAGAAAATGCAGCAGCTTTGCTCAGAGAGGCTCTTTCCACCAGGGCCCGCGGGCCGATCGCCCAGGGCTTGGCAGAGCTGTGGCAGCACTCCTACGCCAGCTCAGGTGCAGGAGCAGGGCTGGGGGTGGAACCAGGAGAGTGAGGTCAAGGCTAGAGGGACGGTGCCTGGCCGTCCTCACACCTCAGCTGCCAGAGGTGGCCTGGGGACCCACTCCAAAGCCCCTGGGTGTAGCCCGCCTGGAGCAGAGCCCTGCAGCTGCCCTGGGCCCACATGGCTGGTTGCTAAGAGACCAGAGCCTGGAGGCCGACAGCCAAATTTCAGGCTGTGACTGAGTAAGGACCCTGGCTTTTGCCTGTGGCTCATGGAGTCTTTAGAAACTGAATTCTCAGACAGCCACCTGAGGTTGAGGGGAGCAGGGCCTAGAGAAATCCCACAGCTGGGAGATAGGGTAGCTCGAGCTCAGCCCTCCCATCCTGCCTTGGAGCCAGTCCAGATGGGCCCAGAGGAGGTGGCACAGGGAGATGCTCCCAGTGGGCACACTAGCTCCCCAGGGCTCCCTGAGCTGCAGGAGGGATGTCTCCGATGTCACCCGGACCGTGCTTATCCTCCTCCCACCATGCTTAACCTCCCTGTGTGCCAACACATGCACACACGTGCATGCACACACCCCACGCAGACACCAGACATACACACAGCACACTCGTCACTCACACGCCACACACCCATGCACACACACACGCCACACCACATACTACACGTGGTTGCAGTCACACCAGATATAGATGCATGTTCCAAGATATCACTTTTTCTCTCCTCCAGGCTTCCTTCTGCCTTTTTCTAGAAAATCTCTAAGGTCCTGCATTAAATGTCAGATCACGGGAAAGGCTGTCCCTGAACTCGTTCAGCCGGGGGACTCTGTGATCCCTTACAGAGCACGGCCTATGGTGCAATTGTTGGTTGAGGGACTGAATGCACCTTACACTGTAAACTCCTTCGGGTCAGGAGCTGAAGCTTCTTTGTGGATTATAGCCAGTACGTAACTCAAGACAGGCTTTCACCAAATGCTTATTAAATTAAGAGGCCAGGCATGGTGGCTCACGCCTGTAATCCTAGCACTTTGAGAGGCTGAGATGGGAGGATCACCTGAGGTCAGGATTTCAAGACCAGCCTGGCCAACATGGTAAAACCCCGTCTCTACTAAAAATACAAAAACTAGCCAGGCGTGGTGGCGGGCGCCTGTAATCCCAGCTACTCAGGAGGCTGAGGCAGGAGAATCACTTGAACGCAGGAGGCAGGGGTTGCAGTGAGCCGAGATTGTGGCACTTCACTCCACCCTGGGCGACAGAGCGAGACTCTGTCTCAAAAAAAAAAAAAAAAAAAAAAAAAAAGGAATGAAGAGTTGAATGAATGAGTGACAAAAAAACAGAACCAAGATTTGTTAAGTGCTGGGCCAGAGCCCTTTCTTCTGTCTCTCTCTTTTGAAAGGGTAAGGATATTTTACTCATTCTGCTTACGTTTAATGCATTTTGTTATTTTAGCTCAAACATAATTGCCTTTTCAGCATTTTTCTTCAAAATGATGATTTAGGGTCATCCAAATCTCAGTGCACATAGTGATAATATTTCTATATGATTTCCATTCAAAGTGAAGAATTTAAAATTTGGGGATGCTTTCAATAAGATCTAGTGAACAAAAGGAGCTTTTGCCCAAGATGATATCTTTTAAAATGTGCTCTATAAAGTTGCTTGGGGTCTAGGAGAACTAGATGATGGGGCTTTTCTAGGAACATCTGCGGACAGGCTTCCAGGCCCTTCCCAGAGTCTCTGCCCATCCAGGCCTTCTCCCCGGGTCCCTGAGGCCTCCACCACCTCCCCTCCAGCTTGCATCCCCCTCTACAACTATCTGAAGGGTCCCGACCAACATCTGCACCTCCCCTACCAGGCTTTACTCCCAGCCTTCTTTTTGAACAGGAAGGCATCTCGAAACTCAGTGTCCCAGGAATAAACTGTTCGTATGTACCCTCTGAGCCTCTGGAAAGAGGCTCATCTGAATCTTCAGGAGCAGGTTGAACAGCATCAGGAAGCAACAGATGTTTCAGCCCTGTCTAGGGCTCCATCATTCTAGGTGCAGAACATCTAGGCCCTCTCCAGCCAGGGTTTTTTCCTGGACTGAGAGCTGATTATTTTATTTTATTTTATTATTTTATTTTTTTGAGGCAGAGTCTCACTCTGTTGCCCAGTCTGGAGTGCAATGGTGCGATCTCGGCTCACTGCAGCCTCTGCCTCCCTGGTTCAAGTGATACTCCTGCCTCAGCCTCCTGAGTAGCTGGGATTACAGGCACCTGCCACCACGCCTGGCTAATTTTTTTGTATTTTTAGTAGAGACGGGGTTTCACCATGTTGGTCAGGCTGGTCTCGAACTCCTGACTTCAGGTGATCTGCCCATCTTGGTCTCCCAAAGTGCTGGGATTACAGGCATGAGCCACTGTGCCTGGACTGCTTATTTCTAAACCTAAATTTAAGCTTTCATTCTCTCCCTCCATTTCACTCTCTGCCCTGAGTGTGGGTCATGGTCGTCTTAAGATTAAAAACCAATGATCGAGTGGATGAGTCAAAAATGCTGGACTGATGTCTTGATTTGACTTCCCACTCTGCCACCAGTGGTAAGTCAGGTTTCTCATCTGAGCCTCTGTTTGCTCACCCTGTAAAGTGGGAAAATCCTATGACCCTATTTTTGTAAAGATAAGTCAAGAAAATGAACTGCTATTAGTGGAGGGCTTCATGACCATGAGAACTACAGAACCTGAAGAAAAGCATCCAAATAGTCCGGGTATTCATGCACGGTAAACCCCTGGAGGCACGTTCCTCTGTGACCGTGCATGCGTGTGCACACATACGAAGGTGACTGGCTCTCCCGCGACTCACAGAGGTGACTCCGGCAGAAACACAACGCCAGCACAGCAGGTCCTGGGGTGTGATGGTACCTCCTCCTGGGTGTCAAGTGGAGACCAGAAGTGCAGAGGACCAACCTCCTAAAGGCAGAAGAAAATGGCAAGTGGCCAATCGTTATATGTTGAGGCTACCATTGCATGTTCTGGGTTTACCACCTCTGTTTACCAGCCCGGTAGCCCTGGGCCTATCACTTAATATTCTTGTGCCACAGTTTCTTATCTTCAAAATCTGGATAATAATGGTAGCCACCTGCTCAGGATGTTTTCAGTTGCAAAGAACAGGAAACCACAAGAACCCAAATGGGCTTTTAAAGTAAATGTCAAGATGACATTCGTTTGCTAAACCGAAAGGCTCAGGTGAAGTGTGACTCAGCCGTTCAATGATGTAACAGAATATCTACTTTTGTTTTTTGCTTTCCCTCTACTTTCCTTTCTATGACATCAGATTCATCCTAAAGCTGGCTCCCTTTAGAGTCCAAAGAGGTCTGCCAGTGGCTCCCAGGCCTGCATGCCTCCTCATTAACATCCTTTGAGAGAGACAGAGTTTCGTTGTCTCATGCAAATATCACTACAGGTCCAAGTCATTCCTCAGAGGCTGGTATTACTCTTATCGGACCAATCTCAGTCCACCCCCAAATTGGAACCAATTACTAGGCCAGGGGATGGAATACACTGACTGGTTCAGATCAGATCACATGCTCCAGCCCTGGGACTGAGAGTAGAGCCAGTTTACTTGGACATCGAAACGGACATAGGGGACGGTGGGAAGGGAGAATAATGCTAGGAGGTGACGATTATTTATTATAGTCCTCACAGCCCTTGGCTACCCAAGGTTCATACAGATCCTTCCTCTTCCCATGAACATTCAAAGTTGCCTACATCCATATAAACACAAAGAAGACAACCAAAATCTCTTCCAGCCTTCCAGGGACTGCCTTCATCTCCCAGTTCAAGATCTCATTCCAGGAATATTTACAGTCCTTCCATCAAATCTGGATGGAAGTTATCATAGTACAGGGAAAGAATAATAAAGAGAAATTAGCTCACAGGACCGAGATGTCCAGCAGGAGAGAGGCTCCTGGTGTGGTTTGGTTTAGAGGTTCTCAATGGCATTGGTGCTCCAGATGTTCCTCTGTAATTCTCTCATATCAATCCTTCACCAAGCAGGGGCTTTTCCCCAGTGGGGTTTCCTTATAGCTGCCAACAGCTCCCAGAGTTACTTGGGCCCTTGTCCCTGTACCATGGTAGCAAGAAGGCAGTCAAGTTTTGAGTCATTGCAAATCGGCCAGCATAGACTTTTGAGGTTGCAAGCAACAGAAATGCAACCCTAGCTTAAAAGAAAAGGGAAGTTATTTGTGGTCCGTGTGCCTGGGATGGGGAGGACACTGGATGTCCCATAGCAAGGGTGACAGGGCTCAGGCCACTTCAGCAAGGTTCTAAGGGGCAGCCCCATTGCTGTCGTGGATGGGCAGCACCCTCTGCCTTCCCCTGCCCTCCCTGAGCTGTGGCTCCTCAGTAAGGAGTTGGACACACAAACCCTCAGGTCCCGGAATCGAGGGGACCCTGAAGGGCATCCACACACCCGAGTATCATGGTACAGCAACACACGTGCCCCCATGAAGGGACAGTCTAGACTCCCCAGCCTCCCATCCAAGGCCAGCAGAAGCGCTTTTGCCAACATGCAGCCGGCTCCGCATGTTACCTTCTCAACCCAATTAAAGGTGGCTCTAGGGAGCGAGCTCGGAGCTGATAAATGTGCAGAAAGCAAACTGGACGCAACCGGAAGGCAAAATCTTTCCCATCACATAGACCAACTGTGCTCTGGTGGTCACATGGGATCTTTCCCATCACATGGACCCAATTAGCCGAGCCTGTGCTGTGGTGGTCACATGGGGAGCTCACAGGCTGTGGGAATCCGGAGCTTGCAGTGCAGTGATGCTGTGGTCCCCAGGCATGGCCACTTGCCCTGACATAGCCTGAGTCTCCTTCACAGAGGTTTGGGTTGTGATTTTAATATAGAGGAATTGTCCTGGGCCCACATGATAATACCTGCCCTATTAAAATGCTTTTTGTCCCTGACACCTGGATGAGGCCCGAGGACAGGTGTGTGGGCAGGAAAAGTTCAGAAAGGAGCTGAGATTGAGCGAGGCCCTACTGCATACCAGGACTGCCATTCCCTGCCTCACCGCCATCGCCACAGTGCGGCCCTGTTATCCCCACATTCGTTTTCCTACGTGTGTGTTGGGGGAGGGATTTGGACTCTAAACGCCCCCTCCCCTAAATCTGGAATTGGAAATTGCAGACATGGGGTGGGAAGGTGGGGGCCCAATGAATAACTGATGGATGAATCAATGCCATTTTGAAACCTGCATTTCAACTTGACAATATATTTGCATCGATCAGGTTGATTTCAACGATGCTGCAGGAACAAACTGTCAAAGTCCCAGTGGCTTCAGTCAAACATGTGTTTCTGCCCAAGCAAAGTCCACGACAGGTGCAGGTGATTCCCCAGAGCCACAGTCTCCCAGGGATGGCTCAGCTGCCCCAGCTGACTGGAGCACCAACATCCCGGAGCAGCAAGTCGGGAGTGCGGGGCCACCCTGTCCGTTACAGTGGAAAGGGGTAGGCAGAGTGGTCCTTAATGCTTCTCCCTGGAGGTGACTCATCACTTCTGCAGACAGAGCAGGTCATAGGGTCACCCCTGATTTCAAAGGAGTGTGCACCTGGAGTGAGAGGAGAACCAGAAGTCCTGGTTCTTTCTTCCCCAGTGCTGGTGGGCTCTCTTCTCCAGCATCACCTAAAAACTTGTTTGTCTTGGGCTTGGCCTCTATCCTAGAACCTTCTGCTTCTCTGAGGCAGCCCCTCTGTCTGGTCTGTGTGGATGAGTGATTTCATAATATCTGATAAGCTCTTATCTGAGCCCTGATGAATTGGAATGGGGCAGACAAGGAAGAGTAGGTCCGGCTGTTCTGGGGCATAACAGTATCGGCCGTGGGCACTGCAGGGTGGACAGGGGCACCCTTCTCTCTGTGACTCCTTCAACCCAACCAGTGGTGGGAAGGACCATATATCCTGTGCCAGAGACTTGTTCCAGGTGCAAGTGTGCAGCAGGCACCAGGGAGCTGCCCCCGACCCACCCTCTCAACTCATTCACCTGGCAAATCGTGCCTTCTCAACCCAATTAAAGGCAGCTTCAGGGAGAGAGCTTGCAGCTGACAAATTTGTAGAAAGCAAACCGGACAACAACCGGAAAGCAAAATCTTTCCCATCACACAGACCCACATTGAGGCTCAGCCCCCAAGACCTCTCTTGACCCCCTGTACACCCCTACGGAGAGGCCTCTCCATTTTTCTTGATGAGGAAACAAAGCTCAGAGGAAAGTCACTTACAGAGCCAGAAGGAACAGAGCTAGGAGGCTGGAATAGGCCATTTGCATTGCTATAAAGGAATGTGAATACCCAAGACTGGGTGATTTCTGAAGAAAGGTTTATTTGGCTCACAGTCCTGTAGGCTGTACAAGCAGCATGGAGCCGGCATCTGCTTCTGGGGAGGCCTCAGGAAACTTACAATCATGGCGGAAGGCAAAGCAGGAGCCGGCGAATCACATGGAGAGAGTGAGCAATAGAGAGGGAGGTCCCACTCATTTAAACAACCAGACCTGTGTGAACTCAGAGCAAGAACTCACTCATTACTGCGAGGAAGGCACCAGGCCATTCACGAGAGGCCCACCCCTGTGCCCTACACACCTCCCACCAGGCCCCACCTCCAACACTGGGGATCACATTCCAACATGAGATTTGAAGGGGACACACATCAAAACCATATCAGAGGCCAACCCCCCAGCTTGACTCTGGGTCCTGAGTGCCCCCCACTCCCCTTGGCTTGGCTTCCTGCTTGGTGGAATGGAAGAATTGTAAGAGTTAAAGAAAGAGGAGGCCAGGCGTGGTGGCTCACGCCTGTAATCCCAGCACTTTGGGAGGCCAAGGCAGGTGGATCATGAGGTCAGGAGTTCAAGACCAGCCTGGCCAATATGGTGAAATGCCATCTTTACTAAAAATACAAAAAATTAGCTGGGTGTGGTGGCAGGTGCCTATAGTTCCAGCTATTCAGGAGGCTGAGGCAGAAGAATCACTTGAACCCGGGAGGTGGAGGTTGCAGTGAGCTGAGATCATGCCACTGCACTCTAGCATGGGCGACAGAGTGAGAAGCAAGCAAGCAAGAAAGAAAGAAGGAAAGAAAGAAGGAAAGAAGGAAAGAAGGAAGGAAGGAAAGAAGGAAGGAAGGAAGGAAGGGATGTCATTTTTGGTTTATGGTCATGCTGACCTTGGCCGTTAGGCTGATGCCCTTTGGATTTAGGCAGTTTTTGATCAAGGTGCTCGTCCAAGATGGCAATGCTCCTACTCTGTCAAGAATGACCTCCCCAGCCTGAATCTTGTGTGTGCCAGTTATGAGTCACCTATTGCTGTATAACAAATCACCCCTAAGCTTAAATCAATAGCATCCATGGTCTCGCTGTTTCTGGGGTCAGGCATCTGGGGGCTCAGAAGGGTTTCCTGGCTCAGGGTCTCCCACAGGTTGCCGGACTGTGGTGCACACAGAGCGCTTGGCAAACATGCCGTGAAGGCATGAACAAGCAGCCTGCAGGCTGGGGGCAGTAGGTGCAGAGGGTACAGGCGAGGCCTTTCAGGTGCACAGTGTCTGGCATAGATCAGACACAAAAATATATTGAATGAATGAATGAATGAACAATCAGGACAGATCTCCATTTTCATATTACTACTTCGTCCTGGGCAAGTTATTTCACCTCTTTGGGACTCAGTTTTCTCATCAGTAAAATGGGGATAATCATGCCTGTCTCATAAGAATCCATGTTTAAATAGCAAGTCTAGAAGAGTGTCCAGCATATAACAGGTACCCAGGATGTCTCTTTGGTTTAATCCACCCGAAGAGGTTGACTTCCTCCTTTTGATTCAGTGATTGGCTTGGCGGCGACTTTCCAGAATGGAATTCCTTATAAGGGGCCTTCCCAGATTGGAATTGCACGGCGATCTCGAAGCTTGCAGACATGGAGCGGTTGCCACCAGGGCATGGCTCCTGTCATCCCGCAGCCTGGGAAAGGCCACATAGAGGCTGTCTCTTTGGCCTGGTGGCAACTGTGACTCACCGTCACCATCCCGACCCCACCCTCAGAGCAGGTGGCCTTCCCTCCAGGACTTGGGAGGGGCCGCTGGACAGGATGGCATGGACAGTCCCAGCTAAGGCTGCTCAGACTGGACTCTGAGACCCTGCACACTGATCAACCTGTGGGTGAGCCTGGTGGATCCTGTCCCATCTAGTCTGTCGCTGGCTGAGCCGAGGCTTCACATGTGCCATGCCATGCCCTTCCTGAGCTTCAGTTTCCTGATGTGCGATGTGTGCAGGGGATGAAACAGACCAGGCAGTCCCCCTGGGACCTCATAGCTCTTGGTGACCATTCCACTCATGCTGGTGGCGGCCGGTTCCACGGTCCGGATGCTACCCCCAGTTTATGGGCTCTTTCCTGGTCTTTTTTGCTCTGTCTGCTGCCCTGGCTGGTGCATTCTGACTCTGTAGATGGCCGGGCTGAGGGTGACACCAGGCCCCAGTGTGCTGAGGCTATGAACACCCAGCCTTGCTTGCGTCCTGGGTTTGGGATGTAAAGGATTCCCAGTCTGCTAAAGCCACACCCTCCACAGCCACCCCAAAGCCGAGCCTTTGCTTTCAGGATTCCTGTAATCCTCATGCAGCATGGGCAGCCCTGGCACCTGTGCCCGCATGCTCAGGGAGGAGGGATGGCCCCACAGCACCGGGGGTTCTTCCAGATTCAACAATGGACGGACCCCACACAATGCCCTAAAAGGCAGGGTTATTGGTGGCAAGGACCTGACATTTCCTGGGCGCCTTCTCCAAGCCAGGCTCTGGGCCAGGCACTGGGCAGGGATGTGGGCCCATCCAGCCCTGCCTTGAGCACGGCCTGGTCCCTCAGGGGAGACAGACATGCAGAGAAAGAGCCTCCAGCGTGGGGGGGCTACATGCACCCATGTAGCAGATCTGTTCTGCAGGCGACCCTGGGGTTTCAAAGGAAGCATGGTTGATTCGGATCATGCTCCAGGAACCCTGAAAGGAGGGAGCATTTAATAGACAAAGATGCCGAAGCTCAGAGAATGAATCAGCAGTTCAGAGAATGAGTCAGGAATTTCCAAACTAAGCCAGTTTCACAGACACCCCAGGCCTGGGCAGCACGCACAGCAGGCATGTGATTTCCCCTTTTCCGGGTCTGCAGGTTGACTGTGGTTCCGCTGATCCCAACTGGCTTTGCCCGGGTGACTCAACCTCGGCCTGTGTGCGGTCGACAGGGACGGGTCTGGGTCAGCTCCTGGCCCAGGCTGCTCCAGCCGATCTCGGGGCCGATCACCGGAGTGCAAACCTCAAGGGCACTCTTAAGGCCTTTGGTCACATGGCATTCACTTGATTCCATTGGCCAAAGTAAGTGACTTACCAGGATGGACAGGGTGCGGAGTGCCCTCTAACCACGCGGGAAGGAGGTCCTGTACTTCATCACCCAGTGGTGGAGCAGGAATTTGAACCCAAGCCTGACTCAGAAGGCCTTGGCACCATCGGCCTCTCATCTGAGGTCATGTGCAAGGGCCCTGGCTCGGGGATCCATGGATGACTGCCCTTCTGCCCACCGTCTCTCAGAGGCATTGCTGACAGGTCAGGGGGCGGGTAGACTGGAGCAACAGAAAGCACGGGGCTGACCCTCAAACACAGTCGGTACTACGGGTCCCTGCGAGGCTCTGGCCTGACTTTGTATGGAGGCTGTCCCACGCCCCTGTGTGGCTTGGGTTCCTGACCTCTTTGAACCTCATTCTACACTTCTGTAGCGTGGGGATCACAGTCCTACTTAGGTTATTGGGCTGTGCTGAGAATTAAGTAGGATAACACGTGGCAGCCTTTTTGAAACAGCTTTTGCCATCCTGCAGGGCTTCATAACTCCCCAGCTGGGTCCAGCCTTGACATTTACATAGAACTGTCTTATCCATAAAATTGCACCTGGTTCCCACAACAGCCCTCTGGGGAGGTATTCCTTTCTCCATTATGCAAATAATGAGATTTCGGCTCAGAGAGTATGAATCATTAGCCAAAGACGTGGCTCTGGCAGCAACAGCCCCCAGGCCTGTCTTACCCCGAGAGGGGATGCCCCATCTCCACCCCAGCCAACAGAGCGGAGGGCACATGCGTGCAGAGGAGGGGCAACAGTGTCCTCTTCTTCAAGGAGTCCAGCTCAGTCTGCAGGGCCACACATCCACACGACTTGGACGCCCTCCATGTCCTGGGGAACGTGTGAGTCAGAATGCCTGGGAGACGAGAATGCAGGCCAGGGCTCCCTGGGAGTCCGGACGGCAGGGCTGTCTGCATGGGCGGTGAAGTACGGTGCCTGCAACCACTTTGTTCATTCATTTTTTTCATTCATTCAGATGTCCACGGAGCATGGCCCCTGTGCCTGGTCCAAAGCCAGGGTCTCAGGAGTTATATCAGACAGGGACCCTGTACCCGGCCAGCTATCGGAACCTTAGCACAAATGAGACCTCAGAGCACAGCGTCCTCACAAGTAGTCATCAGTCTCAACTCACCTTCCCACCAGTGATGGGGGGGCTCACTCCCTTGCAAACCAGCCCCTCCCAGGACTAGACACCTCTGCTGTGAAAACATTCTTTTCTTTTTCCTCCCCTCCCCTCCCCTCCCCTCCCCTCCCCTCCCCTTCCCTTCCCTTCCCTCTTTTTTTTCTTTTCTTTTTTTAAAAAAGTGTGGCTGGCCACGGTGGCTCATGCCTGTAATCCCAGCACTTTGGGAGGCCGAGGTGGGCAGATCACGAGGTCAGGAGATCGAGACCATCCTGGCTAACACAGTGAAACCCCGTCTCTACTAAAAATACAAAAACTTTAGCCAGGTGTGGTGGCGGGCACCTGTAGTCCCAGCTACTGGGGAGGCTGAGGCAGGAGAATGGCGTGAACCCGGGAGGTGGAGCTTGCAGTGAGCCGAGATTGCGCCACTGCACTCCAGCCTGGGCGACAGAGCGAGACTCCATCTCAAAAACAAAAAAAAGTTTCATTGTGTTTGTTTTACTGTTACAAACAGTGCTCCCAGAAACATCTGGGATGTGTCTCCTGGTGTACATGGGCAGGAGATTCTCTAAAAAATGTTGAAGGGGCCGGGCGCGGAGGCTCACGCCTGTAATCCCAGCACTTTGGGAGGCTGAGGCGGGTGGATCACAAGGTCAGGAGTTTGAGACCCGTCTGGCCAACATAGTGAAACCCCGTCTCTACTAAAAATACAAAAATTAGCCCTGTGTGGTGGTGTGCGCCTATAATCGCAGCTACTAGGGAGGCTGAGGCAGGAGAATTGTGTGAACCCAGGAGGCTGAGGTTGCAGTACTCCAGCCCGAGCGACAGTTCGAGACTCCATCTCAAAAGAAAACAAAAAAAAAAATGTTGAAGGGAACTAACTACGAGTGCTCATCTTCACATTTACTAGATAATGCCAAATTGTTTTCAAAGTAATCACACCAATTTACACAATGACCATTTTATTAATTTCTACAAATTCTATTTGATTCTATTTCAAATCTTCTTGGTTATTTTATTTTATTTATTTTTTAGAAACAGAGTCTTGCTCCATTGCCCAGGCTGGAGTATGTGGTGTGATCACGGCTCACTGCAGCCTCAAACTCCTGGGCTCAAGCAATCTTCCCACCTCAGCCTCCCAGGCAACTGGGACTACAGGCAAGCACCACTATGCCCTATTAATTTTGAAATTTTTTATGGAGATGAGGTCTTGACATGTGGTCCAGACTGGTCTTGAACTGCTAGCCTCAAGTGATCCTCCCGCCTCAGCTTTCCAAAGTGCTGGGATTACTGGCGTGAGCCACCATGCCTGGTCCATTTTTAGAATCTCTTGTTCCCAACTCATATTTTGAACTCTCCTCTTTTTTGTGTCTTTAATTGTAGTAAACAGACTTATTTTACATTCCTCATCTGATAATTCTGCTATCTGGGGACTCTGTGGATCTGATTCAGCTAGGTGAGGTTTGTGCTGGTTCTTACTCATGGTGCCCTGTTTCCTCGTGTGTTTAGTGACTCTCAGCTGTAAGATGCTCCTGTGGTTGGAATGTCACCTTAATTGCTCCAGGGGGATTTGCATTTGTTTGTGAGAAGTCTAGAGAAAGCCATTTTCATCTAAATTCTCAGCCTGAGGTTTTTGCACACAGAACTGGAAGTGTCAATTGTCCCTATGAACTTGTTTGAGGGCTGGCTTGTGGTCATAAATCTTCAGGGGTAATTTTCCCATGCCATTTATGAAAGTCTTGGTAATACACCAGGGCACAAACTAGACCCATTCCTTGCCATCCTAGGTTTCCAAGGCTCATTTCAGGTCACCATGGTTAGCTGGTGACAGACACAGAGGCTTTCATGAGCATCTGAATGATGGCAGTACGGCTTACCATTTATTGCATCTGAACCTTAGTGGGTGCTGGGCATATGATACTCACTTATTTGTCAGCACAATAATCCTATGAAGTAGGTATAAGTATTATCCTGTCCATTTTACAGATGAAGAAACTGAAGTTAAAAAGGGATATCTTTATCCTCAAGGATATCTTGCCCAAGATCCCCCAGCTGGCCGGCCTGCGTACATGGGCGCTCTTGGACTCTGGGCCTTCTGCACTGAGCTTTTGTGGGTTTGGTGTTTATTTCTGTTATTGTTATATTTTTCTGGCACCATCAGGGGCTTGAGTCCCCGCTGCGCGATCGTTTGCTGCAGTCCCCGGTTCAGACCGCACAAAGCCCCTCCCTGGCGGAGCATGCTTGTCCCTCACCGTGTCGATGAGTCGTGACTCATGCTACCTTTGCTCTGAATTTAGAGGCAGGGAAAGGCGAGGGAGGAGGAACACCTCGAGCAAAATGCCATTTCGTGTTGGCAGCCAGGCAAGGCAGCCTCTGTCTGCCCAACCGATAGACAGCGGTGGAGTTCTGGGTACAAGCTAAGGATAAAGTTAACATGGGCAGGGGGGAAAAATGCCCTCTTCCAGAACAGACAGCTGGGTCCCAGCAATTCATGCTCCCTGGCTTCCTCCACTGCATGCCATTTGCACGTCCTGGCTGGAGACACGCTTACTCCAGCCTCTCCTGGGGTCAAAGAGGGGGTCATCTGCCTGGCGCGCTGCCTGACACAGAGCAACATCAGGGGCTAATCAGGGGCCGGCAGGTCATTGGCCTAAAATTCTCCTGAGCAGCAGGGTTCCTGAGTGTCTCACCCTGTGCACCTGGAGCCAGTGTGACAAACGGGCCCCTCGGCTATGCCGCCCTCCCACCTCAGCCCACACAGCCTGCCGTCCCTCAGCCTCTGATTCCCGTGCCCGGGGCTGGGTGGTGCTGGGGACACAGAGGAGCCAGCCCCCTGCACTGCCTTTTGGGAGTTCCACAGTCTGGTGGGAACTCGGGCACAGACAGAGATAGTGCAGCTGTAGTGTGGGAGCTCCGTCTGGAAGAGGGCAAGGAGGGCTTCCTGGAGGGGGTGTCAAAGAATAGGTAGCATGAGTAGAAGGAGTAGATTCTCTCTCCCTCTGAACCTGGTTAATTCCTTCCTGACCTTCAGATCCCGGCTCAAACATCACCTCCTCCAGGAAGCCTTCCCTGATCTCACCCACCTGGAATTCACTGTAACAGATGGAAGGGCCCTGCCCCTCTTCTTCCAGGCCCCACTAGCCTGAGCTCCAGGAGGCAGGGACCACATGAGCTTCAGCCCCTGGAGACCCCCCTAGCATCCAGCAGGAGGCAGCATACCGATTATGGGTGCAGGCTCCGTCACTGCCTAACAGCATGGCAAGGAGCTTAGCCTCTCTGGGCCTCTGTTTCCTCTCCTGTAAGATGGGGTTACAAGAGGGCCACCCCCTAGGCCTATTGTGAGACTTCATGGGTAACAGAGGTTGAGGCTGGAGGATAAGGCAAGTGTCTGAAACACGTTAGCGATGTTTATTTACTAGACTAGTGCCTGGCTCAGAGCATGGGCTCTGTAGACACTGGTAGAATACATGCACGGTGCCTTGCTCACTTCATTTATTTATGATCTTCCTCCCTCCCTGGTCTGTGGGCCCTGCGAGAGCAGGGCCGGTGCATTCTCGGTGCCCAGCACAGCCGGCCTGTCATCAGTGCTGCGGGAGGGACAGGAGGGGTACCTGCAGTGAGGCACAGGCCACGCCCCCTGCACGCCGACTGGGTTAATCCTCTACGGCTCAGGGTCCTGCAGGTGACCAAGGTGGAGCTGGGATTTGAAGCCGAGCCTCTGACTCCCAAAGCCAGACGGGTCTAGGTTGTTCTGCTCATTCCAAGCCGGGCCACCGCCTGTATCAGGTTCTCCTGCAATGTTGACGTCAGAAGCCTCTTCATTTACTTGGGGGCCATTACATTAGCAGTGAGGATAACATTACTAAGGTGCACCAAGGGCGGGCCGTGTTCCCTTAGCCTGGCTTTGTTTAAGCCTCCCAGTAATCTGGGGAGAAAAAGTAGGAGAAGGACCGGAATCTTCCATGCAGTGGGCACCCGCCACCCACCAGTCTCCATGAAGATGCCCCATCACCCCCAGGATCTCATTGGAGGCTCACAAAGCGGTTTGTCTGACTACTACTGGAAGCCTGGAAGCACTCACAATACCAGGGCTTGGAAAGCAGCCGACAGAATCATGCATGTGCATGTACACACATGCATGTGTGTGAGTGTGTGTGCACACATGAGCACATATGTGCATGTGTCTGTGTGTGTGCATATGTGCGTGTATGTGCGCAGACACCACCAGCCTCCCTTTGCAGGGGTGCAGTACTGGAGGACCGAGAGGGGCCACACATGCATGCGGCTGGTGGGGGCTGAGCTGAGCATTTCTGTCACTTTCTCCTTCTGGTGACTGTTCCCCTCCCCAGAACAGGAGTCTGGCTCCAGGTACAGCTAGGCCCACCTTGCTTCTCACTGGGGACTGGGACTAGTCAGCCTTGGAGTAACATGACAGGCTCCAGGGTTCCAGTTCCTCGCCATCCTGGCCCCGCAGAGAGACTTCAACTCCAGGAGGATTCTGGACTTTTCTGACAACCCCGGAGACAGCACCTTCCTTCCACAGCCCCAAGAACAGAAAAAAAAAATAGCGCAGACAAAAAAAATAGTTCAGAGAGCCAGTTTCCCCAGCAGGATTCTAAAGGGAAGTTTCATGGCCACCACCGGGGAAGGGAGTTCCTTCCTCCAGGACTGGCCTGAGGCCCTTTCCCCTGCCCTCCCTGCTCCCACCACCTCCCTCTCACTCCCTGCCGCCCTCTGCCTCTTGTATCTCCTCAGCTACCCCTTTCCTTCCTACCCGCCCTTCCCCAGGAGTGGGTGACAGTCCTGGTGGCTGTGTCCTCTGGGCTTGCTGGGCCCACCTTCTCCTTGTGGTCCTGGTCCTGACCCTGCAGCCACCCAGGCAAAGGAGGCCGCCTCGCCCTGTCTGTCATCTAAGGGCCCTCTGGGTGGTCACGTCACCCTGTCACCTGCCTCCAGACCGAGGCCACACAGTGCAGGGTCATGTTTCAGTTCTCATCTCCCAGCGAAATTATCTCAATTTCTTGGAGCCTGCTCCAGAATTGCTTTTCTCTAAACCCTCATTACCGAGAACACAGTCTTAGATGCTATGTACTTCTCAGGCGTCCTCAAAGAAGCCCCTGAATTACATGCGAGCTGCCCCTGGCAGGTCCCCACTCAGGGCGGCCACTTTGCTGTCAACAGCAGAGCTGGCGAGAGGAGGTGCCTGGTGGCTCAGGGACCAGAACGTGCGGCTCTCAGATAAATTGAGTTTTGCAACTGAACTGTCTAATTCCTCGAGGAAATTGTCAAACCATGTCCACGGAAATCCTGGTAAATCTTAGAAGTGGCTGCTAGAGGCTAAAAGTCAGAGACACCAAAGGTTATTAGGAAAATTACTCCTCCTGGTGCTGGGGGTGTTGGGGAGAGGCACAGTTTGAAGCAAGGGCTGATGGCTGCGGAGGAGGCATGGCTGGGGGAGGGCAGGGGCTGGAGGCTGTGGCCTGTTCTGTGGGGCCATTGTGGCTGGCATTTCCCAGGGTGTGGCTCCCAGGCCTGTCCATCACACCTGCCCCCCCAGTGCTGCTGGTCCCATTTGCTCTCCCTCCTATGGTAATTCAGAACAAATAGAGCTGAACCCAGCAGGTTCCTCCCGATGCCAACCCTGCTGGCATATCATCTCTGCCACTCAGGAGGCAAGATCTCCAGGCATGTGGAGGTGCTGGGGCCTGGACCCCAGGGTGCAGAACTGACCGTTAACAAGAAAGAACCGCCAGGAGGGGACACCAAGGCATGAGGATCCGGGAGTCCCCAGGATGGGAGGAGGGAGGTGCTGGGCCCTGGGATGGAGAGAGACTGACCCCCCACCCACTCCCATCTCAGCAATGTCTACGCGCCCGCATCATGCTCAGGGGTCCCCAGACTAAGGAAGCCCCGCCCACACTCCTCGCATTGTGCCTCTGCCTCTCTCAGCCGGGCCTCTGGGAGTGTTGTCTACACTCCCCGTCCACCCTACCTCACCCATAGGGAAGGCTTCGCTTCCGTCACTCACTGAGGTGGCTATGGCCAAGGTTGAAGGCCACAGTGACTCCTGGACCCCTGGAGACCCATCTCATCCCCTTGTCCCCTCAGCAGTGTTTGCCCTCTTTGGCCCAGAGCCCCCACCACGCCCTCTGAGGGCCGTGGCCAGCTCTAAAGCCCTGAGAGGGTTGCAGAGTGCTGGGGTCTGGGGGGCCCCTGGCCATGTCCTTGAGGCTGCTCAGAGCCCCAGTCTCTGCCCCTGCACAGCGGGAAGCTGAGCTGGGGAGGCTGTGAGAGCAGATTTTCATGGAGAGGCACGAGGGAGGAAGATGGGGCGGCCCCCGCCCTGGCCCCAGGCTCATTCTCCTGGGGGCTCCCTCTGCAGCTCCCCAGGGCCTTGCACACTTGGCCTCAGGCCACTCAATGCAGCTGAGTCTCACAGGCCCCTCTGGGATGGTGGTGCTGGAAGTCAGGGTGCTGGGGCAGCAGGGAGGGGGCTCGGGGCCAGACAGCTGACTCTTGATGGGGGCCGCAAGGCCTCTGCCCCGATAGCACATGCCTGGCCTGGCCCTGGGCTCGTGGTGCACAGAGCCACCTGATGTGCCCTGGCCGCAGATGCAACCTCTGCCCTTGGGAGCGTCTGCTGACCTGACGCCAGACAGTTCCATCCCCAGGGCCTGTCACCAGGTGTGCAGGGCTCCAGGAGGGACAGAGGCCAGCTCGGGCTCCTGCAGTTCTCACCAGGACCACTCCCACACAGAGCACTGTCCTAGGAGTCCACTGTAAGCCCGCTCCCAGGCCCCTGGGACTTGGGCCTGCTCTCCTGGGCGACCCTTCCTCCTGCCCTTGAGGAGGGAGAGTCAGATGCAGGTTGGAAGAGGCTCTTACAGGGCTGTAAACATCCCTTTCCCATGTCCACAGTGGCGAGCAGGACCATGGAACGGGAGGGCCAGTGTCCAGCGTGTTTGAAGCGCAGAACCAGCTACGCACCATAGGGCCGGTCCCTGCCCTCTTGAAGCCCGAGCCAGAGTCTGCTGTGGGTGGTATGGAAACCAGGGCCCCCACCTTCATCCCCATTCTCCCCCGACAAAGCTGCGGCTAGAGGGACAGGGAGCGGATGGCAGAGAGGAAGGGAAGTCTAAGGACCACAGTGGCTTCAAATCTTGTCCTTAGGGCCCCAAGTCCCCCACAGAGGCCTCGGGGATCCTTACAGCCCAGTCTGTGCACAGGATGCTGGGAGGGGCTTTCTGGGACCACCCAGGGCTGCACTTGGGCCTTCTGGTTGTCTGCCACAGTGGCAGTGGGGGGACAGGAATGTGGGACTCTGGGGCCCTGAGGGCTGCTAAAGACTTGGGAGGGCAACCTCAGTCATGCACCAGGTGCAGGGAGGGTGGCCTTCCAGCCAGGTCAAAGCTGATTAAGCCAAGGCAAGTCTCTTCCCATGTCTTCCAGCAGCCTCTGGTGCTAAACCCACCCAGCTGCGTTCCTGAAAGCTTGTGGACTGAGTGGAATCTCCCATGCCTCCAGGCCTTGCCCGCCTTCCCCAGCACCATTGTTGGGAGATTTGTCTCAGCTGAGCCTCTGCGCCTACATTCCAGCCCAGAGAGGGATGGTGAACTCAGCAGGCCTGAGGGTGCTTTTCCGACCCTAGGAGAGGCGCGGAGAGGGGAACTTCCCAGGCGGCTCTGACCTCCGGATGCGTTTCTCCAGGTACATCTCATAGGACACTTGGGGAACATCGCCCCAGGCCCTGGGGTGTCTCTTCCTGTGAGACTGATGCATTCTGGCGGGTCAAGCTGAAAGGTCCTGTGTCTGCTGGGAGTGGCCTCCAGTGGGCCTCGGTCAGGAGAAATTGCTCTATCTGTGTGATTTCTCTCTCCACCCTGCCCAAAACCACATATGTCAGAGACCAGCTAGGCCGGACCTGGGTCTGATTGCTAGTGTGAGCGTCCCCACACTTTGTGGGAAAACCTTGGGGCACCCCAAGCCCCAGCCTCTTGCCTGGTCCCCAGAGAGATACATTCTAGATCTTCTCTTCAGGCACCCCTGGGTCCTGGCAGAAAGTTTGTTGAGAAGACAGCGCCGGGTTGTTTCTGCCAACATCTTGGTTCATCACCCCCACCCCACACGACCACTCACCTCCCTCCCCGCCCAGCCTCCCCTGTGGTGAGGGGCTTGGAGTAGGACAGGAGGCCAGACCTTGCTCCCAGGGGGTTCACATCCCCAAGAGAATCGATGCATCCTCTGAGCCCCTGCAGATCCAGGTGTGCTGGATCCTAGCGGAGACCACGAGAGGTGAGGGAGGCTGAGAGCTCCACTGCGGAGCTGAGACAGGCTTGGAAGGAGAAGCGGACCCAGCTGGTGCTGGCAGGGTAGGGGGTGAGGGAGGAAGGAGGGTCGTGGCCAGGGGTGTGGGGGGAGATCCTGGGCTCTGTGCAGGTGCACAGGGTGGGCATATGGCTGTGGCTCATGCGGGAAGAATCGTCTCTTGGGAAAGGCAAGGCCTGTCTGCCTTTCCCCACGTGGGCAGAGCCAGCCCCTGCCCTGCTTCACAACCTCACCCCTCGTTCCTCCCCTCACCGGAGCCTTCAGCCCTGCACCTCGGCTCTGTCCCACAAATCGCTGTCGAAACCCCTAGGGCCAGTATGGTCCTATCCCCTCCATCCTCACACGCACTCCAGGTCCCACAGCCAGTGGTCTCTAATAAACACTGGCCCTGAAGCCCAGCGTCTGGGTTCAAATCCTGGGCTCTGCCTCCTGTAGGCTCTGTGGCCCTGGGCAGGCTGAGGACTTCTCCAGCTAGCCTCGGTTTCCTCACCTGGAGAACTGGGGTGATGGCGTCGAATTGCCGTGTGGATTAAAGGAGGATGCTGAGGACCTAGAGTTGTGCCTGCCACAGAGAAGGTCTCCACGTGGGCTACCTTTGGCATCGCCATGACACAGATGGAGAAACTGAGGCACGGAGTGTTCTAGAGTTCACCCAACGTCACATAGTGAGTAAACAGCAGAGCTGGGGTCAGCACCCCACACTCTGGCTCTGGCATTCGTGTTCCATGCTCTGGCACGACCCAGCCTCTGACCCAGGTATCCTGTGGGCATTACAGTGACAAGGACTCTGTCAAAGTGGGCATCAGGCATCACCACGCATGAGATCCCTCACTCAGCCGGTGTCTCCCAAGCACCTCCTGCGTGCCGGCCCCGCGAGGGCATCAGACATGGAGCAGCCCACGTGACAGGCAGAGCCCCTGCCTCTTGGGAGTTCGAGTGTCCACGGGTGGAGGGGAAGGCGGGAAACAGAAGACAGGGAGCAGGTCACCAGGTGTACAGATGGGGGGTCATGAGGACCTCCCAGATAATAGGGATGATGAGGACAGTGAGGTGGGTGACGGGGCATGCTGAGGCCTCTCTGAGGAGGGGATGTTGTTGATGGAGCGTGGAGAGGCATTCCAGCTGCAAAGGCAGGGGCGGGGCCGGAGGGCGGCAGGACCAAGCAGGAGAGGCAGGGAGGCCCGGCCCAGCCTGGGCTCAGACTTCGGTCCCGGGAAGCTTAGCTGTGGTCACCCTGGTTTTGGTTCCTCCCTCACACCTGGCTGACCCTGATGTCCTCACCAAGCACCGTCTCCCTGGAGGTGGATCCTGCCCTGTCCTCCTGGAGCCCCATACATCTATGGGCAGCCTTCATGACTGTCTCCACCTGGAGAAATGGGCAGTGCCAGTGTGTAGACATGGGTGACATTGCATGGTCCACCCCGACCAGCCTCTCAACCCTGGTCTCCTGATGTGGGTGGGGAGGGGACATTGGCTGCGGCCTCAGGGATGGCATTCTGAGCTGAGGGGCCAGTTTTCCACGGCTCAGGCTCACGGCCAGCCATCTGTCCCCAGGCCCTTCACAGGGGAGTCTCTCCTGTTCCCCATGCAGCCCCTCCTGTCCCCCTGACCCTTGTTCTTGCTCCTTGGCGCCCCCCAGCCCCAGGACCTGGCCGAGGCACTTAGAGCCAGGCCTTCACTGCACGGCCCTCTGGCTGCAGGACGGGCGAATTGCCATCTGCGACCCGCTCTGTGCCTTGTCACTTCCAGTTTAGCAAGGCCCCAGGTGAGGGGCTGCCCGCCGCCTGCCCGTGTGCCAAGCTTCCTTTCCTTTCCTCCCAAGGCTGGTCAGGCCTTGGGAGCATGGCTCCTTCCTCTGCTGCTGTCCTGAGAGGCCAGGCACTGGGCAGACATACCGGGCGCTGGGCCGTGGCTGTGCCTCTCCCACGCCATGTGACCCCAGCCAGGGACCCACCTCCCTGAGCCTCTGCCCTCTCTGCTGCAAAATGGGCCAATAGCCCAGCTCTCAGATTGCTCAGAGGTGTTCCTCCCTTCCAGATTCTCCTGACTCATCAAGCACTGCCTGGGTAACCTCGCAGAGGCCCTGCCCAGGCACTCCAGGAGGGTGGAAGGCCTGCTGGGGAGGCCTTGGTGTACCCTGGTCCCCGAGAAGCTCACAGCCCCATCCCTGACTCAGAGGCTGAGCTTTCTCCCTGGCCAGACGGGGATCTACTGAACAATCCGGGGCTGCCCAAAGGCCTGGCCAAGGACTAGAAACTTCAGGAAGTAAAGCGGGAACCCCTGAGCCCAGGGCCCACACGCCCGCCCTTGAATACCAGCTCTGACACTGACTGCCAGAGACAGCGGCCGCACACATGTGTGGGTGGGGGGTGGTCCAGTCCTGCGGTGATCCTACTCCTGCTCCCACAAGCCCCGGCTGCCCCTGGTGGGGATGAGGGCAAGAACGTGACTCAGCAAAGCCAGGCCTGCCGGAGACCACCGTGCCCACTTCTCCTCCCTTCTTGGTGAGCGCCCCTGGCAGAGGTGGTGGGGGTTGAATAAAACCTTCGGCTGACTATCCACCATGTGACCCGGTGCTGCTCAGTAAGTATCCATTATATGCCCAGCACTGGGCTGAATGCTCAGGCCCCCAGCCCTGCCAGTGCATGCAGGAGGTACTATAGCCACAGACATTTATTAAGCACTTGCTATGTGCCGCCCCTGCTCAGTCAGAGCCCTCCAGTGCCTCTCACAACAAGCCTGGAGCAAAGCTTCTGTTCTTATCCCCGGGTCACAGGGCAGGACCAGGTCTGCCGTGACTACCACGCACACTCCTGTAGCCTCCAGCATGCTCTCCAGTTTGCAGAGTCATGTAACAATGGAGCAGCATCTTCTCCTTGTCATGAACAAGATGGGATAGAGCGTCATTCATCCAGAAACAGGAAGGAAATCCCTCCACGTGCCACAGCAGGGACGGCCCTAGAGGACATTATGCAGTGTGAAATGAACCAGTCACAACAGACAAGCACTGTCCCTCCTATGAGGTCACCAGAGGAATCAAATTCATAGAGACAGAAGTAGAATGGTGGCTGCTCGGGGGTGGGGCGGGGGAATGGAGAGTTAATGCACAATGAAGACAGAGTTTCAGTTTGGGAAGGTGAAAAAATTTTGGAGATAGGCCAGGTGTGGTGGCTCACGCCTGTAATCCCAGCACGGTGAGAGGCTGAGGCGTGCAGATACCTGAGGTCAGGAGGTCAAGACCAACCTGGCCAACATGGTGAAATCCTGTCTCTTCTAAAAATACAAAAATTAGCTGGATGTGGTGATGCGTGCCTATAGTCCCAGCTCTTCGGGAGGCTGAGGCAGGAGAATTGCAGTGAGCCGAGATCGCGCCACTGCACTCTAGCCTGGATGACAGAGTGAGACTCCATCTAAAAAAAAAAGCAAAAAGTTCTGGAGATAAATGGTGATGATAGTTGCACAACAATGCAATATACATGAAGTCTATATGTAATGCTGCCGAAGTGTACTCTTATACACAGTTAAAATAGTAAATTTTTATGTTCTGTATGTTATACCACAATTCAAATAAATTTTAAAAAATGGCACCAGATTGATCAGGGGACAGGAGGGACAAGGACATTTCTTGAGGCCCTACTAAGTGCCAGGCTCTGGGGAGGTCAGGGGGTTGCCACAGCCTGACAAGGGGCAAACAGGAAACAGGTATCATGGCACAGACAGTGGCGAGGACCACATTCAATGTATTGTAGGTCTGGGAAGCTTCCAGTTGGCTTTTCCATTTATCTGAGAGAATCTGAGCAGATATTCACTAGGTTAGTGATTCAAGCTTAAAGCAAAAATGTCCAGCGACTTCTCTCTTAAGCAATTTAGTGGAGGAGTCAGAGACCGCAAGGTAGGTTATTTTATAAATGATCACGTTTAAAGACTTACCCCCGGGAATCCAGACGTACTTGATTCTCTTCATCCGAAGCAGAAAATGGCAAGAAATGGGATGCTGAGGCTACATAAATCCGGAGCCGCACCAGGCACCTTGCTTTATGTTCCCGTGCTCCTCCAAAAACCTCAGCGTCCTTGCCAAACGCCGATTCTAAGAGAGTGTTATCAATTTGAAATTCTAAGATGAGTTTATGCAAAGAAAATATTGCTTTTACCAGTTTTTGTTAAAGCACCATGTGTAATTACATTTAAAATGGAGGCTCCATCATGGGGAAGAAAAATTACCAAGCAAAGTTTGACCAGGTCTGGTTTAGTCCAACCCGGACAGGAGACCGTAGCCTTGGTGGGGACGAGACTCACCTGGGGTCCTTCAGAAGTTAGGACAAGACCTGCCACAGTGTCTCCCATTAGGATGGAGTCTAGATGACCCCATCTTTCTCTGCAGAACATATTATTATACACTCATTATCTGGGAATTTTCTAGATCTTTCATGAATCTGGTTATATTTTGAGCCCATCCCATTTCTGGGAAAGATGAGTCCTTTATGTTTACTTCCTGCTGAACTAAGAAATGCATCCTTATTTTCTGTTTCTAATTATCTGAGAGATATTGGGGAAAAACAAACAGGTGTTTTTTCTTATTCTCTCACTAAACAATCAACACAGAAGACTTCTGTGACCTCAGATGTGTGGAAGATTTTTCCCACACACCAACCAAACAAGTCTGCTCCAGTGGCCACGAGCTGAGTGTCCTCTAATTTAATTCAATTCTAGCATTATCTACCTGGAGATAGTGCCAGATCCCACAGGTTAAGGGCTCAGTCCTACAAGACTGCCTCCCACTTCTGATGCCAATCAAGCCCCAGGTTGTGACCTGTGTTTCTGACTGACCAGCTATCATTTGGGGTTTCCACAACTCCCTCTTTGGGTTCGATTAATTTGCTAGAGCTGCTCACAGAACTCAAGAAAATAATTATGTATACCCATTTATCATAAAGGATATTACAATGGATACAGATGAACAGCCAGATGAAAGAAACAAATAGGGTGAGGTATGGGAGAAGGGGTGCAGAGCTTCTAGGCATGCCACCCTCCAGGAACCTCCTTGTGTTCAGCTATCTGGAAGCTCCCCAAACCCAGTCCTGTTGGGTTTTCACTACATAGGCATGATTGATCACATCGTTGGCCATTGGTAATCAACTCAACCTTCAGTCCCTCTCCCCTGTGGAAGTAGCTTGGGGCAGCACTGAATGTCCCAGCTCTCAGATCTTGCCTTGGTCTTTCTGATGACCTACCCCATCCTCGGGGTCCCCAGCCATCAGTCACTCATTAGCATACTAAAGACGCTGTTAACCACTCTGAAGATTCCAAGGGTTTAGGGGCTATATGTCAGGAAACAGGGATGAAGACCAAATATCTATTTCTCAATATCACAAGGCGACTCCTTCTCACTGCTCTCCCCATCATCCAAGAACCAGATGACAAGGACAGGAAAATAAAGAAAGCTCCATAGCCACAAAAGCAAGGGTATGTCCTGCTTCTGCCTAGTGGGCAGATTTTAGGTAGAGTAGAGGGGAGGGCATCCACCTATTTCCTGAAGCTGTCAGGGGCCAAAAGCATGGCCTCATAGCTGGGCCTGTCATTCCAACCATCCTTAGAAGAGGAATGGAAGAGGCAGGAGGCAGGAGAAGGAGAAGGCCACATTCACAGAAGCAGAGACCAGAGTGATGAGCTTTGGAGATGGAGGAAGGGGCCATGGGCCAAGTGTAGTGGTTTCGTGGGGCTCCTGTAATGAAGTGTTCCCAACTGGGGGACTTAAAACCACAAAATTCATTATCTCGCCTATCTGAAGCCAGAAGTCCAAAATCAAGGCATTAATAAGGCTATGACCCTTCTCGAAGCTCTAGGGAGGATCCTTCCCTGCCTCTTCCAGTTTCTGGTGGCCCAGGGCATTCCGTGGCTTGTGGCCACATCACTCCAGTCTCTACTTTGCCCTCACATGGTCTTCCTCCTTCTTGTGTCTCTCTCTAAATTTCCCTTTTCTTATGAGGTCGCTAGTCTTTGGATTAGAGACCACCCTATGTCAATATGACCTCATTTTGACTTGATCACTTGATTAACTTGCAAAGACCCTATTTCCAAATAATGTCACATTTTCAGGTTCCTGGCTGTTCATAAAATTCATGGGAGGCTAGAGCCAGGCAAGGTGGTTTACACCTGTAATCCTAGCACTTTGGAAGGTCGAGGCGGGTGGATCACTTGAGGCTAGGAGTTCGAGACCAGCCTGGCTAACATGGCGAAACCCCATCTCTACTAAAGATACAAAAATTAGCTGGGCGTGGTGGCGGACACCTGTAATCCCAGCTACTTGGGAGGCTAAGGCAGGAGAATCGCTTGAACCGAAGAGGCGGAGGTTGCAGTGAGCCGAGATTTCACCATTGCTCTCCAGCCTGGGCAACAGAGTGAGACTCTGTCTCAAAAAAAAAAAAAAAAAAAAAAATTCACGGGAGGTTATTGTTTCACACTCAGCTGCACTAAGCCCCAGCAGACCAGAATGGAGTCACTCGTGCTAAGTGCTATATAGTCAAACGAAACTTTGAAAAGCACCTGTTTTCCAAGAAAACAAGAGATTCAACTGCAACAAACCAGAAGACACCCGGTTACCTGAGCCTGCATGATGAGAAAGTTCCTTCTGTTTCAGCCCTATAAAGTAACTTTGAAATGACCAGTCTGCTTTTCATTCCTTCAGCCCTTTTCTGCCTGTAAAGCCCACCCCATCTGCTCAGCTCCGTGCAACACCCACTCTGTTTTAGAGAATAAGATGTAGCCTGATTCTAGAATTGCAAATAAAAGCCAATTAGATGTTTTAAACTACGTTTATTGTGATTTTGTTTTTTCTTTTTAACAAGGTAGACCTGAATTGAGGAAGGGGTGCTATTCAAACCCAGTACACCAAGGAACGCAGGCGGCCTTTCAAAGGTGAAAAAGGCAACATAAACAGAATACATATGTAAAAAATGAAAAAAAAAAAAAGAAATGAAAGTTGAAAAAGGCAAGGAAATGGATTTTCTCCTGGAGCCTCCAGAAGGAAGCAGTCCTGCTAACACCTTGACCTTAGCTCCAGGAAACTAATTTTGGACTTTAACCTCCAGAACAGGAAGAGAATACATTCCAGTTACTTTAAGCCATGCAGTTTGTGATAGTGTCAGTTTGTGATAAAAAACAGCAGGGATACAAACCTGACACCAGGTGTGAAGACTTTTTTTCTTTCTTTCTTTTCTTTTCTTTTTATTTTTTTTTTTTTGAGACAGAGTCTCGCTCTGTCGCCAAGCTGGAGGGCAGGGGCACAATCTCGGCTGACTGCAACCTCCGCCTCCCGGGTTCAAGTGATTCTCGTGCCTCAGCCTCCAGAGTAGCTGGGACTACAGGTGCCCGCCACCATGCCCGGCTAATTTTTTGAATTTTTAGAGAGACGGGGTTTCACCATGTTAGCCAGGATGATCTCAGTCTCCTGACCTTTTGATTCACCCGCCTCGGCCTCCCAAAGTGCTGGGATTACAGGCGTGAGCCACCACGCCCGGCCAGGTGTGAAGATTTTAATGCTCCTGAAACCCGTGTTGAGTCGTGCTCTGAAAGATGGTACTTATCTGCACCCTCTCCAGCCATCGTCAACCTGGTTAGTTTCGCTGCCTGTTTGTGAGTCCTGCCTACTGTCCCGTTAGAAAAAACCTTTCTCATCCTGGAGGCACAAGTGGCCTCTGGTTGTCATTTTCATTTCCCTGATGAGGAAAGAGGATGGATTTTTGTATTTCTTCTGCTGGTCACACCCTGTTTCCCAAACTCAGCCCACGCAACCCCTGGGGCCCAGAACCCTCTCTTTCCCCTTTTACTGCACACAGGGAGTCTGGGTCCTTATATGGGAAGAGGGCTGTGCAGGTGCTGGGTGAGGGCAGGATTGGCCTCTGCTTGGGAAACAAAGTCCCCACCCCCTCCCCACTCTTTACCTCCTGGTGTCAGCTAAGTCCCTTCCTCTGGGGGCTTTTTTTTTTTTTTTTTTTTGAGACGGAGTCTTGCTCTTTCACCCAGCCTGGAGTGAAGTGGCATCATCTCAGCTCACTGCAACCTCTGCCCCCCTGGTTCAAGTGATTCTCCTGCCTCAGTCTCCCGAGTAGCTGGGATTACAGATGCCTGCATAAATACAAATTTTGTAATTTTTTTTTTTTTAGTAGAGATGGGGTTTTGCCATGTTGGCCAGGCTGGTCTCGAACTCCTGACCTCAGGTGATTCACATGCCTCAGCCTCCCAAACTGTTAGAATTAGAGGTGTGAGCCACCATGCTGGGGGCCTTCTCTAATGCACACCCTCATCTCAGAGGCCACCCCCTCACCCCCAAGCTCCATCACATGTGGCTTCCCTGCAGCTTCACTGGGGAGGGGAGTGTATTTGTCAGGTTCCCATCTCACCCCATGGTCCCCTGTGGAAGTTCCATGAGTCCCCAGCGGGAGCCACAGTGGGAAGAGAGGACCCTGTCACTCACCAACCCTGTCACTCACCAACCCAACCACTCCCTCCAACCAGGCTCACACCAGCGTCATGCAGGCTTGAACCCAAGCTCGAAGATTTTCAAATGAGAAAAGTGTTTATTCAAATTTCCTAATTGTGAATGTACTGTGGTCTGCACAGATAGAGTCTGTTGAAGAGATTTGAAACCTTGGTTTTTCACATTTCCCTGGTTCTGGGGTGGCAGGATGGAATTCTTAGATGTTTCCCTAATTCAACAGGGAGACTTCTCCCGCAATGAGCAATTCTCCTTCCTGCTCTAGGAACCAGCAGAAGCTTAGGAGCTCCTGGACCAGTCCCCAGGAGGTTACAGGGACACTGGGCTGACAAGGCCACCTCCTGGGCCACTAGGATGTGGCAGGCAGCCTGGGACCTGGGGCAGGTAGCTCCCCATTTGCTGTGGGTGGCACGGACAGTCAGTTCCCCATGCACCAAAGGCCTTTCACTTGCTACATTTCACCCGAAGGTCGAATGGTCCCAGGCAAGGAACTTGGGACCCGACTTTGAACAGTCTGTGAATAAGAAGATGTAGATACTCAGGGTGGGAGAGGACACGTGGTGTCAGCGGTCTGGCACAAGTAGGCTGAGGATGGAGAATCCCTGGCCCGGAGAGGAGGGCCCTTTTGATTTTAGCCCTCCTGGTGGGCTGGTAGGAGCACATCTGGCTTTCCCCCCCTTATGAATGTCAGAGTTGAACACTAGCATGGGCCTCTTAGATCAGCCCTTCTGTGAGAGGCATGGTTCAAGCCCTTCGGCTGTTTTTCACTGGCTGTTTCTCTTTTTCTCATGGACTCAATCAATACATCTTTTTGAGCGGCCACTCCCTGGCATGGAGCCGGCCTTCGGGAAGCTGGGAGTCTTCTGAGGAAGACACTTTCATCCTCCATGGGCAGCGGGACCCTGGCTTAGGGCTCAGGAGTGGAGGCCAGGTGGCTGAAGCTCGACTGGCTGCAGGGACCAGGAGAGGGTGTTGCAGAGGCCACTGCAGTCCGAGCAAGCAAGGGCCTGTGAGCCTGGGCAGGGAGTGGGACTCACCCTACCCCACACCCTGCTCCCCACCCACCCAGTCATAAATGTGTTGGAGGGGGAAGGAGCCATCCAAGATGATGCTGTGACTTCCGCTACAAAAATCAGGCGGGCATGGTGGCACACCCCTGTAGTCCCAGCTTCTTGGGAGGCTGAAGCACGAGAATCACTTGAACCCTGGTGGCAGTGAGCCGAGATCACACCACTGCGCTCGAGCCTGGGTGGACAGAGCAAGACTCCGTCTCAATAATAAAAAACAAAACAAAACAGAATAACGCTATAAACAAAATGCACATTTATCTTGGTGTGCCTGTTGAGTAATTCACGGAAGGGTCTCTAACAGTGGCCCTTCTCATTTGAAAGAGCGTGTGCATTTTCCCTCTTGATAGTGCTGGCCCTCCACAAGCAGAACCTATTTATCCACCATCCGAGTAACACAGACAGTACCAGATCCCCGACAGCAAACACCATCACTCTAACTGCAGGCACTCTGATGGGTGAAAACTAATGTGGTGTTTCCTTAATTTACAGTTCTCTGAGTGCTGGTGAAGTTGAACATGTTTTCTCTATGTTTTCTCCTTCAATATTTTACCCTTTTTTCTACTGTGGGTTTGTGTTTTTCTTACTGTCTTCTAGCACACGCTCCACAAAAGGAGGCTATTAAGCCTTTGTTATGCGTGTGGAAAATGCTTTCTCTTCCTCTGACATATGTCTTTTTGCTTTGTTTTCATTCCTTTGCCATATAGGAGCTTTCCACTTTTATGCAGACAATGTTGTCAGCTTCTCTATCAGGCAAACTCGAATGGCTCCCAGATGCTCAGATGGGCCTGGGGCTACTGAGCCTCTTGCCCCCTGGGCACCCACAATGACACCCACCACGACACAGGGAGCTGCCTCTCAAGGTCTCACCCCTCCCAGCAAGCAGCCCAGCGACTGACCTTCGACCGCTGATGCAGAGGGACAAAGGCCCAGCCCCCTACCTCTGTTTGGGATGCCTCTGCAGTGCCACCCCAGCCCTGGAATTCCTGCAGGACCCACTGAGTCCAGCTTTTCCCTCTGTCCAATCCTCCTTCTCTTCATTCTCCTGCAGAGGCATGGTGTCAACTTCCAGGACCTGCTGTCACAAAACATCACAAAGTGGTGGCTTAAACATCAGACTTTATTCTCTCCCAGCTCTGGAGGCCAAAGTCTGAAATTGAGGTGTCAGCACGGACTCGCTCCTGCCCGAGGCTCAGGGGAGGATCCTTCCTGCCTCTTCCAGCTGCTGGTGGCTCCTTGGCCCGTGGGCACTTCCCTCCAGTCTCCGTCATTGTCACAAGGGCTTCTGCTCTCCGTCTTCCCCCTTCTGTCCTTTATAAGGACACCTAAGGGTCTTACTTCAATTACATCTACAAAGACCCTTTTTCCCATTCACCAGTTCCAGGGGTTAGAATATGTATAGATTTTTTTTTTTTGAGACGGAGTTTCACTCCTGTTGCCCAGGCTGGATTGCAATGGTGCGATCTCGGCTCACCGAAACTTCCACCTTCCAGGTTCAAGCGAGTCTCCTACCCCAGCCTCCCGAGTAGCTGGGATTGCAGGCATGTGCCACCACACCCGGCTAATTTAGACGGGGTTTTGTCACGTTGACCAGGCTGGTCTCGAACTCCTGACCTCAGGCGATCCACCCGCCTCGGCCTCCCAAAGTGTTGGGATTACAGGTGTGAGCCACTGTGCCCGGCCTGGATAGATCTTTCTGGGGCTCACCACTCAACCTACAGCAGAGTCCAAGAGCCCCCTCCTCACCATGGCCTCCTGCTCCAAATTCCCGTCTCAGTTTCTGGGGAACCCAACCTAAGATGCTGCCCCTCATCCAAACCTCAGGGACTAAGGGACATTTGGCGAAGGGGACAGAGCCTAGCCCCCTGAGAGGAGGGTCCCAGCCCCAGGCCCTCACCTGTCTTGCTGTGTGAACTCAGGCAGGTCCCTCCTCTTCCGGGGCCTCCTAGGTTCCTGGTTTTTAGTGGAAGGATTTCTGAATACTCCTAAGGGCTTTTCTGGCCTCCCAGGATCCAGTGAGGCTCGCACACACCCGGATCATTCGGCCCTTGGGTCCTGAGTGGCGCGTGGAGCGGGACCCTCTTCCCTGGTGGGGGTAGGATTGGGGAGAGAAGTGAACCTAGGCCTGCCACCCAGAAAGCCAGCGCCTGCTTGGAGCGCCGAGATCAGTCCCCTCCTCTCCCAGCCCAGTGCTCCAGCACAGCTCTGATGTCATTCATAACTGTCACTTTCTCCCACAATGAAAGCCACCAAGCAAGAAACCAGGATTTCTTTTCTAAAATTGCCTTTCTGCGTTCTTTGACAGAGGCTGCAGTGCCTGTGCATAATGAATTAACAGTCTGCTGACTGGTGGGTCAGCTACTCCGACTGGGAGAGAAAACTCTGGAGAAAAGCAGAGGCACAGTTAGGGCTGAAAAGGTGCTTCCCCAGAAGCAAACGCCCAGACTGGCCGTTGCTAACGGACCAGAATAAATACATACAAATCCAGTGTGGGGGTAACCGGCTTTGCCAGCGGCAGAAGGGGAAGCTCCCAAGGCTCCATCCTTCTTACTGCGCATAAAGTGCAGAGCCCCAGATTAAGTCAGGCCAAAGGGAACTTTTCAGGTTTCACCAAGGTTTCTCCGGCCTCTGGGAGACCTGGAGCCAGGCGGTGCAAGCCAAAGCTACAGGGGATAAGAGTTATTTCAGGTGGTGGAATAGAAATAGCTTAGCTGAGCTTCTAATCAGTGAGGATAATGATTCCTAGATTGTAAATCAATAATGAGGACCAAAGATAGGCTTTGAAAATCCATGATTTCTCTCCGGCAATTCCCCTTCAGGGTTTTATCCTGAAGAATCATGGACGATGTGTGCAGAGCCATAGGGACAAGGCACTTCTGGATGATACGGGAAATTGGAATCAACCTCAACCACCAGCTGTGGGTGCCTGTTAAGAAAAGCATAGACCGTTTATGTGACGGGATATTACGCCATCCATAAAAATCATCTTGCACAAAAATATTATTGTTATAAGAAAAATGATGAGAACATTGAGCATGGTCCAGTGTCAGGAAGCACCACGGGTGTGTGGTGGGTGGAGGTGGACAGATAGACACAGAACTGACCAGGGCGGCCGTGGGGGGTAGGGCTTGGGGAGCACCGCGGCCTAAGGGCCCTCACCGCCCGCCAGAGCTCAAATCTGCACGCTCTTCCCTTGAGCACACTCTTGGGATACCCCAGAACAGGAGCTTCTGATTTCAGTGATTCTTATTTTTTATTTTTATTTTTTGAGACAGAGTTTAGCTCTTGTTGCCCAGGCTGGAGTGCAGTGGTGAGATCTCGGCTCACTGCAACCTTCACCTCCCGGGTTCAAGCCATTCTTCTGCCTCAGCCTCCCAAGTAGCTGGGACTACAAGCATGCACCACCATGCCAGGCTAATTCTTTTTTTTTTTTTTGTATTTTTAGTAGAGACAGGATTTCACCACGTTGGTCAGGCTGGTTTTGAACTCCTGACCTCAGGTGATCCGCCCGCCTTGGCCTCCCAAAGTGCTGGGATTATAGGCGTGAGCCACCACGCCCCGCCTGTTTTCAGTGATTCTTATTTGCATCATTGGCACTGGGGTGGGGGTGGGGAGCAACAGAACAAGATCTGGATTATAGAAATCTGAACTGCAAGCACTATCAGCGCGTACCACGTGCCAGGCCTGGCTCTAAGGCTTTACATGCTGTATCTCAACCCACTGATGATGCCACCAATGGGGAGATGCTTGTATTTTTGCATAGCACCAAGAGAGAACAACAAACGCTACCAATTAAACTGCAACACGCCGTTGATTGTCAGGTGCTCCCTGGCTTCAGAAGTGTTAAAAGATGAGTCCTGGCCAGGCGCAGTGGCTCACGCCTGTAATCCCAGCACTTTGGGAGGCAGAGGCAGGTGGATCACGAGGTCAAGAGTTCGAGACCATCCTGGCCAACATGGTGAAACCCCATCTCTACTAAAAACACAAAAATTAGCTGGGCATGGTGGCTCGTGCCTGTAGTCCAAGCTACTCACTCAGGAGGCTGAGGCAGGAGAATCACTTGAACCTGGGAGGCGGAGGTTGCAGTGAGAAGAGATTACGTCACTGCACTCCAGCCTGGTGATAGAAGACTCTGTCTCAAATAAATAAATAAATAAATAAATAAATAAATAAATAAATAAAAGAGTCCTATAACCCATTAAATAGCATCTTAGTAAATTTATGCTTCACAATGGTCCTTGGAGGCAGGAAATATTATTCCCATTGTACAGATGAGAAAACTGAGGCACAGAGGCACAGAGAAGCTAAGCAAGAAGCTAAGCCCAGCAGCTCAGGTGGCAGAGCTGGGACGCACCCAGGCCTTCGGCCTCTGCTGTTCATCCTCCCTCAAAGGGTCCCACAACTCTGGGGCAGAGAAGCAGGGGATTGAAGAAGGTGGGAGGGGGCAGAGAGGCGAGTTAAGAGCCCAGGCAGCCCCCCAGTGTCTCAGGGAAGAAAATGCTATTGCCCTTCCTCCTCACCATTCCCTTCTGTCTCCGTTCCAGCTCTAGCCTTCTCCGAAGGAGAGTCTCCCCCACCCTTTGCCAGGGGATCCCCTGTGGACAGCTGCAGGCTGCTTCACACCATGAGTAACATTTCCCTGGGATGTTTTCAGAGTCGTGAGGTTTAAGGCAGAACTGGCAAATGGCTTCCATCTCAAACACCAGCCTTCATCCATCGACAGAGGCTGCCTGGGGCTGTGTTGAGAAGGATTCCAAGGCTCAGTTGGGGCCCAGTGGGAAAGCGTTTGACAGTGTCCCCAGGGACATTCCCCAGGACAGGAGCGAGGAGGGCAGGGTTTTCTTGGCTTGGCTAGGGAAGAGCTAGGGCCTCTTAAAAAAGGGTAACCTGAGACCCCCGCAACAAACACAAGGGAAGGCGAGCGGCCTCTAGAGAATCCAGCCCATGCTCTTGGCCTCGTGAAGCCCAGTCTTCCAGCTGAGCCCAGACACTGAGAGTAGGTGAGAAGGGCGGGCCGTCCAAAGTGCCTGGGGCCCTCCCAGGGATGATGGCAGCCTGGAGCTCCTGGAACGCTTGGGGAGGAGAGACACCTGGCAGGTGCCTGCGCGTTTCCCACAGCCTACACTGTGCGGAACAGGCCAGCCCGGTCATTGTCTCACTTCTATAATTAGCCCAAAGTTCCTGCCTGCAAATAAGGAGAACAGTGTGTGTGTGAAGGTGCAGCAGCATGGCAGGGAGCTTGACTCATACCCAGCAACGTCTCCCCCGGGGAGTGGGACCCCCTCCTCATCCCTGGGTGAGTAGCCCGCTCAGCTACGATGGCTGGCCAGCTCCAAGTTGCCTGTAAGTGGCCATTGCGATTGCCCTGGTCACTGTGGCCATCAGCATTTGTTGAGCTGTGTGGGGAGCACTTGGGTACCCCTTTTCTCCTGTAATCCTTCTCCATCCCACGAGATGGGGATCACTGTTATCATCACAACATCACCATCACCGCCCAACAGGAGGAATGAGGCTCGGAGAGCAATGTGACCTCCTGAAACAGAGGTGGCATTTGAACCCAGAACCAACCGACATCCACTGCTCCCGTGCCGTCTGTGCCATCAACTCACGCTCCTCCCAGACAAAGGCCCTGGGGGTGGTCATTGCAGAAGGAACTGGCTTTGTAGAACATTCTAGAGATTGGCTTTTGGGACACATATTTTCATCTTAAGGAAGAGCTGGTATATTTTTAGGATGGGCAGACTTCCCAGGGTTCCGTCAGCCAGTCCAGGGTACCTGAGTCCACAGAGCTTCCCTCCCTCCCTTGGAAGGAGCACAGCAGAGCAGAAAGATGGAGAGAGGCCCCACCCCTGTCCCCAGGGTCTTCCCCTGGATCTGAAGGGTCTTAGACTAAGGTCAAGCTTAATAGCAGGTGAGATTTCTATTTCCTGCCTCTGGGAAGAGAGGAAAACAAATATCAATTACAGGCACAATTGTCGGTCAGAAGAAAGCCATCACTCTTGCTTTGGAGTTTACAGTTAATTAAGCCTGCAAAGAGGAACAACTCCACCAGCTACAAATCATGCCATCTCTGGGGACCCAGGTACCTGCTAGCCCAGGGGAGAGGGTCCCAGGGTGCAGAGCAGAGGAGGCTGCAAGTGCTCCTGCTGAAGCTTCTGGGCAGGTTTGCAACCCTGGTAGCACCCTAGAATCACCTGGGCTGCTCTTCAAAGTACGGCTGCCAGGCGGCTCCAGTGATATTTATGTACTTGGACAGGGGTGGGGGCGGACACCAGCACACACATTTTTTAAAGCTCCCCAGCGATTTCTCCATGCAGCCAGGGTCAACAAGCATGGATGGGTGCTGGATGCATGAGGAGCTGCCCACTGCCCACTGGTGCCAGCCCTGCCTGCTCCCCACCCACGCCCGGACTCTCTTGTCACCAGGGGGCCCACTTGAATCCCCTCAACAAACCCAAGGGAAGGTGAACGGCCTCCAGAGAATCCAGCCCACGCCCTTGGCCTCTGTGAAGCCCAGTCTTCCAGCTGAGCCCAGACACTGAGAGTAGGTGAGAAGGGCGGGCCGTCCGAAGTGCCTGGGGCCCTCCCAGGGCTGATGGCAGCCTGGAGCTCCTGGAACCCTTGGGGAGGAGAACTTAGTGCCTGCCTCGGCTTCAACCTCATGGCCTTGTTCTCTTCGATTGTCCACACCCCTCCCTAGCCCCTGCTTCCTGCTCTCCATCTTCCCAGCTTTCAGGCCCCACAGCTGAGCCTCTTGCTTTGTTTCCTCCATCCTGGGCCCACGGGTGGGAGCAGGAGTAAACCTTCTGATAGACACAGTCCATTCAGGAAAGAGTGTTGTTTAGCTCCATCTGGAGGGACAAAAAACAAGAACATGGAGGGAGGGGGAGGCTGAGGGAAGGGGGCCGCACAACAGGTAGCCGAGGGGTGCAGGAGGGAGCCCCACCTGCTCTTTCAAGGAAAATGATTCTTCATGAAGGAGATGGTGACCAAGTACCTACAGGTGCCCAGCAGACGCAAGGGGGTGGGAGGGGCCAACTGAAGGCCAGTGTGTGCCAGGCCCTGCACCAGGCCTGGGGAACGCTGCAGGGGAGAAGACAGGCCTGCCTCTGCCTCACAGGAAGGGCGTTCTGTTCAGGGAGACTAAGAGTAAACAAATCAACCTGCTCATGAGCAAGGTCAAATGAGAGAGCCACAGGCATTGGAAAGAAAACTGGTGCTGGGAAAACCAGTGAGGACTGTGAGCTCGGTTATGAGGATGTGGGAGAGACACTCCCTGAGGAGGATGGGGAGGGGAGTGGAGACCCTAATAGCTGGCAGGAAACAGCCAGGCAGAGACCTGGGGGCGGAACGTTCTGGCGGAGGGAAAAAGTGCCAAGTCCTAGAGGCGGGAAAGAGCTTGATGCATGCGAGAGAAAAAAGCAAGGCCTTTGTGGCTGGAGGAGAATGAAAGTGGGGAGTGGAAGGCGAAGTCTGAGAGGTAAGCAGGGACTGGATTATGCAGAGCCTTGAAGACTGAATGAGGAATGTGAGCGTTCCTCTGCACATAACCAGAGGCCAGGGAATGGTTAAGGGTGAGAAATGAAGCCACTTGGGACTTCCACATTTGGCCAAGGCAGAGTAGCTGGCCCTTCTGTAAGTCAACAACTATACAATTAAGTCTGGGTGTGGTGGCTCATGCCTATAATCCCAGCACTTTGGGAGGCCGAGGCGGGTGGATCACCTCAGGTCAGGAGTTCGAGACCAGCCAGGCCAATATGGCGAAACCACATCTCTACTTTAAAAAATGCAAAATGTAGCTGGGCATGGTGGTGCGCATCTGTGGTCCCAGCTACTGGAGAGGCTGAGGCAGGGGGATTGCTTAAACCCGGGAGGCGGAGGTTGCAGTGAGCCGAGATCATGCCATTGCACTTCAGCCTGGAGGACAGAGTGAGACTGTCTCAGAAGCAAAACAAAACAAAACAAAAACAAAAACAAAAGAAAACAAAAAAACTATGCAATTAAATTAAGTGCACGAGGCAACTCCTTGGAAGCAGTGGGCAGCAGGCAGTGCAAGACTGCGATGCCTGAGAGAAGGAAAGCCCGCAGAGGCGCCTGCAATCAACGACCAGCTCCTGTCCGGGCAGAATTTTCTGACCACAGCACAGAGACCTGGAGTCCAAACACAGCTCAGTGGCCATGGTGAGCGGACAAGACAGGCATTAGGGGTGGCTGGGATAGAATCAGGCAATCAGAGAGGTGGAAACTGTGTTGACAGGGAACCCTAGGAGTCAATGTGGGGGTTTGCTGTTGAGTTCATCGTGGAGGGATGAGCTGTACATGCTCGGAGAAAGAAGACCAAGACTTTCAGAGAGCAGACACTATGGGATTGAAAGCAAAATGGAACCGCCAGAGGTTTAAGCTGAGCTAGGGAGAGAATGCTCCTGGTGAATATTGAAATTCCAGCCTTGCCAGAGTAGAGAAATCTTAACACCTTTGATAACACTCCTGGCATCCAGCTGAGACCCTAAAAAGGTTATGCCTAAGAATGACACAATGGACTTTGGGGACTCAGAGGGGAAGGGATGGGAAGGGGGTGAGGGATAAAAGACTATAAATTGGGTGCAGTGTATACAGCTCAGGTGATGCAAAATCTCACAAATCGCCACTAAAGAACTGACTCATGTCACCAAACACCACCTGTTCCCCAATAACCTACAGAAATAAAAAAATTTAAAAAAACATAAATAGTATAGCAAGCCAGCATCATAATAAATGGTATTCTAATGTTAGAAAAAAAAGGCTATGCCTTAGGAGTAAGGACAACAGCCTAGTATACTTATTTATACTAAACCTCCCCCAGCAAAACCTAAGGGGCTTTTTGAAAAGATCTGCAGGGAAAACAGAATTAAGAGAGAACTCCTGCCAAACCAAAGGGGTCAAGGAAACACATAGTCTTTCTACCATCCACACGACCAAAGTGTGAAGACAAGCCTATATAAGTTCAAAGTGGTCAGCTAGTAATTTAACTGCCTGATAAAATAAGAAACACTTTTTAGAGGAAGATAACAAAATCCAGGATCTCTACAATAGGTTATACACAATGCCAACCACTCAATAAAAAAAATCACTTGGAACAAAATCACGTGGAACAAAAAGAAACAGAAACATGTGATTGACAGTCAAGGAAAAAAGCAGTCAATAGAAACTAAACTTGAGATGGCTCTGATATTGTGCTTAGTAGACAAAGACTCTAAAATAACCATTATAAATATGTCCAAAGAATTAAAGAAAAAAAGTCTTTGAGAAACTAAAGGATATTGTATTAATGAATGAACAAGTAGGAAACTCAGCAGAAGAATAAAAACTATTAAAAATGCAAATTCTAGAACTAAAAAGTACAATAATTTTGATGAAAAATTCACTCGATGGGCTTCACAATATATTAGAGATGACAGAAACAAAAAAGACAGGGACCATGAGAAAAGATCCATAAAAATTATTCAAACTTCAGAACAGAGATGAAAAAAACATGAAGAAACATGAACAGGGTAGATAAAGGGCAGTCTTTTCAACAACAGCACAAGAGTAATACACACCATATGCATATTGCATGTGCAATATGCCCGTGTTAAAAAAAAGAACTTAGACACAGACCTTAGACCTTGTATAATAATAAATCAAAATATATCATAGATCTACTTGGAAAATAGAAAACTATAAAACTTCTTGAAGAAAACATAGAATAAAATCTACATAATCTTGGGGTTGGTGATGAAGTTTTTAATACAACACCTTGCTCTAGCAAGAATACAGAGCAACAGGTGTTCACATTCATTGCTGGTGAATCTGGGATTTGCATTCATTGCTGGGAATGCAAAACGGTACAGCCACTTTGCAAGACAATTTGACAGTTTCTTACGAAGCCAAACACAAGCTTACCATACTATTCAGCAATTGCTCTCCTAGGTACACTCAAGGGATTTGAAAAGTTATGCCAATGCAAAAACCTGTATGCAACTATTTATAGCAGGATTATTCATAACTGTCAAAAAAACCCCATGAACCTATAGTTGAATGGCTAAATTGTGGCACATCCTTACAATGTAATATTATTCAGCAATACAAAGAAATGAGTTATCAAGTTATAAAAAGACATGGATGAATCTTAAATGCATATTGCTAAGTAAAAGAAGCAAGTCTGAAGAGGTTGCCTCTTAAATGATTCCAATTATATGACATTCAAAAAAAGGCAAAACTATAGAAATCTTAACTAGATCAGGGGTTGCCAGGGGTTTGAGATGTAGGTGAGGGGGTTGAATAGGTGAAGAAAAGGGTAATTCTTCAGATGGTAAAACTATTCTGTATGAGAGCTTAATGGTGAACATGAGATACTAAGCATTTGTCAGAATGCATCAAACTTTACACACAAAGAGTAAATCTTAATGTACGCAAATGTTAAAAATCTACGTAAGAGGTGGTGGAATCCCAGAAAGGAATACAGAATGTGCCAAAAGAATTTAACTGCCTTACAAATGTGTGACGTGACCTCACTGAAGGGGACTGGGAGAAGGTGCAGATGTAAGTAACTTTGGAGATGAGTGCAGTCTATAAGACTAAAGGCACAAGAAACTGTACATAAGCACTGTGCTCTAGTTGATAAAGTCATTTCTCACAAGACCATGAGTAACAATTCTGAAACCATGATGCAAGAAAACTGGAACTCAACAATGTAGTGGATGGATGGTGGGTAGTGGGAGCCCAGTTTCTTACTGTCAGAGTGTCAGATTACAGGCAAGGAAAGGGAGGGAGCTACAGTGATTCATGTGGAAAGGAATTAGAGTTGTAGACATCAGTGTGAACTCATATTTAGGTTAAAATAAATACAGATGCTACCTATAGCTATACGTATATACATAGGTCAGTATATACAAATATATCTCTTTGCTCTGTCCATGTCAAAGACATTCACCATGTTTTTTTATAACTTGATAATTCATTTCTTTCTATTGCTGAATAATATTCCATTGTAAGGACATGCCACAGTTTAGCCATTTGCCTATTGTTTCATGTTTTTGACAATTATCAATAATGCTGCTATAAATTGTTGCATGCAGGTTTTTACATTGACATAAGTTTTCAAATCCCTTGAGTGTGCCCAGGAGGGCAATTGCTGGATGGTATGGTAAGCTTGTGTTTGGCTTTGTAAGAAACTGCCAAACTGTCTTCCCAAGTGGCTGTGCCATTTTGCATTCCCACCAGCAAGGAATGTGAACACCTGTTGCTCTGTATTCTTGCCAGAGCAAGGTGTTGTATTTAAAAATTCATCACCAATCCCCGTCAGCTTAGAGGTCCTGGAGGTGATAATACCCCAGTGGAAATGAGCACACTGAATACTGAAGTCTGAGTTCCTAATATCCTTCTCAAATAAAGAAACAAGGACTCCTTGGAGAAATGCTGATTCTAGGACTGGGGTAGGGAATACACAAGATAAGCCAGGAGCATCTCCTAGTGCCAGAAAGTAAGAAAATGTTAAAGAGACACAGGAGCCCACTGGAGGAGCTGGCAAAGATGGAATAATTTGGGCACCAAAATAAATGAAGCAGCATTGGCTATATGATTATAAGCAAGTATAAAATAAATATACATGAATCCGTACCGATATAAATACTAATACTTATATTTAGTTGGTGCAAAAGTAATGATACCTAATATTAATAAATGATTTAATAAGTAAAGAAATGGAGAGAAAACTTAAGTCTCCCATGCAGAAGATTTTCAAATACTTTATGTAGATATTCCATATTTAAGGAGGTAGGACGAAACTCCCTACTGTTTAAGTGCGGAGGTACGTAGCAGCTTTCTTCCAGAGTATAGTATGGAAACGAGGGGAAAGAGTAAGTTTACAGTGAGAAACCGGACCACCACCACCTTGGTCAGGGATTGGGCTCAGCCTCAACAGTGATATGCCATGTTGGGAGGATGTCCCCTTGATATGATGTGATGAGAATGGCATTTCACCTTTGTGGGCTTCCTCCTCAAAACCCAAAACCCCACTCTAATCCTGAGAAAAACCCTTTTGAAAATCCCAATTAAAAAATACAAAATACCTGAGCAGTGACCCTTAAAACTGGCAAGTCGCTAGGCGTGGTGGCTCACGCCTGTAATTCCAGCACTTTGGGAGGCTGAGGCGGGCGGATCACGAGGTCAGGAGTTCGAGACCAGCCCGTCCAACACGGCAAAACCCTGTCTTTACTAAAAATACAAAAAAAATTAGCTGGGTATGGTGGTGCATACCTGTAGTCCCAGCTACTCGGGAGGCTGAGGCAGGAGAATCGCTTGAACACAGGAGGCAGAGGTTGCAGTGAGCTGAGATCGCACCAGTGCACTCCAGCCTGGGTGACAGAGCGAGACTCTGTCTCAAAACAAACAAACAAACAAGAAACCCCCAGCAAGTCATCAAATACAAGGTAGCTCTGAGAAACTGTCATGACCAAGAGGAGCCCAAGGAGATACGGCTGCTAATTATAACGTGGTGTCCTGGATGCCATCCTGGAAGAGAAAAATGACTTCAGGAAATCTGAATAAAGTATGAACTTTAGTTAATAACAATGCATCAGTGTTCATTAATTATGACAAATGTCCTATACTAAGAGACTAATAACAGGGGAAAGTGGATATGAGTGCTATGGGAACTCTCTGTACTCTCTTTGGAATAATTCTGTGAATCTAAAACTGTCTAAAATTTATTTAAAAAAATTAACAGAGACTTAAGGGACAATACCAAACAGTCTGATAAATTAGTCATGAGAGTCATGAAGACTTAGATTAGGGGAGAGAAATCTTTGAAGAAGTAACGGGTGAAAGTTTGTCAACATTGATGAAAAATACTCATGAAACTGTAAAATCAAGTAGAATGCATAGAAGGAAAAAACACGCTTTGTCACATCATATTCAAGCTTCTAAAAACCAAATAAAAAGATAAAATTTTAAAAGCAGCCAGAAAATAAGTCACATCACATACAGGAAAACGCAATAAGAATATTCATGATGGATTTTTTTTTTTTTTTTTGAGAGGGAATCTCGCTCTGTTGCCCAGGCTGGAGTGCAATGGTACGATCTCAGCTCACTGCAACCTCCTCCTCCCAGGTTCAAGTGATTCTTCTGTCTCAGCCTCCCAAGTAGCTGGGATTACATGCTCCCGTCACAACGCCCAGCTAATTTTTGTATTTTTAGTAGAGACGGGGTTTCCCCATGTTGGCCAGGCTGGTCTCAAACTCTTGACCTCAGGTGATCCATCCACCTCAGCCTCCCAAAGTGCTGGGATTACAGGTGTGAGCCACTGTGCCCAGCCATGATGGGCTTCTTAAGCAGAAACAATGAAAAACAGAAAGAAAGGGATGATATTTTTAAAGTTCTGAAATAAAAAAAAACTGTCAATCTAGATTTCTATAATCAGTAAAAGCATTCTTCAAAAATGAGAGTTAAATAAAGAAGTCTTTAAATAAATGGAAGTGAAGAGAATTACAGCAAAACTACAATTTAAAAAAATGCTGTAGGATGTCTTTTGGGTCAAAACTTAGAGACAGAGGAATGAATGAAGAGTACCAGAAATGGCAAATAAATGGGTAAAGATAAGGGGCTCGCTCTTGTTTTTTATCTTTACTTAAAAGACATCTTACTATATGTATTAGCCCATTTTTATGCTGCTGATAAAGACATACCCAAGAGTGGGTAATTTGTAAAGGAAAAGAGGATTAATGGACTCACAGTTCCACGTGGCTGTGGAGGCATCACAATCATGGTGGGAGGTGAAAGGCACGTCTTACATGGTGGCAGACAAGAGAGAATGAGAACCAAGTGAAAGGATTTCCCCTTATGAAACCATCAGATCTCACGAGACTTATTCACTACCCTGAGAACAGTATGGGGGAAACCACCCCCATGATTCAGTTACCTCCCACCAGGTCCCTCCCAAACACATGGGAATTATGGGAGCTACAATTCAAGATGAGATTTGGGTGGGGACACAGCCAAACCATATCACTATATGATCAAAATTAAGTGTAAGGTAGGGCTTATAACATATGTGAAAATAAATGTATGAAAACTATTGCTGAGGGTCAGGTAAGTGAAATTATACCATTGTATTTGCGAAATGAGAAGTGTAAAGCAAAAAGAGGAAGTAGAAATCGTGAAATTCAGGTGTGAAGGATGAAAAGGGATGCTAAATAAACTTTGATAAGTTAAGGATGCATATTGTTACCCTCAGAAAAACCACTTAAAAATAAAATCAGTATAGGAATTGCTAAGAAGCCAATAGCAGAAATAAAATGGAGCACTAAAAATATCTAATTAACCTAAAAGTAGGCAAAAAGGAGCAATGGGGAACAGAAAGCAGGGGAACAAATAAAAAACAAATAACAAGGTGGTAGACTGAAACCCAGTCATATTAATATTACATGAAATATACATGGACCAAATGCCTCAATTAAACAGCAGAGATTGTTGGACTGGATAAAAAAAAAGCATGACCCAATTATATACTGCCTACAAGATATTCATTTTAAATAAAAAGGTTGAAGGTAAAGGTCAGGAAAAGATAAAACATGCAAACAATATTTTTTAAAAATCCGGTGTGGCTATATTAAGGACACAGTAGACTTTAAAGCAAAAAGTATTACCAGAGATAAAGAAGGACACTTCATAATGATAAAAGAGTTCATTTAACAAGTAAATATACCTAAATATGTATGCATTTAATAACAGAGCATCAAAATATACTTAGCAAAAACTGATAAAAGTAAGGGTAGAAATAGACAAATCCACAGTCATAGTTAGAAATTTTAATACTCCTGTCAGCAATTGATAGTACAATAGACAGAATATCAACAAAGTTATAGGTATTTGAACAGCACACTCAAACAACTTGATTTAATTGGTATTTATATAACACCCCATCCAACAATAGCAAAGAACACATTTTTTAAGTGCACTTGGAACATTCACCATGATGGGCCATATTCCGAGCCATAAAACAAATCTCAATAAATTCCAAAGGATTGAAATAATAAGTATGCTTTCTGACCATAACAGAATTAAGTTAGAAGTCAACAACAAAAATGGTATCTAGAAAGTCACCATGTGTTTGGAAATTGGTAAATACACTTCTAAATAACCTAAGAGTCAAAGCAGAAATCACAAAGGAAACTAAGATATATTTCTAACTGAATAAAAAACTACCACCTATCAAAATGTGGGGGATGCTGCAGTACTTAGAATAAAATTTCTTTCGTACATGCCTATATTTAAAAAGAAGACAGGTTTAAAATTGGTCATCAAAATTTCCACCATAAGAAGCTAAGAAAAAGAAGTGCAAACAAAATCCAAAATAAGTAGAAGAGGAAAGACGTAAGTACACATTGAGAGTGGCCTTGTTCTTGTGTTGACATTGCCCTATTCTGCCATCCTCCACCATCTCCTTGAGACCAGACATCGTGCCTTCAGGAAAGTTCCAGAGTTCTGAGGGAGAGATACTTGAAGGTGATGTGGAAATTGTCAAGCAATCAAGACCATGTGACTATCAAGACCACGTCGTAGGCCGGGCATGGTGACTCATGCCTCTAATCCCAGCACTTTGGGAGGCCGAGGCAGGCAGATCACCTGAAGTCAGGAGTTCAAGACCAGCCTGGCCAACATGGTGAAACCCCGTCTCTATTAAAAATACAAAAATTAGCCAGGTGTGGGGGCAGGTGCCTGTAATTCCGGCGACTCGGGAGGCTGAGGCAGGAATATCACTTGAACTCAGGAGGTGGAGGTTGCAGTGAGCCAAGATAATGCCACTGCACTCCAGCCTGGATGACAGAGTGAGACCCCGTCTCAAAAAGAAAAAAAAAAAAAAAAGAAAAGAAAAAGCCCGGGCACAGTGGCTTACGCCTGTAAACTGGAAAACACTCAAGAAACTGTAAAATCAAGTAGAATGCATAGAAGGAAAAGACACACTTTGTCACATCATATTCAAGCTTCTAAAAACCAAATAAAAAGATAAAATTTTAGAAGCAGCCAGAAAATAAGTCACATCACATACAGAAAAACACAATAAGAATATTCATGATGGACATTTTTTTTTTTTTTTTGAGAGGGAATCTCAAAAAAAATCCCAGCACTTTGGGAGACCGAGGCGGGCAGATCACGAGGTCAGGAGATCGAGGCCATCCTGGCTAACACGATGAAACTCCGTCTCTACTAAAAATACAAAAAATTAACCAGGTGTGGTGATGGGCACCTGTAGTCCCAGCTACTCAGGAGGCTGAGGCAGGAGAATGGCGTGAACCCGGGAGGCAGAGCTTGCAGTGAGCCAAGATCGCACCACTGCAGTCCAGCCTGGGGGACACTGCGAGACCCCGTCTCAAAGAAAACAAAACAAAACAAAAATAAAACCTACTTTGGAAGATTTGGAAAGAAATTAGGAGGGAGATGATGGCTCAGTTCCTCTCCTAAATGTTAATGCAGCAATATTTTAAAAGGTCACTCAGGGGTGCACCCACCCCAAGGATACCCTCCTCCTCCTCCTCCTGAGGGGATGAGAGCTAAGAAAAGTGAACAGACCATTTCTGTGGGGACCAAGAATCCCTGAAAGTTGACCAAAGAAATGCTTTTTGAACTTATTCTGGCTGTAAACTACTTGGACTCAAAAGTTTGCTTGATGCTACATGTGACTACTGCCCACATGATCAAGGGGAAAACTGGAGATTCTCAAGACCTTCAATATCAAAAACAAACAGGAAGAAGCCTGAGTGTGCAAAGAGAACAGTGGTGTAAGGAGCAGTGAAATGCATCTGACACGAACACTGTGAGGATGGTTCCGAATACCAGCCGCACAGCTCTGTCATTGCGAATGTTAGACACACCACGGGCAGGTGCAGCAGCAGATCAGTCGTGACGGCAGGACACTGTCTTCATTGCGTGTGTAGTTTTGAGTACAGATTCCAAACCTATGTCTGAGTTTCCTCTCGTATCGTCAAAAGTTTCTTTTTTCTTTGCTCTAAATACAACGGAACTGTGGCTTCTTTACAGAAAGGGGCACCTTGGGTTTCCCTCTTTTTCTAAAGTGGTTTCTGCCTAGTATCTTGTCCAGATCACCTGAGCGACCTTTTAAAAGTTGGCATTGTAAATAAAACAACTTGCAAAAAGTTGGGATTACAGGCAGCTGACACGACGCCCGGCTAATTTTTGTATTTTTAGTAGAGACAGGGTTTCATCATGTTGACCAGGCTGGTCTCAAACTCCTGACCTCAGGTGATCCACCTGCCTTGGCCTCCCAAAGTGCTGGGATTACAGGCGTGAGCCACTGTGCCTGGTCTAACATAGATCTTAAACAACACTGAGACCATCCTACATGGACAGTCTGTAATCTATTCATTTGGCGTCAAGTTGTAACATTTTCCCCTGATGTTAAATATTACTCAGAAATCAGTATGCGATGGCTGCACGGCATGGCATCGTGTGACAGCCACGATTCGCTTAACCCTTTTTAGGAGATTCATTCCTGTGACCAGGAAGCAGGAACGGAGGGCGCTGGGAGCCCGGAGTAAGCAGTGGACCTGCTCGGGGAGTGTCCATCCCGACGGGAGAGACCAGGTCAAGCAAGTTGGGGTCACGGAAGCACATCAGTTCTCCAGGACTAGTGCTCCGGAATCAGGGACTGTGAGAGACAACCAGGGAGGGGTGACCTGCTTAGACAGGGCATGGGGCGGTGCTGGGTGCTCTGGAGGGACGTGCTCCCCCGGCCTCGCCAGCTATTCCTGCAGGACAGGTCCTAGCAGGGACCACTGGCTGGGCCGGGTCAGCTGCCCAGGGATGGACAGTCCTGGGTGAGGAGTGAGAGCCGACGCTGCTCTGCTTCCAAGGAGCCCCAGAGGCTGGGGAGGCCCTGGGGAGGTTCACATCTGCCTCCATGCGGGGAGAGACCTCTGAGCTTTGTCCCTGCTGTCCCAGCATCCAGGCAGCCGGCCTCCTATTCCCCAGGAGAGGAGCAAGGGGGCCATTCCCAGTCCGCAGCCCTGTTGGGGCCCTGAGAGACCGGCCCACCAGTGCCCAGAGGTCAGAGGAGGCGGGTCTGGGCTTGGGAGGCCCTGTGGGATCTTGGCAGGCAGAGAAGTGGAAGGAACGGAGGAAGGTGGCTTCTCAGGCACGGGGGGAGCACCGGCCAAGTGGGTAGTGGGGAGGCCCAGAGTCCAGCAGCTGCACCCAGGCTTGCGTGTCTGGGGAGGACAGCCCGGCCCAGGCTCTTTCTGCACTGAAGCTGGAACCCACCAGGGTCGGGTTGCTCTGTTAGCTCCAGCACACGGAGCAAACACACAAAGATTAGCAAACTTCTTTCCGGTGAGCTGAGTCAAAGCGGATGAGCAAACACGGGCGCCCTGTGAGTCTGGCGTCTTCACCTGTGAGAAGGCAGACAAGCCCCTCACTGGCCCCGGAGGAGGAATCACTGTTTGGTTTGAGAGGCGAGAGTGAGGCCCAGCGGGGTCAGGAGAAGGGCCCGGGCGCCCCAGGCATGGGGGAAATGCCCAGGAGAAACAGCCAGAACCAGGGAGGAGCCTTCCTGGCACACTGGAGAGCTTCCTCGGGAAGGCAGACGCGTTCGCAGAGGGCCTGGCCCACGGGGGTCGGCTGGCAGGAGCGAGGAGCAGAGATCGCAGGAGCCACGGTGGTGGGTGAGCCCTGAACTATACATCAGACTCGGAAAACGGCAGCGTTGCAGGGGACATTCAGCTAACCGTGAGGCCTGATGAGGGCGTGGTAAGGGAATGAGTTTTGGAAACAGAATGACCCAGGGGAACCATGGTGCTACTGTCTTTTGTTGGGGGGCCCTGGAAAGGCCACCTCACCCTTCTAGACCTCGGGCTTCCCATCTGCCAAATGGGCGTATTCCAGGGCCTTCGCAGGTTATTAGAAGCCGGAAGCGAGCCTGTATGTGGGATGGGTGTCTGCTCCCTTACTTACTAAATCATTCTTGAGCACCTACTATGTGCATCTCCTATGGAGTAGCCCCTGGGGGTGACAGTGGTGCCCTCGCGAAGCCTCAGCCCAGCCGGGGAGAAGCACAGAGTGGACGGTGGTGGCCATTCTTCCTTCCAGTCCATTCTTTGATTCCAGCCCTGCTCTAGACAGGCAGACCCTCTGTCTTTTTTATCTTCCAGAAAAGGAAACTGAGGCAGCCTAGGGAGGGGAAGCACCTTGCCCAAGCTGACTCACAGGCCTGGCTCCTGGGTCAGGTGCTGCCCACAGCAGGAGGGCCTGGGAGACCCCCGGTCCAGCCCTGTGCTTCTCAGGGGAGAATGCTGAGAATCACATTGCTTAAGTGCCTCGCTCCTTGTCCTCCAGAACAGTCCCAGTGAGCAACAACTCAGGGCGGGCACGGGCGAGTTTGAGAGCTGGAAATCTCAGCTGGGATCCTGGCATCTGGGGAAGGGCCGGGCTCTATAAATAAACCACTCGCCTAAGCCCGGGAGCAGGCAGGAGCCTGGAGAGCTAGAGCTGCTGCCTGCCACTCCCCACAGATGACGGTGGCGCAGCCGGAGGGCCCCCCTCTCAGGCAGCTGGCCCCTGGGATGGGCTGGCAGCAGGTGGCAGCCAAGAATATTTGACCCCCTGCTCCAGAGGGCACCCCACCTCCACAGGCACACACACATCTATGCCCTGAGCTGGGACGAGCTGCACAGAGCGGGCTGGGGGCTGCTCCCTGGAAAAGAGGCAGCAGGTCCCTGGGACGCCTGGAGCCGCTTCTCCCGGTGCCAGCCTTGCCCTCTGCGTACTGGACAGCAACAAGCCCAGGCACAGGTAAGAGATGCCTCCTTGTGCCCCTGAAGGGCCTGCTCTCTTGGAGAAGGGATGCGGGCCGAGGGGTGGGAAAGAGGCTTTGGGAGGAGGCAGGAGCCCCAGCTCCCTTGGTTTCTTGCATCTTCCCTCAGCTCTAAGAATCCTGGCACAGGCATTGAGCTCTCCTCGCTCTCCGGCTCCCTCTCCATGCCCCCAGCCTGGCGGGGAACAGCCTGCCCTTTTCATTCTGGAATACTTTCTTCCTCCGTCAAAACATTGGAGTCCTGTTGGCTTAATGAGATGCTGGCCCCAGGATAATGGGTTAGCAGGAACCAGGTGGAAAAGTTTTGCTGCCCTGGGTTGCAAGGAGCCCATGCCTTTGGGAGGAGAAAGGCCTCCGCTTCCTGCTCCGGAGTCTGGGTGGGGCAAGGCCAGAAGGCACTGGGCTTCTGACCCTGTGGAGGGTGGACTGCAGTTCTTCTCGGGAGCACTGGCTGGGGAAGATTCTCTTTGCAAGATGGGGAGAAATCCAAGGAGACGGTCTCCTGGGTGGGTCTCTAGTTCCCCAGTTCTGTGTCACACTTCCAGGCTCACCAAAGAAACTCGTTTTGGTGAGCGCTGCTTTGGGAGTCGAGCCAGGCCCGATGGACTCAAGGTAGAATGAGGGGACTCGCCTTGGGAGCTCGGTTCATTTGTCTTCGTGCTCAGAGGGGCTGTCAGGCCTGGCTTTCTGCCTAAAGAGCTTTCTGTGTCTGATCCCAGGAAAGGGTATTCACCTGCAGGAGAAGCAGTTAGAGCAATTGTGCAGGATGCCGGGGAGATGGCCTCTGTGGAGGGGCCTGCTGGCGGCTTTCACCCGCCCCGGTTCGCAGAGGAAGGCTGGTGCTGGGGGGAGGCCAGAGAGGATTTGGGGCCAGCCTTTCCACGGCACACAGCTCAGGAATCACTGGGGGAGTGGGATTAGCCATGATGGATTTTTCTCGGCCTGAGGGCGAGCTGGCATCAGCCGCAGCCAACTCCTGCAGCAGGCTGGCTTGGCTGAGCACAGGTGTGAGGGCTGCTGGGCTCAGCAGGGCCAGACTTCGTCTGGGCTGCTCTCTACTGTGGCAGGTCAGGAAACACCAGGCGGCCAGTGCTGGGTCTGGAACGGAGCACACAGTTCCTGCAAATGCTACCCAGGACCCTGAGGCTGCCCAGGGCCAGGTGTCCACCCCACCTCCCTCGCCGTCCACTCTGGTCGCGTCCCAGGAGCTGGTTTCCTTGACTTTCTCTCCCCTGTGTCTTCAAGGAACCCTGCCCAGGAGCCACCCTGTGAACCTGCCCCAGGAAACCCACCCCACTTCCAGCTTTGGTTTAACTTCCAGTCCTTCCATGTGGCCTGTGTCACTAGGACCAGGAATTGAATCACTGCCATCATTGGGACTGAAATTCCTACCCAGGCTCCTGCTGCGCGCTCCACAGCCGTGTGAATCTTGGCAGAACACTGGGCTCCTCTAACCTCAGTCTGCTCGTGGATACAATGGCCGCAATGCTTCCTTCCTTACTGGGCTGTGGGAGGATGGACAGATCACATGTGGGAAGCGGGACAGGGATGAGGGATGTGGCAGCCCTTGCGCTGTATACATCATGATAATGTCTTCTTCTGATTACTTCCCAGCATGGGACCTGGCACACAGTAGGTGTGCAACAATGCTTATTGAATTCATACATTTGCATGCACACACACACACACACACACACACACACATACACACATGTCAGGCGACCTACAAGGGTTATGTGGGCACCACCGCCCTAGCTCCAACTCATCCCAACCCCGTCTGCCTAGGACAGTGGCCGTGATGCCCGCAGAAGCAGCCTCCGCACCCCCATTTCTGGTGCCGCCTCTGCCCTGCGGAATCCTGGCCGACACCACAGGCGGATGGATTTTGGTCCATGGCACTTGATCACTTCCATACAATGGGGAGAGCCTGCTGAGGGCAGAGCTGAGGCAAGCATGGCTGTAAATCATCAAAACCACCACCATCAGGCGCTGGTCTTGGTCTTGGGAGTGTCTGCTCTGTTTTGGCTAATTGGCTTCCTACTTATGAACGCACGTGCACACCCAGCCTCTCCCCCAGACGCCTCTCACGTGGGCCTGTTCCTGAGAGCTGTCCATAGACCCACGAGGCTGGAAGAAGAGCTCCATCTGACCGGGTGCAGCCTCTGCGGGTGCCCAGGAAGGCTAGGAGAGTCAGAGGTGGTGGTGGTCATTTTCCCACCTCCATAACCGGGACGCCAGGACTGGGGACAAGGTCTTGCAAGTGCTGTAACAAAGGCCTGAAAACCAAGGCACGTTCCTACAATCACAACAGTGGCCCTGCTTATCAGGCACTTGACAGAATGCCAGGCTCAGTGTGCCATGCTTGCAAACATTGTCTTACAATTTAACCAGTCAGCACTTTGGAAAGGAACAAGGCTCTGTAAAAATACACCAATAGGCAAAATGATACAGCATTCTATATGTTAGTGCAAATGAGTAAAAACCCCATGGTGTCTTCTGGTCACTCCAACAAACCTGCCCAGCCTTCAGCACCAAGCCTCTGCTGTGCGTGCTGCCCCTGAGCACTCCTCTGGATGTCCCGAGCCCCCTGACTCCGGGTTTGGTGCCATGCACTGCCAACCCACTTACCCCGGCTGTGGGTGCAGAGGGTAAGCTCTGTCTTGTGGATGTGCTGGTGAATTTTACCACCCAGCCATTTCATTCAGATTACTTCTGCCCATCCAGTTTGGGGTACTCTCTGCTCCTGCACCACACACATCTCCACTGCATGGGTCTGCGGTTGCTGTAACATTGCTCTGTAACAAACAGTCCCCCAGGCTCGGTGGCTCACAGCAACACACGTGTGTTTCTCTCACTCCCGGGCCTGTGGTCCATCTGGGGTTGGCCGTCCTGGTTGGGGATGGCTGGGCTCCACGGAGCTCAGCTGCACTTGGCTCCAGGCTGTGAGTCAGTTTCGGGATGGCTCCACATGCCTCACGCTGGGGTCTGTTCTTCTCTTGATGGTGACCAAAGAGTGCGGGTCAAACCACACCACGTAAGCTCGCGGATGGTCTGCTCGTGTGTCTCGGCTGCTGTTCCATCTGCCAAAGCAGACCACAAGGCCAGGCTCCGAGTCAGCAGGATGAGAGTGTAGACCCCCACTGAACTCTGCTGGAGGGCACCGTGAGGTCACACAGTGCAGGGAGGGAGTGGGGAATGGGGATGGGTGACCGCATCTTCCACACGTGTCCTCAGCACTCTCTCCAGTTTATTCACACATCTGCGCCTGTCCAGGCTGTCCCTCCTGAGGACAGGCCCCTGCCTGTTCTCCCTGGACAGGAGAGTGGAGGTTTGTTAAGTACAGAGCCAGGCCAGGCCCTGAGGGTGCAGATCTCAGCAAGACAAGCTCAAGTTCAGAGTCAAGAAGGGACGTCAGTACTTAGGTAATGGCATTCCTCCCAGCTTAGCAGGGCTCAGGAAGAGGAATGGAGATGAGGCCAGGAGCATTTGTGTGTGAATGACGGAACAGGAAAGTCTTCGCAGGGGAGGTGGCCCCATAAAGGAGCGCCACAGGCTGGATGGGATTTTAGCAGGCAGAGGAATGGGTGGAGGGCATCCTGGAAGAGGGCACTGCCTGGGCAAAGACCTGGAGACGAGAAAGTCTGTGCCGTTCATTGTTTAGCCTGGCTAGCCCTGCTGCCACTTGCTGGGCAAGCTGCCCTCCCTCCCTGGGCCTGGACGTTGCGGAGGGTCCACAGCCCTAGGACCCCATCAAAGGCAATTCCCCGGCACTTGAGTTGTTCCCTGAGAACTCCTTCAAGCTCCTCTGGCACCAGCTCTAAATTAACTAGTAACTAGGAACCTCTGATCTCATTATGTGAATTATAATTGTCCTGTTCTTTAATAATTCATGGCTGTGGAGCCCCAGGACACGGAGGCTCAGGAGAGCCACACAGCAGGCAGCTGGAAGGGGAGGCCGGGTGGCTTAAAGGTGGCTCACAAATACTCTAGTTCACGATAATTCGCAAAATAAGTAATACACATCCCCAGTGCCCTTAGGCTAGGAAGGTATTTCAATACCAACCAGTTGAAATCACTGCAGGGAGAGAGGTTATTCTCCCACATTAAATACGTCCTTGTCTCCCAAGAATTCAAGACCCTGGACAGAGAGAGGACATTTAAGGAAATGAATCCTGCGCAGGAAGCATTTGTTCAAGATGTTCTGATCCCTGCCCATACACACCACTTCCAGACAGTGCAGACCAGGAGACAGAAAGACCTGTATTCCCAAATAGGCTCCTGTGTCTTGTAGCTATATGCGCTTGGACACATCCCTTAGCCTCCATGAGCCTCCGTGTATCCATCTGTGGAATGGGCAGGTGATCCCTGCTTGGGCCGGTCCTCCAGGAGGCCTGGGAGAATGAAGGGAGATGGGTGTGTGAAGATGCACGAGGAGGTTCTCACCCTGTGAACATGGAGGAGGCTGGGCAGAAGAAGGGCAATGAGGGGTCCCAGGGGGGCACAGGGAGGGGAAGGAATGAGGAGAGAGAGGTTGGTCACCCCAGGCCTGGGGCAGTGACTCTGGCAGTAAACAGGGACCCAGTGACCTCAGATGTCACTTGCAGGAGGCCCATGAAGCCTGGGCCCACCTGCTCTCTCTGCAGGTGTGTGAACAGCCCCCAGCAGCCCCCAGACATGAGGGCTGATGCACTAAAGACCCTCGCTTGTGCCAAGGATGTGTGGGAGCCTGGCTGCAGCTGGCCTGAGGACCTGGGACCCCACCTGTCCCCATGGTCATTTAACAGAGACCTAGACCCCTTCAACATTGCCTCCAACTCAAAAAGGAAAGAACTGAGTCCACATTTTAAGAAAATGAATTTTTTTTTTTTTTTTTGAGATGGAGTTTTGCTCTTGTCGCCCAGGCCGGAGTGCAGTGGCTCGGTCTCGGCTCATTGCAACCTCCGCCTCCCGGGTTCAAGCGATTCTCCTGCCTCAGCCTCCCAAGTAGCTGAGATTACAGGCATGTGCCACCGCGCCTGGCTAATTTTGTATTTTTAGTAGAGACAGGGTTTATCCATGTTGGTCAGGTGGGTCACGAAGTCCCAACATCAGGTGAGCTGCCCACTTGGCCTCCCAAAGTGCTGGGATTACAGGCGTGATCCACTGCACCCGGCCCGATTTTATTTTTTATTTTTATTTTTTGACAGAGTCTTACTCTGTCACCCAGGCTGGAGTGCAGTGGCGCAATCTCGGCTCACTGCAACCTCTGCCTCCAGGGTTCAAGTGATTCTCCTGCCTCAGCCAGCCTCCCGAGTAGCTGAGATTACAGGTGCCCACCACCACACTGGGCTAATTTTTGTATTTTTAGTAGAGATGGGGTTTCACAGGCGTGAGCTACCACGCCTGGCCAAGAAAATGAATGATTGAACATATAAGAGGAATAATCTGAAAGTCAGTTTAGGATAAAACATTCATTTCCTGTCGCCCCCCGCCCACCCCCATCCTATACTGAGAGTTGGTTTCCTTTTTATGAATCAGTCCTCGTCTTGCTTCAGAAGGGGCCACTGCTGAGCACCTACTGTGTGCATGGGTGGTCTGTCGAGGGGCTGTGGAGCCAAACAGCCTGGGTGCGAACCCCTGCTCTGCCACATCAGCCATGAGTTCTTGGCGGTCACTTTACCTCTCGGTGCCTCGATTTCCCAACCAGTCAATGGGGGCGATGGCAGCACCTGTCTCACTGCGTCTCGGTGAGGATGGAATAAGTTCACTGGCTTGAATCACTTGGAACTGTGGGGCTCTCGGGAAAGGCAGGCTACTGTTTTCCCAGGCTCTGCTCTTAGAGAAACGCACCCAATCTGGGGCACTGATGCCCACTTTGTAGAGGAGGAGACTGCAGCTCTCGGGGAGGCCTGTGCACCCTGCTGTGCTTGGAGTGACTCAGAGGAAGCCCTTGACTTTGGAGGGTATCGATGGCAACCTGGAGGAGAGACTGTAGCCTTATGGGTTTTTAGCTTTTCTTTTGGTGGTTTTCAAATAAAACCTTTTCTAAGGGGCTGCTCTGTTTGGAGGTGGATGAGGAGGGAATGAAGAGAGGGCCAGTCTGGCCTCCCTCTGACTTCCCCACGTGGGGGATCCCCTTCTGAAGCTCTCAGGCTGCGAGGACCACTGTTTGGCAGCCACTGGTTGAGCCTCGGGAGCAGTTGGACCTCCCACCAAATCCTGGCCACACAGCTGGAGGAGACGCAGCAGTTTCAGGCCTACCTTCCTGCCCCTGTTCCAACAACCATGCCCTGTGCCCCGCCCTGGGTGGGATCCTCAGGCAATGCCAGGGAGGCAGAATGGCTTCTAGGAGGCACCAGCCTGCCAGGACCAGACCCAGCTCTCCTCAGGGCCTCCCAGGGCTACCTTGGAGTGTCCTAGAAGGGTCTCCCAGGATCTCCCGAGGGTGTGCTTGGAGGTCTTCTAGAGGTCTCACCAGGATCTTCTCTGGTCCTCCCGGGGCCTCCCAGGGTCTCCTTGAGATCTCACAAGGTTCTCCTAGGGTCCACCCAGAGTCTCCTCCGAATCCCTCCTCTGAGAGTTGCAGCCCCCGTCTCTCGCCCCACATCCACCTCTCTTTCTCTCTAGACTCTTTCTTCCTCCCTTCTCCCTCCTCTCAGCCTTGAGTGGCTGTGAAATAAAACTCAAGTGTCCTCTTTAGCAATTTAAATGTATTGGCTGTTTCCTGTTCTTCATTTAAAATACAGATGAGTGGGGCATTTTCTCTTTCTCCCTCTCAAAAATGTACAACAGAAGCCACCGATGTGAATTCATTGATTCTTTTCTCCCACTGCCACTATCCCCACAGAGACCAGCCTTGCCACCATTCACACTAATCCAATCCACTCTGTGCTGGAGGCACCTACACCTGCACTTTGGGTCCCCCAGGCCTCAGCGGGACTGGGCAGCAACTGTCCCTCCCACTGCCATCCCCTGGGGTCCTGGGGGGTCTCATCACCCAGGTGATGGGAATGCAGCTGATGGTGGTACCAGTCCCTCTGAGCTCTGGGCCTCTGCAGAGCCCATCTCCCCCTTCCCTGCAGCAGCCTGGTAGGGCACTGGCATTGCCACTCTCTAAGAGGACAGTGAGGCTCTGGGAGGCCAGGGCACAAGTCCAAAGCCACCTGCAACGTATAGCACAGCTGGCCTTGAAGGCGGCCAGCCTGGTGTCCAGCTCACGTCCTTGTCCCCCATCACACAGGCAGAGAGGGGTCACAGGGTCCTCAGCCTAACTCTTCTGGGCATGGAGCCCCTCACTGCCGGCTCTACCATGAACCCTCAGGGTCCTCGCTCTCCACTCCTTCCCATGCCAGCCAGCCCAAGACCATTTTGCCATCTCCGCACAGAGCCAGCCAGAGGGTCTCATTTACCAGGATCTGAGCCTGGACCTGCAGTGAAGGTAAGGGCACTGGAGGCCCCATGACCAGGGGTTCCTGAATGCTGGCAATTCCCTCCTCAGGTGTGGGGCCCCCACTGCTCAGGCCCCTGCTGGGCACTTCCTCCCAGATGATTCCATGTGGCCATCCCCACTGTGCAGATGAGACCCCCAAAGAGGAAGGGCCTTACCAGTCCCTCAGCAGGTGGCAGTGGCCCAGTGGGACCCATGAGTGTTCTGTGGCCCTGGAGTAAGCTTGCACAAGGGGCCACCCACACCTGGTCACTGAGTTCACCAGAGCAAGGTGAGCTCATGCAGCCGGCCTTGCAGTGTGCTGAAGGGATGAACAGAGCTCTCAGAGCCCAGGACTCTCCAGGTGCTTTGAGGATTGGAGGCTGCCCAGAAGTGTGAGATCCTGCAGGCCTGAGACGCAGGCAGATCCAGGCAGAGGCCCCCATCAGACCCCTGACTGCAGTCTTGGCCAAACCACTTATGTGTGGGCTGTAAACAGGGTGATAACATGACAGCTGGCATCAGAGGTGGCCAGCGCTGCTCCTCGCCACTCACGCCCACTGCCCCAGGCCCTGTGGACACACAGGCAGATGTGGGCACCTTAGTCCCCCCAGGCACCCCAAGCACACCAGACTATTTCCCACTCTGAGATCTTCGCACATGCTGTTCCCTCTGCCAGGAACACCCTTCCCTTCAGCCCCCTCCTTGCCTGTCTCCTAAATGCCACTTTGACGTCTTTGTCCCTCGTTACCCTCCACCATCCCTCTGCCACTGCCAGCCTCATGCCCTATACTGGTTCCAAGCCTTGACTCTTGTCGTTCCCTTAGTTCTGAGGGCACCCATCTTCTTGGTAAATATCTATGTCCAATTCAAACATCACCCCCTCCATGAAGCCATTTGGACCTCCTCCCTCTTCCCAACTGGACCTGCACAGATTTCCAGAAAAGCACCCGTGACAGTGGCCCTGTGGTGGTATTCATGTTTCTCTGTCACAAGAGAGGCCTCCTTGGGGGCAGAGGGCAGCTGATTGAGCAGTCGGGATGGGGCGTAACGTGGAGGAGCCCTTCTCAAGCAGGGACTGTGGCTATGATGACACAGTCATGCTGCCGTAGCACAGAGAAACTTCCGACTTCCCTGTCCTGCCCACATAAAGAGAATCTTGTGTTTGTCCACTCACCTGCTCCGACTCCCAAACCGCGAAGGAGAATTCTGAGGGTCCAGCCTGTGCCTGGATTTTTGAGCTGCAGAAATGGAAAAGTTGAGACAGGGCAGAAGCTGGAGAAAAAAGGGAAAGAATCTGTTCCCTGGGTCAGTTCTTGAGCTTCCTTTGTTGTAGAGAATATTCTGGTCTTTGCTGTAGAGAATTTTCTCTGGCAGGGTGCAGAGAAAATGATACAATAATCAGATGGGCTGAGGGGTGAGCCAAAGAAAGTTTAATAATGAGCTGGGAGCAAGAAGAACGGATGAGAGGGAAGAGCTAGGAGGGCGGAGGAAGACAGGGGTGTATGTTTTCAGGGGCATGGGCTGAGAAGGAGACGCTTTGGGAAAGCTACAGGTTGTGGAAAGAGGAAAAAAAGGGGAATTTTTGGCTTCCTTCTCATGTGCTTTGAGAAAATCAAGTGAAAAAGATAATTCATTGTTGTCTACTTTTGATTCTGGCCTGTGCTTCCTTAAGCTTGACTCTGCAGAACTGGGCCATGTGGGGCCATGCGATTCTTTTGAGTTGCACGGTGTCGTGGTTAAAAACCAGGAATTCCGGCTGGGTGTGGTGGCTTGTGCCTGTACAAATCCCAGCACTTTGGGAGGCCAGGACGGGCGGATCACTTGAGGTCAGGAGTTCGAGACCAGCCAGGCCAACATGGCAAAACCCTGTCTCTACTAGAAATACAAAAACTAGCCAGGTGTGGTGGTGTGCACCTGTAATTCCAGCTACTTGAGAGGCTGAGGCTGAGACAGGAGAATAGCTTGAACCTGGGAGGCGGAGGTTGCACTGACCTGAGATTGTGCCACTGCACTCCAGCCAGCCTGGGCGACAGAGTGAGACTCCATCTCAAAAAAAAAAGAAAAAAAGAAAACAAAACAAAAAACACACCAGGAATTCTCCTGCCCAGAGGCCTCCCAGACTGCACTGCTCCCTAAATGTCTCCGTGTGGGTTAATATAACCACAACCCTCCAGCCTGGACCAACTGACCACAAAGTTGAGCTCTCCCCGTTTCTCAGCTAGGAGCAGAGACATCAGGAATCCCTTTCTTGTCCCCCTGCCAGAGTGCTATGGCCCTCATCTTGCAGCGAGCACTCTGAGGGCTGTGTCCCAGAGTCACACTTTCCTCTGTGAGCAGCCCCCAACTTCATGACCTCTTGAAGACCAGCCACTTCAAGGGACAAGCGTCTCCTCTCGCGGCTCCGACACCGCCTGCCAATTAGCTCCAACAGAGGTGTGTCAGGAGAGGGGAACATAAGTGATTAAAGACCAGAAGACAATTAGGTCCCATCACACTCCTTGTTAATGCTGTTCTGCTCCGGAGAGCAGCACGAATGTCATCTGGCCGTTGTAACGGAAACACTCTTGCCCATTTCAGATCCTGTTTTTCCGGATCTTGCCATCCTGAGCCAAGGACTGGGGTGGGGGGTGCTGCACCCTGAGCTGATGGGATGGAGGGCTCAGTGGCAAGCATGCCAACTCAGAATCACCAATCAATGAGGGGTCCACTCAGCAGGATGCAGGGGAGAGGGCCCAGGATTCCGGGCACTGAATCGAGCTTGCATCCAAGCTCCAGCACTTAGCCAGGTGACCTTGTTCAGTGGATTCAAGGTCCTTGAGCTTCAAGTGCCCTCATCTGTAAACTGAGGCCCGGAATGCCCAGGGAGTTAATGGGATGGGCAGTTAGGGCCTGGCACACAGGAGAAGCTCAGGGAATGCTGACAACTGTTAGTGAGCAACTGTCAAACTCTAGCCCCATGGGGTTGACTGACCTGGCAAGGAGCCCTGGGTGCCTGCAGCCCTTGCTGCCCTCCTGAGCTGGGGCGGGTCCCTTGACCTCATCTGGAAAGCAGGATTAATAACACTGTGCAGGGCTATTATATGGATCTTAGGAGGCAATGTAGGTGAGATGCTTTGCAAACTGTAAACTGCTGTGCAAATATCATAGGGATTGCGGGAAACCATAATAGTAATGAACATGTGTGGTGCAAATTGGCACTGGTAAAAAGATATGCTTTGTGCTGGTCTCTGGCCACTTTGTAGGCTCTCCCAGGAGGCATGGCCAAATGGTTAGGAGCGGGTGCTATGAATGTGGACTGCCTTGGCTGTGTGACCTTGTGTGAGTTACTTAACCTCTCTGTGCCCCAGGTGTGCCATATCTGTCCATGGTAACGTGATCACATTTGAGCTGATAGCTGTACAGAGCCTTGCCCTTCACAAGTGCCTGGTGAATGTGTACGCCAGCCATCCTAGGCCGCAGCAGCGCACCTGCACTTCCTCTTTGGCATCTTCTATCTCCATTGCTAAGTTTAAAGCTTGTGTCTGGTACCTTTTATCTCCATTGCTAAGTTTAAAGCTCGTGGGCCCTCCAGTCCATCCCCCGCACGGTACCCGGCGTCTTCCAAGTGCTAGAAAGCACCTCTCCTCTTATCCCTCTCCAGGTGGTTGGCTTCCCAAGCCACCTCACCCACCTCCACCTTCAGATAGAACGCCAACCTGCTTTCTGGCCCTTTCCTGGCTCTGCAGCCCCACCTCTGCCACTGTCTCTCAGCTTTACTCTGCACTCCAGTGAGATGAAACTGCCATGCCAAGCTTTTGCAAGCGCTGCTCTTCCCTTCTGGATCACCAGCCCCCTCCCTGAGCCTCCCGCCCCCACCCTGCTCCTTCCCATTTGCTGTCTCCTAGACCCCCTGCAGCCAAGTGAACTGAAAGCATGGAGGGGAAGTGTCTTGCACAAACCCGTGGAACACACAGACGCCAGGGGAGGGACAGGGAGCCAAGCCAGCCTGGCTTCGAAGCCCTGGAACCCACCAGCCAGTGTGGACGAGCACCGTGGCAGTCCCAAAGCTGAGGATTTCTGGGTGACTGACAATGTGTCATTTGTGGCATTGCAAACCCAAGTCCCAGGGACAGTCTCAAGGGACAGGCCTGGGAGACCGGCCAGCTCCCCTCCCTGTTTATCACTGTCTGCTGTGAGTTGCAGTTATTCTAAGGACTCACCGCTGTAGGATTCCTTTTGGGGATTCTTTTTTTTGAGACAGAGTCTTGCTCTGTTGCTCAGGCTGGAGTGCAGTGGCACGATCTCGGCTCACCGCAACCTCCGCCTCCCCGGTTCAAGCGATTCTCCTGCCTCAGCCTCTCAAGTAGCTAGGATTACAGGTGTGCACCACCACATCTAGCTAATTTTTGTATTTTTAGTAGAGACAGGGTTTTGCCGTGTTGGCCAGTCTGGTCTTGAACTCCTGACCTCAAGTGATCCACCTGCCTCAGCCTCCCAAGGTGCTGGGATTACAGGCATGAGCCACCGTGCCCGGCCCTGGGGACTGTTGAGAAACTCACTTCCTCAGGCCCCCATCACCCACGGGCTTAAGTCTACACTCTTTATCACGCCCTTCACAGCCTCCATAAGCTGCCCCAACTTCCTCTGCAGTCACACAAGACTCTGTGATGGTTAATACTGAAAGTCAACTTGACTGGATTGAAGGATGCAAAGTATTGATCCTGGGTGTGTCTGTGAGGGTGTTGCCAAAGGAGATTAACATTTGAGTCAATAGGCTGCAGAAGGCAGACCCACTCTTAATCTGGTGGGCACCATCTAATCAGTTGCCAGCAAGTATAAAGCAGGCAGAAAAACATGAAAAGGAGAGACTAGCCTAGCCTCTCAGCCTACATCTTTCTCTAGTGCTGGATGCTTCCTACCCTCGAACGTCAGACTCCAGGTTCTTCAGTTTTGAGACTCAGACTGGCTCTCCTTGCTCCTCAAGCTTTCAGACAGCCTACTGTGGGATCTCGTAATAGTGTAAGTTAATAAACGCCCCCCCCCCCCCCGCAATATATATCCTATTAGTTCTGTCCCTCTAGAGAACCCTGACTAATACACTATCGGGGTCCCCAAATCCTCCGTGCAATCAGATACTCCTCTGCTTTTGCCTGGGCTGTTCCCTCCCCTGAATGCCTTTCCTTGTGTCTTCCTGTTAAAATCTGACTCCTCCCTCAAGGTGTGACAACACAGGAATGAATGAGTCCTCCTGGTGTGATGTCCAACTTCTAGGTTAATGCCTCTGGTCTCTGTCTTCAGACCGTGGGCTCCTCCATGCCACGGCCTGCGTCTTGCTCCTCCCAGGTCCCCACAGCCAGCACAGGGCAGGTGGATGTCCAGGGAACAGAGGGTGTCATAGGAAAGAACAATCTCATAATATAATATAGATGGGAGAGCAAGGAATACCCTCACCCAAGAAGAGATGTTGAAGCTGGGACCTGCTGGGGTTGGCCAGGGGAAGTTGGGAGACCAGCTTTCCGGGGAGAGGAAGTGGCAGGTGCCAAGGCCTGGAGGTGGGGGCGAGATTGGTGCGATCCTTAGAAATGGAAGTGTGAGACCTGTGAGACCTGTGAGGCTGGGGACAGCACAAAGGCACGTGAAGTCTCAGGTTTGATAGCACCATGATGACGCAGAGCTCCCATCTTATCCTCATTTTACAGTGAAAGAAACAGGTTCAGGGAGGCAGACTCACTTGGTGAAGGTCATGTGGCAAAGGCAGAGGGGTGCAAATGCAGGCCTTGAACCCCATCCCACGCAACCGCATCCCGTGCTATTTCACCCCAAGCCACAGCCTCCTTGTTTGCGTGAGTTACCTAAGCAGGCAAATGGCCTGTGTCCTGCAGAAGCCTCTCTCCGTCCAGGGAGGCTGCAGGTACTGGCTGCCCTTGCTCTACTGGGGCACCTATGGTTGTCCTGAAAAATGAGTGATTTGGGTTCATTATTTCCTGACATTGCTGGTGCTTTGTTTTGCTTCAATGAGCGCTACCGAACTGAGTATTTCCTCAAAGAGCCTTGAGCAGGCAGCCTGGGAGGAGCCAGCCACAGCCTCTGCACAGACTCGATTTCTGCCTCTCTCCCTGATGCTTCAACTGCCTCTGCAGTGAGAAGGCTTCTGGTGATGTTTTAATGTATTTATGAGTGAAATGAATTTCAGGCTCCAGGGACCCCCTGGACACAGCTGGTTCGGGGACCATGGAGCCTCTTTGTAGGAGCACAGGGGCGAGGCTTGCATCTCCACCTTCCCCTATTGCCAGTGCAGCCTGCTGGACCGAGGACCCCAGGGGATGGCCCTGTCTCCTGCAAGAGTCCATCAGGGGTGGTGTTGGAGAGCCAGCAGTGACCTGCCTGGGTTCCAGTCCCAGCTCTGCCATTTACCGGCCCACTAACTCTGCACTAATTTACCTCTCTGAGCCTCAGTTTTGTCATCTATAGAATGGGAACAATTAGGCAAGTGTGCTTTGAGAAGAAAACAAAATAATCCACTTGGACTGCTTAGCACAGGGCATGGCACAGCACAGAGGAAGCACCCACAGGAGCTACCATTGCCACGGTGTTACCCTGAATTATAGAAGGATGCTGGGCTTATCACCATCAAGCAAATAGCCCAGGACACAGGGATAAGTTCTGGCCACCAGGCCTGAGACAGCCCCCTCCCGTCTCGCCTCCCCGCCACCTCCCCCATGGAGGGGGGGATTCCTGTCTCTTACTCCGGGATTCCCATCTCTTCTTTGGACCTCTCATGTCCCTGGTCAGTTTGGCTTCAGTGTTTCTCGCTTGCTGATCCCTCTGATCCCCTCTCCCATTCGTCAACTGGTGCGCCCTCATTCCCCTGCGCTCAGCCTCTGTTCTGCCTCCTGGAGGGCCTCCCGGACCACCCCATGCCAACAGCCCCACCTCTGCCCATCTCACAGTCATGGCTTGCTCTCAGCACATGCTCCTGACCACGTCCCCTCCTCTGCCATTAAGTTGGCTTGTTCTGGAAGGGTGACACAGCCACATCTTTCTAGTTTCTCCCCACCCCCTCCCTTTTTAATTAAAAAAGTTACATATGCACATGGTTATGTAGAATACATATAAAATCTTACGGAAGAGTAGAAAAGAAGAGTAAAAACCGCCTCTGCTCCCATCCCCCTGCCGAGACCCGCTCCCCTGAGGCAACAGCTGTTCTCTGTTTTGCTTTTAATTCTATCAGCTCTCTTTCTAACTTCAAATAATCCACTTCTACCTCTTCCTTATCATCTTTGCACATTATCTGCGGGCTCTGGCTCTGAGACGCGAGGCTTGCCCAGGCAGGTCCCTATGCATCCTGCTCTCTCTCCCCGTGCCCTTCACCTCAACGGTATTTTCTTCTCCCTGTGGGCTTCAATGGACTCCATGATTTAAAGCATAGACCACCATTGCTGCCTGACCCCGGCCATCGCCCCAGACTCTTGCTCTCCTTCTGCCCGAATCGTCCCCAGCAGGCCAAAGGCAGAGGGAGCTCCTTGGACCAGGGCTCTCCCCTGTTCAGGCCTCCTACGATGCCCAACAGCAGCTGTGGTCAGGTCCAAACTCTGCTGTGGCCTCCAGACCTGCAGGACCTGGGCCTGGGACCTCTCTTGAATGCACCTTGCACCCCTCTTGCTTCACGTGCTGTGCCCCCTCCTCCACCACCTGTGCTTTTCCTCCCAGCCCCGCTGGCCGCCTTGCAATTCCTCTGGCAGGGCAGACTTCCCCCACCGGCCCCCGAGCCGGCTGAGCCCCGGGCAGGACGATCGGGTCCTTCTTGCCATTCATGCCAGGCTTGAAAGTCACCGTCCACAGGGCGTGCCCAGCATAGTGGCTCTGAGGCGCCCCTCCCAGATGAAGTCCTGCCCACCATCCGCGCCGCCGCCGTGGGGCTTCTCTCCTGTGTTGGTGGTGGGCTTCATGTCGGACCCTCCCACAGGAAGATGAACCAGTTCCGTCTTGAGCTCAGCTCTGACCTCAGTGTCTGGAGCAGTGCTTGGCCCTCATTGGGCCTGGACAAATGAGGCCGCTGGGTACATGAGCAAAGAACCTAGTCTCAGTTTCTTGATGTGCCAACCTCGAGCAGCACAGAGGGTGAAGAAATGACCCCCCCTCCACCCTTCCCCACTCAGGCTGCTGCCCAGGCTCACAGCTCCACGATCAGGGTTGGGAGCTCCACGGTCAAGGTTGAGGGCCTCTGCAATCCAGGTGGAACAACCAAAAATCGCTTGACGGCCCTTTGTCAATGGACTCATTCTACACGTTGGAAATTAACAAAGAAGCCGATGTTAGCATTGCGTGGGGGTCATTCCCTGAGGAACCTCAGAGTGTGATTGAACCCACAGACTAGGAAATGTGGTTCCAGCTCCTGAAAACCTGTGCTTAGGAGAATCCACCCAGCAGCGACTGCCGCACAGGCGTTTTCACCTGCTTCTTGTCTCGCAGCTGCTCTGCGTTGCCTTGGAAGCCCCTGTCCCCCGATCTATGCTGCCTTCTCCTTGGCCCCTGCTTAATTACAAGCAGCTCTCAAACTCTGTGCATGCATCCTAAATGCGGTGTGCGTGCAGCCTGGGCTGGGGCTTATATGTGGAAGGGCATGGGGGGTAAACCAGCTGCCTTTCTCCTCATCTTGAGAAGCTTCTGTTTGCCTTCATCCTTGAAGACAGTTCAGCTGGCACAGAACTCTGATCAAAACCTGTTCCATCAGAACTTGGCAGATATGGCTCCACTGCCTTCAGGCTTTCGTGGCTGATTGTGAGAACTCTGATACCCGCCCGTCTCTTGTTTCCTTGTCCCAGACTGCTCTTTCCCTCTGTAAGCTTTCACGATGTTCTCCTTACAGTTGTCATTCTGAAATTTCACCAGGCGTGGGTGTTTCTCCATCATTAGTCCTGCTCAACTCTTATCGGGTGCATCAGATCCATAAACATGTATCTTGCTGCAGCTCGGGGGGAAACAGTTCTTCTGTTACTCTTATTATTATTGTTGTTATTTTGACAGTCTTGCTCTGTCGCCCAGGTTGGAGTGCAGTGGCATGATCTTGGCTCACTGTAACCTCTGCCTCCTGGGTTCAAGCAATTCTCCTGCCTCAGCCTCCTGAGTTCAAGCAATTCTCCTGCCTCAGCCTCCTGAGTATCTGGAATTACATGCACATGCCACCATGCCCAGCTAATTTTTAGTAGAGACGGGGTTTCACCATGTTGCCCAGGCTGGTCTTGAACTCTTGACCTAATGTGATCTACCCATCTCGGCCTCCCAAAGTGCTGGGATTACGGGCATAAGCCACCATGCCTGGCCTATTATTTTTCAAACTATGACTTCCTCTTCCCCATTGTCCCTTGGTCTCCCCCATGAGCTGTTCTCAAAGGACTGCTAAATCTCGTTGTCAGACGCCCCTGCCCCTCAGTCCTGCAGTTCACGTCCCTCATCTCGAAGTCACTTTGCTCTGTGCTAAAGAGGTGCTTTCTCTTGTCTTCCAGAATGCCAGCCTGATCTCCAGATGAGCCTCTGATGATTCAACACACCCGTTGCACTATTTTTGTTAATTTCATCCATCTTCAGTATTCTTTGTGTCTCAGCTATTCTTTCTTGTTCCTCTGCTTCATCCTTACCACCTAGCATTCAGGCAGTTCCACGCAGGCCCACTGCCCCTGGGTTCCGGAAGTCAAAGGTCCCTGTCACCAGCAACTCTGGTTAACAAAAGAGACGAGGAACCAGGCGAGCACCTGCCATCCCAAATGCTCCTGCGCCCCGGCCAGTCTTGACCTGAGTAGTTTGTAATGCCCAACTTGGGCTTTTCTGCACCCAGCTAGGGAGACCCATCCTTCCTCCCACCTCTGGTCAAGGTTTATTCGACTCCAGCCTCTTCCTCAGCCCAGCCCAATACTGTCCTGCCCACAGGGAGGCCCCTTTTCTCTGTTGCCAGCATAGTTAGGAGTTCGCCCTCTCTCTAAGCACTTTCTGCTTTTGGCGGCCCCAGGGAGGGAAGGGCAGAGTCCTGTGAACCCAGTGTGCCATCTTGGGCAGTAAGTCCACCCTAGCAGGGGGCTAGGCTATTTTGCCTGGCAAATGGATTGATGATGTTTTTCTTTTGTTCCCCCTACGTAAATATTAAGTAAGGCATTGCTTCTCTTTCAGCTTAATCATCAGGGCCCAGTCATCCTTCAGGCACCTGTGGCTCACCCACTCCTTCTGGGGAGGGGAGGGGATGACTTGACAGGTTTATTCCCCTGGAGGCTGGGGCTGGGGCTGGGGGTTGGCCTGTCAGCTGCACTATTGCTCATTTCTCAGCTAGGCAGCCCCTGGCCCATGGTTGGGGTGTTGGCTGCTTTGGCTGGTTTGGCTCCGGGCTCAGAGCTCCACAGAAGGTACCTGGGTACCTGCTGAGCCCCTCCCATCACACATGTGATGCAACAGAGCACGTATCCTGGAGGAGGCCCTACTGTGCCCACGGCGCTGCCCCCATAGAGAGGCCCTCAAGGCATATGCCTTGGGCCAGAGCTGTGTGCCTGCTCTTTGATCAGAGCTGGTGCAGTGCCCGGGACTCACAACATGCCTTACGGATGAAGAGAAGTCCCTATTCCCAAGGTCCTGAAGTCCTTGAGGGACAATTGGGCCATCCAGAGAGACATGAGGGTCAGAGAGGAAGGTAGCAGCTCACCCCCGCACTGCAGAGAGCCTGCCGAACACCCTGCCTGTGCCCCCATGGTGTAGGTGCTCTTACTGCCCCACCTTACAGATGAGAAAACTGAGGCCCAGCTAGGTGAACCCGTGCCCGAGGCAGCCTGGTAAGTGGCGAAGCTGCCACGGAGCCTCCTTCAACCCATCTGCCAACCTTCAACTCTGTCAATGGGAAAACTCTAAGTAGCCAGCACCTTAGAAAGGCGACTTACCTGTGCCCACCCCCATGATTTACGTGTTTCCGCTCCATGATTTACCTGTGCCCGCCTCCATGATTTACCTGTGCTCACCTCCATGATTTACCTGTTCCCACCTCCATGATTTACCTGTGCCCGCTCCATGATTTACCTGTTCCTGCTCCATGATTTACCTGTTGCTGCTCCATGACTTACCTGTGCCCAACTTCATGATTTACCTGTGACCGTCTCCATGGAAACCACAAGCCTGAGATCCACGGAGGGGAAGTGGGGCTGCCTGCAGCCATCAGAAGCGCTTTCCCTGGGAGGGATATCTGAGCGGCCTGACAGACTGGGGAGGGCCAGGGAGCAGGGCGTGTTCCGGGAGACTGTGAGGATTAGGAGTTGCTGGAGTGCAGCAGGGAGTGGAGGAGAGGAAGGGGCTGCAGGTGGGGCTGGGGGCCAGGCAAATCTCAGAGCCTCAAGTGACATGAGTGCATTTAAAATCCCCACAGAGGGCAGAGGGGAGAGTGACAAGTGGCCAGCGTTGTTGTGCAGGGGTGGGTGGGGCAGGTGCCAGTGCCTAGACTCCGGGGTGGCCAGACAGGGCGCCGGATGTTCTCCCAGGGGGCTGGGTAGTCCAGAAAGACGCCTCCCACTTCCTCCTGCCCCCCGTTTCTTTGCCATTTTCTTCCTTCCAGCACCCACCCCTACCCACCCTGCTCCCCTGAGAACCATCAGGACAGAGGAGAAAGCAGTTTGGCCTGGGGTTTCCCAGGCTCTGGCTTTACAACTGACTTCCAACAGGCTGGGCCACCTTCAGGAAGTCACACGACCTCCCTGCGCCACAGTTCTTGTCTCAAAATGCAAACAGTATTCCTGCCACTGGGAGCTGTGTGAGGGCCTCACAGGTGATGGATGAGAACAGACCCTGTGGACAGAAGCAGCCGCAGGGAGGCGGCTGATCAGGGCCGTTCATTCCCCCATCCATATGGATGTATCACCCCAGGGAGAGAGGGCGTCCAGCCATCCCCTCTGGCCTCTCCCATTGGCCACAGGCTCTGAGTTCAGGCCACCACATTCAGATGTGATCAGTGGATTTGATTAATGTAGATTCCACTCATCATCACTCCTCAGAAGGGGATGTGGGTTGGAGAGTAATTATAATCAAGTTTGAGGAAAGCTGATGGTATTAATGAAAATCATTATGCTCCTGGCAGCTAAACCCAGCAAAGGGAGGAATTGACTATGTTTGAATTCCTCTTTTTAATGTTGTGTTTTCAGTTGGGAACACTTTCAAATGGCTTCTGGGGGAGAGCTGCCGCCAGGCAGGGCCATTTCTCATGCTGCAGCTTAGCTCTGCTCGGGGCGGTGGAGAGAGAAGGGGAGGGCAGCTGAGCCGGCCTAGGTTTCCTGGCCTCACTGCAGATTTCTCTGGGTCTCTCACCCTCGTGTCTCCCCATCCTTCTTGAAGATCCAATCAGGCTTCTCCGGCTAGTTACCCACCAGGTGCTTGTGGAACTTCCCGAGACACAACTCCGCCAGCCTCATCCCCGGCTGAACATGCTCTGTGGCTCCCATTGCCCTCGGGAAAAATATCCCAACTCTGAGGAGGGTCTGTCTGATCTGCTCCGCAACCCCAGCCACCTCCCACTGGCCTCTGTAGTCCCCTTCCTGCATGGGGTCCTAGGCCTTAGTGTCCAGCCCTCCACTTGGCACACCCTGCACCTTTGTCCACACTGTCCCTCTACCCAGGCACCATCCCTCCTGCCTTCCCCTGGTCACCTCCTCCTCACCTTTTAACACTTGGGTTCCTTCCTTAGTTTCCATGGGAAGAGCCCTCCCAGTCCCCCTCTCACCCCCACATCCATCCCAATGCTCCTTTGGCACCTGTGCCCCTGCCCCACCCCAAGAGCTCTATCTAATCAGTCATACTGATTTGTGCTGTGCTTGTCCCCTGAAAGAGTGGGCCTGACTCTCCCGCTTCTGTGGCCCCAAGGTCTGGCCCTGGCAGGTGCTCAGGGAACAGTCATTGATTCCTAAGAACTTCACTGGGCCCAGAGACACAGAGGTGCAAGCCACAGCCCTGCCCTCCAGGAGACCCTGGTGTGGTCACAGAGACAAGTCTCCAGTAATTGCCACATGAGGTCAGGGCAGGAGGAGGCCGCACGGAGTCATGGAGGGGCCTGGCATCTCAAAGCAGCAGGTGGCTCTGAGCTGAGCCTGTCCTTCACCCACCCTGCCCTCTTTTTTTTTATTTTAGACCGAGTCTTGCTCTGTCACCAGGCAGAAATGTAGTGGGGTGATCTTGGCCCACTGCAACCTCTGCCTCCTGGGTTCAAGCGATTCTCCTGTCTCAGCCTCCCGAGTAGCTGGGACTACAGGCGTGTGCCACCACGCCCGGCTAATTTGTTTGTATTTTTAGCAGAGATGAGGTTTCACCATGTTGGCCAAGATGGTCTCGATCTCCTGACCTCGTGATCCACCCGCCTTGGCCTCCCAAGGTGCTGGGATTACAAGCATGAGCCACCGTGCCCGGCCATGCCCTCTTAACTGGAGCCACCCCAATGGCCTCTCAAGCCGAGCCCACCAGCTCCTCCTGCCCAGGAGAGGAGAGCTCTGCCAGTCAGGAAGTGCCTCCTTGGGGAAGCCAAACCCCTGCCAGGGAGCTGCCCTAACCCATCCTCCCTGCACAGTGGGCTCCGCCTCCGGGACAGCCCTTGGATGGAAGGCATGACACCAGCACGGCCCCCCTCTGCAGCACGAGCACTGGTGGCGGGGAACCACTGGGGGGTGCAGGGCCACCTCCCTTCTGTACCCCAGGCCCATGAGGGCAGAGCTGCAGAGCCCTGTACAGGTGATGTGAAGCCCACTCCACCCTGGAGCTGCTCCTGCCCCCGCCCCACCCCGTGGAAGCCACCTGCCAGGAGGAACGGGTTGGAGTCCCACCTCTGCCACCCCCTGGCTGGGTGATCTCCAGCAGGCTTCCTCAGCACTCCGAGCCTGGGGAAAGTCACACCACCTGGGGGCTGTTGCCAGCCCATCAGCCAGAGAGGTGGAGACCCACTCTGGGGCCAGAGTGTTTCTAGGCAGGGGACTTAGCTGTGTGTTTTTCTGTTGCCACATAAGCAATGACCACAGGTTCAGTGGTTTAAATGGCACCATCCATTCTCTTACCGCTCCATAGGTCAGAAGTCCAATACGGTGCATGCTAGGCTAAAATCAAGGCGTGGGCAAGGTCTTTCTGGAGGCCCTGGGGAAAATCCATCCCCTGCTCATGGGGGTACAGTTGGACTCCAGCTCCAGGAGGTGGAGGACTGAGTTTTCTTGCTGGTGGTCAGCTGATGACATTCCCAGCCTCTGGAGGGACTCATGCCTGGGCTCATGACCCCTTCTTCCATCTCCAAAGCCAGTGTCAACCTAAAATCATCAAAAGGGCCAGGATCTAGTTTCAAGATAGTTTATTTAAACCGTGGACCTGAGACCCACAGAGGTTTATTCAAGTATTTATTATAAACCCACAGAGGTTTATTAACAGTGTTTGAGCCCAGCCACCAGGGAAGCACAGATTCCAAAGAATGGAAGTCAGTGCTCCAAAATATGGACGTTTGGGATCGTTTATAGAGACAAAGTTTAGGAAAGCTTCGCAGAGCTTCAGCATCTTTCTACATAAGGCTTAATGCATAGTTACAATGATCTGCTTGGTCAAGGTGATTTTTTCCCTTTGGGAAAGGTATATTTAACCTTCCACACTGAAGATGTAACAGTCCTGGGGTCTTTTATGCCATCTGGGCTGAGCTGGGACAGTATTGTCCTGACTGCAGACAATCAAAGAGGCAGTTCTTCTAAAACAAAGATTAGTGATTGGAAGTCGGGGAGGTCTGGCCTCTGTTTTCTTCTACTGAACAGGAACAATGAGGAAGAGGGCTATTCTCTAATCTAAGAAGCAGGAGGCCAGACACGGTGGTTCATACCTGTAATGCCAGCACTTTGGGAGGCCAAGGCAGGCGAATCACGAGGTCAGTAGATCAAGACCATCCTGGCCAACATGGTGAAACCCTGTCTCTGGTAAAAATACAAAAATTGGCTGGGCATGGTGGTGCACGCCTGTAGTCCTAGCTACTCGGGAGGCTAAGGAAGGAGAATGACTTGAACCTGGGAGGTGGAGGTTGCAGTGAGCCAAGATTGCACCACTGCACTCCAGCCTGGTGACAGAGTGAGACCCTGTCTCAATAAAAAATAAAAATAAAAAGAAGAAGAATCAGGAGTTACAAACTTACTATAGGAATCAGTCTCTGGGGCTTAACTTCCCCCTTGGCTTAATAAACCTAGAGGGTCTTGACATTTCTTTGACACCAGCAATGGAGGTCGAGTCTTTCTCCGGCTTCTAATCTCTCCCCCTCCCTCCACCTGATCTTGCTCATCAGCCAGACCCGGGTCCCTGCTTCTAAGCACTCGTGTGATTAACACTGGGCTCACCCGGACACCCAGGACAATTTCCCCATCCCAAGGTTCCCACCCTGAATCAGAGCTGCAAAGCCCCTTTTGCCATGAAAGGTGACACATTCACAGGTCCTGAGGTTCTGGTGTGGACGCCGTCGGGGGCCACATTATGGCGACCACGGCAGTAAAGAAAACCATGTGCATGCCTCCAGGGTTTCACATTCTAGTGAGGCAAAGAAAGAAGAAAAAGTCTTAAATAGAAGCCAAAATGAGACACGCTATAATCCAGACAAGAGCTGTGAAGAGAACCAACAGGGCACAGTGCCCATTGGTGGTGGGGAGGGAGGAGATCCCTCACCCTGGAGGAGAATCCGGGAGCACACGGTGGTGGCTTTAGCTGTGGTGGTTGTTCCTGGCAGAGGCATAAAGTGAAGTGAGGCACACGGGTGGGGGCGGGAAGGTTTGGTGGTCGCCTGGTAAGAGAGGCTGGCCTGGACCTCCCTGGCCAAGGAGGGCTGGGGTAGTGGGTGTTGGCCTGTGGTCCCACTGAGGCAGGGTTGCCCCTGGCTGCAGGGCTCCCAGCCCAGAGCTGGCCCCATCTCCATGTATAAATCCATGGACTAGAACATAAGGTAGTCAGCTCCCCTGAAATAATTGCTGTTTTCTGCCTCAGGCTGCTGTCCATGAAGGCTTTTGCTCCTCACTGGGACAGGAACTTTGAAACATGTGGAAAAGAGGGCAGGGGCAATAATGACCCAGACCCCGAGCAGTCACCAGCTGCCCTCGGGGTCAGCAAGGGAGGGGTGTTAGCCGTCAGAACCGTGAGACGTCTGGAGGTCCACAGGGCCCTTTGCGAATGGATCGTTGCTTGCAGGAGCTACTGAGCCTGGGGCTGTCCATGGTGGATGGGCAAGACAAGGACAGGGGCGGAATGATCAGGTTTGGGGTATCGGGAGGAGAGCAGTGACGCCTGCCCACAGAGGCTGCAGCACAGTGAAATCTCATCTCGGGGATCCTGTGTCCAGCGGTGAGGGATGCGGGCTGTGGGGCAGGGCAGATGAAGATTCAAACCCCACCTCCTCTGGGCTCAGGTCCACCCCGCTTGTGGGAATAACAATAGGCTCTCCTCCACTGAGTGGTTTAAGGTATGTTTGTGAAGCACCTGTTGTGTACCAGGCGTTGCCTGGGAAGATGTCAATGCCCCAGATAGGCGTGCGTCCACAGGTACACGGCCCAGGACGGGACAGACATTAGCTATCTAAGGGGCTGAGGAGCCACAAAGGCAGGTAACTACTCCGAGTCCCCAGGGAGGGAGGAAGGCTTCTGGGAGCTGGGAGCTAAAGGATGGACAGGCGTTCACTAGGAGAAGACGAGGAAGAGCATTGCAGACAGAGGGACCCACATGTGCAAAGGCCCTGGAGTGGGAAGGACCCTAAAGTGTTTAGGCACAGAAAAGCTCAGAAAATTATGCTGGGTATGGCACGTAATGTGGCTGGAGAGGTGGTGGCGGCCAGTGTCCACTAAGCCTTCAGCATAGGGCAGCCACACATCCAGGTGGCTCAGGGAGCCCCGTTCACACTGGTTATTCACCCTCATCAGTAACAGCACCCCCTTTACTCATGTGAACTACAGAGGACCAGGCGCCAACGTCTCTTTTACAGACCAGAGCCAGTGCAGGAAGAACGCTTTGCCCGTGGAGCCCGGGGTGGGCGTGGGGTCAGAGCAGGCAGGGCCCAGACTGGGTGTGGGGTCACAGCAGGCAGGGGACACAGGCCCTGACTCCCAGGCCAGCACTCAGTGGCTCCGAGGGACACTGGCCTGGGAGCGGGAAGCTGTTGTGAGTCCCGATTTTCCCATCCGCTGCAGGAACAGTGGGGACTGGAGGTCATTCAGGGGTGGAGGTCCTCATGGCACAGGCCTGGCTGCAGGGAGACCGAGAGGAACAGTGAGGACCAGAGGTCGTTCCAGGGTGGGGGCCCTCGTGGCACAGGCCTGGCTGTGGGGAGACTGAGAGGTTTGTCTCTGGCGTTTCAACTTTGGAATAATTAAGCCTGACAATTTGGAAAGTAGAGGAAAACCTAAAGAGGAGAATTCTCCTCCTTATAGAAATGACCGGGGTAGCTGCCGCGGGCGCAAAAGTCCAAATGTCTTCTGGGAGATGCCCTTGGCCTCCAAGGGAGGCATCGGGGTGGCCATACACAGGCGGGACCCTGGGTGCACCGCACGGAGTAAAGCCAGGGGAGCTCGCCGAGGGGGAGTGCAGCCACTGTGGGGCGTGGGTGCTGGGTAGGGCATGGGGGCTGGGCTCAGCCGAGGGACTTAGAGCTGCTGAGAGCTCAGGGCACTGCAGGGACCCTTGCGGGGAGGCCGGCAAGCACACCAGCCCCTGACAGCAGAGAACACAGGACTGGGGGTTGGGTTGCCAGGGTCAGCGCCACTGAGAGCTGCAGGACTGGGCAGGTCCTCCACCGCCAGTCCTTGGGCCCTCATCTGAGCAGAGCTGAGGCTGGCTGGGCCCTCACAGGCCAGTGCGAGATCTCAGGGAAGGGCTGGGGGAGCGCTAGGAGAGAATGAAGTGTGGTCAGGAGACCCCCACTGCTGTGCCCGCTGGGAGGGTTTCATGAGTGTCACTGAGTCATGGGATCCAGGAGTGAGGGGCTTTCCCCCAGTGAAATTCCAGCCTCTGGCCTTGGCAGGCATCCATCCTGACAGGCCCGGCCAGCCTGTGTCCCATCGCAGGGACTTCCTATTTGCTGATGCCCAGTCCATCCTAGGGTGATATATGACAAATATCTACTGGCTGGGGTTTCCCCTCTTCCATCTCCCCCCACTCCGAGCTTCCCCCATCTCCCCTCTCCTGCCCCTCCTGCCTCTACCTGAGGCAGCCAGCCCTTCCCGCGGCCCCACTTTCAGGCCACATCCCAATCCCTCTGCTTGTCTCCACCCTGTGGCAGCCCTTCCAGGGCTCCAGGCCACCCTTGTCCAAGCCACCCTCTCCGGCAGCTCATCTCCCACCAGGTGCCCACAGCCTGCTCTGAGCTGGCTCCCTGCTTCCTCGACCCAAGGCAAGATGTCTTTGGAATCCTGCCATTTCTCCCTGCCACCGGGCAGCTCTAGCCACCTCCAGTCCACTGGGGATGAAGTCCCAACACTCACCAAGGCCCCTGGCCCTAAGTGACTGCCCCCTCTGTCCCCTCTCTTGATCTCATGACCCCTCCCCACACCCCTTTCCCACCCCCACTCCCAACCAGGCTCCAGCCACTCAGCACCCCTGGCTCTTCCTCTAGCCCAGCTGTTGTCCATCTCCAGCCTTCTGGAAGGTCCCAGGAGTTTCCTCCCCAGCTTTCGGCATGGCTGCTGGTTCTTGCCCTTCTGCCTGTTTCACATCTCACCCCTCCAAGAAGCCACCCTGAGCGGGAACTTAGCAGAAACCAGGGATTTTAATACACTTTGCCGACATGCCAGCCTGGAACCCTGGGAAATCAGCAGTTTGTAAACACCGGGAATTAGGGCGATTAGGGAGGGAGGCTGTTCCCTCTCCATTAATTCAGGCAATTGCACTTCATTGCTCCCAGGGGCCCCTGAGTCTCCTCTTCCCCACCCCACCCTGCATACACTAACTGTGGCCAAGGGTGCCGGGGTGGAGGAGCACCAGTCGGAGTTTGAGGAAGGGGTCTGGGATGTGGGGGAAGCCTTCAGGGCTGCACGGCCAAGTTCAAACCCGGGTTCTGCTCCTCGGTGTGTCATCCCAAAGGAGTCCGTTCAGCTCTGAGTCTCTGCTCAGAGACATCAGGTTGTTTCCATGAGCTGCGGGGCGTGTCCTGGCTTTCAGGCTCTGCTCTCTGCCTGCCCCTCTCTCCCTCCCTCCCTCCAGAACTGTGTGCCCATCAGCTACTCTCTGAGAGCAAAGGGCACCTGCCCAAAGCCAAAGCATGAATTTGGGGCCAAGGGCAAAGGGGAGGGAGGACAACTCAGCATGAGCCAGGGGAACCAGGAGGCTGTGTGGAGGTGCAGTCCGAAAGGGTCCTTAGCCTGGGTAGAATGTCTGTGGGTGAAAGGAAAGGGATAGGGGAGAAGGTGTCCAGGAGGAAGGACCAAGCTGAGCAGAGGCCAAAGGCAGGAAGGAGGTGGATGAGCCCAAATGAAATCAAAGCAGAGTTGGGGAGAGGAGCAGAGGGCCTGGAAAAGCTCACCTGCAGAGGGCCTTAAATGCCAGACCACGGGCAGACCCTGGGGACAAAAAAGGTTCAAATGTGCTTACAGCTATGTTAGAAGCTTCTAGATGCCAGTCCTGATCAACCAGCCCTCAACGACAGTGCCAGGTCCTATGTCAGCTGCTGGGGACCCAGACATGCACTCTGCCCTGGAAGGCTCGTCTGCAGGGAGGCAGGAAAATCAATGTCCAGTGCCAACCCTGTATGCTCCAAACTGTGATGAGGAGGGCTGGGGCTCATCTGGGCAATCAGGGAGGGCTTCCTGGAAGAGGGCACCCTGAACTGAACCTTGTAAGTCAGTCAGGGCAGGAATAGGGGAACAGTATCTGCAAAGGTACAGAGACATGACAAGGAAGGGACAGGGAATTTGCAGGTGTGACCAGTAAGAAATGAAGGAAGGGGCTGTGGTAATAACCGCGGGCATTCAACCGGGCACAGAACTCTTCACTGGGGTCATTTCAGGCACGTCTCAGCCCCTCCGGGCTGCTATGACCTCTACACCATTTTGCAGATGAGGACACGGGTTCAGAGGTTAGGTGACCTGTGGGGACAAGGCCGAGCTGGGATTCCCAGCCCGAGGCTGCCTGACCAGGGTCCGTGCTCTCAGTCTGGGAGTCGGGGCAGACAGCCAGGCGATGGCCAAGAGCCACTGGAGATTTTATGCGGAAGAAGGACAATGTCTGAGCTGTACTTTTAAAGGTTACTGTGGCAGGGGGTGGAGGAGCAGGAGGGGCCTGGTCCCTGTGTGACAGCAAGCTCCAGAGAAGGCATGCCCGAAGTCACCTCACCGAGCTGTCGGGAGTGTGGCCACGGCCATCTGTGGCTGACCTTGGGCTTTGCTCACTTAGCTGCTGGAGAGGCACAGCCCCCACTGTGCCAGGCCGGGACGGGTGGGGGAGGCGACCCTGAGAGAAAGAGCGGGAAGACCCTGACAATGAGGTGATTATGTCTTGAGCTTTGCTTTAAAACCTTAATGGATTTTTTCCACTCCATAAAGCCGCCCTGCGGTCTAGGAATGATCACCGAGATCCGGGAAAAAGACTAATGCGGCTGAGCTGAGCATCCGCACCCCATCCCCTGCCTCCTGGCTGTGTTCAGTGAGGGAGAGGGAGCTGGGCACAGCATGGGGTCTCAGCCGCTGTCCTTCTGGCCCTCCAAGCGTGTGACAGATATCCTAGCTGGCGTCCCAGCATGCCAGCGCTCTGCCCACGCTCTGCCAGTGGGAACGCACTCAGTCCTCAAGGCCAAGCTGCAGGTCGGGGGCTGCTGTCATCATCCTATTTATAGGTAGAGTAGCTGAGGTACAGATGTCTGTGTGCTCATCCAGGAGGTGGGAAGCACGTGGTCCAGGAGCCGCTCCCCTACATCCAGCCCTGGGGCTTCCCTTCGTTCGTTGATGGGGTGCTCACCACCATTCTTCACAGTCCTTCTTGTGGTCAAGCTGCTTTGACCTCCTGCTGTAGGATGTTACATTCGACAATGGCCCCTCTCGGGCTTTGTCTCTGCCCTGCCCCAACACCAGCATCACTCCCTCCCTGGCCAAATGGATGGATCTGAGCCCCACATGCCTTGTAGTACCAGTCAGGCCTGTGGCTCCTTCTTCCCTACCAGGGTCACCCTGGGCCCCCGTTCACCCTGTCTAAGGAGGGTGAGAGGAAGGGACATGCTGGAGACCACCCTGCCACTGGACTCCTCCACCCCAGAGCCTCACCTCTTTCTAGTCCTTGCCCTCCCCCTCCCCTTCCCCTTCCTCCCCACACTGCTTCTTGCCAGGATTCCACAATAATAATAGCAACCAGCACATTTGTGGTATTTGCAGGTGCCAGGCTTCGGGTAAGCAATGCACACATCTTAACTCATGGAGCCTGCTCAACCATTCATACAGGACACGCCATACTGATACCATTTTACCACTGAGGACACTGAGACCCAGAGAGGTTGAGGCACTGGCCCAAGGCCACACGGCTCCCTAGATGGGAAGACCAGAGCAAGTCTGCACTCATTCGTAACTGTAAAGCCATATGGCCTTTCTGTCTGAGAGGGGCCTTCTGACATTGGGGAGCCAGTGCCCCTCCCAGGGATGGCTCTGGTTCCCAGTGTTTGGGGACACCCAGATAATGGGAGCTCCTGATTTGAACTCCTTTCCCTGCAGAGTCGAGCTTCCCTCCTCCTCAGCTCCTGTTGCCAGGGCAGCTGTTTCCACAAAGAGCCCAGCGGCTCCAGCAGGACTGCGCTTTCCAAACAGTCTGTGCGCTGTTTGGGTTCCCTTTGTTCCCGGAGGATTTATAGAGTTTGGAGGCTCCTTGTTCTCCAGGAGTCCATCAGCAAATGGATCTGGGGGCTGGAGGGCTCAGGACCCCACCCTTGGCTCTGCCACCAACCCCTTGCTGTGCAGCTTGGGGAAGGGCTTTCTATTCACAGTACGCTTCAGTTCCGCAGCCCGCGAGGGCTAAGAGCTGGCATTTTCTGCACAGCCACTGTGTGCCCACCCCAGAAGCAGCTTTTACCCTTCTGGATCTCAGGGACTCTTCCTAGTAGTGCAGTGAGGTGGGTGACATTCCCATTTCACAGGAAAGGATACTGAGACCTGCCTTGCCTAGGGGCACATGGGGGCCAGATGCAGCCTGGGGGAGACCCAGCTCTCGCATTGCTGACTCGAACTTCCCGCTGCTGCGGGGGTTCTGGGGATCTGGGGTTCCCAGATCAACAACCACTCCTTATTCCAGGGCTGTCTGGTCGTATCCCTCCCAGGGCCCCGTGTGACCCTGGAGCATGAAAAAGAAATTGTTTGGAGCCAACATTTGGATCAGCTTCTTGTGGCATGATTCAAATTCACTGGAAGTATAAAGTATGCACCCTACTTGCTGAGAATAATTTTTATTTTGTGTGTCCAAATCTTGGCTGAGCTTTCACTTAAGAATCTGAATGGAGCTGATCTAGTCACCAGCACCAAGACAGCTGCTGCACCATTACTGCCTCTCAGGCTGGCCCGCGGCCCCCTCCCTCCCAGACCACCCTAGAAACAGCGCTTCTTGTATGGTACTTCTATATATCATACATACATAACTAGGAAATGAAAATTTCTGTAAGCAGAAGACATCTGGGCTGTGCATGATTCAGCTGCAGGGACAGAAGCCTCAGCAAGGAAGAAGGCAGCATCAGCCTTGCCCCAGAGACGCCTGCCTGCAGCTGCGGGAGTGTTCGGCTTTGCAGGGATGCAGACTCACCTTCATGGCCTCTCCCCTGCTCACCCCTGGGTCTCTTCTCTGGCCCAGGCCAGTCTGTGTTATCAGATGCACAGCACAGGTCATGGGGTTGGAGCTGTGTTTGAATCGTGGCTGTATGTGACTTTGGGCAAGTGGCTTCCTCTCTCTGAGCCTCAATTTTACTTATCTGCAAAATGGGATGGTAACAAGCTTTGCAGAGCGGTGCTGAGGATTCAGAGAGTGCCTACACAGTGTGCTGACAGCAGGTGCTCTGTCCATCCCGCCAGCTTCTGCCCCCACACACGCCGTTTTCTGAGCCCGTTTCTTTGGGAGGTCTCACAGATTCCCCTCTTCCAGGAGGTCGCTGCCTTTCATGCCCCCACACACCTCCCTACATGTGCACCTCACACTCAAACAAACATTCAGGTTTGATTTGACAGCAAGTCTCGAATCCAAGACTGTGAGTTCCAATTTTGTTCTCTTTTTGAGACAGCTTTGGATATTATAGGTCCTTTTAATTTCCTTATGAATTTTAGGATCAGCTTATCAATTTACACACATGCGCACAAAAGCCTGCTGGAATTTGGGTTGGGAAAGCATTAATGTACAGATCAATAGAGATATAATTAAAATCTTCACAGTACTGAGCCTTCTTATCCATGAACTGACCGATCCCTGTGTTGTTTAAAAGATCTTATTTGATTCCTCTCAACAATATTCTAATTTTTCTGTGTGGAGGTCTTGCACATCTTTTGTTAGAGGGATTCCCTGGTGCCTTGTGTTTTGATGTAATTGTACACTATTTTAAAATTTTCATTTCCTGGTTATGTATGTACGATATATAGAAGTACCATTGACTTGGGCATATGGACCTTGTATCTAGTAACCTTGCCAAATGTCTTAGTTCTAATAGATTATCTATAAATTTTTTTTGGATTATCTATCATAATCATAATAATGACGTGTATACATGCTGACAGCTTCCTTTTTTCCAAATCCTTATCCCTTCTCATTTTCTTGCCTTATTATACTGGCTACAACCTTAATGTTGAATAGATGTAGTGGGTGTGCCTGACTTGTTCCTGATCTCAGGGGCAATATTTTCAATCTTTCATCATTAAGTATTATATTTGCTGTGGGTATTGTAAATATCTTTTATCATATTAGGGAAGTTTCTTCTATTCCTAGAATGCTAAACATTTTTTAAAAATTATGAATCTGTGTTGAATTTTATCAAGTGCTATTTCTATATCGAAAGAGATAAACATATCATTGTGTACATTATTCTTCTAGTGTGGTGAATTACATTGATTGATGGATGTCAAGTGTCAATCTGGCATTCCCAGAGCAAATCCAATTTGATTATAATGTATTATTCTTTGTATATATAGCTAGCTTCTGTTTGCAAATATTTTTGAGGAGTTTTACATCTTTACTTTTTTTGTATTAGTATTTTATGCAGCAATAACTGCATAAAAATTGCAACAAAATATATGGGTTTAAAGCAACAATAGTCTTATCTCCAATGGATCTATCATTGGGATTGAGACAGGACAGAGCAGGGACAGTTTGCCTCTGCTCTATACTTTCTGGGGCCTCAGCTGGAAGGCTTGAGGCTTGAGAGCAGGAATGGCATGAAGTCTCATTCACTTTGATGCCTGGAGGTGATGCTGACTGTTGACTGGGTCCCTAACCAGGGCTTTCAGATGAACACCACATGCAAGCTCCCCAGGTTGCTTGGGCTTCCTCACAACATGGCTGCTGGATTCCAAAAGCAAGTGCCCTAAGAAGGAGAGAGAGAGAGAGAGAGAGAGAAGGAGGTAGAGAAAGGGAGAAGGAGGGAAAGATTGAAAGGAGAGAGGAGAGGGAGGGGAAGAGAGGGAGAGGGAGGGGAAGAGAGAGAGAGGGAGAGGTAGGGGAAGATAGAGGAAGGAGGGAGAGAGAGAGGGAAGAAGGGAGGAAGAGAAGGAGGTAGGGAGGGAGGGGGAGAGAGAAAGAGGGAGAGGTATATGTTCTTTTATCTTTTTTAGACCTAGCCTGGGAAATCACATAACATCATTTCTACAGCTCTTCATTGGTAGGGAAGTCACAAGACTCCTCCCAAACTCAGAATGAGTGAAGACTGTCAATCCCATTGCAAGAGGAGCATGTGGGATGGGATAAACCTATGGGTGTGTCTGCCTTTGGAGAATACAGTCTGGCCCCCTTCTTGTAATGTTCTTATCAGCTTTAAGTATGAGGGCTATGCTTTGCCTCTAAAACAAGTAGAAAAATATTCCCACTTTTTTTGTTATGTGCATAATTTGTATCCAGTTGGTGCTATTTATTTCTTAAATGTTTGGGAGAATTCACTTGTGAGGCCATCTGGGCCTGGAGATCTCCTTGTGAAAAGGTTTTAAATTATAAAGCAAATGCTTTGAGGACTATTCAAACTTTTAACTTTTTTCTTGGTCAGTTTTGTTTTTCTAAGAGTTTGTTCGTTTCAACTAATTTTGAAATTTATTGCAATAAAGAGGTGTTCATAATATCCTTTCTTAATGATGGTAAGGTCTGTAGCGATGTCCCCTTTTTATTCTTGATATTGCTTTCTATTTTCTTGATCAGTCATGCTAGGGATTTATCAATTTTATTATGCATTTGAAAAATAAACGTTAAACCTTGTTGATTTTTCACTATCATATATTCATTTTCTATTTTATTTTCAGATCTCTCTTTTATTTATTCTACTTTCTTTGGGTTTACTTTATTCTTGTTGTTGCTGCTGCTGTTTTGGGGGTTTTGGGGGGTTTCTTTTTGCCTCTTGAAATGGATATTTAGATAACTTATTTTCAGCCTTTTCCCCCCTAAAATGTTGAGACTGTAAGTCTTCTTCTATGCACTGTTTTAGCTAACTTGCACACATTTTGATAATTCATTTTTATTACTGTTTAGCTCACAATTATTTTCTAATTTTCATTGTAATTTTTTTGTCATTGTTTATTTAGAAGTATATTACTTTATAAATAGTGGCGATAGTCTAGTTGCCATTTTGTTATTTTCAGTTTAATTTCACTGTGGTTAAAGAATGTATGATTTTAATCATTTGAAATTTGCTGAGACTTGCTTTATGGGTCAGCATATAATCCATCATGGTAAGTGTTCCATACACACTTGATAAGAATATGAATCCCACTGTTGTTGTTTTACCATGTTCTATATACGCTAGTTAGGTCAGGTTTCTTAATCATGTCTGAGTTTTCTATGTCCAGACAGTTTTTGTCTGCTCATTTTATCAGTTACTGAGACAAATGCATTAATCTCCCACTGTGATTGCTGCTTTGCCTATTTCTCCTTTTAGTTCTGTCCATGTTTTACTTTGTTTATTTTGAGATTATGTTATTAGGTCTATAGAAATTTAAAATTGTTTTATCTTCTTGGCAATTGACAATTTTTCATTATAAAATATTCCTCTTTATCTCTAGGTATGATTTTTGCCTTAAAATCTACTTTGCCTGCTATTACTATAGCTAAACCTCCTGTTTTTTGGTTAGAGTTTGCGTGATCTTTATCTTTTAACTTTCAGCCTCTCCAGTCCTTTTATTTAACCTGTCTCTTTGAAGCAGCATATAGTGGAGATTTAAAAAGCTAATTAAATCAATTAGAATTATGAGATAATTTTGTCTTTAATAAAAGTATTTCTTTTCTATTTGTCCCACCTGTTCTATATTTCTTCACCCTCTTATTTTACTTATTTTAGAATGATCAAATATTTTTATTATTTCACTTCTCCCCTGATTAACTTGTTAGTTATACATTTTTAGTTATTTTTTAGCAATTACTGTATAGATTCCAACATGCATCTTTGATATATTATAGTCTAATTGAAATGACCACTTTACACTTCACAGTAAATGCAAAAATGCAAGGGTCTGTGAACATTTTAATTTGATTTTCCTCTTCCATACATTTTTCTTGTTGTTCTGTTGTACCCACAGATTCACGTTTACCCTTTCTCTGGCTCTTCATATGGTAACCCCCATGTGCCTATGTTTCTGTCTGAAACAAGTTTCTTCCTGCCTGAATAACTTCTTTTATAGTATTTCCTTTGTTGAAGGTTTATTAGGAATAAATTCCTTGAGTTTTTATTTGTCCAAAAATATTTTTATTTCACTTTTATTTTTGAAGTATTTTTCATAAGGTTTATAATTCTAGGTTGAGAGTTGTCTTATTTTCTTACAAATGTTAATTGTATACATTTGTGGGGTGCAGTGTGATGTCTGTATATATGTGTTTATATTATATATATATATAGAGAGAGATATACACACACACACACACACACACACACACACACACACACACAAAGGGAATGATAAAATCAAGCTAATTAGCACTTTAAAGGTGCCATTCTACAGACTTCTCGCTTTCATTCTTTTTTTGAGAAGTCAGCTACCAGTCTTATTGTTGTTTCATTGATGGTAATGTGTCGTTTTTCTGGCTGCTCATAAGCCTTTCTCTTTGTCTTTAGTTCTCAGCAGTTATGCTATGATATGCCTCAGTGTGGCTTGGGAGTGTGTTATGCTTCTTGAATTTTGACTTGAGATCTCATCAGGTTTGAAAAATTCTTGGAAATGATCTTTTCAAATATTGTTTCTGCCTAATTCACTTGCTCCTCCCCTTTCTGGGACACCAGTTATATGTATGTTGGATCTTTAACTGATTCCCATAAGTATTTTTTTAAAATTATCTTTTCTGTATTTTTCCTTTTTTGATGTATTTATGCTATGCATAAATATAAATATTTTCTACTCATTGATCTTCCAGTTAGTTAATTCTCATTCAGTCTAGTCTACTTTGCTCTTTACCCCATTTATTGAATTCTTGTCAGTTATTGCATTTTCACATCTAGATTTTCTATTTGCTTCTTTTTTGCATATTCCAGCTCTTAGCTGAAATTCTTCATCTTCTTATTTATTTCCTTAAACATATTCATCACAATAATGTTGATGTCTGTGTCTGATAACTGCAATATTTAGATCACCAATGGGTCATTTATTATGTCTGTTTTTTTTTTCTCTTGTTCCTGTTGCTGGTATGCCTGGTAATTTTTAAATACATATTGAACATCGTCTAAAAGCCTATATCATCTTCATATAATATAATCCCCTTGAGAGGGTTTAGTTTAACTTCTAAATGCATTTAGATTATGAGGAGATAATTTCAATCTAATCAGGGCCTGAGCTGACTCTAAGCTGGGTTTTAGACTTCTAAGGCCTGCTTTCTGTGATTTACTCTTACTTGTAGGGTATTGACACCTTCAGAGTCCATCTGAGACTGTGGTGTCTCAGGTGTTTTCTTGCGTCCCTCCTCCTTGGTGATCCCTGAACTCCAATTTTTCCTCCTTGACCATAAATCTGCTAAAAGTTCTTAGATTTTCAGTCTAAACAGCCACTTTCTGCTAGGTTTATTTTGCTTAGGAATTGGCACATTTTTCAAAGGGGAGATGGAGAGAGTATTGGGGTCACTTCTTTGTGCTTCTCTTCTCCTGGAACTTACATCTTCAAGTCTTGGATGCTCTGATAGCCCTCAACTCCAAGATTTATCTTCCTGGTCCCTTGCGACTTCCAGGAGTTCTGATTAGCTGTCACTTTCTGCTTGGCTTTTTCTTGGCTTCTCAGCCTGTTGGAACAGCTACCTACAAATTGGCAGATGTCATGACAGGAATAGAAGGGTAGAATATCAGCCTCACCTTAATGAGTTTTCCTTCTCTCTGGGATCTTGGCCCTCAAGTCCAGGCTGCCTTCATAGCTCTCCTGTGTTTTTGAACTGATATTGCCTGTATTTTATATCACTTTTCTCCTTTCTTGGAGATCAGGATAGAGGGCAGGTAGGAGGCAATGCTGGCCTCAACTTGGCAGATACAGTGGAGGTGGTAGCAATAGGTGGGTTGAGAGAGATACAGTCACAGCGATTAATTAGATGGGAGAGGAGGAACCAATAATGAATGTAGATGGATTGTCTCTCTGAGATGCTGGGCACATGCTCACCAATCCCCAGGCTTAGGCGGGCCTCTCCTCTGGGTCCCCAACCTCTGCCCTGTGGGTCCCCATTACAGCCCTGATCACTCTCTGTAGTCACTCTATATGTTCTTGTCTTTTTCTCCCACCAGCTAGGTGCTCCTAAAGGAGGGGGCTTTATCTGCTAGTCCTGGTGTTGTCCAGCACTGAGATGGTCATGAGTCATTGAGGGAATGAATGGATGAAAGAATGTGAATTTGTTGAACAATGATCCGTGATGAAACCAGGGTCTCCTGGGTCCAAAGGCAACTGGGACTTCAAGCTCTGTTCCCAGCCAGGGCTTGAGTAGAAAGGTAAAGCTGGACAGGTCCCAGGTCCCAGCACATCTGTCCCCCTTGGCAGCTGGCATACCTGGGCCCGGCTCTACCTGGGCCACTGGATGAGTCCCAAGGCTATTCCCAGGCTATTCCCTGGGCTCCTGGCTGTCCCCAGTCCTCACTGGGCCCTAGGCAGACCACATTCTCACTACCGTCTCCCCTTTCTCAGGTTAGATGGGGTGGGTGCCAAAGGGAGGCCTCTCCCTGGCAGTGGGAGGGCTGTGGGAAGTGTGTGTGTATAGCATGTATAGCAGCCTGGAGGAAGCTAAAAGATAAACACCACTTAAGATGACTTGGCCCTTCCATTGGCCTCTCCTTTGGATGCAGAATTTAGATCAGCAACAACAAAGAAAGAGGGGCTCTCCTGCAGGGCTTGCTACACCTTACCCAACCAGGCCAGCCCACTCTGGGCTGCACAGGGCTCCTCTTACCACATCACCTGTAGAAGAGCTGGCCAGCCAAGCCATTGACACTGCCAACTGGCTTTGTTTTGTCTGTGAAGTAGCACAGAACTCCCCTGCAGGGCAGAGGCCAAGGGACACAGAAACTCCTGTCTCTGGGCTGGGTGCAGTGGCTCACGCTTGTGATCCCAGCACTTTGGGAGGCCAAGGCAGGTAGATCACTCGAGGTCAAGAGTTCAAGACCAGCCTTGCCAACATGGCAAAATCCCGTCTTTACTAAAAATACAAAAATTAGCCAGGCATGGCAGCACGCACCTGTAGTCCCAGCTACTCGGGAGGCTGAGGTATGAGAATCGCTTGAACCCAGGAGACAGAGGTTGCAGTGAGCCAAGATTGTGCTACTGCACTCCAGCCTGGGCTACAGAGCAAGACCCTGTCTCAAAAAAAAAAAAAAAAAAAAAAGAAGAGAAACTCCTGTCTCAGGTGTTCCCTCTTCATTGGTATCAGACAGATTTCCTCAGAGCGCCCTGGAGGGGTTTGGGAGGGCAGGGAGAGCTGGGAGGTGAGGCCAGAGGAGCTGATATGCATCGTCATGTGGGCTGAGGGTAACTGGGCTAGGGTCTTGGACCTTGGATTCTGGTTCTTTCCTGAAGGCCCAGAAGCTTCTGGCTCCTGGCCAAGATCCTAACCAATACCCACTGCCTCCCATGGACCTTGGCCACCCAACAGACTCCTATTCATCCCTCAAAACTTTGAGGCTGGCTCCTCCAGAAAGCCTTTGTCAGCTTCCCCAACACCTCCCAAAGAAGAAAACACTCTTTCTCTAGAATGACTTCCTGACTCCATTTCACATTGGATGGGCTGTCGTTGTTTCGGTCTCTCTCATCCCTGTGCAGGCTCGTGAGTATCTTGGGAACAGTCTGCCTTGCCCCTCCTCATCCCCCCAGCTCCAAGCACCACAGCCAACACAGGGTCAGGCTAAGAGCTGCTCTTCTCTGGAGGTGATTATGACTGGAGAAATGTCACAAACCTTGTAGAAAAGAGAGGGGCTGGAGGAGACACAGGGCAATGGGAGAATTTGCCAGCTGTCATTGGAGATCTGACTCACCGTCCCAGCCAGCAGCAGCTGGGATGCAAACCTGCCCCCTGGGAAGGTGCTGTGTGACCCTGGGCAGGTCCCTGTACTTCTCTGAGGCTCAGTCCCCTCCCCTCTACAAATGAGTAATGACCCATTCCCTTGAGGCTACTGTGAGACTCCAATAGGTCACAGCACGGCCTCTGTTCCCACCCTCTGTGAGTAGGCAGAGCCTGCATGAGCAGGTGGTCATCAGGAGGTTCAGTGGCAAACAGCAGAAATCTCATAGAAAGCCTATGTGAGGGTTCTCAGAATCTACAGGAGCCCAAATCCTAGCCAAGAAAGGGGACAGGAGTCGAGGGCAGCCTGGTGTCCCAGGACAGAAGCAGGTCCAGCTGTGGGAATAGAGTGGCCAGGCAGCCCTTGCTGTGGGTGCTGGCACTGCCACACTGGAGGCACAGTCTCTACCATGATCACTCCCTGATGGCACCAGCTTCTTTGCCTCACAAGCTCTAGATGCAAAGTCCCAGGGAAGCCTCTGATTGGCTGAGCCAGCTGGAGCAAAGTCCCAGGGGAGCCTCTGATTGGCTGACCCAGTTGGAGCCAATGACCTCAGCCTCCTGGCCTGGGCACTTCCCTAGTAGAAGAGTCAAACAATGGTGAACTCACCAGGACAGGACAGGGTGCAGGTGTCTGGTGGCCCCCAAAGCAACCAGTTCCACTGAGAGGGCTCTTTGTCATAGTAATTCAAGGAATCTCCCACGGCCAGAGCCAGAGCTGGGGGCTGTAGCAGGTTTCCTGGAGTTGCCATAATAAAAGACCACACAATGGGGCCTTAAAAAACAGTAGACTTTTATTCTCTCCCATTCTGGAGGCCAGAAGTCCAAAACCAAGGTGGCGACAGGGCCGTGCTCCCTCTGAAGACTCTTGGGCAGGATGCTGTCTTGCTTCTTGCAGCTCCTGGTGGCTGCGGCATCCCTGGGCATGTGGCTTGCAGTGGCTTCACTCCTGTCCTGCCTCCCTTGCCGCCTGTCCTTCTTCCCGGCTCTGGGCGCATTGCTGTGTCTTTCCAGGGCTTCTTAGAAGATCACATTACTGGGGCTGGGCACAGTGGCTCATGCCTGTAATCCCAGCACTTTGGGAGGCTGAGGCAGGCAGATCACCTGAGACCTGAAGTTGTGAGTTCGAGACCAGCCTGACCAACATGGTGAAACCCCATCTCTACTAAAAGTACAAAAGTTAGCTGGGTGTGGTGGCATGCACCTGTAATCCCAGCTACTCGGGAGGCTGAGGCAGGAGAATTGCTTGAACCCTGGAGGTGGAGGTTGCAGTGAGCCAAGATTGTGCCACTTCACTCCAGCCTGGGTGACAGAGTGAGACTCTGTCTCAAAAAAAAAAAAAAAAAAAAAGAAGATCACGTTACTGGACTTAAGGCCCACTTAATCCAGCATGACCTCATCTTAATGAATTACATCTGCAACGATGCTGTTTCCAGATGAGATCGCATGCTGGGGTTCTAGGCAGACACGGGCTTGAGGGACAGTAGTCCACCCGGTGCAGGAGCTTTGTGAGTATTTGTGATGGAGGCGACAGAAATGTGCTGCCACATCGAAACCTACTAGAAAAATGTTGTGCCTTCTGCACGGGGTCCTACACTGGTCCCCCAATCCGCTGTTGTGCCCCAAGAATCTGAGCTGTGTCTCCGACCCCACCACTTCCCCAGAGGCCACCCTTGAGGCCCATGTGTGCCGCTGCCCTCGCAAGGGGCATCTTCAGCCAGATCCTGGCAACAGAGCAGCAGGAAATTGATTCCTGGCATTTGGAGGATCAACAGGTCATTAAGGCAGCCGGCGACATCTGGTTTGGATGCTGCAGAAATGCCCGAAGTGCTTCCACACCCGATGGGGCCTGGGCTGCCAGGAGACCGGGGCTGGTGGCCAGAGAGAGTCCCCAACATCTAAGTCTGGGTCCTCAGACCTCGTGACATCACCCCACATAAAACCTTCAAGGGCCTCCTTTCCCTCGGGTAAAGGTCGAACATCTCAGCATAGCCCACAAGGCCCTGCAGGCTCTGGCCCAGCCCATGATGGGCCAGCAGCTCTTCCGCTCTTGGTATGGGCCCCCCTGAGCATCTGTCACTGCCTCAAATGCATGCTGAGGTCCTGCCTCAGGGCTTTTGCACAAACTGCCCCCAGCCTGAGAATATTCCCCCACTCTCTCCCCGAAGCCAGTTGAGGGTTCCTGCCCACCCTTTTGTCTCAGCCCAAATGTGGCCTATGCCAGGGCCAGGCTAGGTCACCTGTGAGCCACCCTTCAAGTACACACTCCTCAGTTTGCAACGGCACGTTATTGGTGATGACCACATTGTACCCCCCATCCTGAGGGACGGCAAGCTTTGCAGAGAGCTGCTCCCCACCACATTCCCTGTGTGAGGGTCCCTGGTGCTGGCTGGCTTGGACCTGGGCTTCTGCCTGACTCTGCCTGTCACCTTTTCGGTAACATCAGGCAAATCTCCTTTTGTTGAGCCTCAGTTTCTCCTGCTGGCAAAATGGGGTATTAATCCTGGCCTGTCTGCCCCACCTGAAAAGATGGTGATGAGGCTCAAAGCCGTCTCCTTGTCCTCAAGCATTTAGCTGATAATGGTGGAGCACAGTTATCCCCCTGTGAAGGGTTCGTCCGGTACCGACAAAATACGCAAAAGTCTCTGTCCCTGTGGTTAACATCCTGGAGAGGGAAGGACAGGCAATCAACAACCACATAAGGGGTGACAGTAAGTGCAGAGAGAAGAAATAATAGTAGAGCAGGTAAGGTGGCCAGGGCGGGATTGCAGGCAGCTACACCAGGCAGGGGCTGGCAGTCTCCAGAGAAGGTGCCATGCGGGTCGTCCCCTGCAGGAGGTGCTCTTGGCAGCCTGCTTTTGTAACCGCCTTTGGAAATAACATCAAAAGGCTGCAGGTACAGCGCTCCAGGCAGGGGAACCAGCAAGGGCAAAGGCCTGGAGGCAGGAGGGTCGAGGCCGGCAGAGCAGGCAGACCACTGTGGGCATACATGCCGGGCGGGGGCTGGCGGCAAGGTGCCAATGCCCTACAGAGTGCTGGCCCGCTGCCTCTGCCGGACGTGAGCGTCCCAACTTTGCCCGGGTGTTGCCTGCCACCAGCTTTGTGCAGGGAAGCACTGAAGAAGACTGCTTTCTCCGTCTCTGGCCCCAAGCCCCCACCTGGGGAGGACAAATTCGTCACCGCTACCTGCCCTAGCTAAGCAGTCATGTGTTTTCCTCCCAGACAAATGAAAGAGCCCCGGCTGCTGCCTAGCCTCTGGGCCCCTCCAAGGCATGGAAGAATTAATCAGATTGGAAGCTGCTGCCAAATGTACCCACCGGCTGAAAAGACCCGCTGCAGTACAAACAAACCCAATCTCCTGCTCTGGGCAGATGCAACCTTGGAAATAAAGACGCGCTTAAACCCCGCCTCTCCCAAGAGGGCCCCCGGCTGACACCCAGTTATCTTCCTACCATTAGCCAAGGAACATTTGGAGGTTGGGTTCTCATTGACACCCCTGGAAGCCAGGCTGAATGTGGATCCCACCCTGGAGGAGTTCCCCCCGACTCCCCTGCAGCTGACCAGGGCCTTCATCTAGGTGCTCACTTGCAGGGAAGAGCTCCAAGGAAGACCCGAGGGTTGGCTGTGGGGCCACCAGAGCAAGGGTCTGTCCCTCCATCAGCAGGAAGAAGGGAGATGGCATTGGTTCTAGTGCCTATGACGCTGGGAAAGGTCTGCTGGGTGTGCAGTCAGAGGGGCTGGCTCGGTTGGACTCCCAGGCCTGCCGTGTACCAGGTGGAGGACGTTGAACAACCCATCTCAACTTTCTAGGCTTTGGTTTCCCGGTCTGTAAAATGGGCTCCCACCTGCCTCACTGCATTGCCTGGACAGTCAGATGAAACCCAACAACCTCATCCAGCGAAGGGACTCCACACCTTCAGGAAGATGTAACTGGTCCCCAGAGCAGGTATCTGTCTGTCACAGTGTTTGGGGACTGTCAGGACTTTATGAAGAAAATTAAAAGTGTTTTGCAGCTGGGTGCGGTGGCTCACACCTGTAATCCCAGCACTTTGGGAGGCCGAGGCGGGTGGATCACCTGAGGTCAGGAGTTTGAGACCAGCCTGGCCAACACGGTGAAACCCTGTCGCTACTAAAAGTACACAAAAATTAGCTGGGCGTGGTGGTGGGCACTTGTAATTCCATCTACTTGGGAGGTTGAAGCAAGAGAATGGCTTGAACTCGGGAGGAGGAGGTTGCAGTGAGCCGAGATCGCACCATTGCACTCCAGCCTAGGCTAAAAGAGCAAAACTCCATCTCAAAAAAAAAAAAAAAAAAAAAAAGAAAGGAGAAAAATGTGTTTTGCAGAACCTTGCTCTGGAATAATAATTATGTATATGTTTTATTAGGCCATTAACTAAAATATCTGTATAAATATTCTGTCTTATCATATGTGATGCATAGATACATACACTAAGATATAAAAATAAATTGTGGGGTTCTGGATCCCCTCTCCACTTAGGGACTGGGGAACTCCTTAGCTAAGCTAATTACCCCCGGATCAAAATTGGGGCCGCATTGTTCTCTGTCCTGCACAGTTCCCTGCTCGAATCGTTGCTTCCTCTGCCAGGATCCTGGCTTTTCCTACCAGAGAATGTTGAGGTTCTCTGTCAGTTTCGCTGTTAATGTGTCTTCACTAATCACGTTTCCGGGAGACTTGCCACCCCTAAAGGAGCCTGTAAAACACCTGTCCCCAGACCTAAGTCCTTGGGAATGACCCTGTGTCTCTGCATCAGGACACCTCTGCTGTTCCATCAGCCACCCTTTGAGGTCCGTGCTAGAGCTCTGAGCAGGTTTTAGAAACTTAAGCTTTTGGTGTAAAGAATAATTTTCAGGCCAGTCTGCCCTGAAAGCAATTTTTCCAATGCACAGAAGTCTTGAACACTTACACCTAATACCCAATCCTCAAATCAAACGTTAGTGGCTGTGTCAGTTAGTTTTTGCCATGTAAGAAACCAGCCCAAATCTCTGCAGCTTAAAATCAGTGATTTCTTGAGCTCATGACTCTGTGGGCTGCCTGAGCCGTTTTGGGGGCTGGCTGGGCTGAACTCTTATCTGCAGGGTAATATCATGCTCTGTGGTCAGCTGGAAGGTTGGTTGGTGATGACATGATCTCAGGTGGGCTCACTTGTTTGTCTGGTGCCTGGCAGATGGTAGCCTGGGGCCCCTCAGTTTCCCCTTGTGGCCTGTGCAGCAGACTGCCTCAGGCTCACTGACTTGGTGGCCTCAATGTTCCCAGTGTACTGAGTGGACAAACCCTAACACACTAGGGCTTTCCAAGCCTCTGTCTGCATCACACCGAAGCCGGTCACATGGGCAGGCCCAGGGTCAGTGTGGGAGGGGACAGCACAGGCCAAGGAGAGAAGGAGGGAGGGCTGTGGCCTTTTTTAGTCTATGGAAATTATTGTTTATTTAAGGAAGATATGGTTGGGGGAGGTAGGGGAAGCGGGAAGGGAACAGCTGTCACAAGTGGCTATGGGCTCACTATCTTTGCTGCTTGCTGGTATTAGGGGGGCACATGCTAGTACCAGCCAAAGTGCCATGAAAATCCGCCAATTCTACCCCAAGAGGGTGTCCAGCACTTTGTGACAAGGCTGCACTGCACAGTGGGGGCCAAAGCAGGTGAGCAGAAGCTGGAGGAGAAATAGGATGGAGAAGCTGGAGGGTGGGGTCCCAGGATGCCAGAGACCAGAGAGACCTTGAAACCCAGGATGCAGCCCACAGCCGCTTCACAATGGGGAGCTGAGTCACAGATGCCTTCAGGGGAAGCATCTGTGGCCCCACCAGGGCAGCCAAGGGGATGTGGGAGGGTGGGCTCTGTCCTCTGGCTGGCTTTCACTTTCTGTGACCTCAGGCAGGATGCTTGACCCCTCGGGGCTCGGTGGCTTTGTCTGTAAGTTGGGTCTGTTTGCTGTCTTTCCATCCTGGGGTTGTGGGAAGACTCAATGAGATAATGTGTGTAAAACACTGAAAACCATGGGTGGCTCACAGAGTGTGCACCTGGCACACAACAGCTGTCGCCGTCATAACCAAAACACAGGTTCCATTGCTTGCCCCTTGCAGAGTTCAATTAACAAGACTGAGGTCCAATATAAAGAAAGTCACTTTTTATTCCCAAGCTAGCTTAGGGGAAGAAGTACAGGCTTCCTGCCTTAAGGCTTGACTTTTGGAGCAGAAGGCAAGTGCTTTTTGAAGGGGGCCTAACATGAACGGCACACAGGGAGGAAGCGAGCAGGTTTGGGGGGTCTGTGCGCTAACTTGGTGCTTTATCTACCAGGCGGTGGTAAAACTGGTGACTGCTGGCACCTTCATGGGCAGGACTAGGTTGTAAAGCAGCTGAAAACTCTCCAGGTGGGAGAGAGTTTCGTCACGGACATCCTTTGGATCGTCGATGGACTGTTATCTCCCGAGGCAACCTCCTGGTGGGTGAGAGTTCCACTCTGGAGTGTCTAAGCACATAGCTAGATGGACTTGGCCTGTAGCAAGCCTCAGGTGCAGGGGAGGCAAAAGGTTATAATTGCATTTCTAAAGGGATAAGTAGGAAGTAGGGAATAAGGGGAATCAGAGAAAAGAGAAAGATAATAAAAAATAATAACTCATTATATTTTTCTTAGAAAAGTGGGGATACTTGGTTAGACTGTTATTACTCATACCCAGGCCTCCTGCTCCCAGCTCCATGATTTTTCCTTGGCCCTGTGTGACAGGTCTCTGTCTTCGGAACGTGGGGAGGTTTTCTCGGAAAATCCCTCCCACATCTTTCTTGGGATTCTGGTTTCACTGTTTGAGATGAATTCCTTTGAGATCAAAGTTGTCTCCACCTGCAAATGGGAGTTCCACCAGATGACGTGTGATGCTTGCAAAGTGCTGCGGGGCGCGGGGCTCCTAGCAGGTCCTCCATCCATGCAGCTGGCATTAGCATCATGGAGACGGGGAGGGGATGAATCAACAGACACGCAAGTGTGTCTGCTGGGAAGCAGCACCACAGGCCAGGAAGGGTACCCGCTGGGGCCAGCCTGCCCCATCCGATTCCAGCTCTGCTGTGTGCTGGCTGTGTGACCCTGGGGCATCCTTTAGCCTCTCTGTGCCTCAGTGGCTCCCTCTGGAAAGCAAGCATGGTAACAGGCTCCACTCAAAGGGCGCCTGTGACAATTCAACAAGTTTAACATCCATACAGCACTTTATTCATTCTTTCTCAATTCCCCCCTTCACTCCTGTCTGGCAGACTCACTCTCCCCCCTTGCAAGGAACTGCAGCTATTTCACGTCGTTTTTCCAGGGGCTTTGGGTAATGCAAAGTCCAGGCGGCTCTTGTATTAAATTTGAGACTCTTAGAATTTAGAGTTTCCTCCTCCGCCAGCTCAGCTCAGCTCAGCTCCGCATAGTCCAGGGATCGGGGAGGGGTGCGGTCAGTTTCTCCTCTGTCCCCTCCCTCTTGCTGGGTGTTGCTCTTGCCCCTCCAGGGCTGGGCCTGCCCAGGGAAGCAAGGAAGGATTTTTTTGGCAGGGGAGCGGGGGCGCCGGGTCTCCCTGGACAGACACGGCTGTGAGCTGAGGCTGGGCCTCTTGGGTGGTCCTGGAGACCCTCCCCATGGGTTCCTGATTGGCAATGCCGCCCCCTGCTCCAGCTTCCAGGATCCACCCTTTCTTCTGGGTCCAATTTGGCTGAAAGAACAAGTCCTTTTGTCCCACAGCTCCTAGAGTAGCCCAGAGTTTGTTCCCAGACCTTAGCATAAACCCCAAGATGTCCCCAGGGGACAGTTGTTAAGCACTTGGCTGGCTGGCTGGCACCCCTCATCCTTCTCCTTAAGCAGCTACCAGCTCATGTTGCACCCTTGTACCAATTACAGTCAGGCCCCTTCCTCCAGGGTGACCTCCTGGCTTGGCTTGTGGGGGATGGCTCAGTCCTACCCCCATTCGCACCCCAGCCAAGGCCCCACTGACAACCTTAGGGGCCGCTGCCTAGAGGGACTTCTGCTTGAACCCCAGCAGCCACGGGCCCTGGGCTGGCTTCTCTGGCTGACTCAGGAGGCTGTCCCCAGCGCCTCCATCCCTGTGCTCCGTCCTCCCACTGTGCTCCCCTCATTTCGGCATTTATCGCTCTGGCCTGGAGGTCACTCCTTCCATGCATGTCTTCAAAGGCAGAAACCGTGTCCTGGGCAGGCTCTGGCACAGAGTGGCAGTTCCATAAATAACCAGATGAAGCCTCTGTCCCCCGGGGATGGGGGTGTGTGACCTGGGATGTGGCAGTCCCAGGGCCTCTTCCCTGTGCCTGAGGCCCAGCCCCTCCTTCCTCAGGTCAGGGCGAGCCCCCCCAGGGGGAGGTGGGGTCAGGATGATCCCACCACTGCAATTATAAATGCGGCAGGATGGAGGATGGGGTGAGCAGGGGCTGAGGGGAGCCACTCTGATGATTGACAGGGAGTATCCAGGGTGGACAGGTTGCCCTGCCTCTGGACCTTGGTGTTCTCATCTGTGAAATGGGGGCAGTGAGCCAGGCCCGTTTAAGTCAGGGGACTCTGGGCTCCCTCACACAACTAGCGCTCCTGTGGGGACGCTTGGCCTGTCTCTTGGCCAGCCCAGAGCGGCCGTCTGGCTCAAGTGCTGACTCAAAGTGCGTCAGACAAGGGGCCAGAGCGGGATTCCCGGAATGCCCTGGAAAAGTGCTGGCTACCGTCCAGGCGCCGCCGCCAACCATGTGGAGTCTCTCTCATTCCACAGGGAACCCTCATTACTCTCCGGACTGGCGTTCCTGATCCAGCCGGGCTGGCCCTTCCAGAGGGCTGGGAGCCATCAGGGCCGGGGCTGTGGCGAGCAGAGGGATGTGCCAGGTGGTCGTCGTGGCCTCATGTCCTGGGTGTGAGCCTGGGCTGGTCTGAGAGCACTTGGGGCTCGCTCACGCAGGCTGCTGAGCTGGGGGCTCCTAAGCCAGTGACACAGGGCCATGGAGGAAGGAAGGAGCCGGGGTGAGTCACCATGCCTTGAGGGCCCCAAGTCCTAGGGTGAGGTCCTTCATCAGACACTCATAGTCAGGCACCAGGGGCTGCAGATGGCCCCATGCTCCCCGCCCTCCCTGCCCCCACAAAGCCGGCAGTCCACCCAACGAGGCCGAGTCTCTGGAATCAGGCCACATCTCTCTCAGCAACACAAGGCAGCTCCTGGTGGGGAGCGGGGGAAGCCCATTTTACAGATGAGGACACTGGGGCTTAGCAGGTCTAGGGGACTTACTGCAGACCCCGCAGCCAGGACGTAGCAGGGCCACTCGCTCATTCAGTCCTTCAACTACCGTGGGCTGAGAGGCAGGATAGCCAGCGTCTGCACACTTGGGCTAGGAGCCCAGCAGTGCCAGGGGTGACTCCTGGCACCCCCACGTTCTAGGCGTTTACCTTGGACAAGTCACAGCCCCTCTGGGCTTCAGATTCTTTATCTGTGAAATGGGTCTGACACAGTATTTGCCATGGGCATTGAGCATGGTATAAGCCAGCCCATGTCAAGGGCTCAGGGTGTGGCCAGCACACAGCCAGTGGGTGCCCATGTTTGCTGCTATGGTCAACTGGATGGAGCCTTGTGCTGGGTCCTGGGTGCTGGGAAGGGAAGTGAGGGAGACCAAATCCCTGCCTTTGAGATGTTCTTTAGTCTTGTGTGTAAAATAGGGACAAAAATATCTAGCTTCCTTAGGAAGAAAAATAAACAAGATAACTTACAGAAAGCATTTCTTGGAGCCAGGCGCTGCTTGGAGGGTCATTCAATAGGCATCGGTCACCTTCTGCATTTCCCTGGGTGTAACTTTCAGACCAACTGGTGTAAGCTACTTTGGACTCCATTGAATGGACCCACCAGGGCTCACTCAACTGCTTGTTCCTCTATGTGGTTTTTCAACCAGGATGCTACGGCCGAAAGTATCTTTGGAACTAGAGCGTCCCTAAGAACAGTCCCTGGAGGCAGAAGCCGGGCCCTGGCTATAACTAACCCCTGGCTGTAACTAACCCCTGGCTGTAACTAACCCCTGGCTATAACTAACCCCTGGCTGTAACTAACCCCTGGCTATAACTAACCCCTGGCTGTAACTAACCCCTGGCTATAACTAACCCCTGGCTATAACTAACCCCTGGCTGTAACTAACCCCTGGCTATAACTAACCCCTGGCTGTAACTAACCCCTGGCTATAACTAACCCCTGGCTATAACTAACCCCTGGCTGTAACTAACTCCTGGCTGTAACTAACCCCTGGCTATAACTAACCCCTGGCTGTGCTCTGTCAGGGACGGTGGAAGGCATTCCTTTGAGAGAAACATTTGGGATCCTCTGGGTAGAGAATCGTCTTGGACAGGCTTGGGGCTGGGAGCCCTGCCTCCTCTAGAACTGAACCCCAGTAAAACTGCCAGCCAGGGGCCCACGGCGGGTACCCTGCAGGGGGACTCCAGCCTGAGAAGGTCTGCAGTGCGGCTTGTGTTTTGCTCGAGTTGCCATATACCAAGGCAGCACCGATGGACGGGGCAGCTTCAACAACAGACAGCCATCTTCTCACCACTCAGGAGGCCAAGGTCCCAGCTGGGTGGTTCCTCCTGAGGCCTCTCTTCCTTGGTGCGTAGATGCCACCTTCTCCCAGTGTCTTTGGCCACCTGATTGTCCCTCTGTGGGTGTCTGTGTCCCAGTCTCCTCTTCTTATAAGGAAACCAGTCCTACTGGATTAGGGCCCACCCCATTGACTGCATTCTAACTTAGTCACCTCTTTAAAGGCCCTGTCTCCAGGTACAGCCACATGTGGAGGTATGGGAGTTAGGATTTCAACACATGAATTTTGGGGGCCATAACCGAGCCCATAGCATGGGTGATTCATCAGAGTTCTAGGATTTAAAGAGCCTGAGTTATTCGAGACTCCAGGATCACTACCCCAGTAACTGCTGCGACAGCACCCTTACCCCTGCCCTTCTCAGGGGAAGCCAGGTCTAGGGGAGACAGTGACTTGTCCAGGCTCTCACAGTCAGGGCTGAGGCAGAATTGAACCCAGGCCTGGTTCATTCCAGAGCCTGACGGTGCCAGTCGGGAGCCCAGTGCTGGAAGGAGCTGGGAGGAGACAGAACTTGAGACCTATTTACCTTGGCACCCGCAGTGCCCGCTTGGGCTTGGCACACAACTGCTGTTCGGAAGTTGTTGGATGAATTCGACAATGACACATTTGGGCACAGTCCTTGCCCTGGGGGCACACACACCCCCCGATGAGAAGGCAGGCTCGCCGGCACACACCCGAACACCAAGATCACCGAGGCCAGAGCCAGGCCACTTTTCCTTTCTGGTTTGGGCCCTGCCAGCCTCCACACTGGGCCAGTGTGGAGCTGACCTTTCCACGTCTGCTCTGCAAAGCCCAAGCCAATTCCTAAGCCCTCGGCTGTCCCAGAACTGAGTCATGACGGAAGCTGGTGGGATTCCTGGGGGGACAGATCTAGCCCCCACACGTCCTTGCGTGCCTCCATCCATGCCAGCCGGCTCCAGCCCATACCACACCACCCAGAAATCCGCAGCTAGCACACGTTTCCACTGGAATGAAGCACTGCCCTGGCCCTGGCTCCGAATTCCTTGCCGCTCGCAGTCTCCAGCCGGCCGCCAGCTGTAACAGCCTGAGATGGCCTGCAGGGCAGGGAGCTGCAGTAGCAAAGAACATTTGTTTTCATCCGGTTGGAATTTTCTCTCCAAATTACACTGGCTGCCGTGGGCCTACTGTGCGAAGCTCCATTTACAGAAACCCTGGGCCACAGTCTGGGCATGACCTGCTCTCCCCAGAGGCGCCTTTCCCAGCTCGGCACCATGCTACCCAACATTCGCGTGCCCTGGGTTTCCAGGCCCCTTCCTGCCTCTGAGCCTTTGCCTACGCCGTTCTCAGTCTCAGAAATCCCTTCCCAGCCCACCCTGCTGCAGCCCCGGGTGGGGCAGGGCAAGGCCCACACTTGCGTCTCCATTGTACTCCTCACCGGCTGCCAGACTTAAGTGGGCTGCTTTGCCTCTCTGAGCCTCGCTTTCTTGGTTTCTTCATCTGTGGAATGAGAATAGGCTTGGGGGAAGCCTGTGTCCTGCAGGCAGTGAGGGGATTGGCAGGAGCCAAGGTGAGAGAGCTTTTGCAAAGCAGGGTAGCTTTTTTTTTGCGACGGAGTCTTCTTCTGTCGCCAGGCTGGGGTGCAGTGGCACGATCTCGGCTCACTGCAACCTCCTGGATTCAAGAGATTCTCCTGCCTCAGCTTCCCAAGTAGCTGGGACTACGGGCTTACACCACCATGCCCAGCTACTTTTTGTATTTTTAATAGAGATGGGGTTTCACCATGTTGGCCAGGATAGTCTCGATCTCTTGACCTTGTGATCCGCCCTCCTTGTCCCCCAAAAGTTCTGTGATTACAGGTGTGAGCCACTGTACCCGGCCAGCGGATAGCTTTGAAGGCTGCCTCAGCCAGCCTGCCCCTGGCCCTTTGCACACACGCCCATGCAGCCCCATGGGGAGGATGGCTCCTCTCCAGCTAGCCCCGCAGCATGCCATCATCGCTAACCCCATGGGCCGAGCTTGGGCCCATGAAATCCTCATGACTCTCTCTGGGGAGTAAGTGTCCTCACTACCTGTTTTCAGGATTAGGAAGCTGAGTTGAGCAAGGGCTGAGTTCACCCCACCAGGAAGCGGCTGAACTGGGACTCAGCTCTGCAGCTGAGGAGTCCCAAGCACCAACCTCACCAAGGTCTGCTGGACCGCAGGTGGGGGCCCAGGTAACACGCATGTCCCCACACGTGTGGTCTACCCCTCATCCAGGGTGCTCATCCTGGGGTCCCTCTGGGCCTAGGCACATTGCCGCCTAACCAAATCTGTGTTCTGTTAGCAAGAAACTGGGGAGATGGCTCCCATTAAGGTGCACACAGTTACAGCGGAGGACTGGTACTGTCCCTGATGGACACCCAGAGGATGCCTTCTGGACACCAAGGGGGCCTGAGCCACTGCCTCAGCAACACCCAGCACTGAGCCCTTTGCCGCCCTCACCCTGCCAACCTAATTCAGCATCTCTTTCCTCCCCTGCTGACCCCAAACTTCGACTGAGAACCTCGGGTCTGTCACACACACTGGGGTCCCCAGACCTCTGGGTCCAGTACCTGCTGGATCCTCAGCGTGCCCCCGCCACCTCCCCCTGGCTCTGGGCATTTGTCCCGGCCCCTCACCACCTCCTAGGATACCTCGAAGCCCTGCCACGTCCCTGGGGAGACTTGGACATTCACACTGTGGTGCGCAACCTCCTGCTCCTAAGTGTCTCCCCCTCCACGTGACAGAGCGCCGTCCTCGACCAAACTTTAGCCAGGTGTCTCTGAGCCCTCTTCTGGCACAGGCCTTGACCTTGGCTGGCAAAGAATCCCGCTAAGTCAGTTCAGGGAGAGAATCCCCCACCCTTGATCTCAGATCAAGTTCCTCTCTCCCACTCTTGATCGTTAAGTCCTTGTCCCTTTAGCAAGAATCCCACCGGGCCTGGGTAGCAGGAAGTCCTCTACCCTTGATGTCAAATCTAGTCCTTCTGAGTAATTTTCCATCCACTGCCCCTCACTCTGCTCCTTGGCCATAAATTTCCAGCTGTCCTTCCTGTCTTCAAGGTTGAGTTCAAACTCTGTTCGCTGTTACAATCATCTTTGGTAAAGTCTTCTTTGCCATTTTTAAACACGGGTCAGGTGCAATTTTTCTCTTTAACACATACCCCTTAGCCCTCCACCAGCTTAACCATCCCCCCGAAACTGCTCAGCCCTGAAATCTCAGTCCATGTCCTGGTTTAGAGCAAGCTTGACATTCCAAGTGATAATTTCACCTCCCAAGGGGGCTCTCTCAGCTCCCTGCCTCTTCGTTTCTTATTCGTAAAATAGGTACAGAGGATTGAAAGGATATCAGGCGCCGCACAGAGCCTGGCTCAGAACAGGCACACGGCAAAAGTGTGTTTCTCTCTCCTTCTTTGGCTCTTGTTTACAAGAGGCCTTAAACCTGCCAGCAAAGAAGGATTGCACGTTGCTGGGATATTCTGTCTTCCAACGGGGAAAACAAAATCCCAGGTGGTGAGCGAGCGGCAACTCCCAGAAACGGTGACATCTGCCCAGCTCCAGCTTCCCCATTTATCCCTCGAGTTCAGTGCTCAAAAGGACAGGCAGGTGGCCAACCGCAGAGACTAAATTGAATGAAAAGAACCAGGATGCCATTGGATGGTCCAGGCTCGGCCGCGGCAGCGTGTGGGTCGTCAGCGAGACTGGCTCAGCGTTCTGTTTTCTCTCCAACTGGAACAGCGGGGCAGGGAGCCGTGAAATGTTTCAGATGTTTGTTGGAGTTTCTTTTCTTATCCTCACGCATGTAGCTTTGGGAGCTGGCTGGAATGTAAGCATGACCCGCCTGACTCCCTTGCAGGGGAACCAGTATCTTTACTTCAGCTGGCTTTGACAGCACAGTCTGGGGACCCTGAGGCTCAACTGATGTGACAACTCTGAGTCTCTCCTGGGGGCAGGCCTTGGTGGCCTGTGAACTCTTGCTCCTGGTTTTTCATTTCAGGAGGCTCAGAGAAGGCAAGGGGCTGGCCCGAGGTCACACAGCAAATAAGCTGGGAGCCCAGAAGCTTGGATTCTCTTCCTTTTATGTTTATTTCAAAAGCCACGTGCTCCAAGAAGCCTTCCTGCACATGCCACCTTATTCCAGGCTGGGCCAGGTGCCCTCTGGACCCCCGAAGTCCCCGAGTTCAGAGCCCTGATCGTGCAGCATTGCAATTGCTTTTAATGTAGCTGCGTCCTTGGGGCAGACATGGTATTGTGTGGGCACAGAGGCAGCAACAAGTGGTGAATGAGTGAATGTCTGCACAATGCATGCAGATCTTTCCCTTATCCTCAAGGTGGCCTCCTCCCCTGCACATAGTGGTGAGCAGAGCCCCTAACCACGAGGCTCTTTTATCTCCAGGATGGCCAGCTCAGACCTGGAAACTGACAGCTAATTAAAATAACACGATTCATAAAAACAACAGTAAAAATAACTGTCACATTACTGCCGCCAGCAATTACTGAGCATCGCTACAAACCAGGTGCATTTTCTGTCATATTTTATTGAAGGAGCGTGACAGCCGTAGGAGGTGGGTATTATTATCCTAATTTTTCAAGTGATCAACTGGAGACTCAGAGAAGCGACTCCTTATTTGAGGAATGAAGGTTCCACTGGCAAATGAGACAGGTCAGAACAGCGGAGGGCACAGGGTGAGGGCTGGGGACTGGCCAGTTTGTGCTTGGCAATGACATTAGGGCTGTCCTAACGAAGTTTCGCAGACTGAGTGGCTCAAGTGATGGAAATGGGCTGGATGCGGTGGCTCACGCCTATAATCCCAGCACTTTGGGAGGCCGAGGCAGGTGGATCACCTGAGGTCAGGAGTTCGAGACCAGCCTGGCCAACATGGTGAAACCCCGCCTCTACTAAAAATACAAAAAAGTAGCCAGGTGTGGTGGTGCATGACTGTAATCCCAGCTACTTGGGAGGCTGAGGCAGGAGAATCACTTGAACCCGGGAGGTGGAGGTTGCAGTGAGCTGAGATCACGCCACTGCACTCCAGCCTGGGTGATGGAGTGAGACTCCGTCTCAAAAACAAAAAACAAACAAACAAAACAATGTAAATGTATTCCTTCACAGTTCTAGAGGCTGGAAGTCCAAGATTAAGGTGTCAGCAGGTTAGTTTTTCTGAGGACTCCAAGGGAAAGGTCTGTTCCAGGCCTCTCTCCTGGTTTCTGGGGTTTGGCTGGCAATCTTTGGCATTCTGTGGCTTGTAGATGCATCATCCCAATCTCTGCCTCCCCTTCTTCATGTGGTGTTTTTCCTGTCTTCAAGGTCCGCCTGCCCCACTCTTTTTTTTTTTTTTTTTTTTTTGAGACAGGGTCTTGCTCTGTTGCCCAAGCTGGAGTGGAGTGCAGTGGCTGGATCAAGGTTCACTGCAGCCTCAACTTCCTGGGCTCAAATGATCCTCCCACCTCAGCCTCCCCAGTAGCTGGAACTACAGGCATGCACCACCATGCCCAGCTAATATTTTTACTTTTACTTTTGTAGAGATGAGGGTCTCACTATTTTACCCAGGCTGGTCTCAAACTCCTGGACTCAAGTTATCCTCCTGCCTTGGCCTCACCAAATGCTGAAATTACAGGCATGATCCATTGCGCCTGGACTCAAATTTCCCTTTTTTATAAGGACACAGTCATACTGAATTAGAGCACACTCCAGTACGACCTTATCTTAACTAATTATTGCTGCAACAATCCTATTTCCAAATAAAGTCACATTCTGAGGGATGGGGGTTTAGAACATCAACATATGAAGGGTGGGGGCACAGTTCAGCCCCTAATAGTAAGTTCAGGGCAGTATCCAGGGGGCTGCAAGTGAGCTGAGCCAGCCACAGAATCAGTGGGGCCCGGCCAAGCACTGCTTGGTACTGGCAATGGGTTAGCTGCTACAGAGGGGGCCGATGGGGGCCACTGTGGGCAGCAATGCAAGTGGGGAGACCAGAAGCTTCTCAGGGAAGTGTCGCCTCAGTGCCCCATTGAAGCAAATGGCTCCACCCCCAGCTAGATCCTCAAATCAGAAACCTAGGATGTCCTTGCCCCTCTGCATTCCTTGGCCTGCAGATTCGAGCCTCCCTCCCCATCTTCTAAAGAACAGAATCCGTTCACTCCTTGCACATAAGCAAGCACGTGTATAATCTAACAGATGGCAATGAATGCCTCAGGGGAAGAGCTGAGAAGGGGAGTGGGAAGCATCAGGAGGTGAGGATGCTTGGAAAACGACCTGTCAGCAGAGGCATGGAGGAAGGCGAGGCAGCCACGGGCATCTCTGGGGACAGCAGAACTCTCTGGGAGTGAGAGCGGCCAGTGCAAAGACCCCGAAGCAGGAGTGTGTTTGACGTGGCCCCAGAGCAGCAAGGAGGCCAGTGTCCCTTGGGGGAGGAAGAGGTGGGTGGAGAACTCGGGAAAGGAGTTTAGAAGCAGATGGGTCATCCTATGCACCCCCTGACACAGAACTTGGTCTCTGGCCCAGCTTTTTTCCCTTCACTTCCCCATCTGGTGCCAGGAGAAGCTCCCATGTCCAAATTCCAGTCCTAGATCACATCCAGGCCCCCGGGCTGGTCCTCCCTATGTAATGAGCCTGGCTCCCAAGCTAGCAAGAACAAACAGGCAGGATCTTCATTATTGAAATCACTCTGTGTAATGCTATCATAAAACCCACAGGGACAGGCCAGGCGCGGTGGCTCACACCTGTAATCCCAGCACTTTGGGAGGCCAAGGCAGGTGGATTATGAGGTCAGGAGTTCGAGACCAGCCTGGCCAACATAGTGAAACCCTGTCTCTACTAAAAATACAAAAAAATTAGCCAGGCGTGGTGGCACGTGCCTGTAATCCAGCTACTCGGGAGGCTGAGGCAGGAGAATCACTTGAACCCGGGAGGCGGAGGTTGCAGTGAGCCGAGATCATGACACTGCACTCCAGCCTGGGTGACAAAGCAAGACTCCGTCTCTCTCTCTCTCTCTCTCTCTCTCTCTCACACACACACACACACACACACACACACACACACAAACCCATGAGTACAGCCATGAAGAAAATCCCCAGAAATAGTGAAATAAAGACCATAAGCTCACTACCAAAAGAAACGAAATTGGCAAAAACTGCAAAGGGGAATCACAATCTTTCTGAATTTTCTCCTTGCTTCGGCTGAATTGCCACAAAGTACTTCCTTCTTCCTTAGGCTTTAATGGGCCCATGTAGACCTGTCACCGTGCTTGGCACAGGCTTGGTTTCTGATGGATGAAACAAAGATATGAGCCACTTGCTCATTGGGAACAGAACCCAACTCCCCGCCCGGGGTCTGCCCAGTGTTCCCAGGGTCCTGGGCAGCTGCTGATCCCAAAGGTGCTTCCCCAAGAGCCCATTCATTCATTCATTCATTCAGCAGATTAGTATTGAGGTCCTAGAGGTGCCAGGCCCTGGGACGTAGCAGAGGGTAAGGCAGATGCAGACCTAGCCCTCGTGTGGCTGAAGCTCCAGATCAAAGGGGCATGGGTGACAGCGTGGTTGATAGTAAATTGCACAGATGTTCCGGAGGTGGGGAGCCGTGGCAGGAAACATAACTGCAAAGAACAGGGAAAGGGGAATCAGGATAGGGAGAAAGTGGGGAGGGCAGGTAGAGATCTTGAACAGTGAGATGGCCAAGGCCTTACAGAAAAGTCGGTGCTTTAGAAAACATGTGACATGGCCGGCTGCAGTGGCTCACGCCTGTAATCCCAACACTTTGGGAGGCCGAGGCAGGCGGATCACCTGAAGTCAGGAGTTTGAGACCAGCCTGGCCAACGTGGTGAAACCCCGTCTCTGCTAAAAATGCAAAAATTAACACGGTGTGGTGGTGGGCGCCTGTAATCCCAGCTACTCAGGAGGCTGAGGCAGGAGAATCACTTGAACCAGGAGGTGGAGGTTGCAGTGAGCTGAGATCGTGCCATTGCACTCCAGCCTGGGTGACAGAGTGAGACTCCATCTCAAAAAAACAAAAAATGTGACAGAAGCAAGCCCATTAGCCCAGCGGGTATCTTAGGGCAAGTGTGTTCCAGAAAGAGGGTGGTGAGTGACTTTGCTCTGGTGAGGTAGGGACTGCAGAGGGGCTGAACGGTGAGCAGGGTCGTGGTCTCCCCACCTTCAGAGGGGTCCCTTGTGCTGCTTGCTGAGAATAGAGAGGGGGAGAGGGGTTTTACCCGCAGCTTCTCCACACACGTCTTGGCTGTGTGCTTCTGCCATTACCAGATGACCTGAAAGCTTCCCCAGGGCTGGGAAGAGAGTGCTGGAATAAGGCTTGGAAAGTGAGTGCTCTCACCAGCTCTGTTGCTGTCCCACTGGGTGTTCTCAGCCAAGTCACTCAGCCCCCTGAAGGCTTATACAAAATGTCAGTTGAAATCGCCACCCGGCCAGGCTGTCGTGGGGTCTAAGCGGGAGAGTGCATGGGTACTTGCTGTAAAATCGCAGGTGCTCCCTGAGGTCTAAGGAGCCTTGGGATGAGCCACCTTGACTCAGAGCGAATTCTCAAAAAGGGACATATATGCACAGAGCACCTGCCGCCTGCCACCTGTCGGAAGGCGCAGAAAGTGGGGGCGATTGGGGGCCACCTGGGTTCTCCAAAACCAGGAATTTACCTGCAAGCAATAGGTCCCTCAAGCAGCTCCCTCCTCGGGGCTCCTGGCTCGAATCCTTCTCCTTGCCTCGCATCCCTTCAATAGCACCCTGGGGCTGGGAAGAGACACTGCCAGGAGGCCCAGTCTAGAAACCTCCATGCTCAACTCATCCTGTTAGAGGCGGATAGAAAAGAGGGGTCTCCAGGTCCCTGAGCCTCAGAGCCCGGGGCAGGCAGGAAGAAGGCTGTGGGGCCCACACATCTCACCCCAATGGGCCCAGCAGCAAGCCCCACCAGCCTGGCGGAGACAGAGAAAACTGGGAGCCCTGAAGAGTCACAGGGCTGTGTTGTGTTTCCTCTTCTGCAAGAAAGGAGGGGGCGGGCCAGCTGACCATCAAGAGGAAACTGAGGAGGGGGGTGAGGACAGTGAGGGGAGCTGTGGCAGTGCGGTGGACGTGGTGGCCAAAGCGGTCCTCTCCTGAGGCCCAAGTACCCAGGGCACCTGGGCCACAGGTAGTGACCAATGAGGACCAAGCCCAGAGGAGTCCCCTCCCCTCTACTGTGGTCTCCACTGGCTGTGACTGGGTGTGGGGCCATCGTGAGGGGGTACCAGCCCTGGGCCTACTCCTGAAAACCCCAGGAGGAGGGGCACCAGTGACAGATGTCCCTGACACCTCCCTCACCACCACCCCCAGCCCGCCAGACCTGCTTCCTGAAGGAAACTATGGGAATGGTTCAACTGCAAGCAAATTGGCCACATTGTAAGTCAAGCCAGGCTGTCCGGGGCTTTTCCTGCTTGTAAAATGAACAAGACCTGCAGTTCTTGGTCTCTGGGAATCACAAACCTCTCTGAGCTTTGAAAGAACCTGGAATCCTCTCTTCCAAGAGGCGCACACATGTGAATGCACACACTCACACAAAGGGAGCCTCCCTGACCAGAGAGCCTCTGGGGCCCCTTCCACCTGGGACTGAGTTTCCACTGAGGTTTGTCCTTACCCAATCAGAAACTGAGAACCACAGTGGGGGTGAGGGTGAGGTTGAGGGGTCAGGAACACTTGTCACCAAAATTCCCAGAATTGCCCACAAAATGCCATGTCAGCAGGTTCCTGTATGCAGGCAACTAACCCATCATTAAATTCCCCGAGTCTCCGTCAGCCGCAGGCTCTCAATGGCCCTCAGCCAATTCTTCAGATTCTTCCCCCGTGATGCAGGCAAAGCCAGGTTCCCACTGCAGCCCTGCCATCGGTTTCGCCATCTGGTTCCCCCATCAGGCAGGGACTGCTTCCACCTGCCGTGTTCATTGCCTACTTAATATCAGTGAGGTGACGGGGGCTGGGGTGATGACACTGTGGCTGAGACAGGGTTAAATTGATCACATACTTTATGGCACCCCCCGCCCCAAGATGAGTCATTGTTTCAGGGGGAGGTTCAGGCATTTGTGGGAACTGGTGTTTTGTTTTGCTTTGTTTTTGAGATAGAGTCTCGCTCTTGTCACCCAGGCTGGAGTGCAATGGTATAATCTCGGCTCACTGCAACCTCTGCCTCCCGGGTTCAGGTGATTCTCCTGTCTCAGCCTCCTGAGTAGCTGGGATTACAGGCGCCCGCCACCATGCCTGGCTAATTTTTGTATTTTTAGTAGAGATGGGGTTTCACCATGTTGGCCGGGCTGATCTCGAACTCCCGACGTCAAGTGATCAGCCCACCTCGGCCTCCCAAAGTGCTGGGATTAGAAGCGTGCGCCACCACGTCCGGCCTGTGGGAATTGTTTTAAATGTCAGCTGAGAAGAGGAAACATTCAAAAGTGGAAGGGAGACAGGGGAAACAGCATTTTCTGACCACTCACCCCCGCACAGGGCATCTGTCCAAAGCTTGACTAGGAAAACATACTCAGAGAGCTCTGGTAACTTACCTCAGGTCACACAGCAAGTGAGAAGCACAGTGGCAGGCAAACCCAGGCCTGCTGGGCTAGTTTCTACCCCCGTCACATGACCCTGGGCCACCTCTCAGGCACAGCAGAAACCCCTGGGCAGAAACACGTCCAGGAAGACAAACCTGGAAAGCTGACAAGTTTGGAAAGTCGGGGGATCTCGTGCGAGGCTGAGACCTTTGGGGCCCCTGGGCAGGTGGGCTGGGGGGAGCTGTGCCATGCATGTGAACACCAGGCTGACGAAATTTGTCTCCATTCATACTTTCTAGTGTGGGGGAGGGGTGTCTGTGAACTTGGGGTGTCCCCACCCCCCGTGACTCCTGGACAGAGGCCACTTGTTCCTCAGAAGCAACCCCATCACCTGGGAGGAACTGGCAGGGGTGGTCTCAGGACCTGGCAGCCCCCCGCATAAATGGGGATGGGGCTCACACCCCCTGAGGCCACAGGCAAATCAGTTGAACCACAGCCCCCCAAGCCTCTAACACAAATCCCACCCCACCTGCCTGCCCATCTCGTCCTCTGATCAGACGGCAAGATGCAGCCACTGGGCGGAGTTTCCCAAAGCAGATGGCTGGCCCCAGGCTGCTGCCCTCCCACGCCTAGTCCCTGAGTCTCTTCTTCAAGGTCTTCACACCTTGAAGACTTATTGTCAGGGTCTTTTGGCAGGACTCCCCCAGCCCTGAGCCCCATGTCTGAACCACAGACTGACTTAGGCACCTCGGCCAGGCCAACTCTGGGAATAATAGCCGTGCCCAACCCAGCCCTCTCTCCTGGGTTTCCCCTGAGCCTGCAGCCCCTGGTTCCAGTCAACACCGAGCCTCTCTCACCGGTCCCACCAGGCAGAAGAGAAGCTGGCAGCAGTCTCCTCCCCTTTGGAGACTCAGGGTGGGACTGCGCCCACTCTCTTCCTGAAAGAGTGTCCCCACAATCCTCCCTCTCTGGTCTCTGATGTGAGTGAGGAGTCAGGATTGGGAAAGGGGGATCCCCTTCCTTTGCCTTTCTGGGGACCCTGACTAGTGATATCTCGCTGATGCTGGTGTCCTGGTACCTTGGTCAGATCATCCCACTGCAGGACGTTCCGGGCAGCTGGCTGGGCTGCTGGGCAGAGCCAGGCTGATGGTACTCAGGCGGGGGCCTGGGAGCAGACAGCAGGATGATGCCTAGACAGCGACTGTGGTGCCAACAGTGTGGTAGTGGACGGAAGTGGACGAATTCACAAGGTGGAACCACAGAGCCTGGTGCCAGCCAAGGGGAAGCATCTGACTGGAGGGTGAGGGTGGAGATCTGGGCATAGGGTGCAGAGTTCCAGCTCAGACCTGCCTGCAGCCTCAGGGCCTGGACAGTTGGTGACATGGGTTTCATGCTCAAGAGGGAGATTGGGGACTTGGCAGCCCATAGATGAACAAGTGAAGAGGAAGGGTCAAGTTACAAACGTAACCCAGAAAAATACCTCCCAGCCGCTCTCTCTGCCTCCGCCTCTCCAAGTGAGTGACCTAGAGCAACTCCTGGAATGCAGCCTTCACCCTCTGTGTCCTTGCTGAGTGGAAGAACCCTTACTCCTGGTCACTGTGGGAGGGTTTGAAGGTAAGACCCAAATGCAGGAACTCGCCCTCATTACACTGACTGTGCTTCCATTCCACCGAGGCTGCTGGGTTTCAGGAGGATGTTATAGGATAGGGGTCCAGCGAATGGAGCCTGAGAGAGGCCACCCCGACCGCTGGAAACCTGCTCTGGAGTCCGCAGGTCAGGGGCGCCAGCCAACGGACACCTGGACAGCAGACACCTGAGCGCTCCCCTCCAGTTGGTCCATGGGGGGAGAAAACAGTCACTGTGATTTGCCGACCGCTCAGGACTCTGTGCAGCCATGGGGCAGGGGAGTGATGAGCTGGACAGCAACCCGGGAAAGGCATCCACTCCAGGGCAGCAGGCCCACCCCAGGCCGCAGAGCTCAGAACCCAACAGGCCTGCCCAGTGCAGCAGGGGCCACCTGTGCCAGAGGCCAGCAGCAGCCCAGGATTCAGCTGCATAACCGGCCTGTGCTGGCCAGGGAGCGAGGCAATGACGCCTCACAGACGCCCCCCAGGGAGCGATGGGCAGTAGCATTTGCAGCTGGGCTCAGATTCCCACTCCACAGCTGGGAGTTGACCTTGGGAGGATCTCTGAACTTATCTGAGCCTCTGACTCCTCCTCTATGAAACAGGCATCAAAGAACACCCCAAGGATTGTGCCGAGTTCACTGCGTGACAGGAGCTCTGGGCGGCACATGAATCGCTTTGATTTGTTCCCATCGCTGCCTCTCACCTCATCTTCTCCAGGCCCCTGGGGATGAGCCCTCAGCCCAGATTGAATCCACCTGTCCATGTTCATCCACCTGCTGGTGTTGGCCTTTTGTCCTTCCTCCCACTCCAGGTCTGGTGGCCGGGGTCGTGGCATGCGTGGGGACATCATTGTTGGGTTTCCCCTCCTCCCCTCCCTTGCCTACTGGGGCAATGGGAGCATAGAAGGGTCCGTGGCAGGAGCCTGGCAGGGTCAGACCTGATTTTCACCTAAAGTTTATATAGAGTGTTTCTACTGACGAGGATCTAGATAAACAACTGCATCATGAAATCTCAGGGAAAATACTGACCCACGTATATGTGAATCACTGGAAAGCAGAGGACCAGATTATATTTGATTGCCCCTAGTAATGGGGAGCTCCCTACCTGAATGGACAGCCAATTTAGACTGTTTCTCCCAGCTCCGAGAGTTGGGGCCCTTCCAATCCACCCCAAAGCTTTCCCTGCTGGTCCCAGCCTTGACTCTCAGAGATGCAGAAAACTTGGCCATTTTCTCTCCTCCTCAGCTTGGCTCTGCAGAGGTAATCTATTATATAAGTCACCACAGCAGTCCAACCCGTGGGGAAGCATAACAGCAACACCAAACGCCTACTGTGTGCTTCAGAAGCTCTCACTACATGCCATTGACATGCATAGCTCACCCCACAGCACCATGCCCCAAGGATGGGCCATTGTCCCCATTTTACACAGGGGGAAGCAGGCTAGGAGGCAAAGGACTTGACTGAGGTCATAGGCTGAGAGTGCCCAGTGGCATTTGTCCTCAGGCTGGCAGACTCCAGAGCAGTGCTGTGAGCTCTCAGCCACTGCTGCCTCCTCATATGGAAACGGGGTGCCAGGGGTAGAGCATGCGCTTGGCAAAGCTGAAGATGAAGACAGGGGCCTGGGGCAACAAGGGCTGCCATCCTCAAGTCCCCTGGTGGGGGTCAGGATTAGAGTGGGGGCCAGGAGGCAGCCCGCATCCTGAAGCAAGGGCCCTGACACTTTCTTCTCTGGGAAACAGAGATGCAAGGACAAGCAGATTGTTCAAAGTCACTTGCTAGTAAGTGGCAGAGCCAGAGTTCCACGCCTTCCCCTACTCCAGGTGAGACCGCAAGGACGGCAGCCTAGAGTGCTGGCTCAGCACATTTGGAGATGGAAACTCTCCCCAACTCTGGCTCCCCTGCCCTCCCCAACAGCTGCCCAGGCTCAGCCATGTCCCCACAGATGCCAGCAGCAGCTGGCCACACTGCGGGGGGTGGGGTCCCTTCACTATTCTTAGCTCCTCAGGGCCCAGGCTCCGGGAGATGCAAGGTCACCCTCCTGTCCCTGAGAGAGAAGTGGCTTAGACTCAGCTATGCAGATGGAGGACCTGGGCAGCCAGTCTGCCCTGCTCCGAAAGGCAAGGACCCTTCGTGGTCCAGGGAACAGGCCAGCAGGCAGCTGGTGGGACCTCAGCCCCCAAGGTCCTTTGGCTTGTCTCGTTTGCTGTCATTTAGGCATATACGTGATGCCACCATTCGGTCACCACTCTCCTATGTCACCTGGGGCCTAGGCTGAGCCTGGGGGACCTCTGTGCACTAGCGTGTCCCTGGCACCCAGGACACTGCCCTGCGCGGAGGAAGGGCCTCCATAAATATCTGTTGAAAGAAATGATTCATCCATGAAGAAGCCCCAGTCTTATCTTTGAGAAATGCACTGCCTGGTGGGGAAGCAGGCGCTTTATTAATAACAATCACAGCCAGGCATTCGCGAAGCACTCTCTGTCAGCTGTGTCCTCAGCACTTTTCACACCTCATTGAGTCCTCACGACAAGACAACCAGGGGAGATGAGAACAAGTCTCACCCTCATTTTACAGATGAGGAGGCTGGGCTGGAGAAGCCAAGGTTTGCACACGGCAGTGGCTCCAGACCTCAGGCTGGAGACCTCCGCGCAGATTCTGGGATGGTGGCTGTGGCGGGGGCTGCAGAGGAGGTGAGGTTTCCCTCGACCCGAGTTGAATGGGCTGAGATGGGGGCTGGCATTTGGGAAGAGGCACCTTGTAGTCATGACCTGGAAGCCTGAAGGAACCTGTTGTTGGGGGGAAACCAGGGCCTCAGGTGTGTCTGCAGCTGCTGGTCATGTAACACATGGCAGACCAGGGCTGGCTGTCCATGGGGGTTGGGAGCCACAGAAGAGCTTGGGCAGGGAGGTGGCAGGATTAAGGTTGCATTCTGGGGCTGGCCACGGTGGCTCACGCCTGTAATTCCAGCACTTTGGGAGGCTGAGGCGGGCGGATCACGAGGTCAGGAGATTGAGACCACCCTGGCCAATATGGTGAAACCCTGTCTCTACTAAAAACACAAAAATTAACCGGGCGTGGTGGCGTGTGCCTGTAGTCCTAGCTACTTGGAAGGCTGAGGCAGGAGAATCGCTTGAACCCGGGAGACGGAGGTTGCAGTGAGCTCTGTACTCCAGCCTGAGTGACAGAGCGAGACTCCATCTCAAAAAAAAAAGGAAGAAAGAAAAAAAGATTGCATTTTGGCCAGATCCCTCTGGCTTCCATGTGTAGGGGACAGGGGAGTGGGCCAGGGCTGCTAAGGGGGCCTACGAGGCAAAATTCAGCAGGAGTCAGTGGGATCTGGAATGGATGGTATTAGACGGCTGCAGCCCTAAGAGGTGGTAGGATGAGGGACCTAGGCAGAGATGGCCATCAAAGGGGACACCAGCTTCCTGGTGTGGGTGTCCAGTGGATGGAAATGTCCCTCCCTGAGGTGGGGGCAAATAAAACATACTCAGCTCTTATGTCAGCCTCTCACCTGCCCCTCAGGACCTCTCATCATCCTGTTTCCCGCACGCCTCCCCTCCCAAGCTGCCCAGCTCCCTATCTGTTTCATCAAGCATCTGCCCCCATCACAAAATGCACATCCAGCCGTCTGCCTGACTGCCTGCCTGTCCACAACACAGACACCCAAGCTGCCCCCTCTCAATCTACCATGCATTCTCCCCTGGAAGAGTTACAAGTATTAAATGGGCTAATTCATCATGTAAAATGCTTGGAACAGTGCCTGGTACCTCAATAAATATTAGCTGGAGGTAAATTATTACTGCCATTATTGTTATTGTCTATTGAAGACCCACCACCCATCATTCACCCAGTAACCCCCCGAGCCATGCACCCCTCGCCCATCCATCTCACACTCACCACCTTACCCATCTACCTATCAACCCAGCCCGTCCTTCAGTTGTCCACGTAGCCCTCCATCTACCCAACCACTCATTTGTATAGTCATCCTGCCGTAAACTTGTTCACCCATCATCCATCCGCCCATCATCTACTCACCCATCCACCGGCCCACCCATTCACTTACTCAACCCTCTACCCATCTGCCCATCTACCCATTGTCTATCCATCTAGCCATCCCACCCATTCACTCACCCACCCACTCACCCATCCATCCATCCATCCACCAATTACCTACCCATCCATCCATCCATCCATTTATCCACCCATTCACCCATCTATCCATTCACCTATTCCCTACCCATCTATCCATCCATCCCCCCATCTACCATCTGTTCACTCATGCTGCATCCATCTACCCATCCACACATACCCATCTACTGGATGCAAAGTCCTCCGCTCACCCCGCAGGATGCAAAGACATGGAAACTTGAATCTGATGCGGGGACTCTCAGTGTCTTTGGGAAGGCCAGGCCAATACCAAGCAATCATCTATTAAAACAGGGGCCTCTGCTCTAAAGGCCAGAGGGAAACAGAAAAGTGAGAGGCCAATCTGAGCAGACTAATCAAAGGAGGCTTCCTGAAGGAGGGAGAGCTTTCTAAAGTTGTGATTTCCCAGGGCCCTTCCCAACCTCAGTTCACTCCCCAAGCTTGCAGAGACCAGGTTCCAGTGTGGCTGCGCTCCACTCACTGCTCCTCTGCTGCCTCTGTCATTTCTGCAAAAATTATCCCATTATATTTTCCAAGGACAAGCCAAGCTGTTGAGGCAGCAAGCTCATGTGTGGCTTGGTAACAATAATAAACCAGTGCTCCATGCTGAAGTCCTTGAGTCCACCTGTTGGCCTGGGGGAGGGAGGGGGAGAACTGGAAGGGGCCTGGGAGGCGGGAAGAGACGATCCTAATTACACAGTGGAATTAATCACAACACCTTCACTGAAAGGACTTCGCACATCATTATCTGCTGTGGGAAGAGCAGCTTCATTGGGGTGTGGGGAGAATTAATTATAGTTGGGGACGCGTTCAGAGGGTTGGAGATGAGAGGTACGAGGCAAGTACCAAATATGCTTATTAATCAAACATCAGTGCCAAGTTGCAGACGTGGCCAGACTGCTCCAGGTGTCCCGGGGGAGCTCAAGAGGCACCAGCCGCTGCCTGCCTCCCGGGCTGGCTCTCCAAGCCAGGCCTGTTGGAACCACATATGCGACTTCAGGCGTGGAGACCCCCTCTGGGCTGGACCCTGTCGTGGGTCACACTGGAGACACTGAGCCAAGGCAGAACCAAACCTGACTCTCTGGGAGCTCCTGGCAGTGACAGAGGCACAGATAGACAGTGTCACTTCATTGGGACCAGGGCTGTGATGGGCAGGAAGCACAAAGGAAGCAGGGACCCAGACTGGGGCTCAGAGAAGGCTTCCAGGAAGAGGAGACAAATGTTCTGGGTCCTCAGAGATAAAAAGGAGCAAGAGAGAAGTCCAGGAAAAGAAAACAGAGAGTATAAGGGTACCTTCAGAAAAGTTGAGAGGCTATGCAAGCCTAGGGTGGCCTTTGGCAGGAGAAGGGGCAAGATGGCAGGTGGAATCCAGACTTTAGCCTGAAAGTAAATAGGGAGCCACAGGAGGGTCTTGAGCGGGAGAGCGATGCTGTTGGATGTGGATTTCACACAGATCCTTTGGCTCCATGTGAAGGATGGCTCAGTGGGCCAGAGAATGGAGTCAGAGAGATTGTTGGCTACTGCCTAAGTCCAGGCAGGAGACAGTGAGTCTTGGACAAGATGGCACCAGTGAGTACTGAGAGGGGGGTACTAGGAGGAATGGCTGAGTATCTAGAGCTAGAGGACCGAGGGACTCTGCCCAGTGAAGCCAGCTCACCTAGGGACTGTGAGCCCCCGTTGTCAAGGGCAGAGTCCCATGCAGACCGGTCCCTATGTCTGTGGCACAGACCCATCCTGCGCTGACCGCCATACTCCAGAGTCCAGGTCGGGGCCTTGGCCAAGACAGTTTGTGGGTCCTCAGCCCTATTGACTCCACCCTGGGAGGCACCTGGCAGCCTGCAGGTTCCCATTTTTGCCCATCTGCACCCAACCCCCTCGCCAACCTTCCTCACTGCTCCCTCCCTCCTCTCCTGGCAGGCCAGGCTCTGCCCCAGGGTCCCCGAGCTGGCTCAGAAGGACAGGACCTCCGCTCTACTGACCAAAGGTGCTAGCCTTTTGCCTTGGGCAAGTCACTTTCCAGCCTCAGTTTCTTCGTTTGTGAGATGGGTGTGGTGATGACAGCACCCACATTGCAGCCATTGAGATGTTTCTGAAGTGCACAGAATTGCGCCCAACGAGCGGCTCAAAACAGCGGTTGTGGTTACTGTCACGGATGATGATACCAAGTGCCTAGCGGAGCACCTTGCACACGGCAGGTGCTTAAGATACAGCAGCGGTGACTGCTGTGTCTCAGTGAAATATCAAACTATAGGTACTGACCGCTAGTGGGGGCAGGCGGTGAGGACTGCAAAGCAGAGGCCCTACTGTGTGCCAGGCTTTGTGGTAAATCAGTTAGTTATATGGCCTCCACTGACCAACCATCCCAGGTCCCTAAAAGGGAGGAACTGTGGGCCCCGTTTCAAAGACGAGGAAATTGAGGCTTACAAAAGGAAAGTGTTTTGTCCAAGGGGGCACAGACAGGAGGCAGACCCAAGAGTCTGACTGCAAATCTGTAACTGTCACATTGAAATGAAACATGAAGGTGGCAAGGAGGCTCACTACGCAGGGGCCTTGAGCAACTCACCGGACCCTCAGAACCTCCATTTTCTCATCAGTAACTGAGGCTCATGCTGCTGGTCCTAGAAGGTCGCTCTAGCAAGCCAGGGTTCTGGGGATCCATCTTTGCAAGCAGTGCTCCCAGATATTCCCATGGTGCCCTGGGGCAGAAGGCAGCCCATCCTCTCTCTTGGCCTGGGCTCCAGTACCCGGCGTGGCATTCTGGGGGACCTAGAGCAGGATGTCAGCAAACCCAACCGCAGAGGGCCTGGTCCCTCATGGGGCCTGGATCCAGGGTGGAGAGACTGAGGCAGAGGCAGCTCCTGGACACCAAGTTGAAACCTGGCTTTCTCCAACTGAGAAAGCAATGTTGGCATAAATGATTCTGAAGGGTTTGGAAATCCAACCCAGCGCAGACAACATCTTCTACTGACCAGCTGTGTGACCCTGGACAGGGTACTTAACCTCTCTGATCCTTCCTATCCTCAGCTGTAACAGTGCAAAAATAATAGTGCCTTGCTCATGGTGGGCTGGTGGTGCTCATGAGGAAATGTTTGTAAAGGCCCAGGCCTGGCAGGAGGTTTATGAATCCAAGCTCTGGAAGCTGGAGTTTCCCTTCCTTTCTCCTCTTCCAAAGGAACCAGGGCTTGGCTGGTCCCGATCTGCCTGAGAGCCCTTGGACAGGGTCTGTGGAGTGTCCCAGGCCTGTGACCATGGGAACACCTCCCCCGGCTTCCTCATCTCAGTCTCACCCCGTCTGGCCCTTGGGCATCTCTGTGGCAGTTCTGGTTCATCTCAGATGTTGACTGGTGACCAGGCTGCGGCTGGCTGGTGCCCACACAGGCTTGGGCCACCTGGCCAGGGCCACGGCCTCCACCCTGCCGCTCAGCCCCGGGCTGGCGTCCCCACAGCTGGGAGCCTCACAAGAACAGAATTCAGACAGTCGCTGGAACCTGCCGCCAAAGCCTCTTCTTTCCCTGGGCTTTATGGAAACATGAGATTTTGCAATAACAAAGGTTGCTCCGTGAGGCCAAGCCAAACAATTTACAAGATTGGGAGAGGCTGCTCAGCACAATCAAAGAGGCCTGGAATTCCAGCCTGGGCCATGGGGGCCTGAGCTGTTTAATCCCAGATAACCTGCCTCTCGGCGCCTGGGCTAAACCAGCCAGAAGCCAGTGCTGTACAGAGCCTACCAGAGCCTCCCACTGTGAGCTGGAGGGGCCCGAACAGCAATGAGCATGGAGCAGGTGGGGAAACCAAGGCCTAGAGAGGTAGACCCAGGATAAGCTCCCACTCCAGAGCTCTCTACTCTGTTCTTTGTTGCACTGAGGTCAGGAGTAGAGGCTTAGGGCGGGGGCTAAGGAGGGACAGATCCAAGTTCAAATCTCAGCTGTGCACTGCCAGCTGTGTGCCCCTGGGCAAGTCCCCTAACCTCTCTGGGCCTGTTTGATTTTTTAATCTGTTAATAGGGAATGCATAGAAGTGACTCCTAGGATGGTTGTGAAGATTCAGGTAAACCACCTGAGTGACACCGTGAGGCACAGAGCCCCCGGTAAGTGGGGGCCTTCATTCGGCTTCAGTTAAACAGAGTGTTCTGCCAATACTCTGTGCCTAGCCCAGGAAGAATGGGGAGAGAAGGCACACTCCCTGTACTCAAGGAGCTGGTGACCTGGTCAGAGAAAAAAGGTAGATCTTAATCTCAGAGGGGCCATGTGACTCGTGCAGGGCACACAGCTACAAAGTTGAGGCTCCTGTTCTGGCCTGGGCTGCCTGCCTCCGCCTTGGGGATATAAAATGACTGGTCTACAGAGCAGAGCCCTCACCCTAGTGCCCCAAGACAGAAGCTCTGAGAAGGAGCTTCCCCAGCAGTAGCACGAGCATCTGCATCAGGGTCCTCAGATTTCTGCCCAGCTTTGCCTCTCACGGGCTGTGTGACCTCTGGCCCATGGCACAACCTCTCTGAGAAGAGGGTAGCACCTGACCCTATTCCCTGCATGGATGCAAGGCATGAGCAGGTGTGGAGGGCGCTCAGTGAACTTCAGGGACTCCCGCACACACCAAAGATCCTGCCTGTCATCGTGTTTGTTATTATTATTACTGCATTACTCTGGGGCCCGCTGCAGGGTAGGCGGGGCTCTGTGCAAGTGAGGCTCATTGCTGGGTGCTCAGCTCCACCTGCCAATTGGCACCATCTAAATTCTCGCCGTCCCGGGCTGGGTTTCAGATGCCTGGCGGTAGGATGCAGTGAGCTGTGACAGCCGCCAGCTGCAGAGATGCCAAGCCCGGGTTAGACGCACAGCGCCGGGAAACAGGAGTGGATTCCGCCATTTCCCCAGATGAACCTGATGCCACAGAGCTGTGGGGAGGGGTTGAGCATCTGAGCTATGGTGGGGACCTCTCACTTCCCCTGGACAGAACCTCTGCCTCCTGTGAGCCAGCCTTGGGCTGAGGCCAGTCATCACTGTCCCCGATTTACAGAGGAGGACATGGGGCGGCAGGAGGTAGCCAGTCCATCTGGTCCAGGTCCCCAGCTGCTACGTGGGGTGCCAGGAGGCAAGCCCAGGACACAGCCACAAAGCCAGAACCAGGGCCCTCATTCACCAGCCCCTCCCCCTGCCTGAGAGCCACTGTTCCAGCCACACCTGTCTCCTCAGCTCCTTGCCTGGGAAACTGTGATATTGACTATTGACAGCACTGACAAATAGCACCTACCCCACCTTACGATGTAATGCGCATCACACGCTGAGAACAGAGCCCGGTGCTACCCGAGCGGGGCTTATCATCAGTGATCGCCTACAGATGAGGAAACTGAGGCCAGGAACAGCCTGCATCCCCGGGGTCTCTTGTGTTTCAGCTTTGGGAAGTGAAGTTGGTGCTCCCCAGTCCCCCAAGCCTCCTGGCTCCGTGTCACCTCGTAGCCGACGTCCTCCCAGTGTGCCTGGGCTGCTCGGTGGTCCCTGACCCAGGGGCATCTCCATGGGCCCTGAGCCCTAGGACTCGGGGGGACAGACAGGTCTGCACAGCAGCCTCTGGAGTCCAGGCATTTCCCTGGGAGCTCAGTCCCTTGTGAGACTCAGCTGCCCCCAGCACATAGCAGGGCCCCTGCAGCCAATCTTCTCCAAACTGATGGAGACGATGTCTTTTCTTTCCCACGTTGAATGCCCAACCATCGGGAGCTCAGACTTCATCCTGAAGGTACCCATGGAAGGTCTGTAAGCAGAGGAGTGGCGAGGTCAGGGGCTGTCCCCTCGAGGGACAGTGGAGGATGGGCTGTAAGGCTCTGCACCCCTTTAAAAAGGCAGTAGCATGAGTGGTTGCTGAGGACGTGGGTATTTCTATTGCTGCAAAATGTAACAAACTGCCACAAACTTGAACTCTTAAATCACCACCCACCTGCTGTTTCACAGTCCTGGAGGCCAGAAGTCTGCGTGGGCTCAGTGGGTTATCTGCTTAGGGTCTCACAAGGCTGACCTCAAGGTATCAGCAGGGCCGGGCCCTCGCCTGGAGGCTCCTGGGCTTATCTGGGGGTGTCAGCAGAATCCAGCTCCTTGTGGCTGTAGGACTGAGGTCCTGTGTCCTTGCTGGTGTTGGTTGGGGGCTCTTAGCTCCTCACTGCCTTGCCCTGAGACCCCTGCACCGCACTGCCTCATGCCTACCCCTCTCACCCGGGGTCTCTTGGGCCCCAGCTGCTGTCACCAGTCAGAGAAAATGCTCTGCTTTTAAAGGACTCATGTGACAAGGTCAGCTGAGCCAGATCATCTCCTCTTAAGGTTTGCTGATCAGTCACCTTTGTGACACCTGCAAAGTTCCTTTCACAGTGCAGTGTAGTTACAGGGAAACACTGGGGAGGGGGGTCATGGTGTGGCTTAGAGCTGGGCCTGCTGCATGCACTTTGTTTGCAGACAGAAGCCGCCTCTTGCCTCCTTGCCAGGCCTGGAAGAGAAACCTGTGTTTACACTTGTGACCAAGAGGCAGGTGGGCAGGCCAGAGAGGAGGAGCTGGGAGACTGTGGAACCCCCAGGGATGAGATGATGGCCTTTGGCAAACCCCACTGCTGGCATCTGTGCAGTGCATCTGGCCTGCGAGCTTCCCGGACCCCGGCACCCAGCTCACCACACCTTCCAAATCTGTGGGACCGCAGTCAGCCATGGCGATGATGCCTGCACACAGAGCAACTACTACGTACCCAGCCCCAAGCAGTCAAGACTCACAATACAGCAGCAGCCAAGATGCAGATTCAGCTCTGACCCCACAGCCAGCACCCCTAACCAGTGGGCAGCCCTTCCTCCCTGTGACCCATCCCTGTAGCCACAGGGAAGCCATGGCTTTGCTGTGACACGAGGCTCCTGTGGTCAGTTGGGAGAGCAGGAGCAGGGACAGGCAGCCAGCCAGCCTCACCCACTGGCAAAGGCACAAGGGCGGCAGTGAGCAAGCCAGCCTTACACCTCAGAGGAGGCCAGGGCTGGGAGGCAGAGGCCTGGCTGCTGGCTGGCTCCTCTTTCCCTCCCAGGATCCTGGGCTGAGTCTCCCCACCTCACGGCCTCCGCCTCCTCCCAGGTAGACAGGTGGAGTGAACACAATGCCCTCCAGGGCCCACCAAAGTGCTTCCTCCTGCCTGGAATTGATTGATAAATAAGGAAACAGAAGCTCAAAGAGGTGACAACTTGACCCCGCCCTGTCCACCCTACCCAAGGAGCAGAGCAGCCACCCAGTCCAGGGCACTGCCCAGCTTGGCCACACCCTTGCCGGAGGACTTTGAGGGGGCAGGGTGCATCGAAATCTCTCTGAGCCCTCGATTTTGAATTTAGGAAATGGGGGCTGGGGGATTGGACCCCTTGGAGGAGGAAGGGGCTGGGGGTGGTCCTTGGGAGGGTGGGGGGCTGCTCCGCAAGGAAGCGGGGGAAGGTGAGGGAACGTGTCGAGACCTGGGACCAGCTGGTCGCACCAAACCGGAGCCCCCTCACCCTGCCCGCCCCAGGGTCTTGGCCTCCAAGCACCACCCTCTCAGAAAGGAAAGAGGGTGCGATGCCTCCTGTCCCCGACTCCCGATTAAATGGCTGCAATTTTGATGTGGCAGGTGATCTTCTCGGGAAGCCTGGCTTTAAATTTAGCTCCCTCCCCAGCCAGCCCTTTGAAAAGGCTGCTCTCCACCAAGGGAGAGAGCATGAGTCATCGCCAGGCCGCCCTGTGAGCAGTCGCGTTTGCGGGGGAGCAGGCCTCCCGAAGTCAGAGAAATAGTAAATAGGGATGGAGGATGAAGCCACGACAGATGTGGGGTGTCGGGCTTGGCCTGGCACGCAGTAGGTGCCCAGAAATGGGGCAGGGGAATGTCTCCCAGGGTAGTCTGCATAGTCACCTGCACATGCCTCCTCCAGCGCAGCCGGGAGCAGAGACGCAGCAGTATTTGTTGAATGGTCCGTGGATGACAGCTTACATGCTTACATGCTCCGTCTCACTGGACTCACACAATAGCCCCCGAGCCTACGCCCTCACCTGCCTCGGCAGATGCCTGGAGGGCGGAAGGCTTAAGAGTGCTCCCCTGCCCCCAAAGATATCCGCATCCTAATCCCTGGAACCTGCCAGTGCTACCTTATACGGCAAGCAGGGAAAAAAGGACTTTGCAGAAGGGGTTGAGTGGAGGATTTTGAGATGGGGGTATTATTTGGGATGATCAGGGTGGGCCCTAATGCAATCACAGGCATCCTTATAAGAGGGAGGCAGAGGGAGCATCCGCCCCGAGGCTGTGGGAAGAGGAGTGCAGGGAGATCTGAAGATGCTGCCCTCCAAGGCCGGGTGATGCCGCCGCAAGCTGAGGGTACCACTAGAGGCTGGAAGGGGACAGGAGGCTCCTCCCCTGGAGCCTCCAGGAAGAGCGGCCCCGCGCACCCCTGGATTTTGGCCCAGGGATACCCATTTGATTTCAGACTCTGGAACTGTAAAGTGGGTGGTCATCTGGTTGGGGCAGCACAGGACACGAGTGCACAGAGAAGTGAACGGCCTTGGCCAAGGCCATACAGCTGGTGAGTGGCCAAACAGAGATCCAAACCCAAATCCATTCAGTTCCAAAGTCCACCCTTTTTCCTGCCGACCCCTCGGCCTCCTGGAAAAGCAGAAGGGATGTTGATGAGACCAAGTACCCACGAAGCGCCAAGCATTCATTTATTTTGGGTTAATCAACAGGACCATTGCCTGTTATGATCTTGTCTCTCATCTAATCCTCACATTGACCCTTTGAGGTCATTCCCATTATGCAAATGGGGAAACTGAGGCTCAGGGAGGCAAAGTAGTTTTGTCCAAGGTAGGCGAGCCCATGCCAGAGACAGAAGGTGAAGGTGCAGGGCCCTGGGAGCACTGCGGAGGGCAGCCCAGCCCAGCACATAGTGGGCCTGTCATGGGGTTATGAGGAGGCCATGGAGTGACCGCCCAGGACAGCCACCGTGCCTTGCAGGTTTGACATGGCTGGAGCTCCGGCACCTCACTGCAGAGGAGGCTGGGCAGGTGGGCTGGGCCACAGGCACAGGAAAAGGGGATGGAGTTTCATCCTGTAGGAGATGGAGTGACAGAGCCTTAACATTTGGGCCGTCACCAACCCGACAGTGAGCTTCTTTGGGGCAGGGACCTCTTCTGGTCTGTGGGTGTCCAGCACTACCTGGGACAGGCACAGAGCCCCACCCAGTGGCAGGTGAAGGGCGGAGGGAGGGAGGATGAGGGGGAGGGGCTCCACTAAATGATGACGCTTTCCACATGCCCTGAACACACCACACACACACACACATACACACACAGATACAAAGACACACACCACACAGACACACACACATCACACATACACACACAGACACAGACACACACAGCACACATACACACACCACACACAAACACTACACACACACCACACAGACACACAGAAACACACACCACACATACACAGATACACACACCGCACATACACACAGATATACAGACACACACCACACACACAGACACACACCACACACACACCATACATACACACACCACACACACAACGCATACACACAGAAACACACACCACACATACCATACACAGATACACCACACATACATACAGATACACAGACACAAACCACACATACACCACACTTACCACACATACACAGACACACATCACACATGCATGCACACACACACACCACCACACATACACGTGGAAACATGCACCGACACACTCACCATATGGAGATTCCAGACATGCGCACCCCAAAAAGGGAGATGCCTCATTCTACCACCCCCGCATGCCAACAGCCATCGCACACCCCAGCACACACAGCACACACCCCACTCATTCACACCATCCACTCACACCTCACACACACCATTCACTCACACCCTCACACACACTCACACACCACCACTCACATCTCACACAGACACAACCCACACCACTCACACCCTCACGCACACTCACATACACACTCACACACCCCCACCACACACACAAAACCACACACACCATTCACATCCTTACACACACATAGACACCACACACCACACACACTATTCACTCGCACCTCACACACATACATACACACTGGCACTCCCCACACCACACACACCCTCACACAAACCCACTCATATACACACACACGCCACATCCCCACACTACTTATACCCTCACATACAAACACACCACAGACCCCACATACAGCACACACACAGCACTCACACCTTCACACACATACACCACTCACACCCTCACACACACCCACTCATACACACACACACACCACATCCCCACACTGCTTACACCTTCACATACAAACACACCACAGGCCCCATACACAGCACTCACACCCTCACACACACACGCCACTCACACCCTCATACACCCCCCAAACACCACCACACACCATTCACTCACACCTTCACACACTCACACACACCACACACCCCACAAACCACCACACACCACTCAAACCCTCACACACATCACTCATACTCACACACACACAGCCTGAGACACACACATTGACACACATCACTCACATATACATATCACACTCGTATCTTCATATATACACACAACACACTCTGCTCACACTTTCATACACACACACATACACACACATTCACAAACACACCATACACAGCGCAGACCACACACCAACCATACCACATACACACAACGCACACATACAACACACACATTTATACTCATATACCACACATGACACACAACACACATAACATACATATATAACACACAACACACACTCTTATACACACGTACACACACAACACATACAACACACACACAGCACACACTTTCAACAGTCCTAGGTATACTCACAAACATACACATCTCACACATACCACACACACCACCACACACTATATATAACACACAGACACACCGTAAACATACATCACACACCTCATATACAGTACCACACAGACATATGACACACACAAGACACACACACCACTCACACACTCTCATATTCACACACATACCACACTCACAAAAAACACACAGCACTCACACACTCTCATATTCACACACATACCACACACACAAAACACACACCACTCATTCAGATTCTCTCATACACACATACATATTCACACATGTACCATACACCCCACACATTTAATACGCATACACAGAACACACATAGCACATGCACACACCAAACACCACATACAAATCACACATACAACACACACACACCACTCATACAACAAACACAACACACAACACACACATACACACACTATACACCACACACACAGACACCACACACACAACACACCCCATCCCAGCAACACAGGCGGCCTGCTGTGACACCCCTACACTTCCTCCCCTTGCTCAGCCCGCATCCCTCAACGCTGAGTGTCCCTGGCACTGAGAGCCTGAGACACGGTCCCTGCTAGGGCACAGATGACAGGCACCTCTCCAGCATAACAGCCAAAATCAGACGGGACAGTCTGGCAGGCACCTTCCAGCCCCGCCACCACCAGCACCGGGCACTTCTACCTGTTCCATGGCCTCTCTTGGCCTCAGTTTCCTCCGTCCCCCTCTTGGGATATTTGCCAGGCGCCAGGAGAAGTATCTCATGGGCCCAGTCTCATTTAGTCCTCGAGACACTCTATGCGGGAGGCAGTGCTGTGACCTCTTTAGGAAAGAGAACTGACGTTCAGGGAGCTTCTGTGCCGTGCCCAAGGCCACCTGGCCAATTAGGGACAAAGTGCCACCTTGCTACAAATCCCATGAGCCTTCCCACTGGGCAACACTGCCTGCCCCTGTGGCTGAGCAGGCACTGCCTCCCTGAACCCTCACTGTGACCCTGACCTCGCCCTGCTGGGGCATTCATGGGGTCCCTCTGCCCCTCCCATGAGCAGGGCCCACATCGGCTCCCTTGGAGGGAGATTGTGTCCTGCTTGGGCAGCTGCTCAAGCCAGGTCCACTGAAGACAGGAAGGGATGGACACCTGTGAGACAGGTGGGGAAACTGAGGCACTCCAACAGTGCAGGCTTCCTAGGGTGGGCGCCCCAGCACCATTCCCACTGTCCAGCTGGGTGCCTCGGGCATGAGGCTGAGCCTCCCTCTTATCTTTGAAAGGGGCCCAGGATGTGGCATCGGAAATGCCATCTGGATTCCCAGCCCCATCAGTGGGTCACGCGCAAGCTGTTGCCAGGCACCTCCCGCTGTCTTGGTTCCTCCTCAGTAAGGAGAGGGTGCAGCACTTGCCCTCGGTGCCTTCTCTTGATGTTTACTAAGGTACCTGTGAGGGGCCAAGGCTGGAGGACTGGGCCTGGACGTCAGGCAGACCTGGGCTTGAGCCCCGATTCTGCCCCTAGCTGGCTGTGTGGCTCAGAGCAGATGTCCTAACCTCTCTGAGTCCCAGCACCTCTGCTGTGAAGTGGGGAGGACGCTGCCCAGCACTGTGGTGAGGAACAAATAAAGCATAAAGAATACATCAAGTATAAAGGGCTCAGCCCAGTTTCTGGTGCGGTTCCATCAATGCTTAGAAAAATGAAATGAGGGCCACCATCTCAGGAGACCCAGGTGGGAGGATCTTGGGGCCAGTCCTCCAGGGGCTCCCTTCTCCCTCCTAAAATGCGGAATCGATAAAAGATCCTCATCTCCATTCTCTCTTGGGGCCCTCGAGGAGGCTGCAACCTTCTCCCCACGAGATCTCTTTACACCAGAGGTCTCCCGGCCAGGGACAGGGGAAGGTGGGGAAACGGGGGCTCACTGGCTTCGAGGCCACAGAAGGGCAAGCGCAGCCTTGTCCCGCAGGTGAGGGGCGAAATGGGGGGCAGACTGGAGCTGGGGGGCTGCCGGGTGGAGAGGGGAGAAGAAGCCGAAGAGGGGACCCCATGCAGTGGCCCAGGAGGGTCGGGAAGTGGGGCCTTTCCCACAGGAAACCCTGGCAGAGGAGCTTGTCTCATGTGAAGGGTTCTCGGCCCAAGCTGACCGTGACCCTGATCCTCCTGGCCAGGGTCTGGCTGGCAGGAATAACGTGGCTCCCAGACAAAGCAGGTGTATGTTCCATGGGGATGGGAGGACTGGGGAGTAGGAGACTGGGGTGGGAAGAGGAGAGGAAAAGGGAGTGGGGAGGAGGAGGAAGGAACAAAGGAGAGAGGAAGAACGCAGAGGAAGGAAGGAAGGAGGAAGGGAGGGAGGAAGGAAACGGGGCAGGAAAGCGGAAAGAGGGAAGGGAAAAGTAGAAGGAAGGAAAATGAGGAGGAAGGCGTGAAAGAACGGACGGAAAGGAAGTAAAAAGAGAGAAAGTGAGAAGCCACCGCAAACAGCAGGAGGGGAGAGAGAAAGAGCCAGAGGGGGAGAAAAGAGACCGCGAAAGAAAAAAAAAAAATGAGAGGAGGACGCAAGAGAGAGAGAGGGAGAGAGAGAGAGGAAGGGAGGAGAGAGGAAGGGAGAGAGAGGAGGGCGCAGGACGCGGCGGGCAGGGCGGCGGGAGCTCGGCGAGCCCGGGCGAGGGGGCAGCAGAGGGCGCGGCGCGGAGCGAGCGCCAAAGAGTGAAGTGGGCAGCGGCGGCGGCGGCGGCGGCGGCGGCGAGCGCGGGGCCCGGCGAGCATGAGCGCGGCGGCGGCGGCGGCGGGCGCGGCGCGGGGCTCGGGGCCGGCGGGCGGCCGGGCGGCGCGGGCCGCCGAGTAGCCGCGGGCGGCGACGGGGCATGCGGCCGGCCGCCGGACCCCCAGCCGGACCCCGAGCCGGACGCCGAGCCGGAGCTGCAGCCCCGGCCCCAGCCCCAGCCCCGGCCCCGGCCCCAGCTCCGCGCCGCGCCCGGCGCGCCTAGGAGCGGGCGCCTTCCGAGCGCCGATCAGGGAGCCCGGAGTCCCCGCGTCCCCGCAGCCCCCAGAACCCGGACAACTGTTGCGGCGGCGGCAGGGGCATCGCGGGGGCGTGGGCAGCCCCCGCACCCCAGCAGGCGGCTCCCGCGGGCGCCGGCTCCCGGCTACGAAGCGAGGAACGAGCGGGCGGCGGGCACGAGGTGAGCTGAGCCCCGGGGCGGGCAGGGCGGGGGCCGCGCGGGGGAGGGGCGCGCCTGGGCCGGGGTCCGAGAGCGGCGGGGAAAGGGGCCGGGGCGGAGCTCCTGGCGGAGGAGGGTCTGGGCGAGTGGGGGGCGGGGTCTGCGGCGCGGGGCTCCGGAGAAGGGGTGAAGGGTGGGCGCTTTGGGAGAGGCGGGTAAGGGGCATATGACGGGGGTCCGGGGCTCTTTAGAAAGGGGCTGGGGACGACCGGGGAAGGGTCCGGGGGCAGGAACCGTGCGGGACAGCCGGTGTTCGGCACTGGGGTCCGCGCCGGCGCTCACCAAGGTCGGGGTCGCTGAACCTTGGAGAGGAAGGGGCTGGGTTCCGAAGAGAGCAGTTCGGGGCGCACCGCGCCGGGACGCGGCGGCCGGGACCGGAATCCGCGTCCAAGGGGGGGACTGGCTTCCAAGAACAGAGTCGGGGAGCTCAGTGAGCTGGGAGCCCCGTGCGGGCTGCACGGGGACTGAGGGCCACGCTGCGGACCCAGAGGGGCCTGGGGGTCCCAGCTGGGCAGCGCAGGGGACGGGTAGAAGGACCCCTCCCAAGTGCGTGCCCCTGGGTCCTGGTCCGCCGCGCGGCCCCTGCGGAACCGCTGTCGCCTCCGGGGCCGAATCAACATTGATCCCGCGCCCGGGGCTGGGGTGGCCCGGCCCGGCGGCAGCCTCGGAAGCTCATTAGTGCCCGTGGTTGCCATGGCAACGAGACCCCAAGCGTCTCGAGGTTATATTTATTCTAATTATTATTATCATTATTAGTATTAGTATTTGTTACTCAGCCAGAGGAAAAAAAAACAGGGGGAAAAAGCCAGCGCGTCCTGGCGCCTGCAACTGTTACCTCTTTGGAAAGAGTCAAGAGGATGTGGGCAAACAAGGCCGGGTCCATGCCCCCTAGGGTCTCCCCCACTCTTGCTAGCTGCCCCAGCCTCACCCCTGGGGCCATCCGACAGGGAAGGGGAGTTATGTAATCTGCGGGAGAGCACCTCTGGGGATGCCTCTTTGTGTCTCCCCTACCTCTCTGGGCCTCCTGAGCCTGTTTTAAGTGATTGCACCTGTCACTTAAAGGCATCCCAGCCTAGGATGGGAAGAACACGAAGTGCCCCACACAGGGACTCTCTGGGGGTGGCCTCCAGCCCCCTCTCCACGGCTGTGTGACCTTGACCAAGGCTCCTGAGGCTTCCCAGCCCGTTTCCTCATCTGGAAGATAGAATGGCAGCCATGCCCACCACCAAAGGCTGCTGTGAGCTCACTCTGAGAAACCCCTGTCGGTTCCCACTGAGCATTGGTGGCTGTGTGACCCCAGGCAGCTGTCCACATGTCTCTGGACCTCAGTTTACTAGACTATAAAATGAGGGCCCTGCTCTGGGCATTGTCTAAAGTGTTTTCTGTCAGTAATGTCCTGTGAATCTCGCTGCTGGCTGGCTGTGCCTGAAATACCATCAAGTTCAGCTCTGTTCAGACCCAGACTGATGAGAAGTCCCTCCCTCCATCACCCTTTGTTTCCTCGCCTGGTTCTGATTGTCCAAACCTTGCTGGGAATCAGATGGTCCAGGGGTAACCATTGGGACTTTTCACCTACTGGTAGGCTTCAGCTTCGGTGAGAAGTGTCATTCAAAAGCAGAATTCAAATAACCTTCAGGTCCTGGTGTCAACCAGTACAATCTCCATGCCGGTCACGGTTGCCTAGAATTGGGGGGTCGCTCCCCATCCCCTGAATCTGTGACTGCTCAGTGCGGGACACTTCTCTGCAAGCACCTCGTCTCCCCAGAGAGGCTGTCTGCTGTGCCTGTTCTGGCAAGAGATGACCAGGAAGTTCTGCAACCAGGCAGCCCCGGCCCCTCTTGTGGCTGAAACTGAAAGCCCCAGGCAAGGGTTTCTGACAGTTTCTTTCTTTAATGTCATCTTCACGCTGCGTTCCTGGCACTGTCTCAGGCATCTGGGAGGTATGGACTGATGAAGAGGGGTGAGGGGAGCAGTTTGGCTTAGAGCCGCGCGTGTGTGTGTGTGTGTGTGTGTGTCCCATTCTCGCTCTCCTGAGCCACCCAGCCTGGAGCTTATCAGGGCAGGTGGACCAGATGAGAGGGGTAGGGGGCAGGGCCAGTGCTGCTCACTCAGACCTGTGAGTCAGTGAGTGACAAAGAAAGCGAGCGGGACCTGCCCAGAGTGAGACCAGCTGAGAGCCACTCCCAGTTACCGGTCATCCATCCATCCATCCCTTCACTCCCCTTCTTCAGCCAACTCCCCGAGCCCCCATGCCTGTGCTGAAGGGCCTCGGCTCACCCTTGGCACTCTCAAGGAAGCAGAGGAGGAAGTGACCCTGGACAAGCCAGCAGAGCTGGAGGCATCCCTAGGTCAGGTCATGAGGCAGTGGGGAGCTCCTGGGGGTGGGGAAGTGCACGTGCGGTAGGCACCTGTCCTTTGGAGCCTGGGAGAGGTTGGGGCCAGGGGAGCTTGGTCCAGAATGACAGGCGTGAATCAGCTAGAGGAAGGGGGAGATGTTCTGGGCAGGGACCCTCTGTGGGCAGAGATGCAGACACAGCAGGGCGGCTGAAGCCTTCTGGACCTGCGGGTCTGGGAGGTGGCTGCAGACCTGGAGGGCTGGGGGATGGAGCAGGGCCAGGGCAGGAGACAACACTACCCCCAGCTTGAGTGAGGGTTTGAATAGCAGGGTGGGGCAGGGAGGAGGGGAGGGTGGCCAGGTTCGGAGCTTAGACAGCTTCTGGGTGGGCTGCCCATGGTTGAGGTGGGCACAGGGAGAGGCAGTTTGGGCCAAGAAGGTGAATCTGATTTCCAGTTCCCTAGGACAATTGGCCAAGCCCTCTCCAGCCCCACCCCAAAGGCCACACTGCAAGAGGGTTGCCTCATGCCCAGGCCCTTGGCTTCTGGGGCGGGTTGGGGGGCGGTGGCATGTAGACAGCAGGTCTGGCCACTTCAGCTGTCTGTGTCCACAGTACAGGACTTCACCGAACAGGCTCACAATTGCACCCTCCACAGCACTAGGGTTGCACTTGGCAGTGACAGCCCGAAGGCCTGCCCCGAGCCAGGTACCATGCTGAGCACACTCGGAACCCAGCTTCCCACTTAATCCTCATGCCAATCTTGTCAGTGGCAACTGTGGATTCTGTTGTATAGATGAGAAAACTGGCCCAAAGAGGCTAATAATACATAACCCCACCAGGACCAGGCTCCCAACCACTACACTATACCACCTAGTGAGGGGTGGCAATATAGAGTTCCTAGGACACAGCACCAGGAACCATGAGGGGGCAGGGGCCCCGCAGTCTCACTTTCTAGTCATTATCCTGTTTACTTTCCAATATTACTGACCCAGAGCCTGGCCTGCCTTATGCTTAGATGAAAGCTATCCCCTCCCTTCTTAGGGATGCTTTGCCTCTATTAACCCAGTCTTGGCTGCTTTAGCTTCTCCCCAGTTGACTTGTACAACAGATTCACAGGATCTTAGAGCGAACTGAGAGCCCCTTCCCCAGCGCCCCCAAGAGAGGCTTTTCCCAGCCCAGCTGCTCTTTCAGAAGTTACTGAAACAATTGTCAACCCCTAAGAATAGTGGGGCCTTGTTTCCTAAACACTAAACAGGCAGAGTTCTGGACATCTGAGCCAGGATGAGTGAGGAGGGTGACCCGAGGCCCTGCCCACCCTGGTTATGCCCTCCTGGGGACACCAGGGGACACCCATTCCATAGGCGCTGGTCTCACTCTGCACAGGGCCTGGCAGGAGGGTGGCCCCATCTCTTCCTCCCTCCCTTTTTGCACCCCTTCCCTCCTTCCTGCCTTCCTCCAGGGTACACATTCCTTGACCCCTAAGCATGAACCCCCTAGGGAGGTGGAGGAGACTCCAAGGTCACTGAGACCCACCCCCGGGCAGCTTCCAGCCAACCTGTTTAACGATTGACTCTATGAATAAATCATTCTCTAGCTGGGGCTGTGGATGTCCCACTGGCCCTACTGATGTGCCTTCTGTCCCCCCACCCCAGTTATCATGAGCCCCTTCCTCCTTTTCCTCTTAGCTGTGGCCAGGTCAGAAATGTTCATCCTGACTTCCCCAGTCACGGGCCGTCCCCACTTCCCACAAGCCCAGGTTTTCTCGTTCAGCCCCTCAGGACACAGTGCCTCTGAAAGCGTCAGACCAGGCCCAGGCAGGGTCTCTGGTGTACGCGCACGTGTGTGTGTGTGTGTGTGTGTGTGTGTGTGTGTGTGTGTGCGCGCCCCCCACTCTCCACAGCCCTCAAGGGGGTGGGCAGGGTGGTAGACAGAGACAGTGCCAGCAGCAGGCCTGAGCCTCGTGTGCTGTGCTGTGATGGGGAGAGGCCCCAGGAACTGCTGGTGGAGGGGGCTGAAACCGATCTGCTTCCCCATATTCAGATGGGGACACTGAGGCCCAGAGAGGGCTGGGACCGTGTTCAAGGTCACACAGTGAACTGGGGATTCTTGAGGGCCAAGGATGTTCAAGCCTATATTGCAGACATGGTGGACATTGTCCAGAGGCCTTGAGGAGCTTTGGGGAGTCGGGGGTGTGGGGAGGAGTACAAACATTTCCTAGATGATGAAATTTACACTGAAGCCCACCGAGGCACTCCTTTTAGGAAAGGGCTTCAGAATCGCTCCCTGCCTAGCCATCCACAGAAGCAGAAGCTGAGATGAAATGTAAATGCCTCCAGTCCTATATTTTTCGACATCAACCTGAACAGGGCGTTTACATCGACAGCCCATACCCCCCAGCCTGCTCTCCTTCCCCTCCCATCTGGGGCACATACTCCAGTCACCACCCATCTGCCTGCACGCACACCTACCCCAACAGATGTGTGCAAACGGCTGCCTCCAGAAATTAAGAAATAATGCATGAGTTTCCCAAATTACACCCATTTAACACTGAATTAAGTTCTGGAAGCTCTTAACAGAGCCCTGGGAGGGAAAAAAAATTTTTTTTTGGTCACACTTCCCTGGAAAATGAGACAAACCGTGATCTTTGAAAACCCAGCTACATAATCTGATTATTCCTCCCTGGCAAGCCTCAGAGAGATGCCCAGCAGAGGGAGGGGATGGCCGGCTCTGCCGCGGAGGAGAGATTTGCATTGGGAAATTGGACTGGGAAAGTTTGTCTCCCGTGCCAGATTCCGAAGCTCCTCGTTGTCGCCTGATGGGCTCAAAATAAAGTGCCGTTTTCTTAGATATTGGCACAAATTAAAAATAAAGGCAAATTCCTTCCATAATCCAGCGCGAGAATTTCCTCTGAGGCTCCCGGAGCTTGTCACGGAAACGATGGTGATTTGCTTTCACTTTGGGTTCCTTTCCTTTGTCGGGAGAATTGTACGTGTGCAGCTGGATTTACAGACCGAAAGAAATGCATTTAGTGTTCATTCATTCCACATTTCTGGAGCGTCTACCAAGTTCTGGGGCGAGGAGGGGCGATTTGAAACAGGGTCCTTCCCTGGTGAGTTTTGCAGTGTGTTTGTTGGGGGAAGGGAAGGAGAACTAAAGAAAAGCCCCTGAGAGGGGTCAGGGAGGGCTTCCTGGTAGAAGTAAATTTCGGCTTGGGTCTTGATAGGTGTGTAGGAGCGTGCCAAGTAGAAGAAGGCAGAGGGGCATTTCGGGAAGAGGAGCAGCCTGAGGAAATTCTTGGTGTGGGTCTCACACGGATGTGGCTTCTCGTTATGAAGGTTCCTTTGTGACAACCTGGCTGGACATGTGGCTTTTTACAAAGCCCTTTCATATCCATTATTTTCCACTGCCCTTGGGTAGCCCAAGGCAGGCCAAGTTTCCCTAAAGGAGAGAGCTGAGCCCAGAGATGGGAAGCAAGGTGGCCAGAGTCGCAGCCAGGCGGGACTCTGAAACCCAAGGCCCTGGATCTCATGGGCTCTGTGCGGGTTGAGAGCAAATAGAATAAGTTATTCTATAGAAATTCTAAAACTTAAAGAACTACAGACATGAATTCCAAAGTCTAGAAAGGCCCCTTTCTCCCTCCACGGGAACCGAACTCCCTGGCTGCAAGAGGGGCTGGGCTTCAAGACCTGGGTCCCGGTGATGCCCATGCTGGGGCTGCCAGCTCTGAGCCTCGGTCTCTGCGTCCAGAAAATGTGCTGATGGAGCCTCTCTCTGCCCATTTGCAGGAAGCCTGGCATCATCCCAAGTCCCAGAAGGTCCAGGTTCAGCCTTCAGCTCAGTGAGAGTCCAGCAGGGTCTTTTTTTTTTTTTTTCTTTTGAGACGGAGTCTCTCTCTGTCACCCAGGCTGGAGTGCAGTTGCTCAATCTCAGCTCACTGCAACCTCCACCTCCTGGGTTCAAGCGATTCTCTTGCCTCAGCCTCCCTAGTAGCTGGGATTACAGGCGCCCACCACCATGCCCAGCTAATTTTTGTAGTTTTAGTAGAGACAGGGTTTCGCCACGTTGGCCAGGCTGATCTTGAACTCCTGACCTCAGATGATCCACCCACCTTGGCCTCCCAAAGTGCTGGGATTACAGGCATGAGCCACTGCACCCAGCCCTCCAGCAGGGCCTTTGCTGTTTAAATTGTTCAAGCTTCTGGGCGCTGGGCTGGAGTGTGGCAGTGTAGCATCAGCTGGGTGCAGCTGCCTGGAATCTGATCCCTAGGACAGAAAGGCCTTTGGAGAATGAGCCGTGCAGCTGAGATGAGCCCTATCCTCAGGACAACGGGCCAGAGGGAGGCTCCGGGTGCTGATCTCAGGCAGGCTGCCTCCTTCCCCAAGAGCAGCCTGGAATTCCCGAGGCTATGCTGGGATTTCACATAGACAAGTCTCCGCTGCTTGCTCCTCACTTTGTGACCTTGGGCAAGTTATATAACCCCTGGAGCCTCAGTTTCCTTACCTGCAAAATGGGTTATTGTGAGACCAGATAAAATAAATTCATACAAAGGGTTTAGTTAGCACAGTGTGCATTCAATGCCTTGTCCGCCTCTGTATTCTCACTTTGATACTGTTAACAACTTTGTGTTACTGTGTTGACATTGTTGCAGCCCTTCCATGAAGCAGCCAGGCAGGAACCAAATCTGCTCATCCCCAGACCCCTAGAGTAGGGACCACCAAGCCTGTGGTTGTTGAATGAATGAGGAAATGAATCAGGTGAGCAGTTAGACCAGTGGCGGTGTTTCTTACCCAGCACCATGGCAACTGCAGACCAGGCAGGGGGGAGCCAGCTTTGGAGCCTGGGTTCTGATCTAGCCCCATCTCTTACTAGTGACCAATGGGGGCTGCATATTTCCCTCTGAGCCTCAGCATCCTCATTTTCAACATAGGGCTAATAATGATGATAATAACCTGAGTGGCTTGTGAGGATTTGAGGCGGGGATTGTAACATTTGGGACAGCTGGGTCAGTTACATTGCTAACCATTATGTTTTACCCCTAAGCTCTAGAGAGACAGTAAGATTTCAAATCCCAGTCTCCACTCCTCCTGGCTGTGTGGCCTTGGACAAATTACAGCACCTCTCTGAGCCTGTTTCCTCATCTAAAAATTGGGATGATATCCACCTCTTCAGGAATTAAACGAGTTGCTCCAAGGAATGTGTTTGGTGCAGACGGGCATATAGTAAGTGCTCAGTAAATATAACTGGAATTATTATCACCACTGCTACATTTAAAAGCAGAAACACCAAGGAGGCACAGAAGCAGTGAAGGGTCAGAGAGCCTCTCTCTATCCTGGAAGGGTGGAGGCCGCCTTGTTCCTAGTTTAGCTTGATAGTATCAAGTCCAGGTTTGGCATGCTTTGGACAGGTTGCTGAGAATGAAGGGATGATAGATGGATGGATGGATGGATGGATGGATGGATGGATGGATGGATGGTGAGTGGGTGGATGGATGCATGGATGGATGAATGGGTGGATAGATGAATGAATGGGTGGGTGAGGTGGGTGGATGGATGGATGGTGGATGGATGGATGGATGAATGGGTGGGTGAGGTGGGTAGATGGATGGATGGATGGTTGATGGATGGATGCATGGATGGATGAATGAATGGATGGATGGATGAATGGATGGATGGATGGTTGATGGATGGATGCATGGATGGATGAATGAATGGATGGATGGATGAATGGGTGGATGGATGGATGGATGGATGGTGGATGGATGCATGGATGGATGAATGGGTGGATAGATGGATGAATGGGTGGATGGATGGATGGATGAATGGGTGGGTGAGGTGGATGGATGGATGGATGGATGGATGGTGGATGGATGAATGGATGGATGGATGGATAAATGGGTGGATGAATGGGTGGACAGATGGATGGTGGATGGATGCATGGATGGATGAATGGATGGATGGATGGATGAATGGGTGGATGGATGGATGGATGAACGGGTGGGTGAGGTGGGTAGATGGGTGGATGGATGGATGGATGGATGGGTGGATGGGTGGGTGAGGTGGGTGGATGGATGGATGGATGGATGGATGGATGGTGGATGGATGCATGGATGGATGAATGGGTGGATGGATGGATGAATGGGTGGGTGAGGTTGGTGGGTGGATGGATGGATGGATGGGTGGACGGACAGATGGATGGGTGGATGGACAAATGAATGAATTAGTGAATGAATGAAATTAAGATCAGGGCAGCCAAGGAAGAGGCTGAAGTTTGGGGGCAGAAGCTTCCCTTTGAGGACGAGAGCGACAAGGTGGGATGCGTTGTGTAGCTGGATGATCTCTCTCTTTGCTGCATGAATCTTTGTTGACTAGGGATGGTGGCCCAAGTCTGGGGGCCCAGGCTCCTTGGTTCCCTCACAGTTTGGTTCTGGAGCTGGACAGAGCCGAGTTCAGGCTGTGACTCCTCAGCTTCAGCATAGGCAAGTTCCCATGCCACTCTGAACCTCTGTTTCCCCCTCCATAATGTGGGGAGAGGACTGGCTTGCAAAGATAACACATTTGAAGGTGGTTTGCAACCTGTAAAGTCAAACTGAAAGTCAAGGGAGGTGTTTGGGCTCCATGCAGTGGGTGACAGGGAGCAGAGGTGGATTTGGAGTTGGCGGAGCTCATGAAACATCAGCCTGGGCACTCTCTGGTCCCCTCCTGAGGAGACCTGAGGCACACGGTCAGGGAAGGGGTAGAGGGGGCACCTGGGGCAGTGAGGCAGCACCTCCAACTCATGGGCAGAACCAGGCCCAGGGATGGGAGTGCTCTGCCCAAGGCCCTTGGAGCCCCAACCTGATGGGGAGACCCTCACCTGCTCACCGTAGCCCTATCCTGGGCACTTTGCCAACATCACCTTGTTTAATTCTCATAACTTTCTGTGAGAAGAGACAGGTTGCCATTCTCACTAGGAGCTCAGAGAGGCAAAGGGACTTCCCCAAGGGCACGCAGCCACTATGTTGCAAAGCCAGGATTTGGACCTGGTGGCTTCTGTTCTTTCTGCTGGGGAGGCTGAATACACTTTGTGGTCAGGAGGGGTGCTGGTGTGGGGCCTCAGGGTCACCACACTCCTGTGTCCACCCTTCACCACCATGTGGTTTTGCCCAGCCTCCTGCCTCCTGTCTGCCTCGGTTTCCTTCTCTGTAAAATGTGTTCACAGCAGGCCCTCCTGCAGGAGTCTGAACCCAGGAGGGACCATGCAGAGTGCTCCGAAGGGCCGGCCCTCTCCACTCCTTGGTTGTTCTTTGACTCCTCTTTGGGGAGGAGAGACACCTGGGGAAGGTGTGGGGCCTGCAGGAGCCACAGAGGAGCTGCGCTGGGGTTGGTCCCGCTTCCCTGCATCTTAACAACCAGGGGCTGGTTTCTGCTGCCTGCTGCTTCCTCAGAAGGGGGTGGGTGCCAGGCAGGCATGGGCCGGCCACTTGTCCGGTGCATGTCATGGGTTTATTCACTCCTGAGATAGTACCCAGGGCCCGTCCTCACAGGCTCACAGTCTGCAGGGACTCGTGAACACAGTCACCTGTTCTGGCTCCAGACTCTAGCCCTGTGTAAGATAATGCACAGGTGTGGGTGATGACAGAGGATGGGGAGCAATTCTGCCAGTAGGAAAGGGGCTGAGCATCAAGGGGACCCTCCCAGAGGAGGCAGCATCCAAGGAGGTGGAGTCTGAGATGACCAGGTTGACAAGCAAGGGGAGCGGGGATATTTGAGGCAGAGGGAACCATGCATCTAGAGCCTGGGAAATGGGTCTGGGAGACTTCTGGGAGCTCCGTATGGCTGTTCCGTGGCACTTGTGGAAAGCTGAGCAGAAGCTGAGGCTAAGCAGAAGCCAAGGCTGGAGGACTCTCGTCGCAGGTGGGTTAGTTACTGGATTGCTGGAGAGTTACTGGGTTTGGACATTACCCTGTGGACCTGGATGGCAACTGTGTGGCTGGAGCACTGCCACTCTCACTGCTGTGCCCGGGGCAGACATTGCTACCATTAGACATTGCTAATCCACCATCGTGGCTGGACCCTGGAGGCCTGCAGTCTCCCAGGCAGCCCCAGGCATGTCAGTGCCCGAGATGACACCTGTTTATTCCTGCTGCTGTGAATAATGGGGACGATGATGCCCCTTCCCAGTTGCTTGTGTCTTGACTCAGCCCAAAACCCAAAGCACTTTCCGTATGGAAGAAGATGGTGGGTTGTGGCTGGCCTCTGGTGAGACTCCACTGCCCCACAGTGCTGGCTAGTTCAGCTCTTCCTGCAAAAGCAAAGCCTTCCCCTCTAGGGACGAGCTGCTGCCAGGGCCTCCCTGGGCATGAGCACCACCTGGGAGTGCAGCCCTTCCTCCATCACCTGCAGGTCCACAGGCCAGGGGTCGAGCCCCGGACAGCCTGGACATCGGCTGGAGCTGGGCCAAAGAGGGGGTCACAGGGGGAGGGCGGCGGCCTGGCAGAATCTTAGGCAGAACTAGGAAAAGATCAGGAGACATCTCTCCTGAAATTCAAACAATTGGACAATCTGTTCTGGATCGATTTAGAAGCAGTGGAGTGGAAAAAAATTAGAAAATATAGTGTGAAAGCTATTTTCTCTCCCTCTCAGCTCACTTGGGCAGAGGGATGAGCTGGAGTTTATTTGCGGACTGTCCAAGGCCCTGGCCAGGGCCTCGCACCTCCTCCCTGCCCCCTGATCCACGGCCTGGCCCACTTATCCCCAATGCCTGCTGCCTTCTCCTCCATGCCCAGTTCTGGGCTGGCAATAGGGGGTCTCAGAGGGGCAGCATCCCTGTTGGTTCCAGGAACCAACAGTGTATAGGAACTCAGACATGGACATGGCTAAGATCGGACGTTTGTGTTCCAACAGGCACCCTGAGGGAGGTCCTTCTGTCCCTCTCTCCCACACTGCCAGACAAGGCCTCTCCATGCCAAGGTTAAGGTGTCTCTGCCTAGTTCACTCCTATACCCCCAGGGTTCAGGCCATAGAATCAGGGCTGGCACATAGTAGGTGCTCAGTAAAAGTTTCTTGCCTGAATGATGGAAGGAAGAAAGGGACGGGGGAAGGAAGGAAGGAAACTGAGGCTTTAAATGAAGTGACCCATTCACAGTCACATGGTCTGTTAGAGATGGAGGTGGGATTGGAATCAGATCCATCACCCTCGAGACCTGATTTCCACCCACCCCGCCGCCCATCCCTGGGGCCAGGAGCTAGGTCTGAGACATTTAGGGGCCTCCCACACTGACGACCCCTTTCTTTCCCCGGCACAGTGCATCCCACTCCTCCTAACACAACTCCTACATTTAATCTTTCACGACTTGAGCCAAATGCTGATTGTTTTAAAATAAGCATGTTTAGTGTGAGGCCAGACCGGAGTGGTGGGAAGGGCAGGAGAGCCGAAAGCCAGAGCCTTCCTTCCACATGGTCTGAATTGTCCCCGAAGGGAGCAGTTCCCTCTCCGCTGTGGTGTGGGGAGTTTCTGCGGCTGGAGGATTTCACCCAGGGGCGGGGTCTGCCGGGACATCGTGAGTGTGGGGACATCTGGCACTGGTGGGAAATGGGACCAGTGGATCCCAGAATGGTCTCTTGTGTTTTTCACCTGTCACTGGGAGAGGGAGCTGTTCCCAGTAATGGGGAAGTGGTTTCATTTCAGGGAGTGGCAGCTCCCTCCTCTTTCCCCTTCATCCCCAAGGGCCAAGGCCAAGAGCCTGAGTCCTAGAAAGAACTTTGACTTGGAAACCCAACCAGCTCGGGTCCAAGTCCCAGAAGCTCAGCAGCTGTGTGATCTTCGGCAGGCAACACAATCTCTCCGAGGCTGTGTTCTCATCTGCAGACTTGGGCAGTAGCCCCTCCTTTTGGGAACATTGGAGGGGATGATACTTGTGAAACACCCAGGATAGTGCTGAACACATCGGAGGTGCTCAAGGAATGGCCTTTTCCTCCTGTCTCCACCGCGTGCGAGGCCAGGGCTTATACAGTTCCACTCTTACTTTGGTTCTGCCTCCGTGGCCTGGAGTCTTCACGGGCTACTGTCCTGGGCAGGTTCCCTGGCTGACAATGAGAGGCGAAGCCATGGTACAACGGGACCCTTTGAGCCCCAAGTGTCTGAGCCTCCATCCTTAGCCACGCTGGGGACTTGTGGGTGGTGCCAGCTGTGGCCAGCGCCGCATCCTGGAGGGAGCCCCATGCTGGGAAGTGAGAGATCTGGGTGCCAGTCCCAAGTCTGCCACATATGAGCTGTGTGACCCTCTGGGAGTGACAGCCTCTCTGGGGCTCTGTGTCCTCACCCGAGGGTCATGAACAGCCCTTACTCACTTCTCAGGGTCACTGTGCTACTCACCTAAAAGAACCTGTGTGACAGCACTGAGCAGGCCGCGAGCCTCCGGAGAGGATGAGAGGGAAAAAGGCAGCCCTGGTGACTGACCCCTCCTAACCACCTAGCGTGGGCTCTGAGTTTCACATACATCATCTCATTTAATCCTCACACCACCGAAGTAAAACTGGGGTTAGCAGCCTGCTTCAGAGGTAAGGGTCCAGAGAGGCTAAGTCACATGTCCAGGATCACAGGGCCAGCTGGGTTCCCTCCCCCAGGCCAGCCTGCACGTCCTGTCCTCTCTCTAGCTATGGCTGTGGCCAGCCTCCGCCAGGCCTGGGCCCAGCACCCGCTTCCCCCTGGCATTCTGCACTTGCCATCCCAGTCCCGATTGCTTTCCTGCTGACAAAGCACTTTCATAAATACTTTTTGATGTTACCTCTCCATTCCCCAGAAATTTGTGAGCCAACACTCCCCCAAAGCAACAGCACACTAATTAGACTTCCATAATACCATTTACCCAGATGTCGACCGATGCTACGCAGTTTAGCAGTTTTCTCCCCGTTATAAGGGATGTTCCTTTTTGGAAAGCAGGAGGCCTTCTCTTGAAGCCTGGTGCATGGCATCGGGCCTGCAGAGAGGACTCTCGGGATAGAGGCTTGTCTGCCCTGGACTTCCCCGCCCCCACGGTGGGCTCCTGGATGGGCTGGACTGGGTCGGGGGGCAGCCAGCCTGAATGTGGGGCCTTCCCCTGGAGGGGCTTCTCTCTGCCCCTCGGTCCCTGCTCCCTCTCAGGCCCCTTGGTGTCAGGAGGCTGCAGTGGCAGAGCCCAGCTCGGGAAGGTCAGAGGGCCCCGTGCTCAGCAGACAGGGCAGACATGTTCATTAGCCATCCTGTTGCTTCCAAAGTGCAAACTCAGTATCAGAACAGATCTCTAGTTTGGGGACGACTAAGCAGAGAAGGATTCAACAGAAAGTGGAGCCTGGTGCTTGCTATGCTGCGGGGGAGGACGGAGAGGACTTGGGGAGTCTGTGTCTGAAGCGGACACAGTTCTGGGTTCTAAGTCTGGTGTCAGGGGGTCTGCCCTCCTTGCCTTCCCCAACAATGCACCATCCAGTGGTTTATTCTTCCTGGGGGTTCGGCCCCCATGGGAACAGCCCACAGAGCAAGGCAGCAAACCTGAGACCAGAGACCACAGGGCCAGGGCAGCTGAGAAGTCCACCTGGCGGCACAGCAGGTTTGGGGTGTTGGGGCCACAGGCATGGAGGCAGATGAGGTGGGAGGAGGCTGTTGTCTGTTCACATCTGGGCCTAGGAAAGCTGATGGGGCCAGCAAGGGTTTGCAAGGGCTCAAGAAGGCAGCCGAGAGCCACTTCCTACCACCTTTGAAAGCACCTGTTTCCCTCGCTGTCCAGCCATTGCCGCCAGGGAGTCCTCCTGGGCGCGGACCGCCCCGAGTAAGGACAGGCCTGGCTTGCTGCGGGCCGGTGTGGCTGGCCGGGCCCTGCTCGTCGGTGCAGCAGCTGATCCATTCGAGAGGCACGTCCTTCCATCCTGGCCCGGCTCTCGGAGCTGAATCGCACCCGCCCAGCAGCTTCCATGCCAATTACACAGAGTGTGGGTGGGAGGCTCATTAACCCCCAGAAGTGGAACTGGTCCAGGGAGTGGTGAGGATGGACAGGGGCCCTCCAGCCGACGATGGGGGGTTAAGCGTGCCAGGTCAGGGGTTGGGGAGCTGGCTCAGCACCATCCCTGTGGTCTCCACTGCAGCTCTATTTGCATAATTTTGAAGTTGATTGGCCTAAAGGCAACTTCGCTTAATCACAGCTGACAAGTCTCTGGTTGAAACAGCAGCTGCTGCCAATTAGCCGCGTTGGTGCTTTGGTTTGTTATAACTCTCTAGGCAGCAACCCCCAGCTCCCCCTCCTGCCCGCCCCATAATCTGCTTCAGAAGGAAGTGGCAGGGCCAGGTAGCTGCCCAGAGAACCTGCCACATGCTCCAGCCCAGGTCTTCTCAGACTTGCAGGTGCTGGGGAATGGGTTAGCGCGCAGCCTCTGATTCAGCCGGAAGGGTGGCGCGAGAGCCTGCATTTCCAACAGCTCCCGGGAGATGCCAGGGTTGCTGGTTTGTGGGCTGTGCTTGGGGTAGCAATGATCTCACCCAGAAGTTTGCAAACTGGGGCTGCCTGTTTGTGTGAATAAAGTTTTATTGGAACACACCATCACTCATTCATGTAGGATTCTCTACAGCTCTTTTTTGTCTATAACTGCAGAGTGGACAAAGACTGGGTGGCTTGCAAAGCTGGCCCAGCAGCTCTTCCTTGAGTGGGCATCAGAACACCCTGGAAAGCTGGGAGAGATGCAAATCCTTTGCCCCCCCACCCCCCACCCTGGTTCTGATCCAACAGGTCTGTGCAGCCCTGGTGCAGCCACTTCCGGGGATCTCTCTGTTCATCCTGGCCTACCCTGGGTACCATTCCCATTAGATAGCTGGGGAAACTGAGGCTCAGAGTGGTCACTCACTTGTCCGAGGTCCCAAGCTAGTAAGATCTGGCCGATTCCCACCACATCCTGCATCCTTGACCCAGGTCCCTCTCCCCAGGGTGCACCACGTCCCAACTGGGTTCCCTGGCTTGGTCTGCTCCAAATCTGGATTCCACGTGGGGGCCTGCTATTTGTAACCTTGGGCAAGTCACAGAATGACATGTCCTGTTGCAGGAGCATGATGTGTGGGAGACCAGGTCTGTCACGGGCACTGCAGAGAGCACTTGGCCCCTGGGGGGTTATCATTGCCCTGCTCCACATCGATATGGGCGGTTTACACTGTGCAATGCCTCTCCCCTCCCTGCCCCGGACTGTGAATCCTTTGAGGGCCAGGATGGAGACCCATCCTGCCATTGCGGAATCACCTGAGGCCGGGGAACTGCTGCCTGTGAGCCTATGAAGGAGGCAGCAACTCCCCAGCAGTGGCTCAGGCAGGGCCCTGCGTGTTCTTCATCTCAGTCATCCTCCCCTTGACCTGGAGGGGCCAGGATGGAGGCATGGCACCATCCACAAAGGAAGAAACCAAGCCTCCTCGAGGCAGGTGACCCGCCAGGCAGGTAACAACAGCGTAAGAAGCAGCATTGGGATTCTGTGGCCCAGGTGACATGGGGCCACCAGCTCAGTTCCAAACATGGAAATATAGGAGGATGTTATATGGCCTGGTGTCCTCAGTTTATAGATGGGGAAACTGAGGCACAGAGAGTTTATAACTGGGAGGGTCTCAAAGGGACGAGGTGTATGTGGGCTCAGTAGGAGGAGGCTGGGAATTCACACCGATTCCCTACTGGAATTGGACAGTTCCGGCACCACACCCAGCAGCCTGGGACTGTGAACCGGAAAAAAACGCTCCTTTCTCAGGGACCCCCAGCCAGGCCAAAGCAGCTTCTGCAGTCCCCACCCAGGCCCCTGTGTGGGTCTCAGCTGCCCAGAGGGGTGGGCCTGTGTGCAATGGATGGGGGCTGGGGGGTACTGTAATCATTATTTTTCTTTACATATATTTTGAACCTTGATTTTCTATTCTATTTTCCAGACTCCAGGCCATGGAGTCAGGCCCATGTCTCTGCCTGCTTCCTGGTATTCGCCCTCGGCAGTCCTTGCCAAGACTTCTTTATTTACTTGTTTGTTTGTTAATAATATAAGAAACATCCTTGACCCATCCCTCAGCCTGAGAGCAGGAACGTCAGCCTGTGCGCTCCCAAGCAGGGCCCACTTCACCCCACGTCCCGCTGTATGCCTTGCTATAGCCAGATGCACTCTCAAAAAGAACATTTTATTTACAGTTCTTTTTAGCCTTCTAGAAAGCGTACTGTGCTGAACTTCATCTTTGGAGACTTTACTTTCTCTCTAGCCTCATAGCGCTGAGATGCCCCGTAATGTTCTGTGCGGCTGCAGTGCATTTGGGTAGCTGAAGAGTGTTCCGGTGTTTGGCCATAACACCATGCATTTTCCTATTCATCCACTGGGCCGTCTCCAGGGCTGTCTCCAGGTTTTTCCATAGCGCCGCTGTGAGCTTTCTAGAGCCTGGTCCCCTCGGCCGAGAGGGGATGTTGGTGCTTTTCCTCCCCCACAGTTGCTGAGGCAAAGACCCACTGTGCAAGAGGATGTGGTCACAGTGGCCTCCCTGAGGTGGGGTCACCTTCCCTCCAGGCAGCCCTCACCCCGGTCTGCCAGGCAGGTTGGTCTTTGTTGTGCTTCCAACCTCTGTCAAAGGTGAACTTTTAAAATTCCTGCCTCGTAGGGTGGATCGCAAGGAGTAAATGTCATTGGCGGACCCATACTTTTCTATGTCATAGGTGTTCCAGATCTGGTGCACAGGAGGTCTGCTTTGAACTATAACAAAATCCACAGGGCAGTCCAGGCTCAGAGAGACAGAGAAACATGCCCAGGATCACACAGCTGAGAAGCGGCAAGGGACTTGAACCCGTGTTCAAACCCCAAGCTCAGAGCCCTTTTGTTTCTCTGCTGCTATGCTGAGCCCCAGACAAGAGGCAGGAGGAACTTTGTGTGCCTTGTTCCCTCTGCCAGGAACACTCCCCCACCCCCACCCCCGCCCCACCGCCCGACTCATCCTTCAGGTGTCCACACCAGACCCCCTGGTCTGAGTCCCCAGCCAGGCGACCCAGGACGAGTTACTGAAACTCTGTACCTCAGTTTCCGCATCTGTAAATTGGGGATAATCACAGCCCCTCCTAATCATGAAGATTAAATAAATACCACCCCCACTCCCGGCCCCTACCCCGTCAGGCTGCATCAGGCACTCTGGGCGCCCATAGCCCCCTGGTTTCCCATCGTGGCACCCATCGCTCTGGGCTGCCATTGTTGGGACCGTGGTTAGATGAGGGGCACCCAGACCAGTCTGAACTCGCTCTCTGTCCACCGAAAGGAATGGAAAAAGGAGGTTTATTTCTGGCCTGGCTCAGGATGGGCAGGCTTCCAGGGATGGGTGGGAGGCAGAGGAGGGCTGGCCTCCTTTATGGCTGCGTTTAAATGCCACCCAGAAGCCAGCCAAGGGCGCCGCCAAGGTACCACGATGCACGAAGGCCCAGGGGTGGGAGACGGCCATGGGCTGGGGGGGTGCCTGGCACCCAGGAAGTGTGGCTGCAGAGGCCAGCCAGGCCCCTGGGCTGTGTCCAGACAGTCATGGAAGCCACTGATGTGTTTCGAACAGTGGCAGGTGTGGGCATCCCCCGCCCTGTTCCTGCCCCATCCCCACCCCATTCCTACTGGCAGGGAGGACCCTCTGCTGCTGGGTGGGGACAGGCCAGGGGTAGGGGGGCAACAGCAGGAAGATCAGCCCAGCTTGGAGTCAGGCAGGTGCCACACACCCTCTGTGGGCTCTCGGGTCCCAGCTACCCTTCCTCCCCGGGCTGGTGTGGGGACCGTTTGTTTTACCCACACCCCTCCCCGGGCCATGCTGGCCAGAGGGGCTTGTGCAGTGGTGCCACTGACCTCCATTGCCCAACAGAGACTGAGGGCCACGGGAGGGAACCCACATGTATTGTGCCAAGCATCTGCTGAGGTGCGGACCTGGAGCCCGGTGCCCTGGGTCTAAGCCCCTGCTGCTTCTAGCTGTGGGATCTCACAGGGAGTGTCTCTAGTTTGCTCACCTGTAAAATGGGGCTCTTGCTGGTGCTCTGAGGATGCACAAGGCTGTAAGACCAGAGGCTGGAGTGCGTGGGGACTGCGGGAGCAGCCGCTGCCATCCTGGGCCTGGGAGGTGGCGGCCCTAGGCCCAGGCGGGAGCTGGACTCCTGCAGGGCTGACTCAGCGCCCTAGCCCCACTCCCCGCCCTGAGGAGCACACTGAATTCTTGTCAGCACACAGAGGCCAGCCTGCGCTGGAAAACACTCTTTTGCCTATACAAGGCTCGACCAAGTTGCTCTCCTTTTATTGGGGTTTAAGGTTGGTGGCAACCAGGAGCCGGGGAAGAGGCCAGCAGCTGCAGGGAGACCGCAGCCAGCGGAGGGGGCTTCTGATCCCTCAGTCACAGGGCTCGGCAGGTAAGGAGCAGCCTGTGGAGGTTTCCAGGTCCTCACTGTGCAGGGGCACCTCTGTTCCTTCACGCTGACCCTGGGGTCCCTGCCCTGGCTAAGCACTGGGTCTAAGGGAGAAGCCAGGCAAGGCTGCTAAGTGACTCCTAGTCACAGAAGAATGGGAGGGGCCGGGGTGACGGCTATGCCAGTGGGGCAAGATGGGGAGCAGGCTCTGATCTAGAGGGGTGGGAGCCCTGTGGGGGTGCACAGATGCTGGTGCTACTACCTACCTGCTGTGTGACCTTGAGCAAGTTGCTGACCGTCTCTGTGCCTCAGTGTCCTTGTGTCAAGAGCCTTGCATAGAGAGGGGTTGGAGAGAAGGCCAAAGGCTCGGGGGAGGGTCCGGCATGGCCTAGGGAGTGCTCTCAGGATGCCCTAGTCATGGCCTGGAGGGCATTTGGTTGGCTTCACGGGGGTGAGGTGGGTCTGTTCGACCCACTTCAGAGTCTGCAGTCCCAGTCCAGCATCACACCGGTACGAAATAAGTGAATAGATGAATGAATGAATGAATGAACGAACAAATGAATGCATTGGCCCCTCCGAATACGCCTTCAAGGCAGGTTTGTTGTCCCCATTTACAGATTGGGAAACTGAGGCTTAGGGCTTTGGCTTCTCTTCACTCCAGTGAGGAAGGGGTTCTGGGGACCAGGGAGGCTGAGGGAGCTGAAGAGAAACCCAGAGCCACCCCCACCCCGAGGCGAGCGCCATGCCTGTCTTTCCTCTTCCTGCCCTGACACTTTAAGTGATTCATTCTTCATGTGATATTTTTGTGTTTCTCCAGTGGGAAAAAAATGCCTCTGGGATTTCCAGGGGTTGTTTTATCTCCATGGTGCAACCAAATAACTCAGGAGGACAGAGAGAAACAAAGGGTTGTTGAGCTGAAGAAGGCCCATGATTGTCTCGGCCAAGCTCTCCCTTTAATAGGGGAGGAAACTGAGTCTGGCCTGAGCCCCTCGCCCTGTGACCCAGTGTGGCCCCCTGGAGGACAGTGGGGCATCTAGGGCCTTCAGCAGGGTTGGGGTTTCCAGCTAAGCCCCTTTCAGCTGTGTGTTCTCGCTCAAGTCCCCCTTTCCCCAGGCCTCAGCTTCCTCATCTGTAAAATGGGATCACAGTGGTGCCTACTTCCAACATTCGAGACAGTAGCACATGCAGAGAACTTTGATGGGTGCAGAACTGGCCCAGGCCAGGGGCTCAAAAGGGGGAACCATTGAAACAGCTGAGTTTGTAACTTGGACTCAGAGCCCAGCTGGCTGGGGCATGGTGGATTCAGCAGGGAAAGGTGTCAGTGAGGGACAAGAGCCTTATTAGGGATACACTGGAATGGTTATCCACTGAGGGAGGGATCTGGGGAGATAGGAGAGGTTTCCACGTTGGAGGTCACCTGCGTGCCTTCCCAATTCCAGCACCCAGGCCAGCACCCTTCGTGGCAGTGTGCTTCTCCTCGTGGCCCTGACCCTGAGAGCAGCCCCATGGAGCAAGTGGTATGCCCGCCTGGTAGGGAGACAGTGAGGGCCCAGGGGGTGTGAGCCGGCCCACCTCAGCTCCCCTGGACTTAGGGGGACCTGTCCCACTGGAGCCCTGGAGTTGGGTTTCTAGGCTAAAATAAGGGACTTCCACCCAGGGCTGATGGCCCAAGGTCACTCCCGGTGGTGGCCGTAAAAGTTGAGGCCATGTCTCAGTTGAAGGAGATCTCCTGCCTGGATCTCTGCTGTTCCCATCTGGAAGTTTGCTCTTTGCAATAAAACAAACCAGGCCAACGAGTGCTAATGGAGTTCCTACTCTATGGCCGGCAGACATTTATTCAGCACCTACTGTGTGCAAAGCATGGTGGGGCGATGCAGAGGCACAAAATTTCCCACCCTTGAAGAGCTTGTACTAGGCAGGGAAGCAGTAAACCAACAGGTAAGGCAGAGGGAAATCCGTGCCAACTAAAGGAACAAGCAAAGCACGGAAAGATGAACTGGGGAAATCAGACGTAGACATGGAGTTCAAACACAATTTCATTTGCCAAGGGGCACACAGGACCCTCTCTGGTACCTAAACCATCAGCTTTGGGAACAGTAGAGTAGGCAACATCGGATAAGAACGGTTTATGGATCAGCTGCTAATGTTCTGGGTGCCCTGCTAGCTTCTGGTCCTTTCTATGTTTGGTATACCTGCAAGGTGTGGGGCACGGCTCCCGTTTCACAGATGAGGAAGCTGAAGCCCGTGAAGTAACTTGCCCTAGATCACCCAGCTAGTTAGTGATAAAGCTCTGATCCAAGGCCAAGGAGACTCGCTGCAAAGCCTATGTGGTCGCCCCCAGCACCCTGTCTGGAGTCGAGCAAACCTGGGTTCAGATTGCAAACCTTCCACCCTCCAGCTCTGGGCAATCACTTAGTTTCTCTGAGCTGTGGTTTATTTATCTCAGCAATGGAGATGATCATTGCTTATGTTCATTCAACCAATTAACACATGTTTATAAAGTGCCTACTACGTGTCAGGCCTGTGCTGCCCATAGAGATGAGCAAAAACGAAATGGTCTCAGCAGGGCTGGGTTCGGGGATGTGACCGCTGCAGGGCTAGGCATCAGGTCAGCAGGGCTCAGGTCACATTGGCCGTTACTAGGGTGTGAGGTGCTGGCCCTTCTCACTCACTGTCAGCCGTGGAGCCCGGCACCCCAGCTGCAGGCGAACGGGCTGCTTCTCTGTCCTTCTCCAGCCATACACTCTGGCTGCCTCGGTCCTGGCCAGCACAGCGAGGAAAGATGTCCTAGTTCTCTCCTGCCGCTTCCCCCTGCAAGCATGAAGGGGTCACAAAGACATGCTTTGATCTCACTTCATATGCAGGCGTGGAGCCTCGAGAAGTGTTTATTCCTGGACTTCACGTTTCAGAGTGAGATTTCATAACCTCTAAGTGGATGTCCTGAAAACAAAAGTTCACAAACTCAGGATTAGGTCTGCACTGCCGAGGAAAGGCCCTGGAGACTGGGAAACTTGTGGAGGTTAAACATCCCTGATGATACATATGTGCACACGTGTGTACATGTGTGTGCTGTGTGGAGACAGGCATGCACACAAGTGCTGCCTGCAGGGGTAAACACTCTTATGAGTCGTGGAGACAGGGCACAGGAGCAGACCCCGGGGTTTGAGTCCCCTCTCCGAGCCCCACATTCTCCATCTGTGTAACAGAGAGACTGAGGGTGCAGCATAGGGCTGGGTGGGAAGGGAACGGGTGAGGAATGGGGAGCATTGGGCACCGTGCTCTGCCCTGGGCTCGGGTGATCTGCAGCTGCTAGCCCGTCTCCTCGTCTGTACTTCCTGCCCTTCTGCTGGGCCGCTGCCTACCCGCAGGACTGTTGGTGGGGCTCCAGAGAGCCCTGCCCTGTTGAATTACTAATCCGTGCTAATGCTACCACTGCTAATCATCGTGCCCACATAGAATTACTCATCATTACGTAATCTACTGTCTGTGACCGCCTCCCCCCAGGCTGTAAGCCTTATGGCAGCGGGAATCCCCCACGCCCAGAACTGTTGGTCCACAGTAGAGACTCGTTAGGTGATCCCTGAGTGGCGACCAGGAGAGAAACCGCTCCCTGACCAGTGGGGTCAGGAGGGCTGGTAACTGGGGCTGCTTGTGGATGAGGTGGCACTTGAGCCAGGCCCCATGGGCAGGTTCAGTTTGGACGTACACGGTGGGGAAAGGGATGCCCACGGGCAGGACCAGCTGGGCAAAGGCCCAGACTCCTGAGCTCCGCCACCAGCCGCTTCACACCCAGAATGCTGGGCAAGACTCATCCTCACCCCAAGGTCAGCCTCCCGCCCCCCATGACAGTAGAGTAGGTGGGATGTGTTTGGGGAACAGGCCACTTGTCCTTTGTTCTCCATCCTGTGGGGTTCAGGCCCGAGCGTGGCCCCTGTCTAAGGAGGGCCAACCCTGGGGCAGAGGTCATGGTTCTGCCACCCTCGGCAGCCCATGCTCTGTTCTCCCAGCTCACTCTCAAGTTAGGACACAAACCAGGCACGCTGCACAGAGTGCTCCTGCCCATGCTGGCCCCAGATGAACCCCACCCAGCCCCTGCCCTAGCATGGCCTCCAGACAGCCCGAGATCACCCTGGGGACGGGGGAAGTCAGAGTGTCAGAAGCTCGCCTGGGGAGTGAGAGAATCACGGGGGAAGAACTGCCCTGAGAGGTGGCCACCCAGGATGAGCCTCCAGGCTACGGCTTTGGAGAGGGGAAGGGTGGTCCTAGCACAGGGGAACAGCATGAGTAAAGGCCCAGAGGCACCACAGACCCAGAGGGCTGAAGCTCCAGGAACAGGGAGGGCAAGATGGCCACAGTGCCAGGCCACAAGGGGCCTCAGGTGCGAGCGCAGCCTTGAACCCAAGGGGGCAGGTAGGTGATTAGGTGGGTACTTGGGAAAGCTGGCTCTGGGGGCCGCCTAGGGCTTGGGTTGATGGAAGAGGCAGAGTCAGAGACAGCAGCAGCAAGAAGCACGTGGCCAGGCCTGTCCAAGGCTTCCATGCCTCACTTCCTTTAGTTGGTGAATTAGATGCCGATGTTGGTCCCCATTCTAGGGCTGAGGACACTGAGGCTCAGGTGTCACCCCAGGTCACATGGGATGTGGTTACAGAAGGTGGAGCCAGGACTTGGTCCCAGGCAGAGGGCTCGACCCCCAAGCCCTGCTGCCCTAGACCCAGTCCTGCAGTGGACTGGAGGTGTCGCGCTTGGTCGTGCCCAGAAGTGGGGCGTGGTGGGCTGAGGAGGGGCTGGCTGGAAGCCCCCAGTGCTGTAGGGGGTCTCCAGGCATCAGGCCAGCATCCAGGCCTGTGGGAGCCTGAGGCCTCAGCCCCTCCCCGCAGGCCATCCTGCATCCTGCCCTGCCGAACCTGGCTGACACAAAAACAGATCCGTTGCTGTTCCTGGTGGGGTTTAATTCATCTTCCCAGCTCTGTTTCTCTTCACGTGCCCTCCTTCCTCTCCTTCCCCAGCCTCGCCAAGTTCGGTGTTTAAAAATAACCTTCAAATCTCGGAGCAGCAGTCCCAGGCTGACCGGAGGGGTGGCCCGCAGAGATGCATGCCTGACTCGTGATTCTGGCCATGGTCAAACAACGAGCGTTCAGGAACGTCCCACTCAGCCAGAATGTTCTTCCAGTTGTTTGAGTTTTGTTGTTGGCCACGGACTACCATCTTAGGAAGTTTACCAATTTTCAGAGAAATAGAACCCGGGAGGATAAATTTAATCTGTCTCTGGTAAATGTGCTTTCTGGGGGTCCTCAGGAGGCCTCAGAAGCTTTTTCAGTGCCAGGAGGTAGAGTGAGCTTTGCTGCTGAGTGGCTGTGTGACCTTGGGCAAGTCACTTCACCTCTCTGAGTCTCAGCTTCCCCCTTCTGAGATGGGAGCTTGGTGATCCACCTCCTTAGGCTGACATGGGGGTCACCTGAGACAGTGCAGTGAATACCAGGGTTCAGCCTGGTGCACCAAGAACTCTGCGAGTGTGAGCCAGCCTGGGTCAGCAGCCCCAGGTGGCAGAGTGAGCCAGCCTCGGTCAGCAGCCCCAGGTGGCAGGCAGCACAAGGCCCACAGGAGGATGGAGGACGGCGGACGCCCTTCCAGGCCTGTTCTTGGGCTGCCGGAGTGGTGTCCCACAGACCTCATTTGTGGGGCCCCTCAGGGGATGTTGTCCAGTGGTGTAACACGCCATCATTATCAGAGCTCCCAGATCCCAGGTCCCCTCCACACACGCCATCGTCATCACAGCTTCCTAAGCCCAGGTCCCCTCCACACACGCCATCGTCATCAGAGCTCCCCGAGCACAGGTCCCTTCCACACACGCCATCATCATCACACCTCCCCGAGCCCAGGTCCCCTCTGCACACGCCATCGTCATCACAGCTCCCCGAGCCCAGGTCCCCTCCACACACGCCGTCGTCATCACAATTCCCCGAGCCCAGGTCCCCTCCGCACACGCCATCGTCATCACAGCTCCCCGAGCCCAGGTCCCCTCCACACGCCATCGTCATCAGAGCTCCCTGAGCCCAGGTCCCTTCCACACACACCATCGTCATCACAGCTCCCCGAGCCCAGGTCCCCTCCACACACGCCATCGTCATCACAGCTCCTTGAGCCCAGTTCCCCTCCACACATGCCATCGTCATCACAGCTCCCCGAGCTCAGTTCCCCTCCACACATGCCATCGTCATCAGAGCTCCCCGAGCCCAGGTACCCTCTACACATGCCATCGTCATCACAGCTCCCTGAGCCCAGGTCTCCTCCACACACACCATCATCATCACAGCCCCCTGAGCCCAGGTCCCCTCTGCACACGCCATCGTCATCACAGCTCCCCGAGCTCAGTTCCCCTCCGCACACGCCATCGTCATCACAGCTCCCCGAGCCCAGGTACCCTCCACACATGCCATCGTCATCACAGCTCCCTGAGCCCAGGTCCCCTCCACACACGCCATCGTCGTCAGAGCTCCTTGAGCTCAGTTCCCCCTCTGCACATCCCACGGAGGGACCCAAGGTGATGACTTTGGCCTTGTGAACATCAGTGCTATTGAACTCATGGCCCTGAGGCTGGCCGCCTCATGGAAGCCTGACTGGGATCACAGCAGCTGGCTGGTCCCCAAGGCCTGGGGAGGTTTCCAAAGTAGCTTTCTGACCTAGCTTGGAATGGGGAGGTTGGCTTCTAAGCTTTGCTGTCTCAGATCATTAGAAATGGAATTTTTACTTAGGTAACTTCTCGTGACGCACGGCGGGTTATTCTTTCTACTGAGGATTCAGCTTTCAGCTCTGGCCCTGAGCTGCCTTGGGGGCGTGGGGAGTAAGGGCAGCCCCTACCTCCTCATGCAGAATCCCCCAGACCCCTTCATCCAGAGTTCCCCACACGCCCCTGGGGCTTTTGTCCAGCATACAGGGCTGCGGCTTTGATCGCACGGTGACCTATCTCAGGCCAGACTCGGGGGGTTGGGGGCACAGCCAGGCCATGGATGCCAAACAGACCCCCAAGGAAAGCCCAGGCTGGACGTGGGACCAGCGCAACCACAGCGTGCTGTGGCAGGGACACCTGCAGTGTGCAAATCCACATGACCACGGGGTGTGCCTGAGGGCCCAAGGCTGGTGTCCCGCAGGGCTGGGATTCCCACCCAGTCCCTGGAACTCCTAAGCCCCAGCCCCCGCCTTCAGGCTGCACACTGTCCTTTCCTAGAACCACGTTGTCTCACAACAAATCTCTGCAGTGTGCGTTCATCTCTGGAACTGTCCCCCAGAGGCATAAAGGCCTCTCCAGCTCTGGACCCTGGGTCTGCGAAGGCAGATCGGGGGCTGAGGGCCAGCCCTGGCCAGGACCCTCATGGCCTAGTAGAAGAGGTCCTGGGAAGAATCGCATAACGGGAGGCTGCTGGGCACCCTTGCCTGTGCTCCCTGAGGGCAGGGACTCACCTCTTCTGTGTTCCTAGAGCCCAGCCCAGGGCCTGGCCCCGAGTGCAGGTCAGCAAGTGGGTGTTGAGAGAATAAGTGAATGGATAAATGAATTAACACATGAATGAAAGAAGAGATGGAATACTATAGGCCTCAGTGGAGGGGCAAACTTTTTCCAGCTGATAAAATCATGGCAGGCTTCCTGGAGGAGGTAGTACTGAAGCAGCTTCTAAAGTGATGCAGGATTTGGACTCCTAGGGGTGAAGGAAGAGTACCCCCCAGGGGTGAACATCAGCCCCGCAACATCAGCCAGTACACTCAGGGCTTTGTAGGGAGTTGGAGCACCAGGAGCAGGGGCCAGGCCTGTGGCTAAGGTAGATCCTCCTCATTCACTCAACAAACCTACCAGCTCTTGGACCTGAGCCCCAGCCACAGAAGTGGGGCAGCCCCACCCTACGGGGGCCAGAGGAGCTGGAGTCTGGGGACCTGTTTCAACTCTTATTGGGCCTCAGCTTCCCCATCTGTAGAATGGAGCACGGGGGAGGCATCTCAGGGGTCCCGTCACTCTCCACTCCCACAGCGCATTTTCCAGGGCTGATCCATAGGACTCCCCCGGAGAAATCCATTCCTGAGCACTCCCAGATGCTTGACCTCGGCTTATCCTCCCAGGAGGGCCAGAAGGAGGCTGGGAGGAGGCCCAGGCTCAGAGCAATTAAGCAGCTTACAGCTCCCAGGGACGAGCAGGGCAGTGGTGGGAGCAGAGAGGCCTGCGGGTGGATGGGGGCAGCCCCTCCCCAGAGGAAGAGATGAGTAAGCTTAGTGTTAGAGGCCTGCGTTTCAGTGGCATTTTACAATCCTGATAGTCCCTTCCCTTGTTCTGGCAAACCAGACTTCACAAGGTCAGCACCTGACGTCCCAGCTCCCGCCACGATGCCCATGCTACAGGGGAGGAGACCAAGGCTGCAGAAGCAGGGCCTAGGCCAGGGCCAGGCCATGAGCACTGTGCGTTTGGCCTTGAGTTTTGCCCCATCTCGCTCCGAAGTCTCCAACCTCTGGGTGGCCCGAGTGGCTTTCCTTTCTGCCTGCCCAGAGCCCTAACTCTGCCCCCAGTAAAGCAGCATTCAGAGCTGCCCTGGGACCCAGGTTGGTGTCCCCTCTGCTCTCCCTGACCAGGCTGTGAGCTCTGGAGGGCAAGGCAGCTGCTGGGTGGCTCCCAGGGCCCAGAGCAGGTGCCAGGACAGTCTGGGCATGCAGAGGGGCTTGTTTCTTTGGACTGCCCATCATCTTCCACCATCTCTTCTTTCAGAAACGTGTGGTCTGGCAGCAGATCCCTGCACTGCATGTTCAACTCTGAAACCGTCCTCCTGGGGGGCGGAGGGCCTCACCTGGCGTGGACAGGATGGAGCGGGCAGGGAGTCTGCTCTGCAGATGGTGGAGGTGGGGCTGGGGGATGGGAGGGTGGTTCAGCCAGGCCAGGAGGTCCTCAGGGTCTCCCACCCGGGTGGGATTCGGGGCTCTCCAGGCCCCACCATCCTCACATCAGACCCTGCCCCCAAGTATGCAGGTGAGCTTCCTCGTGTGGACCCAACCCAGCCCTTCCACGGACCAGGCTCCACATGAGAGGCTGTACCTGTTTGCTCGGGCTGCCTAGCAAAGCTCCTCAAACCAAGAGGTTTCAACAAGAGGAATTTACTGTCTCAGCCTGGAGGCTGGAAGTCCAAGTCAGGGTGTCAGCAGGGTTGGGTCCTTATGAGGCTGTAGGGGTGAATCTGTTCCTGGGGGTTCGCTGGCAATCTTTGGCATTCCTTGGCTTATATGTGCATCACCCCAACCTCTGCCTCCATCTTCCCATAGTGTTTTCCCTGCACAGGTGTTTCTGTGTCCAAATTGTCCCTTTTTATAAAAAACACCAGTCTTCTTGGATTAGGGAGCCACCCTACTTCACCCTGATGACCTCATCTTAACTAATGACCTCCGTGATGACCCTATTTCCAAACAGCGTCAACCTTCTGAGTCCTGGGAGTTAGGACTTCAACATGTGAATTTGGGGGGAACACAATTCACATACCATAACAGGGTGCCACCAGGGAGAGGATGGGGTACAGTACCTCTTCTGGCCCAGAGCCGGGCACATAGTAGATGCTCAGCAAATCAACTCCCATCTCTCATCTCTACTGCTCCCACCAGATACACGCAGGCAACAGGGGCTCTGGGAGGACGACGCTGTTACACAGAGCACTTAGATGGCCTGTCCTAGCCTCCGTTTCCAACTCCTATGGGAGACAGGTTGATCATAGTCTAAGTAATCTAGTCCCCTCAGGGCCCAAAGCCCTGTCTCTAGTGGCCCTGCTGATACCCCAACCCCAGGGTCTTTGCCCCTGCTGCCTCCTCACTGCACCCACCCCAGGGCCTTTGCCCCTGCTGCCTCCTCACCGCACCCACCCCAGGGCCTTTGCCCCTGCTGCCTCCTCACCGCACCCACCCCAGGGCCTTTGCCCCTGCTGCCTCCTCACCGCACCCACCCCAGGGCCTTTGCCCCTGCTGCCTCCTCACCGCACCCACCCCAGGGCCTTTGCCCCTGCTGCCTCCTCACCGCACCCACCCCAGGGCCTTTGCCCCTGCTGCCTCCTCACCGCACCCACCCCAGGGCCTTTGCCCCTGCTGCCTCCTCACCGCACCCACCCCAGGGCCTTTGCCCCTGCTATCCCTCCGTGTGCAGCACTCTTCTTCCAGACAGCCACGTGGCCTCTCCCGCCTCACTCAAAGGTCTGCTCAAATGTCACCTTCTCAGAGAGGCCCTCCTTACCACCCTTCTAAAGCAGCTCCCCCATCACCATTCTCGGCACCACTCCCCAGACACGCCTTGTTTTATTTTCCCTCGTAACATTAAAAATTTTTTTTTATTGTGGCAAAATATACATTACAGAGAACTTACTACTTTAACTCCTCCCCGCTCCTTTTTTTTTTTTTTTTTTTTGAGACGGAGTCTCGCTCTGTCGCCCAGGCTGGAGTGCAATGGCGTGATCTCAGCTCACTGCAGCCTCCACCTCCCAGGTTCAAGCTGTTCTCCCGCCTTGGCCTCCCAAGTAGCTGGGACTACAGACATGCACCACCATGCCCGGCTAATTTTGTATTTTTCGTAGAGACAGCGTTTGTCCAGGTTGGTCAGGCTGGTCTCGAACTCCTGACCTCAGGTGATCCGCCAGCCTCGGCCTCCCAAAGTGCTGGGATTACAACGCCTGGGTGGTGTGGGCCACTGTACTTTAACCCTTTTTAAGTGGACAGTCAGTGGCATTGAGTAAATTCAGTGTTGTGCGACCCTCCCCACCATGCACCTCCAGAACTTTTTCATCTTCCCAAACTGCAACTCTGCACCCATGAAACATTCACTCCCCATCCCCCTCCCCCAAGCCCCTGGCATCTTCCATTCTGCTTTTGACCCGATGACAAATCTTCTGTGAATGGGACTCCTCTAGGGACCCCATGTAGGTGGAATCTTGCAGTCTGTGTTCTTTTGTGCCTTGCCTAGTTCATAGGCATAATTCCCTCTGGGATCCCCCTGCTGTAGCATGTATCATAGTTTCCCTCCTGTTTTGGGAGAGTAATGTGCATTGTGTGACGGGCCACCTTTTGTTGATCCATCCATCCCTCGATGGGCACATGGGTTGCCTCTACCTTTTGACTAAGGTGAAGGATGCTGCTGGGAACATGGGTGTGTGTACGTATCTGTTCGAGTCCCTGTTTTCTGCGCCTTGGGATATGTACTCAGAAGCTCGGAGCATTTTAAACATTCATTTGTTTGCGTGTTGTCAGCCTTCCTGAGTAGAACACAGGGGCTCCAGGGAGGAACTGCTTCTATTTCATGCACTGCTGTGTGCCTTGTGCCTCGGAAGCTGCCTGGCTCCGTGCATACTTGTGGAGGGGTTCATGGAAGTCACCATGAAACCCTCCACCTTAGCGACACAGCAGGGGACCTGGGTCCTGTAAGCTCCTCGAGGTGGCCGGGCCAGCCCGGGCATCCTCACTCCTGCAGCTCTGGTGCCTGGCCACCAGCCTCTGCCGGCCGGTCATTTCCACCACCTGAGCCATCCGTCCTCCTTTGATTAAGTCTCATTTTGCCATGAAAAGAAAAGGAGGTGACAGTTGGCTTGTGGGGGAAGGTCATTCATTCCAGAAAGGAAATTGGATGGCGGCATCTCCATCGTCCGCACCCGGCCCCTGCTCCCGACAAACTCGCTCTCCTGCCCGCTGCCCGCCTGCCCGTCCCCCGCTGTGGGCAGGAAAGCCAGTGTCAGGCGAGACAGCCCACACCCAGCCTCTCGTGGCTCTCATTGAACAGGCAGCTCTGGACGGATCAATGCAAGCCAGACGATGACCAGTTGTGGCCAGCAGTCCTTGAACGTGCTCGCCGTCCTCTTCTCATTGCTGTTTTCTGCAGGTAAAACCTCCGTGGATGCTGGGGGCGGGGGCGGCACGTGGGGGTGTGGGCTCTTCCTGAGATTCGTGCTGGCCCATCTGGGGTTCTGGGGGCACACAGAGGCTTGCCTTTTGTCCTCCACCTTACTGGCACCCCTCTGGTGAGCAGCTGATGTTGGTTGCTGTGTGGTTGGTCTCTGTCTGTCTCTGTCTCTCTGTCTCTATCTCTACTGTGCACCGCAGCCCTGGGACTTCCCATGGGAGCTCAGCTGGCTGCCAGGACCCTCGGGAGAAGCCCTGACTCACATTCTCTCCTTTGCCCCTGCGAGACAAGGTTAGGCAGTGTCCTAGTCATCCCATTTTATAGATGAGGAAACTGAGGCTTGGAGAGGGACCTGACTTGCCTAGGACAAGGCAGTTAGCGGATTCTAGCCCGACCAGCCTCCTGGGCTGTCCCTGGGATCCCAGTTGAGGTCGCAGGTGGGCTCCTGCTCTCCCAGTTACAAGGATGAGCACAAACTAAGTCCTCTGCTCCTCCCAGCTAGAGCTGAGAGCCCAAGTTCAAGGGCAGCCCTGCTCCCCAGCCAGGGCCTGCTCCCAGCAAGGAGCCCCCTCTGGCTCTCTGGCTTCCTCTCCCTCTGTCTTTCTGTGTCTCTGGGTCTCTGTCTCTCTGTCTTTCTGTCTGTCTCTGTCTCTCTCTGTGTGTCTGTGTCTGTCTCTGTATCTCTATCTCTCTCTGTCTCTGTCTCTCTCTGTTTCTGTCTCTCTGTCTCTCTGTCTCTGTCTCTCTGTCTGTCTCTCTGTGTCTGTCTCTGTCTGTCTTTCTGTGTCTCTGTGTCTGTCTCTGTCTCTCTGTCTCTTTCTGTGTCTCTGTGTCTGTCTCTGTCTCTCTGTTTCTGTCCTCTGCCTCTTTGTCTTTGTCTCTGTCTATGTCTCTGTGTCTGTCTCTGTCTGTCTCTCTGTGTCTCTGTGTCTGTCTCTGTTTCTGTCTCTGTCTCTGTCTCTCTGTCTCTGTCTTTCTGTGTCTCTGTGTCTGTCTCTGTCTCTCTGTCTCTGTCTATCTCTCTGTGTCTCTGTCTCTGTCTATGTCTGCCTCTGTCTTTTTCTATCTCTGTCTTTGTGTTTCTGTCTCTGTCTCTGTCTTTCTCTGACTCTGTCTTTCTGTCTCTGTCTCCATCTCTCTGTCTCTGTCTCTGTGTCTCTCTGTACCTCCTCATGCCCGCATGCTCTAACAGGGTCACTGACACTGGCCTGGTGGTTTTCAGCCCCTGCCCCTTTGCTGGGGGCAGCTCAGAGGGAGGCTATGAGGATGTCTGGGGGTGCTTGGCAGGGCTCCCCGGACAGCAAAGCCAAAGCCACGCCCAGGCCAGGGGTCTGGGGGCTACCCAGCTGCTCTCCCCACCCCAGATGCTTCCCATGCTTTGGCTCACCTGGTCCTCACCATCCCTGGAGGACGGACCCACTCAGCCCATTTTACAAATGAGGAAGGTGAGACACTCAGAAGGAAAGCGGCCTGCCCGAGGTCACCCCTTCAGGGGAGGGGCCAGCCAGTGAATCAGGGCCATCCAGATGCAGGAGTTACGTGGAGCTGTGCACACAGGGGTGCGTTCATGGTTGAGGCTTCGGGGCCCGAAATGCGGCTCTCTCCTTTGCGTCCCTGCTCTGCTGGGGCCTCCTAACAGAGTGTCCCTCGGCCTGGAGTCACGCCATGCCCCAGAGCAGAAGCCCACGGATGCTGCCCTTTACTGCCCTTTACAGCCTCTAGTGCTCGTAGGGCCCCTAGTGCACACACAGCCTCTTTCTCTAGGTGGGGGCTGCGCCTTGCTGTTTACAAAACGCTCCTGGGAGCCCCCAGCCCGCCTTGGAGACCATGAGTCTTTCATCAGTGAGGGGAGGAGGCCAGAGAGGTCACGATGGCCCAGGCAGCCTCATGCCAGGACTCCCACCCGGTTGTCCCGGCTCCCAGCCCAGGGCTCTGTTGGCTCCGGGAAGGCAGCCGGGGAGGCTTCATCGTTACCAAATGGCCAAAGCCCATGGCGCTGACCGCCCAGTGGTGGCCGGGTGAGCTGGGTGCTGGTAATGGGCAGGACCCTTCCACATCCCCCAACCTCGCCGGGCCTGCCCTCCCCGGCCCCCCATCTCTGCATATCAGGCTCCTCCCAGTCCCTTGAGGCCCAGCTCAAAGGCTGCCTCCCCATGCTGCCCTACCGCTCTGTCCCTTCCCTCCCTGAGTCCTGTGGTAGCCTCACGGGCTGGTCCCAGGGCCTAAGCTAGACTTTCTGCCCAGCAGCGTGAGTGTGCCTGGTTCCTCCCCAGCTGCCCACGCACTGAGCGTGAGCAGGGCCTCCTCACTGACCTGGGCAGTGACCCAGACAGTGACCGGAACTGGCTAGCTGCCTCTGCCCCTTGCCGCTAGGCCAGTGGGCCCCAAACCCAAGCCCATCAGCATCCCCTGGAGGGCTTGCCAGGACAGACGGCGGGGCCTACCCCGGAGCTTCTGATTCAGAAGCCCAGTGGCCTGAGAATCTGCATTTCTGACAAGCCCTCCGGGGATGCCCTCGAGGCCGATCAGGGGCCACACTTTGGGAACTGCTGCTCTGAGCCACAGTTTTCTCCCCTGTACGATGGGAATAAATGAGATGGGGTGAGACAGCTGTCTACTTGGGGCTCTCTAATAACCTCTACATCCCCAGAGGGGGTATTCTTCTTTCTTAAGGTTGAGGAAGAGAAGGGGGCCTGGAGAGCTCCCCTGGTTCCCCAAAAGCTGAGACCTTTCTCTCGCAGTGGTCATGCCCATCCCCACAGAAGAGGGTGCTGTCTGTGGGGGAAGGGGTGTGGAATTTCATGCCCCCCGCCGGAGGCAGCCTCAGCACCCCAGCACATGAAGGCCGCCTGCCCATCTTCCAGCCCAGCCCAGCCCAGCTGGGACTCCCCTGCAGCAGCCCCGGGTGGGTAGGTGGGGAGCTGTGTGGGCTGCAGTCTAATAACCTCTCAGCAGACACAGAGCTTTCAACGAGCTGGAGGAACTCCTGCAAAGCCACTGCCTTTGTGGTTAAAGGAATGTATTCAGCCAGCGAAGCCCCTTTTCAGTGATACAAATTAGATACAGCGATCTCTTTTATGAAGATACTAATTAAGCCTGAGAGAGCGGGCTTTAGGTTTTTTCCATTGTTATATTTGTTCAGACTTTCAGTCCTGTTTATCACCATCGGCACGACTCGTAAATACCATCCTGGGTTTGCAGTAGCATTGGTGGCTGAATAGGGGCCTCCGCCCCTGAGCAGAGTGGTGGGAGGGTTCCAGGCCAAGGCAGAGCTACCACCGTGAGGTGGGGGTGACTGAGGCAGGCCCTTGGGGACCTTGGGGCCTAGGGTACTAGTTTAGTAGAAACCAAGGAACGAAGGGTCTGCTGTTTTTGACCCAAGAGGTACCCAAGAGGTCCTTGCACCTATGCCAGCCACCACCCGGGCCAGCCTGGGCTGAGCAGCAGGTCCACCACTGCCCACCTGGGAACAAAGAGCTAGTGATACAAGACTGGAGAGGGCCCCAAACTTTGAATCCAGGCCTGAGTTCCATTCCTGTCCCTCCAACACTTATCAGCTCGGGCAAGTCACCTTAGGTCTCTGAGCCTCAGTTTCTCCATCTGTAAAGTGGGATCTCAGACTTGCTTGGCTGTGTGAGTTAAATGAGATGGGTCTGTGAAGCATACAGTAGGTGCTCAGTTAAGGCTGATTTCCTAATTGAGTGACTGCTGCATGTCAAGCATGTTCACCGAAGCAGGAGAGCCAGCCCTGCCCTCCAGGACCAGCCAGTCTGGGTGACACAGAGAATGTAACCAGGGCTGGGAGGCTCGGGGTAATGGGAACCCAGAGGTGAGGCTCACAGTGGACCACAAAGGCATCCAGGGGAGGGAAGAAGCAGGCAGGACCTGAGAAGAGGCCGGCCAGTCCCCCTGCCTCTTGGCACCCGTGGACTGGTGAGGGACCCCTCTGAGCCTGGTGACTCTGTCTTCCAGTCTTGTCTGCACATTTCCGGGTCTGTGAACCATACACAGACCACAAAGGCCGCTACCACTTTGGCTTCCACTGCCCCCGGCTCTCGGACAACAAGACCTTCATCCTCTGTTGTCACCATAACAACACGGTCTTCAAATACTGCTGCAACGAGACGGAGTTCCAGGCGGTGATGCAGGCGAACCTCACGGCCAGCTCCGAGGGTTACATGCACAAGTGAGTGCCACTCTGGGGGTGCAACCCCACTGCCTCGGGCCCCAGGCAAGGGGCCTGCCTCCCAAAATCGCGTCCCCTAGGGAGGCGGTTGGGTAACCGCTATAAGGTTGGGTGGGCCTGGAAGGAGTCTGGGAGAGTCTTTGGATGACCAGGGTTTTCGGCCCATTGTGCCTTCTAAGTTTCAGCTTTCTCATCTGAGAAATGGACACAGAGGCCAGGCGCGGTAGCTCACACCTGTAATCCTAGCACTTTGGGAGAATGAGGTGGGTGGATCACCTGAGGTCAGGAGTTCGAGACCAGCCTAGCCAACATGGTGAAACCCCATCTCTACTAAAAATACAAAAATTAGCAGGATGTGGTGGCAGGTGCCTGTAATCCCAGCTACTCAGGAGGCTGAGGCAGGAGAATCACTTGAACCCAGGAGGCAGAGGGTTGCAGTGAGCAGAGATGGCGCCATTGCACTCCAGCCTGGGTGACAAGAGTGAAACTCCGTCTCAAAAAAGAAAAGAAAAGAGGGAGGGAGGGAGGGAGGGACACAGAATACTCACTTTGCAGGGTTACCATAGAAGCTAAGTGAGGTTAAGGATGTGGAAAGCTTTCAGGCGTAGAAGGCGCCTGGGCCTGTAATCCACCGGGTTCCTTCATTCATTCTTCATTCATTTAACAAATACTGATTGACACCATTGACCCAGAGATTAATCCCATGCAGTTCTTTTCCTTAAGGTGATTAAAATACATTGGGATCAGGGCCTGATGGAGGGGACCACAGGTGTGGAGAAAGAGAGAGTTTGCTGTTAGAAAAGCAATGGGAACACGCTAAGTAGAGTCATGGAGTTTCAAAACAGCATGCGTTTCTCTATTATGAGTGAAGCTGGCCGTCTTTTCACATGCCTGAGAGACATTTGTATTTCTTTTACCGTGAGCTAGCTGTTTATGTCTTCTGTCATTTTTCTATTGAAGTTTTTGTTTTTTTCTTATTTACTTATGGGTGCTTTTTATATATGAAGGAAATATGATGAGTTGCAAACATCTTCCCATCTTCTCCTTGTTGAATGTTTCCATACAAATGTTTCCTCTGTGACTTTGACTTTATACTGCTTTTTCCTCATGCTTAATTTTTGTTATGTAATCACATTTTATCATTTTTTTTTTCTTTTATGGTTTCTGGCTTTTGCATCATACTAAGAAAGGTGTTTCCTGCTCTGAGGTCATTAAAAATACCATGTTTTCTCCTAATTATTTTACGTTTTAATATTTTGTCTTTAATTAGTTGAGCTCTCTGGAATTTACTTTGATGAAAGTTTTAAAGTTGGCATTAAACTTTATTATTCTTTTTTCAAAATGGGTAGCTGGTTATTCCAACACCATTTATTAAATTGGCCATCTCTTTTCCCCCGAGATGAAATGCAAACTTACCAAATATCTTAATATACTAAATCTGAGTATTGAGGTAGAGTGTGATATGCAGTTGGCTTCACTTGCTCTGGCTATACACTAGTGCCTCACTGTGTTAACCACTGTGACTTTTAATATGTTTTAATATCTTAATGGGCTCCTCCTGGCTCTTTTGTCATGCAAACTTTAGAATTAGCTGTGTAGTACCCCTACCTCCCCCCAAAAAAATCCAGTTAGTATTTTTTACTGAGATTGTGTTGAATTCATAGGTTAACCCAAGGATTGACTTTTTATGATGTCAAACATTTCCATACAAATGTCGTTCCATTTGTTCAGATTTTCTTTCATAGCATTTTAGAGTTTTCTTCATATAGATATTAGACATATATTTTGCATTTATTTCGAGTTATTTCTTTTTATGTTGCTGTTGGGTCTTTCCTTCCACTATATCCTCTGAGTATTGTTAAAAGCAATGATTTTGAGATAGGAATTTTGATAAAAGCAATGATTTTGAGATAGGAATTTTGCATTCAGCCACCTTACTGAAATTTCTTATTCTTTTTTCAGTTGATTCTCTTAGGTTTCCAATTATTCCACTTGTAAACAATGATAATTTTATCACCCTACCTTGCTGTTTTCGTGCCTCACTTCTTTTTCTTGTCTGATTGTGTTGGCTAGTCCCTCTAAAACAATCTTTAGAATTGTCAGGCTTCTTATCTCCTTCTAATTTTAATGTGATCCTTCAAATTATTTTCCCAATAAGCATGAGGCTGAGTTTTGGGGCAGATGTATTTTTTCATGATAAGGAAAAATCTTTTTGAACAGGGCGTTTGTTGAAGGGAGGTGGTGGGTTGCAAGTGTGAGCCTCGATCTCTGTCTGATGTTGGGGCTGAAGGGCTTTGCCACCATGCTGCATTCACTCAGGGGGAAGCCGCCTGTTCCAAGTCTCCCCACCTCCCACCTAGGCCAGCTCCCCATCCTTCCTTCCTCAAATGCACGGGTGCTTCCCTTGAATCTCTCGCCATCTGCTCAGCCCTTAGAATAATTCTGTGTGTGAAGTCACTCAGCAAGCCCTGTCCATCATATCAGGGCTGCAATCAGATCTGGGATTTGACCCAAGCCTTGTATAAGACAAGGAACGAATTCCCTGAGAGACGAGGGTAGTGCCAGGACTTGGGTGAGGACCCTGTCATGCTGCAAGTTCTGGCTGAACGCCAGACAAGGCTTGGCAAAACAACCAGACTTCTCCAAGGTCTGGTGACTGGTGTCTGGGATCCTCATTTTGAAGCCCACAAGTTTCTATAATCTGCATATTTGCACAGGATTTCACACGGAACACTCCACTCCAGCAGCACAGGGGGTCCTGGCGGCTGCTGATGAAGAGTTGGGCTGCAAAGTAAAGGCCTTCCCCTGGGGAGAATGGGAGTATCGAGGATCAGAATTTTAACTTACATTTTTAATCGTTAGCCCTAGAAAGTGTTTATGGAGCACATAATATAGCTGAGTCTCTGCCCTCAACCTCATCATGCCGCTGCAGCTACCTGGCAGCCCATCCTCAGCCCATTTTACAGATGAGGAAGGGGAGGCACAGAGCAGTTGAGTCACTTGCCTGAGGAAGGCAACGGTTCGTGGTGGAGCCAGCAGCCAACCCAGATGGGCTGGAATCACTTTAGTCATTCTGGAGCTTCTACCAACAGAGGCAGATCCTACTGAGGAGAGGCCCCCTGAGCGGAGATCCCACCCCAGCACCACTGACATCTGGGGCCAGGTCACCCTCCATGGTGGGGCCCACTCTGTGCATTGTGGGATGTTTAGTCGCATCCCGATGGCCTCCACTGACCCGGTGCACCTCCTCCCCACCACCCCGGTGACAACCAGCAATGGCTCCTAACAGTGCCAAATGCGGGGGCACAGAATCATCTCCAGTTAAGCTGCTGCCCTGGGGAGATCCCATCCCTTGTCATTCTCCAGCGATCTTCTCGCCGCCTTCCCTCTCCATAGCTGTGAGTATGGAGCCCACACAGAGGAGGACGCAGCTCCTTCTCCTCCCCCAGGCTTCTCCTGTCATAGGTGCTCCTGCGGAGGGGGGCGTGGTGCTTGATTCTCGAGATCTGACAGCGTTTAAGAAGGTGGGAGCCCCACAGCCCAGAGGAAAGAGCACTTTTGGGCAGAATTCTCTGCAGCCCAGTGGAAGAGCAAGGGGAAGCGGGGAATAAAGAGCTGGTGGAGGCAGGGGGTCCGGGGCCCTGTCTAGCCCAGGGGATAGGGTGGATAGACTTTCTTCTGAGGCCATCAAGCGTCCCTGGAGGGCCTTAAATGGCTTGAGGCTGCATAGGCCATGCATGGGATAAGACCCCAGAGGACCTAGAGTGTCTGCAGGAGCAGGAGCCATGAGGGTGGCCTAGGCCAGACCTGGACCCCACTGAGGGGAGATCAAGAATTCGGGTCAGGGGCCATGGAAGCCTCTTCCCAGCTGCCCAGTTTCAAGGACCTTGGGGAGAGGACCCAAGCCCAGGGAGCTGACGTGGGGCCTGGTGTCCAGGCGGGGCTGGCCCAGCGGCAGACGACGACTTGAGGATGAGCCTTGGGGAGCGGGATGCAGGGCTGAAGTCCTGGGTCATTGGATGGGCTGGAGAGGGCCTCTGTGTGCACGGGGACCCAGGTAGAGTCCACCTCTGTGCCTGTCTGTATTTGGGGCCCCGGCCACACGATATCACAGGCTCCTCTGGGCAAGACACCTGTGGTGCCCATTAATCCTCACCATGGGAGGAAGGAGGGGCTGGGCCCCAGGCTGGGGAAGTCACCTGTCCCAGACCACATGGGTGATAACAACTGGTGTCAAGATCTGAGGGGCTCTGGAGCCCTGGTTCTGCCACCCCTTGGTGCATCTAGAAGGCCAGGACTTGTGTGCCACTGGGGACCGCACCAGACCCCAGCTAAAAGGCTGGATGTTCCAGTATCCTAGACAGGTTAGCACTCACCAGCAGCCCGTCTAGATGGACTAGGACAATGTGACTCCCGGAAGGGGCTTTATGCAGATGCAAGAGCTCCTGGTCCTCCCCCATCGCCCTTCCCCCGACCCCCGCCCCGCCACAGCCCTCCCTGCTGGTGAAACAGCCAGGAGGCGGGGCTGGTGACAGGGAAAAGGAGAGCGCTTCTGATGATTTATTTATTTGTATTTTTCTGGAGGAACAGAATGGTTTGTTTTGGTTCTGGCTGCCTGGCAGGAAGGCAGAGTGAGAGGAAGCAGCCTCGCCAAGCCCACTACCACGGCGAGATGCCCGCTTCCAGCCACGTGGGCCATAGAGAGACTGCAGAGAGAGGGGTGGGGCAGGGGCCCTGACGTGGTGAGAAGTGTACTGCCCTCCTTCCCATGCCAGGGCACTGCCAGACACCAGCAATGGCGACTCAGACTCAGGTCCCTGGGCGATCTGTGGAAGCCTCCGTGTGGGGGTCGCGGTGGGCCAGGGCGTGCAGGGGATGTGGTCAGTTCTCTCTGGGGACAGGGAAAGTCTCTCTGGAGGAGGTGGCTGGGAGTGGCATCTCCCACAATGCATGGGCATTCCTTCACCAGGCAGATGGGCTGCAGGGGGTGGGAGGTGGGGAGGGACTCTAGGAGGACAGAACAGTGCACCCAAAGGCCTAGCATGTGCAGGCATGGACGGTGGTCCCTCCCTTGGCCACGCGTGAAACCTCTGACCCCCAAAGCTTTGCCCTTCCCCAGGGGAAGGAAGTGAATGAACACTTATGAGGACTTCCTCCAACACAAGGGGCCTGACTCATGCTGACACCCTCCATCTGTTATCTATGAAGGACCTTCCACTAGCCCCGTTCACTAGGGCTGAGGCTCAGAGAGGGTGAAGCCCTGCCTGCAGCCACACAGCACACAGGGGACACAACAGGGTTTGGGTCAGCCGTATCGGTCATCCTGGGCTTAGTTATGCCAAGGAGAGGAGCACCCTCAGAGGTCCCGGGAGCTTGAGAAGCGAAGGCTTCCTTTTGGCTCATACTCTGGGTCCTTCTTGGGCTCTTTGGTTCTATGTGTAAAGCATTCTGTGACAAGGCCGTAGAAGCAGCCCCTATCCCGGGTAGGATGGCCCTGCTGTAGAAGGAGAAGGCAGTGGTGAAGCCACACACGTCGTGTCTCTAAGCTTCTGCTCAGAAGTGGCCACAGCATTTTTGCTCATGTTTTATTGGCCAAAGCACGTCACTTGTCCAAGCCTGTTACCAGTGGAGTGAGGAGAGACAGAGGGATTGACCCTATTGGGAACACCCTCAGCCAGGCGCAGTGGTATTTTGATAGTAATAGACTCTGCTTCACCAGGTATATCCAGGCCCAAAGCCCACACACCGCCACTGCCCTAGACAACCTCAATCCTGCTGTGTGACCTTGGGCGAGGCACTTTGCCTCTGGGTCTAGACCTATTAAGCACTCTCTCTGTGCCTTAATCACACGAGCCAGCATTCCAGGGGTCTGTCTCTCTCCAGGCCCTCGTGTTATCTCACAGCCTCACACTTACACCATGAAGTAGGAGGTCTAGGTATCCCCATTTCACAGACAAGGAAACTGAAGCTCAGTTTCCCAAAATCACAGAGAGAATTTTGCCAAGCTGGGATTCGGATTCACACAGCCTTGACGTCTTGAGCCCACACCTTAGTCGCCAGAGTCATCCACCTTGTCTCGTGGACCCGAGGCCACTCCTGCCAATGGGCTCCATACTCCCGTTTTTTGTTTTTTTTTTTTTTTGAGACTGAGTTTCCCTCTTGTTGCCCAGGCTGGAGTACAATGGCACAATCACAGCTCACCACAACCTCCGCCTCCCGGGTTAAAGCAATTCCCCTGCCTCAGCCTCTCAAGTAGCTGGGATTACAGGTGCCTGCCACCACGCCCAGCTAATTTTGTGTTTTTAGTAGAGACGGGGTTTCTCCGTATTAGTCAGGCTGGTCTCAAACTCCTGACCTCAGGTGATCCACCCACTTCGGCCTCCCAGAGTGCTGGGATTACAGGTGTGAGCCACTGCACCCAGCAGGCCATACTCCCATTTTTTAGACGAGGTTAGCAGAGGGGCCATCGGCCATCTTCCAGCTGAGCTGATGTTTCGTTCTGGCCTGCTGGCCTCAGGAACTCTCCTCCTCCACCCTCAAATGTGACTGCCTGGTGGGGTGGTGATGGGGACTTCCATCCCCACACTGGCTGCAGCTGCTCTTCCTGCTGACGGATCTGCTCCTGTGCCCCGGGAAGACGTTCAGTGAGATTCCTCCATCAGAGGTTTTGTTTACTGCTTGGGAAACACCAAAAGAATTTGAATCAGTAAATATCCCAAAATACACTGAAAAAATTGCGATCTGCGGCTTTGGCTGCCTTCACATCTTGCTCCATAAAACAGCCTTTGGTTTTTTATCTTCTGCCATTTACAAAACACACACCCACACAACAAAGACCCCTGCATCTGGATGGAATTAATTTCCAGGTCACATATTTTTCATTACATTTACAAAAGTTTTTTAAAGACCTGAATCTTCCCAGCTGGCTGACCACAGGGAGGGCCAGCCGTGGCAGGCCAGGGGAGTGGTTTCAGCATAGTGCCCATGGCCTGGGCGTCCCCGCCTGCCACCTCCAGGGTGGTCACCTCACAAGGAAGGGCGAATCAGCAAAGGCAACACCCCCCGGCAGGCAGGCCCCTCCCTTCCCTGACAGGGAGGATGAGCTGGGAGGGCCGGGGGTCATGTCATGTGTCAATTGCAGCAAGCTGGCTGCAGAGGCCAGGAGCCCGGCAGTAAACACACACACACACACACACACACACACATTTACAATGACACACTGATCTGCACGGTGCCCCAAGGAGGGAGGACAGGGACTCGCCCTCAGTTCCTGGTAGAGGGTGGGCCGGGACAAGCAGGCACACCACGCAGGTACAGGGGACCCCTCTTTGGACATCTATCCTAGATTAAACCATGGAATTCCCCCAAGATCAGCTCACTTGAAGTCAGAGAGGGACCTGGGTCCAGCTCCCAGTGCTGCCACTCACCAGCTGTGTGGCCTTTGGCAAGTGACTTTGCCTCTCTGGGTCTCATTTCCTCATGTGTGACATGGGAACACTAGCTCCTCCCTCATGGTGCCATTGCACGGATTCAGAAGCACAGGGCACTGGCGCATAACAATTGCCAGTGTTTTTATTAGCTGCTGGCGCACAAGACATGCAGCCTATAAACTCCAGGGAAGTTAGTATCAAAGCAGCCACTGTCACCAGCCCATTCTCAGCTGTCAGTATGTGTTGGTGTCAGTATTTACAGCCTAAGGCTGAGTGCTGGGCTCATAAAGACAATTTGAACCCCAACCCCGCCTTCAGGGCCCTCCCAATCTCCAGGGGCAGACAGTCCTACAAAACAACAAAGACAACAGTGTGTTCTGGGAAATCCAGTGGCTTTGAGAATGCAGGGTAGGGGTTGGACTGACAAGGAAGGCTTCCTGGAGGAGGCGATATCTGGGCTAAGACACAGTGCCAGGGCCAGCTGGGTGTGCAGGAGGTAGGCAGGGGTTCTGGAGAGAGGTGCAGCATGGACAAAGGCCTCCAGGCAAGAGAGATGTTGGGCTGGAGCAGCATTTCTTTTCTTTTTTGTTTTTCTTTTTTTGAGACGGAGTCTCGCTCTGTCACCCAGGCTGGGGTGCAGTGGCGCAATCTCAGCTTACTGCAAGCTCCACCTCCCGCATTCACGCAATTCTCCTGCCTCAGCCTCCTGAGTAGCTGGGATTACAGGCGCCCGCCACCACACCCAGCAACTTTTTTTTTTTTAATTTTTAGTAGAGACGGGGTTTCACCGTGTTAGCCAGGATGGTCTCGATCTCCTGACCTTGTGATCCACCGGCCTCGGCCTCCCAAAGTGCTGGGATTACAGGCATGAGCCACCGCGCCTGGCCCCTGGAGCAGCTTTTCTACCTGAGAACCCGGGTGGCCGCAGCCAAGGCAGTGTGCTATAGTGGTGAGGAGCGCAACTCTAGAGCTCAGCTGCTGAGTTCAAATTCTGCTTCTGCCCCTTAATGGCTGTGAGCTCTTAGGCAAGTCTCTTAATTCCACCGAGCCTCAGTTTTCCATCCGTAAAGCAGGGATGACAATGATGAAAAAGCTGTTTCCTCCCGTGGTTGCGTGAGCATTAAATGGGCTAACGTGGGAAGCAGGTAGGGGAACGAGCGTCCACTGCCACTTCTGGTACTATTATTTCTTGGCCCAGTGGTTCGAGGCCCAGCCTGTGGCCCAGCCACACCCCCAGCTGGCATCCTGGACCCCTTCTGCGGACAGCATCTGCACACAGCTGCCCTGCCTCCCCTTTCCCCGTCTCCTCCCTCAGCCCCCGTGGCTGCTGCCATGGGAACCACCGAAGAAAAACCTGGCACTTAGAGCAATTCCGTGGGGGCTGCAGCAGGGAGGGTGCTGGGGAAAGCAGGAGGGCCTGGGAACTGGAGCCAGGCCTGACTCCTCGGTCTACATGGACATCTACCCCGGGGACACCTGCCCCAGCATACTGGATGGGGCTGCAGGCCTCTTTTTCCTGGAATTCCTGGAAGGAATTCCATATCCAGATGCCTCCAGGAAAAGCTAGCCTCTCTTTAACAGTCTCTTTTTAACATAAGGCCGCTGGGGCCTGGCTGTCAGTCATTTACACCTTAGCATGAGCGAGCCCATCAGTCTGATGCAGGCTTCATGGTGGTGGGGGCTGGGAGGTGGGGGCAAGGAGGCAGCAAGGACGCACAGTGACCGGGAGCTGTGGGATTACAGCTACAAAGCCTAAGCACTGGCCTACAGCTGCTCATGGGATGTGCTCAGGACATGCAGAGACCTCCCAGCCAGGAGCTCCCAGGCACCCGAGCAGCATCTTCAGGCCAAGAACTTGGCCAAGTGAGAGGAGGGAAGGCATTCTAGGCAGAGAGCGAAAGCGAGCTTCCCCGGCCCTGGGCTCAGCCCTGGTCAGGGCCAGAGGAGCCCAAGGGAAGCAGCCCCCATCTTCCTACAGAGGCCACTGCTGGCGCCAGGGCTGACCTAAGCCTGGGAAGATCTGGAGCCTGGAAGTCGAGACTGGGAGAGGCCTCATGCTCATCTCCTCCAGGCCCAGAGACAGGCAAGGGTTTTCCCAGGCCACACAGCAAACCAGGCAGAGGAAGAATTAGAACCAGGTCTCCGGGTTCCGGGCTGGCCCCTTCCCCCCAGCCTCAAACAGGGTCTTAAAGGATCTGCTGCCCGCGAGACCTCCGTCTGGGCGAGAGCGAGGTGAGTCTCTCCCTGGGGATGTGCAGCGGTGGCGTGTACAGGCCGGACACTGGCTCCATTCACGCCTCCTCGACACCAGAAGCGCACACCCACCCAAACACATGCCTGCAGCAGGGAGCAGACGGAGGCGGCGCCGGAGTGATTAACAGATCGGTGGCTTCAGGCAGCCACAGCCCCTGGCACGCACTGTTAGGGCTCGGCAGCTCCAGCTGCTGTGGCAAGCCCTGGACACCATCCACTCTGGGCACAGGTCGGGGAGACTTGGACCCTGGCCCTGGGGAAGGGTGTGGGAGACAGATGTGGCTCTGGGTGACAGGGGCTGGGTTTGAGGGAAACTCAGGGCTGTGGGCCAGAAGACAGGCTTGACCCAGCTGCGTAGGAGGGTCAGGGTGTCCGGAAGACTTCCTGGAGGAAGTGATCTTCGACAAAGGGCCGGTGGGAGGTAGGCAGGGGAGGAAGGGGGCAGGGAAAGAAGGCACGGCCTGTGCAAAGGCCGGGTGCTGGAGCGCAGACCCTGTCTGCAGTGGAGTCGGCTGACACCGGGAGAGCCAGGCTTCACAGCGGGCTTCCAAACCCTCCCGCAACTTTGGCCACCTCTGCCTGAGGAAGGCAGAGCAGCCCTCGGTGGGGAAATGTTGGGCAAATGAATAACAGAAGTGAGGTCATGGGGCCCGGACAGCCCCAGCCATGCACAGCCTGGTCGTGTTGAGTGAAGGGGACCCCTGGGGGAGGCTGAGAGAGGGTCTAGAGGGCAGAACCTGATGCCTCTGCTCTTGGTCCAGCAGGATGGGGAGGACCTCCGTCCTCACAGCAGGGGTGAGGCAGTGAGAGCATCCCGGGTGCCAGGAACAATGTAGGCAAAGGTGGGGCAGGGGCACCTGCAGGAAGGAGGGAGAGGGCAGACCAAAACAGCACCAGGTAAAGGAAGAGGCTGCCATGTCCTGGGAGCCCCAGATGCCAGCTCAGAATTCCCCCCAAAGTGTCTGACTCTGTGGGACCCTCAGGGATCCCAGCCCAAGGACTCAGGGTCCTGGAGGATGCCCAGGTGGGGACCAGGCCCGGGCAGTGGATTCCAGGGAAGGAGGCGAACAGGCAGGCAGAGGAGAGGGAGCCAAGGCCCCGCCCTCCAGAGGGGCTCAGTACCCTCCTCCCGGGGACCCCAACATAGCCCCAGGACACATTCTCTAATCAGCCCCACTGATGAAGCCGGCCTGAGCTGGACTGCTCCCCTCTGCTTGCTCACTCCCTCTCTGTTTGTTCGCAGCAATTACACCGCCTTGTTGGGAGTGTGGATCTATGGATTTTTCGTGTTGATGCTGCTGGTTCTGGACCTTTTGTATTACTCGGCAATGAACTACGACATCTGCAAGGTCTACCTGGCACGGTGGGGCATCCAAGGACGATGGATGAAACAGGACCCCCGGCGGTGGGGGAACCCCGCTCGGGCCCCTCGGCCGGGTCAGCGGGCCCCACAGCCGCAGCCTCCCCCAGGCCCGCTGCCACAAGCCCCACAGGCCGTGCACACATTGCGGGGAGATGCTCACAGCCCACCGCTGATGACCTTCCAGAGTTCGTCTGCCTGGTGAGTGGCTACAATTGAGACCCAGAATGATTTGGGTCATTGTCTTTGGAGAGCTTGGAGAATACGCCATCACTCTCGCCATAGTGTTTGGCTCATTGGTTGCCTGATTGTTTGCTTATCTTGTTGTTTGCCAAGAAAAATTTCAAACTGTTATGGGTAGCCTACAACACATGCCTAGACAGGAAAGTCAAAATGAGAGGTGGAAACAGAGCTTAGAAGCAAAGCTTGCAAGCTCATTGCGCTTAGAGCCCAGTGTGAGAGAGGTAACCACTAAACATTTAGTGGAGTTTTGGGTTACCTAGCTGCCAAGGCAAAGGGGAAAACCGGATGGCTTTTTGAGTTGTAAATCTGGCCAAAGGAAGCAAATCAGTCTGTCCAGCCAGATTTTTCAGCATGAGGTTAGAAAATACAAATGTTACTTAGTTCCTTATGTGTACATGCCTTGTATGGCATGAGGGGTACTAGTTCTGACTCAGGCAGGCTGTGAAGGAAGGAAGGAAGGAAGGAAGGAAGGAAGGAAGGAAGGAAGGCAGGAAGGCAGAGAGGTGGCATCTCAAGGGTTGGCCTTGTGGGGTGGCTGCCCCAGGGTTATGTTCAGATCTGAGCTTGTCTACTGCAATTCCCATTTCCGCCCAGTTCCAGTATGGTGGGGATGGGCCTGACCTAATCCCAGGCGGCCCTGGGTAGTGCAGCATCTAGAGTTGGAAGGGGAGAGGCAGGGTCTGTGCGTTTGGAGCAGGAACTCCCTGGGAGGCTGGCTAGCACCAAGGACAGGAGCCAGACTGAGGGTCGATTCCCAGGTCAAGGGCTAGAGTGAGAGGTTCGGATGCTCTGTGGGGGCTGAGCTGCAGCCATGGGCACACAGGGCTCAGGGCACGTCATCCAGGGACATCATGATACCAAGCCCAGGCTGCAAGACCCATCCCAGAGCCCCCTTGCTGGAGGGGTGCAGGAGTTTGCCGCACAGTGACCCCTGGGTTCATGTGCAGGAGCTTTGCAGGTAACCTAACCTGGGTCTGAGTCCCGGCTCTGCCATTTACCTGCTCCTTGACTTCGGGCATGAGATTTCACCCCTCTTAACCTTCCGATCCTCGTGAAGGAGGAGTGGGTAAGACTGCCCCCTCCCAAGGATTAACTGTGCACCTACCTGGCACATAGTAGGTCCTCAGTTAATCCTTGCTGCCTCCTCTTTGGAGGCAGCAATGACGTGAGTTAGTGATCGTTCACATAGCTAGCAGGTAGTGACCTTTTCAATTATTATTAAATAATTAATAAGATGCATAAATCAGCTTGTGCTTATCGATTGAATAATGACACCATCCATCACACAGGAGACAAAGACACAGCCCTGTGTGGCTCGGTTTGACAAATGCTGGCAGAGTGGGTCCTTGGGCAGGGGTTTGTGCCAGGCTCTGGGGGATGTGGAGGTGATGGGTAGAGAAGAAGCCAGCCTCCACCCTTGAGCAGTGGGGACTCCAGAGAGCTACAGACAATAAAATGTCTGTTGGCAGGACCCAAGAGTGGGGTGTTCTGAAATGTGGATCCTTTGCAACAGACACACCTAGAGGGTTTGTCAAACTAAAGACCCAGAGCCTACTGACCAGGCATCTCTGAGGGTGATGCTCATAGGCACTACAGCTCAGGAGGCACTGGAAAACGTCTATAAGAGCCAAGCTTTTTGATAGCTGAGAATCTTCCGTTTAAAACGGTGGTCCTCCCCCACTCCCGCACCTTTTGCATGCACATACATTTGGAATAAATAGCTCACACCTCGCCGAACACTTGCCAAGGGGATGGAGGATGTCGTGAGCACCCTGCACTCAGCACCTGGGTGCTGTTTTCCTGCCCCGGCCTCAAGGTCTTCCATTTCCTACGTCACTGTGCTTGCTGCTAACAGCTCCCCGATCTCATCCTGCCCAGAACGTTTTTGCCTGTCTCAGCAGCAGTTCCCACCCTACCCCTGTTCCATATTGCTTTTCCCCAACAAGCACACATTGTGCACCTGCTGTGTGCCAGGCACTGTGCTATGCCATCAGGATGCAGAGAGCTTGCCAAGCCTGCAGGGATTGTGCACGGAGCCTGAGTGGGCAGCTGAGCTCCAGGTCCAGGTGGGACACTTTTCCTTTTGGAGCTCAGAGGCTCTTCGTCTTTCCTGACCGTCCTGAGTGCAGGCTCAGGAAGGTGTTCCCATCACCCTGTGAGCGTGAAAAAAGGTTGTCAGAACCCACAAAGGTGTGGTGCAGGATAAGGGAATAGCCAGTCCCTGGCTGGATTCACGGGCACCGTCCCACTCCCGCTGTGCTCTTTGACACGCAGCGTGACTCTGGGTGAGGAGCTTCCTTTTTGGGCTTCAGTTTTGCCAGTTGAGGAACCAACGTGAGAGGGGATTTCATTTGGAGATCAGGGAGGAGCCTCCTTTCCTGCCACTCCAAGGTCCTCCCAGCTGTGTGACCCAGGACATCTCCAGCATTATAGCTCTGACTGTAACCCGACTAGGTCCCTGGTCCCCGGGTGGCCCAGCCTCCATGTGGTGTCCCAGTCAATGAAACACCACTTGGCACCCAAACAGCCATTACAAACGCCCTCTGCGGCCCTCCTCGGGCACACTGGAGAATGTCCAGGCAAGGAGTGTGGACCAGGGAGGTTCTTGAACACTCATCAGCCCCTGGAAAGGCTTCTGTTCCCCTCACAGCCCTCTCAGGAGCCTCCTGCTGAGTGCCGCTGCTCTTCAAAATCTCTCTTCACTTCTGCTTTCACCTCCAGAAGTCTCCTATGAGCCCAGCCTCTGTGGCTTCTCTGCCTTTCTCCCCTGCCCACCCCAGCTCTTTCTCCTGCGAATGAATCCAGCTTCTCCAGCTCCTCAGGGCTCCCTGTGCAGGGGCAGCAGGAGGAAGACAGCTGCAGACACACCCACATCCCCTGAGCTCCTGGAGTCTCCTAATGAGGCCAGCCACTTCTGGGGAGGCTTAGTGGGACCCAAGCAGTGGGTCAAGGACCACCGCAGGGGGGACAGAGACAGGAGGCCAAGGCACTGCCAGGACAGGGCAGTCAGGTGATGCCAGGGGAGGTGGAGGCAAGGGGCAGCTGTGCTGGGGGCCAGGACTGCCTCAGTGCCCAGGAGTTCCCTGCCCCTGGCTCCCACCCTGGCTGCTGCAGCGGGAGGGCCCACGGTGGGCGGGGAGCAGATCCCAGAGCTGGGGCAGAGGAGTAAGCTGGGCGACTGCTGGGCCCAGCCTCAAGGCCTTCGGCTCCCCAGCGGAGGCCGGCACAGCCTCCCCTCTCAGAAACCCCTTGGGTTTGGTGGGTGAGGGCCCCGAGGCAGCCCCCAGGCCACCGCTGAACAGCAGTATTGAAGGCCCTGGCGGCAGTGGCTCAGCCCCACACAGCCCCCGCCTCTTGGTCCCCACAGACACGCACTCCATCAATCATAAGAAATGTGATTTTCCTGCCAGCTGGCTGGGCAAAATCCAAGTGCTGCCGAATCGCGTGGCCAGGCAGGTGGGGCGTTGTGCCGTCCCCCGCCCGTGGGATTTATAACTGAGTTAGGAGCCAGCAGGGGCGTCAGGAGTGGTGCAATGGTCACAATGCTCAGCTGCCTTCGTTTAATTTCACGGAGAAGCGGGGCTTTCCCTCCGCTTAGTAGCTACTGAACTCAGACTGTGAAGTTTCTTGCTCAGATTCTCTGGACTGTGTCTTCTCTGGTGACCCCAAGACTCCACCCGTCATTTCCTCCTGAAAGTAGTCAGGACAACCCCTGAGGGCCCAGAGCCCAGTGTGACCCAGCAGGCACCCCAGGGACACCGCACCTGCGACAAAGTGCCTTCGTCACCTAACGGTGTCTCCTTCGCACTGTGGAGGTCCTGGGTTTTCCTCCCAGGCGTAGAGAGCCTCTCTAAGCACCTTGGCCCTCCTTGCACAGTTGCACACTCAGTTCACAGCGCGGCAGGAGGCAGCACTACCCCCTACACACACAGACACAAACACACACACATACACACTCACACACACACACTTCCACCAGTATTCAGCCCAGCCAGGCCCTCCCACCAATCCCCGACCTGACCTCACTATCTGGACCTCCGTCCTCCTGCTGGACTCCCTACCCTTGTCAGTTGTGCAGTGGTGTGCAGCTCCCCCGACCAGAACCTCAGCCCGACTCAGGGCCCCAGCACATAGTAGCTGCTCAGCAAATCCCGTGTAAGGGATGCAGCAGGAGCATCAGCACTAGGGGTCTGGGACAGGGTCTGGGCTGAGCCTTCTCTCCCCTCAGGTGGCGGGCCCTGGTCCCCTCACCCTGACAGCCCAGGTCTCACCTCTGTACAGCCAGGGCCCACCTCAGGCTAAAGGAGCAAGCAGTGGAGGGGGCACCGAGGGAAGCTGCTGTGCCCCCAGGGTTAAGCCAGGCCCGAGGATGTTGCCACGTTCCTGCCACATGCTGTGCTGTCATCATCACTGAGGCTGTGGCCTGGGTCCTGGGAGGTGCCGCTCTCATGGTTGTGATGGTCATTATTGTTGCTGTCTCAAATCCGGGGCACAGGCAGTGGCTCCCAGTCAGACACACCCACCTGGCCCCGCCAGTGCCGCACAACCTGCCTGCCCCGAGCCTCCCCTGCCTGAGCCTCAGTGTCCCTATCTGTAAACTGGGCAGGGCTGGCCTCTCAGTGCAGTTGTGAGGACCTGATGGGGGCTGACATCCTCCTGGGACACCCAGCTCCACTCCCCATTGTCCCCACCTCCCTCCCTCCCCCATGCATCCACATTCCCATCTCTGAGAGAGGGCCTCGGCTGCCTCCTAGCCTGCTCCCTAGCCCTTGGTGGCCTGACTCTGCCTCCCTACCTGAGCGGCCCCCTCCTGAAGCTTCAGGCTGCTGTTCAACACCCTGTAAGACCTGCAGGGCCCAGCAGAGAGTGCTGGGAACCACGGTTAGTGCTTGACTTTAGACACTGCCCCCCTTGGTATTTCCATGGACTCTTGTCACTCCCACGCTGGGGACTGGGCTCAGCAGGACACCTCATCACCTTGTGTGGATGAGTGAACTTGGGCCCAGGGAGGGTCAGTGACTTGCCCAAGGCCACACAGTAGATCCATGGTTTTGAGCCAGGGTCTTCCCAGCCTATGTCAGATCCTGAGCCGACTGCCACCTGGGCCTCACCTATCTCAGAGCCTCCCCCCACCTCACTGCCCATGCCTTCCAACCCAGCCTTGACCCCTCAAATCCCTTGCAGATTCACACCTCCTTGCTTTTGACTCAGTTCTCTTCCCAATGTGCTCTGCCCCACATCTCCCTGGGGAACTCCTATTCATCCTTCAAAACCTGCCCTGAGGTCTAGGGGCCTGAGTGGGGATGGGGGATGGGGAGTGGCTGGAAGAGAGGAGGCTGCCTAGCCCCAGCCCTCCCAGCCCCCAAGCCCTCGCAGGCTGTCAGAGTTCAGGGAAAAATTCCCAACTTGGCTCAAGGGGATCGATCATGTGTACATCTCAGATCTTAAGGGGTATCCAAATCCCCTGGGTCTTGTTGGGTTTGCAAATTCTGATGCCTAATGATGGGGTAGGCCTAGGATTCTGCATTTATAGCAAGTTCCTGGGAGATGCTGATGCTGCCTGTGGGGCATGCAGGGACAGGGCAGAGCAGCCATTAGAGCCTGAGCACCTCTACAGTGCTGGCTCCGTCACCCTGGACCCTGGGGACTTCAGGCCACCTGAAGAGACAGGAGCCCAGCAGGGGCGGGGGGATGTCCAGAGTTCCTCTCCATCCATTGGCCTCTGCCTACCAGCAAAGCCCCAGTACCACCGTTTCTCACCTTATTCTCCCTGCGCCTAGAACCCCTCAAGCTCTTTGCAAAACTCATTCGTCCTCCCCTGTGAGGTCCCAGAGTTCACCCAACCCCAGAACCTTCTCCTGCTGAAACCCAAGCATCATGTTCTTCCTGGCTCTGCAGCCAGGGTCCTTGGCGTGTGGTTTCTGCAGGGAGGGTGCCAGCCAACAGCAAGAAATTCCAGAAAATGAGGAGACTGAAAAGGGAGATGACCAAATATCTTCTTTCCTTGGCGTAACATCAAATACCAAGGAGGCTTCTGTGATTGGAATTCAGAAGACAGTTGATGTCCTGAGTGGGGATGGAGTTGCAGCTCCTTGGGGGTTCCAGCTAGACCAGGAAACTGGGCTGTCCCCTCCAGTTCCTGTCTTTTCCCAGCTGGGGCTCAAGAAGGCGCGCGTTCCCTCCTTTGCTGGCTCTCTGGGCTGCTTTCCGTTTGTTTGGACAGCTTGGCTAAAACCCCGGAGGCTGTCCATTCATCAGTGTCACTCCGCGGTGGTGGGTACCATGGGCGGCAGGCGGGTGGTGACAGAAAGGCTCAGAACCAGTGACTCCACCTGCTGTGTGTCCTCGGACGAGTTGCTGGCCCTCCCTAGTCTCAGTGCCTGCCCTGGACAGTGATGGTGATGAGAGCCTGCCCTGGACAATGATGGTGATGAGAGGTCCCGAGGGTACACAGTGGGACTGCAGGGAATCTCCTCCTCCTACCCACGCCCTGGTGCCCAACTGTGCAGACTCCCCAGAGTGCAGGCTACAGTCCCAGCCTCTAGGAACCCTCCTCAAGCCGAAGCCTATGCTGCTCCTCCCGCCGCATCCTGGATGTGGCTGACTGTGGCCCAGCTAGGATCCACATCACCACGACCCACGGAGGCCCCTGAGGTGCATCGGGACCCCTGTGACAGCTGCAGAGTTTCTCCTCACCCCTTCTCCTGGGGAACACAACTCCTTGACCCCTCTCTGTACCCCCAAAGGTTCAGGGGGGCATTAAGATGCGTGGAGAGGCCCGTTCACCCGGAGCCAGCACACAGGCCGCCCCTGGGGGCTGCGGTCATGTTGCTATTCTTTTTCCCTGCCTTAATACCTACCTCCTTCTCCTCAGCACTCCCCCAAGGGACAGTCGCAGTTTCCTCTGTTTTTCTGCTTCATTTTCCACCATAAAGGTGCCCCTGCTTGCTGGAGGACTGTATTAGTCAGGGTTCCCTAGAGGGACAGAACTAACAGGAGCTATATAAAGGGGAGTTTATTAAGTAGTAGTAACTCACACGATCACAAAGTCCCACAATAGGCTGTCTGCAGGCTGAGGAGCAAGGAAGCCAGTCTGAGTCCTAAAGCTGAAGAACTTGGTTGGAGTCTGATGTTCAAGGGCAGGAAGCATCCAGCACAGGAGAAAGATGGAGGCTGGGAGGCTAGGCCAGTCTCACCTTTTCACATTTTTCTGCCTGTTTTATGTTCAGGCCACGCTGGCAGCTGATTAGATGGTGCCCACCCAGATGAAGGTGGGTTTGCCTTCCCCAGCCCACTGACTCAAATGTGAACCCCATTTGGCAACACCTTCACAGACACACCCAGGATCAATACTTTGCATCCTTCAATCAAGTTGACACTCAGTATTAACCATCACAAGGACACTGCCAGTGTGGGAACCAAGTGACCTCACCATCACCCGCAGGGCTCCGTGTCCCTCCAGCCTGGCCGGTCATCAGGGCAGTGTTGTCATCCTGCACATAAAATGGTGTGTCTTGGGTTTTTAATTCAACATTATGTCCCGTCGAGCCTCTCGTGTGATGGAAAAGTGTTCATAACCACCCTGCAATGGCTGTGCTAATTGTCCAAGGAGCAGGCGGTGGCCCATAACCCAGTGATCCACTTCCACCTCAGGCCATGGGGGTTCCTAATTTTCTAGCCTGAAATGGTTCTCTTTTAGCCTCTGTGAGCACGCCTCTGTCTCACGCCCAGGGTCCTTCGGCCTCCAGGGAGAGAGGGTTTCCAGCTCTCCAGCACTGCCTGGAACCTGCTGTAGGGATCCCCTCCACATCCCTGCCTAGGAGGTGCGGCCCAGCGATCCAGCACTCACTCACCCTCCAGGAAGCTGGCCTCGGTTTGAATAGCCCCACCTGCCATGAGGCTGTTTTGTTTTGTTTTGTTTTGTTTTGTTTTGTTTGGAGGCAGAGTAGTTGAGTTAGGAGCAAAGGCTCTTGGAGGCAAACAGAACTGGGTTCAAATCCCAGGTCCCCTGTTTTGAGGTACCTGGAGGGCCTCCAGCAGGCAGCTTGCCCCTCCTCACCAGGACAGTGGGTGACAGAACTGGCCTCTCAGGTGCTGTCTGCTTAAATGAGAGGAAACGCGGAAAGGCCCTGGCACGGAGCAGCTGCTCTGCAAATGCTTGGATCCCTCTCCCGGCATCGCGTCCGTGAGCCTTCCCCACTGTTCACGGCTCTGTCCAAGACAGTGCTCAGCTGTCCCAGCATTCACGGTCCACCAGACTAAGCACTGGTCAGCCAGGGGAGGAGCAGCTAACACAAAGAAAGGGTTTCAGTGGATGAATAGGAGTTCGCCAAAGTGGGGAAAGGGCATCCCGGCAGAGAGAGCAGCTTAGGCAGAGCCTCGGAGGAGGGAGGGGCTGAGGGGAACTGGGGAGCCCTGGGTTCTCTGCACCGCAGGGTCCTGGCTCCTGGCCCCTCATCGCTGCCCTTCTTGTTCCTCTTTGCAGCTCGTTCATCATCTGCCTGATCTTAGACACAAGCGCTCCTCCCTTTCACTTCTCTCTCATTTCCACCCACCCCTGGGGACCCCACCCGGATCCACAGCTCCAATCCTGTCCACCTCCCGTTCTTTCTCCCTGGTCTCTCTCCCCTGAATCCAGATCTGCTGGTCATTGCAGAGCCTAGTCCTCAAGGGCAGCTCTTGGATGTCCCATAGACGTGGGGGACCGGCACATCCACATCCCCGCTGCCTCCCACCATCTCCTTGGCTCCTCCCTTTCTTTCCTGCTTCACGTGTTCCATGAGCAATACCTTGAAAATGAAGCCAGAATCCACCCCATACCCACCCCTCCACTGAGATCAGCCCTCCTTGTCCATCTTCTCTGGCCAGGATGGAGGCAGCTGCCTCCACATATCTCCCTGACACCAGCCTTTGTCCCCGACAGCAGCAGCGTGATCTTTTAAAAACATTAAGTCAAGACCCGCCGATGGCCTCCTTCACACTTAGGAATCAAAATGCTTTCCTTGGCCAACAATGTGATCTGACTCCACCGCACCCCACTGTCCCTCTGTCCTCATCTCCCCACACTGCCGCTTGCTGCAGCCACACCAGCCCCGCTGCTGTTCCCTCCACCCAGACCTCTCTCCTCCTGGATCCCAGCAGGGCTCACTCCTCCCTTCCACAGCCCCTGTTCAGAGTCACCCGATCAGAGGGGCCTTCCCTGGCCAAGGTTTACAAAATAGAAGCAGCCACCTCCCCCCGTCACTTTGTCCCTTTGTCCTCCTTCAGCTGCCTCATCATGTGCACCGCCGCCTGACATCACGTTTGCTTTGTGGCTTTGTGCCTGTCTCCTCCACTGGATGGAAAACGCGGGAGAGTTGGGATTGGTGTTTCTTGTGCTCAGCTGTGACCCCAGCACATAGAACAGGGCCTGACACATAGTAGGTGCTCAATACATCCATGTTGCATGAATGAATCTTCCTGCCCCGTGCCTTGTGCACAGAAGGCACCTAGACAGTGTCCAATCAATGAGCTGCATTATTACTGTAACAGTAGCTCCCATTTATTGAGGACTTGCTGAGCTAAGCAGCTGCAACAAATTGTGCCATTGAGCCTCCCCAGCTGCACTGCAGCTTGGCCATCCCGAGCCTCATTTTATGAAGGAGACACCAAGGCTCGGAGAGAGATTGCTGGGAACTGCACGGCAGCTGGGTCAGAATTGGAACCCAGGTCTGGTGGACTCCAAAGCCCACATCCTTGTACTGGGAAGAGCAACGTCTCCGCCTTTACTTCGCTTCCTGTAAGAGCTAACCCTGAGATAATGCCACCCCATGCCGGCTGCATAGCTGCCTTATGGTTGTGGGTTCTCTGTGCAAGGTAGGCCTCACCCATCCCCCAGGCAGGACCTCAGGGGTCCCCCAAAGCACCTGAGATCTGGCCCACAGGTGTCAGTGAAACAAGTCCTCTCTGGTCTGGGCCCAGGAGCTTCCCGAAACTCAGCCTCGCTTCTGATCCGCCGTCGGCCCCTTCGCGGGCTGCCAGGCAGGGGTTTAATTGAGGTGATGGTGCCAGCTTGGTGTGTGCTCGGTTGGGGTGCGTGGTTGGTTTTGTTTGCTTTCGGGGTTTGTCTTTTCCCCTGCACCATTTGTGAAGGTCTTTCCCAGCCCTGGGAATCTTTCCGGAGGTGGCAGGTGTACTCTTCTCTTCCACCTGGCAGCTCCCCACCTCCCTCTGCAAACCACTCCCCACCAGAGGAGGGCCCGGCAGAACAGAAGGTAAAAACGCAACACCCACGCTTAGTTTTAATACAAGTTTACGTTGAAAACCTAGCTGTACTCTAGCAAACCCGCAGAGGGGTGAGCTGCATAGTCTTCGAATCAGAGCTGAGTTCAGATCCTGTCTACGGGCCAGTGGGCAACTGCAGGTAAGCCAGTAGCTCCCCTGAGCCTCAGTGTTCCCGTCAGTACAATGGCCACAAGTGGCCTTAGGTTGTGGGACGATTGTTAGGACTGGAACAGAGCCCGGCCCATGGCAGATGCCTCAGGAAATGCTAACTGTGATTATTATTGCGACTATTATTTGAGGAGTAAAAAATAGGAAAAGAAAAGCCGCTCGGGATCCCGCTCACACACAGATAGGACTGCTTTGCGTTTTTCTCCCTTCTAATGCACACCTGCTTTTGTGTGTCTCTAATGATGATGTGCCTTCTGATTTTGTTCTCCTATTGAATCAGCGATGACCCTGCGATTTTACCCGACCTTTCTAAATACCATTTCAGCGGCCACCCAGTTGTCCAGATTCCATGTGTGGGATTCCCTACAGCGGGGCGTTTATACAACGTATAATTTTTTTTATTAATACGATGATAAATAACACCAATCCCAGCTCTCCTGGGGGCAGGAGGAGGAGACATACTCCAGAAAACAGCAGACACCTTTGTGAATTTGTGGCCTTTCCCTTTCTGGAATGATTTCCTCCAGATAGATGCCAGGCAGGGAGATTCCTGAGTCCAGGGGGTGGACAGTTTTATGGGTCTCGATTCCAGCGCCAGCCTCATTCCCAAAGGGCTGGTGCAGTGAGGCAGCTTTTGAGGGCACTGGATTTGGGGCACCCTCTCCAGCATGGGGTGCCCCTATTTCTATACAGTTTGCATTTCTTGAGATGGAGTCTCATTCTGTCGCCCAGGCTGGAGTGCAGTGGTGTGATCTTGGCTCACTGCAGCCTCCCTCCGCCTCCCAGGTTCAAGTGATTCTCCTGCCTTGGCTTCCCGAGTAGCTGGGATTACAGACACCCACCACCACGTCCGCCTAATTTTTGTATTTTTAGTGGAGACAGGGTGGGTGGGGGGGAGGGGGGGGCCGGGAGGTTCACTATGTCAGCCAGGCTGGTCTCGAACTCCTGACCTCAAGCAATCCACCTGCCTCAGCCTCCCAAAGTGCTAGAACTACAGGCGTGAGCCACCGCGCCCAGTCTGTTTGCATTTCTTTGATGGTTCTTGAGATAAAACACCTGTCCTTTCATTTGTTAATTAATTGTATTTCCTCTCTTGTGAGTTGCCCATTTGTTTTACTGCACCCCCAAGACAGTTGAGGTTTGAAGCCATTTTCATAAAGCAACATTTATCCCCCACGTTTCAGTTCCTTGGTGTTCTTGTCTGTATACATCCCTCATTCTGTTTACTTAATACATTTTTAATTGACTTGAAATCAAGTCATGTTTGTAGAAAACTCAGATTTGCTGTAAGCAATACCATAGCTAGTTTAAGAGTTGTATTTTTCCTAATTTGCATTAAAACGAACAAGTAAACATATCCATTATGAGATGGGGCTGCATCACACTGGCTCAAGAGAGTTTAGGGTGTAGGAATTTTGGGAGCCTGTTGTTAAACACAGCCACTATTGCAAATTAGATAAACATGCAATTAAATACATTGTATTAAACACAGAGATAATACATCCTCAAAAGTATCACTTCTTAGTTCTTTTGCTACATTTACCATCATCTGTGCCGGTGACGGTATTTGCATCTGTTGTGTCTGTATGGTGGAAATCTATCAGTGGTGGCTACTTGTATCTCTTCCTGTCTTTGATTCAGTGACAGCACCAGTATTTACGCTCGGGAAATTGACAGCACGTGCTACAAATCAGGGTTTTCTTCCCCTGGGGAACAGGTTGTTAAATGTTTACCAGCTTGCCCCTGTGCATAATGGTCCAAATGCTAGTATATTTACCTCCTCACATAATCTCACTTGCTCCATTGATCTGTGAACTTTACTGTGGGAAGCCAATGTGGTTTTTTTTGTTTTTTTTTTGGAGACAGAGTCTTGCTCTGTTGCCCAGGCTGGAGTGCAGTGGTGCGATCTCAGCTCACAGCAACCTCCGCCTCTGGGGTTCAAGCGATTCTCCTGATTAGCCTCCTGAGTAGCTGGGACTACAGGCATGTGCCACCATGCCCAGCTAACTTTCTGTATTTTTAGTAGAGACAGAGTTTTGCCACGTTGCCCAGGCTGGACTTGAACTCCTAAGCCCAGGCAATCCGCCTGCCTCGGCCTCCCAAAGTTCTGGGATTACAGCCAATGTGTTTCTTATGTGCACATGAAACAGCAATCTAGTGTTTCCAGGGACACCCACAGACAGGCACCCAGGGCAATGGTAGCCAGGACAAGGGGCAAGGTGGTCCTGGGAGGCCAATTCATCGGCCCTTTGCAGCTCCTGGCCCTTCCCCAGGCAAAGAAAGCAGGGCAGATGAGGAGGCAGAAAGACTGGTCTGTGCCACACATCTGGGTATTTAGTCCCCCCCAAGGAAACGTCTTGGGCATCCTCTTTCAAAGCCTCCAGCCCTGTCCCTTTCTGTCTCTGGAACAATCCGTGTTTGTTGCATGGATGCAGCCCAGACAAGATTAATTTACTCATTTATTCAGCAAGCATTTATTGAGGGCTGGCTGCAGGCCATGCCCCGTGTTAAGTGCTGGGAACAGAAAGATGAAAAAGGCCGGGCCCCTGCTCTTAAGGAACTCTGTCCAGTGATGTGTAGAAAATCCATTCTGACCCTGCCCTGGCTTTGCTTGGAAAAATCAATGTCTTCAGCCAAAGGGTGAATATTCCTTAGGGAAGGTTTTTGGAAGTCATTTTGAAGACACACTTCTGGAATGAACTAGACCTAGCACAGCTATCTGGAGTTCAGATGGAGATTGTGTGTCTCTGGGCCCAGGGTGCAGCTGTTGGGAGAAAGGCAACTGCTCCCATTAGGAGCTTGGCAACATGACACACCTGTTTCTGGGGACGTGCTACCTGCAGCAGGCATCTTATAGAAGCCCCCTCCTCAGAGGTGGCTCCTATAATCCTGCCCCGGGAGAGACCCACACGGCTTCACCCAGCCAGTTTGGAATCTTTAGTTTGGAATCTTAATTAAAATGCCCTAACGCAGCAACTACTGTGCAAACAAAGATGCCAGCTTGCGTGAGTAATTAACAAAAGGACACTTCCACAAAGGCCCAGGCGAATCTGGGGGCTCGTGAATACGCCTCCAGCTCAGAGGATGCTCCTTTATGTTGATTTGACAGGAATTCCACATAATCACCCTCCGGGCTGCAGCAAGAGTAATATGGAAGAAGCGAGATCACCCTACAGAGAGAAGTGTGGTTGGGCCGGTGGCAGTAATGTTCCCAAAAAACCAATTTAGTTCAGGGGCCCTTAATAGGCCCGGCTCCCAGATTAGGCTTTGCAGGGCAGAGCGAGTGGAGAAGGAATTTATCTCCATCGACATGGGTCAGGGAGGACCATGGATTCTACTTTATTTCCCCTGCTATTAAAACCCTGGTCTTAACTGCTAAAATATTTCCTTCCAAGAATAGATGCTTGTTGGCAAATGTCTCCCAACATGGGCATTTTGGCTCCCATCAGAATGATGGAAACTGAGTTTTGCCCATGGGCTGGAGGGTGCTCACTCCCTGTTCCTCCTAAGCACCCTCCAGCTTGGACTTCCTGTAGCTTCTAAGGTGCCCCAGAGGGTGCTGGGGGAGAGGGGCACTTGTCAACTGATTGCTTCAGCTGTGAGCTCTGGGACTGAGCCTGTCACACCCTGTGTGCTGGGGCCTATGGCTTCAGGAATAGCTGGGTGCTGCAGGTGGGGGCAGGCAGGAACAATGGGCTCTGGAGCTGCCTGGGCTGGGCTTGGACTGGACTCTGTGCTGCCCAGCTGTGTGTCCTTGGGCAAGTTGCATCACCTCTCTGGGCTGTCATGTGGATATAGGCACAGGGAGTAAATGAGCTCCACCTGGCAAGGGGATCATGGGGATGAAATCAAAGGGGATGTGGGGAGGGCCTAGCTCAGTACCCCACTCATAGGAAGAACCCCCAAAATCTATCCTCTTTTCTTGTCTCTATCCACTCTGAGTGGGGAAAGAGGTCCCTGCTAAGTGTGCCTCCTTCACCTACCCCTTGTTTGAGGTTGCTCAGGGCTTACTCACAGCTTCTCTAGCCAGACAAGAAGAAGGAGATACTGTGCTACGTGGTTCTGTTGCCAGCCTGGCTGCTCTGGGCTCGTTGTATCCCAGGATCTGCTTCCCGGTGAGCTGGCTTGAGCTGTCTGAGACTTGGGAGGTGGAAGCAGCCGTCAGTGGTGCTGGTGGTCTCACTGGGCAGAGCCAGGGAAGCACAGCTGCAGGGGTGCACCAGGGCCCCCAGCGTCCTTGGGTTTTCCGTCTGTGTCCGGCTCTTCTTTCCGACCATCCACCCTAGGCTGGCAGATCCCTGTGACCCTCTCTGTGGTCTCACAGAGGCAGGATGGGCCTGGCTTCAGCCTCCATGCGAGCTGGCCCTGATGCCTCCCTGCCCGGCACTGCTGAGTGTCCCTTCTGTAAGCCTCCAAGGTCCCCCTCTGGACCTTCACTGCCCAGCTCCTCCCACAAGTGTGGAAACTCAAGTCCCTATCATAAATGCCCTATTCCATGACAGCCATGGCTGCTGTGTCCCTGCCTGGACTCTGACCAATACTGTTGTCACTTATGTTTCTAAGGGACACGTCCTTGTCACCCCACAGGGCCTTGAGCCCAGATGTGTCCCCTGATCAATGTGTACACTTACTGGAGTGCCGCTTACCTCCTCCCCAAAGCCATGAGTCAGTCTGTGGGACATCTCAACGTTGACGGCATCCAAGAGGGAGGGAGATTCGGGACTCAAGTCTGCAGGGTTGTCGAGATAGGAGAGAGTGGTTCCATTCGTTTAAGGGAAATATGGAGCCAGCGAAGTGTGGAGACTTCGTCAGGTGGGGTTTTGGCGAGAGGCCACTGCCACGCAGCTGACAGCAGCCAACCAGCAGGAATGGAGGCAGGGAGGCCCAGGGGGAGGCTATCACTGTGCCCGAGGCAGTGGGGGGACACAAAGCAGTATTTTGGAGGTAGTGCAGGCAGGACCCACAAAGGAATTGGATGTTGGAGGGGCACACTGAGGACAAGGACAACTCAGAGGTCTGACCCAAGAGACACGTGGTGTTGCTGCTGACCAGGAAGGACAGTGCTGGAGGGGCGGAGCTGGGCACAGGGTGGTGCATCGTTACCACCATGGGACGCCAGCACCAGGGGAGAGGCGGAGAGGGCAGAGGTGGGTCCTGAGGGGCTAGGACAGGTAAGAAGTGAGCAGGAGTCTGTGTGGCATGGTGTGTGCATTGTGTGATGTCTGTGTGGCATGGGTGTGTGTATGTGTTGTGAGTGTGTGGCTTGGTGTGTGTATATTGTGTGGGTCTATGTGACATTGTGTGTGTGTTGTTTGTGGCATGTGTGTGTATATTGTGTGGGTCTGTGTGGCGTGTGTGTGTGTATGGTGTGGTATCTGGCATGGTGTAGTGTGTGTAGTGTTGTATCTGTGGCATGGTGTGTGTGTATATTGTGTGGGTCTGCAGCATGGTGTGGCATGGAGTGTGTGTGTGTGTGTGTGCGCGTGTTGTGGGCGTCTGTGTGGCATGGTGTGTGTGTGTCTTCTGTCTGTGGCATGGTGTGTGTGTGTATTGTGTGGGTGTCTGTGTGTCATGGTGTGTGTGCATATGTACTCTGCATCTGTGTGACATGGTGTGTGTATGTGTATATTGTGGGTGTCTGTGCAGTATGGTGTGTGGCATGGGGTGTGTGTATGTGTGTTGTGGGTGTCTGTGTGGCGTGTGTGTATATATTGTGAGGGTCTGTGTGGCGTGGTGTGTGTGTATATATTGTGAGGGTCTGTATGGCATATGTATGTGATATTGTGTGGATCTGTGTGGCATGGTATGTGTGTTTATGTGTATTGTGGGTGTCTGTGTGGCATGCTGTGCGTGTGTGTATTGTGGATGTTTACTGTCCCGGGCAGTAGAAAGGACGTCGGGGAAGCAGCCCCAGCATCAGGGACAGGCCAGGAGTGCAGAATGCATGGAAGCTGGTCAGGTCGGAGCCCGGGATGAAGGAAGCACAGAGATGCAAGGGTGCCAGGGCCCATGGAACCAAGAGCCGATGATCAAGGCCACAGTGCACACAGCCCTGGAGGCAAAGGACATATTCATTTCACAAGGATTAAAAAGCATGGGCCAAGGCTGGGCCCCAGGCCAGGACTGGGGATACAGAGTGGATCAGTCCCCATCCCTGCCCCCAGGTGCTTACCCACACCCATTCACCTCACAGGTTTCCCCACCCCAGCCCCTTGGCGAGCTCCTCCTCATTCCTCAAAACGTCGCTGAGGTCACGCTCCTTCCCGAGGCCTCTCCCCATCCTCTAAAACACCCTCTCCCTGCTGCCCACTTGCAGCACAGTCAGAGAGCTCCGTGGCCTGTTTCCACTGGACTGAGTCTTCTGGGGGGTGCTGGTGCAGAGCAGAACCCTGGGCTGGGAGTCCCGGCACCTCGTTCCACTCCCTCACCCACAGCCTCGCTGTTTAACCTCAGGCAGGCCGTGTCCCTCCTCAGCCTCACTTTCCCCTTGTGTAAAATGAGGGAAGGGACTGCGCCTTCTAAGTCATCTTTCAGCTTAAAACCTCTTTGACCTTCTATCTGGCTAATGGAGGTGCTGACCAGGGGCAAGAAGGGATTTGAAAAACGCTTTGAAAAATTCATAGCAGGAGGCAAAGGAGAAAGAGTCTTTATTTTCGTAGAGCGGGAGGCAGGAGGAGTTATGGACAGAGGCTGTCGATGAAAAGGACAGCATCTCAGAGCACTTTGTGGCATTTAATGTCTAATGCCTCCTCCCATTAAAGCAGTGGCATCAAATATTTACCAAAGCAGCATTAAAAATTAACCTTTACCATGGGGATGTATAAAGGCCCTAAGTTCCCTGAGAAGTGACCGAACATCAGGAGGGTAAAGTGACAGGAAGGAAGGCTACAAGCGGGTTGTGAATAATGGAAGCCCCCAAAGGTCCCCCAACACAGCTCCCTGTTGACCCCACTCCCAAAGCCAGGGCAGCCTCCGGCCGTGTCTCTGCAGAGGCTCCCAGCCCTTCGGAGACTCCCAGAGGGCCTGCAGGATAAGGACAGGCCCTCAGCTGGGCATCCACAGCCTTCCATGGCCTGGCCCTGCCTCTCTGGGCAGCTGGGATCTGTAGGATGGAAAGGAATGAGTCTGTCGGAGTTGGAAGAGACCAGGGGAGGAAGTGGGGAGTGGTCCGGGCACTGGAAATAGCACGTGCAGAGGCACTGAGGCAGAGACAGCTGCACATCAATCCATCAGAAGAGCAGCCAGGTGGCATGAGTGTGGGGGAGGAAGGAAGCGCAGGAGGGGACAGGTGGGAGATGCAGGTAGGTCTGACTGTGCAGGGCCATGGTAAGATGTGGGCTTCTCGGTCCAGGGACAGGGGTGCCCTCGAGGAGAGTGACAGGACGCATTTGCCTTTGGGAAGGCAGCTGGGGGTCTACCAGAGAGGCTGCCGCTCTCCCACGAGCTGCAGCCATGTCTGTGGCTTGGCTGAGGGTGGTGGTGGGGAGGGGCCGGCACCAGGGAGTGGAGTCCGTGAGATTGGCCAGGGCCTGGGGTGGGGGCTGAGAAGGAGGTGGGGGTCCAAGGAGGATGTCTGGGAACCTGGGCTGAGTAGCCTGGGAGATTTTCCAAGATGGGGACCTTGGGGCGGCTGTGGCTTTGGTCTCAGCAGCATGGAGTGTTTTGAGTTTGAGATGCCCCGAGAGACCACTGCAATGGGCCTGGGGAGGAGGCGCTCCCACCTGTGGCAGGAAGAACTCCAGGGCAAATGGGGTCTGGAAGCCGCGAGAGGATCAGGACAGCTGAGGGGCATGGGACCTGGCCTCGGATGTGGGCTGCGTGCCCTGCCCTCTGCCTGTCGCTCCTGCGATGTCCCCTGCCTGCAGTGCCCACGTCCCCATCCCAGGTGCAATCCGTGGGCTCCAACAACATACCAGGCACCGTCCTGTCTGCCAGAAGCCGCTGGGCATAGCTGGCACCAAATAGCTTTGTCATCCCCACCCCACTGCCTGCCTTTTACATAGCTGGGATGCCCGCCAGCTTCTTTCTGAAGCAAAGAAAGGTTCCATGTTTCATTATTTAGATTATGTGGCGCCCTATAAAGCACAAAATAATTCTCATCGCCCTCAAGCAGGATCTTCATTTTGGTTTTTCCTGGAGACCAGGGGAGCTGACGGGCGTGGAGCTGAGTGGGGTATGAGGGAGTTTGCAGAGCACGGCCATTTCCCCTGTGCACCACCTCGCCAGTGGCGTTTTTCTTGCCATTTTGTCAGAAACTCAGGCTCAGAGAGGCCACAGCATGTGTCCAAAGTCAAACAGCCAGGGAGAGGCTCTCCCAGAGCACCTACAATGTGCCCTGGCCCCCCAACACACACACCAGAGCCTCCAACACACACATACACACCAGAGCCCTCCAACACACACACACACACACACACACACACACATACCCCAAAGCCCCCAACACACACATACACCAGAGCCCCCAACAGACACACACACAGCCCAACACACACACAGCCCCACACACACAACCCCCCAACACACACACAGCCCCCCAACAAACAACAAGCCCTCCGACAAACACACACAAACACACCCCACTGCCTCGTCCACTCCCCATCCCCATCCATCTAGGTGGCCCATCAAGATATTTTGCTGAAGACAAAATAAAAATTCCCTTAAGCATCTCCGCAGCCCTGCTTTGAATATGTTTTCTCCCGACTCAATAGGATATACATTTCTTGAGTGCTTTCTGTGTGCCAAGCGTTGTTACATGTACTGTCTCATGTCCTCACATGTAGCAGATGAGTAAACTGAGGTGGGTGGAGATGGTGACTTGGAGCTAAGGCTGAGTGAAGACTGGTACATCCTGGGGTCCTCTCTGCCAGGTGCACACTGAATGGCAAGGCTGGGTCTGAGCCCTCACTTGCCTCCCAGCAACTCTCCCCTGAAGCAGAGAAGGGGATGAAGCTGTGATGCAGAGAAGCCTGATCCAGACACCAGCTCACTCTGGGGGAACCCACACATCCCTGAAGGATGGGACTGGTGCCAGGGAACCCCCAGAGGCTTACTGGCACCAGTAGGAAGAGGAAGCAGGAGGCAGAGGGAAGACCTTCCCAGGCAGCCTGGCTCTACAGCAGATTTGCTGGCCTCAGTAAGCAGGGAGCTCCCCATCGCTGGGGTGTGCAAGCTGAGGTCAGAGGCTCATTCCCTGAGGATAGAGTAGAGGGATGTCCAGATGCACAATCTGCAAGATCCTCCCTCTCCCAGAATCTCTAGCTCTGCTGTGAAGCCTTGTATTAGCTAGTTAGTGCTGTGTAACAAGTTACCCCACAAGTCAGCAGCTTAAAACATTTATTTAACCCTTTCTGTGAGTCAGAAAGGTGTGAGTCAGGGTGTGGCTTCACTAGGTCTCCTGGCTTGGAGTCTCCTGGCTTGGGGGTCTCTCAGGAGGCTGCAATCAAAGCATTGGCTGAGACTGGTTATCTCAAGGCTGTGCTGGAGAGGATACACCTCTCAGCTCACTCAGGTGGCTGGTAGCGGGTTCAGGTGTTGGCTGGGGGTGTCAGTTGCTCACCAGGTGGGCCTCTCCACAGGGTAGCTCATGGCATGACAGCTGACTGCCCAAAAAGAGGGCTCTGGGAGAGAGAGTTCAAGGTGCAGAGCCCGGTGGAACCCACAGTCTTTTTGGAGCCTAACCTTGGAAGGGACATCCCATCCCTGTCACTTCTACCCATTTGTTACAAGCGAGCCACTTGCCTCCGTCCCCATCCTTTGGTCTCCCTTGGTACCAAAGGGGAGGGTGTGAGTAGCTGAAGGTAGATTCTTTGGAGGCCATCTTAGGGCTGCGTACCACAGGCCTCAATGTAGAATCAGAGTAGGGGGCTGTGAGCAGCCGCATTTTACAGATGGGGGGACTGAGAGCAGAAGGGAAAAGTCAACACTCTGGTGTGTGTGTGTTGGGGTCTCTGTTGTGTGTGTGTTAAGGGATCTGGTTGTGTTTTGGGGGCTCTGGTGTGTGTTGGGGACGTTGTCCAAGGTCACGTGGCTTGTGAATTGCTGGGGGCTCTGGTGTATGTGTTGGGGACCTCGCCCAAGATCACGTGGCTTGTGAATTGCTGGGGCCTCTGGTGTGTGTGTTGGGGACCTCGTCCAAGGTCACATGGCTTGTGAATTGCTGGGGGCTGTGGTGTGTGTGTTGGGGACCTCGTCCAAGATCACACGGCTTGTGAATTGCTGGGGCTCTTGTGTGTGTGTTGGGGACCTCACCCAAGGTCACACAGCTTGTGAACTGCTGGGTCCAATTCAGGCTGGGGCCTGTAGGACTCTGGTTAAACATCTTGGGCCACATTAGAGGCCTCCCATGCCATGCCCGAGGTGCCCCATGGACTGACATCCCCTGAGAGTGACTACATCCGTCAGGACACCCCACCTGTGCCCCAAACCCCTGCACATTGGACCCTGCAAGGAGGACAGGTTTGCAGGGGATGGGAAGGTATGTCCAGCCACCAGAGCTCACACCACACCTGCTCTCTGTCATTTATTCAGCAAACTCTCCCATAAAGCTCTCCCATATGCCAGGCTCTGCACTGGGCTTGGAGAGAGGCTGCCAAAAGGAACCACCATTGAGAAGATCTGGTCCCCAGCAGGCCTCGGGTCTCTCTTCAGCTCCTCCCTGGGCAGCATGGCTCTGAGCCTCACTTTACGCAACTGTAAAATGGAGTCATCTACTCTGCTTTCCTCCCAGTGAAGGTGCAAGAACTGGGCAATCCCATGGGTCCACCAGGGCTTTGACAAGGCAGGTGCTGGGGCAGAGCACTCTGGGCCAGGAAGCAAAAGATGAAGGTTCCCATCTTGGCCCCAGCCTGGATCTGTGCCCTTTGCATTGTGTGGACGCACCACACTGTGTTTCTCCATCACCTTTTGAGGAAACTTGGGTTGTTTCCACCTTCCGGCCGTCATCAGTAAAGCTGCTATGAACCTTCACATCCACGTCTCTTGGTGAAGTGAATGCACACATCTCTCTTGGGTATTGTGTGAGTGTCCCGTAGCTGCTGTAATAAACTATCACAAATGCAGTAGCTTAAAGCAACACGGATTTAGTCTTGTACAGATCCAGAGGACAGCAGTTGGAAAGGAGACTCATGAACACTTCATGTCAAGGCATCAGCAGCACGGGGCCCTGCTGGAGGCCACGGGGGTGAGTCTGTTTCCTTGTCTGCTCCAGTTCCCAGAGGTGCCCACATTCCTCGGCTTGTGGCCCCTTCCAGATGCAAGGACATCTCTCCAACCTCTGCTCCCATGGCCACATCCCCTCCACTGACTCTGAGCCTGCTGCCTTCCTCACTTAGGACCCTGTGATGGCATCAGGCCCAGCCAGTTAATCTAGGCTCATCTCTCTCTCCCAAAACCCTCAACTCCATCGCGTCAGCAGAGTCTCTTTCTCCTTGTTGAGGCAGTGTTCCTTGGGATGGCCATCTTGCCCCAGATAGGTTCCTTGATGTCCCTGTACTGTCTGCAGGGACACATTTACAAAGTAGGATTAATAGCATCTCCCCCTTTCAGGTCCCTGTGAGAATCCCTTAGAAAAATATGTGAAGGCGGCCGGGTGCAGTGGCTCACGCCTGTAATCCCAGCACTTTGGGAGGCCAAGGTGGGCAGATCACCTGAGGTCAGGAGTTCGAGACCAGCCTAGCCAACATGGCAAAACCCCATCTCTACTAAAAATACAAGAACTAACTGGGCGTGGTGGTGGGTGCCTGTAATCCTAACTACTCGGGAGGCTGAGGCAGGAGAATCGCTGGAACCCGGGTGGCGGAGGTTGCAGTGAGCCAAGATTGCGCTATTGCCTGGGCGACACAGACTCCATCTCCAAAAAAAAAAAAAAAAAAAAGAAAGAAAGAAAAAAATACGTGAAGGCTCCCAGCCCCACACCCCACATGCATACCGTCAGCACCAACTAACTAACAGAAGCTGTTGCTGCTGCTGGGGAACACATTGTCTCCAGTTCACCTGGAATGAGGCGTGTTGTGCCTCATGACTCCTCTGCTTTCGTCTGCGGGAAGGGTTATTGTCACAGATGTTCCACATTCTGGAAGCTTTCATTGTTATTCAAATTACCAGGTGCTCTGTTATCTTCCCACTTAGGTTGCAGGCACCAGCCCACCAGGCCTGCCAGCTGCAGACCCTCCTCACCCCGTGGGCCCTGCTCCTGGTTCCAGGCTCAGCTCCTCTCTCGCCAGGGCCACTAGGGCCAGCAGGGCAGCCTGCTACTCCCCAGCCTGCCCAGGCCACTGCCCCAGACGAGAGGGGCTGGCCGTGTGGCCCTGCGGTCAGCAGCACAGGCCAAGCTCCACTGCTAGCTAGATATGCAGTTCTGGGCTAGTGACATTGTCTCTCTGAGCCTCATTTTCCTCATCAGCAAGTTGCAGGGACTAGTGGTCCCCACCCCTGAGGCTGCTGAGAGAACTGAGGCTCCACACGCATGGGAGGTGCTTGGCACAGTGCCCGGCACAGAAGAGATAATCAGTACCCTGCAGCCCTAATCTTGCTGCTATGAGAATTAGGCATGATCTTCCATGTCGGCTCCCCACAACTTTGGGATCAGGTCCAGACACCTTCTCCTGGCAGATGAAGGCTTTGTGGCTGCCGCCTCTGCAGACTCACCCCTGCCAGGAGCATCTTGTGCCATGACAGCCATGCTCCTTGTGATCCTCTGAATGACCTTGGCTGAGGCTGTTCCGTCCGCCTGGAGTGCCCTCCCTGTCGTCCCAACAAGCCTTGTCCAGGGCCCAGCTCTGTGGCTGCTCCCAAGAACTTTTCCCCCAATTCCCACCCTGGCCAGGACCCCAAGACTGCCAGACACTCGCCGCTGACACAGTGTGGGTCTGCTGCTCTTGTTTCAGGGTCCTGGTGTGGCTCCCCTACCCGCTTCGAGCCCTCAAGGGCAGGGCCCACACCTGACTCAGTTCTGAGCCCCCAGCCCAGGCCCTGGCCGAAGGTGCTATAGTTCCAGCTTATGGAAGGCCTAGTGTGAGGGGCCACAAGTTGCCACTGAGTGAGGGGAGCACTGGTGGGCCTGAGCCTGGGGTCCACAGAACTGGCCATGAGGGGCAAGGTGACCTGCAGAGTGCCTAGGAGGACACATGACCCCCGCATCAGGGCAGGCGAGTGCTCTCCGTGGCAGGAGTCAGTGGCCACACAGGAACAGTTTCCTGCACTCACGGGTATGTGACCAAGGCGTGTTTGCCGTGAGAGCAGAACAAGAGTTGACATTTGCCAAAGATTCCTTCCAGAAGGCTGTGCAATGAGGAAGCATTCCCGGGGCTACTGTGGGCTGATGAGCTGGGCTGTGTCCACAGGAGCGATAGCCCCACTGGGCAGCAGTGAGGATGGCCTAGAGTGGTATAAGGCCCAGAGAGGTTAATGACTCACCCAGGGTCACACAGCTTCTGAGGGGCAGAGCCGGGACCTGAACCCGGGCTTGTCTGACATTGAGGCCATGGTCATCTCTACCATGGGACTCTGCAGTGCTGTGTGGTACAGGGTGTTACAAAAGGCCTGTGGGAGTCAGACAAGCTGCACAGAAGGGGCGCCCAGTGAGTGAGGTCTTGAAGGATGTGTAGGAGTTTTCTAGGTGGAGATAGGGGAGGGTATTCCCAGTAGTGTGAAGAGCACACTGGGCTTTCTGGAAAGAGAGTACTTTGGAGTGGAGACCACAAAACCGAAAGTAACAGTTCTGTTGTTAAGAGGCCCTGAGGCCCAGCTAAGGCGTCAAAACTTTACCCTCGAAGAAGCTATAAGTAGAATTTTTTTTTTTTAAAAGTCATTGATTTTGAAATATTTCATTTTCTGCAAGAGAATCCATATAGTGTATATATATATATATATATATAAAGTAATGAAGCAAACACCACATTCTCACCACTGGCACAAGAAATAGAGCTGCGTCAATGCCATAGAGGCCCTCAGCATGCCCCAGTGGCACCCCTTCCCTCCCGGGTCCACCAGCCTGAATTTTGTGCTTGTCATCCCCAAACAGAGATGTATCCCCAGGGAGTGACCGAAGCCACATTGCCCTCCAGGGAAACCACTCTGGGGAGTGCAAAGACTGCCATGCAGGGGCAACCATGGGGAGGCCTCGGCCAAAGTCAGGAGTGACGCTGCCCCCACCCCAGAATGGACAACCTCTTTTCCATGTCAGCCTGCAGCAGCAAAAAGGAGTGAGGAGGGGCATGGCTGCTGCCACCCTTATCCCTGAAGGGCCACCACGGGCCAAGAAGGCCAGACTGTGGCCTACAGGCAAGCGTTTGGCTCTGCATTTTAAGTTTTCCAGGGAACTGAGCAGCTTAAAAGGGAATGGCTTGTAAAGGAGTGAGCTTACCATTCCCGGGGAAACCAAGCAAAGGCTTCGACCATCACCTGGACCTCCTCTCCAAGCCTCCTCTGATTTTCTGTCCCTCTTCCCTCAGCCCCTGGGCTCCCTCTGTCCCAACCTTTACCAGCCTAATGGCACTGTCCGCACCTGCAGACAGCGTCTCCAAGGCCAGAGACTGAATTGTCACCAGGTCCTGGGCTGAGAATGAGTCCATGTCACATTCTTCCCTTCCTGTGCAGCACGGAGGTTCGAGATGGGCTCTCAAATCAGGCCGTAACCGAACACAAGTCCAGCCTCTTGCAGAATCCAATGAACAGAACGAGGTCTAGTAGAAAGAAAGTGACTTTATTCCAGAGCTTGGTTAAGAGGAAACAGTACAGGCTCCTGACTTAAGGGAATCACTTCAGCTTTCGAGGAGGAAAGTGGGGTCTTTAAAGGGGAACTTGGTGTGAAAGGCATGCAGGGGAGGGAGTGAGGAGGTGCAGGGTCCACCTGACTTGCTTGTATGTCTTCTCAGTCGGGTAGTCTGGAGGGCGCCGTGGTGGACAGAGCTAGGCTGTAAACTCACCGTTGTCTTGAAGTAATCTCCTGGTGGGGGAGAATCCCAGAGGGTGCCTGGTTTGGTTCAACATTTTGTCCTGAGAATTTCTAAACAAATCGACCTGTAGTTAGATATGCTTGCAGTGCAGGGAGCGCCTGGTGGAGAGGAGGTAAACGTTATAATTGCACTCCTGAAGAGCTAAGAGGTGAACACACAGGGAAAAAGAAGAAAGGTAAAGATAAGTTCTAGGAAAATTGGACGCTCGATTGCAAGCCCCCCTAAGCTGAAATTCTGACATTGTGGTCCAGCCACCACAAAGATCAGCAGAACCTTGGGTCATCTCCTCTATTCTGGCGCATATACTTCTATTAATGCAACCCAAAGTCCTTTTCCTTCTCAGCTCCCCTTGGCATGTGAGAATGTCTGCCCATCCCCACATGCAGCCATGCCATGCACAAGCCCAGGGGCAGGAAGTGCTTCTCGGAACCCATTTGTGCAACCGAGGGCTCCACCCAGGAAGCAGCCCCCATCCTGCTGTTTCCCAGCTCCCCTGGGCTTTGGCTGTTTCTTTTTTTTTTTTTAATAATTTTTATTTTATTTTTATTCTATTCTATTTTTAGACAGAGTCTTGCACTGTCGCCCGAGCTGGAGTGCAGTGGCGCGATATCGGCTCACTGCAACCTCCGCCTCCCAGGTTTAAGTGATTCTCCTGCCTCAGCCTCCTGAGTAGCTGGGATTACAGGTGTGTGCCACTGCACCCAGCTAATTTTTTGTATTTTTAGTAGACGGGGTTTCACCATGTTTGAGCTGGTCTCAAACTCCTGACCTCGTGATCCGCCCGCCTCGGCCTCCCAAAGTGCTGGGATTACAGGCATGAGCCACCGCACCTGGCCCGCTTCTGGCCGTTTCTACCATGTGGCCACCCTGTTGCAAATTTCCACCTAAGAACATAGCAGGGCGGGTGAGGATGCACTTCCCTTTTTCACGAGCCTTGTGTGATGTTCTCAGGTTTTCAGCCTCATGGTCGAGTCAGCCAGGCTTCATTCTGGTTTCCAACCCTTGGGTCCAGAATGTTGAGCTGGTCACACCTTCTGGTCCATAGCTCCCACATCAGTGGCTGTGATGGGCCCCTTACTGTACCTGCCCCCTGACCCCCCAACCCTCCACGCCTACTCCATCCACCCCACTCTTACATGTTAATTGAGTGTGATGCTCAAATTATGCACAATGCTGGGAACATGGAAGTGTTTTCACTTTTCATGTATAGTATTTCTTACCTTTGACCCAACATTATATGTGCAAGACCTCTGCATTTGCCATAGGGGCTCTTGCACCCTCACTTCTGAGAACTGTATGGAAGCCTATGTATACACCATGGACTACAACGCAGCCATAAAAAAGAACAAGATCATGTTCTTTGCAGGGACATGGATGGAGCTGGAGGCCATTATCCTTAGCAAACTAACACAGGAACAGAAAACCCAATACCACATGCTCTCACTTATAAGTGGGGGCTAAATGATGAGAACACATGGATACATAGAGGGGAACGATACACACTAGGGCCCACTGGAGGCCGGAAGGTGGGAGAAGGGAGAGGACCAGGAAAAATAACTAATGGGTACTAGGCTTCATGTCTAGGTGATGAAATAACCTGTACAACAAACCCCCATGACACACGTTTAGCTGTGTCACAAACCTGCACGTCCTGCATATTTACCCCTGAACTTAAAAGTTTGTTTGTTTTTGAGACAGAGTCTCGCTCTGCCACCCAGGCTGGAGTGCAGTGGTGCGATCTTGGCTCACTGCAATCTCTACCCCACTGGATTCGAGTGATTCTCCTGCCTCAGCCTCCCAAGTAGCTGGGACTACAGGTGCCCATCACCACACCTGGCTAATTTTTGTATTTATTTAGAGACGGAGTTTCATTCTTGTTGCCCAGGCTGGAGTGCAATGGCATGATCTCAGCTCACCGCAACCTCCGCCTCCTGGGTTCAAGCAATTCTCCTGCCTCAGCCTCCCGAGTAGCTGTGATTACAGGTGTGTGCCACCATGCCCAGCTTATTTTTGTATTTTTAGTAGAGATGGGATTTCACCATGTTGGTCAGGCTGGTTTCGAACTCCTGACCTGGTGATCCGCCCACCTCGGCCTCCCAAAGTGCTGGGATTACAGGCGTGAGCCACCGTGCCTGGCCTTAAAAGTTTTTTAAAAAGAAGCAGCTCACGCTAATGCAGTTCCCTAGGAAGGTGATGGGTTGCCCCTGAAGACCAGCTCCAGAGCTTCTTCGGGAAGTGCATGCAGAGAGAGGTTGCTGGATCGTCTGCTGAGCACGGTGGCGAGTCCCTTTCACAGGTGTTCACTTACCTTTCAAATCATCTGATCTAAGTTTGGCTGATTTGATGGCTTTAAAGTGACATCTCACTGTCTTACAAATTTTGTTATCTAGGTAATGAATAGATTTTATTTTTTTAAAGCAGTTTTAGGTTTACAGAAAAATTGAGTGGAAAGTACAGAAATTGCCCAGGGGAGGAAGGTGGAAATTCAAGACTAAAGTTCAGGGCAGAGGGCTCAATGTGTAAGTGGCATTAATGCCACAAATCATGAATTTCGAATCTCAATGACCAATGCCCAGGGAAGGAAAGCACGGTATGGGAGGTGGCTGAGGACAGCTGTCTGAGCCTGATTGGTCTCTGTGTGACTCTCCATTGTGTGGGAGCTGTTGTTTTTGACCTGGCATCCTGCTGATAGACACTTCAGTGATCCGAATCTTCTGCTGTTAACCACCTTTCTGTGATTAATGTGCTTGTACCTATGTTGCCCTTGTGAGCATGTCTGTAGGATAATCGTTACGTGAGACCACTGGGTCAGAGGATGTGGGCATCTGTACCATAGGCATGTGTCAAATTGCCTTCCACAGAAATGACCCCAGCATCTCCCCAACTAGCAGTGAAGCAGAAACCCAAACCAGCACACGCGTCGGGCGCTCAGCCTTTTTGATCTGTGTCAGGGTGGCAAGTGAAGGAATGCAGATGCTCCCTTTTGTCTGCGCTCTGAAATCCTCTCTCATTGTGGCTTTAATTTGCATTTCTCTTATTTTAGACTTTGGATTTGCTATTTGACAGTTTCTCTTTCTCTTCTTGGCAATTGGTCTGTTTAGATTCTACCTTCCCAGATCCTTTGGGTAATTTCTCTTTTCTTGGAAATTGATCCATTTCTTGGAGGCTTCCTGATTTCTGTAGAGTTGAGCAGGCAGTCGCTTTTGTTCTTCTGTTTGTTCAGTTCATCTTAATTGAGTGTAGACCCTGTGCCAGGCATCGTTATTGGCCCTGGGGATACAGTCATGGGCCAAAAGCAGCAACAAGCCTGCTTTTATGGAGACTGCAGACAATTTTTAAAATGTATATGTTAAATATGTGGACTGTCAGATGGTGATAATGCGTTTGAGATAGAGGATAATTTTAAACAGGTGGCCAAAGGGATCACTAAAAAGGTGACTTAAAGGAGATCAGGGATTCAGCCTTGGGTTTATCTGGGAGAAGAGACAGGAACATGCTGGTATGGATGGTGTATTAGTCAATGTGTTCCAGAGAAACAGAACCAGTCGCATATAGACACACATGAAGGCACACACTGTAGGGAGTTGGCTCCTGCAGCTATGCAGGTTGAGGAATTCCAAAGGTCTGGGTTAGCAAGCTGGAGACCCAGGGGAGCCAATGGTGTGAGTTCCAGTGTGAGTCGAGGGCCTGAGACCCAGGAGAGCCAATGGTGTGAGTTCCACTTTGAGTCGAGAGCCTGAGACCCAGGAGAGCTGATGGTGTGAGTCGAGGGCCTGAGACCCAGGAGAGCTGATGGTGTGAGTTCCAGTCCTGAGACCCAGGAGAGCCGATGGTGTGAGTTCCACTATGAGTCAAGGGCCTGAGACCCAGGAGAGCCAATGGTGTGAATTCGTCCCAGCCTGAGTCTAAAGGCAGGAGAAGAACAATGTCCCCACTTAAAGGCAGGCAGAGATAGCATGAATTCCCCCTTACTTGTTGGTTCTGTTTAGGCCTCCAGCGGGTTGGATGAAGCCACCTGCACAGGGGAGGACACAGTTTTCCTCCATCTGCTAGGTCACATGTTCATCTCATCATGAAACACCTTCATGACACACCCAGAAAAATGTCTCACCAAATATCAGGGCACCCTGTGGCCCAGTCAGGTTGATACAAAACAAACCATTACCATTGGAGTGGAGAGAATGAAAATGAAAAGAGTGAGGAATAGGACAGGGAGGTGATGGGGTGGGAAGGGCTTTAGCTTCTGCTCTGAGTGAATCTGGGAGCCACTGAGAGTTTTGAGGAAAGGGGTGATGTAATTGGACTTAGGTTTTCTCAGGGCTCCTCTGGCTGCTGTGTTGAGAGCAGATGGAAGGGGCTGACCAGCGCTGACCAGCGCAGACACCACTGCAAGAATCCTGCCAGCCTGGACCACAGTAGGAGCAGTGGAGGCAGCAGGGAAGTGTAAGGCTTATTGAGATTCTGAAGGAAGGTCCAACGGGATTTGCTCCTGAGTTGGATATGGGGTATGAAAGGAAGAAGAGGGGTCAAAGATGACTCCAGGCCTCTGAGGAGAGCAACTGGCAGGATGGAGTTGTATTTCCTGAGGTCAGGAAAATTGTGGGAAAAGCTAGGTGGAGGAGGAAGGTTGGGATTTTGGTTTGGGGTATATTAAGTTTGAGGTATCTATTAAATATCCATTTGGTGACATCGAGTAGACACGTTGGCCATCAGAATGGAGTTTAGGTGAGAGTTTGAGGGTCAAAAGTCATCAACATATCTCCAGCCTGGGCAACAGAGTGAAACTCCGACTCCATCTCAAAAAAAATATATATATATCAACATACAGTGTTTAGATTCTTGGAAGGAGAGATCCATGAGTGAGTAGAAATTGTGGAGAAGAGAAGGTCAGGAAGATGTGGGCAGACCAGCAAAGGGCTGGAGCAGGAGCGGTGGGAGGAGGAGGAGGATCAGGAGAGGGGACTGCAGTGTCCTGGAAGCAGGTGATCACTTGAGTCAGTGCTGCTGGGAGGATGAGTGAAAGGGGGACTGAGAATTGACCACTGGGTTTATTAACAGAGAGGTCTTTGGTGACCCTGACAAGGGCAAATTCTGCAGGGAAGTTGGAAGAAAAGCCTGTTGGGAAGGGGCTAAGTGATGGTGAGAAGTGAAACTGGAGAGCAAAAGTGCAGAGAATCATTCCAAGCTGTCACCTCCACCTTCTACATATTATATCTCCTGCTTCATTAGATTCCTCCCAAGCTGTCACCTCCACCTTCTACATATTATATCTCCTGCTTCATTAGATTCCTCAGCAGTGAACATGTCTCATTGTGTTTCAAAGAACAAGTAGTTGGGGCCAGTTATGGTGGCTAATGCCTGTAATTCCAGCATTTTGGGAGGCCAAGGCAGGAGGATTGCTTGAGGCCAGGAGATCAAGATCAGCCTGGGCAACACAGCAAGACCCCATCCCTGCAAAAATTTTTTTTAATTAGCTAGGTGTGGTGGTGCACACCTGTAGTCTTAGCTACACAGGAGGCTAGGGCAGGGGAATCACTTTAGCCCAGGAGTTTGAGGTTGCAGTGAACTATGATTGCACCATTGCACTCCAGCTAGAGTGACAGAGCAAGAGCCTGTCTCTAAAAAAAAATAATAATTTAAACATTAAAAAAAGAACATGGAGTTATTTATGAGTTCCTTTCTTTTGCTGTTAACTCCATTTCTGTTTTCATTTACTTATTGCTACTGTATGTCTTTCTTAGGTTTATTTTGTCTTTCTTTTCTAACTTTTTGAGTTGGGCAATTCATTCTTTCTCATTTATTAATAAGATCAGTGTTTTAAGGCTATGTATGTTCCTCTTAGCATTGGCTCGGCTGCATCCCACAGGTCCTTAAATATATATTTTGTTATTGTCTAGATATTCTGCAGTTTTTATTTTTTGCTCTAACTCAAGGTTATCTAAGTGTTTATAGACCTCTTGGTGGCAAAGTTTGGTTTGGTCTGTGGTTTCATTATTAGTATTTTCAAATTCTAGTATATTGTGATTAGAGAATGTTGTCTTATTTCTGTTTTTTGGAATTTACTTTCTTTGTGGCCTGATAGTCACTTTTGGTGTATGCACTTTCAAGAGCATTTGAATAGAATGAAGGTAGACTGTGTTTTACACACACACACACACACACACAGTTGTTAGATTATTTGGCTCCGTATATCCTTACTTTAGTTTTTGCCAACTGCATATGGAATGGATTGAGAAAGGTGAATTGAAATGCACTAGGCCGGGCATGGTGGCTCATGCCTGTAATCCCAGGCCTTTGGGAGGCCGAGGTGGGCAGATCACATGTGGTCAGGAGTTCAAGACCAGACTGGCCAACATGGTGAAATCTCATTTCTACCAAAAATACAAAAAAAAAAAAAAAAATTAGCCAGACATGGTGGTTGAGCACCTGTTATCCCAGCTACTCAGGAGGCTGAGGCAGGAGAAACGCTTGAACCCAAGAGATGGAGGTTGCAGTGAGCTGAGATCATACCATTGCACTCCAGCCTGGGCGACAGAGTGACACTGTCTCAAAAAAAAAAAAAAAAAAAAACATGCACTAATACTAGCATACTCTGCTTTTTCTCCCTAAATTTCCAGTCTTGCTCTATGAATATTGAGGCTATGCTATTTGGTACATGAACATTCATTACTGTTAGATCTTCATGGTGACTCTCATCCTTCACCCTCACACAGTGCCCTTCTTTTTTCTCATTCAGTATTTTTTGCCCTGACTTCAGCTTTTTCTGATATTAAGATTATGACCCCTGATTTATCTTCATTTGCATTTGTTTGTTATGCTTCTGTTCATCCTTTTTAAAAATTATGGTAAAATGCACATAACGTTTATCATTTTAACCATTTTTAAAGTATACAGTTCAGGGGTATTAAGTACTTCTCACTATAGTGCAACCATCACCATCATCCCTCTGTAGAACTTTGTAAAAATCATCTGCCCTTTTTTTTTATTTTTTTTATTTTTTTTAAGATGGAGTCTCACTCTGTCACCCAGGCTGGAGTGCAGTGGCGTGATCTCGGCTCACTGCAACCTCTGCCTCCCGGGGTTTGAGCGATTCTCTTGCCTCAGCCTCTTGAGTAGCTGGGACTGCAGGCACCCACCACCACGCCCGGATAATTTTTTTGTATTTTTAGTAGAGACGGGATTTCATCATGTTGGTCAGGCTGGTCTTGAACTCCTGACCTCGTGATCTACCTGCCTCAGCCTCCCAGAGTGCTGAGATTACAGGTGTGAGCCACCACGCCCGGCCCTGCCCATCCTTTTCTATGAAACCTTGCTGAATCATTCTACCTTCAGTGCCTTTGTTTGTGATCAGTCTTTTTTTTTTTTTTTTAAGCAAGTGTGTATGGCTCATTAACATTTACTGATATGGCAGATGCATTTGGTCTTAGTTCTGTCATCATTGTTTGATAGGCTTTCTGCTTTTATAGTTTTGTGGGGGTTGTCAATTTTTACCATATGGTCTCTGTTGTCTTTGTTTTATTTTCTGTGTGTATGTCTTCTAGATAATTTGGAAAGCTGCGTTTTTGATCCCATGGTTATCTTCATAATTATAACATGACATGATATCTTTAATCCTTTTATTTCTCTAGACAACATTTATTTTCTCCCTACTGTGAAAAGTATCAAAATTAGAATATTTCTACTTCCCCTCCTCTTGTCTCCCTGCTATCAAGTTATTTTAGTTGACTATATTTTTTGTTTACCTTGATGCCTCTAATTTTAAACTTCTAAGCAATTCTTTAGACCCCCAACTATACATGAATATGTCATAGTTTACTTATATCACCTCCCTGCTTCTCATCTCCACCCCTCCAACTTTTTATTATTTATGCCAGTTCTCTGTTTTGTTTCATTCTTCTCTGTGATGGTCATAATCTTTAGATTGGCTGCAATAGTCCTACAGTTACACAAATTCTACGCTCATTGCTGGCACTCTTGGCAGGGCTCCATTTATAATTTCTCTTCATTGCATTTGTTATGCTTCTGCTCATCCTTTTTATGAATTGTGGTAAAGTGCGCATAACATAACATTTACCATTTTAACCATTTTTAAGTATACGGTTCAGGGGCAATAAGTACCTTCTCACTGTAAGGCAACTGATATGGTTTGGCTGTGTCCCCACCCAAATCTCATCTTGAATTGTAACTCCCACAATTTCCATGTGGCATGGGAGGAACCTGGTGGGAGGTAATTGAATCATGGGGGCAGGTCTTTCCCATGCTGTTCTCATGGTGAATGAATCTCACCGAATCTGATGGCTTTACAAATGGGAATTTTCCTGCACAAGCTTGCTCGCTCTCTTTGCCTGCCACCATCCACATAAGATGTGACTTGCTCCTCCTTGCCTTTTGCCATGATTGTGAGGCCTCCCCAGACATGTGGAACTGTAAGTCCAATTAAACCTCTTTTGTAAGTTGCCCAGCCTTGGGTATGTCTATTAGCAGCGTGAAAATGGACTAATACAGCAGCCATCACTGCCATCCATCCACAGAACTTTTAAAAAATCATCTGCCCATCCTTTTATAGTAAACCTTTCTGAATCATTCTTGATTTGCCTAAGCGTATCCTTAATAATTTTTTTAAGAAGGGGTCATGGGAACTTTAATTCAAAAATCTGTTCAACATGTTTTTCTGTTGACTTTATTCTTGACAGATGGTTCATTGGGCTTTAAATTCTTGGTTTATTCATTCATTTGACAAATATTTATTAAGCCCCTACAGTATGCCAGTTACTGTTCTAGGCCCTGGCAATGCAGCGATGTGTAAAACACACAATCACCTTAACCCTCTTTTAGCTAACTTTCTATTTGGGGAAGACAAACAATAAACTATTCAAGTAAGTACAATAGGTGGTATGCTGGATGGAGGTGTGTGCTATGGAGAAAAACAAAGTGGGTGATGGAGAGTACCTGGACCTGGCTTAGTTCTATGAAGCAGAGGAGATGGCCCCACAGAATCTCTCACCCTTAGCCCCTGTACACATTCCCACTAATGCAAAGGGTGGAGAGTAGGTTCTGCCTCTTGGCGTATCACTCACTCTGGGGAGGTGGGCTTTGCTGGCTTGGTCGGAGCCACTCCCTTGACTTCTCCATTTAGTTGAAGATGGTTTATCATTTAAGAACACTCACCAGATGCAATTTACGCAAGTAAAAGAAATTCAACTGCAATGGTATGAAGGGGGTAGTTCAGGGCTGCCACCAGAACCAAGTTTCTGCCTGCTTTCTACTCCACCTGTGTTAGTGAGCGTCTTTCATTCTCATGCATGCAAGATAGTTCATTTCCCCCTGGATTCATGTCCCCTTCCCAATAGACTCCCACTTACACAGCGTTAGCCAGACTGGGTCATGTGACCACCCCTGCTTGCAAGGGAGTCGGGGAAGGTAAGTATTTGTGACTGGGCAATTGCTCTTATAATAGACACAGGGCAGTGGGGTTCATGCTGCTTTCCACAGATGGAGTCTGTATTTCTTTTCCTCATTGTCTTGTTTGCAACTTGACTCTGCCAATCAAAGCTATAAGTAAGTGCCCCGCAGATCTGTTTCCACACTGTAGATCTTGTTCCACTGGTCTCCTGGCTTTTCCCTATTCCAGGAGCACCTTGGTCTCTTCTTTATAGCTTTGTATGACATGGTCATATATTAGTGCCATTCCAAAATACATAATGGTTTTTGTCAATATGAATGGTATCTGTATCTGTGTTTAATATTTAGTTTGTTATGGCAATGGTGACCATATAATTTATCAGCCAAATCAGAATACTTTTGAGGATAAAAGGGGAACAACATTAAAAATTATGTCAGAACAAGTGTTAACTGAGACTGTCCCAAGCCATGACATATAATTACCCTAGTAATTGCTGAGGTCAGTGCACACTGTTGCATTTTATAAATTGATCTGATGTCTTATAGGTTGACTATTATACGTCTATGTCTGCACTCTCCATTCTACTAATTAACCTGTTGATTCTGTTAAATTTTCTATGTAAGTTATCCACAATTAACTGTAATTTTGGTTCTTCTATTCCAGTCCTATTCTATGCTTATTTTTCTTGTCTTATTGCATGGGCCAGAGCTCTAGTACTATATGGAGCTATAATGATAGCAGACATTTTTTTTCTTTCTTCCAGTCTTAAAGTCACATGGTTCGCAATGTTCAGAAGACAAAACCCACATGCTCAGAGAAAACCTGGCTTCTTCCGGCACTGAGGCCAGAGAGAAATGTCCCCATGGAGGAGACACCATGTGATACTTTTTTTCCTTGTATTTCCTCCAGAAAACGCTTTTGCTGTGCCTCAGGATGGGGGAGATGAGATCTGAAGCACCCGGTGCAGCCTCCGAGAAGAACAACTTCTACAGAGATGCCAGGGACAGCCGAGGTAGCGGCGGTGGCACAGGAGGAAATGCTGCCTGTGCCCAAAGCCCCCTTCCGCGGACTTCTAAGATTAGGAGCAAACTCAGGGGTAGGGGCTGGGGGTGCAGGGGAGGGGATTCTGAGCCACCTGTCCGCAAGCAATAGTCCTATTTTGGGCTGGTGGCTTCTGAGAGGTGACTCATTGTGGACTCAGGATGACCAAGACAAAGCAACTCTGGCTGATTCCAGCCAGGAGGATTGAGGCCTGTGAGTTATACCTGTGGTTGAAAACCGAAGCTTCCCTTGCCCCTGCTCCCTCCAGTAGTGGCCCCTTGGGGCTATTTGTGTCAGAATATTGAATGTGCGTGTGTGTGTGCGTGTGTGTGATTTGGGGTGTTCTTTTTGTTTGCTTGGTTGGTTGGTTTTTATTGGGGCTTCCCCCCTCAAGTTCTCTGATGGGCATGAGTCACCCTCCGGCTGGGGGTTCTCATCCGTGTCAATGTCCGAGCCGCAAGCTTATTGCTAAGCACAGGGTACGGCCCCTCTGTGTCTCGGGGAGCACTGGGGATTTGAAAATGCCAGTCAGGGTTGTTTCTTACAGAATTCGTTCCTGTAACAATAGTAATACTAAGGGCTGCATCTCAGGCTGACCACAGGGCAGGTGCCAAGTTAAGTGTTTTCATGCACTCCCTCTCTCACCACCTGGGAGGCAGGTATGATTAACCCCCTGCAGAAAAACTCACAGTGGGGAAGCGGTGCCGGAACCCAAAGTCCAGGCTCCAACTCCCTGGACGTGACATGCTCGCCAGCCGGGGTACACCCTGCACAATGCTGGGAGCATCTCCTTGATGCCTCCACCATCACCGCCTGGAGCGCTGATCCACTCAGCACATTCTGGCTAAGCATCTGCTGTGTGCCAGGCCCCGTGCTGGGCAGTGATGGGAATGAAAGATGAGTTAGATCTCATCTCTGCCCCCGGGGAGCCTCCCATCTGGTGGGAGACACAGACACGTGGATCTTTGCTGGAAAGGGTAACAAGGCCATGGAAACCCAGGCAGGAGCGTTCTAGAAATCCATCCACTTTCAAGTAGGACTTCCATGCCCGTAACATCCACCCACCGAGCTAATCACCCCCACTCCTGCCCCGCTGCCCTGGGACACCTATGAGATGGCATCACCTAAATCATCACAAACATCTCCAAAGGCCATGCTGCCAGTGTAGACACACTCATTCCATGGGTGTTAGTGATACCAAATCTCCCCCAGCTCTTAGCTCGGGAGGCCCTGCTTGATCAATGTGTGTGTCCTCTGACGCAGTTTCCTCATTTCATCAGACCTAGTGTTCTCACACTGACCACCCATCCATTCACCAGACACGACAGTGAGCAAGGCAGGTCCCTGCTCACTGTGCTAGCTTTCTAGCTGGGGCAGGAAGACAGTGAAGAAGGAAGGTGGCGAAGGCAGTGAGTGCTCTGCCGGGAACTCAGTGCCAGGAACTCAGTTCGAGGGACACGTGAGTGAGACCCTTGTGGACCTGGGGTGGTCTGGGAAGGCCGCCTTGAGCAGATGATTGAAGCCCAGATTTGAATGACACACAGGAGCCAGTAATGGGCGTTAAAGATAGGAAAAGAGCATTCCAGGCAGAAGGAACGGCTAGTGCAAAGATCCTGCGGCAGCCACAGGCTTGGTGGTTTCAAGGAAGCACAAGAAAGCCAGGTGGCACAAGAAAGCCAGGTGGCTGGGGACCCAGAGGGAAGGCAGAAGGAGATGAGGGTGATAGTGCCCAGCTCTGGGCTCTGCTGTGAGTCAAGCTGTGCAAACACAATGTCCTGCCTTTGGAAAAGCAGAACAAACTTGCTAGGGTATAAAGCATCCTCCATTCTGCCTGGCTGTCCATCCTCTCAACAGCCCCATGAAGAAGGGGCTCTCCCCATTTTATGGACAAGAAGACAGACTCAGCTGGGTCAAGTGGCTTGCCCAGGATCACACAGGTCAGCTGTGGAAGACCCAGGCCCCTGGCTTCAGTCTTTGGGTCCAGCTGTCTCCTCCAGGCAGTGCTGCCAGTGTCCAGGCATATGGCTTGGCAAAGTGGGAGAACCTCTGCTTGGGGTCTCGATTGGAGAAAGGAATGGCTTCCTCTCCCCTGATGTGAGCCGTCCCAGGGCCATGTTGCCGTAAGGGGGTGCACAGCCTGTCCACTAGCCCAGCTGCGGAAGCCACAGCTGTGTCCCACGTGCAGTGCCTCAGAAGGCAGAGGAAGCCTTGAGGTGGGGGCCCAAGACCCAGATTCTGACATCAGCTCTGCCACTGAGAACAGCGTGACCTCAGGCAAGGTCTGTTACCTCAGTTTCCCCATCGGTAAGAGGAAGGAGTCAGATGGGTATTTAAGGAGTTTGCAACCCTCGTGTCCTGCTGTCCTGGACAATGCTCTGTAGGTGCTTCCTCTGCCAAAAAGGAACTGGTGGCCTTGCCTCCCTCTCCTGGACACCTGGGGTCAAAGGTCACTGCCAAATAGACAGCTAGAACTGGGGTTCACCTAAGCATCCCTTGAGATGTACAACCTTCTAGGAGGACATTCCTCCTGCCTGCCCCCCTCCCCGCAAGAGGTCTTTTCAGGAATAACTGAAAAACCCATGGGGTTTGTGGTCCTGCTGCTCTGCCAAGTCCCTCTTGGGCAGCTGGGCTGAGGACTGGAACATTCTGTGGCAAGCAGGAGGCCTCAGCAGAGATCACCAAGACCCAGCACACCTGGTGCAGACAGCCACGGCATCCTCCTTCCTGCAGGTCACCCCCACGAGCCACTTAACCTCTCAGAGCCTCTGCTTCTCACCTGTCAAGTGTGTGAGGTAGGGTACCAGTTAGTCACGGTACTTGCTGTCTCACAGAGGAGCCGACAGGTGAGAACAGTGTGCATGTGGGTGTGAACACTCAGTGTGGAAAGCAGGTGTGTGTGTATTCAATCCCCCAATGGTGTCAAGGGCTCCTCAAAATGCCATGGGTCCCCAGGTCATTGTGATAAACACTGTCCCCATCCTGCTGTGGTTGTGGCTGGAAGGTCCCTCAAGGAGTAGACTGTCCCTGAGAACAAGATGGATGCAGGGTAGTGACGAGTTCAAGCATAGCTAGAGTTACTGTTTTTTAGCAACTCAACCTGATTTTTTAAGCTGCCTACTTTTACTTTTTACTGTGAGCTTCTGTCCATCACCATGTAATTTGTAATAATAATAATACAAAAAGAAAAACGAGAGAGAGAAGAGGACAAGATGTCCACAGAGGAATCTGCATTCGAGGCTGTTTGCAGAACTACCGCGTTTGTAAGGACTGTTTCCCACTGGGAACTGTGTGTAATTAATGAGCAGTTTTATGCTTTCCCTCTCGTCTGTGTACGGTGTGATTGTTGTGTGTTTCAGAATCTCTATTCAGAACCAATAGCTGGTAATGCCTGCTGGCTCGCTGCCCTCAAGTTAGCCTCTGAACGTGCCCTGCACCTAGAGAAGCAGCCTTCTCACCCGCCTCACCTGGCTGCTCCAGCGGCCAGGCCAGCCACCTGACCATGACCATTGCTGATGTGCAACAGGCCTTAATTGAAAAAACACACAAGTACATACATGCACATGCGCGCACACACACAGGTGATTTCACAGGTAGATCTGGTCCCTCTTGCTGTCTCCAATGCTCTAGAAAGCAGCAAGTAGGCAGCTGACAGTGTTCCCAGGGTGAGTGGCATCTCCCCTCATCATCAGAAAGATTCAGTCAAATTTTGGCCCAGAGCTGAAGAGGAGGACTTGGGAATGTCAGGGAAAACATGACAGGGCTAGGGGTTAACAGGCTTCTTTGGCCAGGAGATGGTTTCCAGTTCACCGTCAACCCAAAAGCTCTCTTCAGGTCATGGCAAACAGACCAGGGCTGTGGGTGTGGCTGTGCTTGGCACTGACTCCCCCACAGGCCGCTGTCCAGGTTGGCTCAGGATTCCAGCTGCCATCCCCAGGCAGGCCCCTCCGCTGGCTCGGCTGCTTTCACAATCACCATGTCTGTCTATTAGAGACTGTGCCATTCAAGGAGACGGGGTCCCCGGGGGTGCAGACTTGTAAAATTTTTTAATTTTTCAACTTGGCTGAACTGGTCCCCATCAACAGGAAAAGCCTTCGGAAGTGAATTTACAGATTTCTCCCATGTTTGAAATTAACATAACATGAACCCAGAAGGCAGAGCTTGCAGTGAGCTGAGATCGCACCAGTGCACTCCAGCCTGGGCAACAGAGTGAGACTCTGTCTAGGTAGGTAGGTAAGAAGGAAGGAAGGAAGAACAGACCTGGATGGAGTTATTGGGAACATGTCTTATCAATGTTGAAGGGCCCCCTATCACTGTAGGGAGACATCCACGTGGGTTGTTTTCGTCTGCTGTGAAAATCTAGGGTTGGAATCATGGAAGCAAACTGCAGGAATTCTTAATCATCCTGCTCACGTGGTGGGCATCAGAGGGTGTCTGCTTGGCCCCCACAGCACTGGGACAGTCAGAGAGGCCATGAGTGGATGACGCCCTGATCACTGCCCTTTGCAGTCCAGGAATACCTCACTGGGCTGGGGCCATACCCTGTGCCCTCTGGAAGACAAGCCTGCGCACTTACTATGTGCCAGATGCCATGCACAGTGCCCTAGTTCCTTGCTGTAGCACCAACACGTCCCACGCTGGTGCTTAAATGCACGCAAACAACTTTGGTGGTTGTGGCCCGAAAAGCTCAAATGTTAAAGTTAAGCAGTCAGGCAAGCTAGAAGAGGTGAGGAGCCTCCTAGAAAACTCATTCGATGACACGCGCTTCCCTCACCTATTCAGATACTTGCCGAGTGCCTGCCACTTGCCTGGCCCTGTACCCAGGGCCCATCTGGGAGCCATTCCTGCTATAGCTGGGACCACTTGTGAAACGGCTAGTTGTGCCTAACAGACATGCTCAGATTCACAAAATGAATTCAGAACACTTACCTGTCCCACCCGTGAAAGTGACCTTGGAGGTGTCATTGCCCCCCACCACCCCAGTTTCTAGTCCAAGCCAACAGCTGGTGCTAGATAGATGCTTGATGAATGAGCAGATTTGACTGTTAGTTACTCTGTACCTAAAACTCCTATCTTTACATCAAAGCCCTGACAGATTTGCCCTTGACAGACTGAAATCCGGGGCTGCTGCAGGGTTCACCTCCAGGAGGCACCATTCACGACACTGTCCCATAAATGGTAATGGGCTCCCAGGGATACTGTTTACATAGACTGCACTGAGAACGGTGACCCTTAGGTTTGTACAATGAGGTACCCTGTTGAATGACCCTAAACCAGCCTCCAAAATGTGCAGGATCCCACATTGGTCAGCGCCAACCCTGAGCACAGGATCTAAAACTATAGATGATATGGCCACCCTGGCCACAGCTGGAACCAAGCTGGTGGCCCAAGAGAGAGCCTCTTCTTGGAATTGCATGTCAGTTTCTCATACGCAGTTTCTTCCTATTTTTCCCATTTCCCGTTTTAAAGCTAGTGGCATACCTCACAGTCAAATAACCAAGTGGTCAGTGTCTCGACAATGTGCAGTAACGAGGTGGGGGCTGCAAGGGTGAGGGGCTCAGTCACCTTAACAAGGCAGGAGACCTCCCACAAAAGGCTGATGTGTCGTCCCCAGGGCCAGCTGGACAAGGGCATGCAGCGCAGGGGTAGGGGGATGGAAATATTTTCTCTCCCGTAAACTCTGACTTCATGTGAGCAGGCATGGGGTCTCCCTGAGAGCTGATAACCGGGAAAACCAAAACCAATAATATTCCTAATAATAATACTAGAATGTAAGAATAATCATGTGTTTTTCACTGACCGCTGTTGCTCTGCTTTTGTCTTTATATACAGTAGTTTTTATAACAATGTCCCTAGGTTTTAATAAAGGAGTGTCATGTCAACTGTTCCCTAGATTGACGTTTGCTTCAGTGTTTCAAAATGAGCTCAAGGGAACCTGTGCCCGCATAATTTGTCACTCTTTTGGGGCGGGTGGAGGACCAGGGGCTGGGGTCCCAGCCAACGTGGTGTTAGGGGGAGCTGGACACACGAGTCCATCCTGAACACTCAATGCCAATGGCAGGTGGACGCCACCTCCAAAGGGGCAGGGGCAAGGTCAGAGAGGAGTGACAGAGCCCTGAATCTGGCACTAGCACCCAACAAGACAGAGCTGAAAGCACGTGGAGGGTGGGGGGGGCGGGCATCACTGCAGATGGCATGCCATCCGTGGCCCCTGGTGTGACATGCCAGGTGCCTCTTGTTTGTCATCTCATTGGCGAGGGGACAGAGTAAGCTCCTTTAACGAGCACTGTGCTCCTGAAAAGCTACCATCCCTCACACTGGGACCGTGTGTCCTTCACGCTGGACACAGAGTCAATTCTGGCCCCACCTGCCAGCAGGAGGAGTGAGGATGCAGGAGAAGGGACAGGCTGCACCGTGGAGAAAAGCCGCACCAGGTCTTGCAACCCAGTCCCACTTCACCTGGGGCCCAGAGGCCCCCAACACCTGAAATCTGATGGTGGGGATACCAGACTGCTGGCACCCCCAGACAATGGATGGTGGCAAATGCTATTTTCCTCCAGAGAGGTCTCATCGTCCGATGCTTCAGAATATTTCTGCCAACAATGTATCAAATGTATCTTTCCTGGCACACAATCAGAGATCACCAGGTACACAAGGCAGCAATGTGAAGAAGCAAGGGAGGCACAAGGATTAGGAGACAGGCAGAGAGGCTACAAGCCCGGGAGCAGTCAGACACGTGTCTTCACACAGCCACACTTACTGTGCTCCAAATACATAAAATCACATCTGAAACCCATAAAAAAAAAAAAAAGATACAGGAAATTTTTTAAAGAGCCGATTAGAAACTGTAGAATTTTTTTTTAAAGTACATAATAACCCAAATTAAGGTCTCAGTAAATGAGTTTAAAAGCAGATTATATAAGACAACGTGGTATTGGCAAAAGAACAGACAGACCAATGAACAGAACAGACAGCTCAGAAATAGACCCACATAAAATAGTGACCTGATCTTTGACAAAGGAGCAAAAGCAATAGAATGGAGGAAAAAATAGTCTTTTCAAAAAATGGTGCTGGAACAACTGGACATTCACGTGGAAAAATACAAATCTGGACAGAGACTTTACACTCCACAAAATTAACTCAAAATGGATCATAGACCTAAGTGGAAAAAAAAAAAAACTGCAGAACTCCTAGAAGATAATATAGGAGAAAATCTAGATGACCTTGGTTTGGCAATGACTTTTTAGATGCAATACCAAAGACACGATCTATGAAAGAAAGAATTGATAAGTTGGACTTCATTAAAATTAAACATTTCTGTTCTGTGAAACACTACCAAGAGAATGAAGAGACAAGCCAAAGAACGGGAGAAAATATTTGCAAAAAGACACATCTGATAAAGGATCATTAGCCAAAATATACAAAGAATTCTTAAAACTCAACCATAAGAAAACAGAGCCAGGCACAGTGGCTTGCACCTGTCATTCCAGCCATTTGCGAGGCTGAGGCAGGAGGGTCACTTCATCCCAGAAGTTTAAGACCAGCCTGGTAGCTACAGTGAGACCCTGTCTCAAAAAAGAAAACAAGCTGGGCATGGTAGCTCATGCCTGTAATCCCAGTACTTTGGGAGGCTGAGGCGCGTGGATCACCTGAGGTCAGGAGTTCGAGACCAGTCTGACCAACATGGTGAAACCCCATCTCTACTGAAAATACGAAAAAAAAAAATTATATATATATATTAGCCAGGTGTGGTGGCACATGCCTGCAATCCCAGCTACTTGGGAGGCTGAGGCAGGAGAATCGCTTGAACCCAGGAGACAGAGGTTGTAGTAGGCCGAGAATGCGCCATTGCACTCCAGCCTGGGTGACACAGCTAGACTCTGTCTCAAAAAAAAAAAAAAAAAAAAAAAGGAAAAGAAAAGAAAACAAACAACATGATTACAAAATAAGCCAAAGACCTTAAGAGGCACCTCACCAAAGAAGATACACAGGCAGCAAATAAGCATCTGAAAAGACGCTCCACCTCATATGCCATCAGAAATGCAAATTAAAACAATGAGATACCATGACACACCTATTAGAATGGCCAAAATCCAGAACACCACCACCAACAAATGCTGATGAGAATGTGGAGAAACAGGAGCTCTCATTCACTGCTGTGGGAATGCAAAATGGTACCCGCTTTGGAAGACAGTTTGGCAGTTTCTTACAAAACAAAACATATTTTTACCATCCGACCCAGCATTCACACTTCTTTGTATTTACCCAAAGGAGTTGACAACTTATGTCCACACAAAACCTGCACATGGGTGTTTATAGCTTTATTCATAATTGCCGAAACTTGGAAGAAACCAAGATGTCCTTCAGTAGGTGGATAGATATAAACTGTGGTACATCCAGACAATACAAGATTATTCAATGCTAAAAAGAAATGAGGTATCAAGCCATGAAAAGACATGGAGGAAACACAGATGCATATTACTAAGTGAAAGAAGCCAATCTGAAATTGTGATTTTCCTACAAGGAAATTCCTTGTGGACAAAGGACAGACAGAACTCAAAATCCTCCTTCTGCTCACGTGAGACAAATGCATGTCTGATCTGCTTCCTCTGACCTACTGTTTCACTAAGCCAAACTAAGGTAGAAGTGGCTATTCCTCTACACCACCCCACATGTAGATTGTGTTTTTGGTGAAAGGCTGGCTGATCAGAGACTCAAAAGAATGCAAACATTTGTCTCTTACCTACCTATGACCCAGAAGTCCCTTCCCCCACTTTGAGTTGTCCCACCTTTCCGGACCGAACCAATGTACACCTTACACATATTGATTATAATGTCTCATGTCTCCCTAAAATGTATAAAACCAAGCCGTGCCCCAACCACCCTGGACACGTGTCGTGAGGATCTCCTGAAGCTGTGTCATGGGTGTGTCCTTAATCTTGGCAAAATAATCTTTCTAAATTGATTGAGATCTGTCTCAGAGACTTTTGGGTTCACACTTGTATCCTGAAAACTACAAAACACTGCTTAAAAAAAGAAAAAAATAAATAAATAAGTAAATGAATTATTTTTATACAAAGAGAAAGCACTGCTGAAGGAAATCAAAGGAAATCTAAATAAATGAAGAGATGTGACATATTCATAGACTGAAATACTCAACAAAGTAAAGACGTCAATTCTCCCCAAATCAGATTGATGTCAATTATCTCCAATTCCTGCCAAAATCCCAGGAAGATTTTTTGAAGACAGACAAAATTATTCTAAAATTTATACAGAAAAGCAAAGGACAAGAATAGCTTAAGATAATTTTGAAACAGAATAAAGTGGGAGAAATGGGAGTAATCACTCAACCTAATTTTACTACTTATATAGCTATAGCAATCAAGACTACGTGGTTTTGTTAGAAGGACAGACACACAGATGAATGGAACAGAATAGAGAACTTAAATAGACCCACACATATTTGCCAAATTGGTTTTTGGCTAAGGTGCAAAAGCAGTTTGATAAGGGAAAGATAGGCTTTCCAACAAATGGTGCTGGAGCAATTGGACATTCATATGAAAAAGATAAAATAGACCCTTGAGATAAGTACCTAAGTCTTATATACAAAGTAAAAATAATATTAAGGTAGAATATAAATTTAAATGTTAAATGTAAAACTATAAAATTTGGGGAAAATATTCTTTAAAATAAAAATTGACTAATTGGGCTTAATCACAATTAAAATGTTTTGCTCTGTGAGAGACCCTGTTAAAGGGAGGAACAGACAAGCTACAGACAGTAAAAAAAAAAAATTCAAACCACATATCCAACAAAGGACTAGTAGCTAGACACAAGAAAACACTCAAAAGTAAATAGTAAAAGACAAAAACAAAGTAGACACAAAGAGACATTTTACTAAAGAGGATATACAAAGGGCAAATAATTCTGATGAAGTCCAATTTATCTATTTTTTTATATTGTTGCTTGTGCCTTTGGTTTCATATCTAAGAAACCACTGCCTAATCCAAAGTCATCAAGAATTACCCATATGTTCTCTTCTAAGAACGTCATAGTTTTAGCTCTTACATTTAGGTCTTTGATCCACTTTGAGTTAATTTTGTATATGGTGAGGTAGAGGTCCAACTTCATTCTTTTTCATGTGGATATCTAATTGTCTCAGTACAATTTGTAATTGTTCTGGCACCACTATCAAAAACCAACTGACCATAAATGTGAGGGGTTTTTTTTTTTTGTACTTTAAATTCTGTTCCTTTAATATGTCTATTCTTATGCCAGTACCATTCTCTTTATTAGCATAGCTTTGTCGTAAGTTTTAAAACTGGGAAGTGTGAGTCTTCAAATTTTGTTCTTCTTTTTCAAGACTATTTTGGCTAATATGGGTCTCTTGCATTTCCATATGAATGTTAGGATCAGCTTGTCAATTTTTGCAAATAAGGTAGCTAGGATTTCCGGAAGGACTTTGTTGAATGTATAGATCAATTTGGTGAGTATTGTCACATTAACAATATTAAGTGTTCCAATCCATGAACATAGGATGTCTTTTTATTTATTTAGACCTTTTAAAATTTCTTTCAAGAATGTTTTACAGTTTTCAGGATATAAGTTTTATACTGTTTTGTTAAATAGAGACAGCAAATAAGTACATGAAACAATATTTAACATAATTAATCATTAGGCAGATGCCTATTAAAACCACAATGTAATATCACTACACACCTATCAGAATAGCAAAAATAAAAAACCTTACTGGTGGGGCTGTAAAATGTTACAGCTACTCTGGAAAACAGTTTGGTAGTTTCTTTAGAAACTGAACACGTGGCTGTGTGAGGCAGCTTACGCCTGTAATCCCAGCACTTTGGGAGGCCAAGGCAGCTGGATCATGAGGTCGGGAGTTCGAGACCAGACTGGTCAAGATGGTGAAACCCCATCTCTACTAAAAATACAAAAATTAGCCAGGCGTAGTGGTGGGCGCCTGTAAGCCCAGCTACTTGGGAGGCTGAGGCAGGAGAATTGCTTGAACCTGGGAGGTGGAGGTTGCAGTGAGCCGAGATCATGCCACTACACTCCAGCCTGGGCGACAGAGCAAGATTCCATCTCAAAAAAAATATAGAAAGAAAAAAAAAGAAAACTGAACATGCAACTACCATCTAACCCAACAACAGTACTCCTGCACATTTATTCCATTTAAATTAAAACTAATATTCATACAAAAACCTGTAAATCACTGTTTATAGCAACTTTGTTTATGACAGAGATAAAATGATGAAAAACACATGTGGGAAAAATCCACATGTACGTCAGCTGGAGAATGGATAAACAAATTGTAGTACATTCATAACATGGAATACAATGCAACAATAAAAAGTAACTATTGATACATGCAAAAATCTGGATGAAGCTCCAGATATTATGCTTAATGAAAAAGCCAACCACCACAAGTTACATATTGTATTTATATAATACTCTTAAAATGATGCAATTATAAAAATGGATACCATATTAATATTAATGATTGTCAGGGATTAAGGAGGGGGTGGGGCAGGAGGAAAGTGGGTGTGGCTATCAAAGAGCCACAGGAGGGATCCTTGTGATGGAAATGCTCTGTATCTTCAGTGTGTTGATGTCAGTATCCTAGTTGTAATATTGTAATGTAGTTTTGCAAGATGCTGCAACTGAGGGAAACCAGGTAAAAGAATGTCTCTGTACTACTTCTTACAACTGCACGTGCATATGCAATTATCTCAGAATAAAAAGGTTTAATTTTAAAAATCAGATTAGACACAACTTAATTAATCAACCTGAAGATATGTCACAAGAAAACATCCAGAATGAAGATCAGGGGATAAAAGGATGAAAAACACAGAAAAGTACTTAGCAGTCATATATATACACATATATATATGTATATATATGTATATGATATATATACTGAAAGGAGATATATAACTGAGATATAATTGTTCCAGTAGGCAAGGTGAAAGGGATTGGAGGAGAAATACTATTTGAAGAGATAAAAGGCTAAGAATTTTCTGCAACTACTGAAAGACATCAAGCCACAAGTTCAAGAAGCTCTACTAAACTGAAGTAGAAGACAAAGAGAAAACCTTAAAAGCAGTCAGAAAAGGGGTGGGGGTGGGAGTGGAGATTAACTTCCAAGAAGCACAATTAGACTTGCAAACTACAATAAAAGTACTGGAAACTAAAGGACAATATAATATTATTTTATACTATTATATCAAACAGCATATATGTTAAAAGAAAGTGCCAAACTAGAATTCTAAACCTAGCAAAAATATCTTTCAAGAGTGAAGATAAAATAAGACTTCTTAGAAAAGATTAAAATTTTTAAAATATATAACTAATAACTAATAGACCCTAACTTTAAAAAACATACCAAAGTGTATTCTTTAGGCAGTAAAACAAATGATCCCAGGCAGAGGTTGATGACACAGAAAGGAATAAAGAGCAACAGGAAGGATATATCTGGGGCAAATCTAAATAAAGAATGGCTGATTTGATGGTTGTAAAAATGTCTCGTGAGTTTTAAAATATACAGACATAAAATACACAACAACTGCAAAGAACACAGAAGGGGTATAAGTTAAAGTACTGTTAGGTCCTCGGATTGTCCAGGAATACCAAACAATATTTACAATATTATGTTAAGGATGCATTTTGTAATCTCCAGGGTAACCGTTGCAATAACAGTAAAAGAAAATATAACTTCCAAGCTAATATAAAGGAAAACATGGAATGACAAAATGCACTTATCCAAAAGAAGAAAATAACAATTGAGAAGAAAGAATATAAAACAGGTGAGACCAAAAAAAAAATCACATAATTAAAATATTTAAAACCAAATATTTTAGTAATTACATCAAATATAGGGGAATGAAATGCACCATTTAAAACACAAACACTATCAGATTGGATTTTTAAAAAAACCAAAAAACACCAACTATATGTTATTTATAAAAGACATTTACAACATTAGGTCACAGAAAGTAAGTGCAAGTAAAAGGATGGGAAAAGATATACTGTGCAAGCACCAACTCAAACAAACAATAAACAGAAAAACTGGTGTATCTGTAATAATATTAGATAAAGTATACTTAAAGATGAGAAGTATTACAAAGATATAGGATAACATTTCATAATGATAAAAGCCAATTCTACAAGAAAATATAACTATCTTAAATTGGTAGGCACCTGCTGACACATAACCTCAAAATACATGTACCAAAACTGATAGAACTATAAGAAGTAGACAAAATCACAATTATACTGGGAAATTTTAGCATACTTCTCTCTATAACAGGTCAAACAATCAGATGAAAGACAAGTAAGAATATGAAGAACTGAATGTGATTAAGAAATCTACCTAATGGAGATATCTAGAACAATGCATTCGACACATGCCAATACACATTTTCCTCATGCAGACACAGAACTTTTACAAAAAGTTACCTTATACTGTATAATTAAGCAAGTATCAGTGAACTTCAGAGGACATTATTTGACCACAATGCCATTAAGATAGAATTCTATAAAATAGATATATATAGGAATTTTCTACTATATTTCTCACAGTTCTGAAGGCTGGGAAGTCCAAGATCAAGGCACTGGCAGATGTGGGGTCTGGGGAAGACTCACTCTCTGCCTCCAATATAGCGCCTTGTTGCTGTGTTCTCTGGGGATGAATGCTGTTTTCCAAACATATGGGGATATTCTAGCATACACACACAAACACACACACACACACACACACACACACACACACACACGAAAATATATATATCTAGCTAGTGTGTGTATATATATATGTGTGTGTGTAAAAATTAGAAAATTCCTATAGTTCCATATATAGTCCATATCTATACTAGAAAAACTATATTATATATAAAATATCTATTCTATCTATTATATATAATCCACATATATATAATAGATATTATATATATTATATATTATATATAAATTATATATAATATATTATATATATTATATATATAATTATTATATATTATATATATAATTATTATATATTATATATAATAGGTATTATATACATTATATATAATTATATATATAATATATATAATTGACATATATAATATATAATAGATATTATATATTATATAATACATATTATATATTATATATAATTTTTATATATAATTATATATAAAATATATATAATTTTGTATATAATTATATATAAAATATAATTTTTGTATATAATTATATATAAAATATATATAATTTTTGTGTATAATTATATATAAAATATATATAATTTATATATATAAATTATTTTATATTATATATATTTATATATATATACTAAACCCCCATCTCTACTAAAAATACAAAAAAATAGCTGAGCATAGTGGTGCACACCTGTAATCTCAGCTTCTCAGGAGGCTGAGGCTGAGGCACGAGAATCACTTGAACCTGGGAGGCGAAGGTTGCAGTGAGCCAAGGTTGTGCCATTGCACTCCAGCCTAAGTGACAGAACAAGACTCTGTCTCAAAAAAAAAAAAAAGAAAAAGAAATTTTATATATATGTATATAAAAATATAAAAATTTCCATATGTTTGGAAAACAAGAAATATAAATAGGCTAATATCAAAGAATAAACCATAATGAAAATTAGAATACATTTGAGTATAAGGGAATTGTTCCATATTTAAATTTATGTGATTCAGATAAATAAGTGCTTAAAAGAAAATTCAAGCTTAAGAGCATATCTTGGTGAAGAAATCAAAGAACATCTAAATTAATGAAGAGACGTAGCATGTTCGTGAGTTGGAAGAAAACACAGTAAATGTGTCAATTTTCCCCAAGTTGATACACAAGTTTAACTGACTGAAAACTAATGTCAGCCATACTTTTCACAAATTAAAAATAGAAGAGTCGGCCGGCACGGTGGCTCATGCCTGTAGTCCCAGCACTTTGGGAGGCCAAGGTGGGCGGATCACGAGGTCAGGAGTTCAAGACCAGCCTGACCAATATGGTGAAACCCCATCTCTACTAAAAATACAAAAAATTGGCCAGGCAGTGGCACACGCCGGTAATCCCAGCTACTCGGGAGGCTGAGGCAAGAGAATCACTTGAACCCGGGAGGCGGAGGGTGGCAGCCTGGGTGACAGAGAAAGACTCCATCTCAAAAAAAAAAAAAAAAAAAAAAAGAACGGTCAAATAAACACAAAGTAAATAAAAAGGAACAGAACAATGAAGATAAATACACAACTAAAGAAAAAGGAAAACATAACACAGAGATGATCAGCAAGGCCAAATGTTAGTTCTTTAAAAAATAAAATAAAATTGATAAATCCCTGGCAAAACTCATATGATAAAAATGAAAGAAGACACAATTTCCCAATATCAGAAATTAGAAAGAAGACACCACTACACCTCCAGCAAGCACAAAAATGAAAACAGGCTGAAATGGTTTGAATGCATGTTTTCCCCCAAAATTAATATTTTGAAACCTAAGACCTAATGTGATAGTATTAAGAGTCAGGGCCCTTAGGAAGAAATTAAGTCTTGAGGATGGAGCCCTCATGAATGGAATTAGTGACATTATAAAAGGGCTGGAGGGGACTTTCTGGACCTTTTTGCTTTTCCATCTCTTCTACCATGTGAAGACACAGCATTCATCCCCAGAGGACACAGCAACAAGCCGCCATCTTGGAGGCAGAGAGCGAGGCTTCCCCAGACCCCACATCAGCCAGTTCCTTGATCTTGGACTACCCAGTATTCAGAACTGTGAGAAATTAATTTCTATTGTTTGTAAGTTACCCAGTCTGAGGTATTCTGTTACAGCAGCCCAAAAGGACTAAAAAGGAAATTGTTATGAAAAAATATCCAAAGCGTTTGAAAATGTAAAAGAAATACTTTTCTTTAAAAAGTACAAATTTTCAAAGCTGATATAGAAATATAGAAATGTAAAGGGTCCTATAGTAATTAAATCAATTGAATCCATAACCAAATCTCTCCCACTAAGAAAACCCCAGGGACATGGATGAAGCTGGAAACCATCACTCTCAGCAGACAGACTAACACAGGAAGAGAAAATACCACATATCCTCACTCATAAATGGGAGTTGAACAATGAGAACACAGGGACACAGGGAGGGGAACATCACACACCAGGGCCTGTCGGGGCTGGGGGGCAGGGAGAGGGAGAGCATTAGGACAAATACCTAATGCTTGCAGGGCTTAAAACCTAGCTGACGGGTTGGTAGGTGCAGCAAACCACCATGGCACATGTATACTTATGTAACAAACCTGCACGTTCTGTACTTGTATCCCAGAACTTAAAGTAAAATAAAAGTAAAAAGGAAAAAAAAAACCCAGGCCTACAAATTCAACCAAACATTTAAGGAAGAGACCATGCCAATCATAAGCTCTTCTAGAAACCATGCCAATCATATACAAGCTCTTCTAGAGAATAGAAAATGAATATTAAAGAGCATAAAATGGCCTCAATTCATTTTTGAGACTAGAATTACCCTGATACTAAAACCTGACAAAGTCAGTCTCACTCGTCAGCATAGACGCAAAAATCCCGATTAAAAGACAATAAACAGAATTCAGCATGACCTAATCAGGTATATGAACAGAAATGTCAGCTCATTAGTGCATTCTCACACTACTATAAGACATACTTAAAACTGGGTAACTTATAAAGAAAAGAGGTTTAATGACTCACAGTTCCACTTGGCTGGGGAGGCCTCAGGAAACTTACAATCATGGCAGAAGGCACCTCTTCACAGGGTGGCACAGGGTGGCACATGCCTGTAGTCCCAGCTACTCGGGAGGCTGGGGCAGGAGAATCGCTTGAACCCGGGAGGCAGAGGTTGCGGTGAGCCGCATTGCACTCCAGCCTGGGCAACAAGAGCGAAACTCCGTCTCAGATGAGAGCAGAAAGAAGAGCGACGTGGTGGAGGCAGCCCCTTATAAAACCATCAGATCTCCTGAGAACTCACTCACTCTCACGAGAACAGCATGAGGGAAACCACACCCCCCCAACCCATGATTCAATTATCTCCACCTGGTCCTACCCTTGACACCTGGGGATTATTACAATTCAAGGTGAGATTTGGGTGAGGACACAGAGCCAAACCATATCAATCAGGTTGCTTTGACATCAGAAAACAATAAATATAATCAGGAGAATTCGCATTTTTTCTTTAATAGAAAAATATATGATCATTTCAAGAGATACAAAAAATTGTAAAGTTCAACAGCCATTCGAGATAAAAACAGCTAGGCAAGCTAGGAGTCCAAGGGAACTTTGTTTTAACAGACACTAGATAGCCACAAAAAACTACAGAAAACATCTTACTTGTCTCAATACCTGAAATATGGAAAGCTTTCCTTTCCTGTAAGAAGCAAGCCCATGGTCCCAGCTGTCATCGCTTCTACCCAACATTGACTACGAAGTCCCAGGCAGTACAGCAAGACGCAGACAAGAAACAAAAGGTGTAAGGATCAAAAAGGAAGAAATTTTCAAACATTACCTTTCACAGATGATATGATTGTATAGGTAGAAAACCTAAAATAATCTAACATAAATTATTCCCAGTAGCTAAACATTAAGAAATACGTAATCCCAGCAGTTTGGGAGGCTGAGGCGGGCAGATCACCTGACGTCATGAGTTTGAGACCAGCCTGACCAACATGGAGAAACCCCATCTCTACTAAAATAAAAAATTAGCCAGGCATGGTGGTGCATGCCTGTAGTACCAGCTACTCAGGAGGCTGAGGCAGGAGAATCACTTGAACCCGGGCGGCAGAGGTTGCGGTGAGGCACATAGCACTTCAGCCTGGTGAACAAGAACGCAGCTCCATCTCAAAAAAAAAAAAAAAAAAAAAAAAAAAAGAGAGAGAGAGAGAGAGAGAAAGCAATATGTTATCTCATTCATGCAAAATCTAACGTGGGTTAGTGAAAACCCCTTTAGTTCTAGGCATCCTTCATCCTGTCCACCATCACCTCACTGGTGGCCTCCAAGGTCACCATGACGAAAGACAGAGTGTTAGGGAAACACATCAACTTTTAAACTTTGGCCAGAAGTGGTACATGACACTTCCACTCACATTTCATTTGCTAGAATTAGTCACATGGCCCCACCTAACTACCAGGAAGTAGGAAGTGTAATCTTCCTGCATGCCCCTCTGGTCATTGTTTTCCCCATATGTAGAACATACTCTCGCTTTCTCAAGAGAGAAAACCCCACTCCCATAAGTCAGCAAATCCAGCTTGAAATTGAGAGTTTTCTTAGGCTAGGAGCAGTGGCTCACGTCTGTAATCCCAACACTTTGGGAGACCAAGGCGGGTGGATCACCTGAGGTAAGGAGTCTGAGGCCAGTCACCAATACACCAATATGGTGAAACCCTGTCTCTAAAAAAAAAAAAAAAGAAAGAAAGAAAGAAAAAGAAATTGAGGGTCTTCAAGTGAACGCCTAGTGCTCTCCATCAGGTCTATACCTGCTTCTTCTTGGTCTGGAGATTTATAAACTAGAAGAGACATATTCCTTTCCTCCTATACAGACCCAATATTCAATGATGGAGTGGGGTTAGGACAACTGCAGTAAACACTTTTAGTTTTAAATGGAGAGAATGAAGACAGATAGGGGTAACAATTCTGAAATCTTCTTAGGCTGGGTGCAGTGGCTCACGTCTGTAATCCCAACACTTTGGGAGACCAAGGCGGGTGGATCACCTGAGGCCAGGAGTTTGAGGCCAGTCACCAATACACCAATATGGTGAAACCCTGACTCTAAAAATAAAAAATAAAAAAAAAGAAAAAAAAAAGAAAGAAAGAAAGAAAAAGAAATTGAGGGTCTTCAAGTGAACCGCGTAGTGCTCTCCATCAGGTCTATACCTGCTTCTTCTTGGTCTGGAGATTTATAAACTAGAAGAGACATATTCCTTTCCTCCTATACAGACCCAATATTCAATGATGGAGTGGGGTTAGGACAACTGCAGTAAACACTTTTAGTTTTAAGTGGAGAGAATGAAGAAAAGTAGGGGTAACAATTCTGAAATCCTTCTGAGTAGACATTGTGAAAACTCCTACCCTCGTTAGAGAAGATTTCTTCATTAAGCTTCTCCAGGAAGAAGTCCCTTGTTCCTTGTTCTCCCTGGCCCTTTTGTCATTCCATCACCCTCCTTGGCCACATCTCAAATGGACGTGGAAGAATATGCTGTGTTTGGACTGTGAAACTCAGCTGCTGTTGGCCCATGGAAAATTGGGGAGCTACAGCTTGTTTTAAGTCATGAATAGTCCAAGCCTTTTTTAGTTCAAACTGTGGGTTTCTTTTGTAATACCATGTCCTTAAAAACTTAGTCTGCTTTTGATTTGTTTCCAAAGAGTTCCCTGTACCATAACTCCCTGAAAAGTTCTTTTTGAGAGGTAGATCTCAACTTATTTACCTTCTTTGCTCCCCCATCTCTCTCACACACACAATATCATGGCACTTACCTTGAGTCTATCTGGATCTTTTTAATCTGCCTTTTGCCCTGAGGTAGTTTGGGCCTTTGTTGCTCAATGGTGTTGTCAATCCTGTTTCAAGTTAGTTGGCATCTGGAAGCAGTCGGCTTTTTAATTTTGCAAAGCCCTAACTTTCTGGAATTTCTCTATTTCCTTTATTGCTGCTCACAAACTAGACACTTATTTCTTGTAAGACTTTGTTGAATAAAATCAACAGCCAAGATACGCTTACAATAGCCTTCTTTCTTAGCCTTCTTAATGCAAGTGTGCCATTTAACAAGTGTGTTACCATTAATAGTACAGATTGTCATGCCCCAGCCTCCAGTAGCAGTGTCCTTGGCACACACCACCAGCCACTAAGCTAATGCTGTATATTTTGGCTTTTTGACACAGCAGCACCAATGATTAGTTGGGACAGGATAGGCTATGCTGAAGTAAAAAACAAAGGGTTGTTTATCACTCACACAAAGATGATGTAATCAGGCAAAGCTCCAGGGAAGAAACTCTCCTCCATAAAGTGACGCAGGGATCCAATTGCTTTCATCTTGTGTCTCCACAATTTCAACACAGAGCCTCCCAGCAGTGAATGTCATGGAAAGGGAAACAGAATAAAAGAGGCACTCTTCATGACCTCATCCCAGAAATAGTGTTATATATTGCCTGCCTAAAACCGCCCAAATTAAAACATACTACAAAAACACTATGACCAGATCGATATGTCATTGGCATAAGAATGACAGATTAGAATATAAAATATATGTGAGTATAGATAATAATTTAACAAAAGTAGCATTTCAATACAGTGGGGAATTATTATTTAATACATAATTATTGTTTTTATCCCAGAAATAGTGTTATATATTGCCTGCCTAAAATCCCCCAAATTAAAACATACTACAAAAATACTATGACCAAACCAATATGTCATTGGCATAAGAATGACAGATTAGAATATAAAATATATGTGAGTATATATAATAACTTAATATAACAAAAGTAGCATTTCAATGCAGTGGGGAATTATTATTTAATACATAATTATTTTGTTTTTCACTAAACCACAAAGATTTAACTGGCATAACAGGCTACTTATCCAGAAAAAAAATAAAATTGGACTCCTGTTTTAGCCATATATGAAAATAAGATTTATATTAAAGGCTTAAACAGAACAATAAAAATTCAGCAAGAAATTCTGAAAGGTTATATCAACACTCTCAACAAAGGGACAGGTTCCTAACCAAGACCAGATACCCAGGAGCTATAGAAGGAATGATAAACATTTGGTAATGCAAAAATTAATTTTTGTATGACAAAAGATGATGTAAAGTCAATATATAATTGAGATTTGGAACACAGAGCCACTTGTAAGGCTGAAATTTAATATACAGAGAACATGCACAAATTGACAGGGAAGGAATAAACAACCCAATAGAAAAACAGAAAAACCAAGAGGCAAGTCACAGAAGGAAGCCAAATGTCACCCAACATAAGAAAAGACCTTCAGACTTCCTGGGATGGCAGAGGGGAGCCAGTTGAAATAATAAGATACCACTTTATGCCTTTCAGACTGGCAAAAAATAAATCTACAAATCTATTGTTGGCAGCTGTGTGAGAAAAGGGTACTCTTATGCACTGCTGCTAGAAATGAGAATTATAACTTCTGTTGAAAGCAATCTGAAAATATCTATTAAAATTAAAAATGCACATACCCTTTGAACCCAGCATGAGTAAAATGGAATTCCATGGTAGAATAGAAACAAAATGATGCTTATCAGCAGAGGAAGACTTAGAGGTGTGCTACAGGGGAAAAATGCATATACACATATATATCATATATACACACGTCTACTTTTATTATAAAATTTATTAACACTAGAAGATTTGTGACACAAAGTTTACAAATAATAATAAAATATATGATACTCTGTTTTATAAAATGTATATATTCAACTGATTCTCACAGAATGCTTTTATGATTTTTGCCAAAGTCTTGTACCTGCAGCCAATTGATAGTTGCAACCAATATACAAATATAACATAATGTTACCCACAGACAGCTCGGTCAACGCGGAAGAAAACCCTCCTGGGGGTTGTCACTGAGGGTTTCACTGGGTCTTCACCCCAGGGAAGTGAAGACTTTGTGCCACATGATCAAGGGCTTGGATCATTGCGGTCTTTTGTGTTTCCAAAGACAATTACCACAAAATTTCCCTTACCACATGCACTGTTGTGATATTATCTTGCCACTTCCATCAAAAGGTGAATGTTGTATCTCCTCCCCGTGAATCTGACCTGACCTGTCATCATTGTGATCAATAGAATATGGCGGAAATGACACAGCTCCAGCCTTTGCCTCTTGGAGTGCTTCTTCTTAGAACTCAGTCACCATGCTGTGAGGAAGCCCAAGTAGCCACGTGGAGAGGTCAACATAGAGAAGAGTTCAGGTCCCTTCCTGATAGGCCCAGCTGAACTCCCAGCTTGCAGCCAGCATCAACCCCCAGCCATGTGAGGGAGGTCGTGTTGAACCCTGCAGCCATCCCAGTATCCCAACACCATGTGAAGCAGACACACCACATGTGCGACTCACAGGCTTGTCATAATAAATGGTTGTTGGCAATTTGAACTACTGAGTTACTGAGTTTTAGGGTGGTTTGTTATAAGGCAATAGATAACCTGAACAACTGTCCAAATGAGGACTTGGTTTAAAAATGTATTTTAATGATAGGAACAAATACATATATTATGCTTAAATGCCAAAATGTGTTACCATCTGTATAATTTGCTTTCCTGGCAGTCTTTTTGGTTCTGTTTTCCTATTTTGGTTGGCTTCCTTTTCTCCTTCCCACACATCACATCCTATGCCCCCAAATCAAGTTGATTCTGGATACTTATGCAATTATTTATTAATGTGTACAGACACATATAGAGAGGGTTTTATTGAGGAGAGGATCACTGTGTTATAAAAATGACTCTGTGGTTCTATATATTTTGCTTTCTTATTTGACAATTCTTTGTGAAAATTCCTCCAAATCCCCTATAGAGCTCCAATTCATTATTTTAAATAGTTGCATAAAATTCCACAGCATGGCCATTCCATATTAATCAACCATTCTCAGGGGTATGCTGGAGCCAGCATATACTGGCTGGTGAAAGTCTACTGTTAATTTTTCAGGAATTTTTGCGAGTCAGTTGTTAAATGTAGCCAATAAAAAAATTAAATTACACAAACTTCCAATTAAGTACATTTTATTAAAAACAAAGGTAATGCATACTCAGAGTAATCACGTCCTAATTATCTTACCTCATTTTACTATTATTGATGCTCCTAGGGTGACTTATATTTATTACAAAATACTATATAATGGCGTGCTTCTGTGCATCCCTCTCCAAGACTGTGTTCAGGGGCGTCACATAGGTAGTTTAGAATTGGCCTTGGTGGAACTATATACACCATGGGAATTGGCAAACAATGCACATCAGGGCCTGACTGATTGTTCTGTTGATTGTCTAGACTTAAGCAAGTGATGGAGAAAATGTTAATGATGCAAATTCAACTTTAAAGTGTGTCACATCTGTAGCTATTGCATTGTGGAGCAGGGACAGGTGAGGTGTTTGAATTATTAAAAATGTTGGTTGAGAGAGGTTGCATGGAGAAGGTAAGCACAGAGGTAAAGGAGGTGAGGGTGTGAGCCCAGCGAATATCTGAGACAAGAGCATCTGAGCAGAAGGAACCACAAGTGCAAAGGCCCTGGGGCAGGTGTATGCCTGGCAGGTTGGAGGAATGGGAAGGAGGGCAGTGTGGCTGGAGCCCAGTGAACAGGAGAAAGTGAAGGGGGGTGGAATGCAGGAGGGGTAATAGAAGGGGATGTTAGAGAAGGTGCAGGGAGCCAGTCAAATTATCTGGGGCTTTGCAGAGTCCGGGAAGGACGCTGGCTTGCATTTCAGGTGAAAAGGAGGAGCCTCGGCAAGGTTTGGGCAGAGGAGCAGCATAATCTGGCTTACCGTGTAAAGGCTTCTTCTGACTGCAGTGCTAAGAACAGACTGCAGAGGCAAGGATGAAGGTGGCTTGCACTAGGATGGAAACGGGGCAGGGTGGAGAGAAGCCATCAGATTCCGGATGCACTGGGGCAATGAAACGATAATTTCCTGACAGATTGGATGTAGAGTGCAGCAGAAAAAGGAACCATGGATAAACACAGGCTCCTGGCCCAAGCCACGGGGAAGACAGGGCAGCCACCAACCCAGATGGGGAGGTGGGAGGAAATGAGGAGATCAGTGTTGGACGTGTTGGATGTGAGCAGAGGTGTCTTTGACATCCACGTTGAAAACCTAGTTGGAGGTCAGGAGTCAGGACAGAGGTCCAGGCTGGAGGCGTACATGGGAGTCACTGGCATCTGGAGGGCATTTAAAACCCCGAGGCAGGATGAGATCAGTAAGGGAATGAGAGGGTAATAAAACAAGACACGGTAAGGACTGAGCTCCAGAATGCGCCAACACGTTCAAGGTCAAGGACACATAAAAGAGCCAGCAAGGGACTGAGGTGGAACTACCAGAGAGATGGGAACAAGGCTGAGAGCAGCAGAGTCCTGGCAGCCAGGTGAGGAGAGGGCAGCAAGGAGGAGAGAGAGACCAGCCAGCAGAGTCAGACTCAGAGGGTGGCTCAGACAGCTGACGTCTGCCAGCCAACCCTGGGTTTTGGGTTGGGGGTCACTGCTGACTTCATTAAGCCTCAGGGAATCCATGGGGTCACGAGTGTGCTGGAGAGGGGTGTTCAAGAAAGATGGGGAGGAGTTTTGCTCCTTCAAAGAGCTTTGCTATCCAGAGGGGGAAAGAAACATGGAAGTGGCCAGGCGCCGTGGCTCACACCTGTAATCCCAGCGGGAGGTTGAGGCGGGCAGATCACCTGAGGTCAGGAGTTTGAGACCAGCCTGGACAACATGGTGAAACCCCATCTCTACTAAAACTACAAAAATAGCCAGGCATGGTGGCCCATGCCTGTAATTCCAGCTACTCGGGAGGCTGAGGCAGGAGAATCGCTTGAATCCAGGAGGCTGTTTGCAGTGAGCTGAGATCACGCCACTGCGCTCTATCCAGCCTGGGCTACATTTAAAAAAAACAAACAAACATGAAAGCAGAGGAAGGAGTAGAGATCAAGACTGTTTTTGAAGATGGAGGAACAATCAGGGTACACCGGCTTTCACCTGTAATCCTAACACTTTGGGAGGCTGAGGTAGGAAGGACTGCTTGAGACCAGGAGTTTGAGACCAGTCTGGGCAACATAATGAGACCCCTGTTTCTACAAAAATTGTAAAAATTAGTCTGATGTAGTGTTGCATGCCTGTAGTCCCAGGAATTCCAGGCAGCAGTAAGCTGTGATCAGACCACTGCACTCCAGCCTGGGCAACAAAGTGAGACCCCATCTCAAAAAATAAAATATAAAATAAAATAAAATAAAGATGGAGAAACAGTGGGTGCATGAATGCTGATGCTAGGAGTGGAGCACCTGTGGCAGGGCACAAAACAGACGGACTGCTCCCTGGTAAAGCCCGGGCTTTGATGGGGCCCCTTCCAGTCAGTGGCACATGCTCTTCCCCACCCCTGCATGCCCATCCCCAGAGGAGAGCGAGCCCTGTGCCTCGCTCAGATGCGGCCCCATTGGGAGCGGCACATGCTCTTTTAAAAGAACATCCCAACTGCAGTTGGACGTCCCACGTTCCCATGAATCACCCCAGAAAATAATTGAGTGGCTGGCAAATATTCAAGCCAAACCCCCAGTGCGGGAGGCAGCAAGACGTGACATGAACGAGGAGTGTGCAGGATGAACCCGAGAGGCAGGGACAGACAGGCTCTTGTTAGAAATGTCTATTTGTGGCTCCCCAGTCTAATTTCTGAATATGATAATGAATAAATATTGGTCTTTGCTTCTGCAGCCTTTTCTATCTGGGTGGCTCAGCCAAATAGATGCTGCCACCTTTTGTTTTCTAGAACTGTTGAGAGACTAGGGCTCAGAGAAAAGAAAGGCATCCCCCAGGGTCTCAGGGCAAGGTGGTAGCAGGGAAGGGGACACTGAATGGTCAGAGACCCTGGGAAGGATCTGTGTTTGCCCTAAGCTTGAACTCTACCTCCTGCGTTTGTCTCTGTAATGCACCCTCTGAGTGTCATCCAACTACTGCTTAAATACCACCAATGGCAGGGAGCTCACTACCACCAAGTGGTCCATGCCATCGTTAGTTGGTTCAGAAAGTTAGAAAGTTCCTTCATTTGACAAACTTCTTTCTTGAATTCCTGTAATGTGTTGAGCAGTTCTCTAGACGTGGGATGCCGTGAACTGGTCCTTCAGGGTCCCTGCCCTCACTGGAGAGACAAATAGGAACCTACACACAGCAGCACAGGGAGGAGAGGGAGGAGAGTCCAGCTCGTGCTTATGCAGTGCAGAGGACGCAAGGCCACAGGAGAGGGTGATGAGGCTTTTTGCATTAGTTGACACTGAGCAGTGTCAACTAAGCTGAGAGCTGGGTGACAGGAAGGAGCTCTATGTGTGGGTCCAAGTGAGGGCAGAATTCTGAACAGAGGGACGGGATTGCAGAGGGAATTCCAAGAGGTGGGCAGGCACCCTTGACATTCTCACTGTGGAAGAGTCAGTCCCAGGATCAAAAACTGGAGGGCTGGGTGCAGTGGCTCATGCCTGTAATCCCAGCACTTTGAGAGGCCAAGCGGGGTGGATCACTTGAGGTCAGGAGTTCAAGACTAGCCTGACCAATATGGGGAAACCCTGTCTCTACTGAAAACACAAAAATTAGCCAGGCATGGTGGCACATGCCTGTAATCCCAGCTACTCGGGAGGCTGAGGCACAAGAATTGCTTGAACCTGGAAGGTGGAGGTTGCAGTTAGTGGAGATTGTGCCATTGTGCTCCAGCGTGGGCAACACAGTGAGACTCCGTCTAAAAAAAAAAAACAAACAAACAAACAAAAAAAAAACCTGGAGTAAGGCAATTGGGCACTTGGTCGCAGGGCATGGGCCACCTGTCCGGGTGTGCATCATCCTTGAGCAGCCCCTCCCCCAGGTCACCTCCCCACCTTCCCCACCCCCACCAACTCTAGGTCTTCTGGCCTTCCTGTCTTCTCTGAGTGGTGCTGGGAGGAGGGTCTGGGTGGGCTTGGAATCACAGAGGGCAGACACATTGAGGAGGCTCTTGAGGTCACAATGGCCCACGGCTATGGTTTGAGTATTTACCCCTTTCAAAACTCATGTAAAACTTAATTGGCAATTTGGCAGTGTTGAGAGGTGGAGCCTTTAGAGGTGATTGGATCATGAGGGTTCTGCTCTCCTGAATAGGTTAATCCATTCACAGATTAGTAGCTTAGTAGATGAATGGGCTAATGGATTAATGGGTTATGACAGGAGTGGCATTAGTGGCTTTATACAAGAAGGGAGAGAGACCTGAGCCAGCATGCTCAGCCCCTCACCATGTGATGCCCTGTGCCACCTCGGGACTCTGCAGAGAGCCTCCACCAGCAAGAAGGTCCTCACCAGATGTAGTGCCTTGACCTTGGACTTTTCAGCCTCCGTACCTGTAAGAAGTAATTTGCTTTTCCTTATAAAAAACCAAGTTTCAGGTATTCTGTTATAAGCAACAAAAAATGGACTAAGACACCCACAGAAGAGGGGCTGAGTCAGGACACTGGGTCTGGCTGCTCCCTGAAGCCCCAGACTTACTGTGATTGCCAGACTGTGAGGCAGCTCCTCCTGCGACTGAGGCCCCTCTGTCTCCCTCCCCTCAGCCAACGGCCCCCCTCTGCCCTTTGGGCCCATGTGCCAGCTTCCCTCACCCAGGGGGCAGCCCTGCAGAGACCTCATCAAGGAAAACCCCATCCCTCCTGGGCCTTCTCTGAGGTTGCAGTGAGCTGCACGGTGTTCCCAAAATGACACATCTGCATGCTAACCCCAGGAGCTGTGAATGTGACCTTATTCGGATATGGGGTTTTTGCAGATGTGATTAAGACAAAGCCCGACCTGAATCTACTGACTGGCATCCTCATGAGAAGAAGGAGAGGGAGGTTTGAGATACTCAGACACAGATGGCACCCACAGGGAAGGCCACGTGACATTGCAGGCAGAGAGGAGAGGGATGCGACCACAAGCCAAGGAATGCCGAGAGCTTCCAGGACCCACTGGAGGCTGGGCAAGAGGGGTCCGGAGCAGACTCACCCTCAGAGCCTCCAGAAGGAATCAACCCTGCCAACACCTAGATTTCGGACGCTGGGCTCTAGAACTGTGAGAGAAGACACTGCTGTTGATTTAGGCCACCTAGTTTGTGGTCATATGTTATGGTAACCCTGAGCTACCTCACAGAAGGATCAAAACCACTCAGGTGACGGGTGCTCCATAAATATGAGTGGGATGCGTGGATGAGAGGCTGGTCCCAAAGAGTGGAGTGCCCCTGCCCCACACCTTCTTTCCTTCCACACTGCAAGGTCACAGCCACTCTCAGCATCTGGCCCCAGTTCCTGAATCCTGCCCTGGCCCCCGGGGCATCCCATGGAAGCCCCCTGCTCAGCCATGCTGTGGCTGTTAACCTGGCAGCTCTGGGCTCCTGTCAAATGAGTGTGCGGGAACTCAAATAATACCTGCAAAATGCCAGGGGCAGCCATGAGTGCCAACGCATCAGTGCGCCTCCACCTCCACAGCAAGTGATCCCAGTGAGATGTGTCCCCGAATGGAGGGTAGTTTTGCTTGAAGCTGATGTTTCTTATATGTAATTTTATTCTTATCGATAGAAGCAGCTTGTAAAATGTGTAGCTACGTGTGTTTAAAGGCTTTTACACTGTGTAAAATTTTTCCTAAAATTAGATTCACAAATCGGGGGTGGGGGAAGTATTTTGTCAGATGCGTCCCCGCTCCAGCTGGCCACGGTGCCTGCCGCTGTGGCCTCTCCCCACGCCTGCCAGGGTGGGGTTCCCTGCCGGCGCCTGGAAGAGAAAGGGCCCAGGACCTTCCCAGTGCCCTCCTCCCGGCTCCCTCCAGACGGGCCATATTGTCCCAGGAGTTGGTCTGAGATAGAAGCTGTGCCCTCAGGGAAGCTGCATTTGAAACATTCTGTCTTCACCCAGGAGAGGATCTGAGCTGCCTGCCCAGCGGGCAACAGCTCTTCACAGTCAGCTGCTCACAGAGCCTGCGTGAGGCCCCACCCCCTGCTGGGTCATCATTCGCTTTCCACGGCCCCCTCTCCTTGGTGGTTCTAGGCTCTCACATCTCAAACCCCACAAGGCTCTTGATGCCACAGTGGCCCACTGATATGGTTTGAATATTTGCCTCCTTTAAAACTTATGGGAAACTGAATTGCCAATTTGGCAGTGTTGAGAGGTGGAGCCATTTTTTTTTTAAGATGGAGTTTTGCTCTTGTTGCCCAGGCTGGAGTGCAGTGGCACGATCTCAGCTCACTGAAACCTCCGCCTCCCAGGTTCAAGCGATTCTCCTGCTTCAGCCTCCTGAGTTGCTGGGATTACAGGTGTGCACCACCATGCCCGGCTAATTTTGTATATTTTTAGTAGAGACGGAGTTTCTCCATGTTGGTCAGGCTGGTCTCAAACTCCCAACCTCAGGTGATCCGTGCCCGGCCAAGAGAGGTGGAGCCTTCAACAGGTGATTGGGGCCAGGTGCAGTGGCCCACGCCTGTAATCCTAGCACTTTGGGAGGCCAAGGCTGGTGGATGACTTAAGGACAGGAGTTCAAAATCAGCCTGGCCAACATGGCAAAACCCCGTCTCTACTAAAAATACAAAACAACTAGCCAGGTGTGGTGGCAGACGCCTGTAATCCCAGCTAGTTGAAGGCTGAGGCAGGAGAATTGCTTGAACCAGGGAGGCAGAGGTTGCAGTGAGCTGAGATCACACCATTGCACTCCAGCCTGGGTGACAGAGTGACACTACATCTCAAAAAACAAACAAACAAAAAAAAGAGGCGATTGGATCATGAGGGTTCTGCCCTCGTGAATGGGTTAATCCATACACAGATTAGAAGCTTAATAGATGAATGGACTAATGAATTAATGGGTTATGATGAGAGTGGCATTAGTGGCTTTATACAAGGCAGAAGAGAGACCTGAGCCAGCACACTCAGCCCCTCACCATGTGATGCCCTGCACCACCTCGGGACTCTGCAGAGGACAAGGCAACCGTGACTGCCTCCATCATAAAGCATGGTGAGGCCGGGGAGTGTGACCACTCCCAGGACACTCAGAGCCAGGCTCTCACGTCCTGAGAAGCCCAAGGCACACAGGGAGGCCACTTGTGCCCCCTCGCTCCATCAGCAGTATGAGCCAAGTCCACCTGGGACCCGAGGTGGGGGTGAACTGCCTCCCCAGGATGAGTGCAGCCCCAGCATCCGGTCACCTCCCGCCTGTCCAGCCTTCCTACCTGAGGCCCCAGAAACTGGGGAGGGGAGCTGAGACGCCCGCCAGTCCCCGGCTGGATTCCTTAACCACAGAGGCCAGGAACATAGCAAGACCCAAAACCAGGGTTCTCTCACACAGTTGTGTTTGGGAGGTTTATCCGGCAGCTGGAGGGAACTGGAAGACAGGAAAGACGGGAAGCTGTTATGATTGGCATCATAATCCCCACCCCCATAATGAGGAAGCCTGTCTGGTGCAGTGGCCACGCAGGGAAAGCGTGAGCAGGGATTGGAACCCGGCTATCCGCCCGCCCGCAGTTGCTGCCTTGCTAGAGGGTAGCTTGGGTGTAAGTCAGGGGACCTGATTAGACCTGCAGGATCCCCCAGCTGTGGGAAGGCCGGTCAGGCCTGGAGGCTCCACTGGAAAGAAGTTGCCGAGTGTCCCAGCCCCAGGGGTCTCAGAGCACAGCTTTTCTGGAGCAGCCTCATTTCAACAGCTCCGGGTCCAGGTTCAGGCATTACAGGGCGCAAAGCTTCTACAGTCTGTCATTTTAACTAAAGAAACACAAAGATATTCTCCTCTTACCAGGTGTATAGAAACTATACCATGTGGGCCAGGCGCGGCGGCTCATGCCTGTAATCCCAGCACTTTGGGAGGCCGAGGCAGGCAGATCACCTGAGGTCAGGAGTTCAAGACCAGCCTAGCCAACATGGTGAAAACCCCATCTCTACTAAAAATACAAAAGTTAGCCAGGTGTGGCAGCAGGCGCTTGTAATCCCAGCTACTCAGGAGGCTGAGGCAGGAGAATCACTTGAACCCAGGAGGCGAGGGTCGCAGCGATTCGAGATCACGCCACTGCACATGCATTACTGGGGCCCTCCCAGTACCTTGGAAGCTGCCGTGTGAGGGAGGGAGGAGCTGTGAGGTTTCCCCAGCTCCTAGGAAGTCCACTCTGCTCTTCAGAGATCCTGCCCCTTGCTCCGGAAACCATCACCACGTCACACCAGGCCACTGTTGCAGCACCACAAGCCCTGCTGTCATCTGCTGCTCCCAGGGAGATTCAGCCAGAGATGTGTGTGTGTTGCGGGTGGTGGTTGGGGGGGGGTGCTTCTGAGAAGCCCAGAGCAGGGAGGGTGATGCCCTGGAATCTCAAGGTTGGAGCCTCCTGCCCTAAAAGGGGGGAGACCGAGGCTGTGAGCAGGGAAGGGCCTTGTCCCCTCAGAGTCGGTCTGCCTGTACCCCCCAGATGTTACACGCGTGATTAGGTTTGAGCAGCCTCATGAGAACAGCATGACCGGTGCTTTCTATGTGACCCAGGGACACTGGTCTTACCCTTGGTCCCAATGACATCCTGCCGGTCCCCAGGGTCTCCTAAATGGTGAATGGACATCAGCTGGTGGGCCCTGTCTGACCACCACAGCCCAGATTTTGATAGCCAGAGCAGACAGGACAGGGCATAGGGTCTGTGCCCAGGGTGGCCTGAACAAGGCACTGGTCCAGGGTGTGGAACCCAACCCATTAGGAGCACCCCATTCTGCCCTGCACACTGGAGGCCAGAACCCTGTGCAGACTCCTCAAAAGGCGGTTCCTCCCTCTGCTGACACCCCTCTGGATGGGGACTCACTGCCTCTAAGGCCATGGATGCCATTCTTGCCCATTAGAAAGCTCTGTCTGGTCAGGCACAGTAGTTCACGCCTGTAGTCCCAGCACTTCAGGAGGCTGAGGCAGGAGGATCACTTGAGGCCAGGGGTTCGAGACCAACCTGGACAACATAGTGCAAACCCATCTCTAAAAAAATTTAAAAATTGGCTGGACATGGTAGCACAGGCCTATAGTCCCAGCTACTCGGGAGCCTGAGGTGAGAGGATGCTTGAGCCCAGGAGGTTGAGGCTGCAGTGAGCCATGATCTCACCACTGCACTCCAGCCTGAGAAACAGAGCAAGACCCTGTCTCAAAACAAAAACAAAAACAAAAAAAACCCCACTCTGCCTGATGCTGATATAGAACCTGCCTGCTACGCCCCGTCACCTGGGGCCTCTGCCTCCCGCAGGTGAGCCCACAGGGAAGCTGAGTCTCTGTTTCAGGCTGTGGGCTCCCTCGCACCCATTTCTTGCCTCCCTCAGCCCCTGGGACTCAGGCCGTTTCCTTCTTCTAGAACAGCTACCCCAGCCTACTCTGTCCTCCAGCAGAGTCAGGACCAGCTCTTCAAGAAGATTCCATCTCCCAGCACACCCCACACTAATTGTGTCCTTGAGAAGAAAGCACCAAAGCCTTTTGTGGCCGGTGTATACAGTCGTCCCTCAGTATCCTGGGGATTGGTTCCAGGACCCCCCGAGGATACCAAAATCCACAAATGCTCAAGTCCTTGATATAAAATGACATAGTATTTGCATATAACCTTCACACATCCTCCCATGTACTTATAAATCATCTCTAGGTTACCTATAATCCCTGATACAATGTGAATGCTATGTAAATAGTTTTAAATTTTTTTTTTTTTTTTTTTTTTTTGTGGAGACAGAGTCTCACTCTGTCACCAGGCTGGAGTGCAGTGGCATGATCTCAGCTCACTGCAACCTCCACCTCCAGAGTTCAAGTGATTCTCCTGCCTCAGCCTCCCGAATAGCTGGAATTACAGGCGTGCCCCACCATACCCGGCTAATTTTTGTATTTTTGGTAGAAACAGGGTTTCGCCAGGTTGGTCTCAAACTCCTGACCTCAAGCGATCCACCCACCTCGGCCTCCCAAAAGTGCTGGGATTACAGGCGTGAGCCACCGCACCCTGCCTTTCCTCTGAATATTCTTGATCCAAGGTTGTTGAATCTGAAGATGTGGAACCCGCAGACATTGAAGGCCGACTGTACCGACGTGATGGAGAAGACTATCTATAGATACATGCTACCCCTCCCCCACTGTCTGGCTGGATCAGGGGCTGGGCTGGGAGACAGAGCTAGGCAGGCGGAGGGCTTTCCTGAATGGAGGAGAACGGATGGTGGGAGAGCAGATGCCTCCATGTGGGGACTCGAGATGGAGAGGGAGGATTTTAAAGATACTTTTTGCTGCTTATTAAAAATCTACTATGTGCTACCAGAGAATGCTTCTATTTTCCACAGTATGGCAGACTTAATCACTGAACAAGAGTCCCACTGCAAAGTAACGGAAAATATAATGTATATGTATGTATGTATATGAATGTATTTTATATGTGCATATATACATAGAGATCTATAATGTATGTGTTAAAATGTGCCACACTGAGCAAGCAAGAACAAGGAAAATACAAACCGGAGAACTTCAAGTGAAAGTGAAATCCCAAGAGGTGAGCAGTTGCCAAAGCTGACTTTGCCTGGGGGACCTCAGCCATGCCTGGTTATCTGATCTTCCTTTGTGATGACCGCATTTGGCCCTGAGGATGGGAGGAAAGCCAGGGCCCACCCATCAAAGGAAATCAGGAAACCTGGCAGGGTGCAGTGGCTCACGCCTGTAATCCCAGCACTTTGGGAGGCCAAGGTAGGCAGATCACTTGAGATCAGGAGTTCGAGTGCAGCCTGACCAACTTGGTGAAACCCATCTCTACTAAAATACAAAAATTAGCTGGGCGTGGTGGCAGGCGCCTGTAGTCCCAGCTACTCGGGAGGCTGAGGCAGGAAAATCGCTTGAACCCAGGAGGTGGAAGTTGCAGTGAGCCGAGATAACGCCACTGCACTCCAGCCTGGGCGACAGTGTGAGACTCTGTCTCAAAAAAAAAAAAAAATCAGGAAACCCCACATAAAGCTGGTATCCCCCAAAGGACTATGCTTTCACTATTGGAATAAGATGGGGAAGTGGGGCTGAAGAAAGGGAAAGCAAGGACACTTGTCTATATCAATCTTGGACATGAGTAAAAAATGAATAAAAACCTCCCCTAAAGAGTCATAACCATAAGCCAGATGGGCTTAGCCAGGGCTCATAACCACAGCCATAATATGGGTTGTACACTAGCTGTGTGGACCCCAAATCCTTAGACTAGGATTTTCACATAAAAGAGCCAAATTGGAGTGACCCTACACATCCGGCAGAAGCAGATGTGAATAATCTCTGGAGGTTCCCATTTTCAACCTAGGCCTTGAAGAATTCTCCACAATTAAGTTGAAAGGACCACAATCAAAACCCACAAAGACCCACAAGGGAAAAAGCACCATGAGCAAGCGTCAAGGTAAACAACAGACAGCACAGTGAAACTGCAAAGGTTTGGATGTTAGCGTCATCAGACACAGAACAGAAAATAAAGATAATCCATAGAAAGAATTAGAGGAAGGGTTCAAAAATACGAATAATATGAATAAAGAACAACAGACTATACAAAGGCCAAGATATTTTGAAAAAGAAGCAAATAAAACTTCTAGAAATGAAAAAAAAATATCTAATTGAAATAAAATGAATGATTAAATAGAGTTGATGCAGCTGTTTTAGTCAAGTGCTATAGTGTTTGTTCCACCGCTACTGTAACACACACCAAATGAGTAGGAGTTCAAATATTTCTTGCTCATATACTGTTCAAAACGAGTGTTCCTGACTGGCAGGCAGCTCTCCTCCCAGGGTGACTCCGTCTGTGGCTCCAGCATCTCAGCACACGGCTTGCAATCTCACCAGGCTAGTCAGCATCACCAGAGCATCGGGGAGTACAGGAGTATCAGGTCATGCAGGGGACTGGGTTTGAGGACCAGGCTCAGCAATGTTGTGTTTTACTTGATTCACATTTTATTATTGACCACGTTGGGTTGCAAAGAAGGTGGGGCATGCAGTCCAGCTGCGTGCCCAGCAGGAAGAGCAGATGGGCTTGGTAGGTGGCCAGGCCATCTGGGCCATGGCTGCTGAAGAAAGGTGGAGATCCCAGTCAGTGCTAGCCTTGGCCATTGTTTAGCTGATAGGACTTTTCAAAACCCTGCCCACCATTATTGCAGTTCATCCTTAAGATGGATTACCATCGTGGGGGTTGAACTAAGCAGGCAGGATCATTCCATTTTACAGATGAGGAAACTCAGGTTCAAAAAGGGGTAGTGACCTGTCCAAGACTACACAGCTGCTAAGGGGCCCAGTAAGACTGGAGCCAGGACTTCCCATATCACACTCCTGCCTCTTACTCCAGACAACCGGGTAAAGGAGAGGGATCATGGAGCCAGAGGTCCTCCATTTGTCCCTGTGTTTTCAGCTGAGCTGGTGAGCCTACTGGCCCAGCACAGGGGCCAAGAAGATGGGTTCAAGTCAGAGCTAAGCCCCGCTTGAATGCTGGCATCCTGGGATGCTGGGGTGGCCAGCTGGGTGGGCTGCAAGTTGAAGCAGCAGGTCTGGATCTGACTCACCCAGGAGAGTTAAGAGGTCACGTTAGTGGGTCAGTCCACAAGTATTTACCCAGGGCTAGGTGCTGCTGTGGGTCTCCAACAAGCAAAGCCTAGAAGCAGGGACACAAAATCCAGGTAGGACTCACCTGATGAGCTGGCCTTTTAGTGCCTAACTCTGAGTGCCAAAGGCGTGCCAGGCCTCTAACCTCACGTACCTCATGTCACTGCATCCTCACTAGGACCTATGGAGGAGGGACTTCCAGCACTGTTTTTGTGCCTGTAGTGATGATGATGATAATGATGATGATGATGATGATGTGATGGTGATGATAGTGACAGCAGTGGTGATGATGGTGACAATGATGGTGATGGTGACAATGATGATGGTAGTGATGATGGTGATGATAGTGATGATGATGTGATGGTGATGATAGTAACAGTGATGGTGATGATGGTGACAGTGGTGTGATGGTGGTGATGATGGTCATAATGATGGTGATGACGATCTGATGATGATGATGGTGACAGTGGTGGTGATGATGGTGATGTTGATGATGTGGAGGTGATGATGATGATGATGGAGGTGATGATGATGTGATGGTGATGATGGTGACAGTGGTGGTGATGATGGTGATGTTGATGATGATGGTGGTGATGATGTCATGGTGATGATGGTGACAGTGGAGGTGACGATGAGGATGATGGTGATGATGATGATGTGATGGTGATGATGGTGACAGTGGAGGTGATGATGGTGATAATGATGGAGGTGATGATGATGTGATGGTGATGATGGTGACAGTGGAGGTGATGAGGATGATAATGGTGATGATGATGCCGTGATGGTGATGATGGTGACAGTGGTGGTGATGATGGTGATAATGATGGAGGTGATGATGATGTGATAGTGATGATGGTGACAGTGGTGGTGATGGTGATGATGACACCCATGATGTCATCTGACATTTATTGAATGTTATGTGTCCAGCAAGCTTCAAGCTCTCCAGATACTCAACTTTTTAAATAGCCCTGTGAAGAATAGATTCCTTATTGCCTCCATTTGACATAGAAGGAAACTGAGGCTTAGGGAGGTAAGTGATTTGCCTGGGGTCACAGAGTGAGGTGAGGATTTGCCCAGGATTCACACCCCAGGGTCTGACTCAAGCATCACACTCTAACCACTGCACTACCCAGCCCCTTCCACCCTGGGCTACACCTCCTCTGGGATAGAGCCTCGGTCTGAGCACTCTCTTTATACCCAGCTCTGTGCCCTGGGCCTGCACACAGTAGGTGGAGAAGTTCTCTTATGAATGGTGTGTGCACTATGATTTTGTACCTTTGTAAAAACCCACCTAGGTATTAATGCATCACCTTTCTAGGTAATAATAAACCAACCCATATGAAATGCTTGTGGATAAATAAATGAATTCATGCAATTGTTGGCCAGCCCAGGTCCATTGGCTGACTCTTCTTGGAAGAATCATTTCTGGAACATCTTCATCATCTACTTTCTTACCAGCCAGGCCCCTCAGCCCAGTCCCCCATTGACCTAGGGGCCCAGGACACTCCCTGGGCTACACCCCCAGGGGGTGGGGATCCCATGTGTCTCTAGGTCCATGATGCCCCTCTGCTCACCACTGCCCAAGTCTTACAAGGAAAGAAGGCTGGTGGGGCAGGGATGGGGGTTGGGATGGCACTGGCAGCTTTGATCCATTGCCAGAAGATATGGGGGCAGGAACACACTTTTCTCTAGACAAGCTGTTCGCTTACCAGCTGACTTTGGTAAAAAGAAAAAAAAAAATCTTAGTTCCATCTGTTCCCAGAGTGGAGCTGGTGTGAGTCCTGGGGCTTCCTGCAGCTCAGGCGGCCAGACCCAGTTTCAGACTCCAAGACAGCTGCCCTCTGGATTATTTTGGGAAGCAGCTCAACTCCGAGGCACCCCAGCCTTCGAGGCATTTCCCTTCGCTTCGAAGCTGTTTGCACACCCAGCCCAAGCTGCCAGCTCCTTCTCTGGCCCTGGACGCCTTCCTGTTCAGCTTGCTATAATTATCCTGCTTCCAACTTCGGCTGCAACTTCTACTGGAGTCAGATTTCTTGGGATGGAGGAAGAGAGAAAAAGAGCGAAGGCCATGGATAGTGAAATAAGGGGAGGAAAGGGCTCCCTGATCCTGCTTCGTCTCAGACTTCTTTGTGGGAACCACTTCTTCCACCCACCCCCAGGCACCCAGGGCCCCCAGGCATCCACCTTGTCCCACGGTGAACCCTCTTCCCCACTCTCTTCTCAAAGAATGTCCCCACTCCTTTTCTGAATGACAAGTTCCTGGGGCAGGTGGGATGAGGGCATCTTGGGCAGAGGGAACAGCATCAGAAAGACTTGGAAAGATCGCAGAGATGTCAGGGATATAACTGGAAGCAGTGTGGAAAGGTTGAGGCAGGGACGGAGACAGAACACAGTGAGCAGGAGGACCACAAAGCCAGCAGCACCAGAGCACCCAGAGTCCAGACGCTGCCCGGAGGTTGGGGCCTGGGAAGGTTAGAGCAGGATGGTAGTGAGACTGGGTTCCGAGGACAAAAGCACTCTGGCTGCTGGTGCAGAAGTGAAGTCACAAGAAAGAAGTCCCTTTCTTGCGAAAGGGAGGCCAGCTGGAAAGTTCCAGAGTGAAGATTAGGGAACGGGGCAAGCTCTGACTTGGATGTGGTGAGCTTGGGGTGGGCACCCCAGGCACAGCTATGCCCTGGGAAGTTCAAAATATAGATTAGGTCAGAAAGTAGAATAGTGGTTGTTAGGGGCTAGGGGCTAGGGGAGGAAGATGGGGGTAGTTATTGTTTAATGGATACAGAGTTTCAGTTTTGCAAGATGCAAAGAGTTTTGTGGTTGGAGGGTGGTGACAGTTGCACAATAATAGGAATGTACTTAATACTGCTGAATACACTTAAAAATAGTAAGATGGTACATTTTGTGTTATGTGTATTTTACCACACACAAAAAAAAAAAGAAAAGAAAAAAGAAAGAAATGTGGGTCTGGAGCTCAGGGCTAGAGCTGCAGTGGAGATTGGAGAGTGACCCTTAGGGAGGAGGGACAGGAATTTTAGAAGCAGAAGGCATCGCCAGGAAAGCTGTTTGGAGTGGGAAGGACCAATACTGAATCTATTTCTGTAGGTACACAAGCTCACTAACATATAACCAACACTACACAAAATGATAAAGAAAGTCTTTTAGGCAGGAAGAAAATGATACCAAATGGAAGAAGAAACGATGAGCACCAGGAGTAATAAGTATGTGGGTAAATATAAAAGACTTTCTTCTCAATTAAAAAAAAAAAACTCTTTAAAAGGCAATCGATGTGGCTGGACACTGTGACTCATGCCTGTAATCCTAGCATACTGGGAGGCCAAGGCAAGTGGATCACTTGAGGCCAGGAGCTGGAAACCAGCCTGGACAACATAAGGAGACCTCATCTCTACAAAAAAAAAAAAAAAAAAAATTCTAAAAAAGTTAGCCAAGTGTGGTGGTGCATGCCTGTAGCCCCAGCAACTGAGAAGGCTGAGGTGGGAGGATCAATTGAGCCCGGGAGGTCGAGGCTGCAGTGAGCACTGCAGTCTGGGTGACAGAGTGAGACCCTGTCTCAAAAGAAGACAATTGACATTTTTAAGCAAAAATAATATATTGTGAAATTTATTCTATAGAAATGAGACACATGACAACAATAGGACACAGAAGAGTAAAATGGAAGTAATATTACTTAAAGGTAGACTGTAATAAGTTAAGATGTTATAGTAGATTAAATGGTGACCAAAAGGATTTGTCCACATGCTAATCCCCAGAACCTGTGAATGTTAACTTCTTTGGGAAAAAGGTTTTTGCAGATACAATTAAATTAAGGATCTTGAGATTAGATAATCATGGAAAAAAGTTTTTGCAGATATAATTAAATTAAGGATCTTGAGATTACATAATCGTGGATTATCTAGGTGGGTCCTAAATCTCATGACAAGCGCCCTTATAAGAGAGACACAGAGGAGGGATAGACAGAGAAAGGAGAAAGAAGCAAAGTGACTGTGAAGGTAGATATTAAAGTGATGCATCCACAAGCCCAGAGATGCTGGTAGCCACCAGGAGCTTGAAGAGTCAAGATACAGCTTTCCCTCTAGAACCTCCAGAGGGAACGTGACCCTTCCAACACCTTAATTTCAGACATCTAGCCTCCAGAATTGTGGGAGAATAAATTTCTGCTGTTTTAAGCCAAGAAGTTTGTGGTAATTTGTTACAGCAATGACAGGATATGAATGCAGATGTGTATATAAAGTCTAGAGCAACCCCTAGGAAATGAAAATAACGAAATACAGTTGGTAAGCCAATAATGGAAATAAATTCACATCGCTAAAAAGTCTTCAATCCAAAAGGAATAAGAAAAACATATGAACAAGGCAAACAGCAAGATGGCATTAATAATTCCATTAAATGTAAATGGACTAGAGGTACCTAGAATAGTCAAATTCACAGAGACAGCAAGTAGAATAGTGGTTACCGTGGTCTGAGGGAGGGGAGAAATAGTGGTTACCATGGCCTGAGGGAGGGGAGAATGGAGAGTTAGTATTTCCTGGGTGCAGAGTCTCAGTTTGGGTCGATGAAAAAGTTCTGGAGATGGATGGAGGTGATGGTTGCACAACAGTATGAATGTACTTAATGCCACTGAATTGTACACTTAAAATGGCTAAAACGGTTAATTTTGTGCTATGTATATTTTGCCACAATAAAAAATGTAAGTGGACTAAACCCTCTAATTAAAAGGCAGAGGTTTCCAGATTGTACAAAAAGACACAATTATTTGTGTCTATAAGAAACCTACTTTAAACAGACGCAGTTTAAAAATATAGAAAAACATATACCATGCTAATACTAACAGAAAGTTTGAGTGGCTATATTAATATCAGACAAAGCAGATTTCAGAGTAAGAGATATTACAAGGGATAAATGAGACAAAAGGACATTATAATCTTATATGAGGTATGAAACAAAAATTGATAGAACTGAAAGGGGAAATAGTGAAATGTACAGTTACAGTTGAAGATTTTAACACTTCTGTCTTGGTAATTGACAGAAGTAGTAGAGAGAAAATTAGCAAGGATATAGAAGATCTGAACAACATAATCAACCCACTTGACCTAATTGACATTTATGAAACATTTTGTCCAACAACAGCAGAGCACACATTCTTTTTCAAGTGCATACAGAATATTTACCAAGATAGACCATAATCCAGTACATAAAACAAGTCATAATGCATTTTAAGTGATTTAAATCATACAAAGCATGTTCTCTGACCACAACAAAACCCAATGCCAAAAGATAGCTGGAAAAAAAATCCCAAAATATTTGGAAATTATACACTTCTAAATAACCCATGAGTGAAAGAGGAAGTCACATTTGAAACTAGAAGATATTTTGAACTTCATGAAGGTGAAAACACAACATATTAGTATCTGTGGGATGCAGCTAAAGCTGTGCTTAGAAAAAAAAATCCAGCATTAAATATTTATATAAAAGAAAAATATTCTCAAATCAGTGATCTTAGCTCCCCAATATTTTTAAGATGTCAGTTTTCCCCAGTTTGATCTAAAGAACACAATTCCAGTCAAAATTTCAGCAGGCTTTTTTGCAGAAAATGACAAACTGATTCTAAATTTTATGTAGAAACCAAAAGAATTAAAAAGACCTAGAAAAACCAAAATAATTTTTGAAATGAAGAACAAAATTGGAGGACTTATTTTTGAATGTACTAAGGACATGAGTTGTTGATACAAGAAACAATGGAGATACTCTCAATAGCATTATGCTAAGTGAAAGAAATCAGACACAAAAAGCAACATACCATAGGATACAGTTTATAAGAAATTCTAGACAAGTCTAAATGATGGTGACAGAAAACAGATCAGTGGTCCCCAGGGCCAGGGGCTGGGAGAAGGGAACTGGCTGCAGACAGATGCAGAAACTTGCATGGTGATGGGAATGTCCCATGTCTGGATAACGATGGTGGTGGTTATATGACTGCATGCATTTGTCAAAACTCATCAAATTGTACACTTCAAACTGGGAAGTTATTTTTCAATAAAGCTACAGTAATTAAATAAGTCACTTTTTTTTTAATTGCTGTCAAATAGAACAAGAGTGAGGACGTGGAACAGCCAGGCAGAGCCAGCCTGCAGCGGATGGGGCCCAAGCAAGTGAGGACTCAAAGGCCCCAGGAAGTGGGGCTGGATTTCAGGCTTTTGGGATGAAGCCAGCTGAGAGAGGCTGAGCCTGTGTCCCCAGAAGCTCCAGGAGAGGATTTGAGGTGCTGGAGGGGGCATCGCAATGGAGGGGGCACCTGAGCAGGTGGAAGGAGCTGGGCTCCAGGTACCTGGTGTGGGAGGATGCACGTTTCCCAGAGGCAGCCGGGAAGTAGGGTGGGTATCCATGAAGAGGGGTGCATCTGAGTGCTCACGTGGAACACGCTTATGGGCTTGGGTTTGCCCTGTGAATTGGGAGCTGAGAAGGGCAGGCAGATGGGAGGCTAGGTGAAGGGAAGACCCCTCAAGGCCTTCTCACACCCAGACACCAGCTCCCAGGGCTGACCTGGCACTGCGTCCCTGGCTCCCATCTTGCTCCCCCGAAGGACATCTGCCTAGGCGCCCCCAGTGGGTGTCAATGATGACCTAGCCCCTAACCCCCATCTAAAGCCCCTCCCCAAGGCCTCAGCTGTCAAACTGTGAAAACCCCAGACCCAGAGGCCTCTTCAGGGTCCAGGGAGGAGCAGCAGCCTGGGGCTGTGGTTGCCCTTCTCCCCAGCCTCACCCCTCCCCACAAGTCCCACTCCTCCCCACAAGTCCCACTCCTCCCCACCAGGCCCCAGCCCTCCCCACCAGCCTCACCCCTCCCCGCCAGCCTCACCCGTCCCCACAAACCCTCCCCTCCCCGCCAGCCTCACCCGCCCACTAGCCTCACTCCTCCCCACCAGTCCCACCCCTCCCCGCCAGCCTCACCCCTCCCCGCCAGCCTCACCCCTCCCCATCAGTCCCACCCCTCCCGGCCAGCCCCAGCCCTCCCCACCAATCTCACCCCTCCCCGCCAGCCTCCTCCCCGGTTCCCATCAGCCATCAGCTCTGCCCCACTCTGGATGCCCTGGACTGACTATGTGCAATTCTCCCACACGACTCTTCTTTATGTGCAGAAAATGCCAAGTCTCACTGGAGCGAGTGGGAACCCACAGCTCCCGAGGACAGACTGGAGATGACCTGAACCCACTAATCAACCACGAAGATTGCTTCTTTGTGACTTTTGGGCAAAACTCACGAGGGCAGCTGCAGGACACAGCCCGGGTTGCTTTGACAGTCACTGAATCCACTTCTCCCGGTGGGTGGGGGCATGGCTATGGAGCCATTCGGGCTCCTGCCCTGGAGGGTGACTCTGGGGCCCATCCTCCCGAGTGAGAAGCAGGTGGGTGTGGGGAGCTGGGCTGGAAAAGGTGGGGTCTGGGGCTGTGGGCCCTGTCCCTGAGAGTCCCCAGCCCTGAGTGATGCCACCTCTCTGGGCGGTCACTAGCCTGGGCCCAGAGATGAGAGACTGATGTGACACACACTCACCCCATGGGAGGGAGGCTGCAGGTTTAAGGGCCCTCCTCAGGACCCTGTCAAGTTCCCAGAATCCCTCCCAGAAATACTTTTATTAAAATAAACTGAGCAAGGCCAGGCGGCTCAAAATGATCCACACAAGGGGGTTCAAAGATAATCCAACGATGGAGACAGGAGACAGGGTGGGAGGGAAGCGGGTCACGAATGCACAGGAAACAGCGGGACTGTGGGAGGACACCCTGCAGCCTCGGGCCCTCCAGCTGGGCTGACAGGCAGGCTCTGGGCTTTGGAGGCAGTGAGGGTCAATTCGGGGCTCCATGGGGCGTCCTGTCCCTGTGTGCCTTCTGCGTGTGCTTGCAGAACAGACCATAGAGCACCCTCAGTGTGCTCTTGGCATCCTTGTTCACGATATCTGCGGGCCAAAGGAGGGCAGGGCAGCCAGTCAGGCCTGGGTGGCAGTGACCGACTGTCCCGATGTGGTCAAGGTTTCCTGGCATTCAGGATTTCAGTGCTAATCCCAGGAGAATCCCTGGAAGCCAGGACAGCTGGTCACTCCAGGCCTGGGTCCCGCGCCTGCTGCGTGACTGCCTCCTCCTCCTGGCCAGTCCTCCTCTGAATGCTCCTGTGGTGCCCCCAACACAGCAACTCCTCAAGGTCTGGCTTCTCTGGACAACCTGTCCCCAGAGACCTTGGTCTCCCCCTCCCCAGAACCTCTTCCCCTGGGGCTGCAGTGCCCCCTCCCAAGAAACCTTGGCAAGCGCCCATTCTCCACCCCTGCCAGGCAAGAGGACTCTGCCAATGCGTGCTCATCCCCCAATGCCCTGCACCCTGTTCTGTGGCTCTCGCACAAGGCTGCCACCCAGGGCTGGCCACCGTGTGGGCATCTGCCTTGCACTCACCTTCAGGGCTGACAGGGCAGCTGAGCAGGCCCTCGTCCTTCAGCAGCTCCAGCGCCAGGGTGACGTTGTGCAGCTATGATGACAAGGCCCTATCAGATGTGGGCACAAGCAGCAGCCCCAGGCCAGGCCTTGGGTCCCAAGTGCCAAGCCCTTCCTGTTGTCTGTGATGTCCATCATGAGCCTAAACTCCCATCCAAGGTGGGCATCCCTGACCACGACCACAATCCGTGGTCATCCAGCATCTCCCTACAGCTCACTCTGTCACACAAGCAATCCATGTCTCATTCCTCAGCCACTCACAGGCCCCACTCTGAGCAGGTGCTATACCACACTGGGCACACGCTTGCGTCCAGGGGCCACTGCCCGTGAAAAAGGCAATCGCCAAGGAGGATACCCAATAGGGATCAGGGAAGGCTTCCTGGTGGAGGTGAAGCCTGGTGGTGAGTCCCGCCAGGCAGGGAGAACTACCCAGGGAAAGGAGCAAGGGCCTGGGGTGGCAGAGCACCTTTGAGAACAGCTGTTTCCCAGGGCAAAGCACAGTGAGGAAATCAAGGCTCAGAGGAGCCAAGGGGCTCACTGGAGCTCACGAGACAGAAAGCGCTCAAACCAGGTCTGTCCGCTCCAATGCTCATGCAAAGCAGGCTAGAGACTGGAGCGGTCCCCACCCAGGTGGCTGTCCTTTCCGCCACCCCTTGCCTGGGGTGCAGTCTCAGAGATGGCTCCCTTTAGGGTGGAGAGCGCCCGGGCATCAGTCAAGTCCCCCAGTGATTCAGAGCTCAGCTTAGTCCCTGCCCAGGGCCTCCCCTTGCTCCCCTGCAAAGTGGGCTCACCACAGTTCCCCTGTGCCTTGCTACAGGATATGGTGAGAGCCCAGGAGCCTGCCGGCCCTCCCACAGTAGGTCCCCTCCCTTTCCATTCTAGCTTCTCCCTTGGGCCTCGTCTACAAGCAGAGTAGGTCCCAGCCCTTTGCCTTAGGGCAGCAGCCTGGTGTGGGTGAAGAGGGATGAACTCCTGGTTCACTGTGACCTCAAACAGGTCCTCCCTTCAATGTCTTAGCCACCCGTAGATCCACTAGACGGGGTGGACATCCCAGCCCGGGGGTCAGCTGTGCTGGTCCCGTTCCCTCCCTATCTGCCTGGCCACACCAGCCCCACCAGGACAGGGCAGTTCCCATGGCAACCCGCCAGGGGCCAAGAGGCCAGGTTGGCCGAGCGGTGGATGAGCAAGGCCAGGCAAGACTCATCCAGAAACGCCAGCCTGGCCCAGGCCACCTCCAGCCACCTGCTGGATGGCCCGAGCAAGAGGACTCTTGGGATCTAGCTTGGATGTCTGTGTACTGCCACCCCCATCCCTGCCACTAAGTGTCTGACCTCGGACAAGTCACACATCCTGGCTGGGCCTCAGGTGCCTCATCTGTGTCACGGGGATGATACACCTGTCTGCCTTCCTCTCCAAGGCTGCCATGTGCGTCCAATGTGATGACGGACACAGAATTGAAGCCACAAAGCAAGATTTGAAGGTGAGGATGATGAAGGCATAGGAGCTGGAAGTGGGTGAGCAGAGTCCTTCTCCACGTGGGGACATGAAGATGGAGGGCGGGTCCCAGATGGAAAGGAGTGTATGGGCAGGGTGCCCAGCAGCAGCAGCAGGGCCGCTCCTCTGTAGTCAGCCAACAAGAAGAAACAGGCTAGGCACGGTGGCTCATTCCTGTAATCCCAGCACTTTGAGAGGCCAAAGTGGGCAGATCACCTGAGGTCAGGAGTTCGAGACCAGCCTGGCCAACATGGTGAAACCCTGTCTCTACTAAAAATACAAAAATTAGCTGGGTGTGGTGGCACGTGCCTGTAATCCCAGCTACTTGGGAGGCTGAGGCAGGAGAATTGCTTGAACCCAGGAGGCGGAGGTTGCAGTGAGCCAAGATTGCACCACTGCACTCCATCCTGGGTGACAAGAGCGAAACAAAGGCTATCACACGGCACCAATGTTGCAGCATGCTGCAGGGGCCAATGCGGGGTGAAACTCTGAGACTGTCCAGACCAAGATGGATGGGAAGCTCCGAGTGGACAGACCAGAGCATCACCGGAAGTTCCCATCACTGTGTCCCCAGTTCTTCCTCCTAGACTGGAATATTCTGGGAAACTAGGGTTGCAATTGTTGCTATTGTTCGCATTCTCATCACGAATATTATTTGCAGTTACATGGAGAGTAAATGTCGGAGTGAGAACAAGACCCTGAGGAACCTGAGGTTCCAGACTCCGCACTGTGCTCTCCTGCCTCAAAGCTCCGCCTTTGATACATTCAGCGAGCCAGCATCTCCCAAACTGTGATCTAAGATGGACAGGAAAGGGGATATCTGTGGCCAAACGTTTTTAGAAATTGTTGGATTAAATAAAATACTATGGAAGTCCTTCACTGCAGGACTTATTAGAGCCTTGAATGTGTTGGTGGGCCGCATGAACCTTCAAGACTAGACATGTTTCCCCAAGTTATTTATTCATAGAACCCATTTGTCACAGAACACCTCCTGGGACCAATGTTTTGGAAACACTTCGTTCATTCACTTATTTAAAAAAATACTTGTCATCTACTATGTGCTAGCCATACAACCAGTGCTCAAAACAGACCAGACCTCCTGCCCTCATAGAGCTTATGCTTTGGGAATTGCTATCGACACTGAAAATTATGACATCTGCTTCTGTTTGTCACACTCTTCCTCAATGACACTCAATCTGAACAAAAGATCATCCCCCAGTAAGAGCTGACCCTGGCTCCAGAGCTATCTCATGATGCTCTGTCCAGAGATTTTTCTTCCGCGTGTGGCTTGAGATGAAGATAAAACTACCACCTTCCACGGAGCTGAGAGAAGGTTACAACCCGGGAGGATACGTGCAAATCCTCCTGGGGAAAGTAATTTAACGTGGAAGGACGCCAAGGATTCCTGGCTCCGGGGATTTTATTTCTGGGAGCGAATGATCCTCTCTCCCTCCATCCTTAACTTCCGTGCCCACAATGAATAACTATCTCACATAAACACCATCAGCAAAGAGGGTCTGATAATGAGAAATCCAATTTCAAGAGGCTACTCTGCCAAGATAACAATTCCGCAGAGGCCCACCTTCAGCAAGGGCTGGTGTTCCCGCCCTCCTCAGCTGACGACCTCTTCAGCATTTTGATTACACATTCCTGCAGCAGAGATTGCCCACAATATGCTGTAAAAATTCATTCTTGGAGTCTGAGCTAAGAGGCTGCTGCTTTTCCCCCACATCTAATCTGACTCATATTCAGAAGTAAGTTCTAAAATCAGTGGATTCAGCAAAGCGGCTGCACACAGCAACATGGAAGTCTGCACGTTTGTTCCCGTCTTGTAACTGGGGCTTGGATGGTGCAACAGATTGAGCAGAGGCCCTGCAGCCCAGGGGCACCCCAGAGTGGCTCTGAGCTGGGTTCCGAGCCCCAGGCCCTCAGCCCGCAGGTGGTCCTGCCTGCCCCCTTCCTCCGCCTTCTCTCCTCACCGCTCACATTTCAGTGCCTTGCCTTCCCGAGGCAGGCTCTGACCCCAGTCTCAGCCTTGGCTTCAACCCCACTGAGCCCTGCCACCCCTCCATCTCCCAGAGACTCACATTGGCTCCACAGGAGGGAAACAGGGAGGACCCTAACTCACTGTGTGCTCTGGGCCAGACTTCTGTGCCTCTCTCAACTGTTTCCTCTGTGGAAGTGGGGATGGGAAGAGTTCCTAACTCCAAGACCCAACATGAGGATTTGCTAGCACATTCGTCCACACTGCCCGTGGGAGATCCCACCATCGGCCCAATTCTGCACCCACACACTTTGCAGGGCTGTCCCATGTCACTGTCAAGGCCACAGGGCCTGCTTCGATGGAAGTGGCAGCCTGCCCATTCTGAGCCAGGGCCTCATGCCTTCTGCCTGGTCTCTCATGTGTCTGCCATTGCCAGGAGGAAAGCGTGCCCGGGCCAGCTGCTGGTCCCAGAAGGAACATGGCAGGCTGTGGCACAGAGCCGAGCCACCCAGCCACGACAGCCTGATCCCTATCCAGTCCTCGGAGGAGTGACAAAGCCTAGCTGAGCCTCTAGCAGCTAAACTCAGCCGACCTGCCGGTCTGTGGGAAGAAATGAGCATGGTTTTCAGCCCCTAGGTTTTCGGGTGGTTTGTTAAGCAGCACGTTTGTGGCAATGGCTGGCTGATGCAGCTCCTCCGAATGGAAGAACCTAGGAAGCAGCAGGCACCGTGCCTGCCACAACCACCAGGACCGTAGACACTGACTGCCCCGGCCTCGTTGCTCTGACCCAACATCCCAGCTCTTGGGAACCAAGTCCAGAGCACCTGGCCTCCAGGGAAGGTGGAGGCCACACCCACTCAAGATGCATCCCCGTGGGGGCGAGGGACATGGCAGGCTGCGGGCGGCAGGCTGTGCTGGTGTGAGGCTGCCATTGAGCAGCTGGGTGGTACTGGGTAAGCCTCTCGGGCCCTGGGCTCCCCTCTGTAAAATGGAGATGCAGCCCTGCCCCGCTCTCACAGGGGCAAGGAGGGAGGGTGAGTGGGGAGAGGGCCAGGAGAGGCAAAGTGCAGGGAGCTAACCCCAAGGGAGTGTGGACTGTGGTACAGGGCCCCACAGAGCGCCGAGGGACTGCAGAGGAGCTGAGAAGGTGGGCAGAGCTGGCCGCCCGCCCAGGGAAGCAGGTGGGAAGCAAAGCCAGGGTAGGCTGGGCTGAGAGCACAGCCTGCGTGGATGTGAGGGAATGGGGGAGGACCAGGCCCTGGAGAGCTGGAAGGGGGCCAGAGGTCATGTGGCTGTGGCTGTGGCTGTGGCTGGGAGTCGGCAGGAAGGGAGGAGGGGACGTGGTCGGGGAGGCAGATGGGGCTTGGCAGTTGGGTGCTCCACTTGAAGCAGGGGAGAGGCACAAGGGTGGGTGTCCAGGAAGGTTAAGGGGAGCGGCCTAGAAGAAGGGCCTAGGTGGAGGGGGAGTCTGGTAGGGGTCCAGGGGGGACCTCACCTGCTACTGGGCCCCAGATAGGCCAAGAGGCCTGATCCAGGGCCAAGGACGCCCTGAGCATGTGAAAGGGATGGAAGCCTTTGTCTCTCCCAGAAACAGCCCCAGAGGCTGGCCCTGGGACGGGGCATGTGGCCCTGCCTCCTGCTTCACCTCTTTAGAAAAAGCTACTGCTGCAGAGAGATAAAGAGGTCCTCCTGCCCCAGGCCACGGGAACCCTGGCATGGATGGAGATAAGCTGGCTGCCCGGGATCCTGGGCACGCCACCAGCCACCAACACTCCAGCCTGTCCTTTGGGATGCACGCCTCCAATGTCACCTCCTGTGAGAGGCAAGCCTGGGGATACTAGGGACCACATGTCCCTCAATGCTTTCTCCTCGATGGTTCTCCAAACTCTTTCTTACTACCTGTGTGGCCTGAGTAGGGGGCAGGGATTGTCAGCCCATTTTCAGAGACAGAAAACCTGAGGTCCAGGCAGGCAGGGAGCTGGTGGCGAAGAGCACAAGACTCAGGCCTCTTGCCTGGCAGTGACCCGGGGTAAGCCTTGGCTGCCCGTGGACCTCTCTTTCCTTATTTGGAAAGTAGTAAAATCCCTTCTCATGGGCCAGGCCTACCTGGTAGGAAGGGTGCTCCTGGGAAGGGAACAGCTTGTGGCAAAGCCCAGAGATGGGAGAGCCCAGGGAGCTGGAGGAAGTGGTGGCACACACCACAGGGGCCTGGCGGGGGCGGAGGCAGGACTAGCCAGCGGGCACTGAAGGCTGTACCTGGGGAAGAGGCGGTGGGAGCTGCATCTTTGCAGGCTCACCTGCCCTCTCACCCCACCTCCATCACTCTCTTCATCCCTCTTCCCCAGGTCAAGCCACAGCCCTCATGCCTGGAAGCAGGCAGCCAGCTCCCAGCCAGTCCACCAGCCTCTAGGGTCCACGTGGGAACTGCTGATCCCCCCAGGTCAGGCCCCACCCTTCCAGCCCCTCTAGCCAGAGTGAAGCACCTACACCTCCCTGACCCATTCCTGTTCTTGCCACATTCTGAGCCTTTGCTGATGCTATTCCCTCCCCTCTGCAAGCCCTTCCTTGATAACTCTGCAAACCAATCCCTGATCAACTTCCCGGCTCCCCTCTGATGCAATGCCCTTCCTGACTCCTTGAGATTATTCTAAGCCCTCATTCTTCCAGGCCCCTCCTCTGACCCAGGCATCTGAACCAACACGTTTCACTGTGGCCCTGCAAGACCACACGTCACTAGGAGAACAGTGGGCACAGACTGAGAGCTCCCTGAAAGCAAGAGCTATGTTGGATCAACTTAACATCCCATGCAGTTCAGGGCCTGGCACTAAACAGGCCCTCAGGGAATGGGGGAACAGGCGTGTGGGTAGGGGATGGGTGGATGAGCAGGTGGGTGGATGGGCAGGCAAGTGTATGGGTAAATTGGGTGGATCAATAAACAGAACAGGAAGATGGATTGAAGGACAAACAGATGGATGCATGACAGGACAAGCAGGTGAATGGACCGGTAGGCAAGTGGATGGATGAATGAATGGATGGACAGACAGACATATAGATAAACTTCCTATGGGTGGGTAGACAGGCAGGCAGGTAGGTGGGTGGATGGATGGATGGATGGACTGGGTAGATGAATAAACAGACAGGAAGATAGGTGCATGGACAGGCAGGTAGGTGGATGGACAGGTAGGCAGTTAGGTGGATGGACAGGTAGGCAGTTAAATGGATGGGTGCATAGATGGTGGGTGGCTTGGTAGGTGAACAGGAGGGCTAATAGGCGGTCAGGTAGGTAGATAATGGGTAGATGGGGATGGATAGATAGGTAGATGATGGATGGATGGATGGATGGATGGATGGATGGATGGATGGATGGGTGGGTGGATGGATGGATGGGTAGATGGATGGATGGGTAGATGGATGGATAGGTGAATAGGTGGATGGATGGATGGATGGATGGATAGGCAGACATATAGACAAATAAGCTTCCCCTACACCCTTCACTTCACCTGGAAGTGAATAAACAGACTGGTCATGCCAGTTCTGTATATCTGTTCACCTAGAGGTAGACCATAAAGAAAAATCCTTGGAAAACTTACCATTTCTGCAGGAGAGTTGGGAGTGAGGTAGAATTCCTTTAAGTGCAGGAAGAAGCCTTCAAGTTGTCCAATCAGCAAGAGTAAGATGACCCCATCTGCAAACTACAAAGGAAGGAACTGGAGACAATCACATGGAAGAAGCCTGGCGAAGCCCACTCTGTCTTTTACAGGCTGTGTGGCCCTAAGGAAGTCATACAACTTCTCTGAGCCTCTGGTGCCTTGATGAGAAGTGGGGAAGACATGCCTGACCTCACAGGGTTGCAGGTAAAAAGTGGTTTCAGGCTGCCTGGTATATAGTACATGCTCAGTGAAAAGAGTGCTTTCTAAACTTACTGCAGAAAAGCCTCATATCAGTTTTTAAACAGCACGCTCTTCCACAAGCTACAGAAACACAGGGGAAAACAGAGTTAAGTGTAAAATTATTCCATCAGAGAAAGGCAGAGAGCAGCACACCAGGCTCATCTCGCTGGCTGCCACATTAATATTTCTGTCTGTTCTGTCTGTATGTTCAGAGATAAAGCTGTCGTCCCTGCCACCAGCATATCATATGTTAATATAATCCTATTGAGACTCTTCAAAGATACAAAACACAGGATGGGATATTGGAAGGAACTGCCATTCGAAGCCCTTAATGGAATTTCCTCATATTAAGTCTGCTTCGATGTTATTAGTTTGGGCCTGAAATCTTTTCTGCTGCTATTCCTTGGTAATACAACTGAAATGCAAGGGACTTCCTTACCCCATTTTATTGAACAGTCTCTAAATACCACCTTTGCACATGCCATGAGTCTCTGAAACCCATTATTTTACCAAGGGAGAGATACAGATAGAACAGGTAGAATGTAAATCTCAGAAATCATCCTGTTTATACCCACATAAAATATAATAAAACTACAAATCTCTCACTTATTTCATGCCGGCAGCGTGCCAGGTAATATACCAAACACGTGGGGCTCACCAGCTCATGTATCACTCACAATTCTACCAAGTTGCTATCTTGTACCCACTTTATAAGAAGAAGAGCCTGAGGTTCAGAGAAGTCCAGTAACTCACCCAAGGTCACACAGCAAATGTGGAGGGTTCTCAGCAGACCCCAGGGCCCATAAGTGGTGGAGGCAGGAGGGAAATGTGTGTCTGTCTGGCTACAGAGCGTGATACTTCCACCCTGCCATGCTGCCACACCATATCACACACAAACTTCTCACGTGGCCACCATGTGAGGTGGTTATAAGCACTAACTCTGGCCCCAGCTGCCTGGGTTCAAATCCCAGGTCCACTACTTATCACTGTGTGACTTTAGACAAGTTAATTAACCTCTCTGTGCCTTAACATCCTCCTCTGTAAGTGGGGTAGTACAGTTCCCACTTCAGAGGATTATGGAGAGGATTCAATGAGTTAACATGGAAAGCATTTTGCCCTGGGACTGGCACATAGTGAGGGCTTTATTGGTTTTAGCTACTAGGCATGGGAGTACATTAACCCCTCCCTCCCCAGCCAATGCCCATCCAGAGTCTCTCTGAGAGGTCAGCAGCTCTGGCTACGATCTTCATGAGCCAACTGGTCCATCTGGGACCAGACTCCCTCCCCACCCCAGACCCCAGCACCCAGCAGAACCCAGGTGGCCAGATGCCTACGTCATGTCCCATTCAGGCCACTGGCATCCAGCAGACTCCATGCCCACTCTGCAGGCCCCGGGCTGGCAGCCGGTCTGCTACTGTGCACCCCCTGCTCCCCTGCAGTGTGGGAAGCCTACAGGGACACAGCTTCACTGTGGAAAGCCACAGCCCATGGTGGGTGCTGACCCCCTGAGATTCTGCTCCTGCTCCTGGGAAAATTCGACTTAAGTCAGCCGGGGGAGGGGCTGGGCTCCTCAGGGTGCTTGTGAGAGACATGGAGCCTGCAGACGGCTGGGCTGCGCTGTCACCTACGCCTGGCACATGGGACAAATCTAATAAATTCTGTTTGGGCGAACACAACCACGCAGGGAAGACTCATATGCTTCAAGTCTTGGCATCAGCTAGTCTGAGATTAATTATAAAATAAAATTATAACAATGAGAAGCAGTGACAGCCGAGGTGACTCCAGCTTTGTGAAGTGTTCCCACACCTCCACCCCCGGGATCCCACCATGTCCCTGGTGACCACTGCTGCCTGCCAGCAACAGTCCCACCGGGGAGGGGGACCCTAAGGCTCCAAGAGGTGATGCAACCCCCACCACACAGCAGGTTCCCAGGGCCTGCAGAACCCTCTTTCCTTCCTACGGCCAGTGGCCCTGCCCTGCCTGGGGACGCCGCAGCTCAGTCCCTACCTGGGTGTCCAGATTCTGCACAGACAGGCCCAGGCGGTCCAGCTTCTGGTTGACAAAGTTCACGATGGCCTAACCAGGGAAGAACAAGGGCCTAGCACACAGCAGGTGTGATGGGAGGACCCGTGATTCCCTCCTACAGCGCAGGTGGGCAGTGGGTGGGGTGGGCAGCCTGAGAGCCGCTGAGAGCTTTGATCTCTCCTACCTCTTTCACTGCGTTCACTTTCTCCGGAGCCAGCTTAAATAATTCATCAAAGACGTCCTCTGCAGACACAGATCCAATAAACACCTCATTACGATGCTATTATCTTTGTGCCAAACAGGGAATTTTTTTTTTCACAAAAGTTTCTTAGAATAACCAGTCCAGAGGGAGCTGTCGTTTTACATCATGGTTCTCAAATAAAACAGACCTGGATTTGAGTCACTGCTCTCCTGGCCGTGTGGCCCCAGGGGAGTCACCGTCTCTCTCTGTGCCTCCCTAGCTGGGGTTGTTGCAGAGATGGAATTCCATAGCAGATAACACACATGGCCCCATGGCACAGTGACTGGGCACACAGTAGGACTTCATAAACAGCCACTCTTCCTGCAGCTGACACCTGTTACTACATCTGCACAGCTGCATCCCTTTATCTGCCAGCTGGCACTCCCTCCTCCCAGGGCCCTACTCCACTCCCCAGGGCCACGGGAGCTGCCACAGGTGGGTGATCAGGGTCCATGAGTCTCCTCCCCTTGGTTTTAAATTGGCTGAGTGAGGACTGCTCCCTGCTGCCTCCCCCCGCCCCCAAGAGTGTCTGAACCTGCTGCCTGCAAAAGGCCAGCTCTTCAGCAACTCAGTCACTCCCTTGGGGTCTGGGAACAGCGGCTCAGGCCCTGGGGTCCAGCCTCGGGTGCCCATGTCCTCAGGCTAATGCCCTTTGTGCACTAGCTGGATTCCTGCTATTTGCAGCTAACATACCTCCCATGGGGACACTGGTCCTTGGGCACCAAATACACAGACTGGCCTGAGTTTGCTGTGGCTTCTGCCACTCAGCAGCTGTGTGACTCTAAGCAAGTCACAGCACCTCTCTCTGTTTCAGTTCCCTTGTTAGTGAAGGGGGAAAAGTAGCACCAAATAGCATCATGCACGTTAAAATGCCCCTGCTCTGTGTCCTTTCTTCACCCTCTGACACCCACTTCTCATGCTGCCCCCTGCCCAAAATACTGCTCCCTGGGCAACCCCTCATGTCCTCAGGCTGCCCCTCCTGCTACATACACAGATCCTCAGCCAGCCCTCCTTGCCCCTCCTTTCTCCTTTCTCCCCAAACTCCGCCTTCCTCAGCCCCCATTCTCAGAAGCTCCTGGCAGGTTATTATCTCTACCTCTGCAGGGAAGGTGCCCCTCATAGCATCCCTGCCCACATAGCTATGTGTCTAAGTGGGGAGGGTATAGGGAGGAAAAATAGTGTTAGGATGGATGGATATGGGTGAATACATAGGTGGTTGGATGGGTAGATAGATGAATGGGTGGATGAATAGGTGGGTAGGTGGATAGATGAATGGATGGATGGATAGGTGTGTGGGTGGATGGATGGATAGATGGATGGATGGATGGATGAATATATGGATAGGTGGGTGTATGGATGGATGGATGGATAGATGATGGATGGGTAGGCGGATGGATGAATGGAAGCATGAATGGATGGATGGAGGGATGGATGGATGGATGAATGCGTGGATAGGTGGGTGGGTGGATGGATGGATGGATGGATGGATAGGTTGATGGATGGATAGGTGGATGGATGGATGGACAGGTGATGGATGGGTAGGTGGATGGATGAATGGAGGCATGAATGGATGGATGGAGGGATGGATAAATGGATGGGTGGGTGGATAGATGAATGGAAGAATGGGTTGATGGATGCATGGGTGTATGAATGGATGGATGGATAGGTGGGTGGGTGGATAAGTGGGTAAGTAGATAGATGAATGGAAGAAAGGATGGATCAATAGATGGATAAATAGATTAATGGATGGGAAGGGGAAGAGCTGGCCAGACCAGTGACAAAGGAATGGATGCATGAAAGAAGTAACAACTAGAACAATCAACTGATTGGTGAACAGCTCTGTCAGAAGAGCAGAAGCCACATTATTGCCCACTCACTATTGAGCACTGCCCACATGCTGAACACACTCATACATTATCTCCTTTAACCCTCACTGCCAGTTTAAAAGGTGAGTGCCCTTTTATAGATGAGGAAACTGAGGCACGGACAAGTTAAGATACTTGCCCAAACTTAAGTGGCTAATGAGTGGGAACACTGGTGTTTGAACCCAGGCCACTGACTCCAGAGCCCACACATTTAACAGACTCCACCATCACTGCCCATGTGAATTATAAATCTCTCTCCCCACAGGAACAGTATCATGAGAAGGAGCAGCCAGCTCCATGGATGGACAGACAGAAAGAGGGACAAATGAATAAGAATGAGGCTTGAGATACAAACAGCAAGTGACAGGGAAATGAGAGAATGCTCAGCAATTAACCCTGCATTAAGACTTGTCTGCATTAACACGCATCAGATAGGAACAGATTTCCAAAAATGATGAAAGTACTCACTTGGAGGCTCGTCCTTGTCTGTGCTGTGCAGTGGGTGGAAAAAGCAAACAAATGGTTAAAAAAAAAACACCCCGCAAACCTACAATTTCTCAATATGACAAGCCTCAGTGCTGGCAAGGTTGCAAAGAAACTGGCATGCTTGTGGTTTTCCTGGCAGCTTTGTAGGTAGGGCAGATAGCAGAGAAGGTCTTTGTGGGAAGCAAAGGGCAGAAACAGGTTCATGCCCTTCCCTGAGGCTTCCACACCTAGAAACATTTGGACTTTGCTGGTTTTGTTGTTCGTGTTCTGTTCTGAGGGAGATACATCACACACATCATAAAGTGCACAAATCGTAAGCTCACAGCTTGTGCGTTTTACACATACACACCTGTGTGATCACCCCCACTTACATGCTGCAGAACCTCCCAGCACCCCCCGTGTTCTCCCTTCCATCCTCTCCCTCCCTACGCTGACCACAGCTGCGATTTCTCTTGCCATCTGTTGGTTTTGCCTGTCCTGGAAGTTCATGGAAATGAAACCATACTGCGTGTCCTCTTTTGGGTCTGGCTTCTTTCACTCCATTTTTATTGTTTTTGAACAATTTTTCTTCTTCTTTTTTTTTTGGTCACGTTTTTAGATCCACCTCTACCCCATAGAAGAGAAGTTCTGTAGGTCCAGGGCAGGCCAAGTCTCTCTAACCACAGCCCTCCAGAAGAAAGCTGGGGCCCACGGGGCAGAGCCCAGCAGCCTGTGACAGAGACCTGGGCTCAGCACAGAGGCCAAGGCTGCCAGGAGAGACAGACACCATGTGCTGTCCACACAGCTCCAGCCCCAGCCAAGCCTTCAGAGGATGGCAGCCCCACCTGGCCAGCATCTTGGCTGCATCCCTGTGAGAGATCGTGAGTTAGCGCCACACAGAAGCCAGCAACGGTGGACCTGTTGGCAGCCTGTGCAGCCCCTGGGCCCATCCCTCTCCAGGCCCCACCTGTTCTGCTCCATGGGGAGCAGGACAGCCATGCTCCCAGTGGGCGGGGAGCAAGATGGCCAGCCCTAGTGGGTGGGGAACAGTATGGCCAGCCCCAGTGGGCAGGGAGCAGGATGGCCACACCCCCGGTGGGCAGGGAGCAGTATGGCCAGCCCCAGTGGGCAGGGAGCAGGATGGTCAACCCCAGTAGGTGGGGAGCAGGTGGCCATGCCCAGTGGGCAGGAGGTAGGATGGCCACTCCCCAGAGGGCAGGGAACAGGATGGCCATGCCCCAGTGGGCAGGGAGCAGGATGGCCACACCCCCCAGTGGGTGGGGAGTAAGACAGCCACACCCCCAAAGTGGGCGGGGAACAAGACAGTCACACCCTAAAGTGGGCAGGCAGCAAGACGGCCAGCCCCTGGCCATGCAGGGGCCTCTAACTCTTACAGCTTTGCAAGGAAAGAGGAACATCCTGCTCACACTAGAGAGACAGATTCACTGGGCCCTGTACCCCAAACCCAGGGGCCCCCACCCTAGAAAACAAAGCAGGGTGGCTGGGAGGGGCCAGGCAGGGACCTGGTTGGAGGCTAGAAAGGGGTCCTGTGTGCTGCCGTGGGATTGAGAGGTCAGCGCAGCATTTTCGGGTCTGAGAGAAAGCCACAGAATGTGAGGGCCCTTCCCACAAAGGTCAGGCAGATCTGCCCTGGCCCCCACCCTGCCCCCATCCACCGCTGTGAGCCCCAGCCCCACCCATGGGCCCTCATCCTTCCCTCACCTGTATTCAGTGAGCTGTTCCACCAACTTCTCTGACTTCAGACCACTTTTGGTGCTCTAAGAAAAATAAAGGGGGAAGAAATTAAATAATCCAGAAAACTCTGGGGCCCAAAGAAGCCCCAGTGATCCGTTTGCTCTGTATCATCCCTCCTCAGGACAGCCTCTGGCTTAATTGTCTTTCTTCCCCAGGAGTCTTGAGGTTGGGGATGTGTCTGCCTCACTCCCCAAGGCATCCCCAGAGTCTCACAGTGGGAGGAGGGCAGTATCAATGAGCATGTGACTATGAACAAATGAATGGTGAAGGAGTGAATCAATGAAGTCACTTCTGATTTATGTTGGCAGTATAGACCAAGCCACACAACTGCTTGGTAGGGAATTATAATCAATGGTTTTAAAAAACAGTAGAAAGCCGGGTGTGGTGGCTCACGCCTGTAATCCCAGCACTTTAGGAGACTAAGACAGGTGGATGGCTTGAGCTCAGGAGTTCAAGACCAGCCTGGGCAACACGGTGAAACCCCATCTCTGCCAAAAATACAAAAAATTAGCCAGGCACAGTGTCTCAAATCTGTAGTCCCAGCTACTTGGGAGGCTGAGGTGGGAGGATCACTTGAGCTGGAGAGGCAGAAGTTGCAGTGAGCCAAGATTGTACCACTGCATTCCAGCCTGAGCAATAGAGCAAGACGCCATCTCAAAAAAAAAAAAAAAAAAAAAAAAAAATAGAAATGACTCTGACTGGGTGTGGCCAAACTTGGCTTATTCTCTTGGGGCGAGTCAGAGGCAAGCCCTCACACACAAAGCCCCTATGCATGAGGGACCCGAGGCTGGGGTGGGGTGGGGGCGGTCATGAGAAGCAAAGAGCTGGTGGGGCCCCCTATTGTGATGCTCAGAGTCTGTCTGGAGAGGGAAGTCGTGGATTCCTGGGTATTAACCGCAGCACAGGCAGGCCGCATGCTAGACAGAACATCTGAGGGTGGGGAAACCCGGCAAGGTTCCTAGAAAGAGAACAGGGCACTGTCACAGCCATCGGTAATCTCACAGGAGACAGTACCCTCATGGTGAGAGCATTGGTTTTGCTCAGGGCGTGAAGGCTCCCCGTGGCAATGAACGGACGGCCACGCATGGCTCAGGGATATGGCCTGACAGCCCCTGGCCTCAGCCTCTGCCAGCCAGATGCCCTCTGCTGAGGTCAAGTGGAGCTGGCCAGCCGTGGACCTCCTCATGCCCCCAGGCCTCCGCCAGCCCCACTAGACCCTTACCAGCCCGTCCCCAGCTCCAGACAGCACCCCCTGGCCATCCTGGCTGGATTCTATTTCTCAGGGTTCCCTGAAACTCACCCTGGGTCAGCCCCGCCCCAGCCAGCTCCACCCATGCAGGGTACGGCAATGGGGGCCCAAGAGGCTCAGCTTCTGCTTACAAATCCCTGGGGCCCAGGCTGCTACCTCGATAGTGATGACCTCCACCTGGACGTTGGTTGGGAGGGAGAGGTCGGGCTGGAAGCGCTTGGCCAGGGCCACAAGGAGGTGCAGGGTAGACAACAGGTCCTTGTTGAAGATGCCTGGGAAGAGAGTGGAGACAGGTCAGAGCCCAGGAGGCCGCCAAAACGTGCAGCCAAATGGAGGCTTCCTCACTGTCAGAACAACCATCTGCAGACCAAGGAGGTCTGTGTCCAGCCTTCTGGAGAGCAGAGATCTGGAGATACGTGTTCAGAACCTAAAAATCATCACACTTCACCCCATCATCTCACTTCTTAGAATATAGCCCAGGGGTATGATCTACCTTGTGGAAGGGGCTCTAGACACAAAGATGTTTACTGCAGCACTGTTTACAATCGGAAACAACCAAGTGACCTCTGGGAAGGCACTGGCTGAACGATCATTAGATTTCAGCTGCATGTGACTTAATTCAGGGTTGATTTCATCAACATCAATTACTGATTGTGAGACCTTACAGGCTGCGAATGCAGGCGCATGGGACCCAACAAAACCTGGGTTTGAAAACGGACTCTGTTAAATCCTCACCGCCCAACCTTGGAGAAGCTGCATAATTTCTTTCAGCCTCAGTTTTCTCATCTGGGTGGGGTGGGGGGATATGGAGAATTGAAGGGAAGGAAATCTATACCAAACTGTGAACCAGGTGGGGTGGGGAAGTCTAGGTGTTTGGCACGCTCTCTTGGTTTTTGTGTTTCTTTGATAAGGAGTCTCACTCTTGTAGCCCAGACTGGAGTGAAGTGGTGCAATCTGGGCTCACTGCAACCTCTGCCTCCCAGGTTCAAGCGATTCTCCTGCCTCAGCCTCCTGAGTAGCTGGGATTACAGGCACCGGCCACCACGCCCAGCTAATTTTTGTATTTTTAGTAGAGATGGGGTTTCACCATGTTGACCAGGCTGGTCTCAAACTCCTGACCTCAGGTGATCCACCCGCCTCGGCCTCCCAAAGTGCTGGGATTACAGGTGTGAGACACCACACCCGACCAGGCACACTCATTTTTTGTATAAGCAGGCCCTGCAGATATTCCAATACTTTAATGAAATGAGAGTGTGGATGGGCGGACCACGGTACTTGGAACTCAACAGTGGCTGTCATTCAGATAGCAAACAGAGACTGTTTGCTATCCTTGGGCTGCACTTTGCAGCAGTAACACCCTCTAGGGCACAGATGTGTGCTGGGCTGTTGGCTGCTCAGCCAGATGCCTGACTGTGGCTGCCTGAGGCTTCTACCTCCTTCCTGACTCCCAGGTTGTACCCCTGCTGGGAGAAGGATGAGTGCGCCTTCCTGGTGGGTGAGAAGCCTGAAGCAGAAGGACCCCAGCGGCCCCACACTCCCCAGGGGTAGCCAGGTTGTGGCCCACGTACTCTCCACGCTCCACTTGGCCTGCCACTCCTCCAGCTGCAGACTCCGGTTCACGGCCTCCAGCACCACTGTGAGCTTGTGCTTCTGGCTTGTGGCTGTCAGGGCGATGTCCTCTGCTTCCAGCTTGAGCGCCGCCAGCCTCTCTGGAGGCAGGAGAGGGTGGTGAGGACCCCTGGCCGGGGACAGACCAGAGAGCACCTCAGGGACCCTCCAGGAGGCTGAGCCTGCCTGGTGCTTCAGGGAACATGGGTCTGGAGAGCCCATTCTTGGTGTTGGACCGTGGGCCACACTCACAGCCTCAATCGGGTATGCCCTCCAGCTTCCAGGAGACCCTCATCTACACAGAACAGGATTGGTGGGCCATGCAGGCCACATGATGTGAGCAAGCCTCAGCCCCCTGAGCTGGTTGAGAGAGCCCACCTCACCTTGATCAGCCTGTGCCTGCAGCCCCTGCCCTTCTGCACAGCTGTGTCCACTTCATCTCTGCAGGGCAGTGTGGCCTAGTGGTTAAAGCCTACACTCCTAGGCTTCTATCCTGACCCCCCTGCTTCCCTAACCATAAGACCTTGGAGAAATTATGAGGCCTCTCAGAGGCTCCCTTTCCTCATCTGTGAAATGGGGACAGTAACAGCACAGGGCTATTCTGAGGATGAACTGCACCTGCTACATGGGACATGCCCGGAAGTGCTAGCCGCATGAGTGGGATTGTGCAGCCCATCTCCAAAGAGCTCGGCGAACACTGCAGAGGCTGGCCTCAGGCGAAGTGCTGAGGACATGGAATTGGGCCTATCTGTGGCCTCCGAGACCACAGTTGTGTGCAGAAGAGATGCGTAGACCAGACATGACCATACAAGGACAAAGGAGAGGGTGACTCTGGGGCTTGTGGGGAACACTTGCCCGGGACCAGGAGGAGGCCCTGAGAATGCACATCCCCTGCAAAGCCCCTTGGAGCTTTCCAGACTGAGGAGGAACACGGAGACAGGAGCCCAGCCCTGCCCCCAGCCACCCAGGACTGCCCGTTTTCTCTCTAGCAGCCTAGGGCAGCCCGAGGGCAGGGATCATGGGTTCTTTTGTTACCTCCCAGCACCTCAAAACAGCAGGCACTCAATAAGTGTTAGAGAGGCAGTGTGGTGTGGTAGAAAGAGCACCAACCCTGGCGTCAGAGCCCCACCCTGAGCCCCAGCTCGGCCCCCTCACTCATGGGCTGTGGACAGCGCCTCCATCTCCCCAGCCCAGGCCCATCTAGAAAGTGAGACAGGTGTCCCTAAACCCGGGACCATTGTGGGGACTGAAGGAGAGAGCCTACCTGTGGGCCCTGGAGGGGCCAGGTCAGGGGGATGGGGCCGAGGCCCAGGCAGCCCCAGAAACAGCCACTTACGGAATAGGTGGTGTAGGATGAGCCCGTCGAACATGTCCTCCTCCAGGCTGCGGACCACAATGTGCTCGGGGAGAAGAGTGGCATTGATCCACTCCATCAACACCTGCAGGCTCCAAGGGGACAACTTTTGGGGGGATGGAGACTTCTCACCTGGCCCTCCACCTGGCTCAGAATGCCTGCCTCTCGCCTGCCAACTCCTACCCATCTTTCAAGGCCTGGTCAAATGTCACCTCCACTGGGAAGCCCTCCTTGATCTCCCAGGCTGTTAGGGGCCTGCCCCAGGTTCCTGCAGACTCCCTGCTTCTCTCCATCACAAACCTGAGCAGTGTGGGGCTGTCATTATCATGTGTGAGGTTTTAGTACCAGGAAGTGGGGTACTACCATAGCAAATACCCAAAAATGGGGAAATGGCTTGGGGAATGGAAAGAATTGGACAATGAGCACTTGATAGAAAAAGCCTAGATTGCCCTGAAGAGGTGGTCAGTAGAAATATGGATGTTAAAGGTGCCCCTTCTGAGGTCCTAGGAGGAAATGAGGGACATGACATTGGACGTGAAGATGGAGGTGGGGACTGCAGTGATGCATCCACAGATCTGGGAGACCAGGATGCTGCAGCCATCACAGCTGGGGGAAAGGGAGAAGACAGGGGTCCCCTGAGAGCCTCCAGAAGGAGCCAAGCCTGCCGACCCCTTGGTTGAGGGCCTCTGGCCTGCAGCACTGTAAGACAGTAGGTTTCTGTGGTTTAAGCCATTCAGTCTGTGGTCACATGTTACAGTAGCCCTAGGAAGCTAATGCGGGGGCTGCTGGTACCCTGCCCACTCCTTGACTGTTGCCTACTGGCCCAGCTCCCACCTGCAGCTCTGCTCGAAACTGTCCCCACTCTGCTGTGCTCAAAAGGTCAGAGTGCCAGGGAATCAAGGCCCAGCCCTTTCTCAGGGAGCAGCTGTTCACTAAAGGTTGTCAGGAGGTTGTCGGGGCAGGGGTGGTGGTGTATAAATACCCCAGCTCCATCGCCCCTTGGGCAGGAATGCACTGAACTTGCTCTATGCTGGCTCCAGGGTACCCAGCAGGCTTGAGCCCCCAGAACCATGACCAGCTCCATCACTAACCATGTGTTGGCCCCTTCCCTCCCATGACCCCTGGGATAACCTCCCAACTCAACTACTGGCATCCAAATCCTTGTCTCTGGATCAGCCTGTGGAGGAGACCGAGCTGAGACGACATGTCAGCACCTCACCAGGTCTTCCGGGCAAGACCACAGATGGTGTCCCCAGTGCCAGTCACAGGGCTGGGCCAGGTGTGCTGGTCAAAGGTGGGAAAGGTGGATGGATGGAGTGAGGGAATAGGAAGGAGGATGGGAAATGGCCCACAAAGCCTCTGGGTATGGAAGATGGTGTAGGCCAGGAGGCCTCCCTGGAGGAGGCAACAGAGAGGCCATGTGGAGACTGGAGACACAGACGCTGAGGGAAACAGAGGCCTGGAGCCCACCTGTGCCGAGCTGGTCCAGTGGCCATAGCAGCAGACCCATGACCAAGGAGAGAACTAAGAATGGGTGACCCAGGCCCACCACCACCACCTCACCAGTTCTCCTACACCTTGGGCAGACAAGCTGGGGAGGAGCACGGGCTTAGGGGCTGGCAGCTCGTGTCAAACCACAGCTCCGTTACGGGCAGCTGCGTGCCCCTGACAGATGAGGTCACCTGTCTAAGCCTTGCTGTCTGTCCTGTCCCCGGGATGTAAGGGATAATAGATTCCCCTCAAATCCCATGGGGTTGCTGGGATGGTGTATGTGAAGGCACACAGTTGGTGCTCAATAGATGTTTGTTCATGCAGGCTCTGTGGGTGACTTGCTCCATTCAACAGGCCTTCCAGGGGTCTTCGGGGGTCGCCACCCCCCAGCCTGAGGCCAAGGAGTGGGGACAGCCTGCTGTCCCCGCCCCGTGGAGGCCGCTGCCTGGTCTGCCAAGAGGCACCCAGGGAAGTCAGGGCTGTGGAGGCTGCTGTACCTTCTGCAGTTCTTCAAATTTGGGGTCCTTCCGGGAAGTGGGTGGCAGGTATTTCTTCTTTCCTCCTGGAAGCAGAGTGGGTATGACAAGCGCATGGGGACCCTGTGGGGCGCTTGGCCACACTCCCTGCAGGTCACCCACAGATTTCAGCACCGCAGACCCAGGGGCACCGGTCCTGCCACTTCCGCCCCAGCGTGCTTTCCCTCATTTCCCTCACGAACACCAGCTCATCCTCAGACACTGCAGCATTTATACTTTGAGACATAAACTCGGAAGTTATTTCTTGATTACTTGACATTCAAAGTTAACTGGGTATCCTATGTTTGATATATCTGGCAACCCTACCTATTTAGGTAAAGTGAAACCCCAGCCAGAGAGGGGAGGAGGTGCCCAGGCTCACCAGGCTCTAAGGGGCTAAGGTGGGACTTACCCCAGGTCTGCCAGGCCCCTCCATGGCCCCTCTCGTAGTCAGACTCCCCGGGGTGGCCCTCAGAGGCCCAGCAGCTCCCCTTCCCCAAGGCCATGGCCAGCATCTGCCCACATTTTAGACTCACAGAACCCACAAAATGTCAGGGCCAAGAAGGACCTCTGAGATCAACTAGTTCCAAGGTACATGGGGGGATACTGAGTCAGCAGTGGCGACTGTCTTGCCTAAATTCACAAAATGCATCATCTCTCATGTGACCCCAATAAAGGCTTTTCCTAGGTATTCTGAAAACCTTCAAGTACTACCCAGACCCATGTCTTCTGATGAAAGGGAAGGCAACAGCGTCATGGGCTGTTGTGCCCAGCACAGGGCAGGCTCTCAGCAAACACTTGGGCGGGTGAGCAGGCGAATGAATGAATGAAGAAAGGAAGGAATGAAGGAATGAGTGAATGGATATGGTGCTGCTCCTTCCTGGAGCAGACTTCTTGCCGCTTGAATCATCCAATGTCCCAGCTCTGCTTGCCAGAACTTTTAGTAATTTAAATCAGTTGTAAAACAAAAAATTAATGGGTTTTTTTGTTTGTTTTGTTTGGTAGTAACTAAGTCCTACTATTCTAACTCAGCAACTTTCCTCAGGACACTTTCTAATCTTCAATGTTTTAAACACAGAATACCAGATGGTGACAAAGACAGCCAGGTGACTCTGGACCAAGCTTGTCCCTTCTGGGGTCTCATCTGCCGTGCCAGGGACCCTGTTGGCACTGGAGTTCTCGCTCCATAACACCTACTTAAAAGGCGGCATTCAGGGCTGGGTGCAGTGGCTCACGCCTGTAATCCCAGCACTTTTGGGAGGCCGAGGCGGGTGGATCACTTGAGGTCAGGAGTTTGAGGCCGAGCTGGCCAACATGGTGAAACCCCGTCACTACTAAAAATACAAAAATTAGCCAGGTGTGGTGGCAGGTGCCTATAAGCCCAGCTACTTGGGAGGCTGAGGCAGGAGAATCTCTTAAACCTGGGAGGCAGAGGCTGCAGTGAGCCGAGATCCTGGCACTGCACTCCAGCCTGGGTGACACAGTGAGATTTTTGTCTCAAGAAAAAAATAAATAAATAAACATTAAAAGGCGGTATTCACAGGAGCTGGAGAAAGCCGCATTCTGCTCCCTTCCCTTAAATTATTTCACACATTTTCTTTGTCAGCACATTTATGTTTTTGTGGTTACATAAATTCCAATGAGTTCACCTAAAGCCCTTCCCCACTGGGACATCTCGCTGCTTCCTTGCAAGCTGTTGTTCATTTGTTTCTTTCAGAGAACACAGAGAGGGTGACAGCTCTGGGTACCTGCCCATGTCCTTCTTTTGAGCCATCTCCTAGAAGGGAGGTTGCAGGAACTGTGGCCGCCAACCCCCCAAAGGGCTCATGACACAGAGCTTTACTGAAAGGGCGACCTATAGTCGTTGAATTGCTCCATCCTATGCTCACCCCACTTTTGAAAGGGACCCACACGTGTGAGGGGAGCACGTCAGGAGCCCCACACCCTGCAAAGTATCACTCCATGGTGGGCATCGCTGCGTGGTCCGTGTGGAACCTCAGTTCTGGGACCACCCTCCTTGGGCTCAGAACCCAGGTCCACCACTTGCTAAGAGTTTCCTGTTACTGTGGCACGTCACCCCTTGTGCCTCAGTTTCCTCATCTGTATAAAGCAGGCACTGATGCCCGCCCTTGAGAATAAATGAGTTGCTATTGGTAAGAGGTGCTGGTGCAGTAGGGGCACTCAGAAGGCTCACAGGATGAGAGCAATCAGTATTCACCATCGTAATCCACACCGTCTCTCATCTGGAGAGAAGAGGTTCTAGCTCTGTAGAAGGTCCCAGGAGGAGGAGTTAGGTCAAGCATAAAGCAGAAGGTGGAGGCAGGGGTGAGCAGAATTGGGCGCTCAGCTGACAGCTGGGAAGGTGCTGCAAGTCCCAGGCATGGCCAGGCTCACTCTTGCCACACAGACCTTCACCCTCCACCCTCAGACCTGCGTGGGCACACACCTTTTGAGAGCTCCTCCTCCGCTGGGGGCTCCACCCCCTTGGGGAGCTGCAGCAGGTCGTACAAGAACTCCGGCTCCATCGCCTCCCAAGCCTGCACAGAGGAGGCAGGAGAGGGCGTCACGGTCTGAGAAGCCCCAAACTCACTGAGCCCCTCATTTTCTCTAGACCTGGAGGCACAGAAGGAGGGTAGAAGCCAGGTTCTGGGGACACGTCAGCATGCCAGCCTAGGCAGGGGGTACGGGCCCTGTGAGAAAGAGCCCTTGAGCCAACCCTTGCGGGGTGACGGGTTAGAAAAAGGCACAGAAGCTGAGGGCGGGCACAGCCAAGCAAAGGCTTGGCGGAGGAAGTGGTCCTTCCTCAGGCAGGTGCAGAGCGGCCGCCCACCGTGCTCCTGCAGCCCCCAGCCCCCTACCCAGGGACCCCCCACCCTATCCCAGACAGGACAAAGTAGGTACAGCTCACTCCTCAGAGCTTGTCAGGTTGAGCTCAAGGGAAACCTCCCCGGTCGGCCTGTGTGGGGCTGGCTGAGGTGGATACGTGGAATGGTGACATCTCCCATCCCATAAACCGGAAGGGCCAGGGTTGACAGAGGCACTGTTCATCTTCCTCCTCCTCATTACAGGCAGAAGGCTGGGCTCACCACATGCCCGGGACAGGGGCAGACCCAGAGGCCAGCCCAGCCCTCCTTCCTGTTCCCCTGGCCCACTTCCTCTCCTGTGAAGGCTTCGCTGGCTCGGCTGGCGCCTTCTGGCCTCCCTCTTCCTCCCTTTTCAGCCCCTGGGTCTTCTCAGTGTTTTCAAACTCAATCAGACATTGAGGTAGGGGAGTCACATGGCAGAAGTTGGTGGCCAGAGCAGGGAGCCCCCTGAGCTGTGGGAGACGGAGGCATTCACTCGACTGGAGCCACCCATGTCACACCAGCAGCCAGCCTGGGGCGGGGGATGCCAGACTCCATCCTGCCCTGTAGCATGGAGGTGGTGGGGACACAACTGACTCCCAGCCCCTTAATATCCAAGCTGAGGGCCATGGCCAGAGAAAACGAAAGAGCCTGGCCTGGGCGTCAGGAAGCCTGGGTCCCAGGCCAGCTCCTCCTCACTCAGGCTGTGTGACGTTGGGCAAACCCCCTGCCCTCTCTGGTCCTGATGCATGGTTACAAGGAGGGCCTGGACTCGATGCTGCCCAAAGGGATCAGCAGCCTGGGCAAGCCCCTTCCTGGCCCCAGGGCCTCAGTTTCTTCACCTGGAGACGGAGGGGTTGGCTGAAGTTCAGAGGCGGCAACTCCTCAGTAGAACAGGGAGGGAGGACGCCGAGCAGCCTCTGAGCAGGGGCAGCCGGAGGGGCCGTGGGGACTCAAGGTCCCACTTTACCGACTCCCTTCCCCGGGTGGCCTGGGCTGGGACTGCACTCTGGGATCCTTCCCAGGTGGTGTCTGGGCCCCTCCCTCCGTGACCCCCAACACTCAAGTATGGTGGCCCCGATGCCAGAACTCACCCAACCGCTTTCCACGCAGGAAAACAAAGGCCTACTGAGTGCAAAGGGTGGTCCCTGGATTCCGAATGGAAGCAAGTTCCGGGTTCTTCTGGGGTCTTCGGGGACCAGGCCGGGAGGCAGGAGCCCCGCTGCTCACTTCCTCCAGGCCCGCTCAGCCGGCAGGAGCTTCCTCCTCTCTGCGGCAGGGCCCGAGGGGGGTGGATGCCGTGAAAGTGAAGCTGCCACAAACCTCCAGAAAGCTCTGCCCGGAGCCCCAGCGCCCGCCGTGCCGCCTGGGCCCCCGGGGTTCTGCAGGCCACTTAAACTCAATGCTTTCATTTCTCCCCCTCTCCCCGCCTTCCCCAAACCATGCCAGTTTCCCCGCAGGCTGTTCACCTCCAAAATGGCAGCTACATAGGCCAGAGCCTGGGGTCGACCCCCGCAACCCACCACCAGCACCCTGTCAGCCTGGCCTCCACCCTCCATCCCGCACCGCCGTCCTCCCACCTCCACACCCCGCCCCGGGCCAGGCCCCTTCCTCTCCCGGGACCACGCAGGAGACTCCTACCTGGACTCTCGGCTGCAGACTTCCCCACGCCCCCTGCCCGCCCCTGAGCTGAGGCTCCCACAAGCCCTCGGAGGAGTGAGTCACTTCCTGACCCCACTCACTCAAACCCACCAACGGCACCCAATAGCTCTTAAAATAAAATCCAGGCTGTGCGTGGTCTGTCTCTCTCAATCGCGGTTACATACCCGTGTCTAGAACAATGCTTGGCACAAAGTGGGCTCAGTGAATAAATATTGGTGGTGGTTGTTGCCAAGGGGATCGGGAAGGCTTTCCAGAGGAGAATGGGGCCTTGACGGCTGCATAGGAGTTTGCAGTGGAAGAAGAAGGGGTGAGAACGTGGCAGGTGGAGAAAACAGCGTATGCAAAGGCATAGCAGGGTTCGAGAAGGAGAGATCTCAGCACAGTAGATAGAGAAACACTTCAGACCCGAGCTGGTCTCTCAAGCTGGAATCTTCACCATCCGGGCTGAAATGGTGAGTTTCCCTAGCAACAGGTGACTGGGAAGCTATCTACCCTTTCTGACAGGTTAGGCAGAAAGTGGCTAAATCAGGTGGGATGCAGGTGTAAGGAGTGTGTGAGAGCAGGAAAGTAGGGTCGTTTACAAGAAGTTAATAAAAAATGACAAAACTTAGTACTGGTATTGTTGCTAATATTTATGGAGTCATTGGTGATGAAACAAACATAATTTTAAGGGCTTTCATTTTACTGGAAACTTCCTTGTGAGGTAGGTACAATCATCACCCCCATATTACAGAGGAAGACACTGAGGCACATGAGTCAGTCCCTGCCATTCTGAAGTGCCCGTGCTAGACTGGGGCTTGTAACAGGTGGGGAGAGAAGCCACCGTGCAGGACCTATTTTGCTGGGGCGTGTGTAGCAGGCTCAGCCCAGCTCTGGACACAGTGGTTCTGGTGGTGGCTTCTGACTCTGGATCACAGCCACATAGATGTAGCAGCAGTCACAGTCCCAGCAGCAAAGAGACGGTATATTCCCATGTGCTAACTGAAGACTGTTTAATAAAGGGACAGCTGGGGCAGGGTTAAAGGAACCCAGAAGAGACAGTGCTACACCCCAGGCTAGCAACATGGGGAGCTGTTACTTCTTCAAAACCTAGAGGGTGAAGGAGGGAGTGGGTGGCAGAGCCCAGGAACAGAATCACTGAAGCTCTAAGAGGGGCCTCGGGATAGGAGCTGTGGCCTTTGGTAGAGGGACACAGCCAGCTCATGGTGAACCAGCAGAAGGGCACAGCTGGAGGAATCAATGACCAAGCCTCACTCTCCTCCCTCCTGCCAGGGCCTCCCCTGCCCACATCCAGCCAGAAGCCAGAGAAAAGAAGTCCCCTGCTGCGGCCCATAGATGTGAGGAGAGAAAATGGTGGGGAGTGGATCTGCAGAGGTGAACCTAAAGCATTCAACCCAGAAAGCATGCTTCTAGGGCCAGCCTGACTCGGCAGCTTCCTTCAGGAGCCAGCTCTGCAGTATTCTTCCAAGAGTCCTTGCTGGAGGCGCTGCCTCCAGCCTTCCAACAGCTTGAGAATCACACAGCTTCCTATGTTAGATTCCTTTCTCCTCCAAACAACTGAAGAGACTCTAATCATCGGCAACTGAATCCCAATTAACTTCGGATTTGTTACCAGAAACAATTGCAGGCAACACGACCTCCAGGATGGGAACTGGGATTGGTTACTTGTTCTGGTTGATTTAAAGGCAGTGGGGACCTAGTAACTGTTAGAGAATGGAGTTCTAATAGATCGTAGCCTGTGATGGCAAAATAATTACCTGTCATCACTCAGAACGAAGTACCTATTAAATTGTGGCTTTGGCAGAGTTGTGGCTTCCATACGCAATACGAGCACAGGTTATCTAAGGACTGTGGGGTGAGCTTGTTATCATCACACCAAAGAGTTTAAAGCAAGAAAAGGACAGTCCCAGGGCTTTACATTCTCAGCTCAAGGTATGTGCAGAATACAGGGAGTTCTCTGATAGCCCTCAAAGCTATCTCTCATCTCTTGGGGCTGCAGGGCTGATGTAAGAATCAGATGCGAAATCTAATCCTGTATGGTGTGGAGTTACAACAGACTAAATCCACAACTCACAAAGCCTCTTGTGTGTAGAGCATTGTTTAGGGGAAGAGAGGGACTCTAAGAATTGGAAGAGTAACATGGAGATAAGTCCAAGCACCCCCAAACCCCAATTAAGAGAAAGGCATGGATAGAAGGGAATTATTCCAGCCTTTTTTTTTTTCAGAGACACGGTGTGAAATATACCTGTGCAAATATGCCAAACACTACTGAACTGTATACTTAAAAATAGTTAAGACAGTACATTTTATGTTACGTGTATTTTTAACCACAACTAAAATTTTTAAAAATTAATAAAAAATAAATAAATTGCAGGGATCACATCACTTTAGGGATATCTCTAAATACTTCAGAATGTTTCTCCTAAAAACATTCTCCTGCATAACACAGTACCATTATGATACCTAAGAAAATTAGCATTGATAGAAGGTTTTCTAATATCTCATCCACATTCAAACTTCACCAAGGCTTCAAAAAATGTCTATTACAGCTGTATTTTTTTTAATCCAAGATCCATTCAGGCATCACACAGCACATGTGATTGCATTTGGTTTTCATGTCTCTTTAGAGCCCTGTAATCTAGAACAATCTTTCACGACACTAACATTTTTTAAACATCCAGGTCAGTTGTCCTGTAGAATCTATCACTTCTGTCATTTCCTGGTCTGCTTCTGTGGACTGATTTTTCTCCCGATTGTGGGTCACAGTTTCCTGCTTCTTTATAATAATGTTTTATTGAATGCTAGACATTAAATTTTTATGTCGTCGCGTGCTGAATTTTGTTGCATTTCTTTAAGAAGTGTTGGAATTTTTCTGGCAGAAATATTCTTTTGATGTCTGTTTTTAATAAGCGTAATCTCTGCAAGCTCTGATCTTTGTCTCCTTAAATCAGTGAGACCTGGCTCTGTCTGGGTCCCCCTCACTACAGCACAGTCCAGGAATTATGTCCAGGCAGAAAGCCAAGACCAGGGTAGGGCTCACCTCACTTGCCACCCTTTTCTTGGGGATCACAGATCTGACTCGCCTCTTAACATTTTACTTTTATATAGTTTCAAACTCACAGAAAAGCTGCAGGAAAGTACAAAGAGTTCCTATGTGTATTAGTCCATTTCCATGCTGCTAAAACAGACATACCCAAGACTGGGTAATTTATAAAGAAAGACAGTTTAATGGACTCACAGTTCCACCATGGCTGGGAAGGCCTCACAGTCATGGTGGAAGGTGAAGGGGGAGCAAAGGCATGTCCAATGTCTGAAGTAACTGTTTCCTGTGTTTTGTGGAGGCTTCTAGTTATTCCTGATGGAAAGGTAACTCCAAAAGTGAAAATTCTTTCCTCATAAATATTGATCGATTACAAAGAAGAGTTACATTTTTTAGTGTACAAATTTGATAAACACTATATTAACTAAGTAATATATATTTTTTAAAAATAGAAACAGTGCACTCTGTCAGACTGGAGTGCAGTGGTGTGATCACGGCTCACTGCGGCTTTGAACTCCTGGGCTTAAGTGATCCTCCTGGGTAACTGGGACCACAGACGTGTGCTCACATGCTAAGTAATCAAAATTAACATCATAAGAAAGTAAAACAATCAACATGACATGTCTCCTGGTAATGATGCGCTGAGAGGAACACATCACTTCTACCGAAAACGCATAACCTGGATCTAATAACGAGGAAAATACTAGATCAATCCAAGCTGCAAGACATTCTGGAACATAACTGGCTTGGATTCTCCAAAGAATCAAGGCTATGAAACATAAGGAAAGACTGAAGGGCCACTCCAGACTACAGGAGGCTGGAGAGATGGGACAACTCATTCAATGCCTTGTCCTGCCTCTTATTTTGGCATAAAGGACATCATTGAGACAATTGGAAAAAAACACAATTAAGGTTTGTAGATTAGACAATGCCATTGTATCAATGTTATTTCCTGATTATGACACATACTGAGATTATGGAAGAGAATGTCTTCACTTTTAGGAAGCTACACTGATGTATTTAGAGGTGAAGAGGATATAATGCATGCAACTTACCCTCAAAGATTCAGAAAATATATATATCACCAGGTAAATGTGTGCGTCTAAAGAAATATATATCATTATTATTATATCGAGAGAGGCAGATAGGCAGGGACAGAAAGAGAGTGAAGAGGATAAAGTAAAAATGTTAACATTCATGAGTCTCCAGGTAAACATAGTGATATGGTTTGGCTATGTCCCCACCCAAATCTCATCTTGAATTGTAGCTCCCATAATCCCCACGTGTCATGAGAGGGACCTGGTGGGAGGTAACTGAATCATGGGGACGGGTTTTTCCATGCTGTTCTCATGATGGTGAATAAGTCTCATGAGACTGGTTGGTTTTATAAAGGACAGTTCACCTAAACACACTCTTTTGCCTGCCGCCATGTAAGATATGCCTTTGCTCCTCCTTCGCCTTCCACCATCATTGTGAGGCCTCTCCAGCCATGTGGAACGGTGAGTCCACTAAACCTTTTTCCTTTTAAAATTACCCAGTCTTGGGTATGTCTCTTTTAGCAGCATGAGAATGGATTAATACACATAGGAACTCTTTGTAGTATTCCTGCAACTTTTCTGCGGGTTTGAAACTATATAAAAGTAAAATGTTAAAAGAAAAAAAAAAGCCTTTGCTCTCATCCTAGTTTAATATCACTCTAAGTGCACGAATTAAAAAAAAAAAATCCAATGTGTTATACTCCACATTGCTCCTTCAGATGCTTGAAGTATCCAAAATGTGGACGCTGTTTGTGCCTCTGTCCTTTTGACATGTCCCCATCATTCCTTGAGTACAGTTGGCCCTCCATATCCTTGGTTGCACATTCATGGATTTAACCAACCACGAATTAAAAATATCAAGAAAAAATTGCATCTGTACCAGACACATACAGAATTTTTCTCCGTCATTATTCCCTAAGTGATACAGTGTAACAACTATTTACATAGCATTTACATTGTATTAGGTATCATAAGTAATTTAGAGCTGGTTTAAAGTATGCAGGAGGATGTGCGTAGGTTATATGCAAATACTGTGCAGTTTGATATCAGGGACTTGAGCATCTTCAGATTTTGGTATCCTCCAGGGTCCCGGATTCACTCCACAGAGGATACCAGGGACAACTGTGCTTCCCTGCTTTCCGGCACAGTGTTTCAGGCTCACCTTGGCAATACATTTTAAGAATGAGATTGTGGGAGGAAATCTAGCACTACATTCCAAAGCCATCGAGAACATCAGAACCCTGTGTGGATGTTTCGAAAACACACCAAACATCCACAAAGGTGTTGCATACTTTAAGGTGACAGTCTTTCCTAAAAGCTGTCCGGTGTGACCATGTCCCGGCTGTTAGGACCAGCCACATGGCCACCTAAATCCGAGGGGCTGGGGACTGGAAGAATATGTGGCCTTTGCCCCATTTCCCTGGTGTCAGAGACCTCCTTACCCGCCTCTATGCCCAGATGCAGCCCTCTGCTCCATCTTCGTCCCAGACCTGCCCCCAGCTGCATTTCTTCATCGGCCTCACTGTGTTGTCCACCTGCCACTCCACTCTCTCCTGGTTCCTGTGCCCTAGCACACCCCCACCCCCCCACACCCAACGCCTCAGCGGCACACAGCAGGCTCCCACTACTCACTGACCCAATGAATGCTCCAGGTCCTACTGTGTTGGACACAGGGATTCCCCACCCCCTGCCCCAGGGCAAAGCCTCACCCTGGTGAAGATGATGATGGTGTATTAAATCAAATTTAAACCCCAAAGAGTGGGTTTCCACGGAAAACCTCACTAATTCTGAGCTGCCCAACCCCAGGGCACTGTCCTTGCGGAAGGAACAGAGATGCCCGTCCCTGCGGTGGCCGGGGATTCCTGCCTGGGTAAGGATGAACAGAGGTGACCTCAGAAGGTCCCTTCCTTCTCGAGATTCTCAGATTCTGCCAGTTCTGTCACATCTGAGGGCAAGTGGCCGTGCAATGTCAGTTCCCCCAGAGACTGGCCACCAGGAAAGGAGGGGCCCTGTCCTAAGCAGAGAGCCCCCTCCCCACCACGGCCCCCTGGGGAGGTGACGGCTGAATTGGGGGGCCTTTCTGGGGACATGCAGCTCACACCAGTGCATTGGCCTGAAAGAATGGGACAGAAGCAATGTTTTTTGTTTTTGAGACCGAGTTTCCCTCTTGTTGCCTAGGCTGGAATACAATGGTGCAGTCTCAGCTTACTGAAACCTCCGCCTCCTGGGTTCAAGTGATTCTCTTGCCTCAGCCTCCCTAGTAGCTGGGATTACAGGTGCCTGGCACCACGCCCAGCTAATTTTTTTATATTTAGTAGAGATAGGGTTTCACCATGTTAGCCAGGCTGGTCTTGAACTCCTGACCTCAGGTGATCCACCTGCCTCAGTCTCCCAAAGTGCTGGGATGACAGGCATAAGCCACTGTGCCCGGACGGCAGTTATATTTGAGAACAAGTGAGAAAGGTCGGAGAATCAGGTCAGGCTAAGAGCATCTTCAGAACCATCCTATATCACCTACACTTTTCTTTTTTGTTTTTGAGGCAGAGTCTCACTCTGTTACCCAGGCTGGAGTGCAGTGGGGTGATCTCGGCTCAATGCAACCTCCGCCTCCCAGGTTCAAGTGATTCTCATGCCTTAGACTCCCGAGTAGCTGGGATTACAGGTGTGCGCCACCATGCCCAGCTAATTTTTATTTTTTGTGGGTTTTTTTTTTTGTTTGTTTGTTTTTAGCGGAGACAGGGTTTTGTCATGTTGGCCAGGCTGGTCTTGAACTCCTAGCCTCAAGTGATCAGCCCACCTCGGCCTCCCAAAGTGCTGGGATTACAGGCATGAGCCAGAGCCCACTAGGCTCAGCCCAAAACCAATTTTTATAATAGACAAAGAATTAAAGCCACCTGGATTAGTCCCTACTCCGGTGCACCTGAAGCACTCAGGTCCTGTTCCTTCTCGAAGACTGGCTTCCACCACACCATCTCCAGGCTTCAGCTGTCCCTCTCCAGACAGGTAACCACCCCCCTGCCCCACCTGCACCCTTCCTTTCTGGGAGTTCCCTCTCACTCCCCTGCCCCACCCGCACCCCTCCTTTCTGGGCATTTTCTCTCACTCCACCAGCTCAAGGGCAGGGGACGCTCTTCTCACTGGCCACTTGCCCCAGCCTTGGACAAACCAGACCCTTGGTAAACGACTGCTGAACAGAACCAATCGGAAGATCCCCAGAAGGTTCTGCACCATTGCTGGCCTTGAAAACTCGGCATTTCAGTGGAAAATATTTTATCCTCATCAATAGTAACAGTTGAGTCCTACCCAATAAAAGTGCAGGCGAAGACAGGCCAGCTCAAGGACCTGGCACTCTACTGCAGGGCTTCCCAACCTCAGCACAGTGCACAGGGGGGCCCGGTGATTCTTTGCTGGGGAGAAGGGAGCCTGTCCCGTGCACTGTGGGATGTTAAGCTGTAACCCGGGCCCCACCAGCTACCTGCCCAGAACCCAAACTGTCTCCAGACATTGCCAAAGATCCCCCAAGGGGCAGAACCTCCCTCTCTGCTGACAATGGCTGACTTTGAAAGAAGGAGGTTGAATTTGTCCCTCAGAACCCTCAGCTGGAAGGTGTGGATTACTTCGCTCCCCGCAGTCACGGTCACACAGTGACAAACCTGGACACAAACCCAGGCACTTCTCCAAAGCCCAGATTCCTTCCATCCACAGTTTATAATTTTTAGCTTATTTTTTTTTAATAGCGTGGTTGCCTTTCTCTCCAGGCTACCCATCCTGGACTAGTCACAATTTTATCATCATTTCGTAAAATTCGACGCACCTGAAACCTGCTATGACCTGTGCCAAGGAGAGTTTATGGCAGGGCCAGCACGGAGGGCAGGCCACCATCTCCGCCACACAGGGGTTCCTTGCCTTTCAGAGTCAACAGCGGTCACTTACTGGTCAGCATGCAAGGCCCAGTGACGTCACATCATGAAAAGTAAGGAGACCACCTCCATGTGTCATGCAGCCTGTGCTCCTGGCCGCTAGCTTTGTGCACGTATGGTCTGGACCCAGGCAGAGGGGCAGATGAGCCTTTATTACTCACCTGCAGCTGTGACTCTGCTGCCCTCTTCTCCTTGTGGTCCCAGCAGAAGTTTGGGGTTCCCAAAGTCCCATCCCCCACAAAGGGCTGTGAACCAGCTCTTCCCCCAGCTCCTGTCCAATTGGAAGGTCCCGGGAAGCAGCGCTGGGTGGAGTCACAACGCCCTGGCACCTGTTCCTTCGCTGGCACCATCCATGACTGCTAAATGCATGAAAGATTAAAACAGCAGCCAAACAAAGACGGTGGACAGGCCCATGCTCACGAGGTCTTTATTGGAATAAATAACAGCATACTGTGACGCCACGTGGCATTGTCCTAACCGCATCCCTGGCGGAAGAAGTGTTTGCCCGGTGTTGCAGTGAGCTCCTGAAAAGCGCTTGCTTCCTGCACTCAGCCAGGTGGGCCTGACAAACAGCATGGCCAGGGTTTTCGTGGCTTTTATATAACATCCAGAAATCCAAAGTAAACATTGCTTAAAACAATTAAGAAGACAGTAAAATACTGGCACACAAAACAGGGGGAAAGGATTCAGTTGCTTTAAAATAAAATTGCTCTTTGTCACCAAGACAATTAGGACACCACGGCCCAGCGGGACTCTGGGCTCGGTGCTTGCATAACACTGTGTGGGCGTCAAAGGGGAACTGAAGCTGCGGGAGGCTCCCCTAGCTGGTGTGGGTTGAGAGACACGTCACATGGAGAAGGAGAATCAGCAAATACCTTCCTGCCCTTGTCCGAGCGTCCACTTGGGCCTTGCAGGCCTGAGACCCCTTTGTGCTGGGACGTTTGTCCCCATGGGTGGACATACTTGGCCTTGCTTTCACTCAGTTCCTATGGACCAGGGTTCCTCTTCAAAGAACCATTCACTGAAAACGTGGTGCCGGGAGGAGGAAGGGTCCCAGAATTTCTCTGAACTAAGAACCAAGAGCAGCAGCAGACGGGGCATCTCACACCCAAGCCTCATGTCCCAGCAGCCATTCATCCCAAGCCTATAGGAATCGAGTTCACCCTGAATTCTGCCTTGGAACTGGCCCCTTGCTGCATCTGTCCAGGCCATGCTATGAATTCAGACTCAAACTGATGGTGAATGGAGAAAAATGAGGAGTCGAGCCTAATGGGGCCCTTCCCAGGTATGCAAAAGGCACACCTACACCTTTGAACCAATTGGAAAAGAATGTGGACAAAAGATCACATCCAAGCCGGGTGCGGTGGTGTGCACCTGCCGTTCCAGGGACTCAGGATACAGAAGTGGGTGGATCACTTGAGCCCAGGAGTTCAAGGCTGTAGTCTGTAGTCTGCTATGTGTGTGTCTGTGAATGACCACTGCACTCCAGCCTGGGCAACGCAGTGAGAACTTATCTCAAAAAAAAAAAAAAAAAAAATCACATCCTTTGCTGGAAACATCGCCTTTAAGGGTCCCTGTTGTGAAACACAAGTGCCCATGTAGCTTCCCCACAGATCTTATGATTCCTTTTACTGTTCGACTTGAAACCCACAAGAGTGTGACGTGGGCATGAGGATAGGCATGGGTTTACTGGTTTACTAGATGGGGGCCGCCAGGACCTCCCTGAGAAGCTGAAGCCCCCTCCCACAGTAACCGTCCTCTCCCCTCTGATGACACAGAATGGGCCAGGGCTGCTCATTTTGGCTGAAAATCACAGCTCTGTTCTTTTCTTTTTCTTTTTTCTTTCTTTTTTTTTTTTGAGACAGAGTCTCACTCTGTTGCTCAGGCTGGAGTGCAGTGGCATGATCTCAGCTCACTGCAACTTCCACCTCCTGGGTTCATGCAATTCTCCTGCCTCAGCCTCCCGAATAGCTGGGATTACAGGCATACATACCATGCATGGCTAATTTTTGTATTTTTAGTAGACATGGGGTTTCACCATGTTGGCCAGGCTGGTCTCGAACTTCTGACCCCAAGTGATCCACCTGCCTCAGCCTCCCAAAGTGCTGGGATTACAGGCGTGAGCCACCGCACCTGGCCAAGCTCTGTTCTTTTCAAATCCCAATCCCTGGGAAGGCACAGTGCCCTCTCCAGGTCCACCTGTGAGCAGGGCAAGGCTGGGCCACTCCACCAGCTCCAGGGGGCCGCGGTCCTGTACATGCCATGCAGGCAGCACAGAACGTTCCAGCCCCAGGCTTTTTGTCAGTGTGGCTTTTGAATGTCACTGCATCCCGCAAGAGACACCGTAATGCTGTTTTAATTATTTCTTTCCCCTGCTGGGAAATCACCTCCATCAAAATGGCTATTCTGAACCCATCCCCAGCCTAGCAACAGCCGGAACTGAGAGGGAATATTAAACTGTTTTCTAAAACTTCGGTGTTGGCATTCGATTTCATATCAAAACTTACTCCAAAGCTCTGATCTGCGGCAGGAAGACAAAAAGCTAACAAGATCAGAAAGGCCAGGCTCACTACGGAGAATGCTGAGAGATGCCAAGGAAGGGGGCTGCTTTGCAGCAGGTGCACCCCAGGGGGTCAGCGGGTCATCACCCTGGGAAGGAGCTGGGGGAGGGGGGGGCGCCACAGCGAGGGACTGACTGCGACCAGAGGCCAGCCCAGAAAGCATGGCCGATGGGATCCCCAGTTCTCTGCAGAGCTGGGGTGAGCGAGGGGGTGAACAACCCATAACTGAGTGAGCAGCGACTCCTTTTATAGGATACTCTAAGGGAGATGCTCTCAGGGCTACAGGGAGAGTAACATGAACACTTCATATCCTCCCGGTACAAGGCAAATTATGCCCCCCACAAATCCACATGCTGAAGTCCTAACCCCAGCACCTCTGATGTGATGGTATTTGGAGACAGGGTCTTTATGGAGGTAATCAAGATTAAATGAGGTCATATAAGTGGGCCCTAATCCAATAGGACCGCAGCCCTTCTAAAAAGAGGGGTGCAGGCTGGGCATGTCCGCTCATGCCTATAATCCCAGCACTTTGGGAGGCTGAGGTGGGTGGGTCGCTCAAGCCCAGGGGTTTGAGAACAGCCTGGGCAACATGGTGAAACCCCATCTCTACAAAAAATACAAAAATTAGATGGGCCTAGTGGTGTGCACTTGTGGTCCCCGCTACTTGGGAGGCTGAGGTGGGAGGATCAATTGAGCCTGGGAGATCAAGGCTGCAGTGAGCTGAGATGGCACCACTTTACTCCTGGGTGACACAGTGAGAACTTGTCTCAAAAAAAAAAAAAAAAATAGGCTGGGCACAGTGGCTCACGCCTGTAATCCCAACACTTTGGGAGGCTGAGGCAGGCAGATCATGAGGTCAGGAGATCAAGACCATCCTGGCCAACATGGTGAAACCCCGTCTCTACTAAAAATACAAAAATTAGCCAGGTGTGGTGGCACCTGCCTGTAATGCCAGCTACTTGGGAGGCTGAGGCAGGAGAATCGCTTGAACCTGGGAGGCAGAGGTTGCAGTGAGCTGAGATCACACCACTGCACTCCAGCCTGGTGACAGAGCGAGACTCTGTCTCAAAAAATAAAAACAAAAATAAAAAATAAAATAAAAGAGGCGGTGAGGACACAGACACACAGAGGGGAGACCATGTGAAGACACGGGGAGAAGCCGGCATCTACAAGCCAAGGCGAAAGGCCTGAGGATGTAATTCTCTGATGTCTGAGCCACTCCCCTGTGGCACTTTACTACACAGTGCCAGTGAACCAATGCACCCCCCTCATTTTAAAGTTTCCAAAGATGCATTCATTCCCAAAAAGGGCCTCTGAAGGGGAAAGCTGTGACCCAAGCTGTCTCAAGCAGCACAATTAGAGCCATCTCCAGACCCAGCCCCTCAACCACAGCAAGAAATTAAGAAACGTCCCCAGCAGACAGCTCCTTTCAAGGACTGTGGGAGCTGGGCCATCCTGAGTCTTGGATGTTTGTGCAAAACCTACATTAAAACGAGTGACCAAGAAGTGATAGGAATGTGGGTGGAGGACACCCATGTCACATCTAAGCTTCTGGGACTTTAAAGTTTTTCAAACTGCAAAACCCTTTTATTTTTAATAAAAGGCCTCACTTCCAAGGAGAGCCCAGCCCAGGAGATCCCCGGTGAATCGTCAAGCCTGGGTCCTCGGGGAGCCGGCGTTCCTGCTGAGCTGATGTTGTACTTCTGAAGGCCTGTGATCGCTAACTGCACCATGAGGCAGAATGCAGGGTGCTCTCAACCAGCTGGGGGTTGGGGTTCAGGCTTTTTTTCATCTTTCGGCCAAGGCAGACAACAACGGACTCATCATCCCACGCGACTGAGTGACGCGAGGCTTCAAACGCAAGCACGAGTGTTTAGAATCCTGCATTTTCAAAGGCTCTTGCCCACTGGGAACTACATGGAGAGGAGATTAAGAACAACAACCAAAAGAGGCAGGGGGTGGGGCAGGCGTGAGGTAGGGGTGGGGTGGGGATGACAGTCAACACAGCTTGGACCAGAAGCCCATGGCGCCTGGCTCCCTGGAAAGGCACAGGGCACAGACGGATGCCGCCTTTCTTGCTGGGACACTCCTGCCACCATCCACAGCTCCCCCGTCACTCCACGTTCTTGTACTTGGTGAACAGGTTGTAAAGAACCCTCAGGGTGGATTTGAGGTCCAAGTTAACCACGTCTGCAGAAGGAAACAGAGAAACTTCAGAGGCGTGCCATCCTCCTGTCATTGCGGTAGGTACTCTCAGAAGCCACGTCTCCAGCATGACACCAGCTGCCGCATCCACACACAGCGCTTCCCCTTAAAGACTGGCCACCACCATGTCCAGGACGCTCTGGGCAGTGCCTCCCCAGACACACAGGTTTTGTGAGAGCTCCTGGCGCGGGCTGACACCCTGCGGGGACAGGCACCTGGGGTGACAAGAACAGAGACACTCCCACAGCCCCTCCTGGATCTGCATCAGGACATGTCTAAGAACCGGTTGGGGGACATGGCTAATGACACTTACCGGGACCAAAAACCCCAGTAACACTTAATGGACCCGACAGCTCCCTCTGGGGCCCTGGAAGTCTTGGGCCACTTTCTTTATGTGGACAAGAACCTTCCTGGGAATCAGACACCTTGTTCATTTCACTTGCTCTGTGACCTCTAAGTGACTTCCGTGATTTGGGGCTCAGTGCCTTCATCTGTAAAATGGGCCTGGACCAGGTAACGCTCGAGGCCCTTGGAGTCCTGACTCCCTGTGATCCAAAAGCAGCCATGGGATGACCCTGTGCTTTAGTCCTGATCACAAGAGTAAGAAACGACATCGGTTACTGAGAGAGCAGGTGGGGTGGATGCTAAGAATCAGCAACTGTCCTTGTCACTGGGCATGGAGTTTCTCGACTCACACACCCTCATCAGAGCCTGCACAGCCTCCTTTCCTTCCCTCTCGTTTTACAAAGAGGACCAAGACTCACATGGAGAAATGACCTGCCCACGAGTGTGCTGTCAGAGCAAAAGCAGGGCTGAACTCAGCTCGGTGGGCTTGGGGACACACCCGGGGCTCTGTCGGGGAACTCGGCTCGGCGGGCTTGGGGACACACCCGGGGCTCTGTCAGGGATCCCAGGGTCTCCCCCTGACCTGAAGAGTCCACCCCAGCTCCCAACAGCCCAGTGGAGGCAGGGGAGGGAGAATGGCGGCCATGGAGTTGGAGGTGGCCAAGGCGAGGGGGGCAGCAAGGACAGAGGAGCTCCCAGGGGTGGGGGCCATCACCTCCTGGCCCCCTCTGACTCCACTCCCATGGTGGACTCACAGGGAGACCAGAGCAGCAGCCTGACACCGATGCCCCCACGCAGCAGCCCCCAGGTCTGAGCTCTGAGAACTTCCAGACAGCCTCGCTGGACAAACAGAACTTAACCCTCACACCCCTGCCAGACCTGCTAACCACAGCCACCCCTTAGCACCTGCGCCCAGGGATAGGAATCACCTTCTGTGACCCATGAACCTCAGTCCCTCTGTGCTCCCCAAACACCCACCCCACCATCGAGCTCCGCACTCGGCTCTGTGAATTTGGAGCGAGCCACAAGCCTTTCTCCCAGGCAAGGGGCCTCCTTAAGAGCAGGGTCGGGGACCCCACTGGAGTCTCCGCCAGGTCCCCACAAGGGGGCAGGGGGCCAGGATGCCCATCATTGCTGGGGGCCTAGGGAACCAGGTGCAGGCCTGGCTCTTCAGACCCGCCCACGTGCAGGGGGTGTGAGACTGCTCTGCTTCCTCCGGGTGGGGACCAACAGGGCAGTCTCAGGCCTGCAGGGGAGGCCACAGCCACTGCCTCCCTCCCCACCAGCCCTGGGTACCCGGGTAAGTCTGCCTAGCTCAGAGGAGGGTGTCAGGGAGACCGCAGCCACTGCACCCCATTCTCCGTGTCATTCTTATCTCTGTTACCTCCTGATTCTTGCTCCCCAGCTGATTTTGAATGAAGAAGGAAAAGTCTCTCATTCATTGCATCAGCCACAAAATAAAGAGGCCCAGCAGGGACCCCATCTCATAAATCTCTGCGGCTTGGCCCCTGCCCAGTGCTGGCCCAGCGAAGGTGCTAATGAGCACTGCAGACCAGCTCTGCCCCCTGCCTGGGCTGGACAGAGGCCCTGGGACACCCAAGGGACCCTGCCTGGGAGGCTGCAGAACTTGCTATTTGCCCTGGACCAGTGCCTCTGCCTCTGGCCTGGTTTCCACACGTCCGTGGTGGGTTCCCTAACGTGCCGTCCAGCGGCAGATGAGTAGGAAACACATCCGGGCTCAGGGGCAAACACCCTCCTAGGAGGCCGGCCTGTCAGAGGATATCCTGGCCTCTGGACAGGCTCCTGCCTCACTCCTCAAAAACGGGACAAAGGGCCAGGTGTGGTGGCTCACACCTGTAACCCCAGCTCTTTGGGAGGGCAAGGCAGGTGGATCACCTGAGGTCAGGAGTTCAAGACCAGCCTGGCCAACATGGTGAAACCCCATCTCTACTAAAAATAGAAAAATTAGCCAGGCATGGTGGCGGGTGCCTGTAATCCCAGCTACTTGTGAGGCTGAGGCAAGAGAGTTGCTTGAACCTAGGAGGCGGAGATTGCAGTGAGCTGGGATCGCGCCACTGCACTCCAGCCTGGGTGACAAAGTAAGACTCTGTCTCAGAAAAAAAAAGTCGTGGGTTCGGGAGGACAAAGAAGCAGGGCTCCCTCAGCAGCTCAGAGGCAAAGGGCCACCAGGGGCTCTTCTGAGGGTACGGGGGAAGCACCCCATGCTGCAGATAGGGCCCAGGCTTTGGGCTACAGGAAACTAAAGGAAGCCCCAGCCAAGCCCACAGTGGACATGAGCAAGGATTTCTCCTCCCTGACAGTGTGCGACCCACCAGACACTAACGCCGAGCTAGCAGCCACCATCAGCAGGGACCTGGTGTGTTCTGTGGGCAGGACCCTCTTCCAGTGCTCATGGGAGCAGCTCACTTGAGCGTAATAGGTGCTCAGGAGCAGTCAGGCTCAGCAGCACGTGGTGGCACTGCCCGTGGGCCCTGCTGGAAAGTTACAGGGCAGAGTTGAACAGTGAAGGCTCTGACAAGTCCTGTGTGATGAACATCCGCCCCCCATCCAGCGACCCCATGACGCGTGGAGGCAGGTGCCATCATCACTCCCCTCAACAGAGGAGGAGGCCCTGGCACAGAAAGGCAAAGTAACCTGTTCAAGGATGCACAGCTGGGGAGAGGCAAAGCAGCATCCCTCGGGCCTCTAGCCACTCCCTCATGGCCCTGCCTCACAGCAACAAAAGGGCTGCAGGGCAGCAGCAACGAGGGGTCCCAGAGACCCAGGCCGGGCCGGTATCTACAGGCAGCAGCTCGCCACACTCCCTGCTGGACATGTGCTTTGATCCGTGCTGTCGAGCAGTTTCCAGGCCAGGCACCATTCTCAGCACCGGCATGCAGGGGACAAAGCCCTGCTCCCTTGAGGCTTCTGTTCTAGTGGGGAGGGAGGGACAATAAAAAATAAACAAGGCCAGGCATGGGGGCTCGTGCCTGTAATGGGCGAATCGCTTGAGCCCAGAAGTTCGAGACCAGTCTGGGCAACATAGTGAGACCTTGTCTCTACAAAAAAGAAAAGTTAAAACATTAGCCGGGCATGGTGGTATGCGCCTTAGTCCCAGTTACTCGACAGACTGAGGTGGGAGGATGCTGTGAACCCAAGAGGAAGAGGTTGCAGTGAGCTGTGATCATACCACTGCACTCCAGCCTGGGCAACAGAGTGAGACCCTGTCTCAAAACAAAAAAGAATAAACAGCCATACACACGAGACAGGAGGGTGTGAAATTGTCCTGTGAAACCCCAAGAGGAGGATGAACAGGCAGGAAGGGACCGGCCAGGAACCTTCCGCGTGGACTGGCAGGAAGCGGTGGCTGCAGTGGGTAGATGGAAGGGACAGGATCCATTTTCTAGCTATTTTGGAGACTCTACAAAGCCCGCCGTTGAGCGGATGCTGGCAACAGGTGTAGGAAGCATCATGGGCTCCCAACTCATATAGCACCATGGGGGACTCAGGAGAGGGAGCAGGGCTAGGTAGGGGGCCACGGTCAAAGTGGGGGCCCAGGGCACTAAACCACAGTGTCTGAGTTCTGTGGGCTCCTCCTGCATGGCAAAGGTTTTGATGGAGGCAAACAGATGTCTTCATATAGGACTTGTCAAAGCCTTTAATGTTCAGCTCTGCCCTGTAACTTTCCAGCAGGGTTCACAGGCAGTGCCACCCATGTTCTGCTGAGCCTGGCTGTCCCCAAACACCTAGGAAGTGTGTTTGGGGAACTGTGATGCTCACTCAGGTTAGAGAGTCCTCCTATAGGTAACTTGGCACAGGAGCCGGGGGGGGGACAGGGAAGCAACCGCCCGCCCCAGCTCTGCTGGCCTCCTGCCTCCAGCTCCGACCCACGCAGAGCATGCCAAGTCCCTGCTACCAAGTACTGCCTTTGGCTGAGCATCAGGGGACCTCCAGCCCAACAGTCATTACAGTTGAGTAAGCCTTTAATTTCTTCTCAGGGCACGAAGCTGCATTTCCAGCCTGAGTGGCCAGCTAGAGACGCACTTAATCCTGAGGTCTGTGGGCAGAGGCCACGTCCTTCAAAGTCAAGTGGTTATTAAAGAACCGGCACTGCCAGCTCCACCAGCGAAGTCCTCCTGGTTCCCAAAATGAGGAGACTGAGGAGCTGGGGTTGGCAGACCCTTGCCCCAGAGCCAGAGACGTGGGGCCCATCTGGGGAACAACATGCCAGCCTTCCAGCCACTTCTAGGACCCGTTTTTCTTCCCCTCCGTGCGCACCTCTCCCGGGGGAACCTGAGCCAGGGGCATTACCTTCAGGACGAGCCTTGGGTTTCTTGAGGCCTCCGTCCAGCATCAGCTCAAAGGCGAAGGACACATTGTGGACCTGCCAAGGAAGGGGGGTGGGTCAGCGTTAGGGTCCAACAGTCGTTCCCACACACGGCCCACTGCTGGAGGACAGCCGGCATGGACAGGACCGAGCCTCTGCAACGCTGACGTCCACAAGGACCCAGTGAGCCCGGGGCGGGCCACAGGGTGGGCAGACACGGGTGAGGAAGTCTGCGGAGGGCCATGTGCGCTTACTAGGTGGTTCTCACCCCTCACACCAGTGATCTGGGCTGAGAGATGGAAGGATGAGGTGCCCGGCCTGCTCTCGAGGGCTCACGGCCACCAAGAGCCTGCTCTGCCCCAGATGCCAGCCACCTGATGAGAAGTCACAGGGGCCCCATTTTATTTATTATTTCTTTGTTTATTTATTTATTTACGTTTTTTGAGACAGGGTCTAGAGCGCAGGCTAGTGCACAGTGGCGAGATCTCAGCTCACTGCAACCTCCACCTCCCAGGCTCAAGCCATCTTCCTGCCTCAGCTTCCCCAGTAGTTGGGACTACAGGCACGCATCACTGTGCCCGGCTAATTTTTGTATTATTATTATTTTTTTTAGAGACGGGTTTTGCCATGTTGGTCAGGCTAGTCTCTAACTCTTGGGCTCAAATGATCCACCCGCCTCAGCCTCCCAAAGTGCTGGAATTACAGGCGTGAGCCGCTGCGCCTGGCCCACAGTGACCCCATTTCACAGACAGGGAAACTGAGGCCCAGAAAGGATGAGTCCCGTGCAGAGGCACGCAGGCCTGGCACTGCCCCAGGAAGGGCTGTAAAGACCTGCACGTGAGGCTGTGTCTCTGCAGGATGGGGTGCCCTCAGGGGAGGGAGGGCCTTAGCACTGAGTAGGGACAGTGGACCAGTCAGAACGGAAGTCAGATCGATGGTGGCTGCAAGCGTCAGCCTGCAGGACCTTGGTCCTGTTAGATGCTACAGAAACGTGGCCACCTCCGCCCTACCGTGACTTCCCCTGAAATTAAAGGGTCTATTACTCCTCAGCCCCCAAATGTACCTGAAGCTTTTATCCTGCTAATGATGGCTGAACAGGTTTAAAATAAAAGCCTTCTGGGCTGTGTTTAAAGACCACTCAGAGGGATGCCGGCAATGAACCAGATTACATCCAGCCACCCACCTGCCGCAAGCCAAGGCTGATGGGAGGAGGGGACATCAAACAAACAAACAGCAAACAAGCACAGATGTCACAGTGCAAGGGACTTCAGGGCTCTTAGTAATCAAACATCCTGGCTGGGCGTGGTAGCTCACACCTGTAATCCCAGCACTTTGTGAGGCCGAGGCAGGTGGATCAGTTGAAGTCAGGCATTCGAGACCAGCCTGACCAATGGGTGAAACCCCATCTCTACTAAAAATACAAAAATTAGCCGGGCATGGTGGTGCACACCTGTAATCCCAGCTATTTGGGTGGCTGAGGCATGAGAATCGCTTGAACCCAGGAGGCGGAGGTTGCAGTGAGCTGAGATTGTGCCACTGCACTCCAGCCTGGGTGACAGAGCAACACTCTGTCTCAAAAAAACAAGCAAACAAACAAACAAAAAATCCTTTCAACGATCATATTTTCATGATTTTGAGGCCAATGAATCAGAAACAAGAACAATTTTACTTGCAATGTAATTTAATAATTAACCAGGAAAAAGAGGCTTCCCTGAGTTAATCAAACGAACAACACTGGAAAACAGTGTGGGGTGCTTTGGAAAAGCTTCCACAGTGCACACGGCCTGTGCTCGGAGAAGCAAAGGGGCGAATGACCTGCCAGCACCAACCGCAAGAGGGTCTGGCTAGTCATAGGGTCAGTGGGGAAGACACAGCCCGGCAGGAGGGCAGGCCATGTCCACCCAGGGGCGGGGGTGCAGCAGACGGAGACCCTGCTCCAGAGGCCAACTCAGAAACTGCCAATGGGAACACTGGGCCACATGGCAGACACCCCAACCCTGCAGGACAGCCTGCCTGGAGATGCGGGAGTGCTGCACCAGGGCTGGGCCTGAGGATGGCCAAACACTGGCAATGGGGGAGGAGTGAGGACGGCCCGTGCGGAGGGTGCAGAACGCAGTTCCCCTAAGGAGAGAGCAGGGAGCGACCTGCGGGTGCTGTGCATCCACCATGGGGTCAGTGTATTCCATACAGGTTCCCTTTCCCCTCCCAGCCCTGTACGAGGTGAATATCATCTTCCTTCACAAAGGAGGGTGGTGCTGGGCTGAGATGGGCTAGGACATCGGTGCCCTAAAAAGGCATGGGGCAGCTGGATGTAGTGGCTCACGCCTGTAATCCCAGCACTTTGGGAGGCTGAGGCGGGTGGATCATGAGGTCTGGAGTTCAAGACCAGCCTGGCCAACATGGTAAAACCCCGTCTCTACTAAAAATACAAAAATTAGCCAGGCATGGTGGCATGTGCCTGTAATCCCAGCTACTAAGGAGGCTGAGGCAGAAGAATCGCTTGAACCCAGGAGGCGGGGGTTGCAGTGAGCCGAGATCGTGCCACTGCACTCCAGCCTGGGTGAGAGAGTGAGATTCCTTCCCCGCCTCCAAAAAAAAAAAAAAAAGAAAAGAAAAACAAGGCACGGGGCTCACAGGCATGGAACCAGGACTGAAACGTAGAATCTGTGCCCGTTCTCCTCCAAGAGCCTCCCACCTCCACTCCCCTAGCAACACAGGTCCCTTTAGCTGACCACCGTCCATATCATCAAATGAGCTCACACACACGTATGCACATGCACACGTGCACACACACACACACACAACAGGCTTGACCCCAAATCGAGATGGAGACAGGATAGCAAAGAGAGGGAATAGCGAGAAAAGATTTTTCTTTTAAGAAAAGATTCTTCTCCATTGTAAAAGTCAGCACCAATTTGGACCGGTCTTTTCACGTGCCTCTCCCGTGCACCTCTTAAGCCTGAGGAATCCTCTTCCACGCTGAGGGAGTGGATGCTCAGGAGGGGCTGGGGATGAGATGCATGACACGTGGAGACACTCAGAGACGGCTGGAGAGTGTGATCGGGTGACGAGGTGGTCACCCCTACACCATGAGAGAACAGTTTAAGGGGAGAGCAAAGCCCCTTCCAAGCCTCATTGCTCTGCAGCCGCTCGGCCCCACAGTAAGTGGTTTTGAAGTGAGATTTTCCTTCTGCTTTCTTCTCAGGCTGAGGAAATGCCAGGCAGGAAATTGCCACCCTCCCATGCCTGTTATCTCTCAAGGCCATGCCTCCTCCCCCAGCCCTCTTTCATGCCAGGCAGAGAAGTGTCCCCTGAGCCTAGATCCCTGGATACCCAGCACATGGATCCCGGAGAGGCCTGGGGACCGCTCACCCCAGCTGTGACTGCAGTAGGAGGCCCCAAGGCCCAGCAGAGACCAGGCCATATACACACCTGCTTCGAGCCAGCCACATGGGCAGAAATCCTTTCTCTCTGCAATTCAAAAGGTTTTAATCAACTTGGCCAGGTGAGGAAAGAATAGAGGGTTCTGGAATAGGAGTCGACCCTCCTGGCTCTGCCCTTGCTGGCCGTGCAACCCTGGGCTGGTCTCTAAGCCTTCCTGAGATTCCCTGTCCTCATCCAGTAATGCTGAGGGGGAAGCAACTCGTGTCTTCTTCTAGGAAAGATCTCCACGTCTCCAGGATGCACCCCACTCGACAGAGAGAGGGAGCCTGCAGAGTCTCCCAAAATGATGACCAATGGGTGCAAGGTGCTCAGCACGTGGCCAGTGCAGGGTAAGGCTCAAACAGTGGCTTTGCAACAAAAAAACTGAAGGCCACACTCATGCCTCTGAGATAGCTCATGGGGCACGAGCCTACAGGCTCTGAGCTGTCCAGTGTGATATTTTTTAAATCCAATGCAATTGTTTTAAACCATAAGTCATTACTACCCTCGGGGACAGCAGCTCATGACGCATCTCTGGTTTTGCTCACTGAACCTCAGTCCCTCCTCCCAAAAATGTGGAGCAGCTGTCAGGATTCCCAGGGCCAGAGCAAACGCACCTCGGGGTCTCAGCCCACAGGAGACATTAGCAAGGGATGCCATCAACATCCCATCCGCAAGCAGTTTTGAGTACACGGGTGTTGGGCCCAGCCTGAAGTGGGTGAGTCCTCCACAGCAGGGACCACCCACCTGTCCAGGATTCACGAAGACTACAAGGTAGATAATAAATACTATGGGCTCATGAAGACCTTGCCAGCAGCTGCCATGAGGAGAAAGGGAAAAAAGGCAGGGGCTGGAGGAGGAACTACTGACAGCCTCCCATCCTCCGAAGGAGAGTGTTCCAGCCACCCGCAGAGCCACACCGCCACCCCAGGCTCCCTTTCTCCTGAGTGAACAGGATGAATGGTGTGCTGCATGCTATACCTGAAAATAGCCTTCCCTTCCTCGCTCCGATTCAGAGGGGAAGGCAGATGACTCAAGCCTCCTCAAGCCTCGCAGGCCAGGGCAGCAATTGTCAAAGACTTTCATCCCAGTTTCAAAGGGAAGAAGGCCAGGGCCCAGGAGATGATGCCTCTGACATTTGTACAAAGCCTTGTCTTGGAAAGAAACCAGCCCTAGGTCTCCTGGCTAAACTCACTGTTCTCGCCAGCATTCTTACTAGTTTGAAGAAAGAAAAGATCTCTCCAAAACAATGTGTCTGCAACCAGCCATATCGGGGCCTGGAAATGCATGCGCTTCTTCGCTGGATGGTCTGACCTTTCATTTCCAGGATGACAGCACAGGCACCTGGTGAGTTTCCTGGTGAGTTCTGCACAATTCTGCTCATTCCCTCTGCACTCCCTCTTGCTCGCTCGCTCGCTCTCTCTCTCTCGATTCAACATGGACTCCATGTGCCAAGACCTCTCTAATCTGTCCTGATTCCATCTCAGCAGGCAAGATAGGAACAACATTTGGCCACAAGCAAACAGACTGCAACGTGCCAGAAGTGGGCAGATTGATAAACACTGGCCCCATTTCTGCTATTTCTCTGGCTGTCGCCACCAGCTTACATTGTCTGCCTCCCTGACTCATGGGTCTAACACTTTGGGAAAATAAAATGACAGATGCCCATGAATCCAAAGCAACATAGACCATCCATGGCCAAGTTTTTAAAGGCAATGTGCTAAATACTGCTGTGAGAGGCTTGGCTGCGGGAAGCCCTGGACAGAGGGCAGACAGCAGGGAGAGGCCCACGCACGAGGGCAGTGACAGCGGGACCGGGTGGCGTGGGCCAGCCCAGATTGAAAGGAATGCCCCAAATTTGACCCTATTTGAGAAATTTTCCTAAGAAAACAATCCACAGGAATGAAAAAAAAAATCTGTATCAAAAAGATGCTCTGTTGTTTCAGTAGGGAAAAACAATAGAAACATGTTCAAGTTGACTGCCCAAGAATGGGGAATGGAAAGACGCTGGTAACAGAGCCATCCTTGGGACTTCGTGCCACCACTGGAGATGGTATTTGGAAAGCTTGGGAAGCAGCAGGGAAAACCACAGGTGGTGGAGCTGCAGCAGAATGGGGGAAGGGTTTACAACTCTACCGAGATGTGATCACAATTATTAAAAACTACACGGTCCCATGGAAAAGACCGCAAAGAAAATGTGGCAAACAAAACTCGGATGCGTTGTGGACGGCTGATGGGCTTCTTATTTCTTTTGCTGAGAGTTACATCTAATTGCAATATCACTTGTGCATTTTTTACTTTCTGAAGAATGCAGCCAGGCTGCAGGAAGAGCTGCCGGGATAGTCTATGCTCTGCATTTCAATGAGCATTTCTTGAGCCCCTACCAAGGATGGAGACCATGCACATACCTTCTGATCGAAGCTTTCCGGAGTCAGGTAGAAGTGGTGGAGAGGAACAAAGTAGTCTTCCAGAAGGCCCATGAGCAGAACCAGGTACACGCCATCTGCAAACTGCAGAGAAAGACTTGTGATGTTTCCGGGCAGGGTAAGGAGTTGGCAAATGCTTTGCACAAACTTAAGGGGGGCATATTTTTTCTTCTGAGACAGGGTCTCACTCTGTCACCCAGGCTGGAGTGCACTGATGCAATCAAGGCTCACTGCAGCTCGGCCTCCCAGGCTCAGGTGATCCTCCCTGAGGCGATTCTCCCACCTCAGCCTCCCAAGTAGCTGGGACTACAGGCACGCACCACCATGCCCGGCTAATTTTTGTATTTTTTGTAGAGACAGGGTTTCACCATGTTGCCCAGGCTGGTCTCAAATTCCTGGGCTCAAGTGATCTACTTGCCTCAGCCTCCCAAAGTGCTGGGATTACGGGTGGGAGCCACTGTACCCAGCTGGAAATATTTTAAAGTAAAGCAATCCATCCCTCCTCTCACTTTAGGCAGGAGAATCTGGAATCAAGTGAAGGCCTGAATGTGAAGTCTTTTGAGACCTGGCTCCTAACCTAGAAAAAAGCAAAAGGGGAGGGGGCTCTAACACATGGGGCTCTGCAAAGACCAAATATGATGAGTGTTTGGAGCTGAGTGCAGCTGCCTGGCTAGGACCGTGCCTCTGGAACTGTCCCCCACTCCTGACCCCAGGGATAGTAGTGACTCCCATCATTCAGGGCTGTCGTGAAGACACAGCGAGACGGCTGGGAGGGAGCACCTGGCACACGTGAGTGCTCCATCAGCATCAGCTGCTGGAAGGATTCATTCAAATCTGCAGGGTGCAGAGCTGGGACCTGGTGGCCCTCACCACTCTGTCTTGCAGCAGAGACCACAGTGACTGTGGCCCCATTCTCCAGGGGGCCTCTGGAGCTGCTATTCAACATGGTAGCCAATGGCCACATGCAGCTATTTAAATTAAAATGTTTTTGTTTGAATGTTGCTAACTTATTTTTTATTGTGATAAAATATACATAAGCTGAAATGTACCATCTTAACCGTGTGTAAGCGCACAGGCCAGTAGCATTAAGTACATCCTCATTGTTGGGTCACCCTCACCACCACCCATCTCCAGAACTTCTTCATGTTACCAAAGTGACACTCTGTCCCCCAATTCTCTATTCTACCTTCCCCCCAGCCCCTGAGAACCACCAATCATTCTGCTCTCTGTCTCTATGAATTTGACTCCTCTGGGTATCTCACGTAAGTGGAATCGCATATCCATTTATCTTTTGTGTCTCGCTTATGCTAACCTTTCTCTTTAATTAATTTAAATTGTGGTAAAATATACCATAAAATATACCATAACATTTACCATCTTAACTACTTTTAACTGTCCAGTTCAATCATGTTAGGTGCATTCACGTTATTGTACAAACAATCTCCAGAATTCTTAAATTTGAATTTTTAAAAAAATTAAAAGTAAAAACTTCTAGGCGCAGTGGCTCACGCCTGTAATCCTAGCACTTTGGGTGGCCAAGGTGGGTGGATCACAAGGTCAGGAGTTCAAGACCAGCCTGACCAACAGGGTGAAACCCCGTCTCTAGTAAAAATACAAAAATTAGCGGGTGTGGTGGTGCATGCCTGTAATCCCAGCTACTCGGGAGGTTGAGGCAGGAGAATCGCTTTAACCCGGAAGGCAGAGGTTGCAGTGAGCCGCGATCGCGCCACTGTACTCCGGCCTGGGTAACAGGAGTGAAACTGTCTCAAAAAAAAAAAAAAAAAAAGATGAAAAGTCAAAATCACAAACATCCAATATCAGAAGCCCTGACCTTTAGCAGGGAGAGCTGCAGCTAGAGCTGTAAAGCATAAAGCTAGTGCCAGTGGGCAACAGTCCCTTAAGGGACTCAGGACAGGGTCTGGGCCCTGCTGGAGTGCAGTGGTGCGATCTCGGCTCACTGCAACCTCGGCTCACAGCAACCTCTGCCTCCTGGGTTCAAGCAATTCTTCTGCCTCCGCCTCCTGAGTAGCTGGGATTACAGGCGCGTGCCACCATACCCGCCAATTTTTGTATTTTTAGTAGAGATGGGGTTTCACCATGTTGGTCAGGCTGGTCTTGAACTCCTGACCTCATGATCCACCCACCTCGGCCACCCAAAGTGCTAGGATTGCAGGCATGAGCCACTGCGCCTGGAAATTCAACACGCTGTCAGTTGATGGGCAAATGGCACTTGGCCTCCATGTCACATGCCCTCAGCCTTCCACACCACAAAGCAGCCAGCCACTCCTATCATTAAGGAGATCAGACGGGTTTGAAGAATTCTTTTAAGTGTGTCTCCACATGGAAGCTTCATGCCCACAGCACCCTGGTTAAGCGTGCTGGCACCTTCCCAGCAGAACAACATTGAGCTGCCATGCCCACGTCTCCATGGACTAACTTCCAGGGAATGGAAGCTGCCACGTGAATGAAGGCACCAACCCACACCTCTCCCCAGGAGGTCTGGGGTGGCCACGCCGCTGCTCCCGCAGGCCCTGAGCCTGCTGAGTCTTTTCTTCCTTCCGTGGTGTCTCCTCACTGTCCCAGCACACGGGCTCACAGGAAGGAGGGAGGGACGGCCACAAGGAGAGGGCAGGGCTGGGGGGCCCAGCTGCGAGCGGGTGACCCTCCACTTTCACAAGCACCCAGCGTGGTGCCCTCTCTCCACAACCTGCTGTCTAGCTCAGCAGGGAGCAGAATCCCCACGGAGGCCCAGAGGCCCCACCACCGCCTCCTCATCCGCAGTGCTAACCCCTGCCGAGCCCTGCCCACTTGATCTCAGTGCGCCATCTCACCCAGTCCTCACACTGCCCATCGCCTCCAGTTTAATTCTGTGGACAGAAGCTCAGGGAGGCTGAGGAGTTCACTCACCATCACAGAGCTGGGACGCTGTCCGCAATGTAAGAATGGTTTGGAAAAGGAGGGAAAACACACACCTACACCACACACACACCACACAGACTACAAAAACCACACACACACACACACACACACCACACAGACTACAAAAACCACACACACACACCACACAGACTACAAAAACCACACACACACCACACAGACTACAAAAACCACACACACACACACACATCACACCACACAGACTGCATAAACCACACACACACCACACACTACACAGACTACAAAAACCACACACACACACCCCCACCACAGACTGCATAAACCACACACACAACACACACCACACAGACTACAAAAACTACACACACACATCACACCACACAGACTACATAAACCACACACACACCACACAGACTGCATAAACCACACACACACCACACAGACTACTTAACCACACACACACACCACACAGACAACGAAAACCACACACACCACACACCACACAGACTACGTAAACCACAAATACACACACACACCACACAGACTACATAAACCACACACACACACCAGACTACATAAACCACACACACACACACCAGACTACATAAACCACACACACACACACACACACACCCACCAGACTACATAAACCACACACACACACACACCCCCAACAGACTGCATAAACCACACATACCAGACTACATAAACCACACTCACCCACACACAAATAGAAATTGAAGAAATTAAACCAGGGCCTCTCCGACTCCTAGGGCATCAAGACGTTAATGATTTACAGTCTTCATAAATGATATATGGTATTTATAAAAATACCCAAATTCCTTTGCAACAAAACAAAACAAAAATCCCTGCATTTCTGTAACCAGCGACCTTTTCTGGGGGACCAGTGGTTAAATGTACTTTTAAGACTCTATATAGTACGATTAATCGGGGGGAAAAAAATGAAGATATTGAGTAAATAAAAACAAATGCAAATTTAATTTTAGAGTCTCAATGTAAGAGGCTCAGCTGCTAATACTGATGTGCAGACACCTCTGAGAAGGGCTGTGGGGACAGCTGGTATGGATGTGGGGGAGCAGTGCCCCTCACACGCCCCATGACAGTACCAGGGGCCCCCACACAGCAAATCTTCCTGAGCCTTCAAAGTGTGCGGTGCAGGCTTCGCTCTAATGACTCCACTTCTAGGCTTTTATTCCGAGGAAGCAGGCACGAGCACAGACAGCCGTGCACAAAGCTGCTCTCTGCACTGCTGTTTACAGGAGCAGAAAAACATCCAGTCGTGAGGCACTGGTTTAATGAGGTGCAGTGCAGCCTTCCCGCTGATGAGATACACTTCCCATTAAAAGTGACAAAATATAGACAGACCGATAGATCGAGCAAGGGAAAAAGGATCAGATAGAAACACACACACACACTTTCTCTTACACCAAAAGATGCCCACAGTGTATTTAGTGACACAAAACACATTACAAAACAGTGGGCGGTAAGATCCACTGTTATTTAGAAAAATACCTTTGTGCATAGAAAATGTGGCTCACACCTGTAATCCCAACACTTTGGGAGGCTGAGGCAGGTGGATCACAAGGTCAGGAGTTCGAGACCAGCCTGACCAACATGGTGAAACCCCATCTCTACTAAAAATACAAAAAAATTAGCCAGGCATGGTGAGGCGCACCTGTAGTCCCAGCTACTCAGGAGGCTGAGGGAGGAGAATTGCTTGAACCCAGGAGGTGGAGGTTGCAGTGAGCTGAGATTGTGTCACTGCACTCCAGCCTGGGGGACAGAATGAGACTCTGTCTCAAAAAAAAAGAAAGAAAGAAAAAGAAAATATCTAGAAAAATACACATCCAACCATGAACTGCAGTTAGCTGCCCCTGGAGAGTCTGAAGGGGGAGGTCTCCAGAAAAAGAGAAAGGAAGATTTTTACTTTTCACCTCAGTGGCTTCTGGGGTGCTAACGTCTCAAACAGAAAATAATCTGAGGCTAAATGTGCAACATTTGTAAACTGCGGAAAATAAGAAATGTGTTGGCCAACGATACACAAATAAATATATACATTAAAAACAGACCGTGATGCTTTTATATACAGACCCACACTGTCCATGACTCGCTATATGTGTAGAGAAAAGGCCTGAACAAAACCCTCTGTGCATTCATCTCCGGGTGACGGGATTATGGGTGATTTTTATTTGTTTTGCTTATCTGCATTTTCAGACATTTCTACAATGAACCTGAATTAGTTTTTTAATTAGAAAAGCAAATGAGGAAAGTTAAAGAAAGAGAAGGGAATGAATGCATTCACCTTGGGGTTTAAGAAGGATCAGCTGTGCATTAGGGATGTCTGTACCAAGAGCTCAAAAACCTCCGCATTCAAGCACCCTGCTAATCCTGGGAAAATCATATTTTGTCTTTAATGCTCTCGGAGTGCCCAAAAATATAATTTAAGGATGCTCCTTTAGCTTTGAGTAGGGGTCGGGGCTGGGGAAGTAGACTTGATATACTTATTGCAGAAGAAATGTGTTGTACATACCTACCAGGGGGACATTTGCTAGGTCCTGGCCACAGTGTGACAGCAGCACTGAGCAGAGGCTGAAGGGGCCAGCACGTTCTAGACAGAGGAACTGCGTGTGCAAAGGCCCTGTGTTGGGCTGGGGTGGAGCCCTGGAGTGTGTTATGGGTTGAATAACACCACTCAGGTGTTTTGGGGTTTTGTGTCTCCCAAAAAAAGATACAGTGGTTGGGAGGCTGAGGCAGGCAGATCATGAGGCCAGGAGATCGAGACCATCCTGGCCAACACGGTGAAACCCCGTCTTTACTAAAAATACAAAAATTAGCTGGGCATGGTGGGATGTACCTGTAGTCCCAGCTACTCGGGAGGCTGAGGCAGGAGAATGGTTGGAACCCGGGAGGTGGAGGTTGCAGTGAGCCGAGATCACACCACTGCACTCCAGCCTGGGTGACAGAGCGAGACTCTGTCTTTAAAAAAAAAAAAAAAGAAAGAAAAAGGATACAGTGGAACCCTAATCACCAGGACCTCTGAATGTGACCGTATCTGGAAACAGGGTTTACATAGATGCAGTCAGGTTGGGATGAAGCCATGGGTGGGCTCTAATCCAACATGACCACGTCCTGATAAAAGGGGGACATTTGGACACAGAGACACACACACAAGGACGACACCACATGAAGATGAAGGCAAAGAAGGGAGTGATGTGTGTACAAGCCAAGGAATGCTAAAGATCCTGGCAAAACCACAGAAGCTGGGAGGGAGGCCAGGAACAGCTCCTCCCTCACAGCCTTGGAGGGAACCCACCCAGGCCCCATCTTGATTTTGGACTTCAGGCCTCCAGCACTTCGAGGACACAAAGGTCTGTTGTTTCAGCCACTAGGTTTGTGGTGCTTTGTGGCAGCAGCCCCAGGAAAGGAAGACAGAGGGGCTGAGAAGGCCACGGTGGTTATTTCTGCCTGCACCACGGGAGTTCCTTGTGAGATGAACAAAATGGCGCCAGCTTTGTTCACGCGCCCCACCTGGGATCAAAACACTGACTGAAAATGGCGGTGGACAAAGGATCCTTCAAGCCAAAGCAGCACATACCTGGGTCTCCAGTTCCGTCACCTCCAAATTCAGCTTGTTCAGGTGCTTGTTCACAAAAGTGATGAGAGACTGCCAAGAATAAAAGAGACACAGGAGCCATGAATGGCCCGCATGCAGGTCCCATCTGGAGGGGCAGGCTTGACATTTGCCAGCCCCAGCTCTGTGAAACGCTTTCATCATCTCCTGTTTGCTAAAATAAAAAGCCCATGTTTCAAACTCAATATCCTGACAGTAGCCCCTAGTTTTCATGGCATAATGCCCACATCTATCCTGGCTACACGTCTCTGCTCACCAACCCATGCACACATATGCCAATCCGTGCACGCATGACATATTTAACAATCATACTGGAGAGCACCCTGTGCTCTTAAGAAAGATGAAACTGCCAGGGGAGGATCATTACATTTGCAAATGTATCTTAGGTGTGACCTGGAACAATAAACGGCATACTCAGAAGACTGAGGAAAGTGCTGCCTTGAGCCACACCTACTGAATTTTTTTTTTTTTTTTTTTTTTTTTTTTGAGACAGTCTCACTCTGTCGCCCAGGCTGGAGTGCAGTGGCGTGATCTCGGCTCATTGCAAGCTCCGCCTCCCGGGTTCACCGGGTTCACATCATTCTCCTGCCTCAGCCTCCCGAGTAGCTGGGACTACAGGCGCCTGCCACCACGCCCAGCTAATTTTTTTGTATTTTTAGTAGAGATGGGGTTTCACTGTGTTAGCCAGGATGGTCTCGATCTCCTGACCTCGTGATCCACCCGCCTTGGCCTCCCAAAGTGCTGGGATTATAGGCGTGAGCCACTGCGCCGGGCCTACAAAGGTGGAATTGAACCACTCTGTCACTAGACAGCTACAGGTTTGAAGCCTGCACCCCAGACCACTGAGGATCATCCGAGCTTTTGGTGCCCCGGCTAGAGTGCAATGGCATGATCCCAGCTCACTGCAACCTCCACCTCCCAGGTTCAAGCGATTCTCCTGCCTCAGCCTCCCGAGTAGTTGGGATTACAAGCACCCGTCACCAAGCCCGGCTAATTTTGTATTTTTAGTAGAAATGGAGTTTCCCCATGCTGATCAGGCTGGTCTCGAACTCCAGACCTCAGGTGATCCACCCACTTTGGCCTCCCAAAGTGCTGAAATTACAGGTGTGAGCCACAGCGCCCAGCCTGCCTATCGATTTGCAATACATGGGGAGATCCACCCAGGGTGATCTCTCTGAGCCCTATTATGTAAGTACCAAGGGGCACTGGCTTCTCTCCGGCACAAGCTTAAAACCTGTCACCTGTAATTCCTCAGTGACCAAAGCCAACTTTGATAGAAACTCAATATCATCCACCACTGCCCATGACATGATTTCTTTGTTTTGTTTTGTTTTGTTTTGTTTTGTTTCGTTTTGTTTTGAGATGGAGTCTCGCTCTGTTGCCCAGGCTGGAGTGCAGTGGCGCAATCTCGGCTCACTGCAAGCTCCACCTCCCGGGTTCACGCCATTCTCCTGCCTCAGCCTCCCGAGTAGCTGGGACTAAGGGTGCCCACCACCATGCCCACCTAATTTTTTTGTATTTTTTAGTAGAGACGGGTTTTTGCCATGTTAGCCAGGATGGTCTCGATCTCCTGACCTTGTGATCCACCCACCTCGGCCTTCCAAAGTGCTAGGATTACAGGCGTGAGCCACCGCGCCCAGCCTGCCCATGATATGATTTCTTACCCATTCTGCTCAAATTTACTGAGCAGCTACTATGTGCCAGGCATGCTGCTTGGTGCTAAGGACACAAACACAGAGAGCTCCACCCCTGGCCCCCGCCAAAGGGCCTGTGATGTAATTCTCCATATGCGTGTAGTGGTGGGACGGAGAAGTCAAGAGATAGGGCACTACAGGGAAACACGCAATGCAAGGGAGATTTCATGAGCCATTAATGGGTGTGCGGACCCCCGTTAAGACCATGGAGAGGGAGCATTGGAGCTGGGCCTGAGGGTGGGCCAGTGCAAGGTGAGAGTGAGCCGAGTGGGCACCCAGACACATCTGCAAACCCTTTGGGGTCTTCAGGCTGTGGCTGGATGTGGGTGGGATGGGAAGGAGTAGGAGGGGACGACCCAGGGAGAAACCTGCAGAGGTGGGCAGGGGCCCCTGACTTCATTCTGGGGCACAGAGAGCTACAGACACCTAAACTTGCAATGTGGAGGTGAGGAAGGGACAGGCTGGAGTGGGAAGCTACCAGGCAAATCAAAGGATTCTGTCTTCTTCCTTGCTGGTGGCTCCAGTGCCGAAAATGTGTCTTTCGCAGAATGAATTAACATGGTATCTACCGAGAGATGAAAGCAATCTCAGGCCACACCATTCTCAATGCTACCAGTGACTATACGCTGCCGGCTAAGCCCATGCACAGAGAGAATCCCAGTTTATCCTCACAGTGCCCTGAGAGGTGGGTAACATCTCTGTCCCCACTTGACAGATGGGGAAACTGAGGCTGGGGGGTATAATCTCGCCCTTCGCCAGAAGTCACACAGCTGATAAGTGGGGAAGCTGGATTTGATTCATTCCCTGAACCGGTTCTGTCAGGGTCCCTGGGGGCCACATGTGACGAGGTGGAGGTGGGGGACTCTGATGCTCCAAGTATATCCCTCACCACCCAAGAGTGCTAGGAAGGCTTTGTCCCAGAAGGACCATTAGCACGGTTCCAACAGCCTTTTGCAAAATGCTTCCAAAAATGAATGATCTCATCGTCCAAACCCAGGCCAACATTTTCCAAAAGTGGGTTCCACTAAAATACAATGCGTCTTACCCCAAAATTGATAGATAAATAAATCCCACTATAAACAAACAAGTTTGAAAAATGCTTCCTACCAAGCTCCCTCTTGGAGAAGTACAGTATAGGTCAGCCTATTAAAGGTTCTGACAAGTCTTGCACTAAGAAAGCTGTTTGGGTAAGCTGTCCTAGACAAAGGAGAACTCTCTTGCCTGCACCATGGGTTGAAATGAGCGCTCCTCCGATGTTATGGGAAGGAGGGATGCAGCAGCCTCCTGAATGGGATGCCTGCAGGCACTCGGATAAGTTAATGAGCAGCCAGTGGGCTCCAGTTCCTTTTGACGGGAACAAGCCTCCCTGGCAGATCCCCCAGAAGCTGATCACACCCAGCCCCCAACTCCAGAGCCTCGGAGATTTTTCCATCCACAGATTGACCAGCAGGCTGCCTGGGCTAGTGAGGGCCCATTCTCTGTCTGGAGGGAAACGGGCCAAATCCATGTATGGCACAGCTCAGCCGCACAGGCCTGCGTGTTTACTGGGCAGGCTGTAGATGGTAAATGAGGCCAGCGAGAGCAGCAGGCTGACATGCTTAAAAACATTTCCACATTGAAAAAAGGTCTCGAGTCAGAAAGAAATGGGGGCTGGGTAATTCACTTAACAGAAGCGGAGCGGGCGGGCAGGAAGACACCCAGGGAGCAGCGAGGTTGAGTTAAAAGGCGCTGATTTTATGCACTGTGGTTAGGTTTTTGACTGTAATTACATTTCAATCCATGTGGCAAACATTTCTGAGATTCCAAACATTTTCCCACCTTCTTCCCAGCGGGGCGTTTGTGCTGTCAAAAAGCCGCGAGCCAGGGGAGAGCACATCCAACATCCCACCAATAGCTCACCTTCTTCACCACGCTGAGCTTATCCGGGGCGTGGTCGAACAGCGTGTCGAAGGCATCCCGCTCTGAGGACATGCAAAGAGAGACACGAAGGAGCGTTTATGGAAACCCGTGGTGCTGCCCTAATCCAGGGCCCTGCCAGCTTCTGATCCCTCAGGAGGTTCAGCCTCAACTCCCACACCTGCCTAGAATCCTTCCAATTCCTACCAGAATGAAAGGGCTGACCCTGATGATCAGTCCCGGCCAAACCAAGGCGAGCAAGAGCGCTTGGGAACAACCAGAACAGCGTGGACTAGAGGCTGCAGAGGGTCCCTTCCACCTGCTTTTTACCTTCTCATATGAAACACATAGATGGCATCTGGCATCTGCACCTGCCACGTCCTAGGACTTGAGGCGTCCTGAATTCTCCCTGTTCCCACACTCCTTGTCTACTGGCAAATGTCACCTGTGAATCCAACCACTTCCCCCGCGACGGTGGCCATGTCCTGCTCACGCCTCACTGCCCCTCGCCTGGGAGCAGCTGCAGCCTCCTACTCCACTCCTGGCCCCTGAGCCCTTCTCCCCAGCAGGCAGAGTGAGCCCTTCCAAGTGCAAACAGGATCATTTGTTTCCCCCCTCCACTCCCACCACAACTAAAACCCTCCAACTGCTTCTTATCATGCTTAGAATAAAATCTATCTTCTCTCCTGCGAGCCATGGGACACTCAGATAAAATCCATCCTCTCTCCCACGTGCCATGGGACACTCAGACTCAGCGTTATCCTCCTACATGCACCCTCCCTGACTTCACTCCACCAACCGGCCTCCCAGCTGCTCCTGCTGACACTGGTGCACACTTGCCTCAGAGCCTTTGCTCCTGCTGCCATGGAGGGGGGAGTTCCATAGGGGCATATGGAACAGAGACTTGGACCCCAAGCAGAGGGCTGAGGTCTCCAGGTAGACACAGAGCTGTGGGGCATCACTGCCAGGGCAGAAAAGACAGGGAGGAGGGCATTTGGAAGGGGCCCAGGGCCCCCCAACTTCCATCCTCCAGGTTCCTGGAGGCAGAGCATGTTCAGAGGACCAAGCCCAGCAGAGAGACCCTCTTTTACCAGCCAGGCTGGGGCCCCAACCCAAGGAGCAGCCCTGGGAGCTGCGGAGCCCAGCTTGACAGGGAGAGAGTGGGGTAGGAAGCTCCTCCCACCCGTCTAGTGGGTGGCCTAGGGGAGCCTCCTCAGGGACCGCCCTGGCCTAGGAGAGAGACAAAGAGAGCCCAGAAAAAGAAAGAAGGGATTAGGCCCAGGTAAGCCAGAGACCTACGGAGAGAAGTTGGCCAAGCCTCCTCCCAGAGGAAGCATGCTGACCCTTCCTCCCAGGCTGGGCCCCAGGAGGCAGCTCACACCCCCCTGCCCAGCCCAGCCCAAGTAGCCCCTTCCGTGGCCTTGTGGAGGTGGTGAGAAACAAAGAGGAAAGGAGAGAAGGAAAGTGTATGTGTACGTGTGTGTGCGCGTGTGAGCATGTGTGTGCATTGTGGGCACGTGTTTGCGTGTGTGAGCATGTGTGCGTGTGCGAGCACGTGTGTGCATGTGTGTGTGTGAGCACCTGTGTGCACGTGAGCACATGTGTGCGTGTGTGAGCACGTGTGTGCGTGTGAGGTTGTGTGTGAACATGTGTGTGTGCTGTGAGCGTGTGTACGTGTGAGCGCGTGTGTGAGCGTGTGTCCATGTGTGAGCATGTGTGCGTGTGAGCACGGGTGTGCGTGTGTGCGGTGTGAGCGTGTGTACACGTGTGAGCACGTGTGTGCATGTGTGAGCACGTGTGAGCGTGTGTGTGCCTGTGTGAGCGCATGTGTGCGTGTGTGAGCATGTGCGTGACTGGGGGAAGGGAGGGAAGTTTTCTTCACCTAAAGACCAACATTGACCAAAATGCCCTGCCTCTGCACACACGCCAGCTTCCTAATGCGGCAGCTGTAAATGATTTTCATAATCATCTAAGACTACACTCAATAAGACAGTCTGCTAAGGGGCAAAACAAAAAAAAAAAGTGAAATTTTTACATCTTTACAAAGCAATACGCAAACTATAAATGCAGCTTAAGAAAAACCCCAGGAGCAGAAGAGTGCTTGACGTCAGCCAGGGTATATTTAGCTGGGCCACCGCTGGGCTGGCAGAGTCAAGCCACTCAAGGAGACATCGGGGCCGCAGAGGCCTCTCCGCCGGCTGCCATGCCCCTGGACCCAGGGGACTGGCATCACGTCACACAGTCCACAAGGCAGGGAGGGGCCAGGGGCTCTGAAAATGGGCACTGGGGACCAGGCACAGGACCCAAGGGCATTTGGAAGGGACCCAGGGCCCCCAACTTCCATCCTCCAGGTTCCTGGGGGCAGAGCATGCTCAGAAGACTGAGCCCAGTGGAGGGACCCTCTGTTACCAGCCAGGCTGGGGCCCCAATACAAGGAGCAGCCCTGGGAGCCGCAGAGCCCAGGTTGACAGGAAGAGGGTCGGGTAGGAAGCTCCTCCCACCTGTCTTGGGGTAACCCAGGGGCCTCCCCAGGGACCACCCTGACCTAGGGGAGAGAGAGAGACAGAGAGAGCATACTGCACCCCTGTGATGTGCTTGGCCTTGGGAACGAAAATAGATCCTATTTTGTTCTAGCTGCCCCACTTCACACCCCATGACTGGGCAAATCCTTCCCTCTCCGACCCCCTTTCTTCCTCCATAAAGGCAGCATTCTCACAGCCCCTGCCTCGCTCTTGGTGTGGAACTAAGTGGGGCAGTGAGTAGAGGCAGGAGCATGGAGCCTGGCAGGAGCATTGTCGGTCCTCAGTCCTTACAGCTCCCGCTCGTCCTGTCCCCCAGAGCCTCCGCAGGCTCTGGGGACATCACAGAGATAAACAAGGAGGGACTCCTCTCTTGGAAGAGGCACAGACTTGGGGGAGGGCCTGGAGAGGGAGTAAACTATGATAGTGCAACCCTGTTAGTGTCAGAAAAGACGAAGCCAGACGGGGGGCCAACCGACCTGACCATATGCCAGGGCTGCCCAAGCTCAATCTGCAGGAATGCTCAGCTTGGTCGCTGTAATGTTTTGATTTGAGTCAACAGTTTTCATTTGTTTTGTTTTCTTTTGTTTTGTTTTGGTCTTTAGGCTTTTTGAGACAGAGTCTCACTCTGTCACCCAGGCTGGAGTGCAGTGGCATGATCTCAGCTCACTGCAACATCTGCCTCCCGGGTTCAAGCAATTCTGCCTCAACCTCCTGAATAGCTGGGACTACAGGCATGCACCACCACACCTGGCTAATTTTTGTATTTTTAGTAGAGACGGGGTTTCGCCATGTTGGTAAGGCTGGTCTTGAACTCCTGACCTCAAGTAATCCACCCGCCTCAGCCTCCCAAAGTGCTGGGACTACAGGTGTGAGCCACGGTACCCGGCGAGAGCGAACAGTTCTTAAATTGGAAAGTTTGTCCAAAAGTTCTTAACTTCTGGCTTCTCTTGAAGAACTGGAGGCTGTGGCAACAGTGAGCCTGCACTCCCACCTGGCAGCAATAAGCTGCCCCTGGGGATGGGGGTGTGGACTCTCCAGCTTGCGCCAGACCCCACCACTCCCCACTGCCACCCAGCCCTGGGGTGAAGGGGCAGATGACATTATCATTGCATAATCTAGACACTCTCCTCTTTTATATTATCAGCCTGGTCCCTGGAGACACCTGAGTCTGGGACCCATGAACCAAGGGCTGGGGGGACCTGAGGAAGGCTTCACAAAGCAGTCCTGGGGTTCAAGCCAGGCTTGCTGGGGCAAGAGGAGGAGGAAAGGCGCTCCACCGAGGGACCAGCAGGCACAAGGAGAGAGAGATGCCAGAAAGCCCAGCGCAGGTTCAAGAGCCGGGTGGACTGTGAGAGGGGTTAACAGGGGCTGTGGCCTGCAACGTGGGAGTTATGGAGGGCACAGTCAGGAGCCACGGGTGATGGGATGGAGCCAGAGGTTTTGGAACAAGCCCTGTTGGCAGAAATGGGAGAGACGTGAAGGGGAATTACTAGGAGTTACAATGAGGGGGAAGAGAGTGAGGAAGGCACATCCCCCTTCTTTCCCCTCTGCCTCAGAAAGAGCCTCCAGCCCAGGGCAGGCCCAGGAGGGGGAAGGGCCGCCCGCGGAGAAGCCGCACCAGCTCACCCATTGCCATGGAGACCAGGCTGCAACCTCCCTGGAACCCCTGAGACTTGTTTCCGTGGAGAGAAGCCTCCTCACCCACCTCATCCAGGACAGTGATGCTGTCAGGAGGCAGCGAGGACCTGTGGAGCCACCTCCCTCCCCGGAATGATGGGGAGTGGGCAGAATGGAGTCCCCATCCCTCCCTGGCTCAGGGTACTCGTGGGGAAACTGAGGCCCAGAAGACCACTCCTGGCAAAGCCCAGCACATTAGCCAAGGAGGGTCTGCCCGGCCTTCCAGAAGCTCCTAAAACATCTGCCCCCAGCTGCGTGCAGACTGTGGCCAGGGCTGGCTGCTTTGGCAGGGGGTGGGGTGCACCCCGAGGAAAGGTCAGCTCCAGCCCACAGAGCACCTCTGGGTCAAGGAGCCATGTGTGAAAGGAGAAAGGCAGGGGCTGTGGGTGCCCCTGAAAGTTTGCTGGCACCAGTGTCTGCCAGACACGTGCAAGCTTCGTTGTGTAAACACTGGCACAGGGAAGAGGAGCCAGGCCATCCCCATGAGCTGAGTGCTGCTTGGTGTGTCACATGAGTACAGAAAGAACTAAGGCAGGGGTGGGGAGGAGAGCCAGTGGAGGCCAGTTTGGGGCAGTGGAGTCAGAGAGGGCCTCCCTGATCAGTGACATTTGAACCAAGAGCTGGCAGAGCTGAAAGAGTGAGCCATGGGGTAATCTAGAGGGAGAGCATTCAGGTGAAGGTTGCTGGAGGAGGGAGCACCCTGGGGTGCTCTCGGGGGCTGAAGGAGGGGAATGGCATGGCAGGGAAGCGAAGACAAGGCGTGCTGCTGCCCCCACAGGGGCGGGTGCCGGGCCAGACACCCTGCTGTGCCTGAGGGTGCCAGGCTGGGTAACCAGGAGACTTCGGAACCTGCGTCAGCAGAAGCAGCAAGGCCGGGGGTGGAACTAATTGCCTGTCACCGACTAATAGCCTGTTTGCATTTTCTCAAGCACAGCACATAAAGCCTACAAAGTAACGAGAACAATTCCATCGGCCTCTTGTACATGGTCTTGCGATTCCACAGTCCTCCCACCCCTGGAGTGGCAGCTGGGTCCACTTTTCACATGTGACACCTGGCTCTTACCTAGGGAGCCACTGCCCCAGCCATCAGACCCTAAAGCTCATTCATGGGGTGGCAGGGGCTCCGGGGCCAGGCTTCTGGGCCCTCGGGCCACAGGGTGCTATACACAGCCTGAGGCCCATGTGCTCCCAACTGAACTGAACAGACTGTCTTTTCCCTAAACCTCCAACAAGGCCCGAACCAAACACAAAAGTGACAGCGCCACAAAAAAAACAAAAAGACTCAAAAATGCTTGAGGGGCCCACTGTCATCTTTTTTTTTTTTTTTTTTTTTTTTTTTTTTTTTTTTTGAGACAGAGTCTTGCTCTGTCACTCAGGCTGGAGTGCAGTGGCGCAATCTCGGCTCACTGCAACCTCCACCTCCTGGGTTCAAGCGATTCTCCTGCATCAGCCTCCCGAGTAGCTGGGACTACAGGTGCCCGCCACCACGCCCGGCTAATTTTTTTGTATTTTTAGTAGTGACGGGGTTTCACCATGTTAGCCAGGCTGGTCTCGATCTCATGACCTCATGATCCATCCACCTCGGCCTCTCAAAGTGCTGAGATTAAAGGCATGAGCCACCGCGCCCGGCCCTCTCCTCATCTTTAGGCCTCTACAATTCCAAAGGGGTTCTGAGCCTCCTCCAGGAAGAAAAGATGGAGAAGAGGTGACAGAGGGGGGCACTGGGCCCCCAAAACGCGCCTCTACCTAGACGCAGGGTGGGGAGACGCCTCACCCCGGTCCCATGAGCTGTGACCCCACTGCGGTTTCGCCTCCCTCAGCAACTATATACAGGATGTTTCTCTTTCTCTTCCTGCATTTGTTTTTTAATAATAGAGACAATTTAAAAGAGCTGGAATTCTCCTTAAAAACAAACAAACAAACAAACAAAAAACAGAGAAGGCCTGTGAATGTTCCCAGCACAGCTTAAGGTCTAGTAAAGAAAGCCTAGGGGGGACACGCTGGCTGCATCTTCTCAATTCAAGCCCCGCAGGATCTGAGCCACTTCCCCTCTCCACAGGCGTGATGGTTAATACTGTCAGCTTGATTGGATTGAAGGGTGCAAGGCGTGGTTCCTGGGTGTGTCTGTGAGGGTGTTGCCAAAGGAGATTAACATCTGAATCTGTGGACTGGAAAAGGCAGACCACCCTTAATCCAGGTGGGCACCACCTAATCAGCTGCCAGCACAGCCAAAATAAAAAGCAGGCAGAAGAACATGAAAAGACTAGACTGGCTTAGTCTCCCAGCCTCCATCTTTCTCCCATACTGGATGCTTCCTGCCTTCGAACATCAAACTCCAGGTTCTACAGCTTTGGGACTCAAACTGGCTTCCCTGCTCCTCAGCTTGCAGAAGGACTATTGTGGGACCTTGTGATCGTGTGAGTTAATACCCTTAGTAAACTCCCCTTTATATATATCTATCTATCGTATTACTTCTGTCCCTCTAGAGAACCCTAATACAATAGATAAGCAGCAATGGCATCCTAGCTGGTCCCCATAATAACTTGAGGTTACAGAGCCCCATGGCCAAGCTGGCCCAGCCCTCATTGTATAGGACTCAGGGGGTGGCACCCCCACCCAGAGGGCCCCCAAAAGACAGATATCAGCTCCGCTAGAGAGGCAGGTGGGAGACTTCTATCTGGTTTCCATTTTTCCTTTTAAGAGCTGTTCTCCCCTCCCTGCTCACTGGAGAACAGGGTATCTGGGGGTCAAGAGGTTTCTCTTTTGAAATGCTTCCCAAAGCACTGAGGCTGGCCAGGCCGAGGGCCGGGGTATCCTGGTACTGAGGGTTGAAACGTTACCATCCCTCACCGAGATGAAGATGAGGTCTCAGGCTTTCATGAGGGAAGAGAGAGTGATTACCTCTCTCTCTTTGGGAAGAGCCACTGAAAACCAACACTAATAAAACCAGCCCACATAGAGGGCTGTCCCCCGGCCAAGCAGGGCACTCACCTGTGATCTCACCCAATACTCACAGCAGCCCCTGCCTGGGGAGAGCCTTTTACACTCCCATTTCACGGATGAGGAGCAGAGAGAGGAAGGGGCAGGCCACAAGCCACCAGCCAGGAATGAGCCCTGGCTGCCTGACTCTAAGGAAGTCTGCTAAACCAGTGGTTTCCAGGAGGAAATAATACACATGGAAGGACATCCACAGAGCTGAGCCACTCTCTTCCAGCCAGCTAACGACGCTCCATGTGCTGGCTGCCTCTCCTCCCTCCCTTTTACCCTCAACCACTCTTGCTCCAGCCCCTGACAGTTCCAGCCAGTGTTACATCCCAGGCCCCTCCTGCTCCCCTAGCTGGTCACCCAGCCTTCCACCCCACTCCTCCTAGCACAACCCAGCCACTCTCAGCTCTGAGAAACAAGCCCATTATACAGAAAGGTGGGGGTGGGCTGTGCACTTTCTCTAGGATTCCAGAACTATGGGGGCAGTGAGACCCATCTAGTTTCCCACTCCCTCCAGATAACCATGTACACTCTCTGGGAGCTTCCTGGGGGAGCCCTAACATGCCTCCATCTCCCCACTTTCCCTGGGGTTACTTACCGAACCGGCCCATCATCATCCTGCAAACAAGAACACAGAGAGAGCCATGAGATGGGTCACTCAGAACACAGTTTCACAAGCAGCACAATGGAGGATGAGGGACAGAGCCAGCCAGAAAGCTGGGCCCTCGCTGCCCAGGTAAAGGCCTACTGATAAGAACGCAAGTCACATGGTGCTGTGTTCCAGCCTGCTCTAATTATAAACGAGAGGTGCTTGTGTGAATTATTAATGTTTGCACAAGGTCAGCAGCAAATCACCATCTCTATTTGCACATTAACCACCCTGGTAATGTTGTTTGGAGGGGAGGTACTTAAATCAGAAGAGTGGTTAATATGAAGATTTCAGCAGACAACAGGTCTTCCAGCAGCCGTGGAACGCTCAAAACACAGGCTGGGCCGGGCACAGGGGCTCATGCCTGTAATCCCAGCACTTTGAGGGGCAGAATCGGGTCAATCACTTGAGGTCAGGAGTTCGAGACCAGCCTGGCCAAAATGGCGAAACCCCATCTCTGCTAAAAATGCAAAAATTAGCCGGGCATGGTGGCAGGCACCTGTAATCCCAGCTACTTGGGAGGCTGAGTCAGGAGAATCACTTGAACCCAGGAGGTGGAGGTTGCAGTGAGCAGAGATTGCACCATTGCACTCCAGCCTGGGCAACAAGAGTGAAACTCTGTCTCAAAAAACAAACAAACAAACAAACAAAACAATAAAAAAATGCAAGGCTGGAGACGAGCCTGGCCAAAGTGGCAAAACCTCCTCTAAGAAAAATACAAAATTAGCTGGGTGTCATGGCGTGCGCTCTAGTCCCAGCTACTCAGGTGCTGAGGTGGGAGGATCGCTAGAGCCTGGGAGGTCAAGACTGCACTGAGCTGGGATCGCACCACTGTACTCCAGCCTGGGCAACAGAGCAAGACCCTGTCTCAAATAAATAAATAAACAAACAAACACACACACAAGGTTGCAGGTTACTCATGTTTCCAGGAGTAAACACAATGTACTTGCAGGACTTGTGGAACTAAAGGATCCTGGAGAACCACGAGGCCAGGCCCTGATCTCAGGCAGGCGGCAGCGGAAGCAATGGGGGAGACGGGAGTGGTGAGCAGCTTCTCCTCAAAGATTCCCAGTGAGTGAGTGCACAGATCCTTTCCATGCACTGCCTTCCTGAGAGGCAAGGAAGTCTTTACTTTGTCCCCAAATCCCTCTAGGCTCAAGTCCTTTGGCTCCATCTTATTTAACAAGCACTTACTTGAGTACCTACTATGTGCAGGCTGTGCAGATACAGAAATTAACATCCCCTGGAGATAAACACTATGTGGCCCTGCCCTCAGGATGCCTGGGAGTGACAGACCTCATAAGCCAATATTTCAATGTTGGCCACATGTGTCCAGAGGCTAAGGGAACTAACAGGAAGCCAAGCACTCCTGCTTGGCAGACAGGAGGGCTTCCTGGAAGGGGTGACCTCATAGCCACCTCTTGAAAGAGAAAGGGGAACACTGAGACTGGATAGGAGGTGGCAATGCTGCCTTAGGAAACTGAATGTGGATCTTTGGGCCGCTGGTTTTCAGCAGACATCCAATGATTCAAATGTTCCGTCAGAGCCTCCGCAGCCACGGGGAGGGGAAGGAACAGGAGACAAGGATGGGATGACCAGCCCTGAGGAGAACCTACCTGGGGCATCATCCTGGAGAGGTGACCCAGCCTCTCCTTTACCCTGACCCTGGCTGGCAGAGGGACACTGACTCAGGCTAGAAAATCCCAACTCCCTTCCTCACTGCTCAGGGCCATCTGATATCTGATTGAGGTGGCTTTCACTGAAATCTCCCCTTCCCTGACTTTGGGGTGCTCCCCTCCTCCTGGAAATTCCCTTAGGGCCCCGAGGCACTTCCCACAAGCCCCTGTGTTAGACTGTACATGTCTGTGGATGCATCCTTTCTCATCAGCAGGATGGGTCGCCCTGGAGGAAAAGAACTGCACTCAGCCCACCTCTCAGTGTCTCTGTTGATCCAGCAAGGAGGCTGGCATGCAGCAGGTCCTTGGGGCCACTTACTGCTGATGAATAGCTGAGACAATTCTCCCACCCACTTGCTCATTCTCTGTCTCTGGACCATTCTAGTTTTATGGCAGGGGGCCCAGCTCCTCCTTGCTGTCCTCATATGGGACCCCCTCACCTAGAGGGGAACTCCTATCACAGCATGCCCACCACCCAACAATGTGCACAGGCCATTCCTGCACAAGGAGGCAGAGTCTGTTTCCTGCACCTTGATCCAGGATGACCTGTGACTCACTTTGACTCACAGAATTGAGGACATAGGTATGGATGTCCAAGACAAGGCCTCAAGGGGACTGCAGCTGCATTCTCACTCTCTCAGGACCCTGAGAGCACCCTGGGAAGATGCCCAGCACTGTGAGGAGGAAAGAGACCCAGGGGAGGCCAACACCAACCACCAGAGGTAGGGGGAGCCCATCTCAGCCTCCCCAGCCTCCATCCAGCCTTCAGATGTCTGCATCATATGAGCAACCCCAGGCGAGACTGGCTGAACAACCGCCCAGCTGAGCCCAGCCTAAATTGCTGACCCACAGAATTGTGAGCAGCAAATGAAACAGATGTTGTTTTAAGCCACTTGACTTTGGGGGTGATTTGTTACACAACAATAAACAACTAAGACACCAGCCCAATCCCAGTTCCCCACGAGCAGCCCTTCTCCTACTGCTGAATAGGCAGAGCTGCTGCCAAAGGCCCACTGTGCTGGGCAAAGAACCACATTCTCATCCTCCCCTTTTCCAGCTCTCCCTGTTCCCTTCGTGGGCCTGGGGCAGACTGGGAGGCCTCTTCATGGGCCTCTGCACATGCATCAGCCTGCACTCCACTGTCCCATCATCTTCCCTGAGAGCTTGCAAGCCACGAGTGGTTTCCTGTGTCAGCTCCAATTTTTGAAATACCATCCATGAATTCACAACACAGTAATTAATCACTCTGTGAACTTAGCTGATGGATTAGCTGAGACAATCAATTTTTAAATGTTCTGTTTCATCTGAAACAGGTTTAGTCAAGAGGCACAAATGCAGTGAATTCTAAAGATTCTTAGCAGGTTATCACAAGGAGTCCTTAAAACCACATACCACAGATACTGTTTGATTTGCTATTTTCAATAGATTTGAAGCCTTTTAGACTTCTGAACACCTGCCCTCTGGCTTTCTCTAGGAGATAACAGATGGCTTAGTAGTGTCTGTCAAAGGAAAGTTCTGGTTTAAAGATGTAGCTCCCACCTCTGATGGGGCTAATGTAGATGGATAAATGAACTGAGACAATGGTTCTCTCTAACCATCCTGAACTCTCTCTGCCTGCCCCACTTTGCAATGTTCTTACAGCTCACCTTTTAAGATAGGAATGAAAAAATTCAAAGTCTGTGGAAGGTAACTCAGTTCTAATGTTAAAAACTCTGAAGAAAGTGTGCAGAGGGAGGAGAGCTGGGGTGGGAACCAGCATGAGAATCACATGCTACAGAGAAGGGGTGTGGAGCGGGAGCAGCCCCATGGGCGCTGGTGTCCCTGGCTGAAGTGGCAGCCTGGGGTCCCACTCACTCGGGGCAGCAGGGCCTGGAAGGGCAAGACAGGGGTCCACTTACTCTGTAGTTGTGGTCAGCTCCTCCGAGATGTGGCTGGAATGCAGCAGGCCTTCCCGTTTCTGAAAACCCCAAAATAAACATACAAAATCAGGCAGTGGAGAGTTGAGGAAAGATGCACTGACAGGGCAGACGAAGCTGCGGGGCCGGAGATCATCTTAGAAAAGAGCAACAGGAGAAGGAGGGGTGGTGTTGAACACGCATGCCAGGCCTGGGTGAGTACACAGCAGGGGACCCTGGGCAGGGTGCCTTTCAGCGACCACAACCTGTCCCTATCCTCCTCCCCACCCTCTGGTCTCCACGTGGCCTTGAGAGTTGGCATTTGTGTGGGTCTCAGGAGAAACACCCCAGGTCAGGATTCCCCAAAGGGATCCTCTATGCTTTGCAGCCAGGAGAGGTGAGGCATGCAATTGGAAGGAACATAAATAACAGGGAACATCCCCTGCAATCATGTGTGTGCACGGGACTGAAGAGGGTCCCCCAAAGTTCATATCTACCACAAACTTCAGAACATGATCTCATTTGGAAATAAGGGTCTTTGCAGATACTAGCTCAGATGAGGTCATCATGGATTATGGTGAGCCCCTCCTTAATCCAATATGGCTCACCTCCTTATTAGAAGAGGAAACAGACACAGAAACAGACAGAGGGAGGAGGCCATGTGATGACAGAGGCAGAGACTGGAGAGATGTGGCCACAAGCCAAGAACACCAAGGACTGACAGCCACCACCAGAAGCTGGAGGAGGCAGGAAGACCCCTCCCCTAGAGGAGGAGACATGAGGGAGGACATCCTACCCTGACAACATCTTGATTTCAGACTTCTGGCCTCCATAATTGCGAGAGAATAAATGTCTGCTGTTTTAAGCCACCTGGTTTGTGGTACTTTGTTATGGCTGCCCTAGGAAACTGACACAGTATATGTCACACTTCTCCCAGAGCGTGGCAGGTATAGAAAAGCAATGATGGCCGGGCACAGTGGCTCACAGCTGTAATCCCAGCACTTTGGGAGGCCAAGGCAGGCAGATCATGAGATCAAGAGATTGAGACCATTCTGGCCAACATGGTGAAACCCGGTCTCTGCTAAAAATACAAAAATTAGCTGGGCGTGGTGGCATGTGCCTGTAATCTCAGCTACTTGGGAGGCTGAGGCAGGAGAATCAGTTGAACCCAGGAGGCAGAGGTTGCAGTGAGCTGAGATTGTGCCACTGCACTCCAGCCTGGGTGACACAGTGAGACTCCATCTCAAAAAAAAAAAAGTAATGATGGTAGTGAGGGGGGCATGGCAGTGGTGATGGTAGGGGTGGCAGCCCGCCTGTCACAGGAGCTCCAGATGGAGCCTGGGTGGCTAATCCAACCACCACTGAACCCCTCAAGGGACTGGGAACTCATTTCCCGCTGGGCCAGCCCACAGTGGACACCACCAAGATCTGGGCTTCCATCCCTTTCCTGAGTTTGACCTCCATGGAATACTCAGGGTTGGTGCTTGTTATTGAACAACAGTGTGGGTGACATTTATCCTGATTCTCAGGAGTGCCTGCCAAGGAAGGTCCAGACATTGTGTTCACCTAGTCAAGGATCAAACATGCCTGAGGCACCCACCAGGTGCTGGGCCCAGGTCTAGGATTGTAGACATGAAGCTGGATGTTTTACAGGTTTGTAGTAAAATCTTGGTTTTATGGGGAAAAGCATTGCAGCTCAGCAAAAGCAAGTGATCAGCCCAAAGCCACGTGGCCAGGCAGTAAATAAGGCCCTTTCCTTCCTTCCTTCCACCCTGGAAATGCCACATCCCTTACACCAACCATTCCATCTGGGGTTAGATAAGGGGTCCCCTGAGCAAGCTCAGAGGCCAGGGGGCTGCAGAGAAGACAGAAGGCGGCTCTAAGGTCTGGGGAGTAACTGCGCCCGGTTCACAGGACCCCCTGCTCCCGTTTCATTCTGCTTTGGTCGTGGCCAAACAACACTCCTCTAACCCGTTATGGCAGGAAGCACCAGCAAGTGCTTGCCTGGTTCAAACTTTCTGCAAACCGCAAAGATTATCTTGGACCCAAGTGCAAGCCTGAAAGGAAATACTCCAGTTTCTGAGCCTGCACAGGGCTCCTGGGGCCCCGAGCTGACGTAGGTAGGCTTGGGAACCACATCCCAATGTGTCCTAGGGAAGCCTTTTCAGGCCGGCTGCCTGTGAACCAGTGGCCAAGACACGGGGCCATAGGAATGGCCCCCCAGGTCCCGAGTCACCACCACCAGCCACAAACATCCTCCTTAGGAAGGAAACATGGACACATGGCAGGTGGCCCTTGCCGGATGCCAGAGAGGAGCATTCCCGTCCGGTCAAGACTGAGCTCCCAGGGTAACAGAGGGGCCAGAATGGGTTCGGAAAACACAGTGACAGCCAGGTCCTCCCCGACCACAGAGACCACGGGACTGAGAAGTTTAAAAACCAGAGGAAAGTGGAGCCGGATGTCTCGAGTAAAATAAACACAGAGGCATCCAAGGTTCCGAGCGTGACCTCAACTCTGGCCGCAGTGGTCACCCCCACAGACGCCAGGCATGTGTTCCTCCTTTAGTGGCTCGGCAGCCTATGCTGAGTGCTTAGAGAATAGTAGGCGCTCATTGCACATTTACTGAGGGAAACTGCACACACGAACCCTAGGCAGCGACTGTCCACTTAAATGTAAGGGAAATAAGGCCAGGCATGGCAGCTCCCACCTATAATCACAGCATTTTGGGAGGCTGAGATGGGAGGATCGCTTGAGCCCAGGACTTCGAGACCAGCTTGGGCAACATAGCGAGACCTTGTCTCTACAAAAATTTGAAATTAGCCAGGCACGGTGGCATGTGCCTGTAGTCCTAGCTACCTGGGAGGCTGAGGCGGGAGGACCGCTTGAGCCCAAGAGGTTGAGGCTGCAGTGAGCCATGACTGCACCATGGTACTCCAGCCTGGGCAACAGAGTGAAACCCTTTCACAAAACATAAAATAAAATAAAAAATAAATGTAAGGGAAATAGCAAGAGAAAGGTAACTCTACTTCACCCTCTGTTAGAAGGACCTGGGTTCTGGTTCCATTTCTCCAAGTGAATCAAGAGAAATGAACCCAAAAAAAGAGATGATGGGGCATGATGAATAATCCCCAACGAATGCAAAGCGGCTTTAATTTGGGTGTCTGTTTCATCCCGCGGGGCCAACCTCCTCCAATGAGTAATAAGCACATTCAAGGGGATTGAATTCCAACCAGTTGGCTTTGGAGAGAAATGAATGTTCTTTTCAAAAATGTGGAAAATTAAACCTCAACACCCTCATGCCTCTGCTTCTGCCTCTCATCAAATCAATGCCATTGTTCCCGTTCCAATCATTTATCTCGGAGCCAGGGTGAGACACACATTTTGTCAAAAGGGAAAAATAGAAGGTAGCCTCCTGGGGGGAAAAAAGGAGGGGGAGGGCAGGAAAACTGCAGGAGGAAGATGTTGCCTCTCTGGCGGAGTTACAGGCAGGCCGACCACTCGGTTATACTCACCCGCACGACCACCACCTGCACCGTTACATGCTCAGGAAGGCGGATGGGGGCCCTGAAGTGCATGGCCAGAGAGACCAGCAGGTGGAGGATGGCCACCAGGTTCTTCCCGTGAATTGCTGCAGGAGGAAGGAGGAAGGGAGACGCTTTAGATCAGGTTACACAGGAACCTGAGCCCACGTGCAGAAGGCAACAGAGACACAGCATCTAAATGAGACCCCAGCGAGACAAGGATGGAGCGAAGTGTGGACAAATCAAGAGAGCTGATGAGCAACCTGGTGAATTTACTTCTAGCTTCACTGTCTCCTTTCCTGTTGGCCTAAGGTGACTTGTGCAACCACTTTTAGAAGCACAATGTTTTTAAAAGCAATAAATTGGGCAGTGATGAGGGAAAGGAACAGGATAGTAAAATTAGCACAGAAGGGAAAAGAGCATGGAAAGCAGGTCACGGCCACTTACCCATCACAAGGATGTGCGTTATTATCTCTGGCACTAAAAAAGGGCTCCCTCTCCGCAATGAACCATCCCAACAAGGGTAGGCTGCCAAGAGCAGAGGCCACTCTGGGGACATTAGACATTAGCCCCTGCCTTGCCTGAGTCTGTCCTCTCTCTTCCTCAGCATGCGGACTCAGGTTTGGTCAACATCACCACTTCTCCTGCAGGGTTTTACAGTTTACAAGGCACCCGATTCCCCACCCACGGACCCAGCCACCCACGAGACAGCCTGGGTCTGCCCAAGGTCTCGATACCAAGAAACCGGGTGCAAGGCCAGGCTCCAGGGTCTCCTGCCTACCACTGAGAGCCCAGCTCACCAAAGCACGGAGACCTCTGGCCCAGCACAGAGAGCCCTGAAGCCACACCCTCATGGCCCTGCTTCCAGGGGAGGGAGGTGGGGAAGGAGTGGGCAGGACCGAGGAGAACTTTCCAGCTTCTCCTGGTTTAGTCTTTCACCTGCCGGGTTCATGTCTTGGCTGAAAATACCGTGATGTCACATCTCATAATGCCAGGGTCATAGACAAACAGCCCACTAGGTGTTGCTGCCACCAGTATTTGGGGTTGAGTCCCAACAAGAACCCCCCAAGGCTGCTTCTCTCTCTCAAAGTCCCTCTGATCCACCCATCCATAAACATTGCCTCTCTCCTCTGCAGCATGGGGAGGATGGAGAATTGTGGCCTGACCAGGTCCCTTTTCTAGGATCTCCCTAACCCTTCTCCTGTTCTTCTCCCCTGCAATGTTCTACCTCTTACAGAGCAGGGAGATGAACCCAATTTTAAGATGCAAGGCCAGATGGGATGATGATGAATGTGGATGACAAATGTGGATGACGAATGTCGAGAGGACGGGCTCCCTCCAGACAGTCCCTCCCCCTGTGGCGTGGAACTCACAGTCCACGCTCCACCGGAGCGCCCAGCCTCGGGGCCGCAGCAGGTCATGTACTGCTTCCAGCACCGTCTGCAGCTTCTGTTTCTGCCCTATTTCGGACTGTGTCACCTCAGCCACATTCAGCTTGCACCCTGCCAGTTTTTCTGCAATGAGAAGCACAAGAGAAGAGGGTCAGAAAAAGCTGGAAGGGCCAGGCGCAGTGGCTCATGCCTGTAATCCCAGCAGTTTGAGAGGCCGAGGTGGGTGAATCACTTCAGGCCAGGAGTTCGAGACCAGCCTGGCAAATATGGTGAAATCCCGTCTCTACTAAAAATATAAAAATTAGCCAGGCGTGGTGGCGCACACATGTAATCCCAGCTACTCGGGAGGCTGAGGCAGGAGAAGTGCTTGAACCCGGGAGGTGGAGGTTGCAGTAAGCCAAGATCATGCCATTGCACCCAAGCCTGGGCAACCTGAGTGAGACCCTGCCTCAGAAAGAGAGAGAGAGAGAGAGAGAAAGAAAGAAAAAGGAAGGAAGGAAGGAAGGAGAGAGAGAGAGAAGAAAGAAAAAAAGAGAGAGAGAGAGGGAGGGAGGGAGGGAGGGAGGGAGGGAGGAAGGGGAGAGAGATATACTGGAGGAACTCAAAACCACCAAGACCCCAGCCTCAAGGAGGTCCCCGAAGCGGGGCAGGTTACCATGTGGCCATGGGGGCGTCTTGAGATGTTGAACCATGAACGCTGAGCTTCCAGGTCACTAATCTTCCTTAGAGAATGACGCCAGATTGAAAAGGGAAGAATAGTTAAGGATAAAACTGTGGGTGTTATACTCGGGAACATTCTATGCATACAAAATGGAAAAAACATAATAAGATGTAGTTGAGAGGCAAGGAGGTTACCTGGGAAGAATGAAAGTGGGAGTCAGGAGGTGAGAAGACTGTCCCTGTGGGTCCCAAAAGGGAGAGGACTGATAAAGATAATTTTAAAAAAGGTCTTAAAAGCTGCCTCTGCCTCCCCACACACCTGAGGCTCCCATTCTTGTTTCTTAAACATTCTAATGCCACAATAGGAAGTTAGATTAGATATTCACAGAACTGGCGATGATTTTATTACCAAGAATGAACAGGAAACAATCCGGAGGAGCACAGACAAGAACTGTCACATTTCATCAAGATTCAATTACTGAGACTGAGCTCCAGCCCAGCCTGCACCTCCTTCAATTTCCCTTTTGTTAGCAGTAGGTACTGGCAGGTGCCGGCCACCAGCGCCCCACCCCACGCCCGCTGCAGGGCCACACAGCAGGAAGGACCCCCAGTTTCCCTGCTAGTCTTCGATTCTAAGACTCCAGTGTTTACTGATAGATCCACTCTGCAAAACAACAAAAGCGACGTCACAGAGCATCGTGAGATGGTTCACTGGGAGGGTGACTGCAAGCACTCAGCACAGAGCCTTCAATACACAGCTGCTGTCAGTGACGCGGCATTGACATGCCATCATGAAAGCAATCAAGTCCAGGCCAGTCACAAATGGGGTTTCTGTTTTGCAAGTGGTTCCCAGCACAAAGTTCTGTTTAAAACATTTTAGCTGGAGGCCCCCATGTCTTCAGTGTTATCTCCCCAGCAGCCTCCCCTCCCTCAATTAGAAAACAAACAGCTTTGGCATCCCTTTCAAGATAATAAAATTCTAGAGCAAGGCCTGCTGGGCTCGGAATACCCCTTCGATCATGCGTTTGTTGGCTCACAGATAGGGACTGAACACCTACTATGGGACAGGCACTGTCCTAGGTGCTGGATATGGCACAGATAACAGAGGTCCCTAGTGGGGAGATAAACACCCGTAAAAAACATCTGATTGGGTGGCAATGACTGCAAGAGAAAAAACAAAGCAGCCCAACAAAACACATCCTGCAGGGGAGTGGAAACGATTCCCGCTTATTCATCTGATTTCCCTCCATCTGGATCTAACAGCTCCTCGCTGAGTCATCCACAGCTGTCTGTCTGAATTTGCGCCCTGGAAGTAGAGAGCAAGTAGGTCCCACAGGTGTTCAACAACCATGGAAAGGGCAGAGCAGGGCAGCTTGGAGAAGGAAGGAGAGAGATAGGATCATACAGAACTGGGTGGTCTGAGAGCCTCGCCCACCAGGGAGATGGGAAGCCTGACGCGCCCCCGTTGCACCTGCCACCATCCGGCCCCGCAGACTGAACATGGCCACGTCACCCAGGGTGGAGGAAGAGGAGTCGGCAGAGGAGCGGAGGACACTGGATTCGTTTGTCTGGGCTGCTGCAACGAAGCATGCCACACACCGTGCGGCTTAAACAACGGAGATTTATGTCACAGCTCTGGAGGCCAGAAGTCCAAGATCAAGGCACCGGCAGGGTAGACCCTTCTGAGGCCCCTCTCCTGGCTTGTAGATGGCTGCCCTCTCCTTCCTGTGTCCTTACTTGGTCTCCCTCTGTGCATGTCTGTGTCCTAATCTCCTCTTTTTATAGGAACCCTAGACATATTGAATTAGGGCCCACCCACTCGTATGGCCTCATTTTACTTTCATTACCTCTTTTAATTTTTTTATTTTTTTGAGATGGAGTTTCACTCTCGTCACCCAGGCTGGAGTGCAATGGCACCATCTCAGCTCACTGCAACCTCTGCCTCCCAGGTTCAAGCGATCCTCCTGCCTCAGCCTCCCGAGTAGCTGGGATTACAGGCATGTGCCACCACGCCCAGGTAATTTTTGTATTTTTAGTAGAGGCAGGGTTTCACCATGTTGATCAGGCTGGTCTCGAATTCCTGACCTCAAGTGATCTGCCCACCTCAGCCTCCGGAAGTGCTGGGATTACAGGTGTGAGCCATCACACCCAGCCTATTATTATCTCTATAAATACAGTCACATTCCGAGGTTCAACCTGCAGGGCTGGCTGGTAGCAGGGACAGTGGGAGGCTGCCAGGCTACCCATCTCTCCTAGTGGGCGAGGCTCTCATACCTTGCAATGTGCCTGTATTTAAAGAGGCAGTTAAGGTAAAATGAGGTCACATGGGTGGGCCCTGCATGTAGGACTTGAAAATATGAATTTGGTGGTGGAAACAGCAGGCAACAGAGACCAAAGAGACTGGCCATGCCTGTGTGCTGCCTTAGGCTGGGTCTTGGGTGACTCCTGTGCAACAGAGAATACGGCACATGATCACTTGCATCATCAGACATCACTGTGCCCACTGGCGGGGGCCGCAGGAGCAGCTCAGGGCTCTGTTGTGGCCAGGACCCCTATCTTCCTAGCACAGAAAGAGAGAAAACTGGGGAGGATTCTCCCATGTAGCAGGTGACCCTGAGTGATGGCCACATGGGGGTTGAGTACACATGTGATGAAGAACTTCACCTTCACAAGGAGAGGGTGTGCCCGTGAGTGACCAGCAGGACGACAGCCAGGAGCTCCCACAGCACGGGCACCTCACTCTGGCCATATGCAGTCTACCTTGAGGGCTGCACTGCAAACACAGGGGAGCTACACCCCCAGAAACCTGGCATGTGGCAGAGAACCCGGCAGCTGCTTCCAGAATCTTCTCTCAAGAAGAGGGATTCGGCTGGGTGTAGTGGCTCATCCCTGTGATCCCTGCACTTTGGGAGGCCAAGGTGGGAGGATCGTTTGAGCCCAGTTCAAGACTAGCCTGGGCAACATGGCAAAACCTCAGCACTACAGAAAATACAAAAATTATCTGGGCATGGTGGTATGCATCTGTGATCCCAGCTTCCCGGGGAAGCTGAGGTGGGAAGATCATCCAAGCCTAGGGGTCAAGGCTGCAGTGAGCTGTGATCACGCCACTGCACTCCAGCCTGGGCAACAGAGTGAGACACTATCTCAAGAGAAAAAAAAAAAAAGAAGAGGGACTCCTCAGGGGTCCTGCTGGTTCACTCTGGGCAATTTCCACATGGCCAAACCAGAAGTCTGTTCTCTTTCCTCCTCTCACCTCCTAGAAACACCTCCTTTACCCTTCCTGAATGCAACACTCCTCTGGCTCCCCCTCCCTTGTGACTGACCTTTGCCAGAACTTCCTCTTCCTGACCACTAATGGCTGACAGCCCAGACCCAGTCCTCAGACCTCTTCTCTACTACGGATGCACAGAAGTTGGCTTTGACCTTGGTATTCAGCTAAAATCTCCTATTTGGTTTGGGCTTCTGCCTTTGGAAAGCCAAAGAGCTGAATGCCTACATCAGTGTCATTCCTGGCATCCTGGAGCTCAAGGATCAGGTGATCACATCAGTAGTATCACATCAAGAGGATCTCACATCAACAGTATATTATGTCATTTCAGTGTAACAACATTCACAAAATGAGGCAAGACATTCTGATGCTGTGTTACTATCTGAATATTCTAGTCCACTGTTCTTTTTTTCAGTACAAAAAAAAAAAGTGGTTTTAATATGTCAAACCACTTGACACTCAAGAGATTTTAGAATTGCCTTCTCAAGTGCTTATGTGATTATTCAAACAAGATGGAACAGCAGCTACTCCACAAGAAAAAGGCTGCTTGAGCCAAAGGAAGCCTCATGTTATACTTTATGGATAACACAACTGATATAGCAGGACTCATGGACAATCACAGCAACTCCGGAGTAAGTGCTGCATTTGCTAGCACTAACTGAAGAGGGAACCAAAAGGATGTGCCTTGAGAGGGGAAGATGCAGCTTTAAAGATGCCCCTGTAATTCTGCTCTATAGAAGGCACTGGCATGGTTTACAGGCAACCACGGCTGAGATGCAGATGCAAATTCAGAGCCTGTCCTGAGATTCTGAGGGCCAGTTCCACAGCCAGGCTGCCAGATACAAGGCTTGCTGACATACTGTTTCAAGTCATTGGGTGGGAGAAGCCACAGGTGCAGGCAAAAGAATCAGAAATAAAAAATGAAAGTGAACAAAACACTCAAGTTTGCTTCTGAAAATATTAGAAAATATCTGCTTCAGGTAGGGAGCAAAGTACCAATTGGGGGGACTGCTTCAACAGAGGGCCATCACCAGCAACAGCCCAATCTTCACATCCAAGATCAAAGAGGAGGTAAGTCTCTACCATAACCAGCCACTCAGAGAGAGAAAAACTGACAGCCCAGGGGCAGCTTCACATGAGGAGTATCCCTTCAGACAGCATCAGCCAAAGGTCCACGTGCTCCTCCAGCCTTCTGAGTTGAAAGTGAGCATCTAGCATCACAAATGTCTGGTTTGAAGACCTCAAGAGCAAGTGGTACCCAACAGTGCTGGGTGTGACTGTACTGATACTGCAATGCAAAACATCAAAACTTTGGCCACTAACGTTTTTAATAATAAAATTGTGATAATTATGACACAATCTTGATGAACATTTCAGACTTATTCTTGTACCATGGGATCTCATTCTAAGATGGGGATTCTCACCTTAGCCAAATATAGATGTTAATTCTTGGGCATTCGGCATTCAGCCAAATAAAATTTGGAACACCCTCTTTGGGTGAAGCCGTGCAGTCCCACGGTGCTAAACATCAGCTCAGTGCTGCTGGGTTCACACGTACACTGCAGCCTGGACTCCAGGCTCACCTGCTCAGCATCACCTCCAAAAGGGCAGGTATCTCAGCCCCAGCATGTACAACACAGACCCCCGCCTTCCCAACCTCCCACCCTACTCCCAACGGCTTCCCATTTACCAGTTGCTCAAGCCACAAACCTGGCCATCAGTCTTGGTTCCTATGGCAGTTTAACTGTACAGTACCTCCCCATGTCTGCCCTTCCACTCTGGGGGCTGAGCTACTTCATCAGATGCCTGGGCCATGGCAATGGTGTCCTGACTGATCTCTCAGTTCCAACTCCTGACTCTCCTCCCCATCCATCCTGCACCCAGAAGCCTAAGTGACCTTTTAAACTCTAACCCAATCCACGTCACAGCCCTACCCAAAACCTCCAATGGCTTCCTGTCACTTGGAATAGACTGTTGTCTAGCAGGGCTGAATGAGATCTGGCCCCAGCCTCATCTCTTGGCTCTCTCCCTCCCTCTCTGCCACCTGGGCCCCGCCTCCGCTTCTTTTCACTGCTCCTCCAACACAACAGGCTCTTTCTCGCTTTAGAGCCTCAGCCCAGAACGCCCTTCCCAAGCTCACTGTGCAGACATGTGCTCAGATGTCGCCTCCCCAGAGGAGCTTCCCTGGATTGCCTTCCCCAACCCCCACCCACCACTGTACCCCATAACCTTCTATTACTTTCCTCCTAGCACTTGTCATTCCTTTAAAACATCATCTAGGTTTCAGGTTGAACCACTCCACCCCATAATACTTCTCTTTCTTCACTCTGCTAGAATGTGTGCTGGGGGAGTGGGCAGGCGCAGGGTGCGGGGCTCATCTCTCTTGTTTCCCACTGTGTCTCTACAGCCAAGAGCCACCCGACACATGTAAGCCAATGAACATTCATTCATCAGATGAATGAATGAATGTGTGACCAAAACAAACACAGACATGTTTCCCTCCAAATATACTTTCTGAGGGCCAGATGAATAAGGACAAACAATGTGGTCCAAGCATCACTGTGTCCTTCAGAGTGAGTTATGGGACATGGCCTCCCCAGCACCTCATCCCCCCACCCTCACCACCACCTGTCACAAGCCTAGGAGGTTTCCCTCCAAGAGCTGGTCTGTAAGAGCCATTTGTGCAGAGTGTGCAAACTCTGTCCAGAGGCAGCTACAGATGCTGCACCCCTGTGTTTTCAGGGCCAAGTTTCTCTGGCAGGGGCTCCCCTAGTCTCTCTCTCTCCTAAACAGCACCCCACCCCCTACCCATTCACATCCTTGTGGCAGTCCCCCCGCAGTCCACGTATCCCCTGCAGCAGATACTCCTCTGTCACAACAGCGGAGAAAAACATGATCCCACCCCAGTCACCAGCCCTGCCCTGAGGGAGTGACCCTCCAGGATGGCCCATGGGGAGACCCTTCCACCAGGATGGGGCTTGTCTGTGGGAGTGACCCTCCAGGACGGCCCACGGGGAGACCCTTCCACCAGGATGGGGCTTGTCTGTGGGACTGACCCTCCAGGATGGCCCACGGGGAGACCCTCCCACAGGATGGGGCTTGTCTGTGGGACTGACCCTCCAGGACAGCCCCCAGGGAGACCCTTCCACCAGGATGGGGCATATCTGTGGGAGTGACCCTCCAGGACAGCCCATGGGGAGACCCTTCCACCAAGATGGGGCTTGTCTGTGCAGTCCATCAAAGCAGGGAGGTTGAGCAGAAAAGAAACCCCAGAGAGAGGATCTGCTGACCCCACCAATGCTGGGGATGACATGGGTGGAATCTCATGCTGACCTTTAAGAGGTATGCTATCCCACCTACAAGGGGACACTGGGTTCTTGAGGCCACCGTCACAGGCATTTGTGGACCCTGAAAACATATCAGGGCTCTATGAGAACTGAAAGATTGTTCAGCAAATAGCTGATCCCTTCTGGAGTCTGTGGATGGCACTGAGGACCAAAAATCCAAACAATACTCATCTATCTGTCCCCCTTTCATGTCCCACAAGAGGACCCCACAATCTTCATAGGTAATGAAACTGCAGGAATTCTTTCATTGACTTAATCAACAAATATTTGTCATGTGCCAGTCACCCAGGGGACTTGGGGTGGATGGGGTACCCAGCAGCGAGCCAGATACTCCTTAGTTCTGCTCTTGGCATTTATTTGTCTGTTTAAAAAACAACAGCAATAACAACTCCTGCTTATTGACGACAGACCTGTGCCAGGCACTGTGCCAGGGGCTCCATCCACGTAATTTCAGCAGGCAGCTTGCATGGTTCCCAGTGGACAGACATGAAAAGGAGCTACTATGGCCAGGCGCAGTGGCTCATGCCTATAAACCCCACACTTTGGGAGCCCGAGGTGGGTGGATTGTTTGAGCCCAGGAGTTCAAGACCAGCCTGGGCAACATGGCAAAGCCTCGTATTGGCCAGGCGCAGTGGCTCATGCCTGTAAACCCCACACTTTGGGAGGCTGAGGTGGGTGGATTGCTTGAGCCCAGGAGTTCAAGATCAGCCTGGGCAACATGGCAAAGCCTCGTATCTATAAAAAATACAAAAAATAAGTCATGCATGGTGGCATGCACCTGTACTCTCAGCTACTCGGGCGGCTAAGGTGGGAGAATCACCTGAGCCCAGGAAGTGGAAGCTGCAGTGAGCCATGATTGTACCCCCACACTCCAGGCCAGCCAATGGAGTGAGACCCTGTCTTGAAAAGAAAAGCAGCTGCAGCAACCACAGGTTCACTCCCTTCCTCTCTCTCCCTCTCAAAATTATGTACCTCAAAGGCACAGTTCTCTGCCCCTGGACCCTCCCCGATCAGCGTGTTACCCCCACCACTGCGCCAAAACTGCTCTCATCTGGGCCACCAATGACCCATCCGGTGCCAAATCTAATGGTCAATACATTTGAGTGATGCAGAGAAATTGGAGTGTTGCAGGAGCAAGGGAGCCATTTTTTAATGGAAATATTACATCATGTCTGCACACTGAACAGTCCAGGGAAGACAGAAAGTGGCTACAGGAAAGATCAACCAAGGCACAACAGACCTGGGAAGGCCAGAGGTGAGAGAGGTGAAGCCTCTCAGAATTTGAGAATTCCTTCCTCTACAGTGGTCAGCTCAAGGAAGCAACCCATTACACTTGAGGTCAACAATTCTAGTTTCTGTAACATCTGCACGAGGATATTCCCACAATATTACTGGTGATAGAAAAATATTAGAAATGACAAAAATGCCCCACATAGGAGACTGGGTGAATAAACGAAGGAACATCCACACAGTGGAGTACAATGCAGCCATAAAGAAAAAGAAAGGTGATCTCCACATGCAAGGATTCCTAGAACATATTAAGCGAAACAAGCAGGGTGTGTAAAAGAATGTACAAAATACATCACCTTTTATGCAAGGAATAAAAGGGAAATGAGTAGGTGTGTATATGGACATTTTTGTAAAGAAACATAAGAAGGATAAAATCAGAATCCATTGAAAATTGTTACCTGGGAGTGTATACGTGGGAGAGAAAGCAGTGAGACCTCTCTCTCTCTCTCTCTCTCTCTCTCTCTCTCTCTCTCTCTCTCTCTGTCTCTGTGTCTCTCTCTCTCTCTCTCTCTCTCTGTCTCTCTGTCTCTCTCTCTCTCTCTCTCTCTCTCTCTCTTGATCGACAGGGTCTCACTCTGTTGCCTAGGCTGGAATGTAGTGGTACAATCATGGCTCACTGCAGCCTCAACTTCCTAGGCTCAAGTGATCCTCCTGCCTCAGCCTCCTGAGCAGCTGGGAATACAGGTGCACGGTGCACATCACCACGACTGGTAATTTGTAGAGACGAGGTCCCACTATGTTGCCCAGGCTGGTCTCAAACTCTTCGGCTCAAGTGATCCTCCTGGCTCAGCCCCTCAAGGTGCTGGGATGATAGGCTGAGCCACCACACCTGGCTAAGACCTTTCAAGGTATGTCATTTCCATAGTTTTGACTTTTGAAGCATGTAAATGCTTTACATTTTTAAAAGTAATATTAAATAAAATTAAATGTAAACATATACACAAAAACTAAATACAGAGAGAAACAAATTAATTTATTTATACATTAAATGGATGACATGACCACTCAAAAAGAAAATAATTCAGTTAAGTTCTGAACACAGAATTCTGACTATATACTCTTAGTGGATATATTGTACTTAAAAAATAATGGCAAAGAAATCTTGTACCTAGCATGTTTGTAGTTGATAGAGGTATTGGTATTGTAATTCTGACACTATTTTTGTATGCAATCAGAGTAAATAGCAAATATATTTCTGGAACCAAGGTTCTCCCTGGAGACTGGAATACTGAATGCTGACAGTTAAGGGATAAACTTGTAGCATTGAACTGGAATTAGAAGTAGCAGTGTGAACTCACAATTTTTAAAAAACTATATATTTGCTACCTCTTTTGGCTTAAAGAGACTAGAAGCAATGACACCCCAGGAGCCACAAGCACCCATAAGGCCCAGATTTTGCTATCTAATTACCATTCTCTTTTGAACATAAAATAATTCATCAGTCCAGGGGAATGTGTTATTCTATTTTAGGGGATTTTTTTTTTTTAAAAAAGGACACAGGAGAAGAAAAGCACTTATTTACAGAAGAAAATGCCAGCTAATAAGTGGGGAAGCCATGATAAAGATACAGAAATCACTATTTTGCAACCTCCAGCATAATATTTAGAGATGATATTTAGCATAATTTAGAGAATGATAATCAGCGGATGATAAAATCATGGGGAGCGCATCATGGGTGAACAGGACGTTCACAAAGTCCCAGAGTCTGCCCCTCTAGAGACCATGTATTAAAAAGGAAAGAAGGGCTGAGCATGGTAGCTCACACCTGTAGTCCCAACACTTTGGGAGGCCAACATGAGAGAATTGCTTCAGGCCAGTACAAAACAGGCCTGGGCAACAAAGCAAGGACCCTGTCTCTAACACAAAAAAATGAAATTTAAAAATTTAATACAAAACAATTAGCCAGTCAGGCACAGTGGCTCACACCTGTAATCCCAGCACTTTGGGAGGCTGAGGTGGGTGGATCATGAGGTCAGGAGATCAAGACCATCCTGGCCAACATGGTGAAACTCCATCTCTACTAAAAAACAAAAATTACCTGGGCATGGTGGTATGTGCCTGTAACCCCAGCTACTCAGGAGGCTAAGGCAGGAGAATCACTTGAACTAGGGAGTCGGAGGTTGCAGTGAGCTGAGATCGCACCACTGCACTCCAGCCTGGGTGACAGAGCAAGACTCCATTTCAAAAAAAGAAAAAAAAAAAACAGCCAAGTGTGGTGGTACACATCTGTAGTCCTAGCTACTCTAGAGGCCAAGGTGTGAGGATCACTGGAGCCCAGGAGTTTGAGGGTGCAGTGAGCTATGTTCACCCCACTACACTCCAGCCTGGGCAACTGAGTGAGATCCTGACTCTACCAAAATAGAACAAATAAAAAAGTGGTTTTTTTAACAGGAAAGAAGCACCTTTACAATGGAGAAACCCATAGGCCACTGCCTTAACCCAGTGATCAAACTGTCAGCACCACCAATGACAGGCAGCCTGACATTGTGTGCTCCTCCTGATACGATGCCCCCAGGAGGACAAGCAGGCAGCGCAGTCACACTCTCAGCAGAAACATGTGACCCAGATCTCATCGTGAGGAGACAGACAGATCCCGATGGGAGGATATTCTACAAGACAAGAGGCCCAGACCCTTCCAAAACGTCATAAAAGACAGAAAGACAGAACAGAACGGAGAGAGGGAAAGGGAAGGCGGTTCCAGATGAAAGAAGCCTAAAAGAAGAGACAAACGTTCATGTGTGATTCACTCCTGGATCCAAACAAAAGGCATCGTGGGGACAACCAGGGACATCTGCTCATTCAGCCAGACCCCCAGGGCTGTTGTGAGAACCAGCTGTGATCATGCAGGAGCGCCTGACCCAGGCCCTGTACCTGGGGCTGCTCCGTAGACAGGTCAGAGAAAGGCCCCGCGGCCGGGCTCAAGAGCTATGCTTGGGGCCAGGCTGCCCGGCTGTTCACCAGGAGACTGTGGGCCCCAACGTCCCCACCTGTCGAAGGCGATGGCAGTACTGCCCCCTAGGACCATTGTGACAATGAGACATGACAGTGCCAGGCATCGTGAGAACCCACTACAAGTCCAAGAATTCCTCTCATGCATCATCTGCGAACTCTGCTCTTCCGTTCTTTGCCTGGCAACTCTTCGCTCGTTCTTCCATATGAGCTGCAAGGCCGCCCCACCCCCAGGCCAGGCCGGCGTCCTCTACTCAGAACCTGCGGCATCTCCGAAGGCCCTCATCACAAGCAATCTGAACAGTAACTGTAACCATTCAAAAATATTTGTCTTTTCAGACAGACTGTAAGTTCTGAGGACAGGGACCACGTCTGTTTCAAAGATCACCGTATCCCTGGTACCCAGCCCTCGGGACTCATCCAACATCTGATGAATAAACAACCGGTTTGTCTGCACATCAAACCATGCATCAGTCAGTCCCGGGAAGATCACTAAACTGCCTTCACCCAGCAAATGCAGACACTAGAGCCCGCCCCTGGTGAGGGAACATGAGCTATCATGTATTTGGTGACACATTCACTCACAGAATATTGCTGCAGACCCGCTTCCCTCCTGCTGCCTCCCATCCTGAACCGAAGGAGTTCAAGTCAAAAGAGGGTGGCAGGGACACAAAGTGGGCCTGAGACCCAACAGGATGGGAGCCGCAGGCAGTTTTGGAAGCTGTCCCCAACCTGCTGCTGCCCCATGGCTGGGTGCTCTGTAGAAACGGCAAGGGGAGAGAGGACCCTGAAGCCACAGCCCAGGGCCTGGGCACCACCTGGGAGATGCACACTGCAGCTTTGAGTGTCTTCCTAGGACCTGTGGCCGATGTCACTATGCAGAGAATCCTGGCCCAGCCCAGGGCCGCTGCAGGGAGATGGGGGTGGGACAGAGCTGTCCCTGCTGTGAACTCACCCAAGAGCTTCTGCAGCACCTGGCCGTCATACAGGTCTTCCTCCAGCTGCTTCACAATGATCCTCTCCTCCACCAGCACGTCATTAATCCAGTCGAGGAGGACCTGCAGGAGACGCAGGCATTATGGCCTCAGTCCACCAGCGCCACGGCAATGAGGCAGTGACCAGGGAAAGTGCAGAAACAGAGACTGCACAGCTCTGCAGCCACCACCGGGACCACAGCAAGTACAGGGACAGAGGCTGCACAGCTCTGGGGCCAGGCTGCACAGCTCTGCAGCCACCACAAGGACAGGGCAAGCACAGAGACAGGGGCTGCACAGCACTGCAGCCGCCAGAACCAGAGCAAGCGGAGGGACAGAGGCTGTACAGCTCTGTGGCCACCAGGACCAGAGCAAGCACAGAGACAGAGGCTACACAGCTCTGCGGCCACCACCAGGTCCAGAGCTAGCACAGGGACAGAGGCTGCACAACTCTGCAGCCACTAGGACCAGAGCATCTCGTGTTCACCTTGGTATGGGGGCAAATGATTAAGCATTGGTAATACTGCCCTCTCATCACCCCAAGACAGTCAAGGTGACCCACAAGATATCCATTCCTCCCTGGTCACCCTAAGTCTCAACCCACCCTAACCCAGGACAGCAAAGGGAAGTTATGCATCATTACTGACAGGCTTGGTGTGACCACCGTCAGCTGCATTTTGTATGCACCCTTATTGAGATAGAATTCTCACTCCACACAATTCATCCTTTAAAAGTGTGTGATTCGATCTACTTCCCCTCTCCACGGATTTGGCTTTCTGGACATTTCATATTAATAGGAGCCGATGATGTCTGCCCTTTCATGTGTGGCTTCTTTCACTGAGCATGTTTTCAAGGTTCATCCATGTTATAGCATGTTTCCGTCCTTCTTTCGTGCCTACGCTGAATCATATTCCATCTCATGGGGGACCACATTTTGTTTCTCCATCCCTTGGTTGATGGTTATTTCGGTTATCACCCCTTTTTAGGTATTGTGAGTGGTGCTGACATGAACATTCAGGTACAAGTCTCTCTGTGGATGTGAGTTTCATTTTTCCAGGCCAGCCTTCCTCTTAAGCCTTTTCACAAGAGATTTTCCATTCAGTTCACCGGGTGATACACTTCAGAAGGAGATTGCTTCCATTATGAAAGTACCTATGGAAAGACAGGACTCCCGCCAAACACAATTCCACCTGGCCAATCCTGCTTCTGACATGTCTATTCCACAAAATAAAATGGACTCAATCAATGGCACAGAGTGTGTGATTTTCCTGTGCAAGGAAAACTAATAAATGATCTCATTGGTCCCAGTAACCTCTCGGAAATGGGAGTTTATGGCCCCTCTCAGAGATGAACAAAAGGGCACAAGTCCAGAATATACCGTCCCCTGTCACTCTGAAACAGCTGCAACCTGCAATATTGGCCACAAGGCAAATTTCTGTGAAGCACATTCTATTTTCCCAGTAACATAAAAATATCGAACCTGACACACAAGCCCACAAGGAACAGAGGTAAAAATAAATTAAAGGGCAGTTTGCAGGGAGAGGTGCATGGCCCTGTGGCATTCTGGTCTTGTCAATGCCACCTCTGAAGGTCAGGGCACAGCACCAACTACCCTGCTTCCACCCCGGGCTCTCTCTGCGAGGTGGCTGGCAGGGGGAGGGAGAGCACTGGCCTGGGAGTCCCAGGGCTGCACCCGAACCCCCTCAGTTCCCAAAGAGCTGCCTCCCCCACCCCCCATGGCCCACAGACCCCCACACTCACTGGCTTCCTGCCCTCCTCCTTCACCCTCTACAGCCTCCTTTGGGGGATCCTCCCTGACTCCCCTGACCCTTACATGATGCATGCCTGAGGGCCCTGGACAGCTCCCCTTCTCCCTCCCCACTCTCTTCAGAGGCCGGTTTCTGCCCTCCTGCAACTTCCAGCGCCGTCCCTAACCCAGGACCCCCTAAGCACAGGGCCCGCCTCTCCATGCCCCTGCCACGGGGCGGGGTGGGGAGAGGGGGTTCCGTGAGCATCTCTAACAGGACTCACCACACCCCAGGCGTGCTCCTTTCCAGGGAAGGCAGGAAGGAAGGGAGGCAGGAAGGCCACCATCCTCCTGTCTCAGATCCTGGACTTTGCCTTCTCACCCTACTTCTGTCCACTTCTTAACCAGTTCCACTCCTCCCCATCTCCCTCTTGCCCCTGGGCCACAGCCACAGCCACCTGAACACCCTGCCTCCTCGCTGGGGTTCTTCAAATAGCCCAAGCTCATCTGCGCCACGGGGCCTCTGCACACGCCACTTCCCCTAACCCAGATACCACCCCCTCCCTCACTACCTGAGCAGCACTTCCTCCTCCAGAGCTCAGACCACCCCAGCCCTCCAGGCAGCATCCCCCATCACAGCTCTCAGTCCCCCAGCACCCTGTCTCATCCTGTCCCATTAGCAATGGGAGCAAATCTTTGAAAGGCTCTCCCCTGTTAGACTCCAAGGTCTATGAGGCCAGAAGCTATGACCGGCTTGTCTGTGGCTCTGTCCGCAGCACCAGCACTTGCTGCCTGGCGCCAGAGCTCTGTAAGGATGTGGTGAATGGGTGGACTAACTTACTAGGCACCACTGCGGACCAGGCTCTGGTGACAAACAGGACAGACGAGGCCTCTGCCTTGAGGGCCTTACATTCTACTAGACTCCAAGAGACACACGGACGCCCACAGTTTCAGGTTGTGATGGTTGATAGAAAGGAAAATAAAGCTGGATCCAGTGGAGAAACCGGGTGAGCACGCCTGCACAGGTGATGACGACCGACGCCAATAGCGAAGGTGTGCAGATGGGTGTGCCCCGATATGCGATGAAAATGGCACTTGACCTCACAGACTTCCTCCCCAAAGTGACAACCTGATCGAATCATGAAGAAAGCATCAGACAAACCCCAACAGAGGGACAGTCTACAAACTCTCTGAGCAGTAATCCTCAAAACTGTCAAGGTCAACAGAAACAAGGAAAGTCTGAGAAACTGTCAGAGCCCAGAGAAGCCTCAGGACTGAATGCAATGTGGTGTCCTGGGAGGAACCCTGAGACGGCCAAAGGAGAACAGGTGACACTGAGGATATCTGAATAAAGCACCTCCATAGTTAGTAATGGGATGTATCCGTGTTGGTGCAGGGCCTTACTTAGTAACAATGTATCTGTGTTGGTGCAGGGCCTTACTTAGTAACAATGTATCTGTGTTGGTGCAGGGCCTTAGTTAGTAATGATGTGTCCATGTTGGTGCAAGGCTTTAGTAACAATGTACAATGTATCCATTCTGGTGTAGGGCCTTAGTAACAATGTATCTGTGTTGGTGCAGGGCCTTAGTTACTAACAATGTATCTGTGTTGGTGCAGGGCCTTAGTTAATAACAATGTATCTGTGTTGCTGTAGGGCCTTAGTTAGTAACAATGTATCTGTGTTGGTGCAGGGCCTTACTTAGTAACAATGTATCCGTTCTGGTGCAGGGCCTTAGTTAGTAACAATGTATCTGTGTTGGTGCAGGGCCTTAGTTAATAACAATGTATCTGTGTTGCTGTAGGGCCTTAGTTAGTAACAATGTATCTGTGTTGGTGCAGGGCCTTACTTAGTAACAATGTATCCGTTCTGGTGCAGGGCCTTAGTTAGTAACAATGTATCTGTGTTGGTGCAGGGCCTTACTTAGTAACAATGTATCTGTGTTGGTGCAGGGCCTTAGTTAATAACAATGTATCTGTGTTGCTGTAGGGCCTTAGTTAGTAACAATGTATCTGTGTTGGTGCAGGGCCTTACTTAGTAACAATGTATCCGTTCTGGTGCAGGGCCTTAGTTAGTAACAATGTATCTGTGTTGGTGCAGGGCCTTACTTAGTAACAATGTATCTGTGTTGGTGTAGGGCCTTAGTTAGTAACAATGTATCTGTGTTGGTGCAGGGCCTTACTTAGTAACAAAGTATCTGTGTTGGTACAGGGCCTTAGTTAGTAACAGTGTATCTGTGTTGGTGCAGGGCCTTACTTAGTAACAATGTATCCGTTCTGGTGCAGGGCCTTAGTTAGTAACAATGTATCTGTGTTGGTGCAGGGCCTTACTTAGTAACAATGTATCTGTGTTGGTGCAGGGCCTTAGTAACAATGTATCTGTGTTGGTGCAGGGCCTTACTTAGTAACAACGTATCTGTGTTGGTGCAGGGCCTTAGTTAGTAACAATATATCTGTGTTGGTACAGGGCCTTACTTAGTAACAATGTATCTGTGTTGGTGCAGGGCCTTAGCTAGTAACAATGTATCTGTGTTGGTACAGGGCCTTAGTTAGTAACAATGCATCTGTGTTGGTGCAGGGCCTTACTTAGTAACAATGTATCTGTGTTGGTGCAGGGCCTTAGTAACAATGTATCTGTGTTGGTGCAGGGCCTTACTTAGTAACAACGTATCTGTGTTGGTGCAGGGCCTTAGTTAGTAACAACGTATCTGTGTTGGTGCAGGGCCTTACTTAGTAACAATGTATCTGTGTTGGTGCAGGGCCTTAGTAACAATGTATCTGTGTTGGTGCAGGGCCTTAGTAACAACATATCTGTGTTGGTGCAGGGCCTTAGTTAGTAACAATGTATCTGTGTTGGTACAGGGCCTTAGTAACAATATATCTGTGCTGGTGCAGGGCCTTAGTTAGTAACAATGTATCTGTGTTGGTGCAGGGCCTTACTTAGTAACAATGTATCTGTGTTGGTGCAGGGCCTTAGTAACAATGTATCTGTGTTGGTGCAGGGCCTTAGTTAGTAATGATGTGTCCATGTTGGTGCAAGGCTTTAGTAACAATGTACAATGTATCCATTCTGGTGTAGGGCCTTAGTAACAATGTATCTGTGTTGGTGCAGGGCCTTAGTTAGTAACAATGTATCTGTGTTGGTGCAGGGCCTTACTTAGTAACAATGTATCTGTGTTGGTGCAGGGCCTTAGTAACAATGTATCTGTGTTGGTGCAGGGCCATACTTAGTAACAACGTATCTGTGTTGGTGCAGGGCCTTAGTTAGTAACAATGTATCTGTGTTGGTGCAGGGCCTTACTTAGTAACAATGTATCTGTGTTGGTGCAGGGCCTTAGTAACAACATATCTGTGTTGGTGCAGGGCCTTAGTTAGTAACAATGTATCTGTGTTGGTGCAGGGCCTTAGTAACAATATATCTGTGCTGGTGCAGGGCCTTAGTTAGTAACAATGTATCTGTGTTGGTGCAGGGCCTTACTTAGTAACAATGTATCTGTGTTGGTGCAGGGCCTTAGTAACAATGTATCTGTGTTGGTGCAGGGCCTTACTTAGTAACAACGTATCTGTGTTGGTACAGGGCCTTAGTTAGTAACAATGTATCTGTGTTGGTGCAGGGCCTTACTTAGTAAGAACGTATTTGTGTTGGTGCAGGGCCTTAGTTAGTAACAATGTATCTGTGTTGGTGCAGGGCCTTACTTAGTAACAATGTATCTGTGTTGGTGCAGGGCCTTAGTAACAATGTATCTGTGTTGGTGCAGGGCCTTAGTTAGTAACAATGTATCTGTGTTGGTGCAGGGCCTTACTTAGTAACAACGTATCTGTGTTGGTGCAGGGCCTTAGTTAGTAACAATGTATCTGTGTTGGTACAGGGCCTTACTTAGTAACAACGTATCTGTGTTGGTGCAGGGCCTTAGTTAGTAACAATGTATCTGTGTTGGTACAGGGCCTTATTTAGTAACAATGTATCTGTGTTGGTGCAGGGCCTTACTTAGTAACAACGTATCTGTGTTGGTGCAGGGCCTTAGTTAGTAACAATGTATCTGTGTTGGTGCAGGGCCTTAGTAACAATGTATCTGTGTTGGTGCAGGGCCTTAGTTAGTAACAATGTATCTGTGTTGGTGCAGGGCCTTACTTAGTAACAACGTATCTGTGTTGGTGCAGGGCCTTAGTTAGTAACAATGTATCTGTGCTGGTGTAGGGCCTTAGTAACAATGTATCTGTGCTGGTGCAGGGCCTTACTTAGTAACAATGTATCTGTGTTGGTGCAGGGCCTTACTTAGTAACAACGTATCTGTGTTGGTGCAGGGCCTTAGTAACAATGTATCTGTGCTGGTGTAGGGCCTTAGTAACAATGTATCTGTGCTGGTGCAGGGCCTTAGTTAGTAACAATGTATCTGTGTTGGTGCAGGGCCTTACTTAGTAACAACGTATCTGTGTTGGTGCAGGGCCTTAGTTAGTAACAATGTATCTGTGTTGGTACAGGGCCTTATTTAGTAACAACGTATCTGTGTTGGTGCAGGGCCTTACTTAGTAACAACGTATCTGTGTTGGTGCAGGGCCTTAGTTAGTAACAATGTATCTGTGTTGGTGCAGGGCCTTACTTAGTAACAATGTATCTGTGTTGGTGCAGGGCCTTACTTAGTAACAATGTATCTTTGCTGGTGTAGGGCCTTAGTTAGTAACAATGTATCCGTGTTGGTGCAGGAATTGTAACAAGCTCGCTGGCAGGAGGATCGCTTGAGCCTGGGAGGTCAAGGATGCAGTGAGCTGTGATTGCACCACTGCACTCCACCCTGGGTGACAGAGTGAGACCCTGTTTTGGGAGCCTCAGGCGGCATCTGAGCAGAGACAGAAAAGGGTGAGGACGAGCTGCGTGGACACCTGAGGAAAGAGCGCTGGAGGCAGAGGGGACAGCCAGGAGGAACCCTGCCAGTAAGCTGAGCACAGGGGACTGATAGTGACAGGAGTGGGGGGAGGGGGACAGGGCCGACCCTGGACTCTCCCCCAGGCTGAGTGGGGAGGAGGCCGTGAAACCGCTGGGGTCAGGGTATTCCCCCCAGACCAAGAGACCTGGAGTGCCACCCAGGGTGGCTCTTGAAGACTGACCCAGCCACGGACCCCAAGCCAACTCCCCCAGCCACAGAACCCAGACCGCTGCATCTATGCGCCACCCCCCGGGAACTTGCTCTGGCCACTTAGTGAGATTTTATGGGTTTGGTTTTTGTTTGTTTTTTTGTTTTCAAAGCATGTCATTTAAATTCGAGAGACAACACCAAGTTTACAGACACACAGAGCAGCAATCCTAACTACCCTTTTTGGTCTTCAAAGCCCTCCTCTGCCTGCTTCCACTCTCTCGCCATGCTGATTTCCACCACGGGTTCCCCACGATCCTCCCAGCTCCCCGGCTGACCTCCTTCTGACCCGCAGCCTCCCAGGCTGCAGACGTCTTCCCTCCACCAAACACTCAGCCCTTGACAGCCAGGTAAGGCCAGTGACAGAGCCTCTTCCACCCCCTCAGAGCTCCCAGCAAAGCCCCAAGCCTGAGAGATGCCGCAAATACTAGATAAGTGACTACTCATAATATTTTGCATGTCTTTTATAATTTTTGGCTCATGGCTTTAAAATGGGTTTGCCTGGGGCAGCGGCTCACACCTGCAATCCTAGCACTTTGGGAGGCTGATGCAGGATGAGTGTTTGAGCCCAGGAGTTTGAGACTACCCTGGGCAACAAAATGAGACCCCATCTCTACAAAAAAAATTAAAAATTAGCCAGGTGGGGCAGTGCACACCTGTAGTCCCAGCTACTCAGGGGTCTGAGGCAGGAGGATTGCTTGAGCCTGGGAGGAAGCTGCAGTGAGCTGTGATGGTGACACTGCACTCCAGCCTGGGCAACAGAGCAAGACCCTGTCTCAAAAAAAAAAAAAAAAAAAAAAAAAAAAAAAAAAAGGTTTTGCAGGCAGAATTTTAAAACACCCCCTAAAATCCCGACCCGCTGGTGTACATGCCTGTATAAATACAGCATGGCATGAATATGTAGGGTCTGCATTAAGACCCAGCTCCACCAGAGTTTTAGCTGTGTGACCTTGAGTCACTCATTTAACCTCTCTAGACCTCAGAGTCTTCATTCAGAAAGGAAAATAAGTCAGTCCCTAGCCCTGTGCACACTATATGACCCGGCAATTCCAGCTCTAATTTATCCCAAGGTACTAGTCCAAATGTGGCCCTAGATGCTTACTAGCTCTGGAATGATTCCAAATTTGTGTAGGAAAAATGAAAAACACAGAGAAGCCTGAAGGGACATACATGGAAAAAAAAAAAAAATTAGCCCTGCCTTCTATTGGATTTTTCTGTCTTCCAGGTTTTCAGCAGCATATATTACTTTGGCAGTTCAAAAAGATAATAAGTATCATTTTTACAAATTAATCACTATCCAGATGGCTTCTAAAGAACTTGACAAGCAGGTCTTAAATGCATATATAGGCCGGGCGCAATGGCTCACGCCTGTAATCCCAGCACTCTGGGAGGCCGAGGCTGGTGGATCACTTAAGGTCAGGAGATTGAGACCAGCCTGGCCAACATGGTGAAACCCTGTCTCTACTGAAAATACAAAAATTAGCTGGGCATGGTGGTGCATGCCTGTAATTCCAGCTACTCGAGAGGCTGAGGCAGGAGAATCTCTGGAACCTGGGAGGCAGAGGTTGCAGTGAGCCGAGATTGCACCAGTGCACTCCAGCAACAGAGCAAGACTCCATCTAAAAAATAATAATAATATTAATAATTAAAATAAAATAAAATGCATATGTAAATTCAAAGGACTCCTGGATTGCCAAAACAATCTGAAAAAGATGAACAAAACTGGAGGACCCACACTCCACTGTTTCACACCTGACTACAAAGCTCCAGTCGTCGAAACTGTGGGACTGACATCAAGGCAGACACAGACCCACGGAACAGAAAGGGGTGTCCAAGATAAGTCTCAAGTCACAGTCAACTGATATTAACAAGGATACCAGGACAATTCAGTCGGGAGAAAATAGTCCTGTTTCCTGCCTTAGTCTTCTTCGGAGCATGCAGGCCACGCGATCTCATTTTCACTTATCAGGTCTGTCTCCCCAGCTGGCCTGGCAGCTTCTCCCAGGCGGGGCCTGTGTTTTGTTCAATGCCATATCTCAAGCGGCTAAAGCAGGCACAGACCCACAGAAGGGGCTCAAACTGCAGAACCGCCTATGAACTTTCTTTTTTTTTTTTTTTTTTTTTTTTTTTTTTGAGACGGAGTCTCGCTCTGTCGCCCAGGCTGGAGTGCAGTGGCGGGATCTCGGCTCACTGCAAGCTCCGCCTCCCGGGTTCACGCCATTCTCCTGCCTCAGCCTCCCAAGTAGCTGGGACTACAGGCGCCCGCCACTACGCCCGGCTAATTTTTTGTATTTTTAGTAGAGACGGGGTTTCACCGTTTTAGCCGGGATGGTCTCGATCTCCTGACCTCGTGATCCGCCCGCCTCGGCCTCCCACCTATGAACTTTCTAGAAAGGTCTCCTGGGCCTGCAGACATTTGGTTCCAGAGGCTGCCTTGCTCAGAGCTCAGTCTTGTTAGGAAACACACAAGATACAACATTGCTGCTATAAAGAAAACTGAAAAAAGAAAAAAAAAAGTCACATCTGGATTTCAAACCCAGTCCAAGACCAAACCCAAAAATAACAAACAGATTAAAATCAAATTCCATGCAGCAGGCCATGGCAGTCCTCTCTGGGAAGCAAAAGCTGTTCACGGCCCAGTTCCACTGCCACCCCGAGGAGGTACAACTTATTCCTGGATACCACAGCACACGCTGCCACTGTACTTCCCAGGCCATCCATCTTAATCTGCTATGCCACAAAAGACTTTTTAAAGATAGCACTAGTCATTATTTTTAGGGACGCACTCATTTGCCAGCCCTGAATCCTGTGGGCAGATGTCTAGGACATACATTAATTGTGCTCTTGCATACCACTCCATCACACACGTCTTATGAGCTTTGGCTTTAACCAGAATTTTTTTAAAAAATTACTTTTTCTTTAGATCCTTCTGAATTATAATCAGGATCTGCAGCCTGTCTCCCCCAGAGCTATGACAGTTATGTTTTAATCACTTCCAAAAAGAGTCGGACGAGGGCTGATTGCAACAGGCAGGAGGAGACACGGCCCGGTGGGGGCCAGGGGGCACGGGAGGGCACCTCTGTGCGGCTCCAACAGCACCAATTTCTGCCCAGAGGATCGTTTTCATGCAGCTGATTTTCTTCGGAGAGACAAAGGGAGGAAGAAAACAGAACTTAAAGACAGGAAGGGTCTTGTCCAATCAACCGGGGAATGAGATGTGAAACCTGCTCTTGGGGGGAGACGCACCCCCAGATGACATGCAGTCAGCCTGCTTTCAACCAATCTGCTTAGGGAGTTTTCTGTGTTTTTTTTCTGACACCCAACGTGTCATTCCTGTCAGGCCTCTGAGCCCAGGCCAGGCCATCGCATCCCCTGTGACTTGCACGTATACATCCAGATGGCCTAAATTAACTGAAGATCCACAAAAGAAGTAAAAACAGCCTTAACTGATGACATTCCAGCATTGTGATTTGTTCCTGCCCCACCCTAACTGATCAATATACTTTGTAATCTCCCCCACCCTTAAGAAGGTTCTTTGTAATTCTCCCCACCCTTGAGAATGTACTTTGTGAGATCCACCCCTGCCCACCAGAGAACAACCCCCTTTGACTGTAATTTTCCATTACCTTCCCAAATCCTATAAAACGGCCCCACCCCTATCTCCCTTCGCTGACTGTCTTTTCGGACTCAGCCCGCCTGCACCCAGGTGAAATAAACAGCCATGTTGCTCACACAAAGCCTGTTTGGTGGTCTCTTCACACGGACGCACATGAAAATTCCAACAGCAATTCTCTGATTATCTGATACCAATGGGGTGTCCTAGAGTTCAGTCTGATTCTAACACTAGCTACAGTTGACCCCACAGGCTGAGGGCTCAGTCCCACCAAATTGACTTCATTCCAGACACCAGCTGCAGATGGGGCTCCCAGGCTACTTGAGCCTCTTCCCACTGATTACAAATCAGGGCCCTCACCTCAGGTTCAGTGATTTGGCAGAACACACAGAGCTCAGAAAAGCATTTTACTGAGGATTACCAACTTACTATAAAGGTTAGAACTCAGGCACAGCAGGCCAGGCGTGGTGGTGGCTCATGCCTGTAATCCCAGTACTTTGGGAGGCTGAGGCAGGCAGATTGCCTGAGCTCAGGAGTTCGCAACCAGCCAGGGCAATATGGTCAAACCCCATCTCTACTAAAATACAAAAAATTAGCTGGGCGTAGTGGCGGGCGCCTGTAATCCCAGCTACTTGGGAGGCTGAGGCAGGAGAATCGCTTGAACCCGGGAGGCAGAGGTTGCAGTGAGCTGAGATTGCACCACTGCACTGTAGCCTGGCCGACAGTGTGAGACTCCGTCTCAAAAAAAAAAAAAGAACTCAGGGACAGTGTAATTAATAAGAAACACTGCACAGGACAGAGTTTTCGGGGAGGGAGGCGGGGCTTCCATGCCCTCTCCCTGCGTGTCCCCCTCCAGCACCTCCATGTGTGTTTCCCAGCGCCAAAGCTCTCTGAACCCCACTGTTGATGGGTTTTGCGGAGGATTCATTATGTAAGTGTGACTGATTACATCATTGGCTATTGGTGATTTGATTCACTCTCCAGCCCCTCTCCACCCCACCCAGAGGCTGGGGGTGGGTAGGACTGATAGACCCAACCCTCTAATCCTGTGTTGGTTACTCTGGGGCCAGCCCCCACCCTGAGTCACCTCGTTAGCATAAACCCAGATCTCATTATGAATAACAAAAGACGCTCCTATCACTCAGGAAATCGCAAAGGTTTTAGGCGCTACGTGCTAAGAATCTGCACCAGGACCTAGAGGCTAAGGCCAGGTCTAGGTTTCTCCTTATATGGCAACTGTACAGGTTTCCCTTGGCTATTCATTCTGGAAAGCATAAGAATAGCCACTCCCTCTTTTAAGAATCATTAAAAATTTAAAGTATCTCATCTATAAACCTCTAGTTGCCTGGGCAGCATTCAGTGTTCACCCATAAGTAATTCAGGTCACTGCTGGAGAAGGTTAGAGAAAATACACAGGAAGAAACACCAGCAAAGATGACTTTTGGATAAGTCTTCCAGGCTCCTGAACCCACCGGATGCATGCACCCACTTCCAAACTGGCATTGCCCATCTGTCCATTCAACTCCCTTCTGGGCTGCCCTGTTCATGCTCATGTTCCCACACTGCCCTTACACTGCTAACGGGTGATCAAGTGTATGATCTAACATTATCCTTACAAATGACACTTTGAGGTTGTCACGTTGGTGCTATTATTCTCCCACTTTAATCTGAGTTGGGATTTAAATCCAGGAAGCTGACCCTAGAGCCGACCTTCACCCCTTAACAGTATAATACATGAGTATAATCAATGCTCAGAGACAAGTTTTGAATGACTGGCCTCATTCTCAGTGCCTAGCTTACCCAGAGCTAAGGATTTTTTTTTTTTTTAAACAGGAGCAGAGGGCATCTCACAATATTTTATACAGCAACAGTCCTGAGGCAGCAGAGGTCAGAGGGGGTGTCTACTAGGGGAGACAGGACAAGCAATCAAGACAAGAGGAAAAAAGTGCAGATGACAGAGAACAGAGAAAGAGAAAACTAGAGGACCAGGCAGGCATCCTTGGAAATGTCCCCCATTTCCAAGGGGGACATTCAAGACTGCAATGTGGCTACAAGCAATGGCCACACCACCACAGCCAGCGGATCAGGATGTCAGCCAGATCTGTCTGTCCCCTGATCTGCTCAGGCCTGCATACGGTCTGTGCTTTGCACTAAAATCATCTGCTTCTGGACCAAATGCCTCCGAGGAACCACTGGGAGGTGGCTTCTACTAAGGCCTACTTAGATGTAATCCACTAGCATTAGATCATCACAGTCCACAGTACACAAAGGATGTTCTGGAAAGCAAAGAGAATTACGCAGGTAATGTGGATGGAGGTGTTTTGTCTGCACCATCCGGACTGTCCATCTCCTCCCAAGGGAGCACCTGGGACCACCTACATCAGCATCCAATCCACAGGTTTACCCCAACCCTCACCCCCTCTTCCCAGAGCCTCCTCCCTGCCATCTCACAGGTTTGGGGTAGAGCAAAAAAAAAAAAAAAAAAAAAAAAAAACACATCTGGCTGGGCATGCAATGGCTCACGCCTGTAAGCCCAGCTCTTTGGGAGGCCAAGACAGGCAGATCACTTGAGGTCAGGAGTTTGAGACCAGCCTGGCCAACATGGTGAAGCCCCCTCTCTACTAAAAATACAAAAAATTAGCCGGGCATCATGGTGCATACCTATAATCCCATTTACTTGGGAGGCTGAGGCAGGAGACTCACTTGAGCCTGGGAGGCAGAGGTTGCAGTAAGCTGAGATCATGCCACTGCACTCCAGCCTGGGTGATAGAGTGATAGAGTAAGACCCTATCTCAAAACAACAACACAAAACAACAACAACAAAAAGCAACCACATCTGTCTTGTCTCTAAGCCGCATGCCATCTTGGGAGACGCTGGTGTGAACCTCATGTTGGTGCTGCTGACACAGACCCCCATCGGTTCTCTTACTATCTATCAAGGATGAATTAGCTCTGCATGTGCAGCACAACTCCAGCCCTGGGGATTTAGCTGGGAAGAGAATGGTCATGGTCCCTCACAGCATAAGATTACATTCTAGGGGAGGAGAAAGACCAAAAACAAACTAGTAAATAGGAAATGACTCCAGGCAGCAGCAAGCCCAGCAAAGAAAAAGTAACTGGGGTTAGGAGGAGAGTGATGGAGTGACAGGGGCAGGAAATACGTCTCCAAGGAGGAAGCATTGAGAGAAAACTGAAAGAAGTGTTGAAGACAGCTCCAGGCATGGGCCTTTGAAAGTCCAAAGACCAGGTACGTGATAATGAACCTAACCTTGCCCACAGAGAGGTTGGGCCTGTGACCTCAGCCCCTGGGAGGTGATCTCCTAAGCTCCGAAATGCCCTGCCAGATAAAGTACCTCTGCTTACCTGGGGCCCTCGGGCCAGCCAGGGAGTAACTATGTCATTCAGGGAGGGGGCTTTGGGTTGCACTCTATCAGCCAGCTGCTGGAGGGGCTGGAGACAGATGAGCCATGTGGACAGTCAGCCACACCCATGCAAGTGAGCTCCAGCAGAAACTCTGGACACGGAGGCTCAGATGACCTCCCCGGCTGGCAATACTGCATGCGCATTGTCCCACATCACCGGGAGAGTAACGCTGCCTATGACCCCATGGTGAAAGGACAATGGAGGTGCTGTGTGGGTGCGTTCAACTCTGCCCTGGGCAACTCTTCCCTCGGCTGATTTTCATGTGTATCCCTTCACCATCAGAAACTGTAACTGTGAGGGTGACAGCTTTAAGTGGGTTCTGGGAGTCCCTCTAGCAAATGACCAAACCTCAGGGCAGTGTTGGAGATCCTGAACTTGCCATTGGTGTCAGAAGTGAGGGTGGGCTTGTGGGATGTCCCCTTTCACCTGATGCCCAGTGGGCACTGGCTCAGTGTGTCCTCAGAACAGCAAGGTGGTCAGGGTGGCTGGGGCAGTGAAGGAGGAGGGGAGGCAGGGAATGACACCTGCTCACCCCTACCCACACACGCATACTGCTCTGGCCTTGTGTAGTGAGGACCTGACTCATTCCCAAACCAGAAGAAAGGAGGTGCTGAAAATCCATGAACACAAGCAAATCCAGACAGGGAATATGCCTGGACGCACAGAGAGCCCCCTGCATGCCTGACAAACAAGAATCAACCAAGGGCAGCCCAAGCTCAGTATAGCCAACTCACCTGCTGCCACCCACACGCTGCTCTGTTTAAAAGGCTATAGTCAGTGAGAACTAATATTTAACGTATATCGCCTCTGTGCCACCACTACAGTAACTAACACGCCACCGACAGCCAAACCGAAGCTGCTCTCCGGGTTGCTGTGTCTATGCTTATTTTGGAAAATGATTGATCAAGAGTGGAAAATGTCTGCCAGCCTGCTTTGAGACGCAACCTGCAGTCTGAGAGCAGGTGGAGCCTTCCAGAATTTGCCTGTCTCCAGAAACACGTGCTCCAGGCTGGTGGGACAGTTGCAGTAACAGGCATCTCAGTGTCTGGCAACTGGCCCTTCCAGGAAATGGCCAAGGATGCTGCCGCTGCAGGTATCAAAACCCACCCTGCCTGGCCCCAGTGGCCAGGGCACGCCAGCTGCAGCTGGAGGCAGCAGCCTGGAGAACAGGATGGTGTTAGTTGCTTGTGGCTACTGTAACAAATTAACACAAACCCAGGGGCTTCCAACGGCTCAGTGGATTCTCTTGCAGTCCTAGAGGTCAAAGTCCAAAATCTGTTCCACTGGGCTAAAATCCAGGTGTCAGCAGGGCTGGTTCCTTCTGGAGGCTCCAGGGTTCCTTCTGGGTTCTCTAGTGGAGAATCCATTTCTTTGTCTTTTCCACTTCTAGAGGCAGAGGCCGCCTGCATCCATTAGTGCATGGCCCCTTCTTCCATCTTCAGAGCCAGAAGCTACCACCTTGCCTCCAGGGTCAAGCTGCCATGTTCATGGGCAGTCAAAGCTCCCCATGTCCCTCTTATACAGACACTAGCGAACACACTGGGCCCGCCTGGATCATCCAGGATGACCTCCTCATTGCAAGGTCACTAACTACACCCACCATGTCCCTTTGCCATGTAAGATGATAGTCAATGGCTCCAGGGATTATCACATGGTCATCTTTGGGGACCATGATTCTGGCCCAGGTTCCCTGAAAAACAGAGCCAGGACAAAGCTCACTGCTGATGCCTTTTCTTTGGCAGGGGTTTGGGGGTGAGGGGAGGGCACCCTAGACGAGCAACAGGGAGGGGAAGGGAGGTGAGGCAGGTGCATGAGCTGGCTATGGCTTCAGAAGAAAACCCAGCTGATGATCAGCCATGCAGCCCATCTCCATGAGCCATGGTCTCAGAAGCCCACATCAGGGAAGTCGGGGAGAGGCATTTATTCCTCAGCTCCTTCCTGTTCTTAGTTGTATTTTGCCCCATAGTTGTACTTTGCCCCAAAGGATGCTAATTAGCTTTCCCATCAGTCCACCCCATGCCCCTCAATGTGGCCTTCTTCTCAATCTGAAACCTGGAAGACATGCAGCAGCCAGCCCTCGCCCCACCAAGGCCAAAACAGCCTGGGGGTCTTTGGCAGCAAAGCAGCAAAGGCAGGGGTGGGTGGCACTGCAGACATCCAGGAGGAACATAAATCAAATCCTGCATAGCAGGGAAGTCACTTATCCATCCCCGAATCCCAGGGCCCAGCACAGGACCCCACACGCACTCAACTTGGCTCAGTGAACACAGCACCAAATGGACAGAGCCATTCAAGCCCAGACACATCACTAACCCCAGCACCTGGGGGTGGGGAGTTACTTAAACCTGTCTTTTTTTTTGAGACAGGGTCTTGCTCTGTCACCCAGGCTAGAGTGCAGTGGCTATTCACAGGCATAATCTTAGCTCATTGCACCCTTGACCTCCGGGGCTCAAGCAATCCTCCCACCTCAGCCTCCTGCATAGCTAGGATTACAGGTGCCTCCCACCACACCCAGTTAATTTTTTTTTTTTTGGTAGAGACAGGGTTTCACCATGTTGCCCAGGCTGGTCTTGAACTCCTGGGCTCAAGTGATTCCCCCCAACCTTGGCCTCCCAGGGCGCTGGGATTTCAGGTGTGAGCCATGGCGCCCAGCCCCTTCACCTCTCTCTGAGTCTCCACATGGAAGCAAGAATGACACAGCTCCCCAGGGTGTTGTTTCAAGGAGATAATCCTGTGAATGGAGTTTGTGAACTCTCAAGCATTGCTCAAAAATCAAAGAAAAAAATCTTTAGAAAGGTGCATGGGATGGTTCATCTTCTGTGTCAACTTGCCTGGGCTCTGGGGTGCCCAGATAGCCAATGAAACATTGTTTCTGGGTGTGTCTGGAATGGTGTTCAGAGGAGATGAGCATTTGAATTGGTGGATAGAGTAAAGCAGACAGCCCTCCCCAAAGCGGGTGGGCCTCATCTGATCCCATAGAACAAAAAGGTGGAGGAAGTTGGGATTCACCTCTCTCTGCCGGGGACTGCTAGTGCCAGCACCTGGATCTTCTCCCACCCTGTTCCCGGTACTCAGGGCTGCAGACGCAGGCTGGCATCTCTACCACTGGCCCTCCAGCTTTCTAGCTTGCAGATGGCAGGTCGGGGGACTTCTCAGCCTCCGTAGTCAAGTGAGCCAATATCATAATAAACCTCTCTCTAGATATTGACACAATTGGGTCTGTTTCTTTGTAGAAGCCTGATAATTCTCATGCATCCCTTGCTTAAATATCCCCCAAGAACAACATTTTCGTGGCTAAAAGACAGTGACTTTCCTCATCAACGTTCTTCTGTTTGAAATAACAAAGTGGGTATTCAGAGGGAAAAAATAAAACAAATTAAATAATTTAAGTTATTAATAATCAACATCTTTGGGTGGACCCTAAAACTGACATTTGGAATTTCTTTTTTTTTTTTTTCTGTGAGATGGAGTTTTACTCTTGGTGCCCAGGCTGGAGTGCAGTGGCGAGATCTCGGCTCAACGCAACATCTGCCTCTCAGGTTCAAGCAATTCTGCCTCAGCCTCCCGAGTAGGTAGGATTATAGGCACCCACCACCATGCCCGGCAAATTTTTTGTATTTTTAGTAGAGACAGGGTTTCACCATGTTGACCAGGCTGGTCTCGAACTCCTCACCTCAGGTGATCCACCTGCCTTGGCCTCCCAAAGTACTGGGATTACAGGCATGAGCCACTGCGCCCGGTCTCAATGTAGATTTTATTTTATTTTATTTTATATTTTATTTTTTATTTTTTATTTTTTTTTGAGACGGAGCCTCGCTGTCGCCCAGGTTGGAGTGCAGTGGCGCGATCTCGGCTCACTGCAGGCTCCGCCCCCCGGGGTTCATGCCATTCTCCTGCCTCAGCCTTTTGAGTAGCTGGGACTACAGGTGCCCGCCACCTCGCCCGGCTAATTTTTTGTATTTTTAGTAGAGACGGGGTTTCACCGTGTTAGCCAGGATGGTCTCGATCTCCTGACCTCGTGATCCGCCCGCCTCGGCCTCCCAAAGTGCTGGGATTACAGGCGTGAGCCACCGCGCCCAGCCTCAATGTAGATTTTAAAAGAACATAACTTGCAAGCCGTCTTACTTATTCTGAATGAGCCCTCATGAAAACACAGTTGTACAGCCCAGCATTGGGTCCACTGTGGTGGTGAAGGTGGAGAAGCTTTTTAAAAAGCACTTTTAATAGAAAAATGTCTGTTTCTGGCAGACACTGTCACCATCGGCATTTTCAAGAATCCCGGGGTGCCCAAGCTCGCCGTGGGCTATGGAAGCCAAGTGTCTGCCACAGCCGTGTGCCCAAGAGCCCACCCTGGGTTCACCAAGGTCAGGCAGAGCCCACAGCCTCTCCTCTTCAGGGGATTCTCTCTCAAGCCCTACCGTGGTTTCGATCAGAGCAACCAAAACTGCAATCTGTCCTTGGACCCACACAAGCACTGCCTCACGGTGAGCAGGAGCCACGCTGGAGAAGGACAGCCGCTGCCCAAGAAGGCCAGCACCATGGGCCCCTTCCCTCACTGTTCCCTGACTTCTGGGAGCGGGGCAGCCAGGTTCCTCGCCCAGCTGGGATTCACGCCTCCAGACGTGGTGGAAACTGACTGTCCACTCAGCGCAGGCATCGGCATCAGATGGCTCCTGGCCAGGAGTGGCCAGGGTGACCCCTCCTGCTTTTCAGGGTTAAATCTGAATCTAGACCCCACCAGGCTCCAGACGGAGTTCCAACTCCATCTGTAAGGTACTACACTAGCTCACGCCAGCACTCATTCCTAATCCTAAAATCCCCTCCTGCCGAGCTCTGTCCAGCAAAGAGTTCACAAGACTGGTCGTTAAAGCCCCAGCCGAGCAGGGCACATGGGAGGCGCTTGGCACTTCGGGCTGGATCCTCTCTGCCGTCCTCCTCTGCCAACATGTCTGCCCACCTTCTCATGCAGCACCAACATCCCTTTCAGGAGCCCCGGGTTTAGCTCCCTTTGTCCATGAGAGCCCTGAACCCCAAAGCCAAGTCCTCGCCCTAAGAGGAAGATTCCAACCAAGACGGAGCTCCTTACCTTGACCAGTTCCTTGAACTTGGGGTCTTCCTTGGAAGTGGGGTCAATCATCGTGCGCTCCTCGTTCTCCTCTGCCAGGGACAAAAGGAAGTCACGGTCAGCGATTGTGGGGGTGGCAGGGACACGGGGAACCAGGGGGAGGCCAACTCATCTCTGACAAATGGAGAAGCAGAGAACCCAGCACTAGGGGAGGGTGACTGCAAGGAACCGCCTTCTGGAAGGTGGATGGGGCATCCTCCCGCCTTCCCCTCTTCTGGAAAGGGATGAAGTCAAACTCATCATTCTGCCCGGCCTCGCTCCTCCCAGACTCCGCCAGCAGCTGGTCCAAACCATTTCCATTTTTCAGGAGAAATAAGGAGAGAGCAGCATTCACAGGGCATGAGATGCCTCCGCTGGCCGGAATCTGGTATGTGGGAAAGCTTCAGGCACCAGGTAGTTCCCTGTGGCCACTATTTATAAATACATTTGAAGAGTCTGGATGGTTATAATGAAATGGAAAATGTTTGGTACATTCCATGGAAAAGAATCAATATGCAATGTTGTATGTAAAATAACATGCAGAAAAAATATTGAGAAATAAATAGCAAAAAAAAAGGTGGGGGGGGATGATGTGTAACAGCAAAACGTGTTCAGCCTCACCCTCTTTCTATTTCTCTACCTGTTTGCTTTCCCTCCACGTTTCAGCCTGGATCCCACAGACACCAGGCAGCCAGCTGAGCCCGTCATGGAGGACAGTGCCGTGGAGACAGTGGGGAGGCGGGACTGCGGAGGGGGCACCCACCAAGGCTAGGCGTGCTCCACAGCAGAAATGCCCAGCACCACACAGAAGCCAGCGGGCGCCGAGCACCTCTGAACACACACAGGGAAGGGCAAGGGGGTCTCAGGCTGCCACACTGTCCAGCTCCGGGACCTGCACAGAGCATGGGTCGGGTGGGGCCCAGGCTCCACTCACCGGGAGGCTCTATACCACACCTCTCTCTTAAAGAGGAAAAAAGGCACAAGAGGGGCTCCAGGCAGAAGCCAGTTACCCCCAGGACATACAAGTGGAGATGGCCAGGACACAGTTGAGACCAGGGTCCCAGAGCCCAGACAGGCTCCCATGGGGCTGGGGACACTGACCATGTCGGTCAGAATGAAAACAGCTTTGAAGCTGAGCGTAAGTGGCTCCTGCCTACAATCCCAGCACTTTGGGAGGCTGAGGCGGGAGGATTGCTTGAGCCCAGGAGTTCCAGACCAACCTGGGCTACATAGTGAAATCCCTGTCTCTATTTTTAAAAATAAATAAAATAATAAAATAAAATAAAATACAAAAGAAAGAAAGAAAATGGCTTTGAGTGAAACTTTGCTGCTGACACGGATGTGATGCAACTTCCCGGCAGCAGAGTGTAAACTCTGACAACATGGAGAAACTAATTTTGAAGTCATACAGATCTGATGCCTGAAAAGGACACTCCAGGTAATGTGCAGGGAGTTCTCGGGAGTCCTGATGATATCTCTGCAAAGGCCTCCGCAGCCTCCCACTCCTGCTGGGATCAAGGCCGGCGTCCTCCATGTGGCCTCCAAGGCCCCTCTCCCGCCTCATTTCCTGCCCTCCTGGTGCAATCTGCTCCAGCCCATCCGGCCTTCCCTCACTCCTTGAAGCCTTGCTGCCACCTGCCCTGAGCCTTGGCACCTGCTCCCGCTGTCTGACACTCTCTCCCTGGCCCATGTTTCCTTCACCCTTCAGACCTCAGCTCCCCAGCTGAGATCCTTGAGCCCGAATGCCAAATCTTCCAAGCTCTCCAGCCCCAAAGAGGACTTTGTGTGCCTGTGTGACCCATGTCTGAGACCCCCTCTGGACCACCCATCTCAGGCGGGCAAGGAGCAGGGCCAGGCCGTGAGTCCACACGTGTATGAGAGGGGGTGCAGGACGGAGAGTGAGCAGGTCACTACCCAATCCCAGCCTTCAGAGAGCCCGTTTCTGGAAACATCCCCTTCAACCCACACTAAAAATCTCAGCATTGCCCTATCTAGCATGTCCCCACACCTTGCTCTCGCTGAACTGAGGAGAAGCAAGATTCGGGCCCGCCCAGCTCATGTGGCCCCCACAGGGAACTCGCTGCTCCCTCCTGAAGGCTCTGAGCCCACGTCTGACCCCAGACTGGGCAGCATGCCATGGTGGCTCGGATGTCCCAGGACTGTGTGCTTCTTGAGGGGTCCTGCCTCAGTCGGCGGGACCACTGAGAGGAATGGGGCGTCTGACCCAGAGACTGTGAAAGGTGGAGGACAGAGATGCCGTTTCGAGGCTTACTGTTACCAAACACTTTCTCAGAGGCATCTCCGGTCTTTACCTGTCCCCGTGGGGTAGCTTTCATTCCTGACCCCGCCTAGAGGGGAACAGTGGGCCTGAGAGGGTGGACAGCAGGCCCCAGGCAGGCAGCTATGTGTGGCAGTGTGTCCATGTCTGCAGATCCCGCCGGGATCTCCTGGTCACCTGGTGATGGTGACAGTAGGCCAGAATCAGAGGCTCTGCACAGACCAGGGAGCAGCTGCGTCTCACGGGGCAGGGGCCTGATTCAGAGCAGGCGCTTGCTCCAGATGAGAAACACCTCTGTATCTGGGGGCTCCAGAGCTCACAGTCAGCCCTTGCTGCCTGTCAGCATTCATGACCTGCTAGCCTTGACCGGGGACCCTGGACATGAAACCCCCGCAGGCCACTGCACATCATGGCCCTCAGTCTGCTACGGGCTGCTCACGCGGCCTAGAGGGGAGCAATTCCCAAACCTCAGTGGGCCCCGGAGTCACTGCAGGCATGTTTAAAGCAGAGGGGCCTGGGCCCGCATACTCCCATTTGGTAGGTCTTCGGGTGGCCAGGAACCCTCACTGCCAAGTGCCCTGGGACTTTCTGACATCCTGCATTGAGGAACAGGACTCCAGGGACTCTGGGAGAGAAGAAAAGGGCTGTGAGAGGCTCCTTGTTTTTCCTAAAAGGAAGCTGAGAGCAGACACCAGCCGCCATGCCATCTCTGAGCTGTGTGACTTTAGTGGTCGCTAAACTGTGCCATGCTCCTCTCGGTGGCTCCAAGACTGAGGCAGGACCCCTCGAGGAGCCCACAGTCCCGGGACACCACAGTGGGTACAGCAAGCGCTGCTCCATCCAGGGGGTGCCGGGGGGTCAGACATGGGCTCAGAATCTTCAGCAGGTCTGGGTCCACACAGGCTAGGTGGGCCTGGTTCAGGTTTCTCTCCACTTCAGTCAGAGGAGAAGCAGTGCCCAGAGGCCAGGGTGGTATCTCTGTGCCAGTGTTTTGTGGGAACCGAGCCCCCGCCCTCCCCACCTTGTGCGTCATAGCCAGCTGCAATAAAACGTGCCCAAGGACAGGGACCTGTCCTACTCACCTCTGATGAGGGCCACCATCTTCACTGAGAGGGTCTAGAGCAGGGGGAGGAGCCTAGCTCTGGGGGCAAAATGCCCGGGGTTCAAGACTTTGGCACTTACTAGTGATCTCTGTGATCTTAGATCTGTGCCTCAGCTTCCCCATCTGTACAATGGGGATAATGATACAACCCACCTCACAGGGTCACTGAAGGGACTGAGGAGTAGAAGCATTCACAGTGGACCCCCAATATTCGCTACAATGATGACATTTATGAGCCCAAAGGATATGAAATATACAAAGAGGACTTCAGAAAGAATCAGGTGCTGTGCAAATATTCAGTGAGTGAGTTCAATTATTATTATTTTTTGAGACAAGGTCTCACTCTGTTACCCAGGCTAGAGTGCAGTGGTGTGATCTTGGCTCACTGTAGCCTCAACTTCTTCAGACTCAGGCAATCCTCCCACCTCAGCCTCCTGAGTAGCTGGGACTATAGGCGTGTGCCACCATGCCTGGCTAATTATTTTATTTTATTATTTTATGAGATGGAGTTTCATTCTTGTTGCCCAGGCTGGAGCGCAGTGGTGCAACCTCGGCTCACTGCAACCTCCGCCTCCTGGATTCAAGCGATTCTCCTGACTTAGCCTCCCAGGTAGCGGGGATTTCAGGTGTTTGCCACCACACTCAGCCAATTTTTGTATTTTTTAGTAGAGACAGGGTTTTGCCATGTTGGCCAGGCTGGTTTCGAACTCCTGACGTCAGGTGATCCACCTGCCACAGCCTCCCAAAGTGCCGAGATTACAGGCCTGAGCCACCGAGCCTGGTGGGGCCACTCTCTTCTAAGCGGAGGGAGAGAAAGCCCCGTGGACCCTGGTGCGACCTCAGGCAGCATCACCAGCTCTGGCTTCGGGTCGGTTGGCGGCTGAACTTGCATCGGCGTTTCTTCTCCATAAGCTCTTGCTGGCCTGGCCTCGTCACGGAAACCACAAAAAAGGGATGAACCGGGACTTCCCTTCGAACCAGGGTTTGGAAATACGCAGAATGTTCCATAAATGCCTTCCAGATCAGCTAGATCCCAAAACACACTTTAAGGAAAATGTGTCTTGGCTGTTACCCATTACATCAGGCAGTGAGCGCAGGGGCCTGGGCCACTTGGCAGAGCCCACCCTGCAAGCCCAGGCCGCGGGCAGCTCTGGCTGGCCCAAAGGGAAGAAGCATATTAATTGTGTTTTGCATTTTCTTTTTTTCTTTTTTTTTTTTTTACTTTGAGATGTCTCGCTCTGTCACCCAGGTTGGAGTGCAGTGGTGCGATCTCGGCTCACTGCAACATCCCAATCCCGGGTTCAAGCGATTCTCCTGCCTCAGCCTCCAGAGTAGCTGGAATTACAGGCTAGCCACACTCGGCTAATTTTTGTATTCTTAGGAGAGACGCGGTTTCGCCATGTTGGCCAGGCTGATCTCAAACTCCTGAACTCAAGTGATCCGTCCACTTTGGCCTTCCAAAGTGCTGGGATTACAGGTGTGAGCCACCGTGCCCGCCCTGTTTTCTGTATTTTCTGGTGCTTGGCATCTCGGGGCCTTGCTGACTCTGGAGAGATTGCACCTCCAGGGCAAGCTAATTCCTAGAGATGGTAAACCACCCTCTGTGAGCACACCTTTCATATGAAAACCACTCAGAGCCTGAGCCGCAGAGCCCAGAGTCCCCAGCCACCTCTTTCCTTGGGCTCTCACGGGGCTCCTACACTCCCAGCCAATATCCTCACCCTAATCTCCCCTGGCCCTGGGGACATGCCACGCCACGCCACACCATACCACGCCACGCCACGTGGTGTGGAAGAAGAAGAGTCTTCTTACTGAGAAGACTCAGGACAGCTCCTGCACCGCAAAGCCCAGTGAAACGATTCCAACAAGCCAGGCCTAGGCCTGTTCACCCAGCCTTGCCCATTCCTTCAGAGAAAGCCACAGTAAGGGTGTTGGGGCCAGGCGCAGTGGCTCATATCTGTAGTCCCTGCACTTTGGGAAACCGAGGCAGGAGAACTGCTTGAGCCCAGGAGTTGGAGACCAGTCTGAGCAACATGGCAAGACCCCATCTCTACAAATAAATTAAAAAGTTAGGTGGGCGGGGTGGCACATGCCTGTAGTCCCAGCTACTCAGGAGGCTAAGGCAGGAGGATCACTTGAACCTGGACGGTAAAGGCTGCCATGAGCTGTGATCATATCACCGCACCCCAGCTTGGGTAACAGAGTGAGACTCTATCTCAAAAAATATATACATAAAATATCAAATAAAGGCATTAGCCCTGCTCCTTCTGCCTCTGCCTCACACTAGTGCTTTCCATGTGGCCTTCTGTGGCATGGTGTGCTATGGTGTGGCGTGGCTTGGCATGGTGTGGCGTGGCGTGGCATGGCGTGGCATGGCATGGCCCTGAGTGGCCTGCTACACCTCCTTTCAGAACTATGAGTTTAACAAACTATCTTTTCAAGTCAGTCTTCTCCCAATCTGTTTGCTTCACCACCTGAAAAATAAAACTTACGTTTTAAGACTAGGGCAGAAACCCTTAATGAAGGACTTGCTTTTCCCAATGGACTTTTCTAAAGATGACCTTGAGCTAAGAACTTAGACTCCCAAATGCCCCCAGCATCTGATCAAGAGGCCAGATCTATCGGGCTCCTCATTGGCCTCCCCAAGACCAACTTAGTGCCACGGAAGCTCAACTGTCTCAGGGCAGGGAGCGGAGGAACCCCCGTACCAAGCTGGGTGTCTTCAGGGTGAACATCCACCAGGGCGGGGGACATCGGTGAGTTGATGGCATTCTTGCCTTCTTCCTGCAGGTCACTCACTGTTGAGCAAAAGGAAAGAAAAACCAGGTTAGTATACACGGAGTGCCGTGGCCTCACATGTTGGCTGTGGACGCAGAGAGAAATCAATTCCTGTTTTTTTCAGCATTTAACAAACATTCCTAAAAGGTCTGTTGCCCAGAAAGAGTCAGAGGGAAAAATGCTCTGAACCAAGAATACATTCTGCAGTTCCTCCCCACCCCAAATATTTCCCAGGTCTCGCTGAGCTCTGCCAGTCTGTTTTCACTGCCCTTTGAAACTCATAACTAAGACACCAAAGCTTCCAGATGCCTCCAGATGCTTCCAGATCTGACCAAGACTGCTGAGGCAGACAAAGCATGGACCACAGCGATGGGGCATGAGAGAGTGGGGCTGCCTTCCCTCTGCCGGGGGGCTGCGTCCTGAACCACGGACTCAAGATGCTAACCCCCTCCGGTCATGCATACAGGTGAATCTGGAGTTTAAAGTGGGGTCACTGGTGATGGCCACATTCACAGGCACAGAAATCTGATGGAACACCCGGGTCAGGATGGCTGGAACATGCAACAGAATCTAATAAAGAGAGCCAGAGGCTCCAAGTCAGAAACACCATGACCTCCTGTCTCAAGGGAGTGCTGAACAGTTACAGGATCTGGAACGCCCAGTGATTAGGGACAATCCCAGAACCAGAAATGACCCCTCATCTCCCTGCACCAGTGAGACCCTGCAGGCCTTTCAGCCACATCCACCAGGGAGGAATACCCACCCACACAGACACCAGGTGCCAAAACCCTTGCTTCTGTAATGTCACGCTTTCTCCACAGTCACAGCCTCAGCCTCTGCTGCATGTAAGACTCGAGGTTCCAGCCCCAAGATGCATCCATGGTGCCGGGTGCAGGTAGGGCCCTGGCCACTTTCATGGCACTGGTGGAGGGCCGCTGGGGAGCAGTCCCTGATCACATGCTGCAAAGGTACCCAGGCCAGTGTGCCCGGAGCTGTACCTCTTTCTCCATGAAACAGGTTCAGAAGTAAAATGGTATTTCCTCTTTTAACACCAGAATCACCTTGAACCTTGAACACCTCTAGCTCTGGACATCCAGCCTCCACAGCGGCAGATGATGGAACAGCAAGGGGGTGTGGCATGATGGCTTTGGAGCAGCAGGCCAACAGGGCCCCACTCATGCTGGCCGTGAGACCCCAGGTACATCCCACTCACCTCTCTGCACCTATTTCTCCATATGGCATTTATAGGTAACACTGTAAAAATGCCAGGGCCTTTGGAAGGGCTGAATGTAACCATGAATGTTGAGCGTCCAGTCCAGAGCATGGCACATGATGGGCTCTTGGGACACGTCTGTGGACCCAGCCTTCAGGACGACACAACCTCCATCCTTCATAAGGACAATGGCAGCAGGGCCCAAGGATGCCAGCTCCTCTCATGTCAGCAAAGGCCGATATTCAGCTTCTTAAAAAGCGGACCCTCTTTTATTCCCATTTTCATAGCTGCAGGACTCAAAATAGCCCAAAAGTAGAAATAACCCAGGTCGGGTGCGGTGGCTCACACCTGTAATCCCAGCACTTTGGGAGGCTGAGGCAGGTGGATCACGAGGTCAAGAGATCGAGACCATCCTGGCCAACATGGTGGAACCTTGTCTCTACTAAAAATACAAAAATTAGCTGGGCGTGGTGGCGTGCGCCTGTAGTCCCAGCTACTCAGGAGGCTGAGGTGGGAGAATTGCTTGAACCCAGGAGGCGGAGGTTGCAGTGAGCCAAGATCACACCAGTGCACTCCAGCCTGGTGACAGAGCGAGACTCCATCTCAAAAAAAAGAGTGGAAATAACCCATGTTTCCGCACATGGAATTTATAGGTAACACTGCAAAAATGCCAGGGTCTTTGGAAGGGCTAAATGTAACCAAACAATGAACATCAAGTCCCCAGCCCAGAGCATGGCACGTGATGGGACTCTCAGGACGTGACCGTGGACCCGACTTCCAGGACAACACAACCTCCCTCCCTCATAAGGACAATGGCAGCGGGGCCCCAGGATGCCAGTTACCCACTCCCCCGAAGGTAATATATTTGCATTTTAAACAGGCACCTTATCCTAGAGGACTGCCTGATGCAGGAGTATCAGAGCCTAGGTACAGGTTGGGGTTAGGAAGTTCTTTGATTCGAGGGAACCTTCGGGCACTGCTGCAGTCACTGAGTCTTGGCATTTGAGAACACCAGATGAATGAGTAAGCAAAAGGTAGTCCACGTATACAACGGAATATTATCTAGCCCTAAAAAGGAAGGACATTCGGACCAGGCTACCGCATGGGTGAACCTTGAGAATGTTCTGCTCAGTGAAATAAGCCAGACACAGAAAGTCAAACACTGTACAATTCCACCAGTAGGAGGTCCCTCGAGTAGGCGAATGCATAGAGGAGAAAGCAGTCTGGTGGATGCCAGGGGCGGGGGAAGTAGCAAATAGAGAGGTAGTGTTGAATGATGGCAGAGTTTCGGTTTGGAAAGATGAAAGAGTTCTGTGGGTGGGTGGTGGTGATGGCTGCACAATGAGAACGTACTTAATACCAGTGAACTCTGCTCTTGAAAATGGCTAAGATGGTAAAGTTTACGTTATGCCTATTTTACAACAATTTTTTTAAATAGCAAAAAAAAAAAAAAAAAAAAAGCAGGCCCTCTCCAGGTAACCCACATTCCAGCCGCGAGCCAGCCTGGCTGCCGCACACACTGTCCTCCACCCACAGCCAGCATCCTAAGGGAAGATCCAGGCACCACTCATCCTTGAATTTCCAAAATCCTTAGCATAACGCTACACCAGCAGTGGACAAATGTTAAATACCTTCACAGGGAAATGATACAGACATAGAGTTTTGAGACTCCCTCTGCCCCACCTCTCTAAAAATAATCCAGAAGAACCCCCACAGGTCACCCAGATCAGCTGAGAAAACAGGGACCAAATTTCAGCAAGTATTTGTACCACATGACGAGTTACAAAGAGAGTTGTAACCAGCAGAGAGTCTTAAAAGGCAGAAAGGAAACAGGGAAAAGTGATTTTTCACAGAAATCCTTGGGAATATGATAGCCCTGGAGCACAGGGGGTCGGGGTGGAAGTTCCATGTCCTGGCTGGCATCATAGGAGGACACAACAGGGGCAGGGAGGTCCCGTCCAGCACAGCTGCCTGCAGTGCTCACGCTGATGGCAGAGGAAGAACAAAAGACCCAGTTTCCCTATGTGTGGAGGATTACACAGGTGGGCTACGCCCGAGAGTCCTCTTGGCAAGGCCCGAGAGCTGGCACTGCACCCATGTGCCTGGGCCTGAGGGGTGGGGAGGGAGACCTCGGGGCAAGTGGTCAACGCTTCGAGGCAGCCCTGCTCACCTGATTTCAAAAACACAGAGAGGGAGGAGGAGAGAAGCCACATTTTGAAAGCCTAGAAATTGGGTCATATCAAAACAGAGATTTCCACACCGCCCTTGAACATCAAAGATGACACTAAACAGGGCCAGGGATTTTGTGACCTTAATAAATGAGAAACGTGCTCACGAACACCGCCCAGGGACTGCTCAGCAGCGCATTCTGAAGGGGCTGGTTATGCACGATGGCCTGAGGGAAGCAAAGGCTTCGGGGACCAGGAGGAGGGGGGCACAGGCTGGCAGACCCCTCGGTTGGCAGGAGGAGCCCAGGCCTGTGGCCACAGAGCCCCAGTCCAAATCTCGCATTGCCACTTGTTGGTGTGTGGCTTCGGGGAAGTCCCCTCACCGCACTAAGCCTCAGTTTCCCCATCTGTAACATGGGGTGGTGGGAATACCGGCCTCACAGGAACTTCCTCACATTTCCTGAGGAATAAGGGGAACCGTGAGCACCCACACATGGCCCACAAACTACTCCCTGCAAGTGGGAGAGGCAGCTGTGGATGTACAGGGTCTCTGTGATTAGGCTCCAAGAGAGACACAGACTGGAGGAAGAGTGACCACAAGGCAGGCGAGGTCCCCTATTCCACAGAGAAGCATGGAGGGCTTCCTGGAGGAGGCAGCAATTGAACTGGCCTTGAAATATGGCCAGGCTAAGGAAAGGGCCTTCGGGGCTCTTTGCAGAGTGCAGTGGAGACAAACCACAGCCAGCATGTCCAAAGCTGAACCCCATGAAGGTTTGAGGGATGCCCTTCTGGGCCTTGCTATATTTTGCAGCCTGGGTTCCCTTATGGACACAGCTCCTTTGCAGAAGAACTTGCAGCCTGGATCTGATCGTCACCTTCAGAGGATCGGTGTGATTTTTGGAAGGAGGGGCTCCTCTCACACCCTTGGCTTCCCCCCTCCCCCGACCCCCCCGCCACCTGAACGGTGCCAGTTTACTGGCTTTCAGTGAATCCCAGGAATGTTTTGGTTTTTAAAGTACCGGTCTACTTGCCAGAAAGACAAACCCTTCAAAGATGTGAAGTGCCGGCTGTCTTCAGTCACAGAGAAAGATCTGCTGGCCCGGGTGTGCTGGCCCGGGTGTGCTGGCACAGGCGCGCTGGCACAGGCATGCTGGCATGCATTCTCTCAGTGTCTGGAGGGTGTGGAGGGTGTGAGCTTCCAAGGGACTGGGGCTTGATTTCATGAGATGGGTGATTAAGGGAAAAAGACCGCCTTGTGCTTGTTTTCCTAAGTGTCTGCATTGTTCTAAGATGAATGTCTCTGTCCACACGAAACCCAGCAGCCAGCCACGAGGGAGTCGATGCCAACTCGTTCCCACCGCAGCAGAGTTCACCTGCAGCACCACGCTCTGTGGCCTGCACGGGGGGCCAGGTAGGAAGAGAGAGACAGGAGGGCATTTGATAGGAGGAGGGCCCCTTGGCACACTGTCTCTGGAGACGGGCACTCCTCGCTCAGCCCGGGATGGCAGAGTGGGAAGTGCAGGCTGCAGTCACCAGATCTGAGTTTTCAAGAAAAGCTGGAAATGTGGGGTTTGGTGTGGAATCTCCCCATTTATAAATACGAGCCATTAATTCAAATTTTGTGGGCCAGCCAGAGGGCACACAACCTCGGATTACAGAACATACTTGTCCAACCCATATTGCTGACTGTCCATTGGAAAGGGGGAGAGCACCACTAACGTTTCCTGAGCACCTACTATGTGCAGGGCATCTTCCATGCCAGCCATTCACCTTGTCTCCTAACAAGTCTGAGGGAGGCCGGGCACGGTGGCTCAAACCTGTAATTCCAGCACTCTGGGAGGCCAAGGTGGGCAAATCACCTGAGGTCAGGACTTCGAGACCAGCCTGACCAACATGATGAAACCCTGTCTCTACTAAAAATACAAACATTAGTCAGGCGTGGCAGTGGGCGCCTGCAATCCCAGCTACTTGGGCGGCTGAGGCATGAGAATTGCTTGAACCTGGGAGGTGGAGGTTGCAGTGAGCTAAGGTTGTGCCACTTCACTCCAGCCTGGGCAACACAGCGAGACTCCGTCTGTCTCAAAAATAATAACAATAATAATAAATAAACAAGTCTGTGAGGGAGTGGCTGGTCCTGTGCTGTTAGATGTGAAGCCCCAGAGTCAGGACTAAAGCCAGTTCTACCTGATCTTGCACCTCACTGTGCCCTACTAAATCCTACCTATCTTCAACCTCATCTTACTGGCCGCCTCCTCCAAGAAGCCCTCCTGGGTGTTCCCCTCTCCCCAGCTGAAGCCACACAGCCATGTAACTATCTCCTTCCCGAACTTGCCTTCCTGCCAGTGCCAACCCAGTTCCTGCACATAGTAGGCCTTTTAATATATTCAAGGAGCAGCACAACAGAGAGCTTAGAATCCCAGAGCCAGGCTGCTGGTTTTGGATCCCAGCTTGACCACTGACAAGGTGTGTGACCTTGGGCAAGCTGCTTGACGGCTCTGTGTGTCTCAGTTTCCATCTGTAAAGTGGGGCCTAACACACCTCAGAGAGATCACAAAGATTCAGGGACACACACCCTCGGCACAGTCGCCAGCATGCAGCCACCCCTCGGGAAGCGTCAGCTTTGAGTAACTATAATGGTGGAATATGTGCGGCTTCCAAAGCCTCCACCCAAAGATTGGGCAAGGTTTAAAAAAAAGAAAAAAGAAAAAAAAAAAAAAAAACACCATCGTTCCTGATTTGGAATTACAAGAACATAAAAGGAAAGAAAGAGAATCAAAAACTAAAAGCATGTCATCAGAAGCCTGCCATTTATACCTCAGGCCAAATGCGAAAGTTCCATCTTTGATTTTTTTTTTTTTAATCTTCTTCTTTGTATGGTTGTATTTATTTATTTATGCCCAGGCTCTTTCCCAAAAAAGGATTTTCAGGCAGCTTTTTTTCCCCCTTTTGATATTATTAGGAAAACAACTTTGAAAGCAAGCTGGTTTAAAGAACAAGGTTACCTTAACGGAGAGAAGAAATCTGAAAACACAAAGGCTGATCAGCTTCTTGCTCCACTAGCAGAACCAGGGCAGGACACGGGGGATGGCAAGGCGCCCCTGCAATCACGGGCCCAAGAGCCTCACTGGGGGCTTGCCTGGAGGGTCTGGCCCAGACACAAAGGCCCAATGGAGGCTGAGCCACAGGTCCTGGGGGGCCAGAGCAATGGCAACTCCATTTTCTGACACTTTTCTAAGTGTGTCATTTCAACACAGCAGAGATGCTTTGCCACCTACGGGGACTTTCTACACCATCCGTGCAATTCCTGGTTTTCATAGAGAACAAAAGATCAGGGCGAGAAATTTCAGAGGGCCCCGTCTGAACCAGGATCAAAGAGAAAACCCCAACAAAAACAGCCATTCTCCATCCCTGCACATCTAAAAGAACTGGAAAATGGCAGGAAAGCTGCCCCAGTTTTAAACACTTAACCAGCCCTTTTCAAATCCTACCCACTTCTAGTTACAACTGATCCTGCTCAAAGAAACAGAGTGGTCTTCAGAGCTTGCGGGAGGATACAGGAGGAGAAAGAAAGGTGCGGCTCTGTGCCAACTCACGCCACCAGCTCCTCTTCCCAGCTGGGGAGGGGGCATCGGGATCCTTCGCTTGGGCTTAAGCAGGAACCCAAAGACATCTCTGTTAAATGAGGTTTTCCAGGCCTCTGCCAGGAAATGACAGCTTTCTATGAATTTTCCAACTTCCATCCGTACTCAGAGGGGTGTGGTTTCTTCGTAGAAGCTGTAATTTATCAGAATAACTAACTTCATCAGGCACGAAGGTCTTCTTAACAGAGCAGTTTTTCTAAAAATAAGTCCAGTTGTACTTCAGTGAAGATCTTGCAGCTCAGTGGAGTTAAAATAAGACCTAAGTGAGATCTAAATCAGAATAAAAACATCATCAGCCTCGGCAGCTGGGAGGAGATGCTGTTGGGCAGTCTTTTCTGACATCCAGAAGGAAGGTGATTGGAGGGAGTCGCGGATCATAATTCAAAGGGCTGAGCTGTTGCTGGCACATCACGCGTGCAAAGGCCTTGAAATGTGAGGCCTGGCCCTCCCCAGGAGGTTACGAACTCCAAGTCCAATCTCCAAGGTTCTTGGGATTACAAATCGGAGGAATAACAAAGTGTCTTGCCTAGGATAAAAGGCAGCAAAGGCTAACAGTGCCAGAGAGCAGCTGCTCCTCCTGGCCCGGACATGGGAAAAGAGGGAAAGGACTTCCAGTGATCCATGGAGCACAACATACAAGAAAGCGCTTCTTGACGTTTCAAGTGGCAGATGTAGTTTGTTTTTGCCGAGAAATGGATGTGGGCCCTTGTCATGCAGGATGCCGGCCCAGGGTAATGAGCTCGGTGTATTTATGTACATGTAACTCACTATCATCTCTAAGCCAAGGATGAGTTTCTGAACGGTGCTGACATGACTAGAGGAGTAAGAAAGCCCCGTGACTGTGGCCCAAACCGGAAGGATCGCTCAGCTTGAACATCTGATTTATGGGGCTTGTTGTGCTGGGGCATGAGGTTCCAGCCCATTTCTCAAGATGAAATAAGTTGAGAAGCTAAAAGAAATGTGTGAACATTTCAATAAGGTAAATCCAAAGAAGGTCAACAGGTGGCGCAGACTCCACATCAAGAGCTCACTGCTGAAACCCTGTCCTATTCAGATGGCAGCAAGCCTTGGGCATGACAGCCTGCTGATCTAACTAACACTGGTGGATGGATGCCAAAGGGCTGGGCATGGGGCTGGGCAGGCCCTGCCCTTGCACCGTGGAGAGTCTGCGTGTAGCCGAGGGAAGACGTATCCTGGTCACTTCCACCCAGCAGCCGACCTCGCACCTGGCACAGAAGGCTCGTGAAGGATTCGATGCACAATTAATTAAGTGCAATACATAGCATGGTGTTGAGATTTTTTAAAAAAGCAAAAGCAGGTTGGGCCAGCTGCAGTGGCTCACACCTATAATCCCAGAACTTTGGGAGGCTGAGGTAGGTGGATGGCTTGAGCTCAGGAGTTCGAGACCAGCGGGGCAACAAGGCAAAACCCCATCTCTACACAAAATACAAAAATTAGCCAGGAATGGTGGTGTGAATCTGTAGTCCCAGCTACCCAGGAGGCTGGGAAGAAAGTTTGAAGCCGAGAAGCGGAGGTTGCAGTGAGCCAAGATCACGCCACTGCACTCCAGCCTGGGTGACAGAGCCAGATCTTGTCTCAAAAAATTAAAAAGAAAAAGAAAAAGAAAAAGAAAACCATGTTGCAGAACAATACAGCAAAGGCTGGGTGTGGTGGTGTACATCTGTTGTCCCAGCTACTTGGAGCTGGGGTGGGAGGATCACTCGAGCCCAGGGGTTCAAGTCCAGCCTGGGCAACATGGTGAGACACTTTAAAATAAATACAGCATGATATTTATGTAAAAAATACAACTAGAAAACTCACCACTATGTATTTCTATGTGTACGTATCAAAATTCACAGAAAAAGAAATGAAAGGGCATGCTCCAGAATGACAAGAGCAGCATTACTGATGCAAGGCCCAGTGGCTGAAGGTAAGGAGGAGACAGAGGGAGGCTCTGCCACCAGACTGTGTTCTTGTACTCCTTTTGAAATAAAAATAAAGCTACAAGAATGGAAAATAAACAGATGTCCTGGCAGGGTTATGTACAGGGTGCAGTGGGGACCCTAAAGGAAACAAAGTGGCAGCCAATTCTACAGGGAAGGACACACACTGGGTTCAACCATAGAAATGGCTCTGAGACCCAGAAGGAGTCTCGGGCCTCTCCCGGCAGCACTGGCTGCCTCGGGGGACACAGTGAGCTACCCTGAAGGAGGGAGGAAGCTGGGGAGGGAAAGTCCTGCACGGTCCCATCCCCACAGATGACTGCAGAATAATAACATGACTCTGAGACTATGGGTGACAGCAAAGGCCCTGGCATGAGTGTCTGTGCCAAGAACGCAGCGGAAAGAACCAAGATGCCAGACCTGGGAGTACCCTTGGCAGGCTCACATCTCGTGCCCTATTCTTGGATTGGCCAGTGGGGCTTTCTCACCAGGATGGCCACCTTGGCCCCTGCAAGCCCTGCCCTAAACTCTTCCCACCCCAGCCCAGCCTCTCCCCTTCTGGAGGTGACTGTTATGGACACCATTGCTTTTCTTCTCCAGCATCCATTGATCCTTTCAGGCAAACAAGACTCAGCCTCCCTCAGAGAGAGCCACCCCTCCTGCCACCATGCTCGGGCCTTGTAGTTCAGCTCTGGGGTGGAGCAGGCATCCCAGGACAAAGCCAGCTGGCACACTGGCCTCCCAGGAACACAGTCAGGGATGGGCATGGCCCAGTTAGAGCTAATGAACTGCACTGAGACTTTACCAGGAATAGAGAATGAGACAGGCACTCCTTCCCACTGGCCTTGACCCAGAAAGGATGGAGGTTGAAGCCGTCCCATCATCTTACCACTATACAGAGCCTGGAGATGAAGGCACCAGATCGAAAGAGCTCGGGGAAGGGGAGAACAGAATCTAGGATCTAGCAACACCTTCTATGTGCTGGATCAAGCCTTACCTGAGGCCATCCAACCCCACAGACCATTCTGTCAAATGTACCAGTGAATTCTGTTTTGCTTTTAAGCCATTTTGAGTTGGGTTTTCTGTCCTTTGCAAACCAAGAGAGTCCTGTCTGATGTAGAAATCCTTCCAATACACAAAGCTGGCGTTGGTCACTCCCTGCTGCAGTGCACCCCATGGCTCCCACCAGCTCCAGGGTAAAACGCAAAACCTTCATAGTGGTACCCGATGACTGTTAATGAGCAGACCCCTCCTCTCATCAATACAGCTGCAGTTACCATGCTTCCACACTCATCGTCTGATGAGGCCATTCCAGGCCACTTCTGTAGGTCATATCTCTGCCCCTCTGCTCGACTGTCCCCACAACCTGCAATGCCCTTCACTTCAGGTCAGCTAGCTCCACCCATTTCCCACCGTCTGGAAAGCACACTCTGCACATCCTCTATCCCTGGGTGCAGTTCGGGCCCCTCCTCTGGGTTTCCACAGCTCCCCGTGCACATGACAATGACAAACCCTATTCCCCGATCATGTGATTGTGGACTGTGCTCATCTCCCTGCACCCCCCGACCCCGCAAGGAGTGCACAGGGGCCAGGTCCCATTCATGACCATGGCCTCACATCCTGCATAAAACCCAGCACATGGATAACTGCTCTCTGAATATCTGTGGAATGAATGAATGAATGAACACAAATGCTAAGCTTATGTAGGCCAAATGGAGCTACATAGATAATTTCTACAAGAGAAAGTCAGGGAACTGAACTGACGGCTCTCACACAGCATCCCACCTCCAGCCACTTAATTGGGTGGAAAAAGAGGGTTTCCATTAAGGTTTACATTAGCCTGGCAGTCGTGTTTCACAAGGAACCCAATTACCCTGATGTGGCCACGTAGAGGCTGATGGGCTCAGGAGGAAGGAGTCCGCTCCGCAATTAGGGACTTGCTAGTACAAGCAGCCCAGGAGCCAACATCCCCCCAGCCTCACCTCCTGGGGTGTGCATTCCGACCAGCCACCTGCTGCAGGAATCTGAAATACAGACCACCCCGAGATGGAAGGAGTCCATCTGGCTCAGGGAAACTGGGTCTTCTGAATACGAAAAGTTGCTTACATAGAAATGTAAAAAAAGCTCCGAAGCCCATGTTAAACAGATGATTCCCTTGGCCCAGAAACACGGTCTTTTCTTCCCCTTTGTCCCTGGGGTGATCAGGAAAATGTTAGAACCACAGAAAAATGAATCCTTTGTGGGAAGGAGAACAGGAAGAAAGACTTCCAGGTGCACGGTAAAATGTCAGGTTGGCCGTCTAACCCACCTGGGCGAGAAACCGGGGCATGGAGGGGCCGGTGAGCTTCTTGTCTACAAAGGAGGACACATTCTTTAGAGACAATGATGATCTGATTGGTTTCTCAGACTGAAAGCCACATGAGTCAGTTTTTGTTTTTTGTTTTTTGTTTTTGTTTTTGTTTTTGAGACGGACTCTTGCTCTGTCGCCCAGGCTGGAGTGCAGTGGCTCGATCTTGGCTCACTGCAACCTCCACCTCCCAGATTCAAGCGATTCTCCTGCCTCAGCCTCCTGAGTAGCTGGGATTACAAGTGTGCACCACCACACCCAGCTAATTTTTGTATTTTTAGTACAGATGAGGTTTCACTATGTTGGCCAGGTGGATCTCGAACTCCTGATTTCAAGTGATCCACCTGCCTCGGCCTCCCAAAGTGCTGGGATTACAGGCACGAACCACCGCACCTGGCCAACTTCTTTAATTCCTCCCTTCAATTGCCACCCTTCCGGAGCACGGGAACCTACCGCCCAGTGCCCCCACCTTGCGGTGCACAGTGGGATACACATCCCCAAAGCCAGCCTCCCCCGCCCCAAAAAAGAGCTACCCCATTTGCCTCCCGTTTTCTCGGCCCCTCACCCTCAGCTCCAGTGCCCAGCAGCCACTGCCTCCTGACCACTCTCATCCTAATTCCTTAGCAAGTCCTTCGACGCAAGCCTCTGCCTCTGTGATTTTCAGAGGCTGCGTCTGTCACATTTCTCCAACCCATCACGCTGGCTTTCAGGGGGTACTTCCAAATGATTTCAGTCACTGGTCATGAAATCTGTCATTAGCTAATAATAAGAAGAAAAGAGCCTCGAGGCAGCAGAAGGTGGGGGCAGGGTGTGAAACCCAAAAGAAACAATTCTCAGAAGAGGATGCCAACCTTTCCCCTGGCGTGTGTCACCGTCACCGCCCCTCCGAGCCCAGCCACTTGCCAGCAAGCTGCACAATGAGCCCCACCGAGGCGGGGGGCAATGGAACCCGCTGCTCACTTCCAGCAACAGACGAGCCCCATGAGACTGCCAGGCTCTTAGAGAAACGCACTTCATAAAGGAAAGCAGAAACGGCCGTGCAGAAGCTAAGTCTGGAGAAGCACGTTCGCTGGTTCCCAAGTTGTGAAACTCGTATTAATTAATGTGACTGGTAACGTCCCAATGTATCCAGGGAAGTCCAAAGCGTTGTCTGCTGAGAAAATAAGAAGATTAAATCATTAAGTCGTTAGAAAAAGAAAGGCTTTACTATGCACCTGCCATGGAAACGGGGATGTGGGAAAGGCCAGAAGGACAGTGCCCTCTAGCGGCTGTCTCCCCTGCAGAAGTGACACAGATGCCTCCATGAAAGCTTCCCCCAACAGGAGGACCCGGCCTGCTTCGGAGACAGGCCCCTTCCAAAAGCAGGTGGATTTGGGGAGTGCTGGAAGCCATTGGCCTCTGGTGCTGGCAGCTCAGTTCCCACCTGAGATACTCAAAGAACCACCATGGCACTGCCTTGGGCCCCACCGGGCACAGACAACTCTACCCATCAGGAACAGATGCAATGCCCACAGCAGAAAAGGAGAAAGGCCTTCACGGCCCACAGGGGTCCCCACACCCCTGCTGGAGACTGCACCTTTGGAGGAACAGCCCCAAACAAGGGATGGAGGGATGACGGCAGGTGGAGAGTCACTCCATGACCCCACAAAGCAGGTCAGGTTCCCCACTCCCCGCATCCATTCCCCTTCCTCTCCTTTCGAGGCACTATTAGTCTAAGGCACATCTGTGCTACAGGATTTGCGTCTACAGTGCTCTGAAAGGACAGATGCATGGCCTGCTCTGTCTCCCCTGCTCCCAACATGACGCCTGGACTGAGGCAGGTGCTCCGTGAACACTCGGTGAATTCATGAATGAATGAATCAGGGTTTCGGGACTCTACCATTCTCTCTACTGCAGTGTCTCCTGTAAAAACTCAAAGGATGTACTTTCTACTCCATCTGTCACTGTCTCTATGGAAGGCTGGATCTTGGTCCCTGCAAAGATGTCCACATCAAGTCCCAGGAAACTGTGACTTTGCATGGCAAGAGGGAGTTTGCAGATGTGATTAGGTAAGGACCTTGGGGTGGGAGATTAGCCTGGATTATGCAGGGGGCCCAATGTGATTGACAGGGTCCTTACAAGAGGAAGCAGGAGGGCCAGAGCCAGAGGAGGTGTGGCGAAGGAGACAGAGAAAGATCGGGAGATGGCTTTGAAGACAGAGGAAGAGGCCAGGCACTAAGGAACGCAGGTGCCTCTGCAAGTTGGAAAAGGCAAGGAATGGGATTCTCCCCTGGAGCCTCCGGAAGGAACCGGCCCTGCTGCCACCTTGATGTTGGGACTCCTGACCTCCAGAACTGTAAAATAATAGATTTGTGTTGGTTTAAACCACTGGGTTTGTGGTATTTTGTCACAGCAGCCCTAAGTAAATTAACAGCCTCAAGAGAGCCCCAGCAACTCCACGTAATTTCAAAAAGCCTGGAACATTCTTTGCAGCAGTTTTACTGAGCCCTGCTCCACACCGGGTGCCCCCTGGCACAAGCGTTACTGAAACTGACATGGCTTTGTTCACGCAAGCAGAATGAATATTAAACAAGCACAGAGGACGCATCTGACCAACACTGTGGATAAAATCACAACTGGCCCTAAGGCTGCCGCGGGCCATTCTCCTGTGACACCAAGGTCTGAGGAGGTTGCCTCCTTATTAGCAAATCCGGAACAATGTTTTTTTTGAGAAGGAGTCTTGCTCTGTCCCCCAGGCTGGAGTGCAGTGGCACAATCTCGGCTCACTTCAACCACCACATCCTGGGTTCAAGCGATCCTCCTGCCTCAGCCTCCCAAGTAGCTGGGATTACAGGCGCCCACCACCATGCCCGGCTAATTTTTGTATGTTTAGTAGAGACGGGGTTTCACCATGTTGGCCAGGCTGGTCTCGAACTCCTGACCTCAAGTGATCCACCCACCTCGGCCTCCCAAAGTGTAATGTATTGTTTTCAATGTGCAAAAACAACTGGATGGCCTCACAGTCAGCACGACCTGAAGTCAGTTCTCCACCGGTGGCTTCTCAGAATGGCTTAGCACAGCAGCCGCTGGCTAAAGGGCTGAGTAAGGGGTCAGATTCCCTCACCCTCTGTCCTCCTCAGCCTGGGGATTTAATGGGTTCACAGGAAGTAGCCAGGGATGAGCTAACTGCTTGACGTTTTCAGACACAGCTGTGTCCCACAAACCTTGCTGTTCCTTGAGCCTGTGTCTCCTCTTTGTCCCCAAGAACACGTGACACAGATGGCTTCTCGATCCTGCTACTGTCCCTCCAATTACTGGCCTACCAGGTTCTCAGGCTGGAGCCCGGGCATTTTCAAACACAAGGATGGTGCACTAGCTCTTCTGCATGGACGTCATTCAAGTCACTAAAAACGGTGAATATCAGCCCAGATGTCAGCACCATCAGCCTCCTGGACCAAGCACACCCATCTATGGTGGACCAAGCACCAGGAGCACACCAGCAGGCTGGCAAAGAAGAGGACACACATTGCGGGAAACGTTGAGTGCTCAGTGAATTCATGAACGACTGAATCAGGGTTTGAGGACTCTACCATTCTCTCTACTGCAGTGTCTCTTGTAAAAACTCACAGGGGCCGGGCGCGGTGGCTCACGCCTGTTATCCCAGCACTTTGGGAGGCCGAGGCGGGTGGATCACCTTAGGTCAAGAGTTTGAGACCAGCCTGGCCAACATGGTAAAACCTCATCTCTATTAAAAATACAAAAAAATTAGCTGCACTTGGTGGTCTGCGCCTGTAATCCTAGTTACTTGGGAGGCTGAGGCAGGAGAATCGCTTGAACCCAGGAGTCAGAGGCTGCAGTGAGCTGAGATCTCGCCATTGCACTCCAGCCTGGGCGACAGAGTGAGACTCCATCTTAAATAAATAAATACTCAAAGGACCTATATTCTACTCCATCTGTCACTGCCTCTATGGAAGGCTGGATCATGGTCCCTGCAAAGATGTTCACATCAAGTCCCAGGAACCTGTGACTTCACATGGCAAGAGGGGGACTTTGTAGATGTGATTAGGTAAGGACCTTGGGGTGGGAGATTAGCCTGGTTATTCAGGGGGCCCGATGTGATTGACAGGGTCCTTACAAGAGGAAGCAGGAGGACCAGAGCCTTTTACTAGGTCCAGATACCTCCCTTACCACTTCCCCCATGCCTGCCCCGACATGGTAACCCTGGCCAGGAAAAGGTCAGGATGGTGGCAGAGAAGAGGGGAACTCAGTCCATGCTGTGGATTTAATTGTGTCCCCCTGAAAAAGATATGCTGGAGTTAGGCAGGTCCGGGTCTAACCACTCATCTGGGTGTGTGGCCTTGGGAAAGTTCACATCTCCAAGTGCCAATTCCAACATCAGTAAAAACAGTGACACAACCTTAAGTGAGGACTTCTCTGGAAGAGGGAGAGACAGACACACTGTGTCCAGCCAGTTCAACACAGTAGCTTGCCTGAGCTAAGGATGCAAACAGAGCTCACAGGACATGTGACAAGGACCCACGCTGTGAGCTTGGGGCTCCAAATTCAGGCTCCTTCCACCACACGGCTCTGCAAATGGCCCCCTGTCCTCAAGGGACCTGGTGTCTCTATCATGTCACCAAGCCCAACTGTTTCCCTAGCTGTAAAGAGTAATATCCCCTGCCTACAATCCCAGCACTTCGGGAGGCTGAGGTGGGCGGATCACTTGAGGTCAGGAGTTCGAAACCAGCCTGGCCAACATGGTGAAAACCCGTCTCAACTAAAAACACAAAAATTAGCCGAGTGTCATGGTAGGTGCCTGTAATACCAGCTACTCGGGAGGCTGAGGCAGGAGAATCGCTAGAACCATTGCACACCAGCCTGGATGACAGAATGAGACACTGTCTCAGAAGAAAAAAAAAGAGTAACTATCCCCCTCCAATATCATTGCTAAGGTTTAAAGTCACATGTGGGCAATGACGTGTGGTTCTCCAATCCCCTGCAGAGCTTCCCACCTCCCCGGCACCCACCTGGCGACTCCCCGTCACATCCTGGCCAGGACTCGTAAGCCAACTTCACCCTTATCGGTGTTGTCTGGCGGTCTGGAAGAAGATAGGTCTGGGGATCTGGAAGACCTCACTGTGTGCTGTGTATTGCACTGTATCTCCCCTAAAAGGCACACTGGAGTCTGGCCCCCAACACCTGTGACTGTGGCCTTATTTGGAAGCAGGGTCTTTGCAGATGTAATCAAGTTGCAGATTCGGTCATTAGGGTGGGCCCTAATCCAATGACAGGCGTCCTTACAAGAAGAGGAGAGGACAGAGACACAGACGGAGAAGGAGGCCCACGTGAAGAGGGAGACAGAGGCTGGAGTGATGTGGCCCACGGCAGGGAACACCAGAGCCACCACAGCCTGGAAGAGGCCAAGGGGGATCCTCTCGGAGCCCTGGAGGGAGCACAGCCCAGCTGACACCTTGATCTTGGACTTCCAGCCTCCAAAACTGTGACAGACTATGTTTCTGTTGTTTAAGCCACTCAGGTTGTGGTGCTTTGTTACAGTGGCCCCAGGACACTAGCACACCCCATGCTGCCCCAGGGCAGGCCCGGTTGCACCTGCTGCTTGGCCCCGGGCAGGCACAGGACCCATACTCAAGAGTGTCAACCAAAGGGGGACCCAGGCCACACATCATGTGATATTCTGATCATAATTCGACTTCCAGCCAAGCTGGTATCAGACAGGATGTGCCCAACATTCCGGCGCACACCTCAGCGAGCCACATACCGAGGGCTGGGGAGGGGGCACAGGACCCAGCCCCAGCCCCCAGCCTGTGGGCACTCTCCCTAGGGTGCAGGGGAGTTGGGGCAGGCCACCTCCTCCATGGGACACAGCAGCATGTTTCTGGCCCTCAGCATCTCACCTGAGAAAGGGGCAGGCACCCTGGCTTATCTATCTCACGGTGGGCAGATGCCCCATGAATCTAGAGGAGGGTGCACAGAGACCCAGGACCCAGGCACGCCTATAAACAACTCGTGCTCCCTGCACCACGAGGCATACACTGCTCCTGCCATTGCCCTTCAAAACACACCCCACGCACAGCTGCATGTGGTCTTGAAGAACTGTGTATTTGTGGAAAAACTTCCTGCTATGTTGAGGCTGGGCTCTGTATCTTACCAGAACCCCTGGGCTGCACCCTCCGGAGGGAAGAGCCTGTCTCTAGGCCTGAAAGATCAGAGAGGAGAACGGATTTCTGAGGAGAACGAATTTCTGGCAGGGGAGGACTGGGGCCACTGTGGGGACCGGGCTTACAAGACAGAGGACTAGAAAGAGGACACAGGGCTGCGGGTGGCCGCCCTTTCACCATTCCTAGAGGTGACAGTCTCTACAAGGACAGGCATCCCCCAAATCAGCGGCCATGGAGTCCACGACTCAGCTGCCATGGGGCCCCCAACTCAGCTGCTGTGGAGCCACTCTTTCTGAGAGGGCCACCTCATGGAGAAACTCACAACAGGCCTAGCATTGAGGGGCTGAGCGCTCTGGCCTCCACAGACCAGCCCTGGGTTGAGGCAGGCGGTCCTCCTTCCAGACACTCCCAAGTCCCGGCCCCACCTGCCCCCTTCAGCATCCTCTCCTGCTTTGCGCTCCAGGTCCCCTGCCCCACGGCCATCAGTTTAGACAATGCACAGGCCTAGGCCAGGTGCAGTCAGAGAGCTCCAACCTCAGGGCAGGGGCCTGGGCTCTGATCCCAGCTCGACTGCTCCATCCCAACTCCACAGCACCTGGGCTATACATCTGCAGCAAGAGCAGCGGATCCTCTGGGAGGCAAACAGGGAACAAATGGATCCGTCCAGACAATGCAGAAAGAGCCACTTGGAACCAAGAAGAAACGCGCCGTCAGCTGTGAAAAGGCGTGGAGGAAACTTAAATGCATCTCACTGAGTGAAAAACCAGTCTGAAAAGGCTGCAGACAGTGTGATCCCAACTGCACGACCCTGTGGGGCAGGCAAAACTACGGAGACAGTGAAAGGAGCAGAGGTTGCCAGGAGTGAGAGGGAGACAGGGATGAGCAGGTGGGGCACGGGGATCTCAGGGCAGTGTCACTGCTACCATGGGGGTCCCTGTCCTTACACAATGTCCAGCACCAAGAGGGGCCCCTCATGGAAACTGTGGACTCTGGGTGACCCTGATATGGCCATGTGGGTCCACCAGGTACCACAGATGCACCCTCTGGTCTGGACGTTGTTAGAGGGGGAGGATGTTGATAGTGTGCGTGGTGGGGCCGTGCAGTCACGGGAAATCTCTGCACCTTCCACTCAATTCTGCTGTGAACTTAAAAGTGCTCTAAAAATAGTCTAGTCCCTTCAGGGTCACTGCGGGTGCATGCATGAACATGTGTGCATATGAGTGAGTGTATGCATGCGTGCATGTGCGTGCGTGTTTGTGTGTGTCCCAGGCAGGCATCCATGTCTCCAGGGCCCAGGGCCTTCCCTTCCTTCACCACCTGCTTCCGGGGAGCCTCTCAGCTCAGCGGATCTCAACTGGGGACGATTCCTCCACCCCCACACTGGGAGGGTACGTAGTGGCATCTGGAGACACTTTGGGTTGTCACAACTGACACCTCGTGTGTAGAGGCCAGGGATGCCGCTCAACACCCCGCAATGCTCAGGAGAGCTCCACAACCAAGAATCCTCAGTGTTGAGGCTGGGAAGCCCCGTCCCCACCGACTCAGGAGTCCCAGGAGCTCCCAGAGCCCACTGGGCTCCTCCGTCCTCTGCTTCCTCACCTAGTGCAGACATGAGGTGGGGTGGAGGGAAGGGCCCAGGGGCAGGGGATGACTCCATTGTCTTGGCTGTTGCACTGCGTGCTGGCACACCACACGGCCACGCTCTAACTGCCCCCCACGCCCACACTGGCCTGGCCTGGGACTGCCGTGGGCAGCTGGGAAGCTGAGGGAGGGGCAGTGAACATTGTCTAATGTTCCCCACCCCACTCCCCTCCTCTTCTCAGGGATGGTGGGGCTCCTCCTCTACTAATTCTGCCCCACAGGCCAGGGTCAGCCTGCCCTGCTCCTCACTCCCAGGGCTGTGAAAAGCTCAGCAGCTTGCCTGAAGCCCTGGCCTCCCACCTAGGGTTGCCATGGAAACAGGGCATCCTCCCTCCCCAAGGAAGCATCCGAGGGTGGCACTAGGCTCTGGCTGGGTGTGATCTCCAGATACCAGTGACAGCGGGGCCATGCAGGGATGGCCAGACCAGCCAAGCATGTAGCCAGCATCCTGTGTGGCCTGGGCAGCTGCTGCCAGGAGGCGCCACTAGCCAGAGCCCAGGAGACATGGTACTAAGGCAGGGGTCTCCTGTCAGTGTTGCTCACCCAGGCCGTCGTGCAGGCAACAGAACCGATCAGGGGCTCAGAAATGCCAGGGCTCACTGGCACGACAGGCTTCTGCCCATGCCCCCGTCTCTCTGCTGGGAGCCTTGGCCAGCCTCAGAGGACCACTCCTCCTCTGGTTTCCAGAGACCCCTTCCAGGACCCCCACTCACACACCCCTGGCTCCTGCCTCAGAGTCGGCCATTCTGTTATCTTATGTTTTCATAAACTGTCTTCAACCCGAACAGAGGATCCCAAAGAAGGGTCCTCGTCAGCATCCTCAGAGCCCAGCCAGCAGCCTGCCCCACGGCGGGTCCTCGGTAGGTGTCCACCAAATGGCTGCACAAAATACACACCATAATCACACCTCCTCCAGTGCTGCGGATTAAATGAGGGAGTGTAAAAATGGCAATCATGCTCGCTCATCTGTTTTGAGGATCTCCTGTGTGCAGGCCAGCTGCCGAGCCCACCACAGACCCAGTGTGGGAAAAGCAGGTGGCCCCAGAGCTGGTCCCAGAACCGCTGCCTTGGCCTACCTGCTTCTCCCTTTCAGAGGGAAGTGCTTCTGGGGTCTCCTCTGCTTTCTCCAAGCAATGAATGCTTCTGCTCAAGCACAACCCAAAATTCAAAGGGGGGCAAGCGGGCCCCACCTCCTCAGCTACACAGAAATTTCTGCATCTGAAGATCAGGACAGTGACACCTTTCATCTCTCGGTTCCCTTTATTTGGCATTGGTATTCGAGACGTTTAAGAGTCAGGAGCTGGAAAAGCAGGTATGGTCGTATTCATTCACTTCTTTTTTTTGAGACTGACTCTCACTCTGTCGCCCAGGCTAGAGTGTAATGGCGCGACCTCCGCTCACCGCAACCTCTGCCTCCTGGGTTCAAGTGATTCTCCTGCCTCAGCTTCCAGAGTAGCTGGGATTACAAGCATGCACCGCCACGCCCAGCTAAATTTTGTTATTTTTAATAGAGACGGGTTTCGCTATGTTGGCCAGGCTGGCTGGTCTCGAACCCCTGACCTCCGGTGATCCGCCCGCCTCAGCCTCCCAAAGTGCTAGCATTATAGGTGTGAGCCATTGTGCCCAGCCCACTTCTGACTTTAAATTTCCTCCACTTAAAGAAGTCTGGTTTTTTATACAATTATTCTAGTATAATTTGATAAGATTGGGCCTAGTTTGCATTTGTTCATTCACTCATTGAACAACTGCTTAGTGACATCCACTATGGTCAGGCCTGGCACGGGGCACTGGGTGGGCCACAGGGGGACTTAGATACAGGCCCTGCTCTGAGGGCTCCAGCACCCAGGAGACACATAAGGGAGGTATGTGAGAAGGCTGGGGGCTCAGGAGGGAGTGTAGTAGTCCAGAGAGGCTTCCTGGAGCTGAGTCTTGAAGGAGTTTGCCCTGCAGGGTGAAGAAAGAGAGTTCCAGTCCTTTATCCCTACATCCCTAGTAGGTAGGGGACTTATTCATGACGGAAACTTGTTCCTTTCTTCTGGGCTATCCTGTAGCAGGAAGATGTCTAATAAGGCACAAAAAGAAAGGGTGACTCTGGGCCAGGCGCGATGGTTCACACCTGTAATCCCAGCAACTTTGGGAGGCCAAGGTGGGTGGATGACTTGAGGTCAGGAGTTCGAGACAAGTCTGGCCAACATGGTGAAGCCCCCGTCTCCATTAAAAATACAAAAATTAGCTAGGCATGATGGCATGCACTTGTAATCCCAGCTACTCGGGAGGCTAAGGCAGGAGAATCGCTTGAACCCGGGAGATGGAGGTTGCGGTGAGATGAGATCACGCCACTGCACTCCAGCCTGGGCAACAGGGCAAGACTCCATCTCAAAAAACCAACCAAACAAAAAAGAGTGACTCTGAAGTCCTGAGGGCAAACTGTCGGCTCTTCCTTCTCCAGTCCCCTTCCCTTGTCCTATCTGATGCCCAACTTGAAATTTACCAACCCAAAAGGGTGGTGAGAGGGGGCCTGTGAGGTGGGGACAGAGACTCGGGGACTCAGCTCCACAGGGCACAGAAACTATCTTTCAGGGGCCTCATGATGAGCTCGCTCAGCCTCCCAATAGCCCGGAAAGGGGGACAGGGTAGGGAGGGTTCTACAGATCTGGAAACAATGGCTCACACAGCAAGGACTTGCCAAGGAAAAGCAGCTCCACATGACATTCACATTACAACTGACTCCGTTCAATTACAAAGTCCTTTCCACCCAACGACAGACGTGGGGCAGTCACAGACGCTTGAGAAACCTTCAAACGTTTTCATGGTCTCAGATCCCACTGGTAGAGAGCGAGGGAGGGAGGGAAGGAGGGTGTTAGAATCCAAGCCAGCAACTGGCAGAGACGCAGAAGAGGCCGCCCAGCTGCGCCTCCCTTCCTGGGTCCTGGCTTTGGGCCAGGCATGGACGCCTACAGGGGTTCTCAGCAATCAGGGTATGGGTTACCCCGATTATTGCCATTTTACTGACAAGGAAAGTAGATCTTGGGAAAGTCAAGGTCCCATAACTAGTAAAATACGGAGCTAGGATGTGATTCCTCCTTGTTTAGTTAAGAATTCAAAATAAACACCCATCACTAATCAGCCCAATCATGACTTCCAGGTCCTCAACTGCAACAGAGGACACGAAGTTTGGAAGGAGGTGACAAACTCAGGGTGAGGACAGGGATTCCAGTCAGGGCCTCTAGGAGCATAGGTGGTGGCTGGGAGGTTATCAATAGGCCACAGCGGGTGGAGGATGGGTAGCCCACAATGGAGGGGGTGATCCCAATGAGGTCCTCAAGCATTCAGAGCCTGGGGACCCCTTTTCTAAAAGAAAACTTAGCAGACCTCCTCCTTTCGTGGGTGGCTGTACTTTCAGACAGAGAAAAACACATTCAGCACAGCTTTTCAATTCGTTTGCATTTTAGGAAGCCCAGTGGATCCTGAGCAAAACTGAAGAAGTGGAGGATATATGAGCAGGACACCTATTTGGTCTCCATCAGTATCTCCCAAAGTGAGTCCTGCAGTTTAGACGTTCACAGGTCACACATGAATCAAGCAAAGGTCAAGGAGGTGGAGGAGTCGTGAAGTTAAGGGAAGCTAAGCAGGTGTCTTTTCCTACCGGACTTCTCAGAGTCTTGACTCTGCTAATGTACTGTGAGATTCTCCAAGGGGAGGGGACAGAGCGCTCAGTATCTGTTCCCCCACACCCCACACTGGCCCCAGGATGCTCTCTGGGAAATGTCGCTGGAGTGATACTGGGCTCCAGGACCCCTTTCACAGTGACTCCTACCCCACCAGGCCAAGGCGGGCGGGCAGGGGCCGGGGGGTCCTGGTCTGGGGTCTAGGGCAGGGGCCCTGTGACTACTAGGAACCACTGACTTCGAATAAGCCTGGCAAGGTTCTAGCCTCAAGGGTTAAAATCTGACACACCTGAGTGAAGAGAATCTGGTACCTTGGTTAGAAACAGCAAGGTGAGCAAAGTCCCGCACAGGTCCCAGGAGGTGCGGGCAGGGTCTACCCTCCTCCAGCCGCCAAGCCCCATCCACCCCATCCCGCCCAGCACTGTGCAGGAAAAGCACTCTGTGCGCAATCACCTTTTTGCCTTTTATTGCAAGGTCTATTGTCCCTGAAGAGCCTCATATAATGTGAGCTAAGAGATGCCCAGCATTCAATTTCATTATGCCCCTCCTTCCACCTCTGGTTTCTCCTCTAGAAATATCCCCACACATCTACAAAAAGCCTGTGAAAAAGATGCAGAACATCAAAGGCAAAAATCAGCCTGGGAGCTCCTCCAGGAAACAGCTCCTATCTTGTTCATCTGCGTCCCAGGCACAGCGTCCCTCTCCTTAAGGATACCCAGGCAGAGCTCAGAAAAAAATGTGCATTCTTTATTCCACAAAAGTGGGGAAGGAGCATTTACCAGGAGTTTGCTTGGTATCAGAAACAAAGGAGAATGTGAATAACTGTCATCTTACTGGGTCCCCTAGCAGGGCCCAGGGAGGCGGCCTTCAAGCTGAGGTTGAGAGCACTGACTAGGGAGCCAGGCTGTTGGGTACACTCCTGACTCCCATTCCGATCTGCGGTGTGACCTTGGGCAGGTTACTTAACCTCTCTGGGCTTCAGCTTACTCAACTGTAAAAGAAAACTTTTTAGGAGGATAGCACTGAGCAAAGCACGTTAAGGAGCTGGGATAGTCCCTGGGATGCAGAAAGCCCAGGACACATCAGCTCTACTGTTGTTCCCATTTCACAGGAGGAAAAATCGAACATAGGGCAGCCTGGCCGACCGTCACGATGGGCGCTAATAACAGCAAGGCTGGGCTCACTCCCAGGCATGCCCAGTGCAAAGCACCTTCTACTGACTCTGCCTCCCAAAGACAAGACAGAATATCTAGTGGTGACCAGGGGAAAGCCAGGCACCGGCCACGATCAGCTACTTAGAGGGGAAACACAGAACCGAAGACCACTAACGAGAAACCCATGGCCGGGCGCGGTGGCTCATGCCTGTAATCCCAGCATTTTGGGAGGCCGAGGTGGGTGGATCACCTGAGGTCAGGAGTTCAAGACCAGCCTGGCCAACATGATGAAACCCCGTCTCTACTAAAAATACAAAAATTAGCCAGGCGCGGTGGCGGGAGCCTGTAATCCCAGCTACTTGGGAGGCTGAGGCAGGAGGATCACTTGAACCTGGGAGGCAGAGGTTGCAGTGAGCCAAGATCGCGCCATTGCACTCCAGCCTGGGTGACAAGAGCAAGACTCCATCTCAGAGAGAAAAAAAAAAGACAGAGAGAGAGAAACCCACAGTATCAGGTACCCCTATGAAAAAGAAAATCTTAATTGCAGCATGTGCCTGAGAATGTTCCAAATCCCATTCTTCTGGGCCCAATGATCTACTCGCCCCCAGCAGAGTGCTGGAAATTTCACTCCACAAGTCAGACCCTCATCCCTCTGGGGCCGCAGTGAGACAACCTGGACCCCCTTGCCCATCGTCCTAACACCAACGTCCCCATCACCTTCCTGGGAAAAGTCAAGCAGCCACCCAGGGTCCATTCTTGCAAAACAAAATTCTGCCATAAAGCAGAAAAGAAAAGAAGGGCTGGCCTGGGTTTAGCTCCTGCTGAAAATGATACGAAAGCAACAGAACTCACTGGCGAGGAGGGTGCAGCTGGCGGCAGCTCTGCAGACCAGCACAGCCGGCGGACGTCGGAGGGCAGGCGGGCACACACCCCGTTCATATAGGGACGTGGCAGGGGCGCCACTATGACTTGCACTTCAAGGGAAAGCCTCTTTGGGGAGCCTTTGAGGAAGGTCACAGAGGGTCAGGCTGTGGAAGGACCGGGGTGTTTCCAGCGATAGCTCCTTGCTGACCACAGACCACTATTTCTGTCTTGACTCCCATCAGCCTCATGGGCCAGGGCAACTGCTCCCCAGGAAAACCCCCATGCACAAAGAAGGAAGGAAGGGCGCGCCCAGGCCCCTGGGCTGACTGAAGATGCACGTGGCTCAGAGCTAAACTGAACAACAGACATTGGCCTCCCACTGCCTTTGCTCTCTGGGCCCTGAGACAGGAGAAGTGATTGGGGGTCTGCAAGCTGGCACGGAGCTGGGTCTCCTCTGCCTGACCCCCGGCAAGAGGTGGCACCACTGTGGGCACGTGCCACCCCAGCTGCATCTCCCGTGTGCCGACTACGTCAGGAGGACCAAATGCTAACACATGGAACACTTGCCACCCCGTTTCCACGACAACAGAAATCAAATATCGGACACAGAAAGAAGAAGCTGAGGCTGCCCCGACACGGAGGCGGCAGGCTGCTCTCGGGAGCACTCACTTCCCCAAAGGAAGGTCCTTGAATGAGGGGAGAAGTAGGACTCGCATGATACCTACCTTGGCCGGCAACTTGCTCCCCCTTTCCTCGGCCTGAACCCTCTCCTGGTTTATAACACCAGGCCCAGCCCCTCCCTACCAGGTGACACAGGCGGGCTCTCTGTCTGGTCTGGGTTCCTCGTCGGTAAAAAGGGGTTATTAACAATGACCAGCCTCATGTGCTGCTGTGGGAATCCACAAATTTCAGTGGTTCCTGGCATCCAGGAAGCACGATTAGCTTTTATTTATTCCAATTACCAGTCCCCCAACTCCCTGTGGAAGCTCTTTCCTGAGGCTGGCTTCCTGGAGGTGTTGCTCGATTAACTGACAATCCCAGTTCTGCTGAAGCAGGAAGCGGTGAGGCCCACGGGAGGCCCATGTCCCGACCCAGCAGGTGCTCCAGGCGGGGCTCTGGGGCAGGCAGTGGACTGGGACATGCCTGGCCCACTCCCAGGGGCACTAGTGCCCCTCTCCCATTCGAGGCCAGGATCAACAGTGAGGGCTCACCCGCCGGTCACCCCTGTCCCCCAACACTCCACTCCCACGGCACAAACCAAGCTTCATCCAGAGTCAAAACTAGGACTTGAGGAAGCAACAAAAAGACACCCAATGCCGATGCGAGTCCCCAGCACTAATGCAGGTCCCCAGGGCTAATCCAGGTCCCCAATGCTGATCCAGGTCCCCAGCACTGATGTGGTCCCCAGCTCTGATGCAGTTCCCAACACTGGTTTTGGTTTAACAGTTTTCCTGCTGGGAGACTTGATGCAGGAATCCAAGGCCAGGACAGCAAACAGCACTTCATGGCCCAGGAGATGCCTCGACAGCCAAGTGAGGACATCATGAGGGCACAGACAGGAAGGCCCTCGCCAGCCCAGTGCTCCATGGAGAGGGCCTTTCCATCTGCCCAGTGTCCAGTGCCACCCACGAAGGAAGGCTGGGGCAAGGGAGGGTCTTCCTGACGTGTGTGTATCCACTGAGCTGGCCAAGGAGATGCCTGGGGCTGGTGGTCAGCCCCTTGGGGGAGGAGGCAGAAATAACAGAGGATCAGTCAGGAAAGGAAATGTGATTAGCTTTTAAAAGGAAAATAACTACGCACTTGAAAAATCATAAAAGGATCAGCAGCCTAGTAGTCACATCTTAGAGTCAGGTTTAGACCACTTCAATGTAATGCAACTAACTAACATTTCATTCACTCACCCTGTATGCATCGACTGCCTCCTACCTGCCAGGCAAGGGGATTTCACAATGCAAGCAAGGCAGCCAAGACCCAGCTCCTGACACGCCATTTTCAGAATAAATTAAAGGGGCCTGGCACAGTGGTTCACACCTGTACTCCCAGCACATTGGGAGGCCAAGGCAGGAGGACCGCTCGAGCCCAGGAGTTGGAGACCAGCCTAAGCAACATAGTGAGACCCTGTCTCTACAAAAACTTAGCCAGATACAATGGCACATACCTGTAGTTCCAGTTATTCAGGAGGCTGAGGCAGGAGGATCACTTGAGCCTATGACCATCCCACTGCACTCTAGCCTGGGCAACAGAGTGAGACCCTGCCTAAGAAGAAGAAAAAGAAAGAAGAAAGAAGAAAAAAAAGGAAGAAGAAGAGAGGAGGAGATGGAGGAGGAAGAGGAGGAGGAGGAGGAGGAGGAGGAGGAGGAGGAGGAGGAGAAATAATTAAGGGACTGATGTCATCATTTCATTTGATTCTCATCAAGGCCCCATAAGGCAAGCAAGAAAGAACCCTTATGATCATCCCTATCTAACAGATGAGGAAACGGAGGCAGTGAGTGGTCGACAGGCTGTTGAAGGTCTTATACAGGGTGCGTATCAGGATCTCAACTCAGATGTGTGCCGTGCACCTACTGTGTGCCAGGCATCACTCAAGCCTGGGGTGCCAAGGTGAGAAACACTGCAGCCCTGCCTTCAAGCTATCAAAGTGGGAGAAAAGTCAATACATGCATAAATACAAGGTATGGGGATGATGGGTGGGGAGGCACCCCTTGTTAAGATAATTAAGACTGAGCCAAACGTAAGTTACAACCTTAGAGGCAGGTCATATCCTTTTCAATATAACCCATTAAAAGCCAGAGAAGTACAGATTCGACTTTTTGCTAAAATATTTCTGCCTGAGTTCTAAGGGGCTCACAGGGAGAAAGGCCCTTCAGTATCCCCCGGCTCTGCTTCTGTTTGAATTGGGCCCTTCACTGGCCATCACTAAAAACAAAGCACTCAGTTGAAAGACAAAGTATTTCAGAAAAACGGTAACTTGGATGGTGACTTTTAAGAAGTGGTAGATTCCACCATAGCCACCCACCTGGTACACAGTAGGCGCTCAATAGATGTTTGCTGTAGCGCCACTCTCATTCCTTTTTAGCAGCTTTTAAGAAAGAGCAAGGCTTCCTTTAAAAAGAAGTAGGAGACTACTGGGTATCTACCCAAGGGAAAAGAAGTCATCAGACAAAAAACATACTTCACACACGTTTATAGCACCACAATTCACAATTGCAAATATATGGAACCAATCAAATGCCCATCAATCAATGAGTGGATAAAGAAATTTCAGTGTATACACACACACACACACACACATGCACACACACACACACCATGGAATACTAATCAGCCATAAAAAGGAACAAAATAATGATATTCGCAGTAACCTGGATGGAAATGGAACTGGAGACCATTATTCTAAGTGAAGTAACTCAGGAATAGAAAACCAAACATCGTATGTTCTCACTCAGAAGCAGGAGCTAAGCTATGAGGATGTAAAGGCATAAGAATGATACAATGGACTTTGGGGACTTGGGGAAAGGGTGGGAGGTAGGTGAGGGATAAAAAGACTACATATTGGGTGCAGTGTACACTGCTCGGGTGATGGGTGCACCAAAATCTCACAAATCACCACTAAAGAGCTTATTCATGTCACCAAACACACCTGTTCCCCAAAAACCTGTTGAAATAAACAATAAAGAAATAAGAAAGAGGTGGGAGGCTGGGCGTAGTGGCTCACACCTGCATCCCAGCACTTTGGGAGGCCGAGGCAGGAGGATCGCTTGAGCCCAGGAGTTCGAGACCAGCTTGGGCAACATAGAGACCCAGCCTCTAAAAAAACAGAAAATAAATAAGATGAGGGAGAAGGTAATAAAATATAATCTTCCTGGACAGACTTCTCCTTCTGAGAACCCCCACCCAGAAGCTGCCCTCAGCACCACTATGGTACCACCACGTCCCCTGATTCATCTGGGGAAGACGAAGCAGATAGACAAAGGGTCCCCACAAAACCCCAAAACTAGTCAGTGAGCACTGGGGGAGCAGTGGGAGAAAGCCAAGTTTCCAGGGTCTCAGTGGGGCACATGGGGCAGGCTGGGCTGGCCCCACATAAGCTCTGAGGACCTCATCCAATGCCATTCAAAGTAAAACCCAAAGAAATGACACTTTCCTTTCTTCACAAAAACCCTGTACATTTCCTCTTGGTTTCATACAATCAACCAAACCTGGGGATCAGTGGAAAGAACTTGCAAAGGCCCATCTAGCTCTGAGAACCCTCATCCTAGAACTATCCGGATTAATGTTCTGCTGCTGTTGTTGCTGTTAGACAGGGTCTCACTCTGTCACCCAGGCTGAAGTGCATTAGTGCCATCACAGCTTGCTGTGGCCTCCACCTCCCGGGCTCAAGTGATCCTCCCACCTCAGCCTCCTGAGTAGCTGAGACTACAGGTGCATGCCATCATATCCAGCCAACTGTTTGTTTTTGTTTTTGTTTTTGTTTGTAGAGACAGGAGTCTCACTTTGTTGCCCAGGGTGGTCTCCAAATCCTGGGCTCAAGCGATCCTCCAGCCTCTGCCTCCCAAAGTGCTGGGATTATAGGTAGGAACCACATATAATTACCTGGAGTAATGTCTTAAGGCCAACGACCTCTCCTAGGCCCACAGGTGAGAACTGCCCCTTCTTCAAGGTCACGTCCTTTGGCCTCCAAGGACGTGAAGCATCAGAACTTGAACACTGACCCCAGCCTCTGGGGAACTCGGCCAGGCCCTTCAACAAACGCGAGTCCACACACATTTCCTGCTCTGAGCTCCTTCCTGCTTTCCTAACATTGCCTCCACCTGGGCACGGCGCATGCCTGTGTTATTCGTCTCCACAAAACACGTGGAAAGGAAAAGGGATCCAAGGCCCCACGGCCACGCTTCCAAACAGCTGGGTTTCGGCGTGACTATAACCAGGTGATACGGCTGGCTGCACCGAGGGCTGGTGGTCTCGGCAGGAAGGAAGACTGGCTGACGTGGCCAGCATCACACATGCGATCCCCAGCATCTTAACAGAGCAGGATATTCCACTCCCCAGGCCCCAGCACCACCCCAACACCAGCCCTCTGCCCTTGCATGGCAGCATGGCAGGGCATGAGACAGGTGAAGGCGCCACTGACCACACAGAAACCGAGGAGGAAAGCGATCCCAGGCCTCTGGTATCAAAGGCCGCACCGCACCCCATCCACGGAACACCTGGCCCCGAGAATGGGAAGCCGGGGAGGCCTGGGAAGTGACACGGAATGTGGCAACAGAGAGCACATCGGCTCGGCCAGAACTGGGAATCCGAGCTGGCCTGGTCATTGAGAGCTTCTCACATGCCCTGGAGGAAGTCATCTCCCAACTCATCTGTACCAGGAGCAGCTGCCTGATCCCAAGGGGCACAGACCATGCCCTCTGTGAGTGTGGACCCCCAGCACCGAGCAGGCCACGAGGAGTGAGTGAACTGGACAACCACACATACTCTGGGGATCACTGTGCCCCGGAAATCACTCCCCAACCCCACTAACCCCACACCCTGCCTGTCAGGCACCCTCTAAACCACGACGCTGAGGACGGAGACCACAGGACACACCGCAAGTGCTTGTAAAATAATAAGAAATATTCATATTGGGCCAGGCGCGGTGGCTCACGCCTGTAATCCCAGTACTTTGGGAGGCCAAGACAGGTGGATCACCTGAGGTCAGGAGTTTGAGACCAGCCTGGCCAACATAGTGAAACCCCGTCTCTAATAAAAATACAAAAATTAGCCCAGCATGATGGTGCACACCTGTAGTCCCAGCTACTCAGGAGGCTGAGGCAGGAGAATCACTTGAACCCGGGAGGCGGAGGTTGCAGTAAGCTGAGATCACACCACTGCACTCCAGCCTGGGTGACAGACCGAGACTCCATCTCAAAAAAAAAAAAAGAAAAGAAAAGAAATATTCATATTGGTCTCTGCCACCAGTCCCTGGCACACAGATCCTAAGAACCTTGTAATTTCCAGGTGCCAGGACAATCTTTTGTTCTAATATTTAGTCTTTGACCCTGGTTCCTGACACAAAGTTCCTAATCCCTTGGAATTTCCAGGGAGATAAAAGGATGTTTTATTCTAATGAGGTGACTCTTGGTGGCTCCTGGGTGGGGGCTGAGCACCAGAAAGACCCAGACACAATTAGAAGCCTGGAGCTTTCAGCTCCACACCCCCCAACCCCACCCTCCAGAAAGGGGAGAGGGGCTGGAGATTGAACTAATAACCAGACATGCCTACATGATGAAGCCTCCGTAAAAATCCCTGAACTACAGGGTGCAGAGAGCTTCCGGGTGGGTAAACACATCCAGGTGCCAGGAGGGTGGCACACCCCAACTCCAGGGCAACAGAAGCTCCTGTGCTGGGGGCCCTCCCAGGCCTCACCCTGTGTGCCTCCTCCTGTTCTGCTCACCTGCACCCTTTATCATCTCCTTTATAATAGACCAGGGAGCACAAATGCAGTGTTTCCCTGAGTTCTTTTTTTTTTTTTTCCAGACAGGGTTTTGCTCTTGTTGCTCAGGCTGGAGTGCAGTGGTGCGATCTCAGCTCACTGCAATCACCACCTCCCAGGTTCAAGCAATTCTCCTGCCTCAGTCTCCCGAGTAGCTGGGATTACAGTGCCCACCACCATGCCCAACCAATTTTTGTATTTTTAGTAGAGATGGGGTTTCACTATGTTGGCCCGGTTGGTCTCGAACTCCTGACCTCAAGCAATCCACCTGCCTTGGCCTCCCAAAGTGCTGGGGTTACAGGCTTGAGCCACCGTGCCTGGCCCATTTCCAAGTTCTGAGTCCCAGCAAATTAATCAAAACCGAGGAAGCAGTCGTGGGGACCCTGATTTGGGGTGCAGTCTCGTGGGGCTGAGCCCTCACCTGTGGGGTCTGAGGCTCTCTCCAGGTCGATGGTGTCAGAATTGAACTGAACTGCAGGACACCCAGCTGGTGTCTGCTGGAGAACTGCCAGGTGCGGCAGGAAGCATCCCTGCACCTCTGGTGTCAGAAGTCTTACCCTGGGCAGTATGTGAGCAGAGGGAAGGAACAGTTTGCAGGTTCCTCCTACAGTGCTAAACAAATAATTGTCAAAGTACAGTCAATCGCCTTGATTCATGGATTCTGTATGTGTAAATGTGTCTACTGGCTAAAATTTGTAAGCTCAGAATCAATACTCTTGGCCTACATTCATTCACAGACCTGCACACAGAAGCAAAGAATCTGACTGGGTGTGGTGGCTCACACCTGTAATCCCAGCACTTCGGGAGGCCAAAGCGGGTGGATCGCCTGAGGTCAGGAGTTCGAGACCAGCCTGACCAATATGGTGAAACCCCGTCTCTACTAAAGATACAAAAATTAGCTGGGTGTGGTAGTGCGCACCTATAGTCTCAGCTACTCGGGAGGCTGAGGCTGGAGAATTGCTTGAACCCAGGAGGCAGAGGTTGCAGTGAGCCGAGATTGCACCACTGCACTCCAGCCTGGGTGACGCAGTGAGACTCCACTCAAAAAAAAAAGAATCTGAGTTGCCGGATGTGTCCCCACCTGAGGTCAAACACGGGGCGCTCTGCCTTCTTGTCTGAGGTCTCACATCATAAACAAGTGTCCATTTCATGGTCTATTTAATGCCATGTTTTTCACATTTTTCTGCTATTTGTTGGTGACTTCACTGTTTTGGTTTGTTTTGTTTTGTTTTGTTTTGTTTTGTTTTTGAGATGAAGTCTTGCTCTGATGCCCAGGCTGGAGTACAGTGACGTGACTTCGGCTCACTGCAACCTCTGCCTCCTGGGTTCAAGCAATTCTCCAGCCTCAGCCTCCTGAATAGGTGGGATTACAGAAGCACACCACCATGCCCAGCTAATTTTTTTGTACTTTTAGTAGAGACTGGGCTTCCCCATGTTAGCTAGGCTGGTCTCGAACTCCTGACCTCAGGTGATCTGCCTGCCTCGGCCTCCCAAAGTGCTGGGATTACAGGCATGAGTCACCGTGCCCAGCCAACTTTGCTGTTTAAAATGGGTCCCCACGCGTGGCGAGGGGTACTCCTAGTGTTCCCAAGTGCAAGAAGGCTGAGGTATGCCTTGCAGAGAACGCACAGGTCAGAGAAGCTTCATTCAGGCAGCACTTATACTGCTGTTGGCCGTGAGCTCAATGTTAATCAATCAACAATACATTTTAAATAACGTATCTTTAAAAAGAAACATATATAAGAAAAAGTTATGTATGGATCTGTTGCTGAAAATGTTGTGACCAGAGGCTCGCAGGAACCGAGCGCTGTACTGCCCTAGGAGTGATGGCTCAGTATTGGCTAACTTGGGGTTTGTGGCAACTTTATAGATCAAAACCACCATGAATAATGAGAACTGGCTGAGTTTAAGAAGGAATGAACTAAACCCAGCACCCCACTCCAGCCGGCTGATTAGACCTCTTCCCATCCTGCTTGTTTTCCCTTCTTGAGCAACATCAAACTATGAGACCTCTCCTTCGCCTGTGCCCAAAGAACCCGGGTGTATTCCACCTTTTGTCCAGATATTAATGCCGAATGTAGTTGGGTTACTAGATGACATTTACCCAGTTAAGTCCCATCAGGTATAACTCACCCTAAGCTCCGGTTGCCCCACTACCTGACCTGACACACCAGGATTTTTAGAACCTCAAAGCTCCCAGCTTCCACCATCTTTCCACCAGCAAGTTCTTCTGGCTCAATCTCCCTTTCTGCTGCTCAAACATTTAAAAGTTTCCTATTGAAAACGATTCCCTTGCCTCAGATCTTGGGACTAAAGATGGTCCTGTGACAATCAACCATGAAATTCTTTTCTTTTCTTTTTTTTAGAAAGAGTCTCTCTCTGTTGCCCAGGCTGGAGTGCAGTGGCAGAATCTCAGCTCACTGCAACCTCCACCTCCTGGGTTCAAGTGATTCTCCTGCCTCAGCCTCCCAAGTAGCTGGGATTACAGGTGGCTGCCACCACACCCAGCTAATTTTTTGTATTTTTAGTAGAGATGGCATTTTACCATGTTGGCCAGGCTGGTCTCAAACTCCTGACCTCAGGTGATCCACCTGCCTTGGCCTTCCAAAGTGCTAGGATGACAGACATGAGCCCCCACGCCTGGTCTCAGCCATGAAATTCTAATACAAAAGGCCACCTTACATTTCAGAGTGCCCTTTCCGCCTTCCCACAACATAGGAAAGAACATTTCTCCCGATAGCAAGCAGAGAAAGCATCGTGGTAGAGAAACTGCCACCTGGGTACCTCACATCCCCCTTCCATGATGCTGAGCAAACACGCCCCGCCAAAGACGACGAGTGCTGTTTAAAACCAAATGACAGCAGGCTTTGCAAGTGTTTAATAACACATCTTCTGTGCCTGTCAAACAAGCCAAGTGAGACTTTTTAAAGGAAAATGTGTACGGCATCTTTCTTTATTAAGCTGAGACAATCAACACCACGTACGTGACACCTGAATGTACACCCAACATTCACATTTTGTGGCAACAGGCATCTCTTCTCCCCTGTGAATGAGCTTGGGATACCATACCGGTGCCTTCTACTTCTCGAGGCTGATGGAGAGTAGCATTTATGCAAAAGGAGTACATCAGAAAAACTGCTCCTTACCTTATGGCTGACAAATGGAACAGGATGAAATGACTCAGCAGAAGTCAACCTAAAAGGGCTTGTCAGTGTGCAAGCTGTGGGCACTGTGCAAACACAAGCCTCACGGTGTTTTATTAATCCAAAGAGAAGAACAAGTCCTCCTCCCCTTTCCCATCAAGACCTAGAACAGTCTAATAACTAGCCACGGGGCTGGGCACAGAGGCTCATGTCTGTAATCCCAGCACTTTGGGAGGCTGAGGTGGGTGGATCACTTGATGCCAGGAGTTCGTGACCAGCCTGGCCAACATTGTGAAACCCCGTCTCTACTAAACATACAAAAATTAGCTGGGTGTGGTGGCGGATGTCTGTAATGCCCGCTATTCAGGAGGCTGAGGCAGAAGAATCGCTTAAATGTGAGAAGCAGAGGTTGTAGTGACCTGAGATCGTGCCACTGCACTCCAGCCTGGGCAACACAGCAAGACTCCCTCTCAGAAAAAAAAAAAAAAAAAAAAAAGCCACAGGGTGTGCAGAACTAAGAAGATACAATCAACTCTGCTTCTGTTTCCCCCCCCCATCACACCCTCATCTATGAAAGTAATAACAAGAAGGGTGACTGAGTGACCATAACTAGTGGGTTTTAGTCACTAACTGAGCACCAGGTACTGTGGGTTGAATGGTGTCTCATCCAAAATCCACGTCCGATGGGCGCAGAGGCTCATGCCTGTAATCCCAGCACTTTGGGAGGCTGAGGCAGGTGGATTGCCTGAGCTCAGGGGTTCAAGACCACCCTGCGCAACAGAGTGAAACCCCATTTTTACTAAAAATACAAAAATTAGCCAGGTGTGGTGGCAGGTGCCTGTAATCCCAGCTACTCAGGAGGCTGAGGCAGGAGAGTCGCTTGAACTCGGGAGGAGGAGGTTGCAGGGAGCCAAGATCGTGCCATTGCACTCCAGCCTGGGCTACAGAGTGAGACTCCATCTCAAAAAAAAAAAAAAAAAAAAAAATCCACGTCCACCTGGAATTGGACAACTGGAGAATGTGCCTTATTTGGAAACAGGGTCTTTGCAGATGTAATCAAGTTCGGATGAGGTCATACTGGACTGCGGTGGGCCCAGCTGGTGTCCACATGGGAGAGAGAAATTTGGATGCTGACATGCAGAGAGAAGACCATAGGAAGACACAGAGGGGCATGAAGGGGGACACCTGTGACAATGGAGGCTGACTGGAGTGACATGGCCACAAATCAAGATATGCCAGGACTGCCCACCGTCCCCAGAAGCCAAGAGAGTCAGGAAGGATCCCTCCCTGGAGACTTTAGATGGAGCAAGGCCCTGCTGACACCTTGATCTTGGACTTCTGGTCTTCAGAGCTGGGAGAGAATAAACTTCTGCTCTGTAAGCCAGCCAGTGTGGGGTACTCTTTTATGTCAGGCCTAGGAAATTAATGCAGATTTTGTATTATCTCAATTTATTATTTTCAAGAGCCCAGTTAGGCAGGTGCCTTCCTTTCCTCCACTGGACAGGGGAGGCAACCGAGGTTCAGGGAAGTTATGTCCCTTCCCAGGGTACACCCCAGACAGGAAAGCAGGCAGGAGGATGAAGCCAGGTCTAGCGGCTCTCAGCCCCACCCCTCTCAAAGAGCCCAGGCTTCCAGCAAAGCTCATGCCACACTGGGAGGCTCCTGGTCCCTGCTTGAGCCGTCCAACCTCCCCTCAAGGCAAGCATGAACCCACAGGGCTTCCCAGGACCTAAGCTGTGGGACTGGGGCTCCAGCCCCCTCTCTCTCCTCTCCCTCCTCTTCCACTCCCCTCCCCCACCAAGCGGGTGTCTGGTGCTAGACTGACTCCTCTCTCAGTCCCACAGGTGCCAAGTGCTGAGACACCGGGCCCCCTGCACATCTGGCAAGACAAACCGTGAACTGCAAGTGGGCCTCCTGCTATATCCACTGGTCTCCTGAGCTGACCTAAGGCAGGCCTCCCCCGAGACCCAGTCCACCCAGAGTGCGGATAAACTCAGGCTCCAAAACCACCCCTGCCAAGTCACAAGGGCCCCCCTTGGACAGCTCTCAGGACACAGCGTCCCAGCTCTCCTCGGGCCTCGCTCTTGGGTGAAATCCAGCATGAGCCTCTTCCCCCACTTTTGGATTTTTTGCGAGCACGGAGATTCTTTTTAGAAGCTTTATTGCTCTACAGTCACTTCATTAGTTCTAGAACCAAATAATCCCATTATATATGACTCGACTGGCTCATAAAATTATCATTCATTCTAACAAATATTTATTGAGCGTGCCACATGTGCTATGCTTGGTACATCACATTTTTAAAAAATAATTTACTTAGCTAATGATCACAAGTCCCCTAATTTAATTTACTCTTAAATGTGTTTAATTTTCCCACAAATGGAACGACACGCTTCTAAACTGAGCATTTTTGTCAGGTTGAGACACGCAGGACAAAAAAAAAAGAGAGAGAGAGAAAGAGAAACTTATCAGCAAGAAAGCCTTGGAACAAAAACGCCCCCAGCTCAGCCCCCAGCTCCACCCCCAGCTCAGCCCCCAGCTCCACCCCCAGCTCAGCCCCCAGCTCCACCCCCAGCTCAGCCCCCAGCTCCACCCCCAGCTCAGCCCCCAGCTCGGTCCCAAGCCTCTAACCCCTGGGCACAGAGCAGGTGCCATTTCCAGACATTTTATACAGTCACCCTCACCACCTGAGAGCTATCATCATTACCTGATTGAGAAAACTGGGGCACAAAGGCCAGATGAGGTGGCTCACACTTAATCCCAGCACTTTGGGAAGCTGAGGCAGGAGGATCACTTGAGCCCAGGGGTTCGAGGCCACCCTGGGCAACATAGTGAAACCCCATCTCAACAAATAATTAAAAAATTAGCCAGGTGTGGCTGTGCACGCCTGTCGTCCCAGCTACTCAGGAGGCTGAGGTGGGAGGATTGCTTAAGCCCACAGGGTCGAGGCTATAGTGAGCCGTGATTGCACCACTGTACACCAGCCTGGGTGACAGAGGGAGAACCTGTCTCAAAAACAAAAACAAAACGAGACAAAATGAAAACAAAACAACAACAACAACAAAAAATCTGTGGCACAGAGAGGTAGAGTAATTTGTCCGATCTGGTTCAGCAGGCAGGAAATGGCGCAGGCAGAATTCGAACCCGGGCAACGCTGCATCCGTGTGTGTGCCCTTCACCCACCTGCTCCCTGCCTCTTAATTAAAACTCAGCAGGAGGAAATCCACATGCAACTCAGGCACAGAATCACCCCTCCCAGGTGACAAAGGGACGGTGCTCCTGGTGTGGGATCCCACACGGCCACACAGCAGAGGCAGCGGTGCCCCAAGTAAATGGGGCTGTGCCCCAAAGCTAGGCTACTGCGTAAACTCGAGTCATAGGACAGCACGCACGGTGGGGCTCCCGTCATATTGGGGTCAAAGTCGGGCAAAACTAAAGAAAGTGAGGGACAGAGATGCATGCGTGTGCAAAACGCAAGGAAAGACAAGCAAGTGGGGCAGGGCCTGCTGACTAGCTGCCTGGACTGGGTGGGGAGCGGCCTGGTGCTTGGCTAACCATTATTCTGGGCGTGCCTGTGAAGGTGTTTCTAGATGAGGTTAGCATTCGAATCGGTAGACTGGGTACAACAGATGGCCCTCCCCAGTGCGGATAGGCCTCGGCCAATCCATTTGACACCTGAATAGACCGAAAGGCAGGGTAAGGGGATTCACTCAGCTGGGACGTGGGTCTCCTCCCGCACTTGGGCTGACGCCATTGGCCCTCCTGGGTCTCCAGCTTGAAGATCCTGGGATTTCTCAGTCTCGTAACCACATGAGCCAATAACTTATAATCAATCTCTTCAAATATATATATATATAGAGAGAGAGAGAGAGAGAGAGATGGATAGAGACAGACAGAGAGACAGGCTGGGCGCGGTGGCTCACGCCTGTAATCCCAGCACTTTGGGAGGCCGAGGCGGGCGGATCACGAGGTCAGGAGATCGAGATCATCCTGGCCAACATGGTGAAACCCCGTGTCTACTAAAAATACAAAAATTAGCCGGGTGTGGTGGCCAGTGCCTGTAATCTCAGCTACTGGGGAGGCTGAGGCAGGAGAACTGCTTGAACCAGGGAGTCAGAGGTTGCACTGAGCCGAGATCACACCATTCCAGCCTGGCGACAGAGTGAGACTCTGTCTCAAAAAAAAAAAGAGACAGAGAGAGCTACATATCTCCCATTGGTTCTGTTTCTCCAGAGAACTCTAACTAATACAACATGCTAAATGCAACGTTCAAGGCGGCACTGGTCACCTCTGGTGGGGAGGGAGGCGCACAGGAGGTACGGGGCATATGGCTCGGGGAACAGGTAATGTTATTTCTTAAGCTGGATAGCAGGAACGTGGGTACTTCCTTAATATTAGTCAGTAAACTATACATATGTACACTCTTTTGTATGTGTAATGTATTTCCCAGTATTTTTTTTTCATTCTTTCAATTGTAGTAAGGTACATTTAACATAAAATACATAAAATTTCTCACTTTAACCTTTTTTTTTTTTTTTTTTTTTTGAGATGGAGTTTCACTCTTGTCGCCCAGGCTGGAGTGCAATGGCGCAATCTCGGCTCACGGCAACCTCTGCCTCCTGGGTTCAAGTGATTCTCCTGCCTCAGCCTCCCGAGCAGCTGGGATTACAGGCGCCCACCACCACACCCGGCTAATTTTTGTAGTTTTAGTAGAGAGGGAGTTTCACCATGTTGGCCAGGCTGGTCTCAAGACTCCTGACCTCAGGTGACCTGCCCACCTCGACTTCCCAAAGTGCTGGGATTACAGGTGTGAGCCACCGCACCCGGCTACTTTAACCATTTTTAAGTGTACGGTTCAGTGGCACTAAGGACATTCACTGCTGTGCCACCATCGCTGTTATCCGCCAAACTCTTTTCTTCTTGCAAGGCAGAAACACTAACTCCCTGTCCCCTCCCTGCCCAGCCCCCAACCCCTGCCCCTGGCAACTGCCATTCCACTTCCTCTCTCTATGAGTTTAACTCTTCTAGCTGAGGAGCTCATGCTGTAATCTGAGCACTTTGGGAGGCCAAGGCGGGAGGATTGCTTGAGCCCAGGAGTTCGAGACCAGCCTGGGCAACATAGCAAGACCTTGTGTTTACAAAAGAATTTAAAAGTTAGCCAAGCGTTGTAGTGCGCGGCTGTAGTGCCTGCTACTAGGGAGGCTGAGGTGGGAGGATCACTTGAGCCCGAGAGGTGAGGTTGCAGTGAGCCAAGATTGCATCACTGTACTCCAGCCCTGTCTCAAAAATAATAATAATAATAAAAGATGTTGGGGCACTTTAGCCTCAGAAAACAGAATCTCTCTAACCTTCTGCCCTCCTTTCACCTGCCCAAGGCAGGACTCTCATCAGATTGTAAGTAATGAGACCCTCACTCCAGAGAGGGGCCCCCACACCTTGGAGGAAGGAAGGCTGCACAGATAGGTCTTGCAGGGCCTCCCCAGTCCATCTGTTAGTGTTAGATCACACCCTTGCTGTCCAATCCTATTTCTACATGGCTGTCAATCGTGCATATCCAATGAGGCTCCATAAAAGGCCCAGGAAGGCAGGATTCAGGGAGCTTCCAGAGACTGGATGCTTGGTTTTGGCAAAGTGGCACGCCCAGAGAGGGCATGGAAGCTCTGCACCCCTTTCCCTACACCTCACCCTATGTATCTCCTCATCTGTATCCTTTGTAATATCCTTTATAATAAACCAGGAAATATAAGTAAATGTTTCCCCGAGTTCTGTGAGTCACCCTAGCAAATTAATTGAACCCAAAGATGGGGCTGTGGGAACCCTGACTTACAGCCACTGTTCAGAGTCTTGGGAGACTGAGCCCTCACCCTGTGGGATCTGATGCCATCTCCAGGTAGGTGGAGTCAGAACTGAATTGAATTGAACTAGGGGACATCCAGCTGGTATCCGCCAGTTGGTGCAGGAAAAACCCACACATTTGGTCACTGGAGTCTGTTAACTGTTGTTGTGTTGCTGTGAGTCTGGGCTTTCCCAGGCATCCCCGCTACCTGTACGGTGCCCTAACACCCATTCAGGGCAGCGCTGTGAAAGCCACAGGGAGCAGCAGCCGAATCCTTTAAATGCCCATCACTGAGAACTTCTAGAAAATGTAACATCAGGCTGGGCGCGGTGGCTCATGCCTGTAATCCCAGCACTTTGGGAAGCCAAGGAGGGCGGATCATGAGGGCAGGAGTTCGAGACCATCCTGGCCAACATGGTGAAACCCTGTCTCTACTAAAAATACAAAAATTAGCTGGGCGAGGTGGTGTATGCCTCTAATCCCAGCTACTCGGGAGGCTGAGGAAGGGGAATTGCTTGAACCCAGGAGGCAGAGGTTGCAGTGAGCCGAGATCACACTAATGCACTCCAGCCTGGGAGACAGAGCAAGACTCCATCTCAAAAAAAAAAAAAAAAAAGATGTGTAACATCATACAAAGATGTGTGTGTGTTATTTAAATTGTTGGTTTAAACCATAGATTGGCAAACTGCAGCCAGTGAGCAAATCTGGCCCACCACCTGTCTTTTTGGGTGTTTTGTTTTGTTTTGTTTTGTTTTTTGAGATAGGGCTTTGCTCTGTCTCCCAGGCTGGGGTGCAGTGGCACAATCACAGTTCACTGTGGCCTCAACCTCCTGAGCTCAAGGGATCTTCCCACCTCAGCCTCCCAAGTAGCTGAGACTACAGGTGAGCACCAACACACCCAACTAATTTTTGTATTTGTTGTAGAGACAGGGTCTTGCTATGTTGCTCAGGCTGGTCTTGAACTCCTGGGCTCAAGCAATCCGCCTGCCTCAGCCTCCCAAAGTGCTGGGATTACAGGCATGAGCCACCACACCCAGCCCCCCACCTACTTTTGTAGCTTCAGGGGGACGCAGCCACGGCTATGCTTATGAACTGTCTATAGGGGCTTTCATGCTTCCAAGGCAGAGTTGATTCATTCCTACAGAGGCAGGATGGCTCACAGAGGCTGAAATATTCTCTGGATCTTTACAGAAAGAGATCGCAGTTGCTCAATGAAGAACATTCATAACACAATGTTTTGACATTTTCAAGGGGTGGGAAGTTAGCACTGGGGTGATATCAGGAACACAGGTAGGTTCGGCATTCCCAGAATCAGGTGAGGAGAGCAGGCCCGGGCCTTCTTTCTCCCGGTGCTGTCGAACCACAATTTATGCAGGTCCAGCCCTGCCTGCCTGTGTTTGGCATTCACACCGCCTCTCAGGGTGACGGACTCTCATGTTGCACTTCCAGCTTAATTCTTTTAACTTGATTTCCAACTGTGACCTTCAAGTTTCACTCACAACCCTTACTGGCAGGAGAACCGCCGAGGCAATTAGAAGATCAAAGGCCAGATGGTGACTGTATTCGCATCCTGTGGCCACCTTAACAAAGTACCTCAAACTGGCAGCTTAAAACAACAGACGTCGATTCTCTCCCAGTTCTGGAGGCCAGAAGTCTGAGATCAAGGTGTCGGCAGAGCCGTGCTCTCACTGAGGGCTCCAGGCGAGGATCCGTCCTGGCCTCTTCCCAGTTTCTGGTGGTGGCCATCAGTCCTCGGTGCATCTTGGCTTGTGGCAGCATCTCTCCAATCTCTGTCCAGCCTCTGTGTCCCGTGTCTGTCTGTGTCCTGCCTCCTCTCCCCATAAAGGCCCCAGTCACATTGAATTAGGGGCCCACCCTACTTCAGACAGGCCTCGTCTTAAGCACATCTGCAAAGACCCTATTTCCAAATAAGGTGACAGTCCCAAGGGCTGGAGACTAGGACCTGGACATACCTTTTAGGGGAACACAAACCCCTAACAGAGACCTTCACTCAATTTCCTCCCATGGTCCCTTCCTGCACTTCTGCACAATCCTCTCCCCTCATTGACACAAACCAAGCGCTTCCCGGCATTCGCCTCATTGGTTACACACAGCGCCGACAACAGGAAGGGCTCCTTCCAGCAAGAAAGGTTGGGGTGGTTATCTCCTTCCTTTTCCTGCTGTTGCTAAGCAGGCCACCAGCACAGCCTTGCCCACCCAACACTATCACCTGCTTGTCTCTCCACAGAGACATGGTCAGAGCTGGGACTGAAGGGCTTCACTGAGGCCAGCCAGGCGCCAGCCACAGAGTCACAGGCTATCTACAATGGCAGTGTGGCCAGCCGAACAGTCCCCACCTCATCATCAATCCCCCCAGCGCCTACAAACAGACGGGGTGACACAACAGCTTTGCAGGGCTCCCCTTCTCTCTTCGTAAGAATTGTTGATATTTTTCAGTTGGGAATTTGCAGCTGCAGAGCACAAGTCTTTGACGGCATGGCACCTGTCAAATGAGACCTTTTCCACGAGCTGGTGGTAGGATTTTTACGGCTGCCTAACTACTCTGTCACGGGAGATCTCTGCTTCTGCCCCCATGGCTGTTACTCAGCACAGATGCTGCTCTTGAAGCCCGCAGCAGTGAGGGAGTCTCAGGCCTCCCGAGACTCTCTTAGGAGATGAGACAACAGGAGCTAGGCGCCCAGTGCCTGAAAGGGGTGTCCCTGTGGCACAGGCAGAAATACACACCCGGCTCAGCCCCCGCCTCAGCTTCTGTGCTCACATCCCCACCCACTCTTCTCCTCCTTCAAGCTCCTGGTGACGGGCTGTGTGCCCTGACTTCATACCTGCACTTTCTCCCAGGTTATTGCATTTAATTCCTCAAATAAGACTGCAAGACAGGTGAGAGAGGTGTTGCCATCAGCACAGTGTTCAGAGACAATGTGTCTAAGCTGAGCTCAAGGTCACTGAGCTAACAGGGGACAAGTGACCCCAGTCCTGTCTCTCTAACTGATATTGCTACCCCACCAGTCTGCAACACATAGAAACTTGAAGAGTGCAGGACTGGCCAGGCGCAGTGGCTCACACCTGTAGTCCCAGCACTTTAGGAGGCTGAGGTGGGAGGATCACCTGGGGTCAGGAGTTCGAGACCAGCCTGACCAACATGGAGAAACCCCATCTCTACTAAAAATACAAAATTAGCATGGTGGCAGGCACCTGTAATCCCAGCTACTTGGGAAGCTGAGGCAGGAGAATCACTTGAACCCGGGAGGCGGAGGTTGCAGTGAGCTGAGATGGCGCCATTGCACTCCAGCCTGGGCAACAAGAGCGAAACTCAGTCTTAAAAAAAAAAAAAGGCCGAAAGGGGTCACCTGTAGGAATGTCTTGTTTACTAACAGTTTAAGAAGGAAAGAGGACAACAAACATACCTCAAATCTATGGTGTGGATTCTGTTTGCCAATCCTTGCTTTAGATAACCACTGGGAAACAGAGGAAGGCATTTACACCTTAAGACGGCCGCATATCTGAAGAAGTGTAAAGGCAGTGGCAGCAGGACAGGAGAGCCGCCAACGAGACTCTGCCCTCCTGATTAGGAGCTGGGAGAGGAGGCCCGTTCATCTGAGGCAGGAAGAACTAAATACGGCTGGGGCAACCCTCCCTAGGCTGTACCACGAGAAGCCAGTGAGTGACAGCGAGTCCAGGTGCAGGCACATTTCCGCAGCCACATGCCCACAATATGGAAGTGTAGGTAAAACAGAAACCCCAAACTCAAGTAGGCATGGGGCTTATTCACAGTACAACATCGAGACACACTCCCCACCAGAGCCACACAGAGGCTGAGGCCAAGGCCGGGACGGCTTTGGCAATAAAACCTACTCACTCCATGTGCCAGATGGCTGAGCCCCCAAATGGCCCGTTCCCGGGCAGAGGTCTCCTGCTTTAATAGGAAGAAAGCACCAATTTGAATTTGATTTCCAGCCAGTATCTCCAGGGCTATGGCAGCCCCTAGGGTTCCTTGCAACATGCTCAGAAACAGGGCTTCAAATTGGATCACTCCAGCAACAGAGGAAAATAAAAGCCAATCAATGGGGCTGTGCTGGGAGTGGGGCCGCTTCCTCAGCAGGCCTTTTATCGCTGGAGGAATCTGATTGACCTCGAGCCGCAGCCTGCACGCAGTGCATCCTCTGCACACATTTTCACTCCGCAGATATTTTTATGCCCGTGAAAAAGAGTGGAGCAAATCCAAATTTAATCAGACAAGAGCTAAACTTGAGAAACGAACCTCAAATTTAATCAGACAGGAGCTAAACTTGAGAAACGGACCTCCGATTCTTGTCTAGGGCCTGAAGTGAGAAAGGGGGCTGGGAGGAGAAAACGGGTCCCTAGCTTTGCTGATTGTCTACGCCAAGCACTATGGGTATTGTTCATTCTGACACCAGCACACACAGCAGCTCTCAGAACATTTCCACCCGGAGATGTCTTCAGTGAGAGGTGCATTCAGCCAGAGACCTGGTTTCTCACCCTCTCTCAGGGCCTCAGTTTCCTCATCGTAAAATGAGACTCATTTTCATCTCATTTTGCAGGGGAAGTGGCACAGGACAGAGGGCACCAGCCCTGGAGCCGGAAAGCCTGGACCTGCAGCCCGGATCCGAGGCCATGTGGCTGGGAGGACTCCACACTTCTGTTCCCTCCTCGGCAAAATGGAGTGAAATAGGCCAGGCGCAGTGGTTCACACCTGTAATCCCAGCATTTTAGGAGGCCAAAGTGGACAGATCACCTGAGATCAGTAGCTCGAGACTAGCCTGGCCAACATGATGAAATCCCACCTAAAGTACAAAAATTAGGCCAGGCACAGTGGCTCATGCCTGTAATCCCAGCACTTTGAGAGGCCGAGGCAGGCGGATCATGAGGTCAGGAGTTTGAGACCAGCCTGACCAACATGGTGAAACCCTGTCTCTACTAAAAATACAAAGATTAGCCAGGCATGGTGGCGGACTCCTGTCATCCCAGCTACTTGGGAGGCTGAGGCAGGAGAATCGCTTGAAGCCTGGAGGCGGAGGTTACAGTGAGCTGAGATTGTGCCACTGCACTCCAGCCTGAGTGACAGAGCAAGACTCCGTCTCAAAAAATAAATAAATAAAAATAAAATTAAAAAATATAAAAATTATCCGGGCATGGTGGTGGGCACCTGTAATCCCAGCTACTGGGGAAGCTAGAGCAGGAAAATTGCTGGAACCCAGGAGGTGGAGGTTGCAGTGAGCCGAGATCACGCCACTGCACTCCAGCCTGGGCGACACAGCAGGACTCCATCTCAAAAAAAAAATTCGAGCGAAATTATTACCCTCAGTTCATGTGCCCCCAAAAGATATGTCCACATGGTCATGAGTGCTCTCCACATAATTAATGCCAGGAATTATTTCAATTACAGAAATAACAAAGTTGAATGATTTGCTCAACGAGACAAGTGCTTTCAGTTTCATTCTGCACCAGGCTTTCAGGCCCCAGTGAAAAAGTATCAAGAAGATTTCAGTCTCGCCTCTCCTATGGGCCTTCCAGGAAGCTCAACTCCACATTCTGCACAGCTCTTCTGTGTCCGCGCATCTGTTCTGCCTGCCTGAACCCCCATCCTCTCCAACTGCAAAGCTGCCCCATCCCGCCCACTGGTCCTGTGGGGAATGGCCAAGCACACCTCACTGATGGCTGGAGACAGGACGGAGCTGGGGGTTCCCACACCATCCAGCCCCACAATTGGTCTTCCCCGGGGCTGACTCAGGGGAGCCGGAGGGGAGGCACCGCCCACCCCCAAGATGCTGAAGGGATGTGAGGCCATCCCCTTTGTCCACCAATACACATACACAAGTAGATTACACCAACGTCAAATACCTGGGTCAAGGCTCCCTGAGATTACAGGCTCTTCTATGGGGAATTATGCCCCTCTTTCCCCAAAAAAAGATATGTTGGAATTCTAACCCCTAGAAGCTTGTGGCTTCCATAACTGTGAGAGAATCCACTTCTGCTGGGTTTTTTATTTTTTATTTTTTTTAGATGGAGTCTGGCTCAGTTGCCCAAGCTGGAGTGCAATAGTACAATTTCAGCTCACTGCAAACTCCGCCTCCTGGGTTCAAGTGATTCTCCTGCCTCAGCCTCCCAAATAGCTGGGATTACAGGTTCATGCCACCATGCCCGGCTAATTTTGGTATTTTCAGTAGAGATGGGGTTTCGCCATGTTGACCAGCCTGGCCTCCAACTCCTGACCTCAAGTGATCTGCCTGCCTTGGCCTCCCAAAGAGCCACCCAGTGTCTGGTGCCTTGGTGCCACAGCCCTGGGAGATGAATACAGCGACCTAAGCCAATATGTGTTTTGCTTAAAATAATGCAGCTGTGTTTCTGTTTTCTTAGAAAAGAGCATGGCACCTCCTTCCTCTCCCTTTCTTGCTCCCTCTTCACCTTCCACTATGAGGAGAAGCCCCTGAGGCCTCCCCAGAACCAGATGCCAGTGCCACGTACAGCCTGCAGAAACAGGAGCCAAGTAAACCTCTTTTCTTTATGCATTAGCCAGCCTTAGTGTTCCTTTATAGCAACACGAAATAGACTAAGACGGGGCACAGGCTCCATGTGAAGCTCTGCTCCTCCATGGATAGGCCTGGTGGCTCCAGGACAAAACACCTCTCTTCACCTCTGCCGGTGGGGGAAGGAAGACAAACTGTAGCTACGGCCCCCGGGCCATCCCCACCCCCCGCACACCGACCCAGGAGCCAGTTCTCAACTCTGCATGCACGCCCCCGCTAAATCCTCTAAACCATCTTGAGATTAGGCTGCTGCTCTCCCGGCACTGATAAGGACCTCAGCAGAGGCTCAAGTCAGCAGACTCTGGCCTCAGTCTCCAAGTTCCCATCTCCTGCCACCCCACACTGTGCTGAACTTTGAACACAGAGACACTGGTGGGAACACCCCAAGGTCTGGGATTCTGCCAGAACCTTTTGTGGAGTTATCACATCACTCCAGCCAACACTATGAAAGTAATAAGCACCTTTAATCAAGTGTGTCCAGGGACTGTGTGGGGAGATAACATGTCATCGGGGCCAGCCTGCCGAGGCTCAATGATTGTCAGCGGGCAGTGTTCTCTGTGCCAGACCCAGGCGTCTATCAAACATGCCAAGTAACCACAGGAGAGCCAACTGTAGGCCCCCTCAGGGGCCATGGGCTCTTTCCCACTCCTGCAGTCAGCTCCTACCTTGCAGGCCAAGCCCAGCAGAGATGCATCCCCCACTGGTGGTCAGTGATATCCCATGATGAGGGTGAGGCGCCAGGTCCTCTGACATGGATGGCCAGCCTCAGGACGCATCTCCTAGCACCAAGGAGCAGCTCTGTTGTGCTAAGGGTCCTACTCCAGATCAGTACACTTCTGACTTCCTGCAAGAAAAGTGGCCAGAACTAGGCAAGTAGGTGACACAGACACCCTGCAGTGCAAGACAAGGCTGCAGCTGGGCTCAGCGACCACTGGCAAGGACAACAATCCCACTGACAACAGCATCCGAAAGCATAAGCCACCCAGGGATAAATCTGCCTGGAGAGGCAAGAGACTCGTACCCTGAAAACCACAAAACATTGCGAAGGGAAATTAAAGAAGACTTAAGGAAGTGGAAAGACATCCTATGTTCATGGACTGGCAGACTTCGTGTTGTTAAAGATACTACCCAAAGCAATTCTCAAATTCAGTACAATTCCTCCCAAAATTCCAATGGTGGCTCGTTGCAGAAATAGAAAATCACGCCCTAAAACTCATACGGAATCTCGAGGGATCCCAAATAGCCAACACAAGGTTGAAGAACAAAGTGGGAAGTGTCATATTTGCCAATTTCAAAACGTACTGCAAAGCTACAGTGATAGAGACAGTGTAGTACTAACATAAAGACAGACCTGTTGATCAACATAATAGAATTGAAAGCTCAGAAATAAATCCATACATTGATGATCAACTGATTTTCAGCAAAGATGCCAAGATCATTCAATGGAGCATCAACAGTGCACAACAAGATGGAGACAAGAGTGATGGGAGAGTCCCAGCCCACTAGTGCCATGTGGGCAGGGCCAGTCTCTCAAGCAGGACCACTCACTGGATCTCCAACCCCCAGCCCCATACCTGCTCTCAAGGGGAGCTCAATAATCACCTTGAATGAATGACTGCATGCCTGGAAGACAGGGTGATCAATGAATAACTGAATGAGCAAACAGGAGTTGAAACCCCAGGGTAACACATGAGACACCAGATCCAACAATGATTTCTCAAAAGAAGTTGGGCTCCTCAACACTCACCAACACATTTTCCTCCTTACATCTCTCTTAGCAACATTTTAAAACTATCATTTTGACTCAATGAGTCATAAAATCCATTTAGGAAACTGTGACTAGCATATTTTATGTATGTATGTATTTATTTATTTATTTAGACAGAGACTCTCTCTTTGTCACCCAGGCTGGAGTGCAGTGGTGCAATCATAACTCACTGCAGCCTCAAACTCCTGGGCTCAAGCGATCCTCCCACCTGAAAGCCCCCTGCCCCTGCAGGGGCACCTGTGGCTGGGACCACAGGCACACAACACAACGCCAGACTAATTTTATTTTTTGTAGAGATGGGGTCTTGCTATGTTGACCAGGCTGGTCTCAAACCACCGGGCTCAAGCAATCCTCCTGCCTCGGCCTCCCAAAGTACTGAGATTGCCTGGACAGCACGTTTCTTTAATGAAATGAAAGAACAGTAGAGTAGCAAACGTCAGTGTGCTTATAGGAAGATATCATTTCATGAAACTTTTATTCATGGATATAGGTAAATGTATGCTTGAACTGGGGTTTTTATGGAAATATATTTCTTACCATGGATCCAAAATAAAAAGAGAGTTTAAAAGTTGCTCTCCCAAGCCAAGCACAGTGGCTCATGCCTGTAATCCCAGCACATTGGGAGGCCAAGGCAGGTGGATCACTTGAGGTCAGGAGTTTGAGACCCACCTGGCCAACATGGTAAAACCCCGTCTCTACTAAAAATACAAAAATCAGCTGGGTGTGGTGGTGCATGCCTGTAGTCCAAGCTACTCTAGAGGCTGAGGCATGAAAATCACTTGAACCCGGGAGGCAGAGGTTGCAGTGAGCCAAGATCATGCCACTGCACTCCAGCCTGGGCGACAGAGCGAGATTCCATCTCAAAAATACAAAACAGGCCGGGCGTGGTGGCTCACGCCTGTAATCCCAGCACTTTGGGAGGCCTAGGCGGGCGGATCACGAGGTCAGGAGATCGAGACCATCCTGGCTAACACGGTGAAACCCTGTCTCTACTAAAAACACAAAAAATTAGCCAGGCACTGTGGCGGGTGCCTGTAGTCCCAGCTACTCGGGAGGCTGAGGCAGAAGAATGGCGTGAACCCAGGAGGCAGAGCTTACAGTGAGCCGAGATCGGGCCATTGCACTCCAGCCTTGACAACAGAGCGAGACTCCATCTCAAAAAAAAAAAAAAAAACCACAAAAAATGCTGCTGTCTCAGTTCAGAGGTTTTTGACCATTTGTGGGCCCCTAAGAATGTGATCAAAGTCTCTGTCCAAAGTGTGTGAGATCAGGCAAAACAGTGCACACAATTTCTGGGGGTTTCCTATTGTCACTTGCTCAATGAGGACATATTATCATACCTATCTCAAAAGCCTCATAGTCCTAATAAGACAATCTGCGTACAGCACCAAGCCCAGCCCCTGGCCAGTGTGAGACCTTGATATGGGACAGCTGCCACCACTGCAGGGGCAATGAACAGGAAGATGAGGAGGAGGAGGAAGACTGAAAATTCCATGTCTGTCCCGGATCCACCCGCCCTCACCCCAAGGTGAAAGATCTCACCTTGGAAACATGCAACGAATACCAACTGGAGAAAAACATCTCACAAGCTCTGAGCGCTGCCTCTCAGTACCACGCTATTTTTTTTACCAGCTTTATTGAGACAGAATTCACATTCCATACAATTTGCCGTTTTAAAGTGTACAATTCGGCTGGGCGCAGTGGCTTACGCCTGTAATCCCAGCACTTTGGGAGGCTGAGGCAGACGGATCACGGGGTCAGGAGATTGAGACCATCCTGGCCAACATGGTGAAACCCTGTCTCTACGAAAAATACAAAAAATTAGCCAGGCGTGGTGGCGGGCACCTGTAGTCCCAGCTACTCGGGTGGCCAAGGAGGAGAATGGCGTGATCCCGGGAGGCGGAGCTTGCAGTGAGCTGAGATCGCACCACTGCACTCCAGCATGGGCGACAGAGCAAGACTCCGTCTCAAAATAAATAAATAAATAAATAAATAAGTGTACAATTCAATGATTTTTAGTAAATTCACAGAGCTGTGTAACCATCACCATTGTCAATGTAAGAACATTTTCGTCACCCCCAAAATAATCCCTGTACCCATGAGGGGTCACTGTACCTTCCCCAGGCTTTGGGAACCACTAATCTTACTTTCTGTCTCTATCAATTTGCCTATTCTAGATATTCAAATAAATGGAATCACACAGTATTTATCCTTTTGCAAATGGCTTCCCTCACTGAGCCTGTTTTCCAGATTCACCCATGTTGTAGCATGGATCCATATGTCATTCCTTTTCGTTGCTGAATAGTATTCTATCGTATGGATGGAGCATAGTTTGCTTATCCACTCATCAGTTAACGGACATCTGGGTTGGGTCCACTCCACGGCAACCACAGAGTGCGCCAGTAAACCTTAAACAAACACAAGTCTCCTTCGGTAACAACGCTCATTCTCTGGTTCTGATCAAGCCAGCTAAGTATTTACAAAAAGGATATTCTTTTTTCTCCAGCAGATCTTCTACACAAGAAAATTAAGAGCTGTAACAAAGCAGGGCTCTAGGAAAGAAAAACTAAATAATAATTGTAGAAACATGTCCTTGCAATGAGGCCCAAGCAAAGAAACAAAATAAAATAGAAACAATGCCCAGCTGCACACACAGTTAAGATTGAAATTCTCCCTGCGCTGCTCCAACAAAATTTCAAATCATTAAAATCTCATTATACTAATAATATGTTTTCCAGATAAATTTAACTAAAACACTCTCTTCCCCTAACAAAGTGCAGACGTTCTCAGCAGCAGCAGTGCAGGACGTGTGAAGACACGGGCCAGTTCCCAGGGTGGCGTGTCTTCTCGTCCCATCTCTGCAAATGCCTACAGCTGTAACCACATCACAAGTGACAGCTTACTGGGGAGATGAGCCTCTACAGTTCCAAAGCCCCAGCCCCTTCACTTCGGAGTCTCGCTCTGTCACCCAGGCTGGAGTGAAGTGGCACAATCTCGGCTCACCGCAACCTCCGCCACCCGGGTTCAAGCGATTCTCCCACCTCAGCCTCCTGAGCAGCTGGGATTACAGGCACCCACCACCAGGCCTGGCTAATTTTTGTATTTTTAGTAGAGACAGGGTTTCACTTGTTGGCCAGGCTGGTCTCAAACTCCTGACCTCAGGCAATCCACCTGCCTCGGCCTCCAAAAGTGCTGGGATTACAGGCATGAGCCACCGCGCCCAGCCTAGATTTTCTTAAGTGAAAGCAATTCTCCCAATATGTCATATGGCCTCATTGTATGTTTATTATTTCGTCTGCTCACCACCAACCCAGCCCCTGGTCTCTTCTCTTCCCAGGCCTCTTCTCCACCTGATGGATAAAGTGGGGGAGTGGCCGTGGTGGCAATAAGAATGGAGATGAGATGCCAATGAGAACAAAGGCTGACACCTATGTAGGGTATGTATGAATGTATGTATGTATTTATTTATTTATTTATTTTTGAGGCAGGGTCTCGCTCTGTCACCCAGGCTGGAATGTAGTGGTGCAATCTCGACTCACTGCAGCCTCAGCCTTCCATGCTCAAGCCATTCTCCCCCTCAGCCTCCGGGGTAGCTGGGACCACAGGCATGGGCCACCACGCCTGGCTATTTTTTTCTATTTTTTGGTAGAGAGGGGGTCTCACTATGTAGCCTAGGCTGGTCTCAAACTCCTGGGCTCAAGCAATCCTCCTGCCTTAGCCTCCTAAAGTGCTGAGATTACAGGCGTGAACCACTGTGCCTGGCCTGTAGGGCTTTTATTATGTATCAGGCCCAGTCATTTCCCCCCAGTATTTCATTATTAAAAGTTTCAAACACATAGAAACATCTAAAGAACTTTATTTTATTTTATTTTTTGAGAGGGAGTCTTGCTCTGTCACCCTGGCCGGAGTGCAGTGGCACAATTTCAGTTCACTGCAACCTCCACCTCCCGGGTTCAAGCGATTCTCCTGCCTCAGCCTCCCAAGTGGCTGAGACCACAGGCATATGTCACTGTGCTCAGCTAATTTTTTGTATTTTTGTAGAGATGGAGTTTCACCATGTTGGCAAGACTGGTCTCGAACTCCTGACCTCAAGTGATCCACCCGCCTCGGCCTCCCAAAGTGCTGAGATTACAGGCATGGGCCCCCACTCCCAGCCAAGTAAAGTTTGAAGTGAACACTTGTATACCCACAGCCTACAGTCCACCACCCACCTTTGTCTATACTTGTTTTATTCCACATCCGTCCATCCCTCTATCTATCCAGCAATCCATCAGCATTCATTTCCAATTGCAGCTGGAAATAATTCCCACAAACTGTGGGACTTCATACGACACAAATTTCTTTCTTTTTTTTTTTATTTTTTGAGACAGAGTCTTGCTCTGTCGCCCAGGCTGGAGTGCAGTGGCGTGATCTCGGCTCACTGCAAGCTCTGCCTTCCGGGTTCACACCATTCTCCTGCCTCAGCCTCTCGAGTAGCTGGGACTACAGGCGCCTGCCACCACGCCCGGCTAATTTTTTGTATTTTTAGTAGAGACGGGGTTTCACCGTGGTCTCGATCTCCTGACCTCATGATCCGTCCACCTCGGCCTCCCAAAGTGCTGGGATTACAGGCGTGAGCCACCGCGCCCGGCCTCCATACGACACAAATTTCTATCTTGTGGTTCCGGATGCCAGGACTCCAAAATGGGTCTCACTGGCTAAAATCAAGGTGTCAGCAGGGCTGCATTCCCTCTAGAAGCTCCAGGAGGAAATCAATTTCCTGGCTTTTGCAGCTTTCAGAGGCTGCTCACATTCCTTGGCTCCTGGCCCCACATCATTGCAACTTCCACCTCCATGGTCACTTCTCTCTGACTCTGACCCTCCTGCCTCCTTCTCATAAGGACCCTGGTAATCACGCTGGGCCCACCCAAATAACCCAGGCTAATTCCATCTCAAGGTTCTTAACTTAATCACACCTGCAAATTCCCTTTGACCACATAAGAGAACATATTCTCAGTTTCCAGGTATTGGAATATAGACATTTTTGGTACTACTATTCAGTCTACCATATCATCTTTTTTTAACACATTTCAAAGTAAGTTGCAGACATCAGTACTTTTCCCTCTAATCACACACATCACTAATTAGAGTTCAGTATTTATTTATAGTTCTTTTATTTCCTTGGAGTTAAAAGGTACATGCCATGAAATGCACAAATTTAAAGTACACATGCAGAGTTTTGACAAATGCTGCACCTGCGTATCTCAAACCACTCTCACTGTAAAGAATATTTTCATAACAACAGAAAATCCCTCCTGCTCCTCCCCAAGCAACTCCTGCCCACAGCCCCAGAGGCAACCACCACAGATTAGCTCTGTCTGCTGTAGAACATTGTAAAAGTGAAATTAGCGGGGTGTAGTGGTACACACCTGTGGTCCTCGCTCCTTGGGAGGCTGAGGCAGAAGGATCACTGGAGGCCAGGAGTTCGAGGCTGCAGTGAGCTATGACTGCACCACTGCACTTCAGCCTGGGCATCAGAGTGAGATCTCATCTTTGAAAAAAATGAAATGAAATGAAATCACACAGTGTGTACTCTTTTGGTCTGTCTTGGTTTGCTCAGCATAGTGGTTTTGAGAGTCTCGGGTGATTTCCTGTACCGGCACCTTGTTCCTTGACACTGCCCAGGATCATTCCGTCCTGTCAATTACTGCTGTCCGTGTATCCATTCACCTACTGATGGTCCCCAAGCTGTTTCCAAGTACCAGCTCTTATGAATGAAGCTGCTATGAACATTCCTGTACAAGAGTCTTCTTACAGATTCCTACTTTTTTTTTTTCTTTCTTTTTGACAGAGTATCACTCTGTTGCTTAGGCTGGAGTGCAGTGGCACGATATTGACTGCCACTGCAACCTCCACCTCCCGGGTTCAAGTGATTCTCCTGCCTCAGCCTCCCAAGTAGCTGGGATTACAGGCATGCACCACCACGCCCAGCTAATTTTTATATTTTTAGGTTTCGTCATGTTGGCCAGACTGGTCTTGAACTCCTGAGCTCAGGTGATCTGTCCGCCTCAGCCTCCCAGAGTGCTGGGATTACAGGAATGAGCCACCGTGCTCAGCCACAGATTCCTACTTCTGTTGAGCAAATCTATCTAAGATTTACTGGAATTGCTGGGTCATAGGAAGGATGGTTACTTGATTTTAAAAGAAACTACCAAGCTGATTTCCTGAGGGGCCACACCACTGCACATCCCTCCAGCCTGAGTGAGTAGCAGCTGTCCTATTCTCACCACATCTTCCAGCCTTTCCCATGGGTCTGCGGGGCATTCCCTGTTCTTCTCATGTGCATTTCCCAGGTGGCTGGTGACGGGGAGCACTTTTCCAGATGCATATTGGCTATCTGTCAATCTTCTTTGGTGACGTGTCTGTTCAAACCCTTTATCTATCTATTCTTTTACTGCGTTGACTGTGTTTTTATTCTTGAGTTGCGGAAGTTCTCTCCATCTCCTGGACCCCAGTCTTTTATCAAACATGTGTTTTGCAAACATTTTCTCCCACTCGATGGCTTGACCAGGTCCAGCTTTTTTGTTTTTTGGTTTTTGGTTTTTGAGATGGAGTCTCACTCTGTCGCCCAGGCTGGAGTGCAGTGGCGTGATCTCAGCTCACTGCAACGTCCACCTCCTGGGTTCAAGCTATTCTCCTGCCTCAGCCTCCCGAGTAGCTGGGATTACAGGCGTACACCATCACGCCCAGCTAATTTTTGTATTTTTTAGTAGAGATGGGGTTTTGCCATGTTGGCCAAGCTGGTCTTGAACTCCTGACTTCAAGTGATCCGCCCACCTCAGCCTTCCAAAGTGCTGGGATTACAGGTGTGAGCCACCACGCCCGGCCCCAGGTCCAGTTTTAAGTACATCATTTCATTTAATAACTCACTCAATTCTCTAATGACCCTATGAGTTAAGTAGGCTTTACAGAAGAAGAAACTGAGGCACAGCGTGGGGAAGTACCTTCCCCAGGGTCACAGCTCCAGGGCCCAGAAAGATCAGTTCAAGCCCATGCAGTCTGGCCTCAAGAGCAGTCACCCTAACCACTACACTAGACTGCCTCTTGCTTGCTGGGCAAATACACAAAGATCACTGTAAATGGTCATCATTATCTCCCAGTGAAATGGGAATGCACCACACCCCAGGAAGACAGGAACTGTGCCAACAACCTGAAACAGGAATGCAGGGACATGATGGTGCCAATGGGCAAAGAGGGGCCCCCACCCTGCTGGAGGTGCAACATTTAAGTCAACAGGGCAGAGAGTTGTCAGATCAGAGAGAACAGGGGACGTGAGGGCTTTCAGCCAAGGAAGATCATGGGACCCACAGAAAGCAAACGAAGACCCCATGGCCAGGCCAAGGGAGAAGACCTGGGAGCTGGAGCTGGAGCTGGGCTGGGCTGGGCTGGACAGGCGCTGGGTGGCTGGCGAGAATCTGGACTTGGTCCTGGAGTAGCATGAAGCCACTAGGGTTCTGTCTTCTTCTTATAAACACCAACAAGTTCATTCAGCACAAAAAGGATCTAATGTGTCTCCTCTAGCGCGTCTTCCTAACACTGGGGCTGGGTGCAGCTTAAATGCCAGGAATGACATCAGCTTACTAGGAGCCAGCTGGGAAGATGACTCCCATCTGAATCATTCTTCCAGTTTAAGCAGGGTCAGCGGCAATGAAGAGCCACACTGCCTGGAGTTAAATCTCACCTGCTGGCAGGATGACCTCGATCCTCTCTAAGCCTGTGTTTGCCCATCTGCAAAATGGGAATAACCACATAACACCGACTTCCCAGCTTGGTGTGAGGAGTAAACAAGGTAATAATGCAGGAAGCATCTAGCACAGCACCTGGGACATCAGCAGTGCCCAAGTCTTAGCTACGGTGTGATTATTATAAGCTCCATTCTGATTTGTTTTTGTTTTTGTTTTTTTGAGACAGGGTCTCAGTCTGTCATCCAGGCTGGAGCAAAGTGGCACGATCTCAGCTCACCGCAACCTCCACCTCCCAGGCTCAAGCGATCCTCCCACCTCAGCCTCCCGAGTAGCTGGGACTACAAGCAAAAGCCACCATGCCTGGCTAATTTTTGTATTTTTGGTAGAGACAAGGTTTCACCATGTTGGCCAGGCTGGGACTACAGGCATGTGCCACCATGCTCAGCTGTTTTTTCTTTTTTTGTTGTTGTTTTGTTTTCTTTTGCAGAGACGAGGTCTCACTATATTGCCCAGGCTAGTCTCAAACTCCTGGGCTCAAGCGATCCTCCTGCCTTGGCCTCCCAAAGTACTGGGATTATAAGCATTTTTTTTTTGTTTTTAATCTTCCTTTAACTTTTACCCTCACTTCTCAGATTATCTTTATTATGATTATTATTTTGATGCAGGGCCTCACTCTGTCACACAGCTGCAGTGCAGTGGCGCAATCATGGTTCACTGCAGCCCTGATCTCCTGGGCTCAAGCCAGCCTCCCACCTGAGCCTCCCACCTGAGCCTCCCAAGTAGCTGGGACCACAGACGTGCACCACCACGCCTGATTGATTTTTTTTTTAATTTTTAATAAAAAGGGGTTCTCTCTATGTTGCCCAGGCTGGTCTTGAACTCCTGAGCTCAAGTGATCCGCCCATCTCAGCCTCGCAGAGAAATGGGATTACAGGCATGAGCCAACGCACTCCTTCTATTAAACTTATATATATCAAGTATAAACTCATTTAGATTTTACTTTGAAAGACATTACAGTTGACTCTTGAAAAACACAGGTTTGAATTATATGAGTCCACTTACATGCAGATTTTTTCCAATAAACATATTGGAAAATTTTTTGGAGATTTGTGACAATTTGAAAAAACTGCAAACCACGTAGCCCAGAAATATTTTTAAAAATTAAGAAAAAGTTAGATATGCGACAAATGCATAAAATATATGTAGATACTCATCTGTTTTATCATTTACCACCATAAAATACATACAAATCTACTATAAAAAGTTAAAATGTATCAAAACTTACACACACACACAGACTGTGTTCACAGTTGAGAGAAATGTAAACAAATGTAAAGATGCAGTACTTATGTATTTATTTATTTTATTGTATTTATTTTATTTTTTTGAGACAGTCTCATTCTGTCACCCAGGCTGGAGTGCAGTGGCATGATTTTGGCTCACTGCAATGTCTGCCTCCTGGGTTCAAGTGATTCTCCTGCCTCAGCTTCCTGAGTAGCTGGGATTACAGGTGCCCACCACCACGCCTGGTTAATTTTTATCTTTTTAGTAGAGACAAGGTTTCACCATTTGGCCAGGCTGGTGTCGAACTCCTGACCTTAAGTGATCCGCCCGCCTCGGCCTCCCAAAGTGCTGGGATTACAGGCGTGAGCCACTGCACCCAGCCAAGATGCAGTATTCAATAATAACTGCATAAAATTAACTGCAGTCCATACTGCACCACTGTAATAGTAGCCGCCTCCTGTTGCTATTGCATTGCTTAGAACATTATTTGATGTTAATTATCTCCACTTGAGCAGTTCACCGCTCCAGTAAATTCCATATCATAGTAAAAAAAAAAAAAAGTGATCTGTTTGGGTTCCCACGTATTTTTCATCATGTTTAGTGCAATACCGTAAACCCTGAATAACACTATGGGACTCATACAAAGCACCACTTGTGTTGCTGTAAGTGCTCCCAAGAAGCCTTGACGGACGGGCGCGGTGGCTCACACCCGTAATCCCAGCACTTTGGGAGGCTGAGGCAGGCGGATCACAAGGTCAGGAGATCGAGACCATCCTGGCCACCACGGTGAAACCCCATTTCTACTAAAAATACAAAAAAATCAGCCGGGCACGGTGGCACATGCCTGTAATCCCAGCTACTTGGGAGGCTGAGGCAGGAGAATCGCTTGAACCCAGGAGGCGGAGGCTGCAGTGAGCCGAGATCGCACCATTGCACTCCAGCCTGGGCAACAGAGCGAGACTCCGTCTCAAAAAAAAAAAAAAAAAAAAGGAAAAAGAAAAGAAGAAAAGCGTGACATTCCAAGAAGCTGAATAGCTTGAGATGTTGTATGGTAGGGTGAGGTCTGCAGCTGCAGTTGCCGGCCACTTCAGAGCATTCATCTTGTAAACGCATGTTGTAAACGTGCAGCATCAATAAACACAGCACAGTACTATAAATGCATATTCTCTTCCTTATGATTTTCCTAATAACATTTTCTTTCCTCAGGCTCACTTTGTAGTAAGAATACAGCACATAATGCATAGAACATACAAAATATTGTTAATTGTTTATGTTATCAGTGAGGCTTCCAGTCAACAGCAGGCTATCACTAGTTAAGTTTTGTGGGAGTCAAAAGTTACACATGGTGGCCGGGTGCAGTTGTTCATGCCTGTAATACCAGTACTTTGGAAGGCTGAGGTGAGCGGATCAACTGAGGCCAGGAGTTTGAGACCAGCCTGGCCAACATGGTGAAACTCTGTCTCTACTAATAATACAAAAATTAGCTGGGTGTGGTGGTGCACGCCTGTAATCCCAGCTACTCGGGAAGCTGAGGCAGGAGAATCACTTGAACCTGGGAGGCAGGGGTTGCAGTGAGCCAAGATTGCACCACTGCACTCCAGCCTAGTGACAAGAGCGAAACTCCGTCTCAAAAAAAAAAAAAAAAAAAAAAGTTACACGTGGATTTCTGACTGCATGGGGGTCAGTGCCTCTTTCCCCCTGTGCTGTTCAAGGGTCAATTCTATTAATTTTAAAACAAAAAGAAAAAAGACAGGGATGAAGACACTTCAAATTAAGCTATGGGCCAGATGCTTCTCAAGAGCTGGGCATGGTGGTGTGCACCTATTGTTTCAGCTACTCAGGAGGCTAAGGCAGGAGGATCCCTTGAGGCCAGGAGTTCAAGGCTACAGTGTCTGATGATCTGGCCTGTGAACAGCCACTGCACTCCAGCCTGGGCAACACAGCAAGACCCCCATCTCAAACATATATATATGTATAAAGACCCCCATCTCAAATATATATGTATAAAGACCCCCATCTCAAACATATATATGTATAAAGACACCCATCTCAAACATATATATGTATAAAGACACCCATCTCAAACATATATATGTATAAAGACACCCATCTCAAATATATATGTATAAAGAATATATATTCTTTATAATATAATTATAATTATAATTGCTGTTGCAGTAAAAGAATGCAGACACAATGCAATGAATTCCAAAATTATTCTTTATATTCTTTATACATATATTCTTTATATATTTTTATTTGTATGTTCATATATATATATATATTCTTCAAATTCCATTTATAGCAAAAATAAACTCTGAATACCATATGCGCATGAGGCCCCGCCCCGGACCTCCCCCTTTCTCCAGCCTTGTCAGGGGCACTCCATCCACATGTTTAAAGTGGGGCCTGGTCAGTTCTAGTTCCCTGGAGTCTGGAGTAACTTGAGAAGCAGAAAACAACAAGGGCAGACAGGGCTCCGCTGAGACAGCTGCTTCCAGGAGCGTCTGGATTTGAGCAAGCAACGTACGCAGGCCCTAGGAGTGCTAACATTTTCACTCCCTCTTTAACTTTTTAATAGCTTAACATTCAAGTCTAGATCCTGTGGAACTGTAATTTTTCAAATGAAAACACGTATAATAATGCATGACTTTGTAAGAGAACAAGCAAAGAAATTCCTAAGATGGCGTTGCTTGGGGAAACCAACATTACCGACTGATTGTGGGTGGCTGGCAGGTAAAGGTTCAAAGGCCAAAACCAAGCTCATCACTTCAAGTGGCAAAGCTTAAAGGAGCAGGCCTCCAACTACTATCAGGCAAGCGTAAAGAACTCCCACTCAGAGACTGCCAAATGTTCTCTGATGCCGTAGGCTGGTGAGGAAGGCAAAAATGCCTCCTGGTGCCCATGTGAGTTGCCCTCACATTTCTGGGTACAAGGAATTCCAGCTCAGAAACACCTGCTTCTCTGCACACGCTAAACAGTTACTCAGCCAAGTATACCTCAAAAAAGTATTGGGGGCCGGGAGTGGTGGCTCACTCCTGTAATCCCAGCACTTTGGGAGGCCGAGGTGGGCGGATCAGTTGAGGTCAGGAGTTTGAGATCAGCCTGGCCAACATGATGAAATCCTGTCTTTACTAAAAATATAAAAAATTAGCTGGATGTGCTCGCTTGAACCCAGGAGGCAGAGGCTGCAGTGAGCCGAGATCATGCCACTGCAGTCCAGCCTAGGCAACAGAGCAGGACTCTGTCTCAAGAAAAAAACAATAGCACTGGAGATGCTTCCTAGCCACAGACAGCTAGGGGAAGAGTTAAGATACCAACATTCTCACTGCAATATCTTAAACGATTCACACAACTTTTGTTACCAACAGCCAACTAGCTGTTGCACGGCACTCAATGGGAATAAAGCAGCCAGTGCTGCTGAAATGACACAGCACTAGAGCTGGAAAAGGCTCCTGTTCTGGGGGTGACAGCCACTCAGCAACTAACCCTCCATACACACTGGTAGTGTGGCTGACTGGTCCCAGCATTCTTTTTCCCTAAGCCCAGACTCAGCCACAGAATCCTTCTCAACACAGGGTTAGGTACTTGTCCTAAACTGAGCTGACTTGCCACTTCTGCTGTACCACGTACCAGCTCTGGACTCTGGTGTCTGCGTCAATGCCTCCAGTCATCCACATTCATCCATAACGAATTCTGATTGAGCGCTCACTCAATTGCTGATGAGGCTTTCCTTCCTTACACCACAAGTGCTGCTTTGCTCCACAAGGGACCATCAGGAACAGAGGCTTAGAGAGAAGAAGCAACAGATCCAGTGCAAGGAGGCGGACTGCACCACCGCGACGGGCATTCTCAGAACCAGGGCAAACTCAGCAGCTCAGAAACGCAGAGCTGGGATCTGCCCACACTGCCCCATATTAGAAATGAAGAAATGGGCCCCCAAACTTTAACACACATAGCCTCAAAGGGTGCGTTCAGTCCCCACGGCCCAGACACTCTTAGTCAGAACATCAGAGGAGGTAAAAGACTCCGCTGGTTTCCCAGGGCTGATCATGTTACTACCCAGATGCTGGGAGCCCTAGAGACTGGACGAGGCCAAAACTGCTGCTCATTCCATTTTTTTCTTGTAACCAGAGAGAAGGCTCTCATTTGAATATGTCAGCCTGAGGTATCTCAAAGTTGCAAAGCCACAGAACACTTCTAGGATTGATTGCATTGTGTCCGCCTTCTTTTACCAAGACAGCAATTAGTATGGATAAGCAAATTAATACCATTGGGCCAACGTATGCTTATAATATCCTCCAAAGCTTATTAATCTGTTTTGCAGCCTCTATGTGATGTAACAAATAGCAGACATATTAGGAGATAAACCAATTTTTCACCTGAAACCTAAAGTGTAACATGTACAGCTAAGGCAGAGACATTTTCATAGGGTATGTCTTTTATGTGATGGAACCGCATGTTCGAAAAGAAGAAAACAGCTCGGTAAAGGTACCTGCCCTGTGCCAACCACAGCAGGGAGGAATCAATCCAACGGAGCACTTAAAATCCATACTCGCAGCAGGGATGAACCCACTTACATCCAATAAACACCCCTTAATTATTCTGACGACTGGACAGGGAGCGCGAGGGTAAGCAATTTCAGGATGTGCAATCGATATTAATTCCACAGCGGTGGGGAGGGAATCAAGGCAGAGTCCCTTTGATGAGTGTGGGGTTGCCAAGGTGATCTGACTCTGCTGGGAGGTTTGTAACCAAGGTGCTAGGAGAACCACCGAGAACCTGCCCTTCCTCCCCAAGCCCCGAAAGGCAGGGAAGAGTCATCACTTGTGGCCAAGCAGTGCCTTTACCTTTTCTACAGAAGCAGAGTTTCCGACAGCTCTTAGTAGGCCTTCAAGAAAACAAAACAAAACAAAAGAAAACAAAAACACCCACGTGGTGCAGGTCGACTTTGCTGCCCCGGACAACAGAACGCATGGGCGGAACACACAATGAGAAATGTAGGGTTTGAAGATTATAGTCAGAATAATAATCAAAGGAAATGTAGCTGAGCCACCCACTTCCTCTCAGCCCAAGAGGAAAGAGATAGGCCCTCACTGGAAAATGGTCTCCAGGGAGTTCCACTCACCACCCTGAGGAGCGTTTCCCATGAAGGTGCTGGGCAGCGTCGCAGTGACCTCACTGTGCCTTTCCTTCTTGGACCAACAGCTGTCCATCCCCAAACGGAGACGGCCTCTGCTCGAAGGAGGTTTGGGTTTAGAGATAACAGTGTGGAATTGTCTTTCTCTTTGTTGGCAGGGTCTGTAAAGAGCCTCACAACACAACAGCTCCAAATAGGACCTCCACCATCCCCTCTTCCCCATAGAAACCACAGTGACTATGGCCCTGGTCCCTCACCTGTCTATATCCCCCAACTTCGGACCAGCCACTCCCCCTTTTCGTTGGCTAGGAGGCCCGCTGGCCTTCCCAACATGCCACAGCCACTTTTCTACGGGCCCTGACGCTATCAGAGGGGTCACGTGAGCACAGAGGGCCTGGAAACGAGAAGAAGTCTGAAAAATCGTCCAAAAGAGACCACACTCCTTGCAAATCCTTTCCCACCCCTCCCACAAACAAGGATCTGGGTCCTTTTTCATTTCAGCATCAGAGGGGCTGCAGCCCGCTAGAAAACAGCGTGGAAATCACAGCCACGCCTGCGCCCACCCACGCCACCTCCTCGGGGCACTGCCTGTGCCCCGTGCCACATTCCTGCCAGCCTGCCTCCCCGCCGTTCCCCCATTCCGTCCATTCCCCACTCCCCAAAGCACCACTGAAATCGGCCACCCCTGCCAAGCCCCAGCAAGGGTTCCAAGCTCCTGTGTTTGTGGGACGCCAGGGCTGCTCACCTCTCCAGCCCCCGACCAGGGCTGGCCACAGCCCACAGGCTGCACCGTTGCTCAGCCACTGGGAGCCTGCCTGGGGGTCTCCTCAGGAGCCCCCTCCCCCTCCCTGGGCTAATTTACATCCATCCTAGACATTCAGCCAGGACCACTTCCTCCAGGGAGGCCCAAAACCCCAAGTCTGGGTGGTGAGACCCCCATGGCTCAGTCCCCCCATCTGCCTGTCCCTCAAACTGTCCTGAGTGGGGCCTGAGCCAGGGTCTCACCCACCCCCAGCTCCCAGCCCAGGCGTTGCTGGGGGGAAAGGCGGGGGCAGTGCAGGCCCCCCTGCCACAGCTCCCCTCCCTTCACTGGTGCGTCTTAGTGTTTTGGGGCAACCCATCATCTACACAACTGATGGCTCCGTGTAAAAGATGGATGCCCTGAAGGAAATTCTCGGTTGCTGGTTTAGAGCTTTGAGATTTCTCTCCTGAAGGTTATTTAAAGTCCACAAAGAAACTTAATACTTTCAACCTTCAGTTCAATGTCGCAGCTACCTAGTGATTTCTTTTCTTTTCTTTTTTTTTTTTGAGGCAGAGTCTCGCTTTGTCTCCCAGGCTGGAGTGCAGTGGCGCGATCTCAGCTCACTGCAACCTCTGCTTCCCGGGTTCGAGTGATTCTCCTGCCTCAGCCTCCTGAGTAGCTGGGATTACAGGTGTGTGCCACCACGCCCGGCTAATTTTTGTATTTTTAGTAGAGATGGGGTTTCACCACGTTGGCCAGGCTGGTCTCAAACTCCTGACCTCAGGTGATCTGCCGCTTCAGCCTCCCAAAGTGCTGGGATTACAGGCGTGAGCCACCACGCCTGGCTAATTTTTCTATTTTTAGTAGAGACCGGGTTTCCCCACGTTGGCCAGGCTGGTCTCAAACTCCTGGCCTTAGGTGATCCACCTGCCTCAGCCTCCCAAAGTGCTGGGATTATGTGTCTGGCCTAGTGATTTCTTTAGATCTAGTTGATGAGGTCTCAATATCTTGCTCATTAATCATTAACTCTACATCAAATGCTTAGGAGATATCAGGATCAAGAGACAGGGAAGACAAGCCGCTGGCTGGGAGAAAATATTTGCAAAACACATGACTTGTATCCAAAATATATGAAGAACACTTCCAACTCAACAGTAAGGAAACAAACAAGCAGATTTAAAAATAGGCCAAGGCCGGGCACTGTGGCTCACGCATGTAATCCTAGCACTTTGGGAGGCCAAGGCAGGTGGATCTCCTGAGTCCAGGAGTTTGAGAGCAGCCTGGGTAACATAGCGAGACCCCATCTCTACAAAAAATAGAAAAATTAGCTGGGCATGGTGGTATGTGCCTGTAGTCCCAACTACTCCAGAAGCTGAGGCATGAGGATCACTTGAGCCCCAGGAGATTGAGGCTGCAGTGAGCCAGGATCGTGCCACTGCACTCCAGCCTGGGCTACAGTGAGACCCTATCTCAAAAATAAAATAAAAATAAAAATAAATAAAATACAAATGAGCCAATGACCTTAATAGACACTTCACTGAAGAAGATACACAGATGGCAAATAAGCATCTGAAGAGATGCTCCACTTCATACCTCATCAGGGAAATGCGAATTGAAACAGCAACAAGACACCACAATACACCTAACAGAATTCCAAAATCCAGAACACTGACACCACCAAATACTGGTGAGGATGCAGAGCAGCCAGGACTCTCGTTCGCCACCGGTGAATAAATGTGGCACAGCCACTTTGGAAGAGAGTTTGGCAGTTTCTTCCAAAACGAGACACACTCTTACCATACGATCCAGCAATTGAGCTCAAATGAATTAAAACCTTATCTCCACACAAAAACCTACACGTAGATGTACACAGCAGCTTTATTCATAACTGCCAAAACTTGGAAGCAACCAAGATGTCCTTCAGCAGGTGAATGGATCAACAAACTGGCACATCCAGACAACGGAATATTATTCAGTCAAAAAAGGAATGAGCTACCAAGCCCTGAGAAGACATGGAAGGGCCTTCAATGTATATCATTGAGTGGAAGAAGCCAATCTGAAAACGCTACTGTACACTTTATGATCACAACTAGATGATAGTCTGGAAAAGGCAAAAACACAGATACAGTAAAAAAAACAAAAACAAAAACCAAAAAAACAAAACAAAAAAATGATCCGTGGTTGCCAGGGATTTGGGGAAACGGAGGGATGCATAGGCAGCAGAAAGAGGATTCTGGGGTCAGTGACGCTGCTCCAGAGGTGACTGTAATGGTGGGTCCATGTCACTCTACATCCATCCAGAGCCACAGAATGTCCAACGGCAAGAGCAACCCCTAATGTAAACTATGAGCTTGCGGAGATAATGATGTCTCAGCGTTGGCTCACGACTCTACCACACAGCCGGGGGGCACTGATGGAGGTGAGAAGGGATAGGTGGGGACACTTTGTATTCTTTGCTAGATTTCGCTGTAAACCTAAAACTGCTTTAAAAATATACGTCAATATATATATGTGAATATATATACACACACATGAATATATATATATATATATATATATATGGTTTTTTTTTCTATTTGATATGGAGTCTCACTCTGTTGACCAGCCTGCAGCGCAGTGAGGCAATCTCAGCTCACTGCAACCTCCACCTCCCAGGTTCAAGCGATTCTCCTGCCTCAGCTTCCCAAGTAGCTGGGATTACAGGCACACGCCACCATGCCCGGCTAATTTTTGCGTTTTTACTGGAGATGGGGTTTCACCATGTTGACCAGGCTGGTCTCGAATTCCCGACCTCAGGTGATCCACCCACCTCGGCCTCCCAGAGTGCTGGGATTACAGGCGTGAGCCACCTCACCTGGCCCACACATACATATTTTTTAAGGTAATCAGGGGATAGAAACTTCCTGAATGTGTTGCTCAGAAAAGAGGGACAGAACCTCCAGACTGGCTGCTCTCGCCCCGCTGCCTTCAGCTGTCTCTGAGAAACCTGACCCTGGCCACTGGGCAGTGGCGCCTGAGGTCCAGTGCCTGGTGCAGCACAGAACAGGCCTCTTGTGGCAAATGTGTGGAGCACTCCACCCGACCTCTTCCACACTGGCCAGGGCCGGCCATCCGCCTCTGAGGACTTCCAGCAGCAGCTGGGCTGTCCCCGACCTCCATCCTGGCCCACTGGACCTACAGGGCCTCTCATCACATGGTCACAGTGGGGAACCCTGTGTGTTGTTGGTCTTCTCTGCACACGGGCTCCTCCAAGCCCCAGTAAAGCTGAACCCAAGTTTGAAACACGCTGTCCTTTCACGTCCCCAGAGCTTCTGTGGGGAGCCCTGGGGGTTTCCGGCGTTCCTTTCCATTTTCTGAATGCCCACAGTTCGTCACAGTTCCCTTTTCTGACCCAGGCCACCACGTGACACGCCTCCCGTAGCACATCAGCCTTAATCACGCCCACCGTGAAGCTCATTCTCAGACACTTCCTGCACTGCTTCCTCCAAACCCCAGGGCCCCACATTTCCTAACCCCTCTCCTCTGGAACAGGCCACGTCACTCATCCCAACCATCCCTCCCAAAAGTCCCTCCGTGCCTTGTCACACCCCTGCCTGAATCTGGAACCTCACCGATGAGCCCGCCCCTTCCCCCAGCTTCCCCCTCCTCCCTTAGAGTCCTCAACTCAGGAACATGTCGGAGCCACATCCGTTCTCCCAAATCCACCCTCAACTTTCTAACAAAGGAGGAAATGAAGCCGACGGTGCAGCAGGCAGGGTCGTGGAAACCTCCCAAGCGCCCTGTCACTCCCTGGTAGGCAACCGAGCATAGCTCTGACGGCCCAAAGTCAGGGCCAGGGGCTGCTCCACCCTGGAGTGGCAGAAGCGCATGTTGCCAAGGCAAATGGGCTTGCGGAAATACCAGCGACTCTCAATTATTCAAGCCCTCATTATCCAGTCTTCCTGACTCTTCCACTTCCCAGGAGACCACACAGAAGCCGCTAAACCCTTCCCAATCCAGCCTGTCCCTCAATTCCTGTGCCTAGATCCAAGGAGGGTTTGTGGCCCTCTGTTTGCCAGGCACCCCAACCCTGAGAACCGAGGCAGGGCGCCCAGCTCACCCCCAGCGAAAGCAGCATCAGCAGTGCCCGGCGTCCTGCTCCTCCTCCTGCCTCCACGCCCGTTCTATTCAGCACAGGATGCTTCCTGCTACCGGAATTCTTGGTGCATTTGAATTAAACCAGGCTGGGCCTGAATTTTCTAGACACACATCAATTCATACAGGCAAGGAGGAGAAGCACTGCGTACTTTGGAATTTGGGCCCAGTCCATTACTTTGGGTGTGTGTTCTTCCTATTCCGAGAGCGTAAACGGCACCTAGAAAAAGCTGCAATAGCCCAGAACATTCCGGTTCCTTGCCATTCTATGAAAGACTTTTTCCTCTGGTTCCTTCTGGCCTCCACTCAAGTGTCCCCTCCTCAGAGGCCTCCCCTGGCTCTGATCGCCCTGTTCTATGTGCTCCGGGGCACGTCATCACAGCGCCAGTTGTCTATGTATTCATTCCCCGTTCCACGAAAGCAAGCACCCCGCCCCCGCTCTTTTCTTCCTGGGGTCTAAGCAGCACCTGGCCCATGGCGGGCGCTCCACAGGCTGTGGGCTGAATTGGGAGGGGAGCGTCACTTGCGTCTATAATCGTTGCAAGCCATAAAGAGGAACCGAAATGATTTCTGGTGAGGGTGCTGATGACTGCATGGAAGAACAGTGGGGATGATAGAAGGGTGACAGCCACTAATCATGTCATTTAGGAGACGTGACCAACACCGACCAATACAAGCTACAGTGGGTCCTCCAGTGTAAGGCTTGAGAGAAGAGTGACCTATCCGCCAGGAGACCTACTGAAGGGGACAAGACCCTGCCCTCTTGGAACAGGATCACGGGTGGGAAGACACGCATCCCTGGGGGCACAGGCATCCCTGGGAGAAAATGTCTGGGGAACCAAGCGTTCCCTGCACTGTACAAAAATCCTGGGGAGCAGGTGCATGGGGGCACACACATGCCTAGAGGCAAATCTGTCATATGTCTTCCCGGGGCACACACATCCCTAGGAATACAAGAGTCCCAGGGAAGAAATGAATGGGGGACCTGCATCCCGGGGTACACTAATCCCTGGAGGCACAGGAAGAGTTCCCAGGGGATATGTCAGGCCCAGGTGGTTTAAGGAAACCGTACTGCATACCCGCTATGGGAGGGCTCCTTCCCGGGGACCCACCTGAGGCCGGCCTTTCTCCATCTGCCTTTCCACAGCAGCTCCCCTCACCTCTCACCAATCCGAAATCTCACTATAGGGCATGGTCCCGGGGCAGAACCTCCCCACCCAAGCAGAAAATTCCAGAATGTATCTCCCAGGAGGCCCTGGGCAAGCGGTACACTTAAAGACACCAGACTATCCCTTGCAACTCTAACAATCTTTAAAACGTACGAGGTTGGTAGTGTTTCGTGAGCACACGCAGTAAAAAATTTAAAAAAAAAAATTTTTAATGGGATCTCTGCAATTCTTGCTCGCAGGCCTCCCAGGCCTCAGCCCTGCACGCCCTGAGCCCCGCACCCTGCAGGGCGCCCGCGCAACACCCAGTAGTGGGTCCCCCAGGCCGTGTCTGCCCAGAGTGCCCTGCACACGTGAGCGTCACTGCTCATGGAATGAACGGTCACCCCGCGCGGCTGGCTATGCCGCTGGCCCAGGGAAGAGCTGAACACCCGGCAGGCAGAGCAGGCGCGGGCCCCGCACGGTGGCCCGAGGTCCCCGCCGCGCAGGCGCCCGCACGCGCGTTTGGCAGACTCCGGAGGCCACCGCGGCCCCACGCGCCAGGTCCCGGCCGTTGTTTACGGGTCCTGGGTCAAAGGCCTGGCCTGTCCCGAAGGTCGCGCAGCCGCGTGGGCCGGGCGGGGTGCGTGGGGGAGGGCGGGGGCGGCCTCGTGGGGCTCTAGGGCCGAGGGCGGGCACCGCCGGGCAGGTCCCCGGGGGTCGGCGGGCGCGGGCGCGCACTCACCCTCGCGCGCCCTCCGCTTCCTGGCCAGGGTGCCGCCCAGCTTGCCCAGGAACGACTCGTCCTTCTTCATCCTGCGGGGCCGCGGGGTGGGCGAGCGCGGCGCGGAGGACATGGGCCGCGCGTGGGGCCGGCGGCGGGCGCAGCGCGTGTGGAGCCGCCCGGTCGCCCCGGGGAGAGGCCGAGGGCGCGGCCCCGCCGCCGGCCCCCGCCCCGGTCCCGCCCCCGCCCCTGGCCTGGAGCGCGGCCCCGGCGTCCCGGATGCCCGAGGCCTGCTGGTCCCGGCCAGAGCCGTCCCCGTCCCGCGCCGCCGCTCAAGCTCAGAGAAGGGGCGTGGGGCCACCCCGGGAGCGGCGCAGCCTTTTCCCTACGCGTTGGAGCCCTGGGCTCTGCTCGGCTCCGCTAGTGGTGCCGGATCCAGGCGACAGCGCGACAGACACCATTGCCACGTGGGTGCAGCCTCAGGACGTCCTGAAAGCCGGAGAGAATCAGGTCACACGAACGTGGCCGGTCTGTTGTTAAGCTTCTGCCAAGAGCCAGGCCCGGGGCAGGGGGAGCCCTTCAGAACTGGGAATTGTCCCTACCCACGGGAAGCTTAGAGGATGGAGGGCAATGCGGGGCACAGGTCATTGGCCTGACCTCCAAGGGGAGTTCCAGGAGTTGTTTCTGGAAGAGGCGACGGGGAGGCCCCAGGAAATGGCTTGCAGGCCGGTACCATGAGGTGAGCAGAAGAGCAGGCCCTGGGGACAGTGTGGGGTGCCAGGGAGGGGAGAGGAGGGGAGACAGGCCTCGCATGTGTTGGAAGCAGAGGAAACGGCTTCATCCCGAGGACTGCCAGACAGGGCTATTTTTATTTTATTTTATTTTATTTTATTTTATTTTATTTTATTTTATTTTATTTTATTTTATTTTATTTTGTTTTGTTTTATTTTATTTTATTTTTTTAGACGTAGTCTTGCTTTGTTGCCCAGGCTGGAGTGCAGTGGCACAATCTCGGCTCACTGCAACCTCCACCTCCTGAGTTAAAGCGATTCTCCTGTCTCAGCCTCCTGAGTAGCTGGGATTACAGGTGCACGCCACCACGACCGGGTAATTTTTGTATTTTTAGTAGAGATGCGGTTTTGCCATGTTGGCCAGGCTGGTCTCGAACCCCTGACCTCAGGTGATCCGCCTGCCTCGGCCTCCCAAAGTGCTGGGATTATAGGTGTGAGCCACCATGCCCAGCCTAGATACCCAGGCAGGGCTTTGAGCTGTGATGTCACAGATGTTGCCTCTGGCTGATGGCTGCTCAGCAGGTGCTGGAGACAGAGAAGGCACAGGCAGGCGGACGGTGACTTAGGAGAAAAGCAAACAGATTTCTGAGATGCTCACAGCCAGAAGCCCCAGCCTTGAAGAAGTAGGAGGAGTAGGCCAGGTGCAGTGGCTCGCACCTGTAATCCCAACACTTTGGGAGGCCAAAGCAGGCAGATCACCTGAGGTCAAGAGTTCAAGACCAGCCTGGCCAACATGGTGAAACCCCATCTCTACTAAAAATACAAAAATTATCGGGGCATGGTGGTGGATGCCTGTAATCCCTGCTACTTGGGAGGCTGAGGCACAAGGATCGCTTGAACTCGGGAGGTGGAAGTTGCAGTGGGCAGAGATCATGCTACTGCACTCCAGCCTGGGTGACAGAGCGAGACTCTGTCTCCAAAAATAAAAAAAAAATAAAAAATAAAAAAAAAGAAGTAGGAGGAGTGAAGGCTGGGTGTCCTGCCAGGCCATGGTGGATCACTCAGCAGAGGACGGCACCTGGGGAGAAGTGGGTTCAGCTCTGGGTGTGTGGGTTGAGATGGTTTTTCTGTCTCCCTTTGTGCTGGCTGCCCCCCAGTCCCCCCAGTGCAGTACATGTTTCTGTTGGTCAAGTTGGTGCCAGGCCCAGTCCTCAGCCAGGGGCGTGAAGACCAAGGGCACAGAGCTTTGTCCTCCAGGAGTTTGTGGTCAAGGAGAACGTGGGCACAGGACACAGTGGCCGTGTAGCGTGGCCAGCATGGAGGAGGGACAGGGACCATGTGGATGGGGTGGGGGAGAAGTGCTGTGGGCAGAGGAGGCTTGCAGGGAAGGGACATTTGACCTGGAACAAGGATCAAATGCCCTTTTCCTTTCAGTAAAGGAGGAGAAGACCCACCAGGCAGAAGAGACAGGGAGAGGACACTGGGGTGTCTTGGGGCTGCCAGCACAAAGTTCCATGAGCTGGAGGGCTCAGAACAACAGAAACGTCTTCTCTCACAGTTTGGAGAGAAATAACAAGGTCTACGGGAATTATGAGGCAGGCACGGTGGAGGAAAACCAATTGATAAATATCATCATCTCACAAGGGTCTTTGCAGATGATCAAGTGAAGATGAAGTCACCAGAGTGGGCTGTAATCCAAGATGACCGTGTCCTTGTAATACCCCTGTGTACTGGGGATTAGGATTTCAGCAGGAGGCCAGAAATCCAAATCAAGGTGTAGGCTAGGTTCATTTCCATTTGGAGGCTGCACGGGCAAATCTGTTCCCTGCATCTCTCCAGGCTCCTGGGGTTTGCCAGCAAATCTTCCATGTTCCTCGGCCTGTAGAAGCATTGCCCCGTCTCTGCCTCCGTCTCTACTAGGCCCTGTGTGTGTGTGTGTGTGTGTGTGTGTGTGTGTGTGTGTGTGTGTGTGTGTGTGTGTGAGTCTAGACTTTACAGGGACACAGTCATGTTGGATTAGAGCCCATCCTGGTGATTCATCTTCACCTCATCATCTGCAAAGACCCTGTGAGATGATGATATTTATGCATTGGTTTTCCTCCACCATGCCTGGCTCATAATTCCCATCACCCTTGTTATTTCCTCAGTGACTATAGCAATAAGCAGATCTTTTGTTACAATATTTGTTCTTTTTTCCTTGGTTCCTGAAGCAGTGTGGAAACAGCTTCAGAGCAATAAAGGGGAACGATAGTCCTGTGTTATCATGTTGGATCTTTGGAAGCAGGCTTCAGGTGTAGTTTCTCTCTCTTTCTGACCTTCTTTCTCCTTCCCTCCTTTCACCTGCTCCTTTTTCTCCCCAAGTCAGGCCATAGAAAATGAAAATATACTTGAATCTTCCCCCACCTTTCCATCTTGGAGCTGGCCGTGGAGAAATTCTCTGACCTGCCTTGTCTGACTGAGGGTCACGGGACCCCCATTTCAGGAGGAGTCCAGCCTCCCGCCCAGGAGGAAGAAATGCTATACAGACAGGCCTTGCGGGGCTTCACCACTCTGACTGATGGTGTTGAGTCATACTGTTTTTGTCCAATCACACTTCGACATGGTTGTCCAGCTTCAATTGTGCTTAGCCAATGAAGGCTCCATAAAAACCCAAAAGGGGGGCCAGGCGTGGTGGCTCACGTCTATAATCCCAGCAGTTTGGGAGGCCAAGGTGGGTGGATCGCTTGAGGTCAGGAGTTGGAGGAGTCAGCCTGGCCAACATGGTGAAACCCCGTCACTACTAAAAATACAAAAATTAGCCAGGTATGGTGGTGCATGTCTGTAATCCCAGCTACTTGGGAGGCTGAGGCAGGAGAATCGCTTGAACCCAGGAGGTGGAGGTTGCAGTGAGCCGAGATCACGCCACTGCACTCCAGCCTGGTCGACAGAGTGAGACTCAGTCTCAAAAAAAAAAAAGAAAGGACAGAGTTGGAGAAGCTTCCAAATAGCTAAACACATGGAGGTTCCTGAGGGTGGTGCACCTGGGGAGGGCAAGGAAGCTTAATGCCCCTCCTCCATCCTTGCCCTACCAGTCTCTTCCTCTGGTGTTCATCAGAAGCCTTTGTAACACCCTTTGTAATCATCCAGAAAATGTCAGTGTTGCCCTGAGTTTTGTGAGCCACTCCAGCTAATCAAACCTGAGGGGGGTAAGAATCTCAATTTATAGCCAGTCAGAAGCACAGGCAGAACTAGCTGGGGCTTGTGACTGGCATCAGAAGTGGTGGCAGGTGGCTGGATGCAATGGCTCATGCCTGAGAGCCCAACACTATGGGAGACTGAGGCCAGAGAATCACTTGAGGCTAAGAATTCGAGACCAGCCTGGGCAATATGGCAAGACCCCCTCTGTACAAAATAAAAAATTAGCTGGGTGTAATGGCATATGCCTGGGGTCCCAGCTACTCAGGAGGCTGAGCTAGGAGGATCACTTGAGCCCAGGAGGTCGAGGTTGCAGTGAGCCATGATCATGCCACTGTACTCCAGCCTGGGCAACAGAGCCAGACCCTGCCTCAAAAAAAAAAAAAAAAAAGTGGTGACTGTCTTGTGGGACTGAGCCCTCACCCTGTGGGATCTTGTGCTGTCTGCAGATGGACCATGCTGGAATTGAACTGGACTGGGGGACACCCAGCTGGCGCCGCTGCAGAACTGAGTGCCGACTTGCTGGCGGGGAGAAATCCTCAGCCCGTTCATCACAGGAGTCACAGGAGTGTTGACACTTGTGGTGTGAGAGAAGAGGAAAGGCAGTTTGATTTTTCCATACAACCCTACCTCCAAATAATGTCCCAGTCACAGTACTGGGGATTAGGATTTCAGCATCTTTTGGGAGTGCTATGTATTGGATATTTGACTCCAAATATCTAAACCCCATATTGAAATTCAATCCCGTGTTGGGAGTCGGGCCTGATGGGGGGTGTGTGGGTCCTGGGGAGGATCCCTCATGGTTTTGTGCCATCCTCATAGTAATGAGTGAGTTTGCACTCTGTTAGCTCCCTTGAGAGCTGGCCGTCCCCCGCACTTTCTTGCTTCCTCTCTTGCCCTGTAATCTCTGTGCATGTGGCTCCATTGCTCCTTTTGCCAGGAGAAGCAGCCTGCGGCCCTCACCCGTGCAGATGCTGTGCCATGCTGCTTGTGCAGCCTGCAGAGCCGTGAGCGACAAAACCTCTTTTCTTTATTAATTACCAGCTTCAGCCGGGCACGGTGGCTCATGCCTGCAATCCCAGCACTTTGAGAGGCCGAGGCCAGCAGTCCACCTGATGTCAGCAGTTTGAGGCTAGACTGGCCAACATGGTGAAACCCTGTCTCTACTAAAAATACAAAAATTATCTGGGTGTCATGATGCATGCCTGTAATCCCAGCTACTCGGGAGGCTGAGGCAGGAGAATCACCTGAACCCGGCAGGCGGAGGTTGCAGTTAGCCAAGATCATGCCATTGCACTCCAGCCTGGGCAACAGAGAAAGACTCCATCTCAAAAATAAAAAAATAAAAATAGGCCAGGCGTGGTGGCTCACGCCTGTAATCCCAGCACTTTGGGAGGCCGAGGCGGGCAGATCACCTGAGGTCACAAGTTCGAGACCAGCCTGGCCAACATGGTGGAACCCTGTCTCTACTAAAAATACAAAAATTAGCCAGGTATGGTGGCAGGCGCCTATAATCCCAGCTACTGGGGAGGCTGAGGCAGGAGAATCGCTTGAACCTGGAGGTGGAGGTTGCAGTGAGCCAAGATCATGCCATTGCACTCCAGCCTGGGGGACAAGAGCGAGACTTTGTCTCTAAATAAATAAATAATAAAAATAAAAAATTAACCAGCTCCAGGCGTTCCTTTATAGCAATGCAAATGGACCAAGATGGGGGCAGCGCACGAGTCAACCATAACCATGGCAAGCCCGCCCATGTGGCCTGAGAATCTGGGTGAGGAGAACGGGGGCGATGGAAAGGACTGCCCTCCAGCACCCAGGTCAGGAGTCTGCACTTGATCTTGTGCAAGGAAGGAGGTGGCCATTGAGAGAACTGACCCAGTGTGGAGGACCAAGCGAGGAAACCCCAGAGCCAGAGACCAATTCGACAAAAGGGGTGCTGAGGCTACACACCCAGGCAGTGTCACATGGAAGTGGGGGACAAAGAGGAATGAACATTTGGAGTTGGGAGCCCCAAAACCTGGAGAATGACTGGATTCCAGGTTAGGGAAGTGAAGGGTGGAAGATCTCAGAGGGTTCTTACTCATGTGGCCTGCCTTGGATGTCACTAACCAGCAGGGAAGACACAGAAACATCGAGCATGTGGTTAGTTTTTTGTTTGTTTGTTTGAGATGGAGTTTCATTCTTGTCGCCCAGGCTGGAGTGCAATGGCAAGACCTCAGCTCACTGCAACCTCCGCCTCCTGGGTTCAGGTGATTCTCCTGCCTCAGCCTCCCAAGTAGCTGGGATTACAGATGCCCACCACCAAACCCAGCTAATTTTTGTAATTTTAGTAGAGACAGGGTTTCACCATGTTGGCCAGGCTGGTCTCAAACTCCTGACCTCAGGTGATCCACCCGCCTCAGCCTCCCAAAATGCTGGGAGTATAGGTGTGAGCCACTGTGCCTGGCCGAGATGTGGTTATTGACATCTCAGTGGGATTGTGACATAGCAGGGCTGAACAGAGATCCGGGTACTCTCTGTATCCTGGGGTGAGACTGTCATCTAGGGCAGGGGTCTCTGGCCTCTTTGAGAATCTGGTGCATGGGACAGACCCTCTAGTCTGGAGAAGCACACACAATGTCACATGTGTGACACGTGACATGCAACATCATTCTCAAACAATAGCCTGCTTTGGAAGGCCCCCCTGACACCCCTACTGCCCTTGGCACCCCACGGACCCCCAGTGAAGAGCCTCTAACCAGGAGAGAGCAAGGGGAGAAGAAACACCAACTGGGAGAGAAAATGGACAAGAGCCATCCTCATGGGGGATGTGAATGGGCAAAAGCCGAGGTCCAGAGGCTGAAGACACAGAGATGCATCTGTGGGGGGTCTGGTGAGTGCCCAGGAAATAATGGATTTTTGAAGCTTTCGTCAGTGGTTCCGGCTTGCCAGTGAACACACAGAATTTACAATTTTCATTTGGTTATTGCTAATTTGAACATGGCAGAGACAGTTTGAATATGCCATTACAGTGTGAAAGAACAGTGGCCCCACATTTCAAGCAGAACTAGTGACAACCAAGTGGTGCTTAATTGTAAGAGGAACTGTCTTGGGCTTTGCGTTACTGGAGGGTTCCTGGCATTTTATAGACCTAATTTGTATACAGATGGAATCCTATGTTAAATGCAAGCGTGGTACTCGCTACTAAGAAATCCCATGTAAATAGGGCCTTCTTGGTAAAGTTTATCATCGTTCACCTTTTGTATTCTCAGACCCAAAGCACTGCATTCATTCACTCAATTTTCCTTGCACCTCTTTGTCTAGAGACTAAGATGATTTATTTCTTATTTAACACTATGAAAAACTAATTTATGGTTAGGGTGGATTACCTCTCACATCTCAAATGGGGAAGGTGGCCAGGCACGGTGGCTCACACTTGTAATCCCAGCACTTTGGGAGGCTGAGGCAGGCAGATCACCAGAGGTCAGGAGTTCGAGACCAGCCTGGCCAACAGGGCGAAACCCCATCTCTACTAAAAATACAAAATTAGCTGGACATGGCAGTGCACACCTGTAATCCCAGCTACTCGGGAGGCTGAGGCAGAAGAATCACTTGAACCCAGGAGGCAGAGGTTGCAGTGAGCTAAGATCATGCCATTGTACTCCAGCCTGGGCAACAAGAGTGAAACTCCATCTCAAAAAAAATAAAATAAAATAAAATGGGGAAGTAAAAACAGCCACAGGTCGAACATCCCTAATGAAATGGTTCAAAATCTGAACATTTCTGAGCACTGACGTGATGCCAAAAGTGGAAAATTCCACACCTGACCTCACATGACAGGTTACAGTTGAAGCACCAGGCACATAACACACAGTTTATTCAGCAGCCCCAGGGGAAAAAAGACCCTTCCAGCCCCCTTCAGCTGTAATATCTCTTGTACATAAACTTTGTTTCACGCACAAAATTATTTAAAATATTGTATAAAATTACCTTCAGACTCTGTGTACAAGGTGTATATGAAACATAAGCGAATTTCATGTTTACACTTGGATAGGATGATGTGTTATTGAAGTGGCCTCATTTGTCTGGGGTGATACCCGAGATTCATTGTCTCACAGCCACAGAAAACTAAGACATGGACACACAGAGAGTGAGGTTTAGAGTGGAAGTTAATAGGTGAAAGAGAAGAGCTAGGCCAGGCACAGTGGCTCATGCCTGTAATCCCAGCACTTTGGGAGGCTGAGGCGGGCGGATCACGAAGTCAGGAGATCGAGACCATCCTGGCTAACACGGTGAAACCCCGTCTCTACTAAAAATACAAAAAATTAGCTGGGCCTGGTGGCAGGTGCCTGTAGTCCCAGCTACTCGGGAGGCTGAGGCAGGAGAATTGCGTAAACCTGGGAGGTGGAGCTTGCAGTGAGCCGAGATCACGCCACTGCACTCCAGCCTGGGCGACAGAGCGAGACTCCATCTCAAAAAAAAAAAAAAAGAAAGAAAGAAAGAAAAAGAAAAAGACAGAGAAGAGCTCTCTGCCCAGAGAGAAATCCCAAAAAAATGCGTTGTTGGTTCCATGGTGAAATGTCAGGGGATTTTACAGATTAGTTTGAGAAGGTGGTGTCTGATTTGCATAGGGCACAAACGATTGGTTGGGCCAGGTGTGCCATTTGTATAAGGCGTGAAAAACTGGTTAGAGCTAGGTGTATCATTTGTATAAGGTGTTAAAAGTTGGCTGTCTGCACCCTAATCTTTTTTTGTTTGTTTGTTTTTGTGAGACAGAGTTTTGCTCTTGTTGCCCAGACTAGAGTGCAGTGGCACAATCTTGGCTCACTGAAACCTCCGTCTCCTGGGTTCAAATGATTATCCTGCTTCAACCTCCCAAGTAGCTGGGACTACAGGTGTGCATCATCACCCACAGCTAATTTCTGTATTTTTAGTAGAGATGGGGTTTCACCATGTTGGCCAGGCTGGTCTCAAACTCCTGACCTCAGGTGATCTGCCCGCCCCAGCCTCCCAAAGTGCTGGGATTACAGGCATGAGTCACCGCGCCCAGCCCCAATCCTATGTATTATGTAGATGGATTCTCTGTCTGGCCAGTGTCATGTTGTTCGTTTCTTTATTGTATACGTGGTAACAACAGAAAAGGAAAGATGGAGTCTTCATGTTGGGTACGCCTGGCCCCAGGTAGCCCTTTTCTATTGGCACAGCTGTCTGCATTCACCCATGTAAGTTTTTAGCATGTTTATCTATGTTTGCAGCTTGATTTTTCAGGCTGCTCTTTGTTAGAAAAAAAATAATTTTGGGGGCTGCTTTTTATTAGAAGAGAGATCTTGTCAAGGACTCTTTCACCCTCACTATCTGTCTAAATAATTTCTTTCTATCTCCTGTATCATTATTAAATGCAGGTTAGAACTTTTTTTTTTTTTTAATTGCTGTGTCTGGGCCAGGCGCAGTGGCTCGCGCCTGTAATCCCAGCAGTTTGGGAGGCCAAGGCAGGCCAATCATTTGAGGCCAGGAGTTTCAGACCAGCCTGGCCAACATGGTGAAACCCCATCTCTACTAAAAATACAAAAATTAGCCAGGCATGGTGGCGGGCACCTACAATCCCAGCTACTCAGAATGCTGAGGGAGGAGAGTTGCTTGAACCCAGGGTGCGGAGGTTGCAGTGAGCTGAGATTGCACCACTTCACTCCAGCCTGTGCAACAGAGTGAGATTCCGTCTCAAAAAAAAAAAAAATTGTTGTGTCTGTTGTAATGATTTTTTTGTCTTGTATGTGCTACAGATGACAATCAAGAACTGGCTTGATGGCTGTGGACTAAGTTGTATTTCTTTTCAAGGTGAGAGGAAGGAAGGACAATGATCAAACCGGAAAAACTTTCCTCCTTCCTGGCCTGGCTCCTGTGGAGTTTACATAACTAGCTTTCTCTCTGGGGTAATCTCACTAAAACTACTTTCCAAATTGCTTTGCAGAGCAGCAAACATAAATATTAACTTCAAGATTGGAAAGTGCCACTTTCTAATAAAAAGAGAGAATTTAATGAGATGCAGAAATATGAACTTAGCTCCTTCTCCATCAATGCCGTCTTTGCTTCTTAATATGCTCCCCACATATGCCTCGTGCCAGGGCTATGCATACATTGTACACTTGGAGAATGATTATGAAAATCAGATTACATGCAGCTGCCCCTATTAAAGAAAACCATTTGGTTTGCTTTTGAACTGTGGCTTCTGAAGAGGCCAGTTCCATATAATCTTAATTAAGGACAAGGAGGAAACATTTCCTGAGCTGGTGCTGCATGCACTCTGTGCCCCATGCTGGGGGCTGCACTGTGTGATCTCAGTCAACCTCCCTTACCCACACTCTTGCCTTGGAGAATCTGGGCCTGCAGAAAGAGGGACCTGAGTCCAGTGTGTTTGAACAAACGGAAACATTGTTCCTCTGTGTATAGTACCCAAACACAGGACCCTTGAACAATACATGCTGGAACTGTGCAGGTCCACTTACATGTGGATCTTTTTCTCTTCTTTTCTTTTTCAAACAGAGATGGAGGTCTTGCTATGTTGCCCAGGTTGGTCTTAAACTGCTGGCCTCAAGCTATCCACCCACATTAGCCTCCCAGAGTGCTGAGAAAAATCTTTTTCAATAGAAGTTACACCGAGCCAGGCATGGTGGCTTACACCTGTAATCCCAGCACGTTGGGAGGCCGAGGTGGGCAGATCACTTGAGGTCAGGAGTTCGAGAGCAGCCTGGCCAACATGGCGAAACCCTGTCTCTACCAAAAATACAAAAATTAGCTGAGCATGGTGGCGGGCACCTGTAATCCCAGCTACTCAGGAGGCTGAGGCAGGAGAATCGCTTGAACCCAGGAGGTGGAGGTTGCAGTGAGCCGAGATCGCACCACTGCACTCCAGCCTGGGAGACAGAGTGAGACTCCATCCAGAAAAAAAAAGAACAATGTAGTGTATCTCCAAAACATTATGTTGAATGAAAGAGGCCAGACAGATGCAAAAGAGCACAGACTGCGTGAATCCACTTATTTGAAGTTCAAGAGCAGGCGACCTCTGTTCTGTGTTGATAGTGGCTTCGCCGGCGTGGTGAGGGGCACTGAGGATCTCCCCTGCATATGGGCACCAGCAGGCTGGCTGGGTGATGTGCAGCCTGATCTGGTGGTAGTCACACAGTGTACACAAACGTGAAAAGTCAACAGACGTTCCACTGAAACGTGTGCATTTCCCTCTATATAAATTAGACCACAATAAATTCTTGGGGAAAAGAAAGTCAATACGTGATACCCCTGGATGGGATAATTTGGATTCTTTACATGTGTGAGTTTCCTTCTGGATAACATGGCAGCACTCTAAGTGCTTAAAGAGGGTCTTAAAAGCTGCAAGCGGTCAGGCACGGTGACTCACGCCTGTAATCCCAGCACTTTGGGAGGCCGAGGCAGACGGATCACCTGAAGTCAAGAGTTTGAGATCAGCCTGGCCAACGTGGTGAAACCTTTATCTACTAAAACTACAAAAAAATTAACCGGGCGTGGTGGTGCGTGCCTGTAGTCTTAGCTACTTGGGAGGCTGAGGCACGAGAATCGCCTGAACCCGGGAGGTGGAGGTTGCAGTAAGCTGACATCGCGCAACTGCACTCCAGCCTGGGTGACAGAGCGAGACTGTCTCAAAAAAGTTAAAAAAAAAAAAAGTTAAATAAATAAAGCTTGTCAGCTTTCTTTCACTTCTCTTTAATAGAACTAAAAAGAAGCTGATATTTCTCAAAATAAATAAATAAATAAAAACCGCCTGTAGCTCTTTGGGAGAGAAAAGGGAACTCATTCCAGGGAATACTTAAGACTGTGAAATGTCTTCTTGTGTTGTTCATTTTCAGACCTCCAAGCAATTTTAGGCGAGTTAGAAGTGTGTAGAGAAGTGATGGAAATATTTAATTGATGTGCGATGGAGAAAATGCCTTATTTCCCCCAGGTTATACTTTTGAGGCAATCTTACTGCACTTTGGGGTAGGGTTTTCAAGCACGCTGTAACCATAATATCTAAACTAGCATTTTGAAATGGTGTTATTTAATCAGTCTGCTAATTTAGTGATCTGGCAAGAGAGTAACCTGCGATGTTCACAGTAAATACTAAGAGCAGGAGGAGATGACCAGACTTGCCTAGAATTTTAAAACTGTGATGGAAACACTTCTGCCCATGCCACGTGTGAGCAGAACATGAATCACCAACTACACTGATCAACCGTCTTTCACTCAAATGATTTTGGAAGCATCAGCAAACTCTGAGACAAGGGAAGTTGGATTTTCATTTATTAGCAATTCCTCCGAGTTCTCTTTTTGCATACCAGGCAGAGTAAACCACATATGCGTTTTGTTCCCTTAAATATTTTATAGATGAAGAAGGAATAAATAACATGGTACCAAGTTATTGGTTCCTAGTCTTCCATGGGGGAAAACTGGGAAAGTCCCCCAAAGATTATGCCCCCTTTAAAAAAAGACTCCCCTCTGACCAGCTATGAGAAAATGGGGGATGAGCAAGCTCCTTGAAACATGCCAGGACCTCTTAGGTGGGTGGGAGAACAAAGGCCAAGTCTATTAGACATTCACACCTTAGTCTGAATTTCTTTTGCCATTCATTTGCCATCCAGGTATCACCTGCTTGCAAAATGAAAGGTTTTTATTTTCTCCTCCCACCCAATTTGAGAGCAGTGAGGGGATGAGAGTGGTGTTTTGGATGAAGGAGAGAATGATGACGGGGGTAGGGGAGAACTGAAGTGTAGGGCTTTGTGGGAGGGAACTTGCTCTACGATGCTGGAGCTAAGGATGTGGCGGCCATAGCACATCATGAGAACATTGCTGTGGCCAGGGAAGACACAGTGGTCTACGGCAGGGGTGTGTAAGGGGCCAGACAGACTCTGATGCAAGGACTCAATTTTTTAAATTTTATTTATTTATTTATTTACTGAGACAGCATCTCACTCTGTCACCCAGGCTGGAGGGCAGTGGTGTGATCTTGGCTCACTGCAACCTCTGCCTCCCAGGTTCAAGCACCAGCAGGCTTACAATGTTCTTGCCTCAGCCTCCCGAGCAGCTGGGATTACAGGCATGCACCACCACGCCTGGCTAACTTTTGTATAAAGTAGAGACAGGGTTTCATCATGTTGGCCAGGCTGGTCTCAAACGCCTGACCTCAAGTGATCCACCTGCCTCAGCCTCCCAAAGTGCTGGGATTATAGGCGTGAGCCGCCGTGCCTGGCTACAAGGACCCAATTTTGCTATTGTAGCTTGAAAGCAGCCACAGATGATGTGTAAGCAGGCCAGGTGCGTGCAGCTCCCACCTTCATCCCAGGGCTTTGGGAGGCTGAGGCAGGAGGATCACTTGAGCCCTGGAGTTCGAGAACAACCTGGGCAACACAGCAAGAGTCCATCTCTATGAAAAATATTTTTAAAAAATTAGTCAGGCATGGCCGGGCGCAGTGGCTCACGCCTGTAATCGCAGCACTTTGGGAGGCCGAGGCGGGAGGATCACGAGGTCAGGAGATCGAGACCATCCTGGCTAACACAGTGAAACCCTGTCTCTGAGGCAGGAGAATGACGTGAACCCAGGAGGCAGAGATGACAGTGAGCTGAGATTGCGCCACTGCACTCTAGCCTGGGCGACAGAGCGAGACTCCATCTCAAAAAAAAAAAAAAAAAAAATAGGCATGGTGCCTAATTCCAATAAAACTTTTTTTTAAGAACACAGAAATGTGAATTTCACATAATTTTCATATGTCGTAAAATTTTTGATTTTTTTGGTCCCAAACATTTAAAACGTAAACTCATCCTTCACTCGCAGGCCATACAAAATCAGATACTATGCAGATTCGGGAGCAGAGAGCAACCAAAATTCAATTCATTTACTGCACATTTTACCTGAAAGTCCTAATAGTGGTGATGCTGATGGTACCACCAAAAACCGATGTTTGAAAACAACAGTGATTCAGATTCTGTTGTTCTGAACTCTAAGGGAGCTTCATTAGGAATGCATCAGCACAGTACTTCCAAAAGTGCGTCAGTAACAACTCCACTTCTCATCATTTATTCCATGAAAGTTTCTGCACAATTATACAAAGGTATGAGCACACTGCAGGACTGCTTGTCATATAGGGGAATGGGGATCACCTAAATGTGCCTGTTTGATTACACAAATTATAGGACAGTGCAGCCGCCCCAGGGAACATTATGAGACACCCTGGCAGGGGAAAGGGCAGAGTGATCTTAGTGGGACGTGGTGCCATTCATCACATGGGGTTAAGCAGAAAAGCAACTTGTGCTTTCTCCTTTGCACACTCATGGATTCATTCATTCCACAAATACTGAGTGCCAGTTTATGTGTGATTCCAGGCCGTGGGGTGCACTCGTGAACAAAATGAACAAGACCTCCTCTGCGGAGCTTACATTCTAATGGGAATTACATTTGCAATTTTAAAGATTCATATGGGGACGGGCGCAGTGGCTCATGCCTGTAATTCCAGCACATTGGGAGGCCGAGGAGGGTGGATCACGAGGTCAGAAGTTCAAGATCAGCCTGGCCAAGATGGTGAAACCCTGTCTCTACTAAAAATACAAAAAATTAGCTGGGCGTGGAGGTGGGCACCTGTAATCCCAGCTACTCGAGAGGCTGAGGCAGAGAATTGCTTGAACCCAGGAGGCAGAGGTTGCAGTGAGCTGAGATCACGCCGCCGCACTCCAGCCTCAGTGACAGAGAAAAACTCCGTCTCAAAAAAAAAAAAAAAAAGATTCATATGCACACATGTGTATGCATATATGAGCATATATATGTGTATATATAGGTTTTTACATATATAATGTTTATTATATAAAAGAGGGTTTTTAAAGGGTTAAATAATGGTTTATATATTAACAAGAGAGTTTATATAATAGGTTTTAAAACCTATTTTATATATATGTAATAAACATATTACATATATCACATATATTATATATTACATACATATGTGTGTATATATATAGGTTTTTACATATATATATAAACCTTTATGGCAGAATGCCACTTTACCTTAATACTTTGTCAATGGGGAATTGCTGATTTGAACTCTGCCTTTGTATCTGTCCGTACAAAAAAATAACAAGTTGATGTTATTTAGAGCAAATAGAACTGATTTCAAAACTGATTTCAAAACTGATTAGAATACATTTTGATTGAGAAAATGAATACTCAGACAGGCATTATCATCAGTTAAAAACTCAGTCTGACATAAAAGTGATAGAAACTTTCATGGGTTTGGGTTTGCAACTTGTATGTTAAAATCTGTCCCATGCTCATCCACATAGCATACCTACTGTAGCTCATTACCAATTGAGATCAGAGGTCTGAACAGCTGTAAGCAAATTATCCTCTTAAATCAGGAAAATATTAAAATGTAAAGCTCAATTCTGTGTGCTAAATTATCTTAAGACAGTCAAAATTTCAAATTCGCAAGGAAATCAGTAAAAGGGAAGGCATGAAAAGACTATTCAAACATCACTGCTACTTAAATACTATAATGAGCTTTTAAAATATGGAGCTTTATTTATTTATTTACTTATTTATTTTTAAGATGGAGTCTCGTTCTGTCGCCCAGGCTGGAGCACAGTGGTGCGATCTCGGCTCACTGCAAGCTCTGCCTCCCGGGTTCACGCCATTCTCCTGCCTCAGCCTCCCGAGTAGCTGGGACTACAGGCACCCACCCCCACACCCAGCTAATTTTTTTTTTGTACTTTTAGTAGAGATGGGGTTTCCTCGTGTTAGCCATGATGATCTCGATTTCCTGACCTCGTGATCCGCCTGCCTCGGCCTCTCAAAGCGCTGGGATTACAGGCATAAGCCACCATGCCCAGCCTGTCATCTCTATTTTTATAAGCAAGCAAGAAAGACAGGCAGGTTGTGGCAGCACTCTTGGATCCGTGTCCTCAGAGTGGCAGACCCAAGCATCTATCTCTAATACAGTCTGAGTGTTATCAAAGTCAGCCAAAGTATGCTGCAAAAGATAAATACTTTTCTATAACTAAATGGTATGGTTTTCTCAAAATCTAAAAGAAAAATGCAAAATGAATCTTTTTTTCTCAGAAGCATGCTTTCCTTGCACATAGTAGGCATCCAGGTATATTCACTCAATCATAAAATCCTGTCTCTAGACCGCGCGTGGTGGCTCACGCCTGAAATCCCAGCATGCTGGGAGGTTGAGGTGGGTGGATCACTTGAGGTCAAGAGTTTGAGACCAACCTGGCCAACATGTGAAACCCCATCTCTACTAAAATACAAAAATCAGTTGGGCGTGGTGATGCGCGCCTGTAATCCCAGCTACTCGGAGGCGGGCGGGGGTGCTAAGGCAGGAGAATTGCTTGAACCTGGGAGGCGGAGGTTGCAGTGAGCCGAGATCATGCAACTGTGCTCCAGCCTGGGTGACAGAGCAAGACTCTGTCTCAAAAACAAAACAACAACAACAACAAAAAAAACCTGTCTCTAAAGGTAGAAACAACCCAAACGTCCACTGACACATGAAGGGATAAAGAAAATGTGGTGTATGCATGCGTATATACATGAAATTCTGACTCAGCCTACAACGCAGATGAACTTTGAGGACATGATGCTAGTGTGATATGCCAGTCACAAAAGGACACATACTGTATGATCCTGCTTAGATGAGGCACCTAGAGGAGTCAAATTAATAGCGACAGGAAGTAGAACAGTGGCTGCAGGGGCTGGGAAGGACCGAATTGGGAGTGAGTGCCTAATGGGTGCAGGTTCAGCTTCGGAATGAAAGAGTTCTGGAGATGGGTGGTGGTGATGGTTGCTCAACAGTGTAAATGGATTTAAGCCACGGAACTGTAGACCTCAAATGGTACATTTTATGTGCATTTTACCAAAAAAAAACTTTTTTAAAGCCTGTTGTCAAACCCACATAAATCAGGGCCTAAAACTAAAGGTAATTCAAAGTCTTGCCTTGGGGGATTGGAAAAGCCTCTAAAACTTTCTCGTGGAGAAGAGGAATCTACAGGAAGGAAGGAGATGGAGACTTCCCGCTGAGGAGCGCAGGAGGGAAGAAATGAGTCCAGAGGCTCCCAGAGGCAGAAGAGGGTGAACAGAGAGCCCGACCTTGGGAAAGAGAATAAAGGATGCTCTGGCCATGACCCACGACTGGAAATTCACATGAATCTCTGGCCTCCAGCGTGGGAGTGCAGAGCCTGATGCAGGCCCCATGCTAAACTGCAAAGCAGCACGGGAAAGGATGGGCTTCTCGGAGGAGACTCCACTCCCCCCAGCCCACCTTCCTCCCATAGGCGGAGCTGGGCACCCCCTCCCCATCTTTCCTGGGTACCCCCTGCTGACCTGTTCTTCCCCACTAGACCTGAAGTGTCATCTCCGCCCGCTGTACCCGCAAACGCAGCCTCGCACACACTAAGAGCTTGATCGCTGTCCCCCAAACGGTTGAATGAACGGAAGGTAGTGGCCACTGACAGTAGGTGGATGGTAACCATTGTGAAGCTTCCTATGGGTCCCTGGGATCTTTGTGCCTTTTGCATCCGCGCAGCAGAACTCACATGGATGGGAGCAGCTGATCTGGGGCTCCCCTCCTGCACTTGCCCAGGTGAAAGATTCAGCGATGAAGGTGATTTGCCCTCACACGGGGCATGACAGGGGGAGGTACTGCACACAAATAGAAGGAAATGTTAGGTAACAAAGCTTTGCTGTTACTAGCTTTCTGGCTGCCTGTCCAGGAGATCCTGCCACGTGGCAGGTGGGAGCTGAGTTACCTATGAGAGGAGAGGGCTGAAGGTATGGAAGTGTGCTGAGTTCAAACCTAGAGGGTGCTCCTCAATCCTGACTGCACACACAGGCCACCTGGGAATCTTGCAAAACCACAGGGTGGGCTGGGCAGGGCCTGGAACTCTGCATTTCTTTTTCTTTTTTTCTTTTCCGAGATGTAGTCTCGCTCTGTCACCAGGCTGTAGTGCAGTGGCACGATCTCGGCTCACTGCAACCTCTGCCTTCTGGGCTCAAGTGATTCCCCTGCCTCAGCCTCCCAAGTAGCTGGGACTACAGGCGCATGCCACCACGCCCGACTGATTTTCTGTATTTTAGTTAGAGACAGCGTTTCACTATTTTGGTTAGGATGGTCTCAATCTCCTGACCCCGTGATCTGCCCACCTTGGCCTCCCAAAGTGCTGGGATTACAGGCATGAGACACGGCATCTGGCCAGGACTCTGCATTTCTAATGTATCGTCAGATTCCTGCACTACACTTGGAGTGGCGTAAGATGCTAGGATATACACTATTGAAAGCATTCCATGGGCCTGGTGTGGTGCCTTGTGCCTGTAATCCCAGAGGGTTGGGAGGCTGAGGCTGAGGCAGGAGCATCACTTGAGCCCAGAAGTTCAAGACCATCCTGGGAAACATAGCAAGACCCTGCCTCTATAAAAAATACTTTTAAAATAGCTGGGCATGGTGGCATGCGCCTGTGGTCCCAGCTATTCCAGAGACTGAGGTGGGAGGATCCCTTGAGCCAGGGAGTTGAGACTGCAGTGAGCTATGATAGCGCTGTTACCAGTGGAGGGTCTTGATTATGAGTCTTGGCGTTTTGAACAAAGAATTGGGCAAAACGCACAAACAAAGAAACAATAGAATGAAGCAACGGAAGCACAGATATATTGAAACAGAAGTACACTCCTCAAAGTGGGAGCAGGCTCTAGCAGTGGCTGAGAGCCCTGGTTACAGAATTGTCTGGGGTTTAAATACCCTCTAGGTTGTTACTTGATTACAACCGATGTAAATGAAGAAGTGGCCTGCGACCAGTCTGATTGGTTGTGGGAGGGGACCAATCAGAGGAACTTCCCATTTTTCATCTGCCATGCAGTGGAAAGGTGGGAGGGTTGAGTAGCCTCTGATCCTTTCGTTACTTGGGTGTGGAGAGGTGGGGTTTTCCTTTTGATTCAGCTCTAGGAAATCAGTGCAAATCAGCCTTAGGTACCCTGCCTCCAGAACCCATTCTCCTGCCTCAGCACCACTGCACTCCAGCCTAGGTGACAGAGCAAGACCTTGTCTCTGAAAAAATTAAAGAAAAGAAAGAGAAAAGCATGTAACAGGAACTACAGTATGCTATTATTTGTGTAAAAAGAAAAAAAAAAAAACGGCCAGGCGTGGTACCTCATACATGTAATCTCAGCACTTTGGGAGTTCAAGGCAGGAGGACTGCTTGAGCCCAGGAGTTTGACACCAGCCTAGGCAATATAGCAACACCCTGTCTCTACAGAAAAAAAAAAAAAAAATAGAAAAAATTAGCTGGGCACGGTGGCACACGCCTATAGTCTCAGTTACTTGGGAGGCTGAAGCAGGATGATTGCTTAAGTCCAAGAGGTTGAAGCTGCAGTGAGCCGTGATTGTGCCACTGCACTCCAGCCTGGGTGACAGAGTGAAACCCTCTCTCAAAAATAAATAAATAAAACTATAAAATTTTTTTAATCATTGATTTTTAAAGAGCTGTTGTATTTTTCCCACCTTTATTGCAAAATAAAGATTTTCTGTTTTCAAGGCTCATAAGCAGGTCGGTCAGGAGTCTGTTGAGTACACAGCACTGTCCCTGAGAACCTTTTAAATCAATCATCCATTTTTAGAATCTTTTTGGAACAATGGCTCCTAATTCTCCTTAAAATGTACTTCAGGTGCTTAACCCTATTGCCTGTTCTGGCTTAGCCCAGAAGACAAAAGCAGTGCATGCTCACAAACCGGACGTTGTGTTGCAGGACAATCAAAGACTGGAGAGACGGAAAAGGTTCAGGAGAGTTTATTAAATTAAGGTGATCACCAGCTCAGCCGGACATAGGTCCAGAAAGTTTGAGCCCCGAACAAAGGGCTTTTTCTACTTGTAAACATCTTAAGGCAGGAACTACGTGAGGCGGGAAGCAAGTTACAGAAGCAAGAAACAAAGACAGCATTACATTTCTTATATCTTGAGAGAAACATGTCTTGCCACCTAAACTTATTGGTCTTGTGACCCTGCAGCCATGCTAGGGAGGTAAGCAGGAACTCGCTGGGCCTGTAACAAACTTTGAGGAATGTGGAGTTGGGGAGTATAGATAAGGTCCACTGTCCACAGAGAGAAGACAGACTGTTAATATTCTCTTTTAACTTGAGAGTAAGGGGGGGGTCACACTTTGCAGCAACTTTGAGAGGATTTTAAAATTTCTATTACTACTACTGTTAGGTTATAGTTGATTTTATTAATTCCTTCTTCAGTTGCGGGGAGCTCAAAAGGGTCCTCACTGACTTCGCGCGCGACCTGGAGCGCCTGCTCCTGCCCCAGCACCTCTGCCAGCAGGGGGTACCCAGGCTCCCTTTTCTGTGCCCATGGCTCTGCTACTTCGTGTCTGCTGTGATGTCTTTGGCAAACATCTAGTTTGATTGTTTTTTTCTCACTCAAGCTCAGAAAAGGTGGAACTTATTTTCTCTGACCAGAGAATGACATGCAGATGGATACACCCCTCTCCATCCTGTTCTAGAGGCTTCCATCCCAAGAGTGGGGAAGGGCCAGCACCTGGCAAAGTTCTCCAAACAGAACTAGGGGCTCCCTGGAGAAGGGGAGTGGCCAGCCCTGCAGAAGCCAGGCCCAGCAGCGGCAACTACAGGTCATTTGGAACAACTTCAGGGAAGGGGACATCGGAGGTAAGGGATGGGCAGACACAGGAGGCTGTGGGACCTCTGGGGCTAAAGAGGAGGGTAAACCTGACGGCAGTTGCCAGAAGAGCCACCTGTACAACACCCTGCACCTGGCCCAATGTCCATGTTGGAGGAACGAATAAGCGAACAAAGGAAGTGAGAATCCAAAGCCAGCTCCAACTCCTAAACACAGGCTCTTTCCACCCCAACACAAGGTTTCCTGCTCCCCACCCCTGGAAGAGCAGTTTTCAGACAGACAGGAAAGGCTAGGACCCTGGCCTGGGAGTGTGGGAATGGAAAGAAAGGGTCAGATTCCAGGGAGTCCAGTCCTGGCGTGGCTGCCGCAGCACATTATAACAGGGCTTAATCTCTCTGGGTTAAGGTTTGGTGATGAATCCTACTTAGCCTTTACTAGATACAGAACATCCCAGGAAATTCCATTCCACTTGATTTCTGCAGTCAGGTGGAATGGATGTCAAGTCAAGATGTCACCTTTCATCCCCAAGGCCACATCACAGTCTCTTTATGATGTTCTGGTATTTCCAGCAGTAGCTCTGCCCGCTCAGTATTTCAGGGAAATTACGTTTAGATGAACGGTAATTTCTGGCTATGATAATAAGATCAAAGCAATTGTATTTGGGTCTCTGACTCAATACAGGAAGGTCACCTTCTATTTCACAGTAACGGATGGATCCAGGCTGGCTATTATCTCAACCCTGCGAAGTCAGAATATTTTAATTGACCGGCACATCCATCTAGTGACAAATGTAGGGAATGCTTCATCCATTAGAAACTGATTGATTGAAAAGCACGGGGGAAGTACGGGGAAGAAAGGCTGTAATTTTCACAGTTGGTCAAACTTCACAGAATGTCCTTGCTTTTCAAAAATCATGACTATTTTTCTAACAAGATAATGCTGAATCTCCTTTTGCATGAATGTTTGTTGCTCTTAAAAGTTATCTAATGATTTGGCAAAGGAATCCAGTAATTTACTTGTCAGGAAGGCACTATGTATAAAGCTACAACTCTGGCACCGAGACGTGTGTGTCTGTGATTACCATTCGCCCCACTTTCGGGCAAAGCATTTTTCATTCTTGAAAACAGGCCAACTGGTTTGACCCCAGGAAGGCACGACTGAGACAGCCTCCCACGGTTCACTACGCAAACTGAAATCTGTATGTGTAAATGTAAAAACAGGCCTCACGTTTAATGCAGAATTTAATGCCAGTCCTTGCTCTTTACAGTGTTCTCCTGTGTACAGCCACGCAGGAAAGACATCCCTCCTACTAGAACCCACTGGGATTGGCAGGTTCTTACCCACCCCACGGAGCGCAGAGACCACGCACCCGCCTCTGCCCCTCCACCAACACCCACTGCCCCCTCCTGCCACTTCTGAGTTCCTACCACGTGCCAGGCACTTCGCTTTTGTTTCTCTCGATACTGATAGGCTCGACTACCCCATTTCACAAAGGATCTGCGGCAGGGAGGTGAATATGATTTACATCTGAAAATAAAAGGAGGGTGCTTAAGTCCCAGCTTAGCCCTTATGGGCATTCTCACAATTACTCTATTGCAAGTCACCTGGGGAGGACCCCGAAAGCTGAAAAAATTAGCTTTGGACAACGATAGATCAGTGGTTCCCGAAGCGTGGTCCACGGCCCCCTGGAGATCCTGAGACTCCTCCAGGGAGTCCATTGGGTTAAAACTATATTTATAATAATGCAAAGACATTACTTAGTTACTTGGTTCACTGGGTTGACATTTGCACTCACGATGCAAAAGCAGCTGTGGGTGAAAGTGCCTGCACCCTGGCAGAGAATGGCAGAGGCAACACACCCCTATGGCCATTGTATTCTTCGCCACTGTGCTTGGGGAGGGAAACACAAATGCCAGTTTCGCTCATGAATGAAGCAGCAAAATGCTCCCTGTCATTACATCTCAGCGCTTTTACCCTGTGTTCAAACATCCTAAGCAGAGAACACTTCTGCTGCTCACAGGGGCTCATATGTCTCAAGGAAAGCCCTGGGTGATTGGGTCCAGGCCTGAATTGCCGCTGTGTTCATGGAACATTGTTTTTCCCTGGAAGAGCGACTAACAAACTATGGTGATTCAGACGTGGGTATCTGGCAGACATTTCCTTGGAAATGGACAAAGTGAGCTTCAAGTGTTTGCTGCCAATGGTAAAATGCGGGCTTCAAGTGAAAACTGGAATTTTTGGAAACTTGGATCCAGCACCATGAGCTTGGCAGCTTCCCAATACCTCCCTAACTTCTAATGGTCCCACTTCCGATGTACTGACTTTTACAACAGCGTGAAATGGTTGCAATTTCTATGTCATGTACGGTATTCAACAAACTGCACAAGATCTTCAATACTTTCTTATAAAATAAGCTTTGTTTTAGATTTTTCCCAACTGTAGGCTAATATAAGTGTTCTGAGCATGTTCCAGGGAGGCTGGGCTAAGCCACGATGTCCAGTAGGTTAGGTGTACTTAATGCATTTTCAATTTACAATATTTTTGAATTACAACGGGTTTATCAAATGTAAGTCAACGAGCATCTGTACTTAGATTTTCCTGATCCAACGGGTGCTGATATTAATGAATGTGATCTTTTATTGATTGATTGATTGATTTTTCTGAGATGGAGTCTCGCTCTGTCACCCAGGCTGGAGTGCAGTGGCGTGATCTCGGCTCACTGCAAGCTCCGCCTCCCGGGTTCACGCCATTCTCCTGCCTCAGCCTCCTGAGTAGCTGGGACTACAGGCGCCCACCACCACGCCCAGCTAATTTTTTGTATTTTCAGTAGAGACAGGGTTTCACTGTGTTAGCCAGGCTTGTCTCGAACTCCTGACCTCAGGTGATCCGCCCACCTGGGCCTCCCAAAGTGCTGGGATTACAGGCATGGGCCACCGCACCTGGCCAAATGTGATCTTCTGTTTTGCATAATGAAGACATGTTGACATTTGGAAGATGTGCCTAATTCAGGGAACCAGTATTTTGCAAATGACTAGCATATGATGTTACAAAAGCATGCCTGGGTAAACAATCCAATCACAGTGCCAGGTAGACCAGGGGATCTTAATGGAACAGAGTGTGAAAAAGACATAGACGGGGTTTCAGATTCCACACTGCAACTAACCTTTCAAAACCGTTCATTAGTTGAGTTTTGGTGAAGTATCAAAGAATGTTCACAGTTATCTGAAAAGGCTACTAAAATACTCTCTTTTCCAAATACGTATCTATGTGAAAACACATTTTCTTCATATGCGTCAATCGAACAACTTCAAATGCAACAAACTGAATGCAGAACCAGATGCAAGAATCCCTCTGGTTTTGAAGACAGATATTAAAAGATCTGCAAAATTTTACAGGCGTGAGCCACCACGCCCGGCCTATTTCATCTGTATTTCTAAAAGTTATTTACTCAGGTTGGCCACTCTCCTCCACCTGGCTTTTCTTCACTGGGAAACAGGGGACTGTGCCTCATATTCACAGTGGCCCAGTATTTGAACCCACATGAGAACATGCTCAAGGTCATACGGCTGGTCAACCACAGAGCTGGGATTCACCTCCAGTCTGAATCACAATCAAAGAGCCACTGTTCAACTCCTTGTACATAATGTCCTCAGACAGGCAAAACAATCAATCTCTGGTGTTAAAAATCATCTAGCCTTTACCTTGGGGGTAGAAAGCCCTAGAAAGCTCATGAGTGGCATCCACTAAGAGTGGAATCTATTGCTGAATACACCAAGATCTTCTCCTTTGGTAGAAGAAAAACCTGAGGAAAGCAGTGAGTGGATTTGGTAAACAGCCCCAACAGGGCAAGAGCCAGGGCCCCTGACCCTGGGCTCACTGCTAGTCCACTTTCTTTCTTTTTTTTTGTGACAGGGTCTCGCTCTGTCACCCCAGCTGGAGTGCAGTGGTGCAATCACGGCTCACTGCAGCCTTAACCTCCTGGGCTCAAGTGATCCTCCCACCTAAGTCTCCCAAGTAGATGAGACCACAGATGCATGCCACCACACCCAGCTGTTTTTTTTTTTTTTTTTTTTTTTTCATATAGATGGGTTTTCACTATGTTGTGCAGAGTAGTCTCAAATTCCTGGGCTCAAGCAACAATCCTCCCTCCTCAGCCTCCCAAAGTGCTAGGGTTACAGGCATGAGCCACTGCACCCAGCCCTCATCCACTTTCTGACAGTTTTTCCCCCAAAACTTACCTCCTCCTTGAGCATATTCAGATGTTTCCACTCCTGATCTGTCTGAGCCAGGGAGAAGTGAACCAGCCAGAGAAGCCATGAGTGCCTGGGAGCACAGGCCCCAGCTGCAGGAACACCCACGTCTCAGCTCCAGCCTCCTGCTGCAGGTAGGAATGAACATTTTTTGTTTGTCGGATCCAGTTTCTCAAGAGAAGCTAGAAATTTGGACTTCTGAGTACAACCTGATTTTAACAACATTCGTTTTGTTTAAATCACAGCTCACCAGTTTTTGTTCTCTGGACTAAGGAATCCCCTTTTCTCTCCTCTTTGGTGATCTTTAAACACATGGTGCATTTGTGCACATCTAACTGTCCCAAAGGTAAATTTATCTGGTCTTTAAAAAGGGAGAATTCAGAAATTAAAATGAGTTCTTAGTTTAAGGAGCTGCCGGAGATGGGGAGGACGTCAAAGTGTAGGGCCTTTGCAGGAGTCACCCAATGGGAAAATGTGGCCTGATGGCAGATCCTCACCAGGTGACTGTCCTTTGTCCTAGTAGCGATGGCATTTGGCAGAACAGTCTGCTCCCTCACTGGGTCATAAGACTTGTAGACAGCAGCCAGGTACAAAAGAGCCTTGTGGCACAGTGTGGCAGGCACACCACTGATGAAACCGTTTGTTAAAGGTCACAGTGTGTGTACCGAGAGCACCGCAGATTCACGATAACAGAGGAGTGATCCATCACAGCTGTTCTTCCAGAAGCATTGTGAAGATTAGGTTCACTAAAATCAATCTTCTTGTTACAAATGGAAGATGACCGAGCCAGCAGGCTTCCGGCACGGAGCCGGCAGCATTCTTCAGCGGAAGCAGCCCACTGGTTTCATGGCCCATCCCTCGCCGAGTAAAGCAAGAGGTTAATTAAACAAATACCCAGCTCTCTTCCAGTCCAGAAAATTGAGGTATTTAGAGAAGAAACGGAGTAACATTAAGATGCAAAGAATCACTGAGCCAAGGGAGGATTTCATGGGGGATTTTGTGAGGCTTTCCATCTTTCTTTGCTCTCTGAGCTCTCTAAAATAGCAGCTATGAAATTCCTTCCCACAATGAACGTGCCTTATTTTTGGTCTTTTGTGGAAAGCACTTGATGAAGTGCCTCTGGCTTCACGCTCTAGTCTGCCCACTTACCACCTTCTGAGGATGAACAGAACCCGCATTTTCACCCAGGACCTCCACTGTTTTCACTTCACCTGTGGAGGAGCAGCCCGCGGAGTCCACCTGCAAATTAAACACGCTGCAGCCGCACGAGAGACAGCTGGCCCTGGTGAGCTTTCATTAAGGAGCTGGCTGTAGCGACCTGGGGTACCCCAGACTTGCTTGATTAAACAGGTAACTTTTCTCAGGTGACCCTTTCGCTGGGTTCTCCACTGATGTAGTAGATGATTTCTCAAAGATCATAGTGCTGAGTCTGTATTATTCAGATTTCACTGGTCTAAGTTGATGGTCTGATCATGACAGTGTTGAAACATGGGTTTCTGGTTTTCTCAAAGGCATAAGCGTGAAACTGTAAAGAATAAATCATTTAGGGGGAAAAAGCACATTTTTCCATGTTCCTAACTATTATAAGGAAGGCAAAACTCTTTTTTTTGAGACAGAGTCTCACTCTGTCGCCCAGGTTGGAGCGCAGTGGCGGGATCTCAGCTCACTGCAACCTCTGCCTCATGGGTTCAAGCGATTCTCCTGCCTCAGCCTCCCGAGTAGCTGGGACTACAGGCATCTGTCACCACGCCCAGCTAATTTTTCTATTTTTAGTAGAAGTGGGGTTTCACCATGTTGGCCAGGCTGGTCTTGAACTACTGGCCTCAAATGATCCACCCACCTCGGCCTCCCAAACTGCTGTGATTACAGGTGCAAGCCACCACGCCCAACCAAAACTGTCTCTTTTTATATATTCTCTGTAAAATCCCTGCAGCTTCTGCAGGTAATGAGGGCGAGACAGTCCCGGGGCACCTGAGAGTGTGGCCCAGGGATAACATGGGTCCCCAGACTGAGGCCCAAATCTTCAGGTCATTTGGCAAAGACATAAACAACAAGTTACGGGGAGGACTGAAAGTGACGGGGACTCAGCCCCAGCTGAGAGAGAGAAAAAATCGGAGAGTAATGCATGTGCGAAGCCCTGCGGGGCATCACCTGCAACACTAGACGTTTCCATATGGCACCACTTTTTCAATTCAAAGGAGGTTTCACGTTCTTCAAAAACTTTTTTTATGTGTGACCAATTTAAGATTATCCCCCAAATATTAGAGAGATACTAGTTGTGTGAGACAGAATAATGTCCCGCACTCCCACCCAGCCGAAGACGCACACCTCCTAATCCCTGGATCGTGTAAACGTGACGATAACATGACAAGGGGGCGCTAAGTCTGCAGACGGAATTAAGGACGCTCATCTGCTGACCTAGAAATAAGACCCCTGGATTCCCCGGGCAGATCCGAGGTCACCACAGGGGTCCTTCAAAGACAGCAGAGACGCAGAGGAGGCAAGAGGGAGAGATGGGGGACACCACATGGCTGGCTTTAAAGATGCAGGTGACGTCGGCCAAGGAATGTGGTGCCTCTCACTGCTGGCAAAGGAGGGGGATTTCCCCTTAGCGCCTCCAGGAGGACGCAGCCCAGCAAGACCCATTCTGGACTCTGATCTCCAGACTACAAGAGGATTAATGTGTGTTGTTTTAAGCCCCCACGTTTGTGGTGACTTAGAGCAGCCCCAGAAAACGCACACTCATTCATGCTGCCATTCGTCTGTAGACACCAGGCTCCGTCTTTGCTTCAGTGTCCCTAATGTTACACGGTTTGGGTATTTCTCCCTTGCCACTCACACACTCAAATGGCTCGAGCACTGTGGCTCCAAGCGCCCGCTGCCGTGGGCCTCCTCTGACAACGGCTGGTGCATCGAGGGGAGCGCGCCCTCTCCGTAACAGCATGGCTGAGCTTCCTCTGGGGCAAAGCTCCCTCCTGCTGCCTGGCTCTGAATACATCATGTCTGGTACACGGGAACCAAACACGGAGACTCGCAGACACTGGGCGGGTGTGTGAGAACACGGGTGGTCCCGGGGAAAGGCCACGCGGGCCATACTGTTGAGTGAAAGCAAACCACATCCACGCTGCCTCGGAGTGTGTCTTTAACATTTATTGACGGGGTTTCCCACAGGGTCCGCAGTCAAAGAATCGCTGAACCGCGTTTCCTCGAGAGACGGTGTGTGGCATGGGCGCCTTGCTGCTGCCCCAGTCCCAGAGCTTCTCCTGTAGGGGTGTCGGCTACAGGAACCTTATCCCAGCTCCAAACTGGACGCCATCACATATCCTAAAAAAAGGGGAGAGATCAGATGCGGCGGCCGCTCCGCCAGCCCTGCCATCTTCACGACTCACTGAGCATGCGCCTCTCAGAAGGTGCCGCCTCCGCTTCCTCCTCCTCCTGCTGCCTTCCTGCCTGGCTGCCGGCCTCACCCTCACCGGCCCCGGCTGCTTCCTCCTTTGCTGGTTAAGAACCTTCACCAGCTGGTTAAGCCCTCGGAGAATGGAAAAGGGAAAGAAGGAGAGACCCAAATCCTCCTGCACTACTCCCTCCTCACCTCCTTCACGTTCCCCTCTCCGGACGGAGAGGACAGAGGGCCGATGAGAGGCGGAGCAGGGAGGGAAGGAGCCGGAAGGACAAGGTGGGTAGTGAGGATGGAGGAGAGGCAGGTGGACAGAACTTAAGGTCCGCCCGGCCCCCAGAAGGTCCCGGGGCTTAGGAAACCAGCAGTACCCACAGCCCTACAGGGGTTTAGCCTGACCACCTCTTAGACCTGCTCCTGACCCCAGGAAGGAAGGATGCAAAGGTCACATTGGTTGCCATATCTGTTATGAGCTGACCTTCTGCAGGTGTGACTCCACACAGTGGTTAAGAACCTGGGAACAAACCACCAGACCCATTTTCAGAGAGGAGCAAAGAGGCTCCAGTCACACGGCTGAGAAGTGGCAGGACAGGACTCCAGACCCGGCTCAGGGGCACCCACAGGCCTTGTTCTTTCCGACACACTGCCATGCACAGCTGGGGGGCAGCCTGTCCCCCTGACAGCATGCCTGCAGCAGCTCTGTCCGCCTGGAGCCTGTGCATGGGGCAAGGCCAATGCTGCCCATTTGGGACAAGGTGGGCCTAACCTAGGGACCTCAACTTCTGGGGAAAATGATATTCAGACTCCTACACAGCCGCAGCCGGGGCCAGGGAACACAGCCTTTTTGCAAGCTGTGGGCAATTTCTAGAAAAGGCCAGCAAGAATGGCTCCTTTATTCACGACGCCCGTGCCCTTGCCCAAGCTGAGGATTTGGAGCACATGCACACCGGCGGCAAGTTTTCCTTTTCCAACCTGACTCTGAGCAAGAAGACACAATATCTGATCCACGAAGAGATTCAACACAGATACTCACAAATGCTGCGCCGGCCTCCTGCAGGATGAAGGGTGCTTATTAACCAGCCCCGGCACTGCAGTCCTCTCACCAGAAGCCAGGACTGCAGCCCCTTCAAGATTACAGTAAGCCACATCCATGGCCTTAAAACACCAGAATCCACATCAAAACCCGGGCTGCATTTGTACCATTTAGTTGTGTTCAGATCTGTTTTTAGATTGTACACTCTCAGCTCCTTCAAACTAGTCTATACCTACATTCGCTACTTAGAAAAATGCCTGAACATAAGCTAGGAGCTAAAAAGGAAGTCAAGCTCTTGGCATATGTAATTCAGAAAACAAGCAAGCATTCTAATAAAGGCCTGTCACTCTAAGTACAAACAAACAGATTAAACAACTTCACAAGCATAGGTTTATGCTCAGAGACCACATAAACATGTCACAGAACAAAATACCCACTGCAAACATTCAAAGCAGCGCTGCGAAGTTCCACCAGACCAGGGGCAAGCCAGCCTTGGCATCCTCCAGACAGCCCCAAACATCCACCTTCTGCTGTGCACCCCACGCTCTCTCCCTCCCTCACGGCCGCTGTCTTGGTGCAGGGCTCCTGGTCATCTCCCACCTTCTTCTCACCCAGCACTGCCACTGCCGGCACAGGGTCTTGGAGTCTGATGTTCAAAGGCTTCTGACGAACTTGGACTCTGAGGCTGGAGGCCAGGAAGCACCCAGCATGGGGTGCTTTAGGAAGGTCATGCCAACAGCACCCTTGGCGCCTTGCACCCCACCTCCCACCACACGCCAGGAGCCTCTCCACCTGGCTCTCACTTCCAACACCAGGTGCAGTTGTAGTCATGGGGACCTCAGCGGTGAACAAGGCAGATGAAGTCCTGAGCTCAAAGACCCTGGCATATACCCAAGGGGAAAAAGGTCAGCGGGGCTGGAAGGCAAAGGCGTGGGAGCTCAGGGCCTGGACCTCCCCACTCCCCCTTCTGTTCCTGTAGGACGCGGTTCTGCCCGGTGCCCGCCGACAGCGCACACCTGCACAGCTTTGCTCCTGCCTTTGTTAGCCAGGACCACTGTCCCTGCGTGTCTTCTGCAAGCACCTGGCTGTCTGTCCTCTAGGAAGATTCAGCTCAGGGACCTGCTCCAGGGGGCCCTCTCAGCACCCTCCCCAACAACCAAGATGATCCACTTTCTTGTCTTCCTGCTGCTAACTGTGAGCTGCTCTCCCAAGCGAGCCTGCCTGATTCAGCCCTGTGTCTCCAGAGACCGGACTCCTAAGACACAAACTGACAGAATGCTGTTAGATCCCAGAGACAGTGGTGCCACAAATCACTTGCGACATAACAGTAAGCAAACATCTCAAAACTGTTTCCTTCTTTGTGAATGTCTGAAGTCCTATTTACAGTGTGCCTGCCTCAGTTATGGGGGAAACCTGTGGATAATTTCTACACACACGATACCCCATCCTGCCAGCTACCAAATTTTAGAAATGAAGATTAAATCTGGCAACCTCACTCCAACTTCACGAAATTCCAATATTGATGACCAACCTCAAACAAGGCCTCACACTGAGCGAAAATGTCTTCCACACTCGGGGTGCCAGGCTGACCCCGTTCAGAGCTCACTGTCCATAATAAACATCTGAACAGCTGCCACCTGGCCTGGGGGCAGAGGCACTTCCTTATAGCCTGGTCTTTAAATGTCACGTGCTTAGGATGCTGCTTCCTCCCGGAATAAACCATATTTTGAAATTAATCTCTGAAACGTGTTTTTTAGATTTAACCTGAAGAGACGGAAGTAAAGCTGAAAGGTAAATGTAACCACTTCATATGAAAATTATTTCAGAAAGGGTCAATTCAACAGAGCTCCTAAAAGCCGCGTTGACTTCTCAGGGCACACTGACACCCAGTGGCTACAAAGAGCACTGCAATGGTGGTGATGGCAGCGTGGGCTGCCCAGACCCTCCCTGCCCGAGACGTGCACAGTGGCGGGTCCCAGAGCAGCAGGGACTGTGTCAGAGAGCGGTATCTAAAGCTTCCCTCGCTCCAACGCCCCTCCAGCCCCGGGCCTGCAGTCAACCACTCAAAACCACCCACTTAAGCTAGGTGTTGGTGCAGCAGCGTCACAGCGCCTCTGGGGCTACCTGCAAGGATTCAAATGAGAACCTGGCTGTTAGGCCAGGGAGCCCAACACTCCCAACTGCAGAGGGAATAAGGGCTTCATAGAAAGAAACTTGCAAAACCAGCCTGGTCTGCTGAAGACAGTAACGGCGTGGAGTTATCTGATGCAGTCTCGCTCTGGAAAAAGGTGCCCACTTTTTCACTTTATTATCTCCAAAATCAGGATGCATCATCCCATCTATGGCTTGTCACAAACTGTTAGCTGAGATGATGTGGAGGGGGAGGGGCAACACCTCCCACAGGAACCTGTTCCCTTGTGTGAGGGGCTGGCCACGCCGGGTGTATCAGCAGCAGAGCAGCCCAGGAAAAATAACCACTTCCCAACCCCAGGCCAGGCGGTGCGCCAAGGGCTCTGCATGCAGTAACTCACTGAGTTCTCCAAACTGCAACAGTCACCATCATGATCGTCCATCCTCTGGGCATGAAAATGGACACCCAGAGAGGTTTTGTGACTCACCCCGGGCCACACAGTCACACAGAGTGGCCAAGCTGGGCCCCAAGCCCGGGTAGCTGGGCCCCCAGGCACACATGCATGCAGCCTGCGTGACTACACCCTTTCCAGCTTGGGCTTTGTGTGGAGAACAGGAGAGGCGTGGAGGGGAATGGGAGCTGGCGGTTGTGGGAGCAGCCGCCGCCATCTCTGAAGGCCCTGTCATCAGTAGGGAGCCGCAGCAGCCTGGCAGCCCCTGCCGTGTCCCCAGACGCGGAGCAGATGCTGAAGGGCCTTCTGGCAAGAGTGTAAGGAGCAGATTCCGCTGAAGCAATAACCGTAAAGGACCTGAATGACAGACGCAGACTGCACCTGAGAGGCGATGCTCAGAAACACTTGCGAATGCGGCTCCCCTTTACAAAGCACCATCCCCTACATGCTGATGCGGAAGACGGAGAGAGTAAAAATGATACAGCATTTCCTTCAACTGGCACAAACTACAACCTATTTGAAACCGGGTTAAGCCTCCAACAGCACCACCATTTGGTGGCAACATAAAGGTAGACACAAAAATGAAGAGAAAAAACAGGCTGGGGTGCTGTGAATGCATATACAAAAATAAGAGACAGTATGAACACTGTTGTGGACTGAACATTCATGTCCCCACAAGATTCACATGCTGAAGCCCTAACCCTGACAGGATGGTGTTGATACCTGGAGGCAGGCCTTTGGGAGGTGCTGAGGTGCAGACGAGGTAACGAAGATGGGGCCCTCGTGATGGAATTAGGGGCCGCATAAGAAGAGGCATCGGGGCACTGGCCTGCACTCTTCCTCCTCCAAGTGAGGACACAGTGGCAAGGCTGCCATCTGCGAGCCAAGAAGAGAACCCAACAGCAACCAAATCTGCCAGCACCCTGATCTTGGACTTTCCAACCTCCAGAACTGGCAGAGTATGAACATCTGTTGTTTAAGTCACTCTTAAATACTCCATGGTATTTTGTGATGGCAGCCTGAGCTGACCGAGATACACTATAATGAAAACACGTCTGAATCTCTTAAAATTTACACAACGCAGCTGGGTGCGGTGGCTCATACCTGTAATCCCAGTACTTTGGGAGGCCAATGCGGGCAGATGGCTTGAGCCCAGGAATTCAAGACCAGCCTGGGTGGGCAATGTGGTAAAACCCTGTCTCTACAAAAAATACAAAAATTAGCCTGGTGTGTAGTCCCAGCTACTTGGGAGGCTGAGGCAGGGGGATCACTTGAGCCCAGGAGGTCAAGGCTGCAGTGAGCCATGGTCAGGCCATTGTACTCCAGCTGGGTGACAGAGAAAGACCGAGTCTCAAAAAAAAAAAAAAAAAAAAATGCCGGGCGTGGTGGCTCATGCCTATAATCCCAGCACTTTGGGAGGCTGAGGCAGGCAGATCACGAGGTCAGGAGTTTGACACCACCCTGACCAACATGGTGAAACCCTGTCTCTACTAAATATACAAAAAATTAGCCGGGTGTGGTGACGCATGCCTGTAATCCCAACTACTCAGGAGGCTGAGGCAGGAGAATCTCTTGAACCTGGGAGGCAGAGGTTGCAGTGAGCCAAGATCGTGCTATTGCACACCAGCCTGGGCGACAGAATGAGAGTCTGTCTCAAAAAAAAAAAAAATTTTACACAATGCATGTAAGAAATAGAATTTGTTTATATAACTGTGTAACTAGCCCTATACCATATTCACCCATGTAACATTTAGGGAATCTTTCCTCAATAAAATAAGGGGTGAAGAAAAGCCAAGAAGGTGGGTTCCTCTGCTGTAGAGAGAGGGGTTCTCAAGATCGTGTCCTCTGTGGTCAGGAACAAAGCTTCACTCACCCCAACTTTCCTAGAGACCCTGGCCTGCAAAGTCAACTGCTCAAAACACTGCCTTCTGTTTTCAGCACACAGGAACCAAATCACCTGTCAATTCCTCCAGCCAGACCCTGGCAGGGGCTCCCACTACCCTGGGAACAATAAGCACAAAGCACCTGAGGGAGGGGGTGGGAACGCTTCACACCTGCTCCTCCCAGCTAGATGGAGAAAAACGCAAAGGAGGAAAATACATGTGTTTTCATTATTTTGCAACTATTTAATTCTCTTAAAATCTTCAAGCTTAAAAGCCACTAATGAAATTAACCACGTCCAAAACAAAATAAAATTACTGGAGAGTGGGATGTGATTGTGGAAAATAATTCCCAACACGTACCTGTCGCCTGTCTGTACTCCCATGGGGACGCAGTAATTAAGTTCCAACCGAGCGATGTTGCCAAGCCTGAGGACAATCCCGGCCCCGTACGACCAGCGGATGCACTCAGCCAGCTTACGAATATGAGCTTTGGGGCCCTCCCCTGAAAAGAGAAAGACCTGTGAGCAACAGTGCGTGCCCGTCCTTCCAAGCTCTCCCAGCTCTCCCAGACAAGCCCTGGCTCCCCCTGGCTGGGCCCTGCAGTTGTTTTTAAAGCCAGGCCTAGAGATTAGGGAGGATGCATGAAGTGAGATTAGGACCCAGGTCAAGAGAGGACTTGGAGCCACACTTACTCACATCCAGAATGAGCCACGCCTTCTCAATTCTTTGGGCCTGGCATATTCTGTTCCCTCTGCTTAGAATGACTTTTCCCCATCCCCTGACCACCTGGGAAGCCCCACTCTGAGTCTCAGCTTGGAGACTTCCATGCCTTCTAGGAAGCTTTCCAGGCACCCCTAGCACCCAGGCATCTGCTGGGAGTCTCTTCTGGACCTGAACTCCCTGAGGAAGGCACCCAATCCTACTCAGCTCTGTGGCCATCATGACTTGTTTATTAAATAGACAAACAGATTTTTCTTCGTAAGGGCATTAGATGATTATTTTTCTTGTATGCTTCATTCGCTCAACCAACCACTTAATGCTGGGCATTATGTTAGCTGTTGTAAGAATTTTTTTCAAGTAAGGCACAGTCTCTAACTTTAATGACTATGTAATCTAAAAAGACAGACATGGCCTGGCACGGTGGCTCACACCTGTAATCCCAGCACTTTGGGAATCCAAGGGGGGTGTGGATCACGAGGTCAAGAGATCGAGACCATCCTGGCCAACATGGTGAAATCTCGTCTCTACTAAAAATACAAAAAATTAGCCGGGCGTGATGGCACGCGCCTGTAGTCCCAGCTACTCGGGAGGCTGAGGCAAGAGAGTCACTTGAACCCAGAAGGTGGAGGTTGCAGTGAGCCGAGATTGCGCCACTGCACTCCAGCCTGGCAATAGAGCGAGACTCCATCTCAAAAAAAAAAAAAAAAGACAGACACCTCTTTGTGTACTGTGCTTTTAAACATGAAAACAACTGTACTACAATGGTTTCTTGAATAGCGCAAGTTTTACCATAGTTGAGGTTGCAGAGGTTTCCTGCGTTGAGAAAGAAGTGTGTTCGGAAAAGTTCTCCAAAGCCACCCTGGCCTGGCCGGAAAGGTAATGGGGTGTAGAGGTGCAGGCCGCCGGCCCAGTACGCTTCTCCACCTAGGTAGTCTCCTAAGCAAAGGAGGGGTGCAGAACAAAAACAAGGTCCGACAAGGTTAACATCACGTTAACTTTCCACAACTTACAGAAGCAAGATTTCTGTCCTGTAAACAACGCCACACAGTGCTGGAGTTTGCAAGCAGCTGTTCTTCTCATTCCTGATACTGATGGCCTCATTTTAAATAATCTTTCTTTTTCTCCTGGTTTGTTTCACACCTTGATTTAACTGAGGAGGCAAACAAAGCCAATGTCGTTGAGGAAGGAATGCACTCTGTCATTCATCGTATCTGTGAAATGCTTTGAAGAAATGAGTCTCATGACAATAACTTTATCCACAAATGTAGATGACCAACTCACTTCCACCTGCAAATGAAATGCATTATTTTGCCAAATTTTCGAGAGCGCAATAGAGACAAAATGCAGAAAGCGTCTCTGCAGTGTGTGGAGACAGCTGCACATGATTAATCAAAAGGCAGAGGCTGCCTGCCACCCACTGCACAGCGAGACCAGGTTCCAGCTCAGTGTCTCCAGAGAAGAGACAATTCTCAACGGTTCATGACCGCTTGGATTTAGGTTACTTTTGCCAAAGTGTAAGCCTATCCACTGAGAGCATGTATTTGCATATTTCTAAAAACGTTCCTGTCCATTCCATTTTAAACTATAAAGCAACAGAAAACATACAACCCAAAGGTTTATACTTTGTTGCAAAATACCATTTATACAGTGTCTTACTCTCCTCTAATACAAAATGACAGACCATGAAATGGGAAAATACTGATGTCTTCAAGACTAACTTCAAGGAATGAACTGCTGATTCATTTAAAGACTTCAGTTCCTCACAATCCAGAGGAAGGAAAAAAAAGACACCAACATCTCCTTAATCCCTTTCAACACGAGAGCTCTGATGGGAACAGAGAATGAACAAATTGCAGGAGAACAACCTTGTTTTTTGTTTCCCAGAAACCACTCCTCCTCTCTCTTCTTAAATAACTGATTTTATTCTGAACATAAAAGTTAAATATACTCATTGTAGAACATCTGATCAACATAAAGAGAAAAAAATGAAAATATTTTAATTTCTACCATTCAGAAATAAACAGCTAACATCCTGATGTCCTTTCTTCCAGTGGATTATAATGTAAATGTAAAACCAAATAAGCAAGCCAATAAAATGTGGTGCTTGCTTGCTCTCTCTCTCTCTGTGTGTGTATATATATATATATACACAGTTTCCAGTCCTACTTTTTTTCAGTTTTAATATATTGTAAACACTTTCTCCTAACGCTTTATCTTCCTTGAAAATGGGGTTTTTATGCCTGAAAAACAACATAGGTGGACCAATATTTAATGATCTATTTCTCTTCTATTGTCATACTGGTTTCTAAGTCCTTTATCATGGACATTAACCTATGATGAGTTTCCTGGCACAAACATGTATTTTTTTAAGCTTTTATTGTGCATACCCATAGGAAAGTATACACATCCTAAGTGTACAGCTCAATGAATTTCTATATCTGAAACACATCTGCCCAGAGAGCACCAGGACCAAGAAACCAAGCACACCCCACATCAGACCTTGCCTTCCCTTCTAACCACCACCTGGTGCCCATACCACATGCAGCCACTGCCCCACCCTCTCACAGCACAGGCCACTTCACCTGCTTCCAAGCTTTATAAATGGGATCTTCCAGGAGGCATTCCTCTGGGTCTAGCTTTTCCTCCCGACATGTTTCTGAGATTTACTCATGCCATCATTCAGCCAGTGGCTGTAACTTGTTCTTCCTCATTACAGTAGAAGATACCATAATTATCTGACCATTTCCTACTGTTGATGGGCATTTCGGTTTCCAGTTTCCAGCTTGGGGCTATCATTAATAGTATTATTAACAATTCTTGAACATACACATTTTAAGGCTCTTGATACATCAAACCACTTTCACAAAAAAATTATAGCAATTTACATTCTTGCCCACAGAGTCTGGCCAACCGCACGGAGGTGGTGAGTGGAACACCAGCATGCCTTACTTCTCAGGTAGGTAAAGGCTCAGCTCTCATAGACTCGGCATATCACACTTGCTTATAATAAACAGATGAAATAAAACCATCAAAAACTTAAGTTACTTTTCTTAAAAATTACACTGTAATGAAGCACTCTAAATACGAGTGAAAAGAAATAATCTATACTTTCGACAAAAATTTATGCAGAGTGTAGTTGTTGCTTATAATGACATAAAAATGGAAGCAACAAAGGTGCTGAAGATTTTAAGAAATCCTGGGTGCAGTGACTCACGCCTGTAATATGAGCACTTTGGGGGGCCAAGGCGGGCAGATCACCTGAAGTCAGGAGTTCAAGACCAGCCTGGCCAACACGGCGAAACCCCATCTCTATTAAAAAATACAAAAATTAGCTGGGCGTGATGGCGGGCACCTGTAATCCCAGCTATTCAGGAGGTTGAGGCAGGGGGAATCGCTTGAACCTGGGAGGCAGAGGTTGCAGTCAGCTGAGATCACGCCACTGCACTCCAGCCTGGGCAACAGAGCGAGACTCCGTCTCAAAAAAAAAAAAAGTAAGAAAATCAGGGGAGAATGTTTAATAATGGAATAATATGCATCCACTTAAATGATGTTTTAAAGTTCCATAGCATGTGGAGATACCTCTGACGGATGTTGCATGTCAGAGACGGTTCTAGGAGTATAAATGAGACAACCTTCCCAGAAAGTACGATAAAGCCCTAAAAGATCTGGCGATTTCACATCTAGAATTTCATATTAAAGTAAAACTTGGCCAGGCGTGCTGGCTCACACCTGTAATCCCAGCACTTTGGGAGGCCAAGGCGGGCAAATCACGAGGTCAGGAGTTTGAGATCAGCCTGGCCAACATGGAGAAACCCCGTCTCTAATAAAAATAGAAAAATTAGCCGGGCATGGTGGCGGGCACCTGTAATCATGCTACTCAGGAGGATGAGGCAGGAGAATCACTTGAACCTGGGAGGTGGAGGTTGCAGTGAGCTGAGATTGCGCCAATGCACTCCAGTCTGGGCAACAGAGCAAGACTCCATCTCAAAAAAAAAAAAAAAAAGAAAGAAAGAAAAAATAAATAAATAAATAAAACTTACAGATGAGTACCAACATTCAGTTCGAAGGTGAATACATTGTTTTATAATCATAAAAGAAAAAAAAAAACACAAACTCAATGTCCAAAGCTTGGGATTTGGTCTTTAAAAAGATAATAGTGTGTCATAAGACAAAACACGCAGCCATTAAGATGATAAACTTTCTCTCTCTCATTCCTCACTGGGGAAATGCAAAAGGACGCGGCCACCCCGGAAGCTCGCCTGGCAGCTCCTTACAAAGGGGAGGCGTGCTCTTAACACGTGACCAAACAACTGCGCTCCCCGGCACTGACTCAGCAGATGTGACAACTTATGTCCCAGAAGCTGTCCACAACAACCTGCGCGTGAATGTTGATAGAAGCTTTACTCATCACTGCCAAACACTAGAAGCAACCAAGCTGTCCTTCGGCAGCTGAATGGACAAACAAACTGTGGTACTTCCAGACAAAGGAATATTATTCAGCAATAAGAAGAAACAAGTTATTGGGTCCCAGAAAGACATGGAGGGACCTTAAGTGCATATTACTACGGAAAAGAAGACAACTTGAAAAGGCTACAAACTGTATGATCCCAACTCCCAAACTGTCTGGAAAAGGCAAAACTCCATGGATAGTTCAAAGACCTGTCGTTTCCAGTGGTCTGGTGGGAGGGATGAAGGGAGCCCAGCATTTTTAGCGCAGTGAAGCCACTTTGTGTGATCCTGGAATGGTGAATGCAGGACATCATGCATTTGTCAAAGCCCACAGAAGGTACAACACTAAGAGTGAACCCTCATGTAAACTATGGCCTTGAGTTAATAAGGTTATCATATTGCTTCACCAATCCTAACCAATGAAGCATCCTAACACAAGGTGCTAATAATAAGGAAGCTATGGGGGTTATACGGGAACACTGTACTTTTTGCCCAACTTTTCTGTAAACCTAAAACTGCTCTAACAAATTAAGCCTATTAACTAAAATATAGGATGTCAATAATATGAAATATGTACCTGTTAAAAATGGCATTTACTCGCATAAAAATATACTGTTACATTTTTATGGGAGGTGATGAGAGAAATGGGTTTAAAAATAATACGTAGGGGCCAGGCGCAGTGGCTCACATCTGTAATCCCAGCACTTTAGAAGGCCAAGGCCGGTGGATCACGAGGTCAGGAGTTCAAGACCAGTCTGGCCAACATAATGAAACCCCGTCTCTACTAAAAATACACAAAAAGTTAGCCAGGCGTGGTGGTGTGTGCCTGTAATCCCAGCTACTCAGGGGGCTGAGGCAGGAGAATCGTGTGAACCCGGGAGGCGGAGGTTGCAGTGAGCCGAGATCGTGCCACTGCACTCCAGCCTGGGCGACAGAGCGAGACTCTGTCTCAAAATAATAATGATAATATTAATAATAATACATAGGGGTCGGGCCCAGTGGCTCACACCTGTAATCCCAGCACTTTGGGAGGCTGAGGCAGGCGGATCACGAGGTCAGGAGTTTGAGACCAGCCTGGCCAACATGGTAAAACCCCATCTCTACTAAAAATACAAAAATTAGCTAGGCATGGTGGCGGGTGCCTGTAATCCCAGCTACTTGGGAGGCTGAGGCAGGAGAATCATTTGAACCCAGGAGGCGGAGGTTGCGGTGAGCCGAGATCGCGCCATTGCACTCCAGCCTAGGCAACAGGGCGAGACTCCATCTCAAAAAAAATAATAATATGTAAACAAAGGAAGAGTAGGAAGCACATGTCAAACCTGCAGGGAACAGACAACAACACGTTTACACATGTTCTCTCTGGGTAGGACTGCGGGTCATTTTCACAGAGTTTTTGCTCAGATATATTTTCTCATTTTCCTACAATTCTCTCAATAAATGTTCTACACCTGCTACATGGTAAGTTCTGTGTTAGGTGCTAATTCCACCACCGTGAAAGAGGAATGTCTATTATCGCTGTAAGCTAATAACAGGTACATGGTTTCCAAAGTGAGACGCGAGCCTTCTAGACTTGGCGCCGTGAGGGGAAAGGACAGACCTTCGCTCTGTGGCCCGATGCTGTGCATGCTGAATCCGCGGATGCTTGTGGGTCCCCCAAGGTAAAACCTAGGACAAAACAGCACACAGGTCAGAGGAAAGTCAGGAGGTGAGAAACGACATGACACACGGAACGCGTAGGAAACACATGTCAGACTCACATTCGATACTAGATTATCGACAGCATTTTTACAAGGCAAAACCTTTGAGAAAGACCAAGAGGGTGCACACTACAGGGGAATTTCATAAAAATCTCAACATCTAAGGAGACACTGCAAACTTTGGAGATGCAGGTGAGACACAAGATGCCAAGAAACACACTAGGAGAGAGGGGCAGGGCAAACTGTCTGTCACAAAGGAACTATCAGCTGTCTGTGAGAATTCATGACGCAGTTCCTTTTCATGGCGGGCCTCCTACTGGCTCACAGTGCGATATTAGGGGAAGAAGAGCAGGATACAAATTATTTAATAGTATAATCCCAATATTACAAAAAGGGGGGCTATAATACTAGAAACAGACCAAAAAAGAATTCTTGTTAGGTTTATAATTTTTAAATATGAGCTCCTCTTGTTCCCTAATGAACTGGATTGTCACACTCTCACCAACCATATCTGAATAATATGAAAAGCGTGAATTAAAAATTAATTACATAAAAACCCATCCACTTTCTGAAAAATTGAACAGCATATTAGAACCCGATTTTAGATTATGATAATTACTAAAAAATGAATTTAAATGACAAGAGAAATTCTGTGTAATCTTTCCAGCCAAGAGGCAGCCAAGGACACAACCCCGGCAGGTGCCCTCAGAGCCCTCTGACCTTTGAGGCCGCGGGAGGCTAAGAACACCCTGCAGGTCTGCAACAGCACAAAGGGAACAGGGCGCGGCTTTTTCTGGTTTTCCTACCAAATAAAAGCCTTTATGAATTTTTTCATTTTAATTTGAGTTTTAAAACCTATAAATATGTTTTTACTACTTGGGATTTCTAAGCAAGGCTTTTCTGAATACCCCATTAACATGAATTGCAAAAACAGCAAGCTTCGTTTTTAAAGAAATGATCAATCAGGCCACGTGCGGTAGCTCGCGCCTGTAATCCCAGCATTTTGGGAGGCTGAGGTGGGCGCATCACCTGAGGTCAGGAGTTAGAGACCAGCCTAGCCAACATGGTAAAACCTCGCCTCTACTAAAAATACAAAAATTAGCTGGGCGTGGTGCCGGGTGCCTGTAGTCCCAGCTACTTGGGAGGCTGGGGCAGGAGAATAGCTTGAACCCGGGAGGTAGAGGTTGTAGTAAGTCGAGATCGTGCCACTGCACTCCAGCCTGGGTGACAGAGTAAGACTCTGTCTCAAAAAACATACATAAATAAAATAAAAAAGAAACGATAAATCACACATTTGAATTCAAATGATCCAGGATGCATATAACATAACGAGTGAAATGGTTCTGCCTGCTGCATCCCAGGCTCTGGGGTGCCCACCGTCACTGTTTTGGTGGCTGGCTTCCCAGGCCCTCGGTGCTACACCTGCATGCACGCTGGAAAGGGATCCACTAAACATATTCATGTGCAAAATGTTAACTTATGAACACATATCTCCTTATTTTTAATAATTACATAGATCTGGAATGGTTGTGCTAGAATTTCACCATTTCCCTACTGCGGAACTTACATAAGGCAGTTTCAAATTCTTTGCTATTCATCAGCAATGCTACAATGGACATCCTTCTACACATAAATCTTTACACACTTAGAAAAGTACTTTTGTAAATTAGATTCATGGAGTTTTGTGAAACTGTTAGGATCCAGAGTTTATAAACCTAAAATTGTTCTACTTCCAAACCACCATCCAAAAAAGCTGTACCAGTATATTTTAACTAATGCAGGGTTGAAAAAAAAGTTTTTTTGCCCTAGAGGACAATGATTAGTATTTCGAAGCAACAAGTACAAGTTCATACCCTGCTGGTAGGGGTATAAATTGCTGTAAGCTTCCTAAAAGCAGCACCCAGCAATACTATGAGTTTTACTTTGAGAGAGTAATACCACAGAAAATAAAATAAACAACAAGTTATCTTAAAAGTTATTATTTACAATGTTATTTACAAAAATCACAAATTAGAAACCAATGAAATATCAAAAAATACACGGTAGGCTAAAAAGTTATGGTATATGCAAATAATGAAACATATGCCACTACAATGCTGCTTATAAAGAATTTCTCATGACTTAGTGAGTGCTTTCTCTAATTTCTTTAAGTGTTTCTCCATTTTTGCATTTCTGCAATGAGTATGAACTATATTCCTTCATAATCAAAAGGGAACAATACATTTTAAATATAATAAAGTAACTTCCCCAACAAAAGCAAAAAATATTAAGTGTGAGGTATACCCGATATTTAGAAATTAGCTTAAACATAAATACTAAAGGAATATTTGAAATACTATGCTCTCCTAAATAAACTTCTCTAAAATATCTTATAAAAAACAACTGAAAAGATCCAAAGGAAAATATGTGCAAATTATCCATTCATTGATTAGTACTTACCTATCAGCAATGCTTGACGGCTTATCACCAATGGGTACCAACATTCCGCCCCAGAAAGACGCTGAAAAAACCTGTTCAAATAGAAACAAATGGTTGTTTTCTCCCAGCATTCCTTTCACTCCAGGAACATCAGCAACTAGCAACTGGCCACACACTGAATGCCCGTGGCGTGCAGAGCTCCGCGATGGGGTGCAAGGGCCGCAGGAGAATGCCTGGCTTGTCCCGTTGCAGAGCTACCCTTCGAAGGGCCACGTGGATTCTATTAAAACACGCAATTCCAAAGTCCAAATCAAGACACACCGAAGGCGAGCAGGGCCCGGCTTCCATTCGGACACAGGGCAGGCCCCTGCTCTGCAACGGGAAGTGACGCCCAGCAGCAGGAGCCAAGGCCTCACAGAGGAGGGAGCCAGGCCCCCTGCACCTGCTCAGGCCTCTTTGCCGCGGCCTCAAAATGTGGAAGGATTCAGGGCACACGCATTTTAGGCTGAAAGAAGGTACCGGCTGCAAGGCTCCCCCAATGCAGAGACGCACTCCCAACCCCACTCTCAAGGACAGAGCCTTGTCTCTTACAGGGCAGGAGGCAGTAGCCAGTCTTGGCTCAGTGAGCCCATCTTCATGCCACAAAACCTTCTCAACAATGTCCTCAACCAGGTAGAGGCTCTCCTGCTCCCCTGCACCCCATGTTTTCGGGCGGCTGGCCGAGCCTCACACGTTCTCTGCCTTGCAAATGCCTATGTCCCTCCAAGCTGCTCAGAAATGGCTTTCTCAGAAGCTTCTGTAGGAAGGACAAGCTTCTGTCCCCACAGCAGCTGGCATTTTCTTCTCAGCCAGGTGTCCGGACTCTGCTCAGAAGGCTCCAGGGCTTCCCTCTCATGTAGAGTGGAAGCAAGAGCCCACATCCGGCCTCCAAGGCCCTCCTGCCACTACTGCTCTTGGAATTCATGCTCCCGCCCGAGGTGTCCCGCTGTCCTACCCTTGCTCCCTCACCGTGCTCTGGGCTGTGCTCGGGGGTTGCCTTACTAGCCACCCTCCCTGACCATCCTAACTAGATGGCATCCCCTTCTGGTCACTTTCTACCCCTTAATTCTGCTTTATTTTTCTTCACAACACTTGTCACCGCCTCCTCAATGATATATAAAGATACTAGCTTATAGGTTTCCCTCCTCAAGAATGGAAGTTCCTTGAGAGCAGGAATTGGGCTTTGTTCACTGATATATTCTTAGTGCCTGGACAGTGCCTGGCAGCCAGCATACATGTGTTAGACTGGTGGATGGATGGGTGGGTGGGTGGGTGGGTGAATGGATGGATGGATGGATGGATGGATGTGTGGGTGGGTAGGTGGGTGGGTGGATGGGTGGATGGGTGGATGGATGGACGGACGGATGGATGGATGGATGGGTAAATGGGTGGGTAGATGGATGGGCACTACCACAGGATAAGCACAGGAGCTACGGGCACAGTGGAGGAGCCCCCACTTCCATCTAGGAGGTTGAAGAAGGCTTGCAGGAGACACACCTATACCAAAGTCTTAAAGGCAGGGAGTGGGAGGCCAAGGAAACAACTGAAAAAAAGGGAGTTACAGCCAGCGGCAGACAGAGTGAATACGAGTGCCTGAAAGTCAGGGTGAGCCAATGCCTTCTGGGAAACAAAAAGTATTTCCACAGAGCCGAAGCATGAGACAGGCACAGTGATGAAGGATCAAGGGCTACAGGCACCCTAACAGCACAAGCAGTTTGTGTAGGAAAGTGATATGGTAAGGCTTGTGTTTCAGAAACACTAACACATCTGCAGTGTGGAGAAGGGGAAGGGGAAGGCAGGGAGTGGAAGGGGAGTAAAGACGACTCAAAAAGACTAATATGTCCATAGTGTAGAGGGGGGAAGGGGAAGGCAGGGAGTAGGAGAGGAGCAGAGACGACTCAGAACGCGACATTGGTTCAGTGCGGATGAGCAGTGCTGAGAGGAGGAAGGGCAGCGCCCAGTGGGTGGCAGGTGGCTGAGGGGAGGACTGAGAGCAGCCAGGGAGTTAAGTTCAAGGGCAGCCGGGTGCACTGTGCAGGTCAGTGGATGGGGAGCCCAGGCGTGGGTACAGATTTGTGGGGAAGGCAATGAGCTCTGTTGATATGAGGTGTCTGTAAGGTAGGGGCTGAGACAGCCAGGAGCACTTGAATCTGGGCCCAGGAAGGAGGCAGGAGAACCAGAGTTGCTACACACAGGCAGCAGCTGCAGCCACAGGGCTGTAGGAGACTGTCCCAGAGAGAAGCAGGGTGGGGAGATGGCAACAGAGATCTAGGGGCAAGCCATGCCTATGAGGCAGAAAGGGCCCTGAGAAGAGAAAACTGAGGAGTGGAAGAGCGCAGCAATGATGAGTCAAGAAAACAAGAGAGATAAAGTGAGAACAGGCGAGCAGGCGACAACATCCAGTGCTGCAGAAGGGATCAGGATGGGCTCACGTGCCGGACAACAAGGAGGCCTGTGGTGGCAGGGGCAGAGGAAGGCAGGAACCAAGTTCAAAGTGCAGAGTCAAGGGCTGAATAGGGGCAGTAACAAATTATTTTAAAATGAGCTCTCTAGAAACAGTCGCATGCACCATTTCATTACACTCAATCCTTGCCCCCAGGTTTTAAGGTAGATAAGGACCTAGGCAGCAAAGGCAGGGCAGAGCTGCCCCCAGCCACTGGGTGCTGGGAAGACGTGAGAAATATGCCAGGTGCCCTCCCAGCCTGGGGCTCCTCTGGCGAGACCAGAATCCAGTCACTTTCTCCTCACTCCTGAGTGAATCAGGAGAAACTGACCCAACAGGACTAAAGATTAAAAAAAAAAAAAAATTTCTGAAAGCACCCAGAGCCCTGTAGACCCAGCAAAGTGAAGACTCAGAAGGTCCACGGAACAGCATTTCAAGGGCAGGAGACACCCCTCTGTCCTCCAGCCACCCCTCCTCCAAGGCCCTGAGATGATAAACGGGGAGGGGCTCTCTCATGGTCCTATGTGTAACGATTAGCAGAGGTTACTTTTTTTTTTTTTTTTTTTTTGAGAAGGAGTCTCTCTGTCACCCAGGCTGGAGTGCAGTGGTGTGATCTTGGCTCACTGCAAGCTCTGCCTCCGGAGTTCATGCCATTCTCCTGTCTCAGCCTCCCGAGTAGCTGGGACTTCAGGCGCCCACCACCACGCCCGGCTAATTTTTTTTAGTAGACAGGGTTTCACCGTGTTAGCCAGGATGGTCTCGATCTCCTGACCTTGTGATCCACCCACCTCAGCCTCCCAAAGTGCTGGGATTACAGGCGTGAACCACTGCGCCCGGCCATCAGAGGTTACTTTTAAAAGAAAATATTTATGGCTTCTCCCCAGACTACCTGCAAATCTGGCTAAACTGGAAACATCAAAGGTTAAGCATTACCGCCCAGGCTTCCACTCTGTGCTTTAGATATTCAGGAGCTAAGATTCTGTGGTAAGATCCCCAAAGTAAGGGCTGACAGTGCAGGTGCCAGCATCCGTTAGATACTCACTGAATCAAATATGAGTTGCTTGTTCAACTGAAGTTCAAAATCTTCTTTGATGAAGCTCACATCCCCGCCAGTGTAGCCTGCCAGTTCCTGCAGGGAAGGAGCACTCAGGTCAAAGGGAGCAAACAGACTTATTACAGGGGCTACAGAATCATGTTTTTGCATCAGGATTTAATTTTGCCGTTTTGTATTTTTTTAAAGGCTACAGAAAATTCTGTCTCCTAGAAGCCACATCCTAATTGTTGCGGACAGCAACAGTGGACGGACTGGGATGGAGGATCAGCAGATCCAAGAGGTGCAGAGGCTGCCCTCTGGCTGTGTGCAGGGAGCACTGGCAGCCTGAGTGTCTGAACACAGAGCTCAGCACAGACGGCTTGGCTCGTTGGCTTCATCGGCATTTGGGGAAAAACTCAGCTGACCTTTCACAATGTGGGCTATTTTGTATAAAAACCTGATTTCTAATTGCTCCTCTGACACTGAAGGTCAGGCACCCCCGGGCTTTTGCCCTGCTTGACAACACCTAAGTACCACCGGCCAGAGCGAGGGTAGCTGCTCGGGGAAGCCTCAAGGTTCAGTGCAGCCCCTGCTGCCCTCACTCTCAAGCCACCAAGGTGGGCTCCTCACTGTGCCTGCACCTTGTAGGTACCTTACAGTAAAGAACTATCCCCCTGCCTCCAACAAGAGGGCAACCCAAAGACAGACTAACAGCCCGCCTCCAACACCAGCAGAGAAGCACGCTCCTCTAAGGTGGTGAAGACCTTCCTCCAGCACCTCCTGCTGCCACGATGCACCTGCCCTGCAGCCATTGAGGGGTGACCCCTGCCTTCGGACACTCTCTCCCAGGTAACACCAAGTCACAGCCCTCCTCCTGGCCTATTACAGGCCCTCATCAAGGATGCCACAGCCTTACCCCCACCTTGGGTTCTGTGAAGGCACAAGACTGAACTGCAGGGGGTAGGGAGCAATTTCCGGGCTGGAAGCCCTGAGAGTGGAGCTGGCGACCTTCAAAAGCGATACTGCATGTGCGATTACTCTGTGGGACTGCCCACCCCCAGGCCCACCCAGCCCACCGGGACTTTATCTACTGTCCAAAGTTTGGCTCCCCTCACCCTGCAGGGGTCACAGGTGAAACAACACTACCTGGTTAACTTTCAGCAAAGCACCTCTCCTTGGTAAGATGGAAGAATTCCGAGAATCGATGACCATGGCGTGCTGAAAGAAATTTGAATGGGGATATTTTCACTTTAAGAAGTTCTATTAGATAACCATGAGCACTCACAGCACGTGGGCCACACCACGCTAGCACTCTACAACTATCATGTCATTTCGTGTTCACAGAGCCCTTGGAGGAAGTGAGGGTGACTGTCCCTATCTTACATAGGAGGACACTGAGACGTCCACACTGAGACTTGAGCTTCAACTGAATAAACGATTCCTGCTCACTACGTGGGAGTTGAACACCCACCACCGGGTTCGTTCTCTCAAGGAGCTCGACGCCCTGGCCTCAGTCGGCTCAGCCTGGTTCCTCCTTCTTTTTGAAAGCTGAAATTCCACAGTCAGCTCTGAAGCACACCTCTTCCTGTTACCACTGACATTATTCGGAAAGGACCACGCGAGGCAGGACACCACAAGCCCTCGGGGAGTGGGGGCCGCCACTGTGGACACCCCATCTGGGTGACGCTTCTCAGTCAGCCCTGATATTGGCAAAGACTGTTTTCCCAATGCATAGCATGGTTCCATCAACAAAATTATTTACTCCAACTAAGAGAAACCGTTACCGAAAGAGATGATTTCAGTGAATGTCCGCTTTCTTTTCGAACAGCAAATGACGCCGTCCTTGAGAGGCAGCCCAGTTCTCGCCATACGCCTTCCCACTTGACAGTGTGGCTGGTCTTCCATATGGGAAACTGCAACATGGAGATCAGACATCTTTCCGGACCACACATACTTAGGAACTTGTTGCAAATCATTTTTTGGAATGAAGCATCATGAAACAATGAACTAAATATCTAATTTTTTTTAATGATGAGAGAGAGGGAGAAGGGGAAGAAGAGAAGAAGGGGAAGAGAAAACCAGAGGGAAGAAGGACAAAGGAAGAAAGGGGGAAAGCTGTGAAGGGAATCAAAGGCAGTACTGCTCTAAGTAGCAGGACTGCACCCCAGGTGAGGGACAGGGCTGGTCTGAGGGCTGCAGGCAGCTCTATCATCGACAGGTGCTATCTCTTTCCCACTTCTTTGTAATGGGTAAGACACCTAAGATGATCTGATGGCGCAAACCCCACCTGGTCCACCCGACCCTGTCTGAAGCCAGGCCTGGCAACCCAGCGACTTGCACCGGCCCAGAGAGAAGGTGGCAGAGACGAGAGTTATGTGGGAGGCGAGGGATCCTTCCTGCAGCAGAGGCCTGAGCCGGGTGAATTCTGGGGTCCAAGCAGGTGGCACCTGCTTCCCAGCCTGACGCTCTCTTTCCTGCTGCCAGGACAGCTCATCTTAGATTTCTATCTCAGAGAAATGTTTTCTGAACAGTGAACGATGTTTGGTGGCTTTGAGAAGTGGTAGGACAGTGATTTAACTCTCACAAGGAAGCCACGTCACCCCATACTCCCCAGGGGGTGTCCCATGCTGGGCCCTCTCTAGCCCTCAGGCTTGCAATTGAACTCCAGGCCATGGGGTAAGTGGGTCACCAGCAGGCCCAGAACACTCCATCCCGCCTTCATGGTGAGAGGCACCCACCTCAGCACCCACAGGGCACCATGCCAGGCACTGGGGAGATGGTACAGGAGGGGCAGCCTGCACAGCCACCATCTCTACACTTAGGGCCACCTGGGATTCAGGCACTTTCCCAAATTCCTACGGGAGGTGTAGAGCTTCCTAAATCATTTCTTCATTCCTTAGAAGGCCTGACATGGGCCCCAAGGATACCACTGAGTATGATCTGGTCCGTTCCTCTAGGAGCTCAGCTTCAGGGCTGCCGGCGACAAGGTGTCTGCCCTCCCCTTTCCTCCTCCCCTCTACCTGCACCCACCCGAGGGCCGAGTCTACACTTTGGTGTCTTTCATCTCTGCTATTCCTTGTGAAAAAATAAGGTATTTCTACTCTCCTAAAAATCTGCTCTTTAAAAAGGCTTAGAAAGAAATGAAGCATGACACTGGGGAGAAGGGTGGCTAAGCTCCCGGGAGCCCGACCACTGTGGGTGCACACAGGCACCTGGAGACCTGCTGGAGGACAGCAGGCTGGAGAGAGCAGCATGTGGCCCAGGTTTCCCCTCCACGGCCCCACCAGAGGGCATCCGAGGACGGTTTCAAAGCAGAAAGGTGTCTCAGGGCTGCTCCCTTCCAGACAAGAAAATTTGGAGAAAAGGAAATGAAAGTGCAAATGTGCCTGGATTCTCCTATCTCCATCTTGAACCTGGAGTCTACCTGGCCCAGCTCTGTGTGCTCTGAGTTCTCATGGCCTTGGTCTGCAAGGACCAGAGGCCTGGGGCACTAACGCACCTCAAGCACCTAAACTGCGCCACGCGCCGCATCAGGAGCTTTACCACGCCTCTCATCCAACCCTCACAACGGCCCTGGGAGACCCCGCGCTCCTGTCCTTCATTTCACAGATGAGTCATTTGCCTGAGGTCGCACAGCCCTAAGGGAGACGGGGGAGTCAAGCCCAGGTGGTCGCCTCCAGGGCTTCTGCTGGGTTCTTGGAGGGAGAGCACACTTAAAGCTTCCTGGGCCCCACTCTCTGTGAGTCGGACTTGGCAGCTCAAGGTGGAGCCCGCGAATGTGCATTTCTAACAAGCCCACAGCTGAGGTCGATGCTGCTGGTCTGAAGACCACATGTGGGGAACGACTCTTACATAGTATTCTATCTCAGGGCTCTCCGCAAGAACTAAAGCCCAGAACAAGAGGAGTCAGGAACAGTGGCGAAAGGAAGGAGAAAAAAAAAAAGCAGGTTATCATAAAGCCCCAAAAAGGCCAAATGATACGAATTCCAATGGTGGCATTTAATCACACCCTTCTAGGTGTAAACTTAGGTGTGAACCAAAAATGAAACCTTCCGGACCAGGTGCAGTGGCTCACACCTGTAATCCCAGCACTTTGGGAGGCTGAGACGGGCAGATCACTTGAGGTCGGGAGTTCGAGACCAGCCTGGCCAACATAAGGAAACCGCCATCTCTACTAAAAATAACAAAAATTAGCTGGGCACGGTGACGGAGGCTGAGGCAGGAGAATCACTTGAACCGGGGAGGCGGAGGTTGCAGTGAGCCGAGATCGTGCCATTGTACTCCAGCCTGGGCGACAAGAGCAAACCTCTGTCTCAACAACAACAAAAAAGAAACCTTCCAGTGATCTGACCAACTCTGCTGACTATGAGAAACTGTCAGTCTCCACACATATGGGGAGGGACAACCAATGGTGCCTCGGGTAGTCAGGACCAGGTTAAGGAGCTGCTAACATGGGCATCAGCCACTCTCGGGTCCCTGTAGCCTGTACTCGGCTAGAGAAGAGGCACCTGGCCAGGAGGTACCTGGTGCGGAGGGCAGAGGGCCTGTGCTTTCCACGCTGCCCTCTTGCTGCCTTTGGGAATCAGTGAAAAAGCCACCCTGTTTTCCCCCAAGCCCAGAGGGAAGGACTGAAATGCTACTCACACTGTACTCAGCTGACATTCCTCTGTCCGTCTCCCGCAGTGAGCTCCAAGGGAACTGTCCAGTAACTTTATATAAGTTTACAGAGAAACTAGGAGACAATGGGATAGAGCTTTAAAAGCTGAAACAGTGATTAGAACTTGCACACATTTAAATCAACAGACTTAACACTACGCCCGTAGGGCTCATCTTCAAGAGGAAATCTACAGCATGTGGTCACTGCAGAAGTGGCAGCTGATTCTGTCATGGTTCTTTTCACAAATAAGCCACCTATTTTAACTTTTCTATCAGGCCAGTGTACTCAATGATCTGTTGGGCTTCCTACTTTCTTTCGAAGTTTCCGGGCCGTGGTTTGAAGAAGGACAGGCCATACGAAGTTTCTTTTGTTCCATAGGAAAACTGAAAGGTCACCTTTTCTGCACGACCAAGAAGATTAGGAAGCTTGAGGCCAAGTACCTAGGAGGGGAAAAAAAAAAAATAGCAGTGGTCTACATTGAAGGAATGAGAACTTTGGATTGGATAAAGACTATGCTAGCTAAGGGACTTTCATAAAAACAGAAGGAAGATGCTAACTACAGATCTAGTCTTTCATTTGTAATCACTTTCATTCTTTAAAACATGCCGCTGCTGAGTGCTCACATCCTGCATTCAAACCTGATTAATGCAAGGGACAAGCTAACCTTGCCACCCGTGAGGCTCAAGAATGTTACAGATTTAGAGTTTAAAGGAATTTGAACAAGAGACTATTAATATGAACATTCTCCAAATCATTCCTAATTACTAACGTTAACATTGTTATCAAACAACCCAAAACATATTATCACCAATTCTACGGTGATTAAAGAGAAACCACAAATAACAACAGATTAAGGTAAATGAAATGACCGAATTTTGAAACTATCATCAGCTTTTAGAATGCAGTCATAGTGTAAAAGTTCCCAACTCTAAGTTCCAATATAAGAAAGTAAAAAGCCTGTAGCATACCATACTGCCTTCATTGTTTCCAACCATGGTGTTATAACTGCCCGTTAATCTCCTCAATTCAGTTACTTCAAAGGTAACGTCTAACCCATTTGGAAGTGCGTCATCACCTAAATAAAAAAATATTAAACAATAAGACAGCCAGGATGTTATTTTACTTTGGGTTCCCATTGCTAAAAAAGACAAAAAGCAATCTGAAGGTTCATTCTATTTTACAATCTCCTTTAGAAAATAATATAATCATGAGAAACGTTTAAGAACACTCCCACACAAAATCAAAATATTGCACACCTCTACACCAAAAAATAATGTTTCTAGTTTCTCTGGTAGAATATATCAATAAACAGGGCTGAGCACAGTGACTCAGGCCTGTAATCACAGTGCTTTGGGAGGACAAGGTGGGAGGATCACTTTCAGGCCAAGAGTTCAAGACCAGCCCCAGCAACATAGCTACAAAAATTTTAAAAATTAGCCAGATGTGGTGGCGAGCACCTATAGTCTCAACTATTCGGGAGGCTGAGGTGAGAAGATCACTTGAGCCCAGCAGTTGGAGGCTGCAGTGAGCTATGACTGTGCCACTGCATTCCAGCCCGGACGACAGAGCAAGACCCTGTCTCTAAAAAAAAAACCAAAAACCAAAAAACAAAAACAATCTACCTTTGCTACAAGGAGATAACTATAAGCAGCATTATTCACTTAAGCAAACTTAAGCAAACAATATTTGCTAAAGGAATCTGTTCTCCTATTAGAGAGGTCCTTGAAAATATTTGGGTTCTCAATTCAACCGACATGAAAATGGGGAACTCACATGACAATAGGGGTGTCAGTAACCCTCGAAGATAAGTGTGAGATTGTTTACTGTGTTACTGTGTGTAAGAGGCATGTCTGTCCTCCCCCGCACCAGGTATGATTTGGGTCTGAGCTGGAAGCAGCCACCTCGTGACCCACCATGGCCCTGGGGTGCCTTGTGCAGAGCGGGCTGGGCTCTGTAGGAATGAGTGGCCTCTCACAGGAAGGAAAGGCGACTCCTGCCTTGTACACAGGGGTGCTCAGCCCTGGCTGGACATCTAGACGCATCTGGGCAACTGTCAAAATATGCTGATGCTCAGGCACCGCTCTAGGAACTCAGGTCCAACAGTTCTAGGGTGGAGCCTCAGTACTGTCTTTTCTTTTTTTCTGAGATGGAGCCTCATTCTGTCACCCAGGCTGGAGTGCAGTCGGATGATCTCAGCTCACCACAACCTCCACCTCCCGGGTTCAAGCAATTCTCCTGCCTCAGCCTTCCGAGTAGCTGGGATGACAGGCACCCGCCGCCACACTCTGCCAATATTTTTTGTATTTTTAGTAGAGACGGGGTTTCACCATGTTGACCAGGCTGGTCTCGAACTCCTGACCTCATGATCCAGCCGCCCTGGCTTCCCAAAGTGCTGGGATTACAGGCGTGAGCCACCCCGCCTGGCACCATCTTTTCTTTCTTTTTCTTTTTTTATTTTTTATTTTACTTTATTTTTTATTTAGTGGACTTTATTTCTTAGAGCAGCTTTAGGCGCACAGAAAGATAAAGAATTGAAGCCAGCAACAGTGGGTTGCGGGTAAAAAAAAAAGATAAAGCAGAAAGTACAAAGTTTTTGTACAAACTACAAAAGTACAAAGAGTTTCCATGAACCTCTCCTTACCCCGACACACACTTACTAACACCTCGCATGTGTGGTACATTTGTCACAACTGATAAACCCATACACCAATTATTAACTCAAGTCCAGTGACTTCCCAGCCTCCCCTGCACCTAGGTGTGGCCAAGTGATTAAGTCCTGGCCAATGGGATGAGAGCAGTGCCGTGTACAACACCTAGGACAGGTGCTTAAAGGGAGGGGTAAGCCCTCTCAATCTCCTGTGCTCCTCCAATACTGGAATGAGGACACGGTGCTCAGCCATCAGAGGGACTCAGGGACCCTAGGGATGACAAAGCAACAAGACACCACGGGGGGAAACTACACCAGCCCAGGGTGACTTCAGGGAACGAAGCACCACACCAGCCCAAGGTGACCTCAGGAAACCACACTAGCCCAAGGTGACTTCAGAGAACAAGGCACCACACTAGCCCAAGGTGACCCCAGGGAACCACAGGAAACCACGCCAGCCCAAGGTGACCTCAGGGAACGCAGCACCACACCAGCCCTTGGCAGTCTCCCAGCTGTGTGGAGAGATGGAGACTTCTCTCTTGTCTAAGCCACTGTTCTTTTAGGTCTGTTAGTGTTGGCTGAAACTATACTCCAAATAATGAAAATGTCCTTAGTTTATCTAGCACCTTATTTTTTGCAAGCATTTTCCTATATTGTCTTATCTAGGCCTTCTCAAAATTACCCCCCATTCAATTCTGAAGAGTTACTCATTCACAGATTCATTCCAAATTTTATTTTTCAATGGTGTCTGCTGAATTCTGACTAAAGTGGGAACTCTACCGCGCCATGTTAGGCCCACCACGGTCTGGGCTCCTGACGGCTTTTCTTCCTTGTCTTCCAGCACTCCATTCCCCCAACCTGCACTCCAGCTCTTCCTACACTTGCGGTCCACCCAGCGAGCCACTCTCCCCTGGCGTGGGCCTGATAAGTGCTATCTCTGTCCCCAGAACATTCTTCACCCCACCTCACTACCAGCCCTTCTCCCCATACTCGCTCAGATGCATCTTCTAGGTCTCAGCTCAGACATCGCCCCTTCAGGGACACCCTCTCTGATCCCCTTCTCATGCCCTGGCCAGGTGAACTGTCTCCTCCCTCAGCCTCTTACAGCACAACATAGCGACTGTGCTGCCATCACTTACTGGTCTGCCCCCAACCCAGCCCCACTGACCGAAGCCCCTTCAGGAGGAGACCACGCCCTGTGTGCTGCTATGACCGAAGCCCATCAGGAGGAGACCACGCCCTGTGTCTCCCTCTGGGGCCTGCACAGGGCTGGCCTCGAAGCAGGTGCTCACTAGCCAAAGAATAAATGTTCAGAGACGTGCCCAGTATCACACAGCAACAAGAAAATGGGCAAAAACTAAAATGGAAATTGGATTCCCTCCTCTTTTTAAAGCATACACTGAGATGGGGGTCTGCACAGTGCTGGGCTGGGCTATGTGAACGAAGCCTGGCCCCCTCCTTCAGAGTCACTCTCAGGCCCCCGTGGAGTCCAGGGCTTCACACAACAGTATCTTCAAAGTTCACCACTCCTCCCCGGCCTCATACAAAAATCCAGGCCCGCAACTGTAAGCCCAGCTACTCAGGAGGCTGAGGCAGGTAGATCGCTTGAGCACAGGAGTTCCAGACCAGCCTGGGCAATACAGCAAGACCCCTCTCCAAAAACAAACAAAAAATCCAATCCCTTCCCTGAGACTGCTAACTCAAGGACTACCTGTTTGATCAACTTTCAGGTTCTACACAGCAGGGAGCAGTGCTCTGCTGCCCAGATCTGCATCTGGCCATAAAAACAGCTTTTCTCTGATGGACAGAAAGGGAATTATAAAGATACTACACCACAATATGTACCTTGACATGTGTCAATCAAAACATCCACTTGTCTAAAAATTCCAAGACGGAGCAATTTTTCACGGGCTTCATGAGATTTCCGCATTACCTATAAAATGGGGGAAGAAAAACAAGGAATATATTCTTCTACGATACAGAAACAGCAAATGGCAGCCACACGGCGAGGCTGGTAGTTTACCATTCGGTGCTAAGTCAGATCACTGAGCAGAGAGCACTACCAAGACCAGCCACATGACAGAAGGGAAAAGCACCACAGGGGCAACAAAAATGCCCATTCACAAGTGCAAAACCAAGCCTTGGCATCAAGAGTGTGCAACATATAATCCCCTTCGTATAAACAACAAGACTAACGCAGATACACAAACCTAACACACAGTCTAGAACGTTGTGCTGGAAGAGATCACAATCGTGAACAGTGGTTATGTCTGGCAAAAGAAAGACACGTGTGTCTGCACACCTTTTCATTTTTTTTTTCAGCTCTCCCTTTGAGGAAGAAATGCACATCTTCTTGTGGTGTTTCAATTTTCTATTCATTTCTTTACTTTCTTTTTTTTTCTTTTTTTCTTTTTTCTTTTTTTTTTTTTTTTTTTTTGAGACAGAGTTTCGCTCTGCTGCCCAGGCTGGAGTGCAACGGTGCAATCTCAGCTCACTGCAACCTCTGCCTCCCAGGTTCAAGCCATTCTCCTGCCTCGGCCTTCTGAGTAGCTGGGATTGCAGGCACAGACCACCACGCCAAGCGAATTTTTTTTTTGTATGTTTAGCAGACATAGGATTTCACCATGTTGGCCAGGCTGGTCTCGAACTCCTGACCTCAGGTGATCCACCTGCCTCAGCCTCCCAAAGTGCTGGGACTACAGGCATGAGCCACCACGCCCGGCCTTTCTAACCATCTCTAACCACTGTTAGAAATGTTCAACTTTGTGTCCTTTCTTTGTTGTCAACAGCAGTTCCTTCTGATGCACGGAGTCCATTCTTATTGGAAGGACAGGTAGAAGGAAGGTAAGGCAGCAAGTGCTGAGGACACAGAGAAGGAAAGGCCCTCGTGTGATAAGGAAAGTTGAGATTCCACCCTGCAGGTGAAAGGGAGTCACTGTAGAACTGTCAGCAGGAGACAGAAAGGATCACATTTCCTTGTGAGAAAGAACGGATCACACAGACGAATGCGGTATTCTGCCCAGATGGGAGAAGCCTGCAGGTGAAGGATGCAGGGGGTGCTCTGGCAACAGCCTCAGGGGCTAGGGTGAAGGCAGGCCCAGTGCAGGCCATGGTATTGGAGGGGAGGACAGACCCTGGAGACATTTCACAGGCAGGGGTCAGAGGACACTGCCACTGCCTAGGTAGAGTGCATGAGAAGAAGAAAGAGGCTAAGAAAGAAGCTACTGAAACTGCAGCTCGGCGCTTAGCACTGGGCTAGCGCTGAACACCATTAGAGAAGTCAGGAATAGAGATGGGAAGACAGGCAGAGCAGACAGATGGAAAAGGGATGACTTCAGGTCTCAGCCCCATGGAGCTGGAGACGGCTGTGGCAATGCCATGAGGAAACGATGAGTCGGCAGTTGCATAGTCAGGGCTACAGCTCAACACAGAGGAGCTGGCTAGAAAGACAGCATGGGGAGCCCTCCGCATTCAGGCTGTAACTGAAACCTGGGATGTGGATGAGATGACCCAGGAGACTGATCCTTGTGGAAAAGCAACACTTAAGGATGCTCACAGGGAAAAGGAGCTGACAACAGAGCCTGAGAATGACTGTGATGAGACAGAAAAAGCAACCCAGGAAAATGGTCACCAAAGCCCAGGGAAGAGGCAAGCGCAAGAAGAGGGACAGACACATTCAAAGGCAAATAACAAAGCAGGACAGGTGCATTCAGCTGAGGCTACAAAGCGATCATTTCTTCAATATGCAAAGAGCTATTGCAAATCAACAAAAGCCAAATGACCCAATGGAAGACAGAAGACACCAAGTTAATTCACAAGAGAGATATGAATGAACACTAAACAGAAAAAAAAAAATGCTGGATCTCATTCATAATTAAATAAATACAATTTAAAACAATGAGATGGCATTTTTCTTCTAACAAGATGGCAAGAATTTAAAAATTGTGATAAAACCCAATTTTGGGAAAGAGACCGTCTCATGGACTGCTGTAAGAGAGTGGACTTGTGGGCCGGGTGCAGTGGCTCACACCTGTAATCCCAGCACTCTGGCAGGCCGAGGCAGGTGGATTACCTGAGGTCAGGAGTTCAAATCGAGCCTGGCCATGGTGAAACCCCATCTCTACTAACAATACAAAAAATTAGCTGGGTGTGGTGGTGTGCACCTGTAATCCCAGCTACTCAGGAGGCTGAAGCAGGAGAATCACTTGAACCCAGGAGGCGGAGGTTGCAGTGAGCCAAGATCGCGCCATTGCACTCCAGCCTGGGCAACAAGAGCGAAACTCCGTCTCAAAAAAAAAAAAGACAGTGGACTTGTGCAATCTCTTTGCAGAGCAATACGGCTGCATCAGTGAACACTGCAGAGTGCGCACACTTTGACCCAGGAATCCCACTTCCAGGAATTTATCCTAAAACACAGTCAATGTACACAAAGACACACTAAGATGTTTAGTACAGCATTGTTTGTAAGAGTGAAAATTAATTTAAATGCCCATCAATGGAGAACTGTTTATAATAAAATGTAGAGGGCCAGGTGAGGTGGCTCATGCTGTAATCCCAGCACTTTGGAAGGCCAAGTTGGGAGGACCCCTTGTGCCAGGAGTTCCAGATCAGCCTGGACAACATGGCAAAACCCCGTCTCTACAGAAAAACTTTAAAAATTAGCTAGGCATGGTGATGTGTGCCTGCAGTCCTGGCTACTCAGGAGGCTGAGGTGGGAGGATTGCTTGAACCCAAGAGGTTTAGGCTGCAGTGAGCTGTGTTCACGCCACTGGACTCCAGCCTGAGCAGGACTTGCACCAGAGCAAGACCCTATCTCAGAAAAAAAAATTTAAAAAAGTTAGAAAGTGTGTACAACGAGGTACCACACAGCCAACAGACTGGTATGTACTGATGTGAAAAGATCTCCATAATTTATGTCAGAAAAGAAAAAAAAATGTAGAGAATGGCATTACTGTTTAAGGAACATACATGTTTATACACTCGTACAACATATCTAGGAAACTGTCAGCCACGTTACCTCTGGAGAGCAGACTGGGATTGGCCGGGGTAGGGAAAATTGTCCTTTTCATTTCAATACCCTTCTGTACCATTTGATTTTCTATGCTTCCTTCTTACTGTGCTTACATGTTACTTTAATTTTTTAAAAATACAAATTTGGGCAGGCACGGTGGCTCATGGCTGTAATCTCAGCATTTTGGCAGGCCGAGGCAGGTGGATCACTTGAGGCCAAGAGTTGAAGACCAGCCTGGCCAACATGACAAAGCCCCATCTCTACTAAAAATACAACAAAATTAGCCAGGTGTGGTGGTGCACATCTGTAATCCCAGCTACTTGGGAGGCTGAGGTGTGAGAATCCTTTGAACTTGGGAGGCAGAGGTTGCAGTGAGCTGAGATTGTGTCACTGCACTCCAGCCTGGGCAACAGAGCAAGACCCTATCTAAAAAAAATTGAAAAAAGATTCTTTTTTTTTTTTTTTTTTAAGTGGGAATGGTCCACAGTGCCAAACACTGCTGCTGCTGCAAGGTCAAGTGAAATGAAGACAAAGGAGCCAGCTGGACCCGGCCACAAAGAAGTTGCTGGTGACCTCTGTCTGGGCATGTTCAATATGGTCCCACGGGCAGAAAGGCAGAGGAAACCACCCACAGTGGAGATGAGAAACGGGGTGCAGTGCAGGAAGGAGACTGCTCCACAGACAGAGCCAGGGCCCTGAGGAGACAGGGAGTGTGTCCCAGATAAGCGCCCACCCCACGGGGTTGGCAAGGGAGAGTACACTCTCAGGAACTCAGCGCGGTGCCTGGGAACGGCTGTGCACTAACCCCACTGGCTCGCATTACGGCGCTGGGAGAGTTATGAGGAACGCAAGAGGACAGACACTTCTTTCTCCAGGATAAGAGACAGGAGGAAAAGGCAAATGCGAATACATGGAGTTTGTAGGAGGCACCACAGGAATTCGGGGGGTTCAGCTTGGGGGTGCCAAGGCTCCCTGTGGGGTAGGAGGCAGATCTCCGGCACAGAGGCCGGGCGCAGGGTGCTCTGTGGTTTCACATGGGGACATTTACGAGTTCTTCAGAAGAGACTGGGAAAGCACACCATGTAGAGACCACACCTACCTCAATTAGGTTTTTGGCCTTGAAAACATCTCCAATTTCACAAATGATGATATCATCTTTAGTCCTTCCAAGTCCATCAAAATGAACATGTTGAACAACCACCTAAAAGTCACACAGGGACAGTATTAGGGATGACATGAGGCAAACAGATTAGGTGTCAAGACTAAAGACAATGTCAAGGTTTAATTAATGTCAAGGTTTTCTTCAAGTTTAATAATCCACACTTCTTACCTCTGGACTTTACTATCTTTCACATTTTTTCAAAAAACCAGTCACTGTGACTTCCCCTTTGCTCGTTATGTACTTTCTGTGAACAAGAGCTACAAATCCTCTCCAGCCAGATGACCCAGGACCAGGTGAGCCCTAAACCCGAGCAGGCCACAGACAACCCCTCTGTCCTTCCTAACATGCATGCTGAGCACTGGCCTGTGAATGAATGCTGGCCATGACCCCTGACTTAATAACTATGTGCAGAAAAATTAGCCAGGTGTGGTGGTGCACGCCTATAGTCCCAGTTACTTTGGAGGCTGAGGCAGGAGAAACACTTGAACCCAAGAGACAGAGGTTGCAATGAGCCAAGATTGTGCCGCTGCACTCCAGCCTGGGTGACAGAGTGAGACTTCATCTCAAAAAAAATTTTAAAAATAAAAAAAACAAAACAAAACTGTATGCATCCTCTAAAGACCCCGCAGGGATTTCAGGTGGCACAATAAATGCTGACTCAAACTGGCCCTCACCTCTCAGTCTCGCTAGAGAGTAAACTCTTCAAGAACTGGAAAAGCATATTCAAATTTCAAAGGTAATAAATTTAGGAAAAGTTTCATTTGAGACCCACAGTCTTTTTTCTGGGAGTAGGGAATGGAAATATAAATTTAAGTATAGTTTGAGTTTGTCCTTGATATATTTTTGGTTTTTGTCATAAATACAAAAGTGTGTTTGTCTAAACCTCCCACATAAAAATCACCAAGGAAGAGCGACTTCTTTAAAAATAGAAACTGTTTTTCTAAGAGTCATCAGTTTTTCTAGTTGTAGGTGGTTACAAACTCTTCTTTGATAAAGGCACGGAAACAGGTTAATTCCTTTACATCTCCCTAGTGGTGTATGGAAGTGAATGTTTCCACTAACAATTCTATCAAGACCTTCAACAGAAAACTCACATCTTTGTTTTCAAGAATTTCCTGTTTAGCTTCAGGCTCAACTTCAACAAATTCAGCTTCTTCTCCTAATCCTCCAAAATCAGGTCCACTTGATGGAAGAGGCTCCAAACTCTGAAAGGGAGGGAGCGACCACAGATAAATGACTTTGTCACATATATACACACACTTACCTTTGAGTTTTGTCTTTAGATGGTGCTGCAGAAAATTCAGTAGTTGTTCCCTTCAAGTAGAGGTAGGGGCAGGAATAGGGACCAGGGAGTAAAAAGGTGCCGTCAGCTATTGCTAATGAGCAAGTTCTTGGCTTGGTGGTTAACTCACTGGTGGTCACTAAATAAAATATAAAAACTAATTAACAGGGAAGGGCAGGGGGAGTGTGGTGGCTCATGCCTGTAATCCCAGCACTCTGGGAGGCCAAGGAGAAAGGATCACTTGAGGCTAGCAGCTTGAGACTAGCCTGCACAACACGGCAAGACCCCATCTCTAAAAAAAAAAAAAAAAAAAAAAAAAAAAAAAAATTAACCAAAAGGGTCACGCACAAATCCATGATGACATGTCATGGATGAAGGATTATGACCAACCTAATTCTGGACATCTGAGGCCCGATGGAAATTAAAAAATCATTTAAAAATAAAATGCCACAAAGGCATTTATCAGGGGAAAAAAGGAAAATAATTTGCTCTCCTGTTGTTACAGAAAGCATCCTAATTTTTAGAATTAAAATTGTACACATGTTAGGATAGCTACCTTGACAAACCAGATTACTAAGAAAACATTTTATGTAGACCCTGACAGGTTTTTTCATTTCAGAAAGTCTCATTCACATTAAAGGGAACTGCATATGCTCACAAAATGGACTCGAAAGCATCTCTTTCTATAATCTGAATTGATATTACCTCAAAATATTAAAGCAACTTCTGAATGAGCATTCTGTAGGCTGTGTCTCATCTAATATTTCCAGGAAGACATTGTATCTATCTATTTATCTATCTCTCTATATATATCTACATATAGTTAAGACAGACAGTCTCTGACTTACAATGCTTCAACTTACAGTTTTTTGACTTTACAATGATGCCAAAGTGATATGCGTTCAGGAGGAACTGCACTCCGAGCACCCACACAGCCATTCTGATTTTCACTTACAGTACTCAAGAAACTACATGAGATCTTCAACACTTTATTCTAAAATAGGCTTTGTGTTAGATGATTTTGCCCAACTGTAGGCTAATGTAAGTGTCGTGAGCACGTTTAAAGTAGGCTAGGCTAAGCTATGATGTTCTGTCGGATATGTGTATTAGATGCATTTTCAACTTACATTTCAACTTACGATGAGTTTATTGGGTTATAGTTGAGAAACATCTACATAAACATAATATCACATACACACACACACACAGACACACACACACACACATAATCACTTGAGCCTAGGAGTTTGAGACCAGCCTGGGCAATATAGGAGACTTCATCTCTACTAAAAATAGTAATAATAGTAAAAATAAAACATAAAGAAAGGTCAAGTATGGTGGGTCACACCTGTAATCCCAGCACTCTGAGAGGCCCAGATGGGAGGATTGCTTGAGCCCAAGAGTTCAAGATCATGCTAGGCAACATAATGAAGTCTCGTCTCTATTTTAAAATAATAGGCCAGGCACAATGACTCACACCTGTAATCCCAGAACTTTGGGAGGCCAAGGAGGTCAGATCACTTTAGGTCAGTAGTTTGAGACCAGCCTGGCCAACATGGTGAAACTCCATCTCTACTAAACAAATACAAAACTTAGCCAGGTGTGGTGGTGTGTGCCTGTAGTCCCAACTACTTGGAAGGGTAAGGCAGGAGAATCGCTTGAACCCAGGAGACAGAGGTTGCAGTGAGCTAAGATCACTCCACTGCACTCTAGCCTAGGTGACAGAGCAAGACTCCATCTCAAAAATAAAAATAAATATACTTATGTATACATTGTATTATATATACTTACATATTTAACATATACTATTTATTCAATTCTTATTTGTTCCTATGTTTGCTTGACCATAAGTCTCTGGGACACATGCTTAACCACACGAGGATTCCCAGTCACCTCTTAGAGATGGACACAGAAGGTCTAGTGTGGCACCAAGCGATTCTTACAAATCAGCAAGTTTGGAGAAAACTATGTGAACCAATATCTGACTATTTCCTTGCTCCAAGAATTCTCTACAATTAGGCACTTTTAAAGTGTGTGTTTAACATCTGCAAATATGGAGCAGTGGGGCCTCTGGGCTACTATCCACTTTTCCCCGGAAAGGTAACTGACCTGCCAGTATCATATTCCCTTTCCAGGCCCTTCCCTAAAAGCCTCTGATGATCCTCAGAAGTACCTAAAGGAAGAGCATCCATCTAGGTTCCTTAGCAGGGTACAAGGAACTCTGCCGTAAGGCCTGCATCTGCTACTCCAGTTTCCATCTCCACCACCCGCTCCACCCGCACATTCAGGCTTTTGCATACCTTGCCCCCTCTTCCAGAATAACTTGCCCCTATGAAGCTTCAAGATCCACCTTAATGTCATCTCCTGCAAGCCATTCCTGGCTTCTTTAGGGAGAATCGGTTCCTCTCTCACAGGGACACCTCTTGATACTTGAAGTCTGTGACCTTCACAGGTACCCCTTCTGTTTCTTTTTTTCTTTTGAGACAGAGTCTTGCTCTGTGGCCCAGGCTTGAGTGTAATGGCGCAATCTCGGCTCACTGCAACCTCCACCTCCCGGGTTCGAGCCATTCTCATGTCTCAGCCTCCCAGCTAGCTGGGATTACAGGTGCGTGCCACTATACCTGGCTAATTATTGTATTTTTAGTAGAGACGGGGTTTCGCCATGTTGGTCAGGCTGGTCTTGAACTCCTGACCTCAGATGATCCACCCACCTCAGCCTCCCAGAGTGCTGGGATTACAGGCGTGAACCACTGCGCCTGACCTGTTTCTTATTTTTATCTGCCCTGGCACCTCGGAAGTACTCAATAAATATTTGTGGAATGGGGAATGAACGACTTTTCCGTTCTTTCATTTAACAAATAAGTACTGAAAGTCCACTGTGTGCTGGGTGCTGGGTTCACAGCAGTGACCAAGACCGGGTCCTTGTGGGTAAGGAAGATCATGTTAGGCAAAGAATGGATAATTTCCCATCTCTATCCTTTCAATTTTGTTGTGCAGTATTTTCAAAATGGAATTATTATATTTCTCAAAAATATGAACAAAGTAAGATTATGTGCACATACTCATCTTAATCTGAATGCCTAGCAAAAATGCTTTATCTAGGCAAAGGTTTATATCCCATTACGCTGAAAAAATTCCACTGCACTTTCTAAAATCTCCAAGCATGAAACAAGGTTCACCAAAGATCTTCCAGGTCCATCCGTATTCTTTAATCTAAAATCCAGACTTCAAGAGATGACACCATTGAAGTTTCACAGTTACAACCTCTTATACCTATTCATACATCTTACATCTATTTTTCTATTATCTCTAAACCCTAAAGTCATTATAGGATTAATACCCTGTAAATATACTTTAATCAAAATATTAGTAACTGTGTTACTAATATTCATTCATTCACCAAATATTAAGATCCTACTGTGTGACAAGCACTTATAAGAACCTCACCCTCATAGAATGTACATCCCATAAATTCTATGCCTAGAATAATAGGCATGGGGTGAGTGTTTGGTAAAATGCGCTAAAATATATATTTGGGCTAGGCACAGTAGCTCATGTCTGTACCTAGCACTGGCACTTTGAGAGGCCAAGGCAGGAGGATCACTTGAGCCCAGGAGTTTGAGACCAGCCTGGGCAACATAGTGAGACCCTGTTTCTATTAAAAAGTGTGTGTGTGTGTGTGTGTGTGTGTGTGTGTGTGTAATATAAAAAAATAAAATAAATATTTGGATGTAGCCTTTAACCTTTAAGCAGATCGGTCTACCAGTCAGTCAATAAGTGTGTATTGAGCACCATGTGCAAGGCAGCGGGTATGGGACATGAAATGAATGAGTTATGAACAGCATCTTTAAAGTGAGATAGACTAGAATCCAAGAGAAAATATAACAACAGGCTGGGCACAGTGGCTCACACCTGTAATCCCAACACTTCAGGAGGCTGAGGCAGGCAGATCACCTGAGATCAGGAGTTCAGGACCAGCCTGGACAACATGGTGAAACCCCATCTCAGGTAAAAATACAAAAGTTAGCTGGGTGTGGTGGCACCTGTCTGTAATCCCAGCCACTCAGGGGGCTGAGGTAGGAGAATCGCTTGAACCCAGGAGGCAGAAGTTGCAGTGAGCCAAGATCACGCCACTGCACTCCAGCCTGGGAGACAGAGCAAGACTCCATCTCAAAAAAAAAAAAAAAAAAGAAAACTGAAAATATAACAATACATAACACATATTAAGTATTATTGCACAAAATTTTGTTTGACATAAGCATGAGTACTAGGTGGTAAATGGCAAATGTTTTCTTACTGTTTGAGTCTTGATCAAAAAGTCTGAAAGACACTGGCTAGTGGGATGAAAAAGTCAAATAAAAGAACTGAAAACGTTTTTTTCTCAAAACACTCATCAAAGCAGCAGCAATTTTAATGTAAAAAGAGCTCCACAGGCTAGGCGCAATGGCTCATGCCTGTAATCCCCGCACTTTGGGAGGCTGAGGCGGGTGGATCACAAGGTCAGGAGATTGAGACCATCCTGGCCAACATGGCAAAACCCTGTCTCTACTAAAAATACAAAAATTAGCCAGGTGTGATGGCACACGCCTGTAGTCCCAGCTACTCGGGAGGCTGAGGCAGGAGAATCACTTGAACCCGGGAGGCAGAGGTTGCAGTGAGCCGAGATGGCGCCACTGCACTCCAGCCTGGGTGACAGAGAAAGACTCCGCCTCAAAAAAAAAAAAAAAAAAAAGAGCTCCATAAAGGCAGATACTTTTTTCCCTGTATCCCTGGCACCTATCACAGTGCTAGGCACATAGCAGACCATCAATAAATATGAGCTGAATAAATAATGAGTGATTACTTTGTTCAAGATGCCACAGGGGATGCAAGCCAAGAAGATGCAGTTCCTACCATTACATCTAGAAATTTAGGATCAAAGGATAAGACGAAAATGCAAACAGACCCAAAACAAGCCAAAATGTAAATGGCACCAAAGGAAATGGCACGGAAAGGCGAAGCCCATCCAAATGCAGGGGATAAAGAACTTTCAGAACGGAGTTCTAAAAGATGGGAATATTTTGATGCTAAAGATGGATGATGGGAGGGGGAATGAAGTGCAATAGTGCGGTCCAAATAAAGCCATCCTCACAGGGCTAACAAGAATTCTGGACAAAGGCCAGGCGTGGTGACTCATGCCTGTAATCTCAGCACTTTGGAAGGCCGAGGCAGGCGGATCACAAGGTCAGGAGATCGAGACCATCCTAGCTAACAGTGAAACCCCGTCTCTACTAATACAAAAAATTAGCCGAACATGGTGGCAGGCGCCTGTGGTCCCAGCTATTCAGGAGGCTGAAGCAGGAGAATGGTGTGAATCTGGGAGGTGGAGCTTGCAGTGAGCCAAGACCGTGCCACTGCACTCCAGCCTGGGCACAGAGCAAGACTCTGTCTCAACAACAACAAAAAAAATTATTCTGGACATCTGGACAGAAATGTAGTTATAATTGGCTGGGCGCAGTGGCTCACACCTGTAATCTCAGCACTTTGGGAGGCCGAGGCGGGATGATCACTTGAGGTCAGGAGTTCAAGACCAGCCTGGCCAACATGATGAAACCCCCGTCTCTACTAAAAATACAAAAATTGGCTGGGTGTGGTGGCGTGCGCCTATAATCCCAGCTACATGGGAGGCTGAGGCAGGAGAATCGCTTGAACCTGGGAGGCGGAGGTTGCAGTGAGTGGAGATTGCACCATTGCACTCCAGCCTGGGCAACACAGTGAGACTCCATCTCAAAAGAAATGTAGTTACAATTAACCATTAATCAAGTTGCCTTTTTTTTTTCAAGAGCACAAATCCACATTGATTTATTGACTTTTCATTAGTTTAAATCCTTGAGGGGTACAGCATTACTCGGATTCTGTGTCCAACAGCCTTAGCAGGAAGATTGCTTCAGAATTTGGCACGAATCATGCCATTGTTTCTGTGGGCCCGAGTTACCTTTCCCCAGATTACTCTGGCTTTGTTTGATTTGCCGCCAGGAGTCACTATGTTGTTCTTTGCTTTGTATACATGAGCCCAAATAGAATTCTGTTTCATCTCGGGCATAAACACCTTCAATTTTAAGAAGAGCTGTGTGCTCCCTTTGGTTCCGGAGACTCCACTTATAGCCAGCAAAAATGGCCTTGGACCACAGCCTTCCAGACATATTTCCTTTCAGAAGTCCTGCTCCCGGCAGGCCGCCACAGGAGCCAAGATGGCAGGAAGAGCTCAGGTTGCACTCTGACCTACTTGCTAGTAACCAAAAGTCACAGATACTATTTGCATCCCCATTGATTTTACAGATAGGATTTCTAAAATTAGAATCATAAGGCTTTTGCTTAAGAGTTGCTTTAGATGTTTTTCAGATCTCGAATTCCAGCAAAACTGATGCTGCCAACCAGTTTGAAGACTCCTCCCCGCAACAGAGGAACGGAATCAGCATGAGAAGTTTCCTCATCTCCCTGTCCCATAACTTCACCCTTCACTCTTCCACCAATCAAGGATCTCCACACTTCAGCAAAAACATGAGGTCCAAACTCCTGAAGGAGATGGATTTGAGGTTTCCTCTCTTTTCCCATCTCCTCGTTCAGCGGCCCTGCAACTGAAACTCTTTCTCTGCTGCAACCCACTGTCTGAGTGTATTGACTTATCGAGCACACTGAGCAACAGACCTATTACAGTTACACAAAGAGATGTCAGAAGAGAAACGGTGTTTGATCTGAATGAAAGACATATAAAGGGAAGTTAAGTCCAATTATCGATGTCAGGCTGCGACTTCTGTGCTAAATTTTTTTGGAAGTTAATGGGGAACTACTGAAAACGTCTATGCAGGTCAAGTGAAGCAATCAAAGTTGCAGTAGAAAAGTAGTGTTGGGGCTGAGACTCAGGAAATCTGAGGTTTTAGGCCATTTGGAACCAGTAACTATGTGACCTTGGAGAAGTAACTCATTATCTGGCCCTTATTTAAGATTAGGATAAACGAGAGGAGTTTGGCAACCAGTACAGTTAGTCAGGCGCCAGGCACCCAAGTATTCACATGCATTGTCTTTTAATTCTCTTTTAAGCCAGGCGAGGTAGGTACTATTACTACCTCCACTTTAAAACAGGAAGTAAGGCAGAGAGCGGTTCCGTCTTTTGCACGGTAGACAGGAGAAAAGAGGACCCCTAGATAGGTTTGAGTTAGAAGACTTCAAAGGATTCTTGTTGCTCTAGGAGCCTACAATGGCTCCAGCAGCGGCTGAGCGGGGAAAGGCTGGAAGTGACCAGTAAAGAGAGAAAACTTAAAATCATGCAAAGAAAGAGCACATTCACTGCGGTCTAAGACATCACAGAAAGTTGGCAAGTCCTTTGGGCCACGGACTCGCCGAGTGACCTTTAGCCAAGTCTCGTCCCTCCTATCAGGTTCCTGCTCGAAGGTCTGCAAGACTCGCTGGCCCGAGGCGACCTCTTTTCGGCCTCCTCCACCCAGCCCGGCACCCTTGGCACCCTCTCTCCCGGTGAACCCTGGGCGCAGCCACGAGAGCGTCTCCCCGCGGCGCCCGTCTGCCCTGCTGGCCCAGAGGCCTCGCAGCCCGCGGGTCGCTGGGCCTCTTACCCGGGCGTGCACAGTCCCCATGGTTCCCTCTCCAGCCGCTGCCTCGCAGAGCTGCCCGGGCGGGACAGAGCGTCTGCTGCTGAGGGCAGAAGGCGGGTCCGCGGTGGCGGAGCTGCAGGTCAAGGCAACTCCCACAAACCCCCGGACGCGGAACACTGGGGGCGGCCATGATTCCCCGCCTTCTCCGCGCCCCCTGGCTCGCGATGCCTTCGCTCATTGGTCCTTATGCGCCTGTGACCCGGATGTTCACACGGCCGCGGAGGACGTTCTGACTGCGCAAGCGAAGAGCGTTCACTGACATCCGCGAAGCTGCTGGCGCGTGGACTGTGTGGGGAGGGCGCGTGGGGTGAAGGTGGGTCTGCGAGAGGGTCCGCTGGGAGGCTGGCGTCTGGCGTTGGCGCCTGAAAGAGATCAGACCAGCTGTTGGGTGTCACTCAAGTCCTGCTGCTCTTAGCCCTCCTAGCACCCCCGACCCGAGGGTGCTGTGCTTGTGCCCACGCGCCGGTGAAGCCCCGAGACTCAGCGGGGAGACCCCGGGTCCGGCCACCCCCGAGCTGCAGTAGTCGGGTCTCACCGGCATCTGCTACACAAACCCGGATTGGTGCCCTGGCTCCTTTCGTTCAAGTCATTGGAACCCCCACTCAAAATCGTCAAAATGAAGACGATGGTCGTGTCTCCTTCTTGGGGGTTGGATTAAAAGGGCCTAATGTGAGAGACGGAAAGCAAAGCTCCCGGCACCGGGCCGGGCACACGGTGGGCGCTAGATAATGACCGCTATTCACTCAACTGCAGCCAGTAATTATGGGCGAGGGCCATCTAGGTGCTTGCATGAGAACCAGTCATATCGGTGAAGAAGACGGCCATGGGCTTAGGTTTTGGTGGCAAAACAGCTCCCCTGCCCCAAAAAAGAAAAGAGAATAGAAAAGAAAAAGGCATAATAAATATCAGCCACACATTGTGATAAGTATATTGAAAGAAACGAGACAGAATAAGAAAAGAGGAAGCTTCAGTATCCTGTCACGTTGCCACTCCCTTCTGATAACAGAAGCATCTTTTCTTCTGTCCCCTTACTCCCTCCCAGAAACCCTGACACCCTTTCCATTTAAATAGCAGCACCCTAGGCCTCCAACATCCCTGAGCTAAATATTCAAGTCCACATGTCCCTTCTTGCCTGGAAAGAGACAGAACCCAGCACCAGCCAGGCCCCTGCCCTTCCCTCACTCTCAGTTCCCTGAGCCTCAATTCCTTATCTGTAAAATGGAAATGATAGCCTAAGGCATAAGGTCTGAGGACCTCATGAGATCAAGCATGGGGCCTGGCACTCTGTAAACATCGAATCAACCAGATTTTCTTTGCCCAAACAGCCCTCTTTTCTTACACTTTCTTCCTCGTTATTCTTCTGAGTATGCCACTTGTAAAGGATAAGCCATGAGGTTGCCCTGCAGAGTGCAAGATGGTTGCAATATTTGAGAGCCTATTGTGTGTGAGGCCCTGGAGGATGGCAGAGGGAACAGGAGGAAAACAAAGTCACATGCTTTACCCTCAAACAAAGGGCTGTCTGCGATAGTTACAATGTATATATTAAAGGCTATCTGTGATAGTTACAATGTATATAATATATTAAAGGCTGTCTGTGGTAGTTAACAATGTGTATATTAAAGGCTGTGATAGTTACAATGGGTATACTATATTAAAGGCGGTGGTAGTTACAATGTATATAATATATTAAAGGCTGTGATAGTTACAATGTACATAATATATTAAAGGCTGTGATAGTTATAATGTATATATTAAAGGCTGTCTGTGATGGTTATAATGTATATAATATATTGAAGGCTGTCTGTGATGGTTATAATGTATATAATATACTGAAGGCTGTCTGTGATAGTTAAGATGTATATATTAAAGGCTGTCTGTGATGGTTACAATGTATATAATAAAGACTGAGAAGTCTCACAGTGCATATACTGGTTTCCTTCTCTTTAACCCAGTATTTCTTGAATTTATTGGGTCATAGAGATTTTTGGTTTTGGAGATTTTTCTGTGGCCTCTGGCAATGCTATTCAACAGTATTTCTTGTGCTCCTCTTTTGGGCACAAGAGAGGATTGCATCTCCCTGCTCCCATCCATGTGACTTGCTTTGGTCAACACATTGTGAGCAGAAGAGAGATGTGCCACTCTGGATGAGAACCTTTAAGAACCATATTTCTCTAACCATGCCATGGCAATCAGCGATCCCCCAATGGTGGGGCACCTACAGGCTAGGTCTGGGAGTGAGGACGACTTAAAATGAAGCCCAGCCACATTTGCTGGACATACAGCACGAATGAGAAATAAACCTTTTGGGTTTTGCTTGTTAATGCAGCATAACTCAGCCTATCCTATATGATAATACCAGCTAGAAACATCTTCAAGGAAACCAGCATCCCAGAAAACCTGGTTTACAAAGTGCCAATCTTGTCCAATCAGAAGTAGAAGTGCAGTTTAGTGACTAAGCTAGTTTCCTTAATACAATCCAGGCTGAGTGCAATGGCTCATACCTATAATCTCAGCACTTTGGGAGGCCGAGGCAGGAGGATTGCTTGAGCCCAGGAGTTCAAGATCAGCCTAGGAAACACACCCCATCACTACAAAATAAAAATAAAAAATAAAAAAAATAGCTGGGCATAGTAGCAAGCACCTGTAGTCCCAGCTACTCCAGAGGCTGAAGCAAGAGGATTGCTTGAGTCCAGGAGTTCAAGATCAGCCTGGAAAACAGTGAGACCCCATCTCTACCAAAAAAAAAAAAAAATGTTTTTAATTAGCTTTTAATTTATTTAATTAAAACCTCCTCAGGAAGCTGAAGGAGGAGGATTGCTTGAGCCCAGGAGGTCAAGGCTGCAGTGAGCTGTGATTGTGCCACTGCACTCCAGCCTGAGCAACAAAGCAAGACCTTGCCTCAAAAAAGTAAAGAAAAACACCCCAAATTTAATTGGCCATGGGGAGGGGAGACTGGATCTTCCCACGGGAGTCATCCACCTATTAGTTTGGGACACCCCTTGGGGTGCCCTTTTTCATCACCTTCCCAGGGGCTGAGCGCCCTGAGGTGAGGGGCTCACCTCATTGCCTCTATCAGCCAGCACCTGACCTCTGAGGAGTGAAGGTGAATCAGTGAGAGGAGCCTGGAAGGGCATTCCCTGGGTGGAGGTCCCCTCGGGAAGCAGGGTGACTCAGGGAAGAGGCTCTGAGCTGCTGGTGGGACTGCAGGAGCTGGAGAGGGTGTGCTAGGAGGGAGTCTGGAGGCAGAGGAAGGCGCTGGGGTTGTGGCGGGGCCTCAGCTTGCCCAGCAGCAACGTGGGTCCCCTCGGGAAGCAGGGTGACTCCGGGGAAAGGCTCTGAGCTGCTGACAGGGCTTCAGGGGCTGGAGGGGGTGTACTGGCAGGGAAGGCCTGGAGGCACAGGAAGGTGCTGGGGGTGTGGTGGGGCCTCAGCTTGCCCAGCAGCAACGTGGAGGGCAGATGGGCCCAAGGCTGAAAACAGGCGGCCCCCAGAGGGAAGCTGTTGCAGCAACCCAGGTAGAAAGTACCAGGGCTGACCCTGGCAGCAGTGGGCTGGGGACAAGAGACCAGATTCCAGAGATGACAGCAGAGGCAGTGCTGGGACCAGCTGGAGTTGGAGCGAGGGAGTCTCCCTGAGTCCCCAGTTCCAGGCTGGGGTGGCTTTGGAGCTGCAGAGCTGAGGTGCTGTGAGCTGGAGGGCTTGATGTTGAGGGGCTGCTGGTGTTGAGTAGAGCCAGAAGGTGGGTAGGTGGCCCCGAATCCCCCCAGAGTCAGAGACTGAGGACCCAGGTCCTCAGGGGGAGCACAGCCTTCCCAGAGGTGGCTGTGCACACTCAGCACAGCAGCTGCAGCTGGGCCTTGGTGACAAGCTCGGTGTCCAGGATAGAGATGGGGTGCCTGAGAGTCTGGGGTTGAGGAAGGAGAGGGATTCTAGGAGGGTCTGGTCCACAGTGCCCAGGAAAGAGCCCCTGGGCTGTGGCAGGGCCATCAAAGGAGCAAGGCCGTAACCCCCTAGGGAGGACTGTCCTAGAGGAGCTTGGCTGTGAGGGAAGCAGGGTACATCGGGGCTCCTTGGAAAGGATGTACACAGGGAGAGTCCTTTAAGAATCACGTTTATTAGGAGTTATTTTCTCATGCTGAAAGTGATGCATACCGTTCACCATAGAAACTTGGGCAACACATATAAGCACGACAAATAAAATACAATTACAAATAACAGTCTGCCATAAGGGTTTTGATATATATCCTTAGTCTTTTTTTTTTTTTTTTTTTTTTTTTTTGAGGTGGAGTCTCACTGCATCTCGGGTCACTGCAACCTCCACCTCCTGGGTTCAAGTGATTCTCCTGCCTCAGCCTCCCTGGTTGCTGGGATTACAGGTGCCCGCCACCATGCCCAGCTAATTTTTGCATTTTTTAGTAGAGATGGGGTTTCACCCAGTCTGGTCTCAAACTCCTGACTTAAGTGATCCGCCTCCCTCAGCCTCCCAAAGTGCTGGGATTACAGGCATGAGCCACCGTGCCCAGCCCTCTTTCAGTCTTTTTATATACACTCAAAGATACATATACACACCCACACACATTTTTTTTTTAAACAAAATCAGGCTCATACTCTGCACTAAGTTTAGCCATTTACCAAATGAAGAATGTTGGACCAGGCATGGTAGCTCACACCTGTAATCCTAGCACTTTGGAAGGCCAAGGCAGGAGCATCACTTGAGCCCAGGACTTGGAGACCAGCCTGGGCAACAAGGCAAGGCCCTGTCTCTACAAAAAAAAACTAGCTGGGTGTGGTAGTGCACACATGTGGTTCCAGCTACTTGGGAGACTGAGGTGGGAAGATGGCTTGACCCCAGGAAGTTGAGGCTGCAGTGAACTATGATTGCACCACCGTACTCTAGCCTGGATGACAGAGCGGGACCCTGCCTCAAAAAAAAAAAAAAAAAAAAAGAATGTTGCCGCCTGACGTGTAATATGCTACATACTGATTATTCCTGAGAGTGGATTCCAAAGCATAAATGTGCCATAAATTAAAGGGAAGGCTTTATTTGATAAGAAGAAATAAGAATGCATTCATAGGCCAATAAGAAACTTCCAGAGGTGGTTCAGGAAGAGAGGGAGGCCTAAGCAAAGGGTGCCTTCTGGAGGGACAGAGAAGGCGGGATTGGGTAGCATCTGAGGCACAGGTGAAGGGGGAGGCCTTGGCCATTTCTATAAGAATATTACACTTCCTGATTTCCTTATCTTGATACACACTTGGAAAAAATTATAAAACAAATGCTTATTTTAAGAAGGTGGAGGAGCCAGGCATGCCTGTAATCCCAGCACTTTGGGAGGCTAAGGCAGGAAGACTGCTTAAGCCAATGAGTTCAAGACTAGCGTGGGTAACATAGCAAGACCCTGTTTCTACTAAAAATAACTTTAGTCATTAAAACAATAAAAATAAAGAAGATTGAATAATTTATTTTTTATTTTTTATTTTTTATTTTTTTGAGATGGAGTCTCACTCTGTCACCCGGGCTGGGGTGCAGTGGCACGATCTCAGCTCACTGCAACCACCACCTCCTGGGTTCAAGTGATTCTCCTGCCTCAGCCAACCCACTAATTGGGATTACAGGCGCCTGCCACCACACCTGGCTAATTTTTGTGTTTTTAGTAGAGACAGGGTTTCACCATGTTGGCCAGGCTTGTCCCGAACTCCTGACCTCAGGTGATCTGTCCACGTTGGCCTCCCAAAGGGCTGGGATTACAGGCATGAGCCACCGCACCCGGCCTGAATAATTTTTAAAAGCAGAAAGAAAATACGTCCCATGGTCTCCTATCAGCCATTTAATATATTTTTTCCTGATAACAATCACAATACCCATGTACACATGTATATGGAAATATACTGGTTATTAGAAAATACTGTTGGCCGGGCGTGGTGGCTCACACCTGGAATCCCAACACTTTGGGAGACCGAGGCGGGTGGATCATCTGAGGTCGGGAATTCGAGATCAGCCTGACCAACCTGGAGAAACCCCATCTCTACTAAAAATACAAAAAATTAGCTGGGCGTGGTGGCACATGCCTGTATCTACTTGGGAGGCTTGGCATCTACTTGGGAGGCTGAGGCAGGAGAAACGTTTGAACCCGGGAGGCGGAGGTTGTGGTGAGCCGAGATTGTGCCATTGTACTCCAGCCTGGGCAACAAGAGTGAAACTCCATCTCAAAAAAAAAAAAAAAAGATAAAAAACAATGGTTAAAGTTTATTTATGTCTGCTAATGACCGAAGGCGTGAAGCTAACAGAACAAAGCCTACTGGGAAACTTGGGAAAAGAAACTTGTAACTTTCCTTTCCAACATTGCAAGGGTGGGTCCGTCACAAGGAGGCCACGTGGGTGCCAGATGTGGGCTCCTCCACCCCATTCCAGCTCCATGGGGGACAGTGTCTTGCTCTGACACCCGGTGGGGTTGGGGGTGGAAGACCCTGCCACTCACCAGACCTGAGCTCACTGACGGAGCAACCACTGAACAGAGGCCTTGGGAACTCACTTAGCCCTCAAGATGTAAGAAGGCAGGTTCAAACCCCGGAACTCCTGCCCCGAAGGGGGCTCATTATTTTCACAAGTAGCCTCTTTTCTCAAAGAGTTCACGGTCTTATCAAGAGAACAGGCCCACGTAGAGTTTGTCCCTAGAACCCGTTTCCTTTAAAGGGTCTGTCTTCTCAGTCAAGTGCTTTGTCTGAGCTTGCTGGTTCTTCTACTCCAGGGCACTTACACAATATGGGTAAGGGTTGTATCTTTCTTTTCCAACATTTAACAGTTTGAGCACACCATTATTTTTCTTGTACGTACTGTACTCAAATGCATAAATAGAAAAAAATACACGTTTCACCGTCAGTCATATTACACTGACCTTGCTAATAGATTATCACACCTGGGGAAAAGGTGAGTTCTGGTCTCAAGGGCTTGTCTCCATCAAGGCTGGCAGAGTAGGGAAGACAGAGAGAGGTTGGGGTGATCAGAGAATGAGAAGATGCAAGGAGAAAAAAAGAACGCAGACCAGAAGCATGTGGAAAATTGTGGGTGGCAAACCACCCAGGTGCTGAGGCAAGAGACTGAGGACACGAGCTGTTCCAGTATAATAAAATATAAAACAAGAATAGTTATACCAGATATAGATCTTAGATATGATTATATATGAATATCATTAATCATTATTTGTAGCAATTACTCTTTATTCCAATATTATAATAATCCTCACTCTACAATCATAACCTAGGAAAAACCAGGCCATACAGAGATAGGAGCTGAGGGGACGTAGCGAGAAGTGACCAGAAGACAGGAGTGCGAGCCTTCTGTTATGCCTGGACAGGGCCATCAGAGGGCTCCTTGGTCTAGCGGTGACACCAACATCTGGGAAGACGCCCATTGCCAGGCGGACCGTGGTCTAGCGGTAGCAAAAAGTGTCAAGGAACAACACCCGCTACTTAGCAGACGAGGAAAGAGAGTCTCCCTTTCCCTGGGGGAGTTTAGAGAAGACTCTGCTCTTCCACCTCTTGTGGAGGGCCTGGCATCAGTCAGGCTCGCCCACAGTTATCTGGAGGCCTAACTGTCTCCCTGTGATGCTGTGCTTCAGTGGTCACGCTCCTAGTCCACCTTCATGTTCCATCCTGTACACCTGGCTCTGCCTTCTAGATAGCAGTAGTAAATTATTGAAAGTACTAAAAGTCTCTGATATGCAGAAATAATGGCGTAAGCTGTCTTTCTCTTTGTCTCCTCTCTCTCTCTGCCTCAGCTGCCAGGCAGGGAAGGGACCCCTGTCCAGTGGACACGTGACCCACGTGACCTTACCTATCATTGGAGATGAGTCACACTCTTTACCCTGCCCCTTTTGCTTTGTATCCAATAAATAACAGCGCAGCCAGACATTCAGGGCCACTACCGGTCTCCGCGCATTGGTGGTAGTGGTCCCCCGGGCCCAGCTGTCTTTTCTTTTATCTCTTTGTCTTGTGTCTTTATTTCTACACTCTCTCATCGCCACACATGGGGAGAAACTCACTGACCATGTGGGGCTGGTCCCTGCAGAAAATAAGCCAGGTTCAAGTTGTGTGCTCCAGTGGAGAGGAGGCGGAAGCTCCTGCTGTGCTTGGCTCCTGCCTGGGGGGCTGAGGTGAATGCCCTGCACACTAGATTATTTTGTTTTTTAAATTTTTTTTTTTTGAGTCAGACTTTCACTCATGTTGCCCAGGCTGGAATGAAATGGTGCAATCTCAGCTCACCGCAACCTCCGCCTCCTGGGTTCAAGTGATTCTCCTGCCTCAGCCTTCCGAATAGCTGGGATTACAGGCATGCACCACCATGCCCAGATAATTTTTGTATTTTTAGTAGAGACAGGGTTTTGCTATGTTGGCCAGACTGGTCTTGAACTCCTGACCTCAGGTGATCTGCCAACCTTGGCCTCCCAAAGTGCTGGGATTACAGCCGTGTGCCACTGCACCCAACCGATTTTTTTTTTTTTAAGGCTTATTCTACTAACATCTCACTGATTCACATAATACAAAATTCAACAGGTAACAACGCTTCCTTACATTTTTATACAAAACTCTTTAAACATTATTTTAGTTAGGTGAAAAAGGTGTTCTAAAATTAAGTAGATTATCATCTTGTTACCCCCGCCATGGAGACGTTTTTAGTAGTCAAGGTTATCATCTTTGCAGACCACCTGACAGGCAGTGTCGTTCTTGGGGACGAACTGCACCCCTTCCCACAGCATGGGGAAGTGGGATCATGCTATTCTCTTCCCTCCACCCCACAAGATCACACATGGGCCAGCCTACCCCCCATCACAAGGCCCCCACCCATCCAAACACCTGTCATTCTAAGAACCTCATGCTGGAACAGTCTGACCATTAATAGGGCCACGAAACAGTCAGTAAGGGACCCTCTGCACTGGGCTTCCTGGTGTCATTTCCCAACCAGCTGAATTAACGCATGCTGATGTATTAGAGTTAAGTGCTGGACCGCTGCACAGGCGAAAGGTTGCTTCCTAGCTTTTCATAAAACCAACTCAGCTCAGAGGCTGGGATCCTCCACGTCACAGGCAGGGGTCACTACACAGCAATGCGGAGGTAGCTGCACAAAGATGGGAAACTTTAGCACCTCTGAAAGAATCTGCTAGACTCGCCTCCTCAAGTGACTCACAGACTCTTCTCTAGTGAAAAACTGGGAAAGGTGGAGAGCCCCTCAGCACCAGCAGGTACTTTATTGCCCAAGAAGAAGTTCAGGCTGGACCTGAGGATGGACCGCGGGGTGGCCTCTGCTTTGGTCTCTGCTGGACAGCCCTTGGGGGAGCAGGGAGTCCAGCAGGGCCAGTCCTGCTCAGGTGTGCATGGGGAGGCCTGTTGGCTGCTCACTGGCATTTGGGACCTGAAACACATGGAGGAAGTTGGCTTAGAGGCCGTTCCCGCTGCTGCAGTGTGCAGTCTGAGCTACGGTGGACCCACATTGCCGGCCAGTAGAGGGCACCACACACACTCTAGGGTGCCGTCACAGCCAGAGACACAGCTTCTTCTAGCCCTCAGTGCTGGGCTGATGTCACCACCTAGGTCTTCCAAGCCTGTGGCCCTCCCAGCTACCTGGACACCTCCCACTGGACATCACAGGTGTTGTCCACCAACGAATCCCTGGAGGGGCCTATCAGTTTCCCCCACACAAACCTACTTGCCTGCCAGGGTGTCCTACCACCCACCGCCTGGCACCACTGACCACCAGTCACCAGGGCTGCCCCACTCCTTAGGCTTGGAACCGACACCTCCTCCTGTCCAAGAGCCTTAGGAAGCCTCTCGGTCTACAGATCGTCCCTGCCTGGGCCCTGGCAGCCCCCCTTGCTGCCTGCTGCCAGCCAGGGCCCAGGATCCACCCTCTACTTGGCCACTACTGCCCTCTTCCCTAGCAAATCGGATCTTTGCATTCCCCTACTTTTAAATCCTTCTGTGTCTACCAATAACAACAATAGCAAGAGAGGCCATACCTCCTGATGCCCAGCATGTGCCAAGTACCATGCTACGGGCTCTCAGGAGCTCACGGAAACCCATTGAGGGGATGGGGATCACCCCTGTTAGCCAAGTGAGGAAACCAAGGCCTATGATTTTCAGGATAACGCCCAACCCTGGTAATGGGAGCCAGGCCCTGAACTCCGGCTCAGTTTCCAGAATTCAGAATTCAGGAAGTAGCGGCATCCCCTGGGGCCTGTCAACGCAGACTGCTAGGCTTCACCCCGGAGACTGTGACTCAGTACAACAGAGGGTGGAGGACAGGGGGCTTGCATTACCAGGCACCTAGCCACACGCTCCGAGGAGCTCTGCTAGCCCTGCCCCTCCAGGGTCCCACCTCCTTCCTGTGCCATGGGTGCCAGAGCTCCTTCGCTCAGACACGCCAGCGCTATCTGACACTCCCCAGTCCTCATCCCAGCCACTCTGTCTGAAGCACCTTTCCCTGCTTATCTGGGGCCTCTCTGCTCTTCCACCATCAATGCTGCACTCAAAGAGACTCATCCGACGGGAAGTCTTCCCAGGCTCCGGTTCAGGTTGGCCTGGGTGGCAGCTCTCAGCAGGTGTGCCAGGACCTCTGACTGACTCAGCTGCCTCCCATGAGACAGGGTCCCCACACCCAAGGGCAAGCTCCTTGCTTGGTGTTCAGCCAGCTGTTTCTAGAATGTCGTGTGAGGCCTCATCAGATGAGAGAGGTGCCCGTCCGGCCCACACACCCACAGCCAAAGTATTTACCTGGAGGCGGGGAGCAGACACATCAGCACTCGAGTGAACACCTGTGAGGTCACCCACTGCAACCACAGGACATCGTCGGGCATATCTGGAAGCCATGTCACCAGTCTGCAGAGATGAGACCAAGTACACAAACACACACATAGGCAGACACAACAGCTTACAACACTACCCTTTGTTTACAAAAGCTGCCAACATCACCTCCAATCTGATGACTTCCCAGAAGGTGGATCTGGGATGCTAGGACAAGGACAAGCCCACCTGAAATCTCTAAAGCAAAATGAGCCCACTTCTGGTTCAAGAAAGCTCAAGGGACTTACACTGAAATAAAGAGGGAAAAAAAAACACCTTGGCTTTTCAGGGCTCTTCCCAGCTTGGAGAGGAGCTGAGGCCCATGGCAGCTGCTGCAAGGGCTCTCATGGTCAAGACCATCCCCTGCCTCATGGTTTGCTGTGCTTGGTCACATGTGAGCCCAGCAGAGGCACCATGGAGAGGTCTGAACGCTACCTCCTCTAGACTCTCCATCCCCCAGACACATAAAGGACCCCCACCTCAGGGTCTCTGATAAATGCCTGACCACAGACATCCCCCCGGCAGTGGTGGGGTGGGGAGGAGGAGGCTGATCCTGGGGAGTGGAGAAGGAATCTAGGAAGGCGAGGGAGAGAAAGGAGCCGGCTTTTGAAGGAGAGACTGGGCATTAAAAGATTAATCAGGGCCAGGTGTGGTGGCTCACACCTGTAATCCCAGCACTTTGGGAGGCCAAGGCAGGCAGGTCAGGAGGTCAGGAGTTTGAGACCAGGCTGGCCAACATGCCAAACCCCACCTCTACTAAAAATACAAAAATTAGCCAGGTGTGGTGGCACATGCCTGTAATCCCAGCTACTCAGGAGACTGAAGCAGGAGAATCTCTTGAGCCCAGGAGGTGGAGGTTGCAGTGAGCTGAGATCGCGACATTGCACTCCAGCCTGGAGGACACAGAGAGACTCCATCTCAAAAAACAAAAAAAAAGGATCAAAGGACATGACAGACTAACTTACTAAAAACAAAGTAAACACCCACCAAATCTTCGTGTAAAGATGTGAGTGAAATAAGTGCTCAGGACTGCAGCATGCAACCACCCTATGTTTCCCAGTGTGGCACAGAGAAAATCCCGAAGTACAAGCGCAGCCTTACGAGAAGTGATAAATCTGCAAGAGCAACGAGGAAGGAGCAGGAGCTCACCAATGAGCAAGATATATATTTCAACAGATTACTGGACCCCAGGCAGAAGGGGAGGGGGCTGGTGATGAAACAGGCAGAGCACGGGGAGCCAGCGTTCACCACCAGGGCAAAACCCAACAGTTCAACCAGCTCCAGGGAAAGGGTTTCTAGGAAAGCGGTAGCACCGCCAAGTAGACATCCTTCCCGCAGCCTGCCTGTCACTGTCTGGGAGCTCTGCCAGGTGATGCACCTACCCTTTTCTCCCTGAGCTCCAAGTCCTCTGTTGCTATATGGGAAAAAACCCACCAAGAACACGCCCAGAATAAGTAGCATAAAAGAGAAAGATGAAGAAACAGAAAAACTAGCCCAAGAAGAAATGGAGAAGGGATGATCTAGAGGACAGCAAATATTCCAAGAGAATGTTACATCCATAAAACAAGAACAGAATGCTAAGAAAAAAGAACAAGAGAGTACTCTTGGAGATTAAATTATATTTGCTGAAAGTAAAAACTGTAGGATAGGACTAGAAGACAAAATTTGAGGAAATCTGTCAGAGCAGACGCAAAAAGACAACGAGTGATGAAAAATATGACAAAGAGAGAAAGTCAGACACGGAGACAGGAATCCAACCCAGGAAGTCAAACATCTTCCTAATAAGAGCCCCAGGAAGAGGAAGAAAAAGTCTGGGCAACATAGTAAGATCCCATCTTACAAAATTTTTAAAAAATATTTGTTGGGTGTGGTGATGTGTGCTTGCAGTCCCAGCTACTTAGGAGGTTGAGGTGGGAGGATCACTTGAGTCTGGGAGGTTCAGGCTGCAGTGTACCATGATCAGGTCACTGCATTCCAGCCTGGGCACCAGAGTAAGACCCTGTCTCAAAAAAAAAAAAAAAAAAAGAAAAAAGAAAATGGAAGGGAAGGAATAACAGAAATAACAATAGAAGATAATTTCCTAGAGCTGGAGAATGACAGAAGGCTTTGACTGAAGGGGTCTCCAGTACTTGTCCAGCTCAATAACTGAAATAAGGACTTACACCAAGACATATGACATTTCAGAGTATAAGGGATAAAAAGACAGTCCTAAGAGCACTCACCTGCAAAGAAGTGAGAATGTGACTGTCTCAGTCCCAGGCTTCTCACTAACCAATATACTGAGAGGAAATGATTTTCAACCTGCAATTCTAGACATGGCCAACCTATCACTGAGATGTAATAGAAAAAAAGCACGTTTCCCAACACACATAAAGTCAAACGTTTTCTTCCTTGGGAGTTTACTAGAGACTCTGCTCCAGAAAAACCAGGGAAAAGCCAAGAAAAATGAAGCTACAGATCCATGCATGGCACAGTGGCTCCAGGAGGGAAGATGGCAGGATGTAGCTGTGTGGTGGACAGCCCAGGGCACACACCCAGATGGAAGTGGGGCAGGAGGACCTAAGAGTGGTCCAGGGACAAATGGCAAGACCAGAACTTCCCAATGATCTTAAAAAGCAACTGGGGATGGGCTGGCTCATTCCCTCCCTTTCAGAAGCATTTCAGCAGGAATCTGAATCCTACCCCTTAAAGAACACAGCATCTGAGGTTATTTTAACAGCTCAGGTATTAAACTGCCAAGTCCAGGGCCACATCCACAGGAGGCTCAGCAGCCTCTTTGTAGCAGACAGATCAGCACTCGCACCTCCTCACACCTTCAGGCTCTTCGTTCTCCCTTCCCTGGACTCCCTGCAGCCCCATTCCTGATGCCTGTATTAGCTCAATATTTTTCTTTCAGTCCAGGGTAATATTCAGACCAGGGTAATTTTTTTTTTTTTAATCAAGTGCCCTCCACTGTCAGACAACCCACTGAGGTCGGTTTTCCTATCCATATATTGCGGATGAAACCGCTGAGGCTCAGAGAAGTCGAGTAACTTGCCTGAGGTCACACAGCTTAGAAATTGCAGTGCCCTGGCCTAATGCCCATACCTTTTATCTGTCTCTAATTTTACGATCATCATTATTACCTGAAAATAGAAATCAACATCTCTAGCTGGATGCTTACTATGGGATGAGTACTCCTGCACTGTGAGTCAGTAACCAGATTGAGTCTCCTGACCACCCTCTGCTCCAGGTGATCTCTCTAGACGGGAAGCTGCAGCACAGAGAGGTGGATTCAGTCATCTGGAGTCACACAGCTGTAGTAAGCAATGCAGCCAGGATTTGAAGAAGAGCAGTCTGACTGCTGAGCCAAGCTCTGACCATTCTGCTCCCCACCCCCCATCCCCCCCACTTTCAGAGGAAGCCCAATCAGAGGAAACCCAATCAGAGGAAGCCCAATCAAGAAGTTCTAGGAGAGTCACACTGTGTTCTCCTAACTGCTGGCTCTGAATCATATTAACAAACTATGCCTAGAACGAAAGATGGAATTCCCTATGTTCTACTTTCATGTGATTTGATTTTTTTTTTTTTTTTTTTTTGAGTCGGAGTTTCGCTCTGTAGCCCAGGCTAGAGTGCAGTGGCATGATCTCGGCTCACTGCAACCAACCTCCGCCTCCTAGGTCCTGCTTCAAGCAATTCTCCTGCCTTAGCCTCCGGAGTAGCTGGGATTACAGGCATGCACCACCATGCCCAGCTAATTTTTGTATTTTTAGTAGAGACATGGTTTCACCATGTTGGCCAGGCTGGTCTTGAACTCCTGACCTCATTATCCACCCACCTCGGCCTCCCAAAGCGCTGGGATTACAGGTGTGAGCCACCGTGCCCGGCCGTGACTTGATTTATTATTTTATTCATTTCATTACCTTTCATTTTATTTTGAGATAGGGTTTCTCTCCTGTCACCCAGGCTGGAGTGCAGTGGTACAATCTTGGCTCACTACAACCTCTGCCTCCCAGGCTCAAGCGATTCTTCTGCCCCAGCCTTCCAAGTAGCTGGGAGTACAGGCACGTGCCACCATGCTCCACTAATTTTTGTATTTTTAGTACAGATGGCATTTCACCATGTTGGCCAAGCTGGTCTCAAACTCCTGACCTCACATGATCCACCCACCTTGGCCTCCCAAAATGCTGGGATTACAGCCGTGAGCCACGGCGCCGGCCTTCATGTGATTTTAAATGGAAACAGCTCAGAGGGGCAGCAAGGATCCTGCTTCTAGGCCTGGCCCTTCTACTAGGCATCTCTATGGCCTCAGAGCAGTGACCCCAAGCTCTCCAGGCCTCAGTTTCCTTGGGCAATCACAAGAGACTGGACCAGCTGCTATGTGAGGCCACTGACAGCTCTAGGAGTCCCCACGGGGAGTTTCTGGGCTTGCACTGAGTTACAGGTGCATGTGTGGCTTGAGGACAGGTGGGCAACATTCAGGGGCATTGCACATAGACTGTGAGCTGTGATCTGTGGCACGACAATCCAGGTCCCAGACTACATGCCACCATGATCTATCATCTTGTTTCATCCTCATATCAACCCTGTGAGGAAGACACGGAGCCACCTAAAATGCTCACCTCTGGACAATCGCAATGGCAGATTCCACAGGCAGGGTACAGGGCAGCATTACATAAGACATTATCCTAATGGGTAGCAAGTTGCAAATCTTGCTCATGTATCCACCTTTGTCTTTCATTTCTTCACTCAGTGCTGAAAAAGACAATTTGGAGCTATTATCTCCCACCACTGTGAAAAACCAAACCACTTTACTCTGTTGGTGCTTAGCATTTCCATAAAATACGCCCGTCCTGGCAGCCAAAGGGTCAGAGGCACTCACAAAAGCGACAAGGTGGGGTTTGCCAAGCTGCTCCTTTCTTTTTTTTCCAGACAGAGTTTTGCTCTTGTTGCCCCCAGGCTGGAGTGCAATGGCGCAATCTCGGCTCACTGCAACCTCCGCCTCCTGGGTTCAAGCGATTCTTCTGCCTCAGCCTCCCAAGTAGCTGGGATTACAGGCACCTGCCACCATGCCCAGCTAATTTTTTGTATTTTTAGTAGAGATGGAGTTTCACCATGTTGGCCAGGCTGGTCTTGAACTCCTGACCTCAGGTGATCCACCCACCTCGGCCTCCCAAAGTGCTAGGATTACAGGTGTAAGCCACCGCGCCCGGCCCAGGCTGCTCCCTTCACAGCAAGGGCAGTGTGAAGCTGAAGCGGGGAGCACAGCCAAGAACAGCTAAGAGAGTGCTTACGGAGCATAGGGTCCCCACTCCCAGCTCCTTTAAATTGACAAATATGTTTGGAAGTCGCCATTCCAGAAAGCCTGCTTTTATTTTCCTTGAAAAGACATGTCCATTTCCAATATCATAGCTGAAATTAAATAGAAAATGGTGTGTAAGTCATGAGGCAAAGAATCATCTTGTATTAAGAAATCTGAATATACCCCACAGCAAATAATGTGCACAGAAACAGCTACATCAGGCTGGGCATGGTGGCTCATGCCTGTCATCCCAGCACTTTGGGAGGCTGAAGTTGTTGGATCACTTGAGGTCAGGAGTTCAAGACCAGCCTGGCCAACATGGTGAAACCCTGTCTCTACTGAAAACACAAAAATTAGCCAGGCGTGGTGGTGTGCACCTGTAATCCCAGCAACTCAGGAGGCTGAGGCATGAGGATCATTTGAACCTGGGAGATGGAGGCTCCAGTGAGCCAAGATCACGCCACTGCACACTCCAGCCTGGGCAACAGAGTGAGACTCTGTCTCAAAAACCAAAACACAAAACAAAAAACAGCTACATCAAACGTCACAGCATCTATGTTCTCCTAGGTACTTCTCAGGCACCACCAGCTTTACAAGCTGGTCCTTGACCCTCTGCTGGATTCCAGAGCCTTCTTCCTGGAGCCCCAGTCTTTTATTCCCTCTCTTTAATGACCTCGTGATGCCTCAAATCGTATTAATCTGGTCATATGGTTTGGATCTGTGTCCCTGCCCACATCTCATGTCAAATTGTAATTCCCAGTGTTGGAGGCGGAGCCTGATGGGAGGTGATTGGATCATGGGGGCGGATTTCCCCACTGGTGCTGTTCTCTTGATAGTGAATGTGTTCTCATGAGATCTGGTTGTTTAAAAGTGTATGGCACCTTCCCTCTATTTCCCTCTCTCTCTCACTCCTGCTCCAGTCATGGGATGTGCATGCTTCCCGTTCACCTTCTGCCATGATTGTAAGTTTCCTGAGGCCTCCCCAGAAGCTGAGCAGATGCCAGCACCATGCTTCCTGTCCAGCCTGTGCAACTGTGAGCCAATTCAACCTCTTTCTTTATGAGTTACCCAGTCTCAGGTATTTCTTTATAGCAATGTGAGAACAAACTAATGCACCTGGGCAGCTGCTGTGTCCCATCTCTTAGGGCACCTCAAGAATAAGGAGTTATGTCTGACTCATTTTTGAATTTCTCCAAATGCCCAACTCTGTAGCTGGTTTGTGGGTTCTTCTGTTTGACTTAGTCCGTGTTCAGGCTACTCTAACAAAATGCCACCAACTGAGTGGCTTATAAAACAACAAACATCGATTTTTCAGAGTTCTAGAGGCTGCAAGGTCCCAGATCAAGGGGCAGCAGACATGTTGGTGTCTGGTGAGGGCCTGCTTCTTCATAGACACCACCTTCTGAGTCCTCACACAGTAGAAGGGACAAGGGACCTCTCTTGGGTCTGTTTAATAAGGGCACCAATCCCATTCATGACAGCCCTTTCCTCATGACCTAATCTCCTCCCAAAGGCCCCACCTCCTAAGACCATCATGTTGGGGGTTAGGATTTCAAAAGACAAATTCTGGGGGGTACACAATCATTTGGACCATAGCACTGTCTCCATTTGATATTTGATGACATTATAAAATACAGCACCATTCGATGGAGGTTCAAAATTGTGGGTTTAGGGGAAGGGAGAAATTAGGAGAGGTCTCAAGAAAGGAGCCTTGAGGTGGGTGGACAGGTGGAGGGAGGCGGCTGAAAAGGAGCTCCGAGTAATAGGCCAAGTCCCAGATGCAGGACCCCCATCCTTGGGGTCCATGAAATCCAGGATGGCAGGAGCTCAGGTGCCATGTTAGGGAGACAGAGTTGGAAAGGGGTACAGAGGGCCCAGCTGCCACAGGCAGGAGCCTATATGGGGAACCCCAAGGGGCTCAGCTGGAGTTTGTTTTCCTCCTGGTCATGACCCCATGGGAAGGGAGACTTGGCAAGGTTCCAGGATTGGGGGGGTTGGGGGCTGTGCTGGGAGTGATGGCAGCAGCCCAGGCTGTACACATGGAAGGAGATGTTCCCAACCACCTGTCATGGTTGCCTCACCCTATCGCTCCCATGTGGCAGTACCATCTTCCTCCATAATGCACAAGAAAGAAAACAAGGTGCTGCCCGTGCTCACCCCGAGGAGTGGGTACCTGTAGCGAGCCTGGGCGAGAGGGTGTCCAGGATGCTCTCATCCCAGGGCAGGATGCTGAGACGCAGGTGGTCTAGCAGCTCATCTCCCTCCAGCCTCACAGCCAAGGCAGCCGACTCCGGGGAAGAATCCAGACTCATGTTTGCCCAGCTGGGCATGGCGACCTCAGGATCCATCCCTTCTGAGGATGACTTCAGGCCTGGCTGGGGCCTGTTGCAGATGCCTGTGAAGGGCACGGAAAACAAGCCCATCAGGCGAACGTGGGAGTGGTGGTCGTTACCCACCCATCTACCAAACTGCAGGGAGGCAGGCAGCTGGCCTGTTATTAGCCAAATGCAAGGGGAAGAGGGGAAGGGAAGAGAACGAGCACAGGTGTTTGTCACCCGGAGAAAGGGGTATGGGGCTTTAAAGCAGGACACACGTGAGCTTGGCTCCTGCTAGCTTTGTGGGCTCCATCTACATATCTGGTTTCATGAGGTGCAAAGGCGAGGGTTAGTGTTGGTTTATAACAACTGAACCACTGGTTACACCTGCCTTCCAGGCCCTGAGCTAGGTGCTTCACCATAAGGCCTTACAGAAACCACTATCATCATCTCCATTTTTCAGCTGAGAAATCAGAAGCACAGCAAGGTTAAAAGACTTGTCTAAAGCCACGCAGCCAATACATAGCAGAGCCAGGATTTGAAGCTGGGTCTGATGTCGAAGAGGGTACTCACTTCCATCACAAGGCCTTGGAAGAAGCACCCAGAAGGGAGGATTGGGCACCAGTATGTGCCAGGCCCTGTCCTGGGTGCTGGGACTCAGCCACCAGCACCAGTGAGCGGCCCTTGCTCTTACAGCATTGGCACACTGGGCTGGGGGAGGGGGACTTCAGACAACCACAGCTGCACCTGGCCCAACTCTGGCTTCCAACTTCAGGCTGAAGAGACCAGGGGCTGCTCCTCAACGCCTGAGCCTTGCCCCCCAAGATAACCTCACATTCATGCTTGCCCCGGCTCTTTCCAGGCCCTATCAGATGCCCTCCTCACCCTCCGAGATGTCACTTTCCCTTAGGAATATTGCCAGGTATCTGTTCTCAGGCAGATGCTGCTTCCAGCATCTCTGGCACACCAGCTCTTCCTGCCATACCGGCTCCCTCCTAATGTCCTCAACCCTCAACCCATGGGCACATCTCCCCATCTCCCCTTGCCCAACTGCTAAAGCCAGAAGCCGGGACTGCGCTCTTCTGTCTTCCTCTTCCCAAATGTCCCATCGGTCATTTCCAAGTCCTATTCCCCTGGACTCCTTCAAATTGGTTTCCTCCTCATGACCCTCGCAGCCCTGATCCTGGTGGAGCCTGTGGCTGCCTCACTGGCCTCCTAGACACTGGTATCTCGCTTCCTGTCCCGCATCCAGGGGGCTTCCAAAGCTCTCCTCTGATCCCCTCACTCCTACTGCAGCAGCCCTCAGTGGCTCCCTACCACTGCAGGATGCAATCCCCCTGTATCCAAAAGGCCCAGCCTGCCCTCCTCTCCCATTTTTCACCACTCCTGACCCCCTCTTCTCCAGTCATCTCTTAGTGTCCCCACCCCCACACTTCCAGCCATCTCTTAGTGTCCCCATCCCCACCCCTCCAGTTGCACAGGCCTTCATGCCATCCTGTCTGTGTCCTACAGGCCTCGCATCCATGGGTCCCCATGCCTAAGGCGCTCCTACTTATCCCCAAAGTCTTAATGTGGATTCACGTCCTCCGAGAGGCCCTTCTTCCCCTGGGCCTTGGAGATCCATCCTGCATGAGCCTCCAGCATCCTGTGTCTTCTCCTTGACACCTGTGCCTTCTCATTGGCACCTGTACTTTCCCATCGACACAGCATCACCCTTCTGCTTACTTATCTGCTCACTTCTCTCACAAGGCTGGCAAGGGTCACACCTCTGTGTTCACTGCAGTATCCCTAGCACACAGCAATGAACATTTTCTGAGCAGATAAATACACATATGTCCTTAAAAATGCAGTCTCCTTGGTCTTGGCCAACGACAAATTCATCAACCAACTTTTAGTATTAAAGAAAAATAGCTCCCAACACATCTTTTTCCTTCCACTCTAATATTTCTACAGCAGAACTCCCCCAGCCCTGACAAGCCAGGATGACTTGAAGGCAGAAATGTGCTCTGGGAAGAGCAAACTTGTCTAGTGGGCTTGGACCCACACCTGACTGGAGATGAGAAATCTGATTGCTTCATTTGGGGTCCAGGCGCAGAAACTCTTTAACTTCGGCCCTTGTTAAACTAAGGGTCACAAGAGGTCGAGCTGGAAAGAAAAACCGCCTTCAGATAAGGGGACCCTGGGGAGGGAGAGGGCCCTGGAGTCATGACATCCCAGTTCAAATCTCGGCTCTGCCCCTCAGGGAGGGGTGTGTGCTGCTTGGCTCTCCTTTCCAAAATTCTGTTTCCCCATCTGTACAATGGGACGGAGATTTCCTATCTCCTGGGCTCATGAGTAGGTTGAGCAACACAAGGAAGGCGTTGGGCACTAAGTGTTAGAACTAAGGCAAATCTCAAGTCTTTACCAAGACCGCTAGTAAATGCTTGTCAAAAGGGCATGGCTGATCCTCCCAGCCCATACATACCCTTCTCTTCCAAGAACCTGAATGCATCCAAATATCCTCGAAGGCATATCTCTCCCAGCACCTGTGAGCAAAGCAAGCAAGGGGACTACAGCAGGGAGACACCAAGCACCATTTATTTCAGCATCATTGGAAGACCGCAGAGAGCACCAAAGAATCATGCAAGCTCTGAGTCTGCTGGCTGGGGGCACTGAGCCACCTGGGGGCTGAGCAAAGGGCTCTGTGCTCCCAGGAGACAGTTCCCTGGAGGTCTCGGCTTGAATGTCACCCTTCCACGGAGACTTTGCAGGCACCCCAGCAGGCCAGAGCCTCTTTTTTTTCCTTTTACTTTTCTTTTTTTTTTTTTTTTTTTTAAGGCAGAGTCTTGCTCTGTTGCCCAGGCTGGAGTGCAGTGGCGTGATCTCGGCTAACGGCCACCTCCACTTCCGAGGTTCAAGCCATTTTCCTGCCTCAGCCTCCCTAGTAGCTGGGATTACAGGTGCCCGCCACCATGCCCGGGTAATTTTTGTATTTTTCATGGAGACGGGGTTTCACCATGTTGGCCAGGCTGGTCTCAAACTCCTGACCTCAGGTGATCCACCTGCCTCAGCCTCCCAAAGTGCTGGGATTACAGGCGTGAGCCACCGCGCCTGGCAGGAGCTTGTTTCTTTGGGCTCCCTTGGTCCCGGAATAAGCCTCCACCCTAACAAACTTTGCAGCCTATCCCAATTGCCACTAGGACAATAAGAGCTGTCTCCTCTACTCATCTGCTTATAAAGCACACGGGAAAACCAATCCTGTTAGACAGCTTTCCCTCTCCCTTGGACTGTGAGCATGCATTGCATTGCATAGCCTTCTTTCTTTCTCCCCAGGAGCACCAAAGGTTGGTGTACATGGTCTGCAAATTTCTTACTATGGTAGAGTGGTAAGGCATACTAAAACCACCACAATCAAAAAAGGTTAAACTACCGAACGCAGTTGTTCTTGACCGTGTTTCCAAATAAGAATCATCTTAGTGGCTGGGTACAATGGCTCATGCCTGTAATCCCAACACATTGGGAGGCTGGGGTGGGAGGATCGCTTGAGGCCAGGAGTGTGAGACCAGCCTGGGCAACACTCCACAAAATTTTTAAAAATTAGCCAGGTGTGGTGCTGCATGCCTGTGGGTCCCAGCTCCTTAGGAGGCTGAGGTGGGAGGACTGCTTGAACCCAGGAGTCTGAGGCTTCAGTGAGCTATGATTGCACCACTGCACTCCAGCCTAAGCGGCAGAGCAAGACCCTGTCTCAAAAACAAACCAAAAAAAAATCTTTATAACTAAAAAATAAAAAATCCTAATACCCATACTGCACCCCCCTGACTATATAACCACAGCCTGGGAAGTGGATCTGAGTTTTAGGTCTGGGTATATGTTCCCAGGTGATTCCCATAATCAGGGTGGTGCCTCACCTGAGCTTCTGGGACAAGCGCCTTTTATTTCCGTTAACCATCAAGGACAGGTCTATTTCTGTTTGATTGTGCAGACAGTAACTGGTAGCTCCTGGCAATCAGGGAGGCAAAGAAGAGCTGCACCCCAGAACACCTGCCCCCTCACCACCAACTCACCTTGAGATCCGGGGGGACAAAAGCTCTCGAGAGAAGGTAGAGGTTCCCTGTGCAGAGGCGTAGACTGAGCTTGGTGATGTCCACATGAAGAAAGTTCGTGGACTTGACTTTAGGGCAGATGTCGTACTCCCCATAGAAGGGGGACACGGTGATGGTTGTTTTGGCATCAATGAAGGGTACGTTGTCACTCACTCCTCCATCCACATATCGCTTTTAAAGAAGGGGAAAAAGGACTGGCACTGTCTGAAGCTCTGGGTTAGTGCTTAAGTGCTTAACAAGCTTTCACATGTGGGCAGAGCTTCTCAGAGCCACAAACAGGCTGATATGGAGGGAGGACATTGGCTTTGGAATCACTCCTGCGACAAATCCTTACCGAGCATTCCGGTGCTAGGACAGGCTCTACTCTGGCTCTCAGGGTTGCCGTCTACTGTTGTACAGTGTGTGCACTGCACAAAAGTGCCTGGCAAAGAGGCAGATGGAAACTGGAGTCCATGTTGTGTTGGCCAAGTCCTAGGGCCAGATGGGCACCTATAGGAGTGCCCATGTAACATGCCTAAGGGGGTCATATGAACTAAAGGGTGCTCAGTGCACGGGGACAGAGTGTGATGGAAACCCAAAGGAGAAACATGGTCATGGATTCAAATCCAGACCCCTTTGCTGCTTGCAAGGAGGATACAGAAATCTGGGATAAGACCTTTAACCCATGAGCCCATCTCCCCCCATGCTTTGACAATTAGAACCAACACCTGGAGGGACTTTTGAGACTTAAATGAAACAATGAACCTGGGACCTCAGAAAATGTCCTCTAACCCACAACACAGCAGCATTTTGGATAAATTATTCTAAGGGTGAGTTTTCCTTCATCTATATCCTTAAACCACCTTATTGCCCATAGCTCGGCTGGGGCAGGCAGCTTTTGCTACAATTTGGACAGAGCCTGCATCTGTGAAACTCATGTCAACAATGATTTCCAGCCACAGCCATCACAGCCAGCCATCAGAGCCAGCCATCAGATACCCACAGAGAAAGGCATCCAAAAGATTCCAGCTGGGAGGCTCTCCCCAGCCCGCCCTTCCACACGGAGGAATTTCAGAGCAGAGTTTGGCCTAAAACAGGTCCAGGAGAGAATCAGACATGTTCAGCCACACCTTAGCCATCAAGATTCTTGCCTGGAGTCCAGAAATGATCACAAGTTTACACAGCAACATTTCCAAAATCGTAGTCACACAATTTCTAGGGCAGATGTAGCAAGGCATCAAAAACCTCACTAGGAGCTGGGCATGGTGGCTCACGCCTGTAATCCCAGCACTTTGGAAGGCTGAGGCACATGGATCACTTGAGGCCAGGAGTTCGAGACCAGCCTGGGCAACATGGTGAAACCCTGTCTCTGCTAAAAATACAAAAATTAGCTGGGCATGGGGATGTGTGCTTGTAATCTCAGCTGCTCGGGAGGCTGAGGCAGGAGAATCGCTTAAACCCAGGAGCCGAGGGTTGCAGTGAGCTGAGATCGCGCCACTGCACTCCAGGCCTAGGTGATACAGTGAGACTCTGTCTCAAAAAACAAACAAAAACCTCACTGCATAAAGAGACACAGAATGAAATGCTAGGAATCTGGAGTGAAGACCAAGGAGGAAGGCGGCTGGTGGATCATCTTCATTCAAGGGGTAGTCAGAAGCCCAAATATTCTCCTGCCATGTACAACTTTTCCATGCATTTTGAACTTTTTTATAGTAATGTTTTGAATTTAGGAGCTCCAGTGGTGCAATTGATTAGCATGCGGTATGTACACAGTAATGCTTTGAATTTGCTTGCATTGAATTTGAAGAATAATGGGTTCTAATTGTCAGGAAGATGCCTATGAGCGCACTCAACGGGTGATGACACAGCATCTCGGGCCTCTATACATCAGATGCCAGTGGCACTCCCCCAGATTTTGTTTTGTTTTGTTTTGTTTTGTTTGTGAGACGGAGTCTCGCTTTGTTGCCCAGGCTGGAGTGCAGTGGCAGGATCTCAGCTCACTGCAAGCTCCGCCCCCCGGGTTCACACCATTCTCCTGCCTCAGCCTCCCGAGTAGCTGGGACTACAGGCGCCCGCCACCACGCCCAGCTAATTTTTTTCGTATGTTTAGTAGAGATGAGGTTTCACTGTGTTAGCCAGGATGGTCTCGATCTCCTGACCTCATGATCCACCCACCTCGGCCTGGTACTCCCCCAGTTCTGACAACCCAAACTGTCTTCTGATGTGGCCAGACATCCCCAGAGGGGGTTGGGGAAGGATGCAAGACTAGCAAGTGAGCCGGCACAGACCCAATGCCTACTCCAGAGCCTGCAGAACAAACACTCCTGCTTCGGCTTCTCCATCCCCCTGGCATGGCTCAGAAATCAGCCAATGCACATATTCACTGAACTCAGCCAAATCTGAACACTGCCAGCAGCTTTTGAACAAAGCTATGGGCTGAAAAGGACAGAGTAGGACCCAGAGGGCTTGAAACTCTCGACCAGGAAGGAAAGCCAGAACCGTGCACTGGGGAGCCAGAGAGCATCACTACGGTGCTGCTGGGTGCACTCCTGCTGAGTTCTGGGGAAGATCAAATAACCACATAAAGCCACCAGCATAACAAGGGGTTGGGGTCCTGCTGATGCCCAACCATGCTGTGGCAATGTCGGAAATCCAAAATATGCTTTGGTCACTCAGTAGCTGGGCACTCCAGTGGCTCCGTGGACCACTATCCTGGACCCCAAACTACAGAGAATGAGAAGAGCCGCCCTGCAGTGAACCAAGACATGCCCTGTTCTGACAGAGGAGCAGAGAGTGACCTGGGTGCAAGCTCGCTGGCCGTGCTCTTTGGGCAAGTATGACTCTCAAGTTCCCCACAGCCACACAGGATGAATAATCACATCTCCCCTTGGTTGTGGGGACCCTATAAGATAACGCACAGGAGCACGTAGTCTGTAATGGGAGGCTCCTAATGCGAGTCCCTCTGCCACGTGGCTCTGCTGGTGCTACATACAGGATTGCATCAAAGGTTCCGCTGCTGCTCTTGTGAGTTCAAAAATTACCCTAAAAGGCTAGTATTTTACAGCCTAAACTTCCTCCTGTGCATCACAAAGTGGCAAAACAAAACAAAGCACAAATCTAGGTTAGACCAGGCTGACAGATTTTTGTTGTTGTTTACAACACATGTGATTGTTGGCCGGGCACCATGGCTCACGCCTGTAATCTCAGCACTTTGGGAGGCCAAGGCGGGCGGATCACCTGAGGTCAGGAGTTGGAGACCAGCCTGGCCAATATGATGAAACCCTGTCTCTACTAAAAATACAAAAATTAGCTTGGCGTGACGGCAGGCACCTGTAATCCCAGCTACTCGGGAGGTTGAGGCAGGAGAATTGCCTGAACCTGTGAGGTGGAGGTTGCAGTGAGCCGAGATTGCACCACTGCACTCCAGCCTGGGCGACAGAGCCAGACTCCATCTCAAAAAAAAAAAAAAAGAAAAGAAAAAAATATATATATATGACTGTTATAGTTCCCCCTAAGAGTAAAGCTCCACCTTCCAGGGGTAACAGATTCTTCAGTGTCATATACTTTATTTACCTTTTTTTTTTTTTTCTTTTTGAGATAGAGTCTCGCTCTGTCACCCAGGATGGAGTGCAGTGGTGCGATCTTGGCTCACTGCAACTTCCGCCTCCCAAGTTCAAGCAATTCTCCTGCCTCAGCCTCCCGAGCAGCTGGGATTACAGGTGCACACCACCATGCCCAGCTAATTTTTGTATTTTTAGGAGAGACAGAGTTTCACACTGTTGGCCAGGCTGGTCTCGAACTCCTGACCTCAAGTGATCTGCCTGCTTCAGGCTCCCAAAGTGCTGGGATTACAGACATGAGCCACCGCGCCTGGCCAACATCATATAGTTTAACTAGATCACTGAGAAGCTATCTGATGCTTAAGGTGCAGATTAAGTGAACCAGCCAGTTTACCTTACAGATAGCCAAATAATTAATTACACATGCAGTAAGTTTTGCTGCCCGGGTAGCCTGGAAATAGGGCCAGCTGTGGCTACTCTGTCTGAAAGGCAGTGAGGCATGGGGCTCCACCATGGGACAGACCCTGAGGTGCCCGACACCAGTGCCCTGCAGGCAGGAGATGTGTGAGCACACTTCAGAGGCCCCCAGGACTCAGCGCTAGCAGAGAAAGCCGACTTACCACGCCTCTGAAGGAAGGAGGGATAAGGCCACTGTAGAAGGGGATGAAGCAGGAACATACCAAGGCCTGTGAAAGCAAAGGAGAGAGAAGTTATAGGCGAGAGCACCCTTTTAATTTTCCTGATCCTTCATAAGCTTTCTCCAAGTGAGCAGGGCAACAAACTTGAAAATGCCCTTTGCACAGAGTAGGTTAATCCATGGGTCAAAAGAACGGGGAACTAACATACACCCTCGGACTTCAGGCCCATGGGTCTCATCTATTGCATAATCCCCTTAACAACCCTGTCAGTGAACTTCAACTTCCTCTCCTTGCTCCCCATGAGAGTCACACTGGGTCACCACAGACAGGACCAAGGGTTGTTGGCTCATGGACTGAAAGGGGCTAGATCGGTGCTGTTCAAATGCCGGTATTCATTAGCATCACCGGAGAGCCTGTGGAACCAGAGATTCTGCGTCCCTCCCCAGAATTCCCATGCAGCAGGTCAGAGGTGGGACCTGAGGGTCTGCCATTCCAATAAGCTCAAAGGAGCTGCTGCTCTGCTGGTCCCAGGATCACACTTTGCGAAGCACTGTGCTACAGAGCAGTCAGCAGGCACCACGGTGATTCACTGGGAGAACGGACCCATGTGGGAACAGACAAGTGCTGGCTGTTTAGAGAAAGCTTCCGCAAACAAGGTTAAACAGAGGATGCAACTGGCTGCAGGTTAGACGCGCCAGGCTGCTGTCTTGCACAGATCTGTCAAGTAAATGGAGTCCTTCCTCCAAGGAGCGCTTATGAAAGCATCAGCTGAATTTAATGGTGTTTTGGTATTACAAATTATCTTCTCTCTGCTAGACCCTGAGGATACAGGCAAATAAGGCACGTTCCCACCCTTGTAGGGTTTCCAGTGAGAAGGCATCTTCATTATGGAAGATGCATAGAGGAAGCTCGGGAGAGGCACACCTGCAGGACAGGTTCCTTGGACTGGACGGTCATGAGCCAAGTGTTGAAGGAAAGGGAGGAATTATTTGAAATTGTAACTGCCAGGCAGAGGTGGGCAGATTACTTGGGTGCAGGAGTTTGGGACCAGCCTGGGCAACAGGGCAAAACCCCGTCTCTACAAAAAGTACAAACATTAGCAAGGTGTGATGGCCTGTGCCTGTAGTCCCAGCTCCTCGGGAGGTTGAGATTGCGCCACTGCACTCCAGCCTGGGAGACAGAGCAAGACTCTGTACCCCGCCCCCCCACCCAAAAAAAAGAGATAAAAAGTGAAGAAAAGAAACTGCCCTGGAACATTCAGGGTTTACAAACATGGACCAAATCACTGGAGGTGTACAGAGTTTATGTCACTCTGGCACAGGGGGCCTACAACTGCCTGTGTTGCTTCCAAAACAAAACAGTCTTTCTTTTTTTTTTTTTTCCAGACAGCATCTCACTGTCACCCGGGCTGGAGTACAGTGGCATGATCATGACTTACTGCAACCTCCACCTCCCAGGCTCAAGCAATTCTCCTGCCTCAGCCTCCCTAGTAGCTGGGACTATGGGCCCACAACACCATGCCTAGCTAATTTTTCTGTAATTTTTGTAGAGACTGGGTTTCATCATGTTGGTCTCGAGCTCCTGGGCTCAAGCAACCCACCCGCTTCGGCCTCCCAAAGTGCCGGGATGACAGGCATGAGCCACCACACCCATCCCAAAACAGCTTTTCTAACTTGACAACGTCCAGATAAGCAAACTGCTTACATCCACGACTTCGTCTTTGGACCGAAAGTCAGACACCAGAACGTTTTCCCCATCAGACACTCTGGTAAGAGAGATGCCTATTTTGCCGGAGATGAGCTGGTGGACATTGGCCGGGAGGCATTTGCAGAGACCCTGTCGGAGGAACTTGCTTAAGTTGAAGGATGGATGGAAGATGCCAATGTTCCGACTCCTGGCCTTCCGCACAAGATCTGAGAGGACCTGCAGAGTCTGCTCTGGGGACAGGAGACAAATACATGAAAGAATGTACCACACTGGGATGGTAATACTTTTGGCAAGGCCAGAAACCAGACAGCAAGGATGCCACCAACATTTCTCTAGACCAGTACTGTCTACTATGGGAGCCACATGTGGCTATCACGCCCTTGAAATGTGGCTCGTCAAAACTGAGATGTGTAAGATACAAACTGGATTTCAGTGGCTTAGTATGAAATATCTCATTAGTAAATTTTTATATTGAATAGATGTGAAAATGATATTATTTTGGATATATTGGGCTCAATGAAATTAATTCTACCTGTGTCTTTTACTTTATTCAATGTGGCTTCTAGAAAATGCACAATGACATCATGGCTTCCAGTGTATTCCTACCACACAGCACTGCTGTAGGCCTCAGCCACAGGAATGAGTCTCCCACTTCCAGAAGCCCAGGCGAGCAGGCCTCACCTCCATGCCCCACCTCCATGCCCCACATAGAGGCCAGGAACATATCAGCATTAGAGCTTTGGTGTAGATGGCCTTAATGCTATCAGGTGCAGGAGATCTGACCTCACTTACTGGCCTGGCCTCTCAGGCTGATCTGCACTCTCCTGGCATGCAAGACCACCCCTCCCAGCCCAACCCCTGGCCAGCCATAAATCTTGGGATGCACAGGGACAGGCAGGCCCCAGCCTGTCCTGACCCAAATCTGATCTTGACTCACAGCTCTCCTTCCCTGAGTGGCCAGAGGGGTGGAATTGCACGTGGCTGGCAGGTTCTGCCTGTCCCTCCTGCCAAGTTAGCCTCAGCTCAGATGCACTGAGGTGCTGTGTCCAGGATGCAGCCTCTGGGACATGCTCAGCAGCCCCCAAGTGCACAGCCCTCTGTGAGACAGGGGGTTAAAGCAGGAACCTGGAGCCCTGGAACCCAGGGAGTGGCTCCTGCCAACGCCTCCAGATCCACCTTCCAGGGACTTGGTGGTTCCTGAGCCTCCCTGTGTCCTGCCTGGGAAAGCCCCAGGCTGCACCTGTCCTCTGCCCAGTAAGGAATCCTTTCTATACCAGAGTGAGTGTACTTTAGGCTCCTGGGACCTCTGCATTTGAATTCTGTCCCAGTGTAAACATTTGTCCATGTGGGTGTCCACAGGCCACCTTGGGATACAAAAAAGCTGACTTTTATTGTTGCTAAACCCCAGGGTGTGCAAATGATCATGTGGCGGTCTAATCCTCCTGGAGGCCACATTTCGTGCCCTTTGCTCCTCTCCCCCTGGCTTAGGGGAAGGCAGACAGCCAGGACTGTCTAATCCCTAATCCCCACCTCCCAGTCAGCCCAGGGGCTGCCCACTGCTCCTACCCAATGGCAGGGCTTCCTCTGCCCGCTTCCTCACCACTGAACAGTCACTCCCTGCTGGCTCTGGCAGGCAGGGCAAAGAGTCCATTGTTAAGGAAGCCCAGATAAAAGGGGGCTAATGGGGGCATAATCTCCTGCCTGGGGACGTCTGGGTGTCAATAGCTTCACAATGCTACTTGCCCCAGCCCCTGCCTACTGGCTCACAACCCCCTCCTCGCCTCCAGGACTGTGGCACACAAATTCCCAGGAAGCATACCACACCCCAGTAGTTCCAGCTAGTGAGAAACAAACCCTCCGTCTGCACCCCCACCACACACACACAGGTACCCACATGGACAAATATTTCATTAGGACAAGATTCAAATGTACGGAATCTCATTTCCAGGAGTACTGAGCCGGAGAGGGGAGGGTGGGCCTAGGTCAGTGGAAACTAGAGAAGAGGATGGGATTGGGGGGTGTCCAGGGATGCACTCCAGCCCCCAGGAAGGGTCCCAAACACTGGAGGAGGAGGAGGAGGAGGAAACAACTTTCCTCTTTCAAGGTACCCCTCCCCACTAGACTCCAGTTAGCCTGCCCTGGAGGATGCCCAGGGTTGCCCTTCTGGGAGGCTACCCAGCCCCCAGAAGGCTGGGCTGCGACCCAGAGAGCGTAGGCAGCAGGGAGCAGTGGCTCACGCCTGTAACCCCAGCATTCTGGGAGGCCGAGGTGGGCAGATCACGAGGTCAGGAGATCGAGACCATCCTGGCTAACACGGTGAAACCCCGTCTCTACTAAAAAATACAAAAAATTAGCCGGGCTTGGTGGCTGGCGCCTGTAGTCCCAGCTACTCGGGAGGCTGAGGCAGGAGAATGGCGTGAACCTGGGAGGTGGAGCTTGCAGTGAGTTGAGATCACGCCACTGCACTCCAGCCTGGGCGACTGAGCGAAACTCCGTCTCAAAAAAAAAAAAAGAAAAAAAGAAAAGAAAAGCGCAGGCGCGGGGTGTCTTGAGTCCCTCAATCCCCAGAGGGAAGGAGCCCACCGTGGGGGACCGGCCAAAGCCCCACTCTTTGTCCGGCCCAGGGCAAATCGGCCCCTCGGCAGCTCAGCCCGTCCAGCCCCTCCCGAGAGGACACAGGGGACCCGGAGTCCGCAGGGGCCAGCACTACCCTCCGCCCCGGGTCCCGCTCCCTACTCCCCGTCGCTCCGAGACGCTCCGACTCTCAGTCCGGAGGTGAGGGTCTCCCTTCATGCACGGGCGCCTGATGGGGGTAGGGGTGGGGACGCACGAGAGTCCCAGGCTTCGGCCCGGACCGCTCGGGGTTCCAACGCCCCCTTCCCGGGCCCAGGAACAGCGCCCCCGCAGGAAGCATCTGCCTCGGAGGGGGCCCTCGGGATGCACCCCGCCGTGTCCGCGTCCGATGCCCGCTCCTCCAGGGCCCCGCGACCCCTGGGGATCCCCCGCTCCCCGGCCTAGGGGGCACCCACTCCGCACGTGGAGCCCGGGCAGCGTCCCCAGACGCACCCAGCGGGATACCGGAGAGGACGCCGACGCAGTGCAACGCCCCGGCCGAAGCGCCGAACAACATGCGCGCGTCGCGGAGGAGGTGCGGGGCGTGCTCGCTCAGGCAGCGGGTCGCCCCGACGTGGTAGAAGCCCAGGAAGCCGCAGCCCGCGAAGGACAAGCTCCAGCCGCGCTCTGCGTCGTACATGGCGGCGGCGGCGGGGCGGGGGCGCGGGTTAGGATCTGGGTCGGGATCGGGAATCGGCTCGGGTCCTGATCCGCAGCAGCTCCGCCCGGCGCCCGCAAGCGCTCTCTACCCTGCCTCAGTGTCTCGGCCAGGGCATTCCCAGCGCGACGTCAGCCCCGCCCCCCTCGGACCATGCAAATGAGCCGGCGGGAGGCCCAATGAGCGGGCAGGACGCCCTCCCGGGCGGGGCTTGGAGGGGGATGGGGGTGGGGACGACGTCTGGCGGGGGATGGGGGCGGGGACCGGGTCTGGGAGGGGGATTGGGGGCGGGGGCTGGGAGGGCGATGGCGGAGGACCTGTGCGGGGGGGTCCAGCCTGGGAGCTCCCCGCAGCGACTCGAGAGAAAGCATTTTTCCAAAACTCCAGCAGACACTGCATGTCCTGGAGAGAAACGGCTTCCTTCTGTTTTCCTTGACATCTGTTAAGTCGGGGGGTGGGAGGGGAGTCGCAGTTGGTGCCCACTTGATCCTTAACATCACTTTAACACTTTATCACGTCCCTTTTGACCCGGGGAGAGCCAGCCTAAAGCAGGCACCACCACCTGAAGAGTCTACTCTCTGCGTTGTTGCAGGCTTTCTGTATGATTGCCTTCAAGTGCTGGGGATTTTTTTCATTGAATGAAAGTAACAGGAAGTGTCCATTTCAAAGTTTCCTTTGTAAGTAAAAAATGTGAATGACGGGTGCTGGGGCTGGGGTCGGGGCCCTGTAGGAACTGGGGAGTGGGGAGTGCTTTGGGAAGCTGAGGCCTGGATGATTCCTGGTCCCTTAGTCCCTTAGTCCGTTCAGGTGCGAAAACAAAACACCTTAAAGCGGAGGGGCTTACAAACAAGAGATTTATTTCTATCTTTTTCCCCCCAGGCTGGAGTGCAATGGCACGATCTTGGCCCACTGCAGCCTCTTCCTCCCGGGTTCAAGGGATTCTCCTGCCTCAGCCTCACGAGTAGCTGGGATTACAAGCATGCGCCACCATGCCTGACTAATTTTTTGTATTTTTAGTAGAGATGGGGTTTCACCATGTTGGCCAGGCTAGTCTAGAACTCCTGACCTCAAGTCATCACCCACCTCAGCCTCCCAAAATGCTGGGATTACAGGGGTGAGCCACTTCGCCTGGCTTATTTCTCTGTCTCACAGTTCTGGAGGCTGGAAAGCCCAAGTTCAAGATACCAGCAGATTTGGTCCCTGGTGAGAGGTATGGCTCGTAGAAGGTGCCATCTTGCCACATCCTCACCTCTGGGCCTCTTTGATAAGGGCACCAATCCCATTCATAAGGGTGCCACCCTCTCATCAAATCACCTTCCAAAGGCCCCCGCCTCCAAAGATCATCACCTTAAGGTGTAGGATTTCAACAGATGACCTTTAGTGGGGACACAAACATTTGGATAGTAGCATGCCCTTAGGAGATGCCTAAGAGGCCCCTTGACCTTGACCTACCCCTGGCACTGGGTGGAGCAAGCCCACAGCAGTACATGGAGCCAAGTTAGACCTTGGTCCAGAGCTCCTCACTGGAGGACCCTGGTCTGCCGGGCCATAGCGCCCCCAGCTGGAGTGGACCAGGAAGCCCTCCCCCTTCTCCGTGAGACCTGGAGGAATGCAGAGTATGTGAGCTTTGGGGTCAGGCCTCTGCCCTCTTTGTGGCTCAGTGTCCTCAACTGCAGAATGACTGGTGGTGTTGTAAAACAGGTGACATTGCTGTCAGGATTCCAAATGTCACCTGAGAAGCACCTGGATTGGTTGGGTGGTTCATGTTCAACTGAGCTTCCCCATTCTGCTGCAGTCCTTGCTTTTGCCTTGCCTGGAGGGGTAGGGGAGCTGGGAGCAGGGCTGCCTCCTTTCTCTGGGCAGGAATCCCAGGGCATGGGAGCTTCAGGCCTTAGTGAATACCTGGGCTGACTGCCTCATCACATAGACACTTTGTAGATGGAGGCCCAGAGCAAGGCAGGGTCAGGTCCTAAGTCCCGGGGAAGGTCAGGAGAGCTGAGAAGCAGACAGGGGGTCCCATCTATTCCTGACGTGTTGGCTTTGCTGGAGAGGGGCATTACCTACAGTCCTGCCCTAACTGCCCTCCACCCCCACCTCACGCTCAGGGCTGCGGCGGAACTGAGGCTTCTGGAGGGGACAGCTGGGGTCAGAACCTCTAGCCTCCTGTACCCATCCATCCCTCCTGCATTGCATGACCAGTCTTAGGACTAATGACAGGAGGGCCAGGCTCTGGCACAGGAATTTGAGGCTGTGACCGAAGGCCCGAGATGAGTCACCCTGCCACCAGCCACAGGCATTCATATTCTCTTCCTGTCCACCGGCATTCATTCTTGGCCAGCCACACTGGACATCTGTCATCCCCAGTGTGACCCAGATGTGGGCAGGACAGGAGCAGGGCTGAGGACTCACCCCCTCTTCGTCACTGCATGTAGACAGCAGCTGGGGGCCCTCCCCACTTTCCAGAGACAAAGAGAGGACCCAGCTGGGCAAGGGTTTCATGGTCCAGCTCTCTCAGCCCCCCATCCAGCCTCCAGTGGGACAGGCACATGATATCATGGTTGAGACTGCAAGCTTTGGCATCAGACAGCCAGTGCACAAGACTCGCAAGCATCATTTCATCTCTCAGAGCTTCACTTTTTATATCTGTACCATGGGGGAGAAAACAGTTGTGTGAGGGGCATTGTGAAGTTAAATGTGATGAACAGAAAGCACCCAGCCCAGTGCCTGGCAGTACTGCCCTTATCCCTGATCCCATCTCTCTCTCTCTCTCTCTCAGTCCCTGTCTCTGTGTCTCCCACTCTCACTGCTACGCATAGCCCCATCTGCAACTGGGATCCAGCTCTTGGCTGCCAGCACAGAGTTATAAACATTTCTTATCTTGAACTCAGTGTTCAGGCCCCAGGGAGACTTCTTTGTATCTCTTGAACAATTCTCTCAAAAGAGAAGTTACTGCCTTGCCCATGGTACAAAGAGTTGTGGCTGTGCCCTGCTCACATCAGACACAGACACTACTTGGAAGAATGGAGAGGACTGGTGGCTGAGGCACTTGGGAAGGAGGAAAAGTGAATTCATGTGTCAAAACATCATCAGATGGCATGGATGCTTGCATAAGGAAGTGCTATTTTCCAGGAGTCGTAAATGTTCATTTCCTTGCGGTCTTCAAATTTCAGTTCCCAGTACTTGTGATATGATGTGGGACTGATTGGCAACGTCTATAAGTGAACGCTAAGGACCACTTTCCTTTTTTTTTTTTTTTTAGATGGAGTCTCACTGTCACCCAGGCTGGAGTACAGTGGTGCGATCTCAGCTCACTGCAACCCCCATCTCTTGGGTTCAAGTGATTCTCCTGCCTCAGCCTCCCCAGTAGCTGGGATTACAGGCATGTGCCACCATGTCTGGCTAATTTTGTATTTTTAGTAGAGATGGGGTTTCACCACGTTGGCCAGGCTGGTCTCGAACCCCTGACCTCAGGTGATCTGCCCGCCTCAGCCTCCCAAAGTGATAGGATTACAGGCGTGAGCCACCTCGCCTGTCCAGGACCACTTTTCAATATCAGACTTTGGGAGACCCTGTCTCAGATAAAAACAAAAAGTCCATGCATTAGAGAAGCTCCTTAGGCATGAGTTCTAGTGCTGTTTGCTGTGGGTTCAAGGTTAATGAATCAACAATATACAGGTTATCCGCTGGGCGGAGTGGCTCACGCCTGGAATTCCAGCGTTTTGGGAGGCCAAGGTGGGTGGATCACCTGAGGCCAGGAGTTCGAGACCAGCCTGGCCAACATGGTGAAACCCCATCTCTACAAAATAACAAAAAATGGCTGGGCATGATGCCCGTAATCCCAGCTACTTGGGAGGCTGGGGTGAGAGAACCACTTGAACCCGGGAAGTGGAGTTTGCAGTGAGCAGAGATCCCACCATTGTACTCCAGCCTGGGCGACAGAGTTACACTCTGTCTCAAAACAAAAAAAAAAAACAAGTTATCGATTACGGTGTCTTTAACCAGGAACACACATAAAACAAGGTTATGTATCGATCATTTGTCAAAAATGTGCCCAGAGCCTGGATGGAACCTAACCCCATCCGTCCCCTAGGAGCAATGACTCAGTCTTGGCTGATCCAGTGTATGTGGAGACTTTATAAATGTAACCACCATGAATCACAAGAATTGATGGTACGTCACCCCAACATTCACGAAGGGGAGCAAGGAGGTGCTCGAACTCCAGTGTCTATTTCCTCTCTAAAGCTGGAAATACAGATCGTTGCCACCCCTGACCATGCCAGCTCTGTGTGGGCACACTGCGTCCAGACAGTGTCAGCCTGACCTCTTCTCCCTACACCACTGGGAAAATGAAAGCTGGCATCCCTCACCCAGTTACCAAACCCAGCACCATGAGGACTGACTCTGTGGGAGGTCTCAGCTTCTCTGCCAACCTGCCAGACACCTTGATCTGTTCACAGAGACATTTCTGTCAATGAGAGAACTGGCTAATTCCAGCCATGGGCAAAAACGGGATAGGAACCAGATTCAGGGTGGGGGACAGAACATACGTGAGAGCAGCCCTTTGCCTGCTGCTGTCCTCCTCCCAGTGCCCCAGGCTGCATCTGGACCTTCCACGTCCACACACCTGGCCCGACATTTCCCAACCCACGCTGGCAGCAACAGGTAGGGAACACTGATGGGCCCAGTGCCAGCCTTGCCTCACCTCTGCGCCTCCATCCTTGGCCCAGTGTCCTGGCTCTGGTTGCAGTGCTCTCTTTTTTCCTTTTAAAGTTCTGGTAAAATATACATGACATAAAATTTGCCATTTTAACCATTTTAAACGTATAGTTCAGTTGCATTAAGTACATTCACGTCATGTGCAAACATCACCAGCATCCATCCCTGCAACTTTCTTATCTTTCCAAACTGCAACAACCCCCGTTAAACACTAACTCCCCATGCCCCTTCCCCCAGCCCCTGGAAACCACCATCCTGTCTCTATGAATCTGACTACTCTAGGGGCTCCCTGTGAGTGGAATCATACAGTATTTGTCCTTTTGTGTCTGGCTTATTTCACGGAGCATCATGTCCTCGAGGTTCACCCATGTTGTAGCAGGGGTCAGAATTTCCTTCCTTTTTAGGGCTGAATAATATTCCGCTGTATGTATGGACCCTGTTGGGTCTATCCATTCATGTGGTTCCTTCTCGCATTTGTGAACAAACTCCCCTCCAGCTCCATCCAGGCCTCAGGTCCCCACCCATCAGCACTAGTCCTTCTGGCTGGGATGCTTCTCAGGTTGGCTCTGTCCCCAGAATAAAACCCAGGGAGTTCCCTGTCTTACACACCTTCCCTCCAACTGTCCTGGTTCTGGGGGAAGAGAATTGCTCACATTAGCAGTGCTGGGAAAGTGTAGAGTCTTGGGTGACCCGAAGGGCTTATTTACCGGTCATGGTGAAGTCAGATGGACACTCCCTGACACACGCCAGAGGCCACATTGCTGGGGCCCAGCATCCTCCTGTCTGTCAATGATGATGGGTTCTCCTCTGCCCAGGCAGCATGGTCCCCAGTAGGCACTGCCTTTTTCATCCCCCCTCAGGATACTCCACACAGACGTTGTCCTTTAGCTAGCCCGGGTGATGGAGTCAGTGCTGGCCAAGGCCTGGGCTCCATGCCTTCTGCCCATCATGTGACGAGGGCCATCTCTAGGTCCAGAGCATCTATGGCCACAGAGCCGGGTTTAGCAGCCACAGTGGCTGTGCCTGCCAAGCACTTCTGCTGAGCCCTTCCCACTGTTTAATAGAGCCTGCTGCCCCTGGCTGTCTTCCTGGATGTGCTGTGGCCACGACCAGGTTAACACATCCGAACCAAACTCAGTATTTTACAACCCCCCTGACAACTTACCCCTCCTTTTTCTGGAATATGTGGAGCCTCCCTATCCCCACTTTAGCAGCTTTGCTCAGAAGTCTTGGGTCTGTGAGTTCACCAGAGTGGAGAGATGGGTTTGGGGGAAGAGGGACAAGGCAGGAGGCTGTGGAGATAGCCTCCATGGGACCAGCAAGTCTTCACAGGGGGAAAGGCCCTACAGGGGCCATGTTGGGGCTGTAAGTTCCTCTGGATATCTCCTGAGCAGAGTGGATCATGGAGCCAAGGAAACAGGGTCAGCAGGGCAGCTGACCACAGGGCCAAACACGGCAGGAAGCTGGAAGTCTCTCTGACACCCGCTGAAGCCCAGTAGTGCTGGGCATGTGGATGACTGAGAGGGGAGAGGGAGACCATCAATTTCCTTTTTTTTTTTTTTTTTTTTGAGAAGGAATCTTGTTCTGTCGCCCAGGCTGGAGTGCAGTGGTACGATCTCGGCTCAATGCAACCTCTGCCCCACCGGGTTCAAGCAATTCTCCTGTCTCAGCCTCGCAAGTAGCTGGGATTACAGGCGTGCACCACCACACCTGGCTAGTTTTTGTATTTTTTGTAGAGATGGGGTTTCACTGTGTTGACCAGGCTGGTCTCAAACTCCTGATCTGCCTGCCTCCTTGGCCTCCCAGAGAGCTGAGATTACAGACCACCACACCCAGCTAGAAGAGCATCACTTTCTTTCTCCAACCTTCAACTCTCCCATTTTCCCCATCTCAGTGACCCCTCCCCATGTCCTTAAGCCAGTAACCTAAGCACCCTGTTTGGTCCACCTCATTCTCTCCCACCCAACATCCAGCCTGCCTTCAGGCCCTGGTGACCACCCTCCTAAAGACCCTCCAAACATTTGCTTCTCTCCACCTCCTCTGCTGCTATCCTCATCTGGATCGGGCCTCCAGGAATTTTGCTCCTGGACCCCCAAAAACTCTGGAAAAAAACACTGTATTCCCTTATGCATTTTAAAATCAATATTATAGGGGAGCAGGCCAGGCGCAGTGGCTCATGCCTATCATCCCAGCACTTTGAGAAGTCAAGGTGGGTGGATTGCTTGAGGTCAGGAGTTTGAAACCAGCCTGGCCAACATGGTGAAACCCATTCTCTACTAAAAATACAAGAATTAGCTGGGCATCGTGGCGTGCGCCTGCAGTCCCAGCTACTGGGGAGGCTGAGACAGGAGAATGGCTTGAACTCAGGAGGCAGAGGTTGCAGTGAGCTGAGATTATGCCACTGCACTCCAGCCTGGGTGACAGAGTGAGACTCCATCTCAAAAAAATTAAATAAATAAATATAAAAAACTTTCATTGGCAGGGTGTGGTGGCTCATGCCTGTAATCCCAGCACTTTGGGAGGCCCAAGTGGGTGAATCACTTGAGGTCAGGAGTTTGAGACCAGTCTGGCCAAGAAGGTGAAACCCCATCTCTACTACAAACACAAAAATTAGACAGATATGGTGGCACACACCTGTAATCCTAGCTACTTGGGAGGTTGAGGCAGGAGGATCACTTGAACCTGGGAGGCAGAGGTTGCAGTGAGCCGAGATCGCGCCACTGCATTCCAGCCTGGGCTACAGAGTGAGACTCCATCTCAAAAAAAAAAAAAAAATGGTGGGGGGAGGAAAAAGATAATTTTCTTCTAGCCATCTGTCTTTTTCCATTTTGTGCTGCTATAATTTATAAAGAATTGCATAATTTGTAAAGAACAAAAATATATTTCTCACAGTCTGGATGCTGGAAAGTCCAGGATCAAGGCACTAGCATCTGGTGTCTGGTGAGGGCCTTCTTGCTGCGCCCTCACACGGATCAAGGCGCCAGCATCTGGTGTCTGGTGAGGGCCCTCTTGCTGCGCCCTCACATGGATCAAGGCACCAGAATCTGGTGTCTGGTGAGGGCCCTCTTGCTGTGCCCTCACACGGATCAAGGCGCCAGCATCTGGTGTCTGGTGAGGGCCCTCTTGCTGTGTCCTCACACGGATCAAGGCACCAGCATCTGGTGTCTGGTGAGGGCCCACTTGCTGTGTCCTCACACTGCAGAAGATGGAAGGGGGAAGGGGGAGTGGGAGGAACGCTGTGTCCTCACACAGTGGAAGATTGAAAGTGAGCAAACCACTCCCTCGACCTCTTTTTATAGCAACACTAATCCATCCTTGAGGCTCCACCCTCAAGACCTAAACACCCCCATTAGGCCCCACCTCCCAATACCATTGCATTGGGGATTGAGTTTCCACATGAGTTTTGGAGGGACTAAAACCATTCAAACAATAGCACCATCTTAGGTTCCTTGGCTGGGGCCCTGTAGTTTGGACTGATGAAATTTAGATTCACAAGATAAAAACATACCAGTTTATTTACTATAAGTTTTCCATGACTCAGAGACTCTGGAGTCTAGCTCTGTTGCCCAGGCTGGAATGCAGTGGCGCAATCTCGGCTCACTGCAAGCTCCGCCTCCCGGGTTCATGCTTATAACTTAATTTTTATAAGGCAAATGCTAAGAAGCCACCCACATAAATAAAAGAGTGGGAATGAGAGTTTGTCATAGCAGGGTCACTCATTTATCCAAAAATGACATAGAAATCTGTCTAGAAAAATTATTATGATTATGATTTATTTATTTATTTAGACAAGATCTCACTCTGTTGCCCAGACTGGACTGCAGCACTGCTATCTCAGTTCATGTCAACCTCAACCTCCTGGGCTCAAGTGATCCTCCTACCCCAGCATCCCAAGTAGCTGGGACCACAGGTGTGTGCCACCATCCCTGACTACTTTTTAAATATTTTGTAGAGACAGGATCTTGCCATGTTGCCCAGGCTGGTCTTGAACTCCTGGGCTCAAGTGATACTCAAATGGCCAGATTTTTAATGATTTATCAGCTGCAAACTTATTTAGGGTCTCATTCAGCTTTGTGGAAGGTGAAGCATTAGAAGTCCCTTAAGTTGCAAAAGGATTTGTTATTCAGGCAACAGAGTCCAACACAACCCTGGTGCCTCCATCGTCCTTTTGTTTTGCACCTAAATGGCCACTTCCCTAGCCCATCCCAGCCCCACATTCCCCTGGCAAGGCTTTTCTTGTGAGTAGTGGAGAAAAGGGACAATGCTGAGGGAGGGGGAGAAAGAAAACAGACCTTGGGTCTTCTACAGAGGCAGGGTCTCAGGAGGATGGTTTTAGGAAAGAACTCAGGAAACGACTCCCTTAACATTAGCTGTGCCTGTGCACCCCTTGGAAAATCCTACGTAAGCCCAGAGACATGTGTTCCCCTGCTGCAAGGCCACTGTCCCTGGCAGGTGTCATTTCTTGCAGGTTACTACAGTAACCTCTTAATGAGTTTCCTTGCCTCAAGCTTGCCCACCTCCAACCTGGCCCCTGCTTAATTGATTACGATGCAAGGCGAATATTGTCCCTCCCTAGCTCCTCTTTCCTCTCAAGGTAAAGTTCAAAGGCCTTCGAAGCCTCTAAGCCTGGTCTGCCCCTGAGACCCAGGTTCCCCAATTTCTGGGTTCTGTAACTTCCCGGGGCCTCAGGTTGTCATCAAATTGCCATTTCCTCAGGGAAGACACCCTGCTGGCCCAGTTACAATTAAAGCTCTTTTGGCCCCTGAACTTTTCTTTCAAGGCACGCATTCATTGGACTCAGATAAAATACATGAGAAATTGCTTTCTCCGGCTGACTGTCTGCCTGACTGTAAGCTACAAGAGAGTGAAGACCATGTCTGTCTTGCTCGGTACAGAGTCATCAACTTCTAGCCCTGAACCTAGTCCACAGTAGCTCTCAACAGGTGATGAATGAACGAGTGAATACTAAAATGATACCCTTTCCAGGCCAGGCGCGGTGGCTCACGCCTGTCATCCCAGCACTTTGGGAGGCTGAGGCGCATGGATCACGAGGTCAGGAGATTGAGACCATCCTGGTCAACATGGTGAAACCCCGTCTCTACTAAAAATACAAAAATTAGCTGGGCGTGGTGGCAGGCGCCTATAGTCCCAGCTACTCGGGAAGCTGAGGCAGGAGAATTGCTTGAATCAGGGAGTCGGAGGTTGCAGTGAGCCGAGATTGCACCACTGCACTCCAGCCTGGCGACAGAGAGAGACTCCATCTTAAAAAAAAAATAGGGATTGTGGAAAAAAAATAAAAGACAACAAATGAACAAAATAGTTCTCCAGAGAATTTTGCAAGGTTCCACTGCATTGCTCATGGGAATAAGTGAAGAAGCTGGGCTTGTGGCTTGTGAAGAAGGGGCTCTGGGGAGGTGGAACTGGTAGCAGGAGGACCACATAATGGGTACTGCAGGAGCCCAGAGAGGTGGCAGCTTGGACTAGTGGGGCAGAGCTGGAGATGGAGAGAAGTGGATGGAGTTGAGCCTCTGTTAGGCCATTTGCAAGCCCATAAAGAAATATCTGAGACTTGGCCGGGCATGGTGGCTCACACCTATAATCCTAGCACTTTGGGAGACTGAGGCAGGTGGATCACCTGAGGTCAGGAGTTGGAGACCAGCCTGGCCAACATGGAGAAACCCCATCTCTACTGAAAATACAAAAATTGGCTTGGCCTGGTGGCACGAGCCTGTAATCCCAGCTACTTGGGAGGCTGAGGCAGGAGAATGGCGTGAACCCAGGAGGCAGAGCTGGCAGTGAGCCGAGATCACGCCACTGCACTCCAGCCTGGGCAACAGAGCAAGACTCCATCAGAAGAAGAAGAAAGAAGAAAGAAGGAGAAAGAAGAAGAAAGAAGAAGAAGAAAGAAGAAGAAAGAAGAAGAAGAAGGAAGAAGAAGGAAGAAGAAGGAAGAAGAAGAAGAAGAAGAAGAAGAAGAAGAAGAAGAAGAAGAAGAAGAAGAAGAAGAAGAAGGAAGAAGAAGGAAGAAGAAGAAGAGGAAGAGGAAGAAGAAGAAGAAGAAGAAGAAGAAGAAGAAGAAGAAGAAGAAGAAGAAGAAGAAGAAGTAGTGGAGGAAGAAGAAAGAAATTCAGGGTGAGTTCATAAAGTGAAAGCAAGTTTATTAGGAAAGTAAAGGAATGAAAGAATGGCTACTCCATAGACAGAGCAGCCCCGAGGGCTGCTGGTTGCCCATTTTTATGGTTATTTCTTGATGATATGCTAAACAAGGGGTGGATTATTCATGCCCCCCTTTTTTAGACCATATAGGATAACTTCCTGATGTTGCAATGGCATTTGTAAACTGTCATGGTGCTGGTGGGAGTGTAGCAGTGAGGACAACCAGAGGTGACTGTCATGGCCATCCTGGTTTTGGTGGGTTTTAGCCAGCATCTTTACTGCAACATACTTTATTAGCAAGGTGCTTATGACCTGTATCTTGTGCTGACCTCCTGTCTCATGCTGTGACTTAGAATGCCTTAACCATCTGGGAATGCAGCCCAGGAGGTTTCAGCCTTATTTTACCTAGCCCCTGTCCAGGGAGGAGATGCTCTGGTTCAAAGGCCTCTGACAATCCCACACACTTTAAACAACCAGATCCCAAGAGAAATCACTATCTCGAGGGCAGCACCAACCCATGAGGGAACTGCCCCCATGATCAAACCACTTCCCACCAGTCCCCACCTCCAACACTGGTAGTTACAATTCAACATCAGATTTAGAGGGCACAATGTCCAAACTGTATCAGAGACTTACTTTGGAGGTAGAGAAAACGGAGCTTCTTGGTGGACCGGGGATGATGTGAGGGAAGAGAAGATGCAAGGACAATGGTGATAGAGAAGGCTCAAGAACAGTAGATTTGGAGAGTCACTTAATGTTCTGCTTGGCTACACCGAGCTGGAGACGCCTCTTAGACAGCCAGGTGCAGCGGTCAGGCAGATAGTCGATGTCCAGGTCTGGAGCTCAGAGAAACCAGAGGAGCAATTTGAGGATCTTGGGTAGAGATGATATTTAAAGCCAGGAGACTGGAAAGCGTGGGAGAAAGAAGCAGAGAAGACAGAGTCTTGGGGCAACATCCACGGGGAGGTCTGCAAGGGGAGGAGGTGCCAGGAAGCAGGGAGAGAACACAGCCAGTGGATGCATGGAAGCCTTGAGAGAGCAGCAAGGACAGGTAAATGCCCACTGGCTTTGGCAATACAGACTACACAACCTCAGGTTGGGACAAATACCAGTTAGGGATGGTTCAAGCAGAGAATAGGGACTGTCAGTGGCCTTGGCTCTGTTTCCTGTGAAGGGGAAGAGGGAAAGGAGCAGAAGCTGGAGGGAGAGATGGGGTCATTAGAGGGCTTTTTAAAAGGCAGAGGCATTAAAGTGGGTTTGTATGCAGATGGGGAGACCAAAGAGGGATGGGGAGACCAGGGAGGGACTGGGAGACCAGGGAGAGATGAAGAGCTGGATTATCCAAAACAGAAAGGCTCTTGCTGGCGCCAATCTTTAGGGAAGAGGAGAATGGTGGGAGGAGGAATGTGCCCACGGGCTAGCACCGAGGCCAGGAAGCAATCATCCATTGTGACTGAGAGGGCAGAGGCCTGGGTGTGAACACAGAGGCCTGTTGTAAACGAGAGATGAGATTGTATCTGTTTTCTCTGTAAAGCATGACATAAGGTCACCAGGTCACCAGATGAACAGGAGGGTGCTGGCAACATAGGGAGGGTGGAGAAGGTGAAAGGAGAAAGAGCAGATTTACCCAAGAAGTTTAGTGGGGTTGTCCACCAGCACTGAGGGGCCCCATGAGATCAGTGGTCATGCACTGAAGGATAGCCAACAGGGTTGTGTTATTTTCTCCAGCAACTTCCACCTGTTCTCAAGACAGCATGGAATACTTGGAGAGGGCTAGGATTTTTTGCAGGTAGCATGACTGAGGGAGAGAGGGATGGAAGAGTTGAAGGTGTTTGCAGGGGCAAGGGTGTCATGGGGGCTATGAATGTAAGCTGAGAAAGGAGGGAGGGGAGGGCTTTCGGGGAGCTGTGGGTTGTAGGAGCCCTGTAAAGCCAGTGGCTTGGAGCGTCAGAGGGGCTGGAGCATCTCTGGTGAAGGGCTCACAGTTTGGGTATAAAGACGATTTTAAAGTGAAAACATTTGAAATCTTACCAGAACATGGAACCTTCCATACTTCCTCACTGAAGTTCCAAACTTCTCCCAGCCCTGCCATGCTTTGTTAAGCTGGTATATAAACCTTAACCTGTGGGTGTTCACTATTGAGTAACTCCTTTGTGCATATGTAGATAAGCCTTGTCTTTTCTCCTGCTCATCTGTCTATTGTCAGTTAATTTGCAGGCCCTTGATTATAGAACCTAAATGGAGAGGAGAAAGATTTTCCTGCAGAGGAAGAGCTGGGGGTCCTGGGAGGGAGGATTGTAATGAGATCCTGGGGGCAGAGGAGTTACCGGTGGTGACCAAGTGAAGGTATGACACGAAGGTGGGTGGGAGTGGGTGGGTTGGAGGGCAAGGTCATCTGAGAACTCAAGGCCTGAGAGGCTAGGATGTGGATGCTGAGGTCTCCATGAATGGGGACACGAAAGGGGCAGAAAGAAAGGCAAGGAGCCAGGGGATGAGGTCATCAAAGGGTGTTGTCAACCACAGGGACAGGTGTGGATGGTGCAGTAGGCATGTGAGTCAAAGCAGGTGGTGGGTTGCAGGAGGAGGGAAGGAGGCAGTCTGGAAGCAGAGGAGAGGGGCAAGGAGGATGCGTACAGGAGAGATCCCAGCCTCCTGGTGGTGAAGCAGCTTCCTGGCAGAAGGGCTGCAGAAGCAGAGGGCAGGGGGTTGCTAATGATACTGGTGGGAGAGTCAGGGCTGGAGGGGGCTCAGCAGGGGTAGAGGATTGGCAGCGGGCACGGGGGCAGGGGCATGGTGCCCCTCAGTCTTGCCAGGAAGGGGGTGGGACAATGGCTCATTTGCAGGTTTTCTAGAAGTCAAAGGGAGGGAGTCCCTGGTCTAGGACTGGTCTTCCCTTGAAGGAGCAGGAGCACCTGCTGAGGGTAGGGGCCTGGGGCACTACTGACCACCCACTGAAGGCAACCACTCAACCCTCTCCCTTCCCTTCCTTTCCCTTCCCTTCTCTTTCCCTTCCTTCCTTCCTTCCTCCCTCCCTCTCTCTTTCTCCCTTTCCCTTCCTCCCTCCCTCCTTTCCTTCCCTCCCTCTCCCTCCCTTCTTCCTTCCCTCTGTCCCTCCCTTCTCCCTCCCTTCTTCCTTCCTTCTTTCCTTCCTTCCTTCTTTCCTTCCTTCCTTCCTTCCTTTCTTCCTGCCTTCCTTCCTTCCTTCCCTCTTCCTCTATTTCTTTATTTCCAATAGAGACGAAGCCTCACCATCTTGCCCAGGCTGGTCTTGAACTCCTGGGCTCAAGCAATCCTACCACCTTGGCCTCCCAAAGTGCTGGGATTACATGTGTGAGCCACTGCGCCCAGCCCACACATCCCTCTGTCAAGGGGCCCCTTGGAAGCACCAGCCAAGCTCAAGCTGGCAGTGTTTTGAGACAAGGCTTCCCACGGGAAGCCTGTGAGCACTGCAATGGTCAGCTGGCAGCAACGGTGTGGGATTTGTCCTTCTGAGAGGTGCAAACACATCAAGGGACCGAAGTGACAAGAGGAGTCAACTGGTGCATCTCCATCTTTTCCCCAAGGAGGGGACACCTTACTATGTTTCTGATGTCCGGGGCTTAGTGGAGAGGCAGGTGTGTGACTGAGGGTCCCTGTCACCTTAGGCGGAGGATGCAGGTTTGGAGCAATGTGGGGATGGTGATGTATAAGATCACTGCTCAGCCTCCCGGGCTGCACCCAACACCTGCTGTCCTCCGTGGTATTTACAAAGTAATGCCTAGGCCACAAGACCCTCTCCGCCTCCCCTGGCAGTCCAGTGCAGACCTGGGGTTGCTAGCAGCTGAAATTTTATTCCTCGGCACAGAACCTGCCCACACATCCAAGCATGGGCCTGTTGAGGGCTGGTTCCAGCTGGAAGCTGTGGTACCCACCCCTGGTGGGATGCAGCCCATGTCTCCTCATAAGGCACCCTCCGAAGGTCTTGTCCTGGCAGAGCTGCTGGGTCCTGAGATGCGTATGGAGTGGTGCTTCTCCCCACCACCCCCCTGCCATTAAGGAGAGGATGGAGCCCCAAAGACCTGGCCCAGGTAGGCTGGGCATCGGGATGCAGAAAAGTCTGCTCATTTCTATCCTGAGCATGGTGGAGGGAGTCGGGGAGTGTTTTTAACCCTGCCCAGAGCTGTGGCCAAGTGGCAGCCAGGTCCTCATCCTCTCTCCCTGCTTTCCAGGTTGAGCCATGGCCCCCACCCCGGCCCCTTCTCTGGGCCCCTCCCCCAGCCCTCGTCATTCTCCCTCACCAAGTAGGTCTCCAGAAAGGCTCCAGGTGGAATGCCAAGTCCACACCACACTGACTGGCTAATCACAGTTAATCTGGCTGGTTCAGTTTCTGCAACTGTAAAAGGAGACTATGCTGAAGACACAGTCCTAGCTCTTTGGTGTTCACCCCTGGGCAGAGGGCAGAGCTGAGCCCATCTAAGATAGGAAAATGATGTCGATATCTGAACATTCTGTGGCTTCTTAGGTATCTGAAATTTGTGGGGTTTTTGTTTGTTTGTTTGTTTTTAAGATGGAGTCTTGCTCTGTTGCCCAGGCTGGAGTGCAATGGCGAGATCTCAGCTCATTGCAACCTCTGCCTTCCAGGTTCAAGGGATTCTCCTGCTTCGGCCTCCTGAGTAGCTGGGATTACAGGCACCCACCACTACACCCGGCTAATTTTTTTGTATCTTTAGTAGAGGCGGGGTTTCACCATGTTGGCCAGGCTGATCTCGGACTCCTGACCTCAGGGGATCCAACCGTCTTGGCCTCCCAAAGTTCAGGGATTACAGGCGTGGGCCACCCCACCTGGCCTGAAATTTTTTTAAAGGCAAACGACACCCCATTGCTGACACCCCAACCCCCTGACAAGTGAACCCTTGTGACATCCAGTTGACACATGTTCAACTCAAGAACTCACGCAGGGACAGTCGCTGCGGAAATGGGGACACCCTCCATTCAACCATTCTGGACACTTCCCTCTTCAGAAGGGCATCCACTGCCATAATCTTCTGTTGGAGAGAGGATTGTCTGAAAAAACAGGAGTCAATTTCACCCAGCGTTCTTTAAACACACCCAGAAGTGTGTCTACCGGGGCGAGGTCCCAGCCACTCACTGCAGACTGGGGTTCTGGGCTGACTTTGGAGACTGGCCCCGCAGGTTCCCCTGGCGCTGTGGTCCCAACATTGTGAGTCGGGACAAATATGCTCCTTCCCGCGGAGGCTTTCTTCAAACTCTTACAGGGGTTTGTGACTGCAGGAGGTAGAAATCATACTTTACCAGTCTCAGCCTTGAGGCTGACATGGAGCGGAGACTCTGCGTCGTGTGGAGCCGAGAGAAGTCAGTTCACGGGGACCTGGGGACTCCCCATCCCTGCATCTTCTCCACATTCTGCAGAAGCGTCTCTGATGCCCACCTTCTGGCAGGGCTCAGAGGCAGCCTGGGTTTTGCTGTGGAGCCCTGGGCCAGCCCCCACAGGAGGTTGGACATGGGGCAGGGTTCTCAGGTGCCCCAGGGCCTGACCACATCCCATGGAGGAGCCACAGCTGCTTGGTATGAGTATAGAGAGAGCCCACAGCCCACCGCAGGACTCAGATGCCATTTGGGAAGAGGGGGGCCTGAAGCACAACCTGTAGGAAGAAAGAGGGGAGGGGTCAGCAGGACATGAAACAACTCCATCCCCAACCCTCTGAACCAACAGGCACCCTGGCACCCGAACAGGTTGGCACCCATTGGGGCAGGGCCCAATCACTACTCTAGGCAAAGGGAGGGGACACCAATTAGGGCCCAGACCTCCTAATTAGAGGCCTCCGATCTGGCCCAGACCCACTGTGTGGCCTTGGCCGAGCCACGCCCTTGCTGCTTCAGTTTCCCCACCTATAAAGTGGGAATAAGAAGGCCAGAGCTCCAACGTCACAGCTGAGCCACACACAGAGGACCAAATGAAACAGGTGCCTGGGGTAGCTCTGCAGAACCTCCAAGCCTCGTGCTGTCCCAGGCACACTTTCCATTTGCTCTGTGCTAAAAAGTAAAGGCTTCTGGCTGCTACAGAGGTGAATTTCTTTTTTTCTTTTTTTTGAGATGGAGTCTCGCTTTGTCACTCAGGCTGGAGTGCAGTGGTGCCATCTCGGCTCACTGCAAGCTCCACCTCCTGGGTTCATGCCATTCTCCTGCCTCGGCCTCCCGAGTAGCTGGCAGTACAGGTGCCCGCCACCATGCCCAGCTAATTTTTTTGTATTTTTAGTAGAGATGGGGTTTCACTGTGTTAGCCAGGATGGTCTCCATCTCCTGACCTCATGATCCGCCCGCCTTGGCCTCCCAAAGTGCTGGGATTATAGGCATGAGCCACTGTGCCCGGCCGAATTTTTTTTTTTTTTAATGAAACAAAACAAAACAAAACAAAACTGAGGACCAGGTGTGGTGGCTCTTGCTTGTAATCCCAGCACTTTGGGAGGCCAAGGCCAGAGAGAATCACTTGAGCCCAGGAGCTTGAGACCAGCCTGGGCAACACAGTGAGACCCCCATCTCTTAAAAAAATTTATTTTTTAATTAACAGGACATGGAGGCACGCACTTGTAGTCCAAGCTAGTTAGGAAGCTAAGGTGGGAGGATCGCTAGAAACCTGGAAGTTTGAGGCTGCTGTGAGCCATGACTGCACCTCTCCACTCCAGCCTGCACAACAGAGGAAGACCCTTTCTCAAACATAAAATAAATAAATAAATGATAATTAAGGGCTTAGATTGAGGGGGCCTTGCACATCTGGGCTCTGCTGTTAGTTCTTACAGCTTAAAGGACACATATTATAGCACATCGCTGTAGACCTGTTGGGAGCATGTTTATCAGGAATTTATCTGTTTTCTCATTATCTAAAACACTGGGCTCCCACCCCCAGCCCCCACCAAAAAATAAACAATTATTCCATCCAACACTTACTGAGTCTCTGCAGCCTCGTGGAAGACAGATGGTGTGGCGGATGTGGGGATTGGCCACAGGGTCAGATGAAGCAAGCTTAACACCACAGACAGCTCTGTGACCTCGGGCAGGGCTGAGAAGTGGGGATGAGACCTCCTCCCTGGAAGGGTCGCTGTGACGATTCCATTAATGTCTCCACAGAACATGCTGGACAGCGCCTGGCATGGGGTAGATGTTCAAGAAACAGTAACTGCTAGCGTTACAATCACTGTGACTGCTAAGATTATAATTAACACTGTTTTCCAGAGGGATTCATGGTCCCTGCTTTCTGGAAGTTTCTGGGTTGGTGGCCAAAACACATAAATTTATAATCAAAAATAGGAAGAGCTCTAGCAGAGTAGCACAGGACAATTGTGGCTTTAATAACGAATTATAACGGCGTGTACTGTGACAGCACGCTACGTCGTAGGCACTGAGGGCAGGAGGTGCACCTGGATTTTGTGTCATGCTCATCATAGTAACTCCGTGAGATCCGTGGTACTATTACCCCTCTTCTATGGATGAGGAAACTCAGGCCCAGAGCATCGTACCCAGGACCCACAGCTAGCTAAGAGGTGGAACCAGCGTTTGAACCCAGGTTGTCAGATTATCTCCTCACTAAGGGAATGGCCACCTCAGGTGGGAGGGAGGAAAGGGAGTCAGGGCGGGCTTCTCGGAGGAGGTGACGTTGCATGCACCTGCACACACCCCCTGGGGCAGGCCAAGGAGGCTGATGGATGAGTGCGGGAGGGAAGCATCCCTCCTGGCCCTGGCCTCAGACCCCCTGGTGTCTGGCCCTGCCAGGCTTGTGCCCTCTGCCAGCCTTGTGCCCCTGCCAGCCTTGTGCCCTCTGCCAGCCTCTCTGGCTTAGCAGCACAACCCATTGTCCTCAATGCCACAGTCCCCTCCCCTGGTGACTGACAAGCCCCTGGGCAGAGCCGCTCACCTCTGACCAGGTGGCCAGTGCCGAGACAGGACGCACTGGTAGGAGGCGGCCGGCATGAGCCAGAAGCAACTCTCTGCCCCACGGCTTCCCTCAGGGCTGGATGGGAAGAGACCAGAAATACTTTTTTTTTTTTTTTGAGATGGAGTCTCACTCTGTAGTGCAATGGTGTGATCTCGGCTCACTACTGTGGGTGGCAAGCCACCCAGGCGCCAAGGCAAGAGACAGAGGACACGAACTGTTCCAGTATAATAAAATATAAAACAAGAATAGTTATACCAGATATAGATCTTAGATATGATTATATATGAATATCATTAATCATTAGTTTGTAGCAATTACTTTTTATTCCAATGTTATAATAATCCTCTCTCTATAATCATAGCCTAGGAAAAACCAGGCCATACAGAGATAGGAGCTGAGGGGACATAGTGAGGTGTGACCAGAAGACAAGAGTGCGAGCCTTCTGTTATGCCCGGACAGGGCCACCAGAGGGCTCCTTGGTCTAGCGGTGATGCCAGCGTCTGGGAAGATGCCTGTTACCAGGCGGACCGTGGTCCAGCGGTAGCAAAAGGTGTCAAGGAACAACACCCGCTACTTAGCAGACCGGGAAAGCGGGTCTCCCTTTACCCGGGGGAGTTTAGAGAAGACTCTGCTCCTCCACCTCTTGTGGAGGGCCTGGCATTAGTCAGGCTCGCCTGCAGTTATCCAGAGGCCTAACCGTCTCCCTGTGATGCTGTGCTTCAGTGGTCACGCTCCTAGTCTGCCTTCATGTTCCATCCCGTACACCTGGCTCTGCCTTCTAGATAGCAGTAGTAAATTAGTGAAAATACTAATAGTCCCTGGTATGCAGAAATAATGGTGTAAGCTGTCTTTCTCTCTGTCTCCTCTCCTTCTCTGCCTCGGCTGCCAGGCAGGGAAGGGACTCCTGTCCAGTCGACACGTGACCCACGTGACCTTACCTATCATTGGAGGTGACTCACATTCTTTACCCTGCCCCTTCTGCCTTGTATCCAATAAATAACAGCGCAGCCCGACATTCGGGGCCACTACCGGTCTCCACGCATTGGTGGTAGTGGTACCCCTGGCCCAGCTGTCTTTTCTCTTATCTTTTTGTCTTGTCTTTATTTCTACACTCTCTCGTCACCGCACACAGGGAGAGACCCACCGACCCTGTGGGGCTGGTCCCTACACACTACAGCCTCTGTCTCCTGGGTTCAAGCAATTCCCCTGCTTCAGCCTCTCCAGTAGCTGGGATTACAGGGGTGCACCACCACACTCGGCTAATTTTTTGTATTTTTAGTAGAGACGGGTTTTCACCATGTTGACCAGGCTGGTCTCAAACTGCTGGCCTCAGGTGATCGGCCTGCCTTGGCTTCCCAAAGTGCTGAGATTAGAGACATGAGCCACTGTGTCTGGCCTAGAAATACTTTTAATGAACAGAAGGAGTCCGGCCTGCGAAAACAACTCCTCCTGACCTGGTATCCACACCCAGCTCCCACCCCAGCCCTTCCAGTCCCCACCACGTCCCTCGCAAATCAGCCCTGTCTCTCCCCACTGCCTCTGCCCCCGGCTGGCCACCATGATCTCTCAGCCAATCTTTCCTTTCACTGTGCCTCTCCATAAAAGCTGCTTCAGGGCCAGGCGTCCCAGCACTTTGGGAGGCGAGGTGTGTGGATCATTCGAGGTCAGGAGATTGAGACCATCCTGGCTAACATGGTGAAACCCCATTTCTACTAAAAATACCAAAAATTAGCTGGGTGCTACTCAGGAGGATGAGGCAGGAGAATGGTGTGAACCCAGGAGGCGGAGCTGGCAGTGAGCCGAGACCACACCCCTGCACTCCAGTCTGGGTGACAGAGCAAGATTCCGTCTCAAAAAAAAAAAAAAAGCTGCTTCAGGGCCTGCTCTCAACCCTCTTCCACCCCGGTGTGTCTGCAGGGCAGGCTGGCCCCCGGGGGCTGCAACCGCAGTCCTCAGTAAGGATCGTCAGCTCTGACAGGCGACTGGGCCACGGCTGTGGGGAGGAGGAGGTATTTGAGAATCTGTGTGTGTTGGGTCGGGGGCAGCATAGGGAACACGTGGTTTGGGGAAGGTGATTCTAATGCAACCCCACCCCCTTGAAATCCAATCTTTATAACTGGAACAATTTTAGGCCGGGCACAGTGGCTGTCATGCCTGTAATCCCAGCATTTGGGAGGCTGAGGTGGCAGGACTGCTTGAGCCTAGGGGTTTGAGGCCAGCCTGGACAAAATAGGGAGACCCTTTTCTCCACAAAAAAATTTAAAAAACGATCTGGGTGTGGTGATGCGCACCTGTAGTCCCAGCTATTCGGGAGGCTGAAGTGGGAGGATCACTTGAACCCACAAGGTCGAGGCTGCAGTGAGCCATAACCACACCACTGCGCTCCAGCCTGGGCAACAGAGCCAGACCCTGTCTCAAAAACAAAACAAAACAAAACAAAACAAAATTGGAACAATTTTAGGCATACCAAAACGACTGGAATTTGTTTTCAAAATGTGGATCAGTATGTAGAAACACATAAGTAATCTTTTTATAAAAGTCTTACATTTATTTACTTATTTAACCTCAAACTTTTGGCCTCAAGAGATTCTCCTGCCACAGCATCCCAAAGTGCTGGGATCATAGGCATGAGCCACTGGGCTCAGCCTGAAAAGCCTCACATGCATTTAAAGTGACCTGGAGTCATTTGTGATGAGCAAAACAGATGCCTCTTAGAGAAACCATGAAGAGGGACACAGGGCAGCTAGAGACCAGACCAGCCTTAAGGATGCATCTTCCCCTTGAGACCAGGACCCCTGCCGCACCGGCAGCAAGCTGGGTGCAATCCACTGGGGAGCCCTGGACTGCTGCCCAGGCTTTCTGAGGCGCAGGCAGAGTGGAAATGGCTGGCCCTCTTTCTGGCAGAAAAGGCAGCACCCGGAAATGAGCATTTAGGCTGAGCCAATGGGCAGGGGCAGATGTCAGATTTCAGGTTATCCCACAGAGCAAGAAACAAGCAGCTGCTCCCAAATAAAGAGCAGCAGGAACTTGAGCCTGCTAGGGGAATTTCTAGCCTCTAGAAATAGTCCTGAGGTGGGGTAGGGTGCCTGTCACCCAGAGAGGAAAGTGGGGCAAGAGACCCCGGTGGCTTGGCTCGGAGCTGGGGCTCCACAGATGCCCAGGACCAGGGAGCAAGGGTCGGCTCCTGAAGGTCATGGGGAATCAGAAGCCAGGCTGGGATCCACGCTGCATTTGTGTGACCTGAGCGCAGTGGTCCTTGTGTGAGAACAAGTGGATACTCTCAGATGAGTTTTTTCTTAAGAGCACAAGTGAGAACCGGGGTTGCAGGAAACACAAAGGGGCTCCAACCTCTGCCAAGCACTTGGAAGAACACAGAAGCTGAAGGCTGTCCTTGGTGGGCTGGTCCACAAATAATCCAGTGGGGAAATGGGGGAGAGAGAGGGTGGTCCAGTTGGAAGGCTACAGCACCAGCAGGCACTCATGTTGAGAGGGAGGGTGGCTGGACCATGGAGCAAAGACCGGGTCAGGATTGAGGAAGGAGCATTGGCGGGAGGTGGCCACCAGCCAAGGGTGAGTGAGAAGGCATCAAGAGCCTCTCTCAGCCAGGCGCAGTGGCTCACACCTGTAATCTCAGCACTTTGGGAGGCTGAGGCAGGCGGATCACAGGAGATCAGGAGGTCGAGACCAGCCTGGCAAACATGGTGAAATCCCATCTGTACCAAAAATACAAAAATCAGCCAGGCATGGTGGCAGGTGTCTGTAATCACTGCTACTTGGAAGGCTGAGGCAGGAGAATCACTTGACCCTGGGAGGTGGAGTTTGCAACGAGCTGAAACCGTGCTACTGCACTCCAGCCTGGGCAACAGAGCAAGACTCTGTCTCAAAAAAAAAAAAAAAAAAAAAAAAAAAAGCCCCTCTCAGGTGTCTGCCCTGGCAGGGTGACAGGTACTCGTGGGTTTGGTGACAAGGTGATGGCAGGGTGACAAGGCCCTGGTTCCTGCTCCCACTCCTTAGCTGCCTTTGTCTCTCCTGTGGCCTCCTCTGCCTGCTCACTGGGCCACCAAGCCACGCTATGGCTTGTCCAGCACCCTGGCCAATGCCAGGCTTGGCACCTCCCCCACTGGGTGCCGTGTCTCTTGGCAGCCCGGGTTCCAGGGGTGGTCTGTCCATACAGCCCTTGGCTGGTTACCTGGAGCCCCCCAGGCCCACCCCTACCCATGATGGGTACCCAGAGAGTGCTGGAGACAAAGCTCCTGGGCAACTTTCTCCCTGACTGTGTTGCTGGCTGGCTCTCGGCCCTGAGAGGGCTCTGCTGGGGGCTCAGTCCCCATCCCCTCCTCCTTGTCTTCCAAGCCAGGAAGCTTTATTTTCCCCCTCCAGGAGGATGGAGCCCAGGCTTCATGGGGTGCTCCTATCTGAGCTCAGGTTCTGTGAGGGGCCTAGTGGCTTCCAGTTCCCTGTGCAGGGGAGTGTGGGGTGCGCACAGAAAGGAAAGCACGATTCTGGAACCACAGGGCAAGTGTGACTGGAGGGTTTCTGACCCCCCCGTTCTGATCCTGGCACTGACATTTCCTGGCTGCTGGGCCCTGGGTTATTTACGCAAATTTTCTGAGTCTCAGCTCCCTGTTAAGCGGGGGTGATATGCCTGCCACTCAGCAGGGGTGTCGAGGGTTAAGTGCTCTCTGGAGCTGAGTCCTCAGAAGGCACCAGGAGCTGGTGGCTTGGTTATTGTCATGATTGGCAGCTGGAGGTAGAGCAACCTGCTGTGGGAGACAGTCACCATCCCCATGTCCTGGGACGTGACGGCCACTGCTGTGCCCAGCACCTTTGGCACATCCCTCATCTCATCCTCACAATTGCTCAGGGAGAGGTGGCCCTGAACACCTCCATTTCACAGATGGGAAGACTGAAGTGCTGTCTTAGTCGGTCTTCTGCTGCTATCACAGAAAACCTGAGACTGAATCATTTATAAAGAAAAGGGACTTATTTAGCTCACGGTTCTGGAGGCTGGGAAGTTCAAGACTGAGGAGCCACATCAAGTGAGGGATGTCTGGCTGCATCATAACATGGCACAGGGAGAGGAAGGGAGAGCAAGACAGGCCGGACCCACAGGATAATGGCTGGAGTGCAATGGCGTGATCTCAGCTCACTGCAACCTCCACCTTCCAGGTTCAAGCAATTCTCCTGCCTCAGCCTCCTAAGCAGCTGGGATTACAGGCACCTGCTGCCACGCGCAGCTAATTCTGTTGTATTTTTAGTAGGGATGGGGTTTTGCCATGTCAGCCAGACTGGCCTCAGACTCCTGACCTCAGGCGATTCACCCAGCTTGGCCTCCCAAAGTGCTAGGATTACAGGTGTGAGCCACCACACCCGGCCCTGATTACCTCTTAAAGGTCCCATGTCTTAATACTGTCACAATGGCAATTAAATTTCAACCTGAGCTTTGGAGGGGATACAGTAGGCACAGGCACAGCAGGGTCAAGTGACTTGTTCAAGGTCTCTGACCTGGTCAGTGGCAGAGCTGAGATTAGAAACACGTCTGTCAGTTTGCAAAGCCCATGCTGACTGCCTGGCAACACAGCCACCCAAGACAGGCAAGGAGAGGGCTTCCGGGGCCAGGGGAAGGAGACAGCCCACCCAGAGCCCTTGTGCAATGCTTTCTGGCACAACAGGGCCTCCTGAAAAGACAGGTGGCAGCCTGGGGCACAGACTGGAGCCACTCTGCCTGCCAGTTCCCAGCTGGGTTAACCTGGGCAAGTTGCTTCATCTCCCTGGGCCTCAGTGCGAAATGCAGATAATCCAAGCACCTCACCTCCTGAGTTGTCATGAGGTAATCAGCTAATGATTAGAAAGTTACTTCACCTCCACTGGGCGCAGTGGCTCATGCCTGTAATCCCAGCACTTTGGGAGGCCAAGGCGGGCAGATCATGAGGTCAGGAAATCGAGACCATCCTGGCCAACATAGTGAAACCCCGTCCCTAATAAAAATACAAAAAAAAAAAAAATTAGCCAGGCATGGTGGCAGGTGCCTGTAGTCCCAGCTATGTGGGAGGCTGAGGCAGGAGAATCGTTTGAACCCAGGAGGTGGAGGTTGCAGTGAGCCGAGATCACACCACTGCACTCTAGCCTGGTGACAGAGCAAGACTCCATCCCCTGCCCTACAAAAAAAGAAAGTTACTTCATCTCACATTTCACTGTGCCTCTATTTCCCAATCTGTAAATCAGGGCTGACGGCAGTGGTTTGCTGAAAGGATTGAAGAAATTAACCCGGGTAAAATGCTTCCAGGGGTGCCTGGGACATTACACACTCAATCTGCATCAGCCATCATCTCTCCAGCCTGGCCCCCTCCTCCTTATCACTCCCCACACAGGGTCCTGCTTCCTTGAACAGCCAATCTGCTCTAACATCTTTGCTTATGCTGCTTCTGCTGCCTGGCAGAGGCCCTAGCCCCAGATATCCTATTTGTCATTTAGGTGTCAGCTTCAAACCCATCATCTCCAAGAAGCCTTCCTGACCACGAAATATGGAGTAGCTCCCTCTCCATGACGCCTCTGCTACAGCCTTTCTCACTAGCTGACCCATCTCTTGCTGACTTTTATTTCATTCTCTTCCTTTCATTTCATTTTGGTCGGTTTCACAGGATGGACACCCCGTGAGACTCGTGGTCAGTCTGGGTCTCAGCTGTATTCCCAGAAACCAGAACAGCCCTGAGCAGCTCTCCCAGGCCAGGTAAGTCCTCAGTTCCCCAAAAGGCCAGCTCCCAGCTCCACACCCATCACTGGGCTGTCAACAGCTGCCCAGGGCCGTGGGAAGCTGCCCTCCATCCCGATCACAAGGAGGGCCTCTGACCTAAGGCCGTGGCTGCTCCTGGCTTTGTGGCCTGGCTAGCTAGTGCCCTGGTATCTAGGGCACCATGGGCTGGAAGAACGGTTGTCAGACTTGGCAGCATCCTGGAACCGGCTGCCTGCAGTCCTGGACTGGTCAGAGGAGGAGACTGGCAGAAATTCAAAGGGGTCAGGAGACATTTGGACTTGAATGTGGGGAAAGGGGTTTGGGCGCCCAGGTCCTGGAGTGAGTGGGGTGGGAGCCGTGACTCAGACCAGGTCCTGGAGTGAGTGGGGTGGGAGCCGTGACTCAGACCAGGTCCTGGAGTGAGTGGAGTGGGAGCCATGACTCAGAGCAAGTGCTGTGCAAGCTTCTGTGGCGTCAGCTCCTGCGAGGGTGCAGGGCGGGATCAATACCAACCCGTCAAGGTGAGCTGTGTCAGGCCCTGGGACTTTGCTGCCTCTCTACAATGTCTGATCCCTCGTCTAGTCCGTAGCTTGCTCCAGGGCTGGCCCAGCTGCCTGGCCCTATGCCCTAGGGCATCAGGGAAAAAGGCGGACAGGGCACAGGGGAGATGAGGTCTTCCCAATCCTGGGGATGGAGGCAGTGAGAGGAGGAGGAGGAACTGGGAGTCTCCACGTTACCTTGACTAAGCAGTTTCCCTCTGCACTTCAGTTTCCCCTCCTGTTAGCTGGTGGCTGATCTGGGGACACCTGACCCCACATTTCACTCCTTGTTCTTATCTTACGAAGTTGACAGCAGTGCCCAGCTCCAGCATCCAGGGCCTTTGGTGCTCACCCACGCCTGTGGCTGTTCTGTGCCCACCCCCAGCACTGCTCTTACCACCCGGCCCCTGCAGTACCAACCACTCCACAGCTCCTGCCTTGCCCATCTCTGCTGGAACCCACTTAAAAAAAATTTTTTTTTGGTATTAAACAAACCTATTTAAAAATGTTAATATCAGGGCCAGGCGCAGTGGCTCACACCTTTAATCCCAGCACTTTGGGAGGCCGAGGCAGGCTGATCATCTGAGGTCAGGAGTTCGAGACCAGCCTGGCCAACATGGTGAAACCCCGTTTCTACTAAAAATACAAAAACCGTGCATGGTGGCACATGCCTGTAGTCCCACTTACTCAGGAGGCTGAGGCAGGAGAATCATTTGAACCCGGAAGACGGAGGTTGCAATGAGCTGAGATGGAGCCACTGCACTCCAGCCTAGGTAACAGAACAAGATTCTGTCCCCCGCAAAAACAAACAAACAAACAAACAAAATGAGCTGGGCATGGTGGCGTGAGCCTGTAATCCCAGCTATGCTGGAGGCTGAGACAGGAGAATCTCTTGAACCCGGGAGGCAGAGGTTGCAGTGAGCCAAGAATGTGCCATTGCACTCCAGCCTGGGTGACAGAGTGAGACTCGGTCTCAAAAAAAAAATTTTTTTTAAATAAATAAATAAATACAAATGCTAATATCAGGAAATCTTGGCAAAGGGTAGCCATGAACACTGTACTTTTCTCACAACTTTTCTGAAAATGGGAGATGATATCAAAATAAAAAGCTCCCAGGCAGGTGCTGTACCTGGGAAGAAAACGGGGGCGGTCGGGGGGGGGGGGCGGCGTAGAAGGACTCTCAAAAAAGAAAAGGTGGAGTCCAGGAGTCCAGGAGGCAGAGGAAAGGCTTGGAGAGGACGAACTAGAGCCATGTGGCTGGTGAGAGGCAGGGTCTCACTCCATTGCCCAGGCTGGTCTCAGGAGCGGCCCTTCCCCACCTGACTGTCGCCCCTCATGCTTGTGCCTCTGCTGTCCGGGAAACAAGCCACGGTGCACGTGGCCCCTAGTGCCTCCTGGAGGTCACCATGCACACATCAGCCCTCAGTCCCTATCACCAAATAATGGATGCCTGGTCACCCTTCCCCACTTGGTAACACCAAGCACCCACCTTCCCAGACCTGCCCTCAGAAAACCCCGGGTTAGTGGAAGTTGGGTAGCGCCCTGGGCCCCAGCCAGAAGCCAGTGCTGCCCCATGTCCCTCCCCCAACAGGAGCCATTTCAATCCTCCACACCCTCCCCTCACTCTCAGGGTTGCAGTGCAAACGCGTGGGTGCCCATTGTCCGCTGGGGCAGAGCAGCAAGTGCTGAGGCCCCTGGCTGATTTTGCACACTAGTCAAACCAGTTATTAGCACCTGTTTCCCAGATTGGAGGAGGGAGCTTTTCTGGGGCTGGGATTGAATCCACTTACCTAAAATTCCCCAGACTTTAGGCAGGCTCCACATTGTGACAGGAATTTAAAAAGAGTAAGTGATAACTAGCACGTACCAGGGACCCTGCTCAGTGTTTTACAGACATCAGTCATCCTTTGCAACCCCAAAGGTAACCCTATGAGGGCCGTCCTGCCACATCTCCACTTGCAGAGGGGAAACTGAGGTGTGTGACACCCAGAGGCCTGTAAGCAATCGGTGAATGTGGCCAGGCCCCAAACATGACGTGCTCGGACCACTGTTCTACTGAGTGGAGTAACGGGGGGACTGAGGCAGGTGCTCTACCTGGGGAGAAAATGCCGGGGCAGAGGGACTCATGGAAAAGAAAAGGTGGAGTCCAGGAGGCAGGGGAGGGGGCTTGGAGGGGACAAGCTAGAATCATGTGGCTGGTGGGGAGGGGCTTTTTATTTTTCCAAGATGGGGTCTCGCTTTGTTGCCCAGGTGGGAGTGCAGTACTGCAACCACGGCTCACTGCAGCCTCCAACTCCTGGGACCAGGCAACCCTCCCGCCTCAGCCTTTCAAGTAGCTGGGACCACAGCTGTGAGCCTGGCTAATTTTTATTTTTGTAGAGATGGGGTCTCGCTTTATCGTCCAGGCTCGTCTGGAACTCCTATTCTTGAGAATTTTCCCTATAGTCATAAGAAATATTGGTTTTTAACCTTATTTTTTTCTAATGTCTTTGTCTGGTTTGGTATCTGGGTAATACTGGCCTCATAGGATATGTTGGGAAATGTTCCTTCTTCCTCTATTTTTCATAAGAGTTTGTGAGGGATTCGTTGAATTTTTCTTTTTCTTTTTTTTTTTGTTGGGGGGACAGAGTCTCACTCTGTCACCCAGGCTAGAGTGCAGTGGTGAGATCTCAGCTCACTGCAAACTCTGCTTCCTGGCTCAAGTGATTTGCCTGCCTCAGCCTCCCGAGTAGCTGGGATTACAGGCGCACACCACCACACCTGGCCAATTTTTGTATTTTTAGTAGAGACGGGGTTTCGCCATGTTGGCTGGCTGGTCTTGAACTCCCGACCTCAGGTGATCCGCCCGCCTCGGCCTCCCAAAGGGCGGGGAGAATAGATGTGAGCCACCCTGCCCAGCCCAAGGCTTATTTTTTAAGCTTTATGACATTCACATGGTCAAGTACGTGGATTGTGAATGCAATCACATTCACATGGGGAAGTTTTTTGCGGGTAAACAACCATGTAATCAGAGCGACCTACGAAGCATTTCCAGCATCCAAGAAGCCCCCAAGCCCCTCCCAGTCACCTCTTCCTGTAGCAGGGAGTTTGGGAGACTAAGAATGTAAGTGCAGGGCCCTAGGACGGACCCACCTGTTGCCCCCTATTGCCTTGAAGAACCTGCAAGGGGCCTCCAGTGCTCTGTGGAAGCAAACCTCACTTCCTTTTGGAGACACTACCGTGCAAGACTGGCCTCAGGGTGGCCCAGTACGTTTGGTTATGCTTGCTTTGGATTTAGGGAGGTATAATAGAATTAGCATTATTTCCAAGAATGGGAAGCCCAGAGGCCTGGACAATATGGCAAAGGACCGGGTGGACCAGGTGCATCTTCCTTGACACCAGCTCGCCCACAACTGTCCTGTGGATGGCCAGGTCAGGCAGACACCGAGAGGGTAGGAGACTTGCTGAGGGTCACACAGCCAGCAAGCCTGAACTCCCGACATCTTCCCTTGCAGGCTCCTGGCCTTCCTGCAACCTCCCAAGCCACCCCAGAAGTGAGCCTGCCTTGGTTCAGCTGCTGGTTCCAGGGCAGCTCCCTGAGAAGATGGTGCTGCTGGGGAAGGCCGTGCTTCTGGACACTTTCTGCTAGACTTGCCACCAGCCCCATCATTCTGGTGATGCCACCAGCCAGACTGTTTTCCCACTTGATGTTGACCAGTCACCCACCCTGAGCTCTGTGCTGCCTGCTGTCTCTGGGGGGCCTCAGACAGCCCACACCAAAATGCAAGACCCAATTCCTGAAGCATCAAGCACGCAGAAACTCAGCCTGGCTCCAGGCCTTACGCTTCCTCCCACAGCCCCGCACCACCTGCCCTCACCGCCATGACTGCTCTCTCCCGCTGGCTGGCTTCTCACTCCTCCCTACTCCTCCCTGCCTGGTGCCTTTGCTCAAACTCTTCCCTCTGTGCCCATCTCCCTTTCTCCCCGTGGTGAACCCTTGATCGACCTCCAAGGTCCTGCTCAAACCTTGCTTTTTCTCCGAAACCTCCGGAACATGTCCCTGCTGAACTCCCAGCCCCTGAACTCCTCCCTTCCTGAACTCACACTGGTGGTCCACTGTTCCAGGGAGGCTCAGTCTGCCTCCGGCACAGTCACAACTGTGGGTGAAATGTTCCTGGCTGTGCCTGCTGTGACCTGGTTCCCTCCTGGAGCAGAGTCAGCACATGGCTTCTAATTACCCCCTGCAGCTGGGGCTGGGTCCTTCCCGCAATGGAGATAGCCTGGGGTACCTGCCACCAGGTGGGTGAGTCTGTGCAGGCCCATGGTCTTTGAGGCAAGGATGCCGCCCCTGGTGTGGGATCAGCAAAGCCCGGTACCGCCCACCTCTGTGGGAGGGGAGGCTGGGCTGGCCTGTCCCAGGGTGCCTTCTGCACCCAGTGCCCATGGGCAAGCTGCCCTTCACTCCCAGGTCAAGGAAGAGGTAGGTGTGAGGCTAAGAGAAGCAGATCCTCCCACCTCTTCCTCCGAAAATGACCCACCCAGGCCATGGGCTGAGCATTCAGTCCACAAACACTGTGCCACACTTCTTCCAGGCACAGATGGAGGACCTGGCCCTCAAGGAGCTCACATGAGAAGGCACTGATATGTGCCATGTGATTAAAGCAGTAACACAGGGATGGGCGCAGTGGCTCCTGCCTGTAATCCCAGCACTTTGGGAGGCTGAGGTGGGCAGATCATCTGAGGCCAGGAGTTCGAGACCAGCCTGAGCAGCATGGTGAAACCCTGTCTCTACCGAAAATAACAAAAATTAGCTGGGCGTGGTGGTGCGTGCCTGTAGTCCCAGCTACTTGGGAGGCTGAGGCAGGATAATTGCTTGAACCTGGGAGGTGGTGGTTGCAGTAAGCCGAGATTGTGCCACTGCACCCCAGCCTGGGTGACAGAGTGAGACTCTGCCTCAAAATTAAATAAATAAATAAATAACATAGCGGTTGCCATTGATTGTGCGCCACTTGATTAAAACAATCACCGTAGTAACCATTGTTTGTGTGCTTATCCAGTGCCGGGCGCTATTCCAAACACGTTACTTGCATTAACTCTAATCCTTACCGGTCCTATGGAGTAAGTAATGTTATTATCCCCACTTGATGGATGAGAAAACTGAGGCACAGATCAGTTAAATTATCCAGGGTCACCAGCCAAGACATTCTGGAGCCAGAATTGGAGCCCAGACAGCCCTAATCACTACAAACCCAAGTTCTTGGAGCTTTGCAGTTTATAAAGCACTTTCCAATGGATTGATTAGGGGAGGAGGGAGGAGGTGGGATGTTTGAGCAGGCTGTAGTGGTAGGTGAGGCTTGGAGAGCGGGTGAGCCAGGGGAAGGTGCAGTGGTGCTGGCTGGAGCGGAGGCTGGCCCCGAGACCTCTCTTTCCCTCAAGTCCCTCCCTGGAACCAGCACAGCTGCGGACTTAAGCCTGGTTTGACCCCAAAGACCAGGTGTCCTGGGTCCGACTCTGCCACTTCCTGGCTGTCACCATCCTGGGCTGCGCCTCAGTTGCCTCATTTGCGTAATGAGGACTGGAATAACATCTGCCCAGACTACCAGAGATCAGGCAAGATTTGGTCCCACTCCCCTGCCGTGTCACCCAGAAATCTATGACCCGATGCGGATCCGGGGCGGGCGCGTGGGGGCGGCGCCAGCGTATACACAGCGCGCGGGCACTTCTGGGGCACACCTGGCGCACAACTGGAGTGGGGGCTGATCGCGACCCGGGGACTTCATTGGCTGGGGCGCAGGTGACGCAGCCCGGGGGCGGCGCAGGGAGCACCAGCACCAGCCCCAGCCCGGCTCCCTCCAGAGCCCACATTTGGGCCCAGCCCCGTCCAAGGCTGCATCCCGGCCCTATCCCGGGTCACGGAGTGACCCTTCCTCGTCCCGATCACCCCGCCCGGTCCACCCGCCATGGGCTTCTTAGAGGAGGAGGGCAGATGGAACCTGTCCTTCTCCGGCGCCGGCTACCTGGGCGCCCACCACGTGGGCGCCACCGAATGCCTGCGCCAGCGAGCCCCGCGCCTCCTCCAGGGCGCCCGCCGCATCTACGGTTCCTCGTCTGGGGCGCTCAACGCAGTCAGCATCGTCTGCGGCAAGTCGGTCGGTGAGTCCCGGACCGCGGGGGCGAAAAGGGGCGGGGACAGCTTAATGAAAGCGGATCGAGCCCAGAGACGCTGGTGCCTGGCGCTGTGCTCTGCGCCCTCTACCCCCGGCACAGCCTCATTTAATCCCATGAGAACACCGAGTGCTGGGGACTAGGTGACCCCCATTTGCAGAGGAGGGATCGTGGCTCAGAGCCAGAAACTCTGTTTCCCAGGTCGGCGGGGCAAAAAGTGAAAAGGTGAACGGATCATTTGAATCCGGGGCCGAGCCCAGAAATTCTGAGCTGGAGTGGGGAGGACCCCGCTCCCACTGCACCTAGGAGGGCAGTGGGGGTGTGGAGGGACTGGCAGGATCCCTGGGCGCTGAGGTCTCCCTTTCCCTGCCCCCACTGCAGACTTCTGCTGCTCCCACCTCCTGGGCATGGTTGGGCAGTTGGAGCGGCTGAGCCTAAGCATCCTGCACCCGGCCTACGCGCCCATCGAGCACGTCAAGCAGCAGCTGCAGGATGCTCTGCCCCCCGACGCCCACGTCCTGGCCTCCCAGCGGCTGGGCATTTCGCTGACCCGCTGGCCTGACGGACGCAACTTCTTGGTCACTGACTTCGCCACCTGCGATGAGCTCATCCAGGTGTGGGGCGGGGGGTGCCCAGGGCTTGGCTGGTGGGCGGGCTCCATCTAGTCCAGAGTGACATCCAGGTACTTCCCCGTCAGACGTTTCTGCAGGGGCGGAAGGAGGGAGGGCGGGTGGACCTGTTTGTAGGTGAGGAAACTGAGGCCCAGAGAGGGTCGGCAGGGTGGGTCTGGAGACTTTCCAGGTTGCTGCACACAGAAGGGTCTGGCTGGGGCCCGGCAGAGTCAGGCTGCTGAGTCAGGGCCCCCACAGGGACTGCTCTTTCCAGAGGGCAGCTGGCTAGCCCCAGCCTCCACCCCACTCCATCCTCCCGCCGCTTTTTGGCGGTGGGTTGACATTTATTGAACACCTATTATGTGCCAGTCACTATTCTAGGCACTGTGACTGTAACAGGGAGCAAAACAGACAGAAACCCTTGCCTTCCTGGGGCTTCTATGCTCAGTGGTTCTGGGGGGCAGGCGGTATCGATAATGAACTCATCTCCAAGTAAGGAGGTAAGGAACCATCCAGTATTGAAATGAAATAGGATGTCTAAAAAAGATGCTTCACATACACCCTGACACTATTATTTGCCAATAGTGTGTACGCGCACGCTCAAGTGCAGGCACACAGTGTGACAACCAAAAATGTCTCTGACATTGTTAGGTGTCCTGTAGGGGAGAAAATCACTCCTAGTTGAGAACCACCAACCCAGAGCTTGCAAACTTTTGAATATAGGACTTTGTCTCATGGAACCCTTGGAAACGTCCCAACTCTCTCTGGGAGGTGCAGAACCCATCCTGGCCCTGACCAGATGGAGATGCAGGTGACAGTTTTGTTCCCACAGACTGATAACAGTCACGGCAGCTAATGTGTACTGAGCACCTACTATGTGCCAGGCCCCATCCCAACTGCTACACAGGCAAGGAGTCTGGGCCACTCTTTGGGGTCCCCGGCTGGCTTCCTCAGGAGCCTGCACCTGGCCTCCTTCCCTGCACACCCACAGAAAGAGGAGGTGGGTGTCAAGACAGAGGTGCTCCAATCCCTGCTTCCCTTGGAGAGCTTGGCTGGGAGGTGATGCCTCAGCTCCCTCATCTGGACGTGGGACTGATGACACCTCCTTTGCAGGCTGTTGGGATTAGAAACCGTGCCTAGGAAGGTTCTGAATGCAAGAAGCATGCACAGTTGTGTTCCTGCTGACTCTTCTCTTCCTAGGCCTTGGTCTGCACCTTATACTTTCCTTTCTACTGCGGGCTGATCCCCCCCGAGTTCAGAGGGGAGGTGAGTGCACTCTGGAACCCCGTTCTGTGCTCTGGGCAGCCTGGGGTGCACACCGTGGAGAGGTGCTTGGGTGGAGGAAACCAGCGCTCCTTGAGCACCTACTGTGTGCCAGGCCCTCCCCCTGCTCCTGGGGGGCGTTCAGCCTCCTGGGCTGGAGTGGCCCTGGTGACTCAGGGACAGCTGGAGGGTCACCGGCTGCAGCCAGTGTGGGAGGCCCTCTGAGAGGGCAGCACCACCCACCTGCTCCCCACAAATTGCAGCGCTACATCGATGGGGCTCTGAGCAACAACTTGCCCTTTGCAGACTGCCCCTCCACCATCACGGTGTCGCCCTTCCATGGGACAGTGGACATCTGCCCCCAGAGCACCTCCCCCAACCTGCATGAGCTGAACGTCTTCAACTTCAGCTTCCAAATCTCCACTGAGAACTTCTTCCTGGGGCTCATATGTCTCATACCCCCCAGCCTCGAGGTAGGTCTGGCCCTGTGATGGTGTTAGAGGCTTGGCCAAGGTCAAGGGCCCCGTGAGTCAGACTCTGTGTGCTCCTAACCCCCACTGCCCCCCGAGCCTGAAGGCAGTTACAACACATGTCCCGAGTCTCACAGCCAAACACCTGAATCCTAAGCTTGGGGTTCAGTTGTGTCCTTACTGTTCTTGCTGCCCTGAGCCAGTGATGAATGAGGACTGGCCCCATGTCAATGGGACACACTCACGCCAACTCTGCTTAGCTGGCCTTTGAGCAGGGCCTTTGCCTGTGCTCCTCTGGGCCAGGGTCTGTAGGCAGGTACCGTTATCATTTCCATTTCTCAGGGGAGGATGCTATGGTTCAGAGAGGTTAAGCAACTTGTTCAAAGTCACACAGACTGGAAGCAGCAAAACCAGGATTCAGACCTAGAGCTGGCTCAGGCCCATGCTCTTGACCACCGTCCTTGACTGTGGCCAAATTGACCATCCATTGTAGAGGCAAGGCACAAATGCAAAGAAAAAAATGAAGGAAGCGTTTTTTTACCCCTTGGTATTTCTGGAAAACAGATAATTTGACAACTATTGAAATATACTCCTCCTGGCCGGGTGTGGTGGCTCATGCCTATAATCCCAGCACTTTGGGAGGCCAAGGCTGGCAGATCACTTAAGGTCAGGAGTTTAAGACCAACCTGGCCAATATGGTGAAACCCTGTGTCTACTAAAAATACAAAAATTAGCTGGGCATGGTGGCGCATGCCTGTAATTCCAGCTACTCAGGAAGCTGAAGCAAGAGAATTGCTTGAACCTGGGAGGTGGAGATTGCAGTGAGCCGAGATAGTGCCATTACACTCTAGCCTGGGTGACAGAGTGAGACTCCATCTCAAAAAAAAAAAAAAAAAAAAAAAAAAGAAGGAAAGAAAGAAACACACACACACACACACACACACACACACACACACACACTCCTCTGCCCCATCCACATCCTGGCTCTTCCTTGTCCCTTCTACCTCTCAGGTTTGTGTAGTGCTTTCTAAGTCACGAGACAAAGTCATGTTCATTTACTCCGGTACTCCCCACACCCCTGGGCGGGCAGGAAACCCCAGCCCCATTTTCTAGATAAGGAAGCTGAGGCACTCAGAGAGTTGGCACTGCCATGCTGAAGTCTCACAGCAAGGATGTGAGGGGGACAGCACCCTTTGCCACCAGTGGGACTTTAATCAGACAGGCAAGTGGGGCTCCTGGTTCCTCAGCCCACCTCAGTCTGGTACTGGAAGTAAACATCGAAGGGGCAAAGGGAACCCCCATCCACTGCCCTACAAGGGGCCAGACAAAGTCCCAGCCATCCCAGGCCTTGTTATCCCATTTTCCAGAGACAGAAACTGAGGCAAGAGAGGGGAGGGGCTGGGGCAAGAGCAGCCAGGGTGTCTCAGGGGGGAGATGCAATGGTCCTGCAGGGACAGAACTAGCCAAGCAGATCTGTTCTGCCTGCAGGCCTCTGGCCCCTCCTGCCCAGTGCTAAGGTCCTGCCCAGGCTCCTGCCCTGAGCCCTGTTGAATGGTCACTTGGGGAGAATAGGCTGGGCTGGGACTATTTCCAGTTGAAGATAAGTCTCTGGCCTGTGACATCCACTCGAGGGGTAGGTCCAGGCCTTGCCCATCTCACCCTTGCCCTGTGTGTTGGCAGGTAGTGGCCGACAACTGCAGACAAGGCTACCTGGATGCCCTGAGGTTCCTGGAGAGACGTGGTAGGTGGCAGTCCCACAGTGGCTGGGGATCATGTCCCACATGGTGCCAGGTAGACCCTGCCTCTTGGGCCTTTGAGCTGCTAGGGACATGGGCTAACTCAGTCTCTTCCTCATCATCTGCTCTGTGCTGGACCTGAGCTGAGTACTGGGGACTCAGAGAAGAATCACATACAAGTTCCACTGTTGAGCAGCCCGCAGCCTGGTACAGGGGGACAGACTCAGAGAGAGACAACCCAGGGAGATGGGTGTAGTGACAGAGGGATGCTCAAGGCTGTGGGAGTCCAGAGGAGGCATTGGACTCAGCCTGGGGGTTGGGGGTAGGCAAGGAGGGCTTCCTGGAGGCAGTGACAGATAAGCTGGGTTTTGACTAGTTATGAAGACACCAGCAAAATTGAAGATTCCAGCAAAAGAAGAGGGCATTCTAGGCAGAGGGAAAAACAAGAGAGAAGGGACAGAGGCAGGCACCTTGAGGGCACATAACTCAATATGGCAGGAGGGGTGTGTGTGTGTGTGTGTGTGTTCATGGGGCAGTGGGTGTGCCAGAGAGGTCTGGGCTGGAGAGCCTGAACATCATCCACAGGACAGAGCTCTTCAAATTGGTGCAATAGACATTCAGACACAGGCCACCTGGCTCCAGAACTCATGTGCTCAAGTCCTACGTTACAACCAAAAACACACAATCAGGAGGCATTTGGCGAGCGCTTAATATGTGCCCAGACGTGAGCTTAAGCTTTATGTATTTATCTTGTTTAATTCTCAGAGTAACTGTATAAAGCAGGTCTTACTTTTCCTTTTTTACAGAGAGGGAAACTGAGGCAAAGGGCATTGGGTCACATAGCTTGCAGGTGGTGGAGCCAGAATTCGAACTCTGGATTGTGTCTTTGGGGTCTGGGCTCTGATGAGCCACTCGAAAGTGGGCAGGGAGCAGGGCAGAGCAGGGCCAGGGGAAGGCAGAAGGGAGTCATCCGGAATAAGCTGTGGGTCCGTCCCACAGCACAGTGGATCCCCAGAACTGGGTTTGGGCTCTGAGGGATGTGGGCAGCATGGGGCGCCTTGGGGAGGCTCAGATGCTTGACTTATCCTCTCCCTTCCCCTGACCCAGGACTCACCAAGGAACCAGTGCTATGGACGCTGGTGTCTAAGGAACCCCCAGCCCCGGCTGACGGAAACTGGGATGCTGGCTGTGACCAACGCTGGAAGGGGGGCCTGTCTCTCAACTGGAAAGTGCCCCATGTGCAAGTCAAGGATGTACCCAACTTTGAGCAGCTCTCACCAGAGCTGGAGGCTGGTAGGGACTCTACCTGCATTTGCTCACCTACCAGGGCCCTGCACTCAGGGGCCCGGGCTCAGGGACCCTGCCTTGAAGGCACTCGTGGTCTGGAAGAGGACAGGACTCATTTACTGAGCACCTACTAAATGCCAAGTGTGGTACTATGGGCTTTTCACATGTGGCATCGTTCATTCTTCCCCACAACCCTGGGCCTAGGCATTATTCGTACCCACTTCACTGATGAGGAAACCAAACCTCAGAGAAAGGAAGGGACTCACCAAGGGCTCAGAGCCTGCAACTAGGGGATTTGAACCCAAGCCTGTGCCTGCGAAAGCCAGGTCTTTGCCCACTGCCCCGGAAAGGGCGGGAGTGTTGACAGACATAGGAGAGGCACACACAGAGGGTTCTGGATTCCCCAGATGAAAATGAACTCATTTCATCCTTCCAACAACCATCTGAGGATAGTACAGAATTGTTCTCATTGTACAGATGAGGAAACCATAGCACAGAGAAGTTAAGCGACTTGCCCAAGGTCACACAGTAGCAAATGGCAGAACTAGGGGTTCTACTCGGAACCATTTAGTCTGCCCGCCCGCTGTGTGACTAAATGTCACAACTGCAACAACAGGAAAGTACAGAGTCCCACAGGCACATGTAACGATGGTGGGGGGTGACTTTGAGCAGCATCTAAGTGAAGCTGGAAAAGAGATGTTGGCCAGGCCAAGAGGCAGAAGAGCATCGGGGAGAGGGCATGGCACGTGCAAAGGTCCTGGGGTTGGTGAGGGACAGCCAGGAGGTCCCTGTGGCTGCGGCATGAGGGACAGGCAGCAGAGGTGAGCTTGGGAGGCTGGCAGGGTGGGCAGGTGGTCTCAAAAGCTGTGGGAGGAGCAAGTGAGGTGGGCGGGAGGGGGTGGTGGACCCAGCTGGGTGGGAAGAGGCTGAAGGGGTGGGAGGCTGGGAGGAGAGGGATGGCGGTCGAGGCCAGATCAGGGAGAGTGGGGTGGGCAAGGGGATGAGGAAGGGGGCCCCTTTCCATGCCGGAGACCACACGAGGACGTGCAGAAATGGGCGGGGACCTGTGCGGAACCCCTGAGGTCCAAGCTTGGGATTCTGGAACCCGGCAGTGTACCTGTAGCCACACGGGGGCACCAGAGAGCTGCCTCGGGTGGAGCACCAACTCCTGGGCGCTGCGCCCTCGCCATTTGGGAAGGGAATTGTGAATCTCATCTCTAATCCTCACCTGCCTGCCCAGGGAGGAATGTCCTGCTGGGATCCCCAGTTTATGGAGAAGGAAGCTAGGACTCGTCCTAGGACACTCGGCAGGTGGATGTGGAGCAGGGTCTCTGGCCTGTGCTATCTGTGAATCCTTGTAATCCTCCGTCTCCAGAGGGCAGTGGCCAGAGTGGACGTGGTGGCCTGAGCTGTGGCCTGGGCTGTGTCTGGAGGCTGGGATTTGGGCTCCGGCTCTGTCCCAGCCCAGATGCTGGTCCCTTCCACTCTGGTCAGGTCAGTGAATAGAGCACCCAGGAAATGGTTGCTGCGGTCATAGTTGTGGCTGTGGTTATTAATAACACTGTCGTGTTACTGTTATGAGAGAGTGTGGTGAGAGCATCTGTCCCAGCCTAGCAGGCCACAGACTTTCTAGAGGGGCAGAAGAGGTAGAAACAACTCAGGAGCCTGAGAGTCCTCAAGTCCATCCTGGCCCTGCCACTTCCTGTTGATGGTCCTTAGGCAAGTCACTTCTCCACTCTGAACCTCAGTCTCCTCATCTACGAGAGGGCATACACCCCTTGTCTCACGGACAACGATGAGCGCAGAGCTACCTGCTGGCCTGTGGTGGGGGCTTGCTCAGTGTTGCTTCTTCATCTGCAGAAGGTGGAGGGGGTGCAGTCTCTTACTGTGTGAAATGGGGGGGCTCAGGTTGCTGGCCCACAGACTTCAGGTGGGCAGGGCCATGCCAGGGCTTCTCTTGCAGCACTGAAGAAAGCATGTACGAGGGATCCCAGCCGGTGGGCCCGCTTCTGGCACTCGGGGCCTGGACAGGTGCTGACGTACCTGCTGCTACCCTGCACACTGCCCTTCGAGTACATCTACTTCCGCAGCAGAAGGTAAGGCTCGGCCAGGGGGCCTGGGAAGGGCCTGGCTTGTGGCGGAGACTGGTGCCCATGGCAGGAGGGGCGGCTGGCACACTGGGTGGGTAGGGCTCGGCGGGGTGGGGGGAGCCCGGCTGGTGTCCCCACACTGTGTGGTGTTGACTGCATGACTCAGAGCCTCTGTGATCTCCTCTGCAAAATGAGACTGGTGGAGAAGTGGCATGGTGGGTAGGATTGGAAGTCGGGGGCTTCCTGGTCGGCCTCCTGGGCCCTACACTGTCTCCGTGACCTTTGACCATTGCTCCACCCATCAGAATCTCAGGTTGGCTGTGTGGCTGGGTCTGAGTCTCTTGACCTCTCTGGGCTACAGGTTTCTTTTCTCTTCTCTTTTCTTTCTTTTCTTTTCTTTTTTTTTTTCTGACAGAGTCTCACTCTATTGCCCAGGCTGGAGTGCAATGGCATGATCTTGGCTCACTGCAACCTCTGCCTCCCAGGTTCAAGCGATTCTCCTGCCTCAGCCTCCTAAGTAGCTGGGACCACAGGTGCCCACCGCCACGCCCGGCTAATTGTTTTGTATTTTAGTAGAGGCAGGATTTCACCTTGTTGCCCAGGCTGGTGGCAAACTCCTGAGCTCAGGCAATCCGCCCGCCTCGCCCTCCCAAAGTGCTGGGATGACAGGCATGAGCCACCGCTACAGGTTCCTTTTCTGTAAAACAAGCCCCTTCCAAGCCAGGCCGGCTGTGGTTAGGCTCTCAGTAACATTCTGACTTGCTGGTTAATGTGCCCGTCTGCATCAGTTGTTCATTCATCCCACCAGCAGTTGCTGAGGACCTCTCAGGGGCCAAGGCCTGGCTGGGGGCCATGGAAGCAGCCCCGACGCAGACCCAGCTCCTGGCCTGGTGGAGCTCACGACCTACAAATTATCACACACTCACCTGTAACTACAGCGCCACCTAGAGGTTCCCTGGGAGAGGTCTACACTGGCTTCCAGCTGCACAGCTCAATCTAGGGACTCTCTGGCCAGGGAAGGCTGCCCGGAGGAGATGACTCTTAGGCTATAATCTGAAGGATGAGTCAGCGTCCACCAGGCAAAGAGGACAAGGAGAATGTTCTCGGCAGATGGAACAGCATGTGCAAAGATCCAGAGGCAGGAGGGAGAAAGGCCCATTCGAGGAGCAGGAAGGGAGGCCAGTAAAGCTGGAGCCTCAGGGAGTGTGCCGTACACGACGCAGGGGAGGCTGGTGGGGCAGACGCACTGAGCTCTGGAGCCAGCTGAGCGTGGTCTTTGTCTGGAGAGTGGTGGAAAGGCTGGGAAGGGTTTAAGCAGGGAGGTGTCATGGGGGGACCTGTATTTTCAAAAATTCTCTGGAAGAAGGTCTATGATGGTGAACCACAGGTCTCTGTCCTGCTCAATGTTGAGTTAATGACTGGGTCAGCCCTGCTGTTTAAATTGCCAGTGGCCCAAACCCAGGAGAGAGCTTTCTACCGACAGATTCTCCTCACGCTGAGCTGTTTACGGAAACCACAAGTTGAAATCCAAAAGTATAAATGTAAAGTCCAGTTTTCAGTTAAAAAAAGAAACTCATTGTGTGAGCCCCAAAGGGGAGCCTGCCCAGACCACAGGGAAGTTCACTCTTGGCATATTTCACAATACATATGTTCAACACATAGGTTGCATTAATAGAGGCAGGAGGTCCAGAGCAAGGGAGGTGACAGTCCAGCTTATGTCTTGCCGTCACACCACACTCTCTGGACTGCATGCCTAGTTTGAGGTCTGGTGTAGGGGCCCCTCCAAGGGTGCTGTGGTGCAGGTTGAGGCCCTGCAGTGGCCAGTGTCTGAGGTGTCCGGCCAGGGCTTTCTCAGGCCTGGCCCCACAGGGCTGTGGCTCTGCAGACAGACTCATGCTGTCTCTCCTCTGTGCTGGGATAACACGCAGTTCCAAGGACCCTGAATCTGGGGCTGGCTCCATCATGGAGGCAGTGGGGAACCACGGGGACATCTTGAGCAAGAGGGGGCTCTGTCAGCTGTTTTCGGAGGGCCAGCAGCTTCTGAGAGGAGAGTGGACGAAGGGGCATGGGGTAGGGAGGGCAGGGGCTAGCTGGGAGAGAAGAGAGAGAAATGGACGGCGATAAGGAGGACATTAGGAACTATGGGTGAGGTGACTGTCCTCATTTGACAGGTTCCCTGACCTGTGCAGGTCACCCAGCTGATGGGCAGGGAGGCTGGGCTGTAGCCTCAAGCCAGCCTGACCCCAAAGGTCCACCCTCTCCCTCCCTGCGCTTCCTACTTGTTTCCTCTGGAGTCAAGGAACCTAAGGCCTGGCCACCTCTGCCAAGTTCAAAGTCCATTTTGGATCTTTCCAACCCTGCAGGTGTCCCTGTGGCTCTGACCTGCTCTGCAACAGTGGCCAACGCTGCTGGCCCTTCTTCCCTAACCTGGGCAGCCCTCAGGAGCAGGGCTCCCGGCTGTGCTCTGGGCCTATGGGGAGGGTGGGCTTGGTGGGGCCACACCCCAGGCTCACCTGGGCAAAGCTGACCTGCCCCTTCCTCCAGGTTGGTGGTGTGGCTGCCCGATGTGCCGGCGGACTTGTGGTGGATGCAGGGCCTGCTGAGGAACATGGCCCTCGAGGTTTTCTCCAGGACCAAGGCCCAGCTCCTTGGGCCCATCAGGTGAGGTGGGCAGAGGGCAGGGATGGAGAGGGGGTGGCTGTGCTGGGGGGAACGCACCAGCTGCTTCCCTGGACCCTGGGTAGGCCGGCCATGCCATCTGCCTGCCCACCTGCTTACCTGCGTCCCTCTGGCCTACTCATGCAGCCATTGGCACGTGTGTTGGTCACTGCTGTGCGCCCGACCTGTGCTAGACGCTCTATGACAGTCACCTTGGTCAGTCTGCATGACCTGCCAGGTGCAGTCACTGGGCCACCCATGGGACAGGTGCCTCTTGCGGCTTCACCAGCTCCCTGCCAGTCCTCCTGCCATTGTTCCAGACGTCCCCACGTGACCTTGGACGAGGCTGGCCCTGTGTGTGGTCTGGCCTGCAGTGGCCTGGTCCCTCTTCTCTGACCAGCCCTCCAGACTTGGGGGGTCCTGTGTGGCCCTCCCCCACCCACTCGACAGTTATCTGTTTAGCAGGGACATCAGTGCAGTTCTCTGGGGAGTGGCCATCCCAGGACCTCCCTGACACTTCCAGCTCAGCCACACTGAGGTCCACATGTCCTCCCTCAGAGCAGGATTTGGGGGAAGAGTGACCTGGGTTCACTGTGGCTGCGCCTGCACCCACGTGGTTTCACCTACCCTTCCCGAGCCCCAGGCATTTACCCGTGGCTTCTCCTCCCTCCACAGCCCTCCGGCCACTCGCGTCCTGGAAACAAGCCCCCTCCAACCCCAGATAGCTCCTCATAGAGAGGAGCTCGGGCCCACCCACCAGGCCTGAGGGGGCCGAGCAGGGCCAGCCCAGTGACTGGTGTCCCTTGATTCCTGCTCTGGCCTTTGTCCTGTGTGCCCACATCTGCCCCAGCGGGAAGAGGCCCTGCCAATCTCCGTGGAGACCCTGCAGCTTGGAGCCCGTTCCTTGGGGCGCAGCCTGTCAGCATGTCCCCGGTCACTGTGTACCCAGGTCACCTGCCCTCCCTCTTGCCCCGTCTCATCAGGGAGAGAAAGGAGGACAGCCACAGAGACACATGTCTTACTTTCAGAATTTCCACGGGGGGACTAGGAGGGCAGCATTGCTGGGGAGAGGGGCTCCTGTTCTGCCGTGGAGCTGCCCACGGAGCACCTCACAGAAGATTGAGAAAGTGCCTGATGCCCGCGTCAGAGACCAGAGGAGCCAACTGAGATGATGGGGTGGGGGTGCTCCCCCCAGACTTTCTCAGTCCTGCAGCGGCCCTTGGGGGTGACCCCCGGCATCTACCCCACTCAGGAAACCTTGACTTCTGAATTCCTATCAGGTCCAGAGGGTGGAAGGCCCTGGCAGGAAGCAGGAGGAGGAGGAGAGGGGGGTCCAGGTCTTTTCAGGATCCCAGCTGTGGGTGCTTCTGTTGGGCCCAGTGGCCCCTGCTATCCCCACAGCCTCATTCCTGCAGAAGGTTTGTGACGTAGCTGTGCCTGTACCTGGGGCAGAGAGGATGCCAGGGACACCAGGCCTCTGGCCTCTCCACGAGTCACTGCTCTCCCCATTGGCAGCACGGGACCCATGCTGTGCCCCCGGCCAGGCCCTGAGGAAATGCTCAGCCTCAGTGGAGATGGGGAGGTTAGAGAGATGGAGGCGTGAGTGAGAACGGGAAGCAAAGGAATACACGTGGGAACTAAAGAGAAAAATGACCAGCCTGGGCAGCATAGCAAGACCCTGTCTCTAAAAAAAATAATAAAAACTTAGCTGGGCATGGTGGTGCATGCCTGTGGTCCTGGCTACTTGGGAGGCTGAGGATGGAGGATCATTTGAGCCCAGGAGGTCGAGGCTGCAGTGAACCGTGATCACGCCACTGCACCCCAGCCCAGGCAACAAAGTGAGCCCCTGTCTCTAAATAAATAAAGAGACAATAAGCCACTCATTCATTCTTTCATTCATTTATCAGCTTATGCTTAGTGAGTTATAGGCCCTGGAGACACTGCCTTGAAGAAACCTTACATTCTGGTGGGCGTGCGGGAGCAGATGCTGAACAACAAACGGGAAAATGTAAATATGAGATTTTTCCAGGAGTGGTGGGGCCGTGAAGAAAACAAGATCGTGTGAGAGTGAGGCAGGGTGGGGGTGAGAGCAACATTGGCCCGGGTGGCCCAGGAAGGCCTTCCTGAGGTGACAACTGAGCTGAGACTGAGGATGAGAGGCTGGGTTTTGCAGGTGAAGGCAATGGCAGGTGCAAAGGCCCTGGGGTGAGACTGAAGGAGGGAAGGGCCGGCAGTGGGTGGGGGTCGGGGGGAGCAGGGCAGGCAGGGGCTGGGTCAGGAGGGCACTGTTGGGGCATGGCGAGGAGTTTGGTTTTGGGGAGCAAATGTGAGAAAAGGGAGCAAGCAGAGGAAAGGAGGGCCCAGTGCTGCAGTGGGATTGGAAAAGGAGGAGGAAGGGGCAGACAGTGAGCATGCAGGAGGCTGTCCCCTTCCCTCCAGGACCCCCTGGGTCTGAGCAGGACTCTGCCCCTCTGGCCATCTCCTGGGTGGGGGCAGGTACGGACGCTGTCCCTGCAGCAGGAAAAGGCTGTCCCACTTGGAGCCAGGTGGTCCGCGGCGGCTCCCACAACACTGTCTGCAGAGCTGGAATGCTCTATGCACTGCCCCCACCCTCAGCAGCTGGGTTCGGGATTTCCTCCCCCAGTGCAGAGGGGAGACCTGGCCACCTGGGTCACCAGGTGAAGGATTTAGAGGCCTTTAGGAACATTCTTGCTCCCTGTCCTTTGTCCCTTGTCACGGACACAGGCCTCCATGCCCACAGGCACTCAGCCTCCCTTGATCACCCCTCCCTCGTCAGTTCTTTACATAGCAGGGGCTTTGACCTGTGCTTTATCCCCATTGCTTTGCTTTGTGACTTAGACCGGGGAAAGATAGTTGGCCCCTCCCACCTCCCTCTCCATCACCCTCCTTTGCCAAGCAGCGTGTGGGGAAATGTTTCTGGCTCAGATGGTTGAATATCTCAATTGCTTACAACATTCTGCTCTGAAAACGTCTCTTTGGTCTCTATTATTTGTGGCTTATGCGTCAAAGTTATCTGCTGGCAACTTGACAATGGCAGAGTCCGTTAACAAGCATCCCTGGCAGGACTTCATTGTTTTTAAGCACTTCCCTGGTTTTTATCTTATTTAACTCTTAGATTTTTGCTCACGTGGTGCTAAAATCCAACTGCCTGCGTCTTCCCCATGGATCCCAGCTCTGCACCCTGGACCCACAGACTCTGCTTGCTCTGCCTGCCTGGAGAGAGGGGACGAAGGGTGTTGATCTTCTGAGGTCACTCTTCTCCATGGTGAGCAGCTCACGCCTTACAACCACTCCTCAGGGACGTCGCCAACCCAGTGATGCTGTTCAGGGAGCTCCAGCCCCATACCCTGAGTTTGTTCACAACCTTCTGGGAGCATGGAGTCCAGCAGTGCCCCAGAGGTGATATGACCAGTACTGTTTCTAAATTGTCTTTCACCTCCCACCTCCTGACCACTGCCTCTATTAATGTAGCCTCAGAATGAATGAGCTTGACCTGGCTTATAGAGCCATCATCTACCATTGGTGTCATGCCCTTCCTGGAGCCTAGAGGTGGCCCAGCTGACAGCCTAGGAACCGAGCCAGGTCAGAATCCCCAACTTGTTACCAGGATCCTCCTGACACAGCCCCACATTATGGAGCAGAAAAGGGATCCTGGGCTCTGAATTCAGGCTGACCTGGGTTTGAGTCCCATCTCTACAAGTCAGCATTGATGTGACCCAGGGAAATTCCTCACCTCTCCAGGCCTCAGGCCACTCTTGGATAGAATGGAGATGATAACACACGCCTCATGGAATATTTACTTGATAAAATTAAGTGCTCATGGCCGGGCACGGTAGCTCACACCTGTAATCCCAGCACTTCAGGAGGCCAAGGCAGACAGACCACTTGAGGTCACGGGTTCAAGACCAGCCTGGCCAACATGGTGAAACCCCGTCTCTATTAAAAATACCAAAATTATCCAGGCATGGTGACGGGCACCTGTAGTCCCAGCTACTCAGGGGGCTGAGGTACGAGAATTTCTTGAACATGGGAGGCGGAGGTTGCAGCAGGCCGAGATGGTGCCACTGCACTCTAGCCTGGGTGACAGAGTGAGACTCTGTCTAAAAAAAAAAAAAAAAATTAAGTGCTTACTGCAGACTATATCAAATGATGGAGATGACTGCTCAGAAAGGGGCAGTGGGGAGTGAAGCTGTGTTAATTACATTTCACAGCGTGCTGGGCACCAGACTGGGTGTGTCACCCACTGGGGGCCTCCTGTGAGCCTCACATCAGCCCCCGGGTGGAGAGTAGTCCAGGCAAAACACAGAAGAGTTGCCACTGGAGTCCAGCCCTGTGTGATGTCAGAGTTCTCTCTGGCCCCTGTATCATGGTCTCCCACCAAGTCTGCTAAAGTTCTGGGTCTTCCACCCTCTTCTTTCCCCTGGTATCCCAGCCAGAAACCTCTCTGAGCCCTGGAGCCCTGGAGCCCTGGAGCAGCTATGGTGCCCGTTTGTGGGCCACATTCCTGGGCCTGCTACAAGCCTCCCTGCCTGGCTTTCTGAGCACCAGTTGTGTGCTGGGTGTTTCCTGCTGCCTGAGGCAGATCCCTTCCCCAAGGAGCTCCTGTGCCTTTAATGCTGTCTCCATGGAGGTAACAGGTAATGCAGCCCTCACAAGTACACATCACCTTGCAGTTTACAAAGCCCATCATCTAAATCTCACTGCAACCCTGAGAGGTGGGCATTATCCTCCCCATTTTATGGGTGAGGAAACTGAAGCTCAGAGAGGCAAGTGGCTGATCTAGAAATGCCCGAGTCTATGCTCCGGGCAACAGAAAGATCCCCGACTATCACAGCTTCATTGTGCACCTGCTCTAGGACACTGAGCAAGTCTTTTCCTCGATCAGCTCCTCAATTTCTTGTCATGAAAGTCAAGGGTTGGAATAGCTGGTTTCTAAAGAGCCCCCAGCTCCTCTCCGAGCCCATAACACGTGTAATAAATGCCACCATGTCAGGGGAAGGAGAAATGATTTCAGGACGGGATTAGCCACAGAGGAACTAGTTTCTGAACTGGGTCTTTGTGGATACTAGAATATGAGTTGGCAGGGAAGTCATTCTGGAAGGGAAAGTGCAAGTGCAAATGTAGGATGGGGGTGACCCATAGTAAATTAAACTGACAGGGAATCTGAGGCTAAGAGAGCTGAGCTTCCTTGTCTCGGGTTATACATTCAATGGTGAAGTTTGTATTCAAGCCTAGGGTAGGCTGTGCTTCCGCTGTCTGGATACTAGAATTTTGGGTCAAAATACTGATGCTGAGGGCTCTTCTGCAGAGATTCTAATGCAATTAATCTTGACCTAGACCTGTCTTGGCAGGAGTGTGCTTGGGGCCTGTGGTTCCTGAGCACTGGTGTCCTTGGGGACCACCCCATTGATATGACCACCTGCCTGAGCCAGTGCCATGTGCTTCAGACTTGCTCCATGTCATCTGTGGGAAGGGGGCTGCTATATGCCCATGTGTAGCTGGAATCACGTGATGCTAGTAAAGCGCTGTCTGCTCCAGCCCTATGTCCTGGTGTATTAGTCTGTTCTCATGCTGTTATGAACTATCTGAGACTGGGTAATTTATAAAGGAAAGAGGTTGGCCGGTCGTGGTGGCTCACACCTGTAATCCCAGCACTTTGGGATGCTGAGGTGGGTGGATCACCTGAGGTGAGGAGTTAGAGACCAGCCTGGCCAACATGATGAAATCCTGTCTCTACTTAAAATATAAAAATTAGCTCAGCATGGTGGTGGGCACCTGTAATCCTAGCTACTCAGGAGGCTGAGGCAGGAGACTTGCTTGAACCTGGGAGGCAGAGGTTGCAGTGAGCCGAGATCGCTTCACTGCACCACTCCAGTCTGGGTGACAGAGCAATTCTCAGTCTCAAAAAAACAAAAAACAAAATAAAAAAAAGGGAAAGAGGTTTAGTTGACTCACAGTTCTGCAGGGCTGGGGAGGCCTCAGGAAAGTTATTACGATTATGGGGGAAGGGGAAGCAAACATGTCCTTCTTCACACAGCTTCAGGAAGGAGAAGTGCTGAGCAAAAGGGGGAAAAGCCCCTCTCAAAACCATTAGATCTCATGAGAACTCACTCACTATCATGAGACAGCATGGAGGTAACCACTCCCGTGATTCAATTACCTCCCACCAGGTACCTCCCATGACATGCGTGGATTATGGGAACTACAATTCAAGCTGAGATTTGGGTGCGGACACAGCCAAACCATATCATTCCACCCCTGGCCCCTCCCAAATCTCATGTGCTCACATTTCAAAACACAATCATGCCTTCCCAACAGTCCTCCAAAGTCTTAATTCATTCCAGTATTAACCCAAAAGTCCAAGTGCAAAGTCTCATCTGAGACAAGGCAAGTCCCTTCCGCCTATGAGCCTGCAAAATCAAAATCAACTTAGTTATTTCCTAGATACAACGGGGGTACAGGCATCGGGTAAATACATGCATTCCAAATGGGAGAAATTGGCCAAAACAAAGGGGCTCCAGGCCCCATGCAGGTCCAAAATCCAACGGGGCAGTTATTAAACCTTAAAGTTCCAAAATGATCTTCTTTGACTCTATGCCTCACATCCAGGGCACACTGATGCAAGAGGTGGCAGCTTTGCATCCCATGGCCTTGGGCAGCTCCACCCCTGTGGCTTTGCAGGGTACAGCCCTGCTCCTTGCTGCTTTCATAGGCTGGTGTTGTGTGTGGCTTTTCCAGGCGTACAGTGCAAGCTATCGGTGGATCTACCATTCTGCAGTCTGGAGGATGGGGGCCCTCTTCCTACAGCTGCACTAGGCAGTGCCCCAGTGGAGACTCTGTGTGGGGGCTCTGACCCCACATTTCCCTACTGCACTGTCCTAGCAGAGGTTCTCCATGAGGACTCCACCCCTGCAGCAGACTTCTGCCTCAACATCCAGGCCTTTCCATATATCCTCTGAAATCTAGGTGGAGGTTCTCAAACCTCAATTCTTAACTTCTGTGCACCAGCAGGCCCAACACCATGTGGAAGCTGCCAAGGCTTGGGGCTTGCACTCTCTGAAGCAATGGCATGAGCTGTACATTGGCCCCTTTTAGCCACAGCTGGAGTGGCTAGGACTCAGGGCACCAAGTCCTAAGGCTGCACACAGCAGGGGGGCCCTGAACCTGGCCCAGGAAACCATTTTTCCCTCCTAGGCCTCCGGACCTGTGATGGGAGGGACTGCCAGGAAGGTCTCTGACATGTCCTGGAGACATTTTCCCCATTGTCTTGATGACTAACATTTGGCTCCTTGTTACTTTTGCAAATTTCTGTAGCCAGCTTGAATTTCTCCCCAGAAAATGGGGTTTTTCTATCACATCATTAGGCTGCAAATTTTCCAAACTTTTATGCCCTGCTTCCTCTTGAACACTTTGCTGTTTAGAAATTTCTTTCACCAGATACCTTAAATCATCTCTCTCTAGTTCAAAATTCCATAGATCTTTAGGGGAGGGGCAAAATGCCACCAGTCTCTTTGCTAAAGCATGGCAAGAGTCACCTTTGCTCCAGTTCCCATGAAGTTTTTCATCTCCATCTGAGACCACCTCAGCGTGGATTTCATTGTCCATATCACTATCAGCATTTTGGCCAAAACCATCCAACAAGTCTCTAGGAAGTTTGAAACTTTCCTACATATTCCCGTCTTCTTCTTGGCCCTCCAAACTTCCAACCTCTGCCTATCACCCAGTTCCAATGTCTCTTCCACATTTTTGGGTATCTTTATGGCAGCACCCCACTCTCTGTGGTACCAATTTACTGTATTAGTCTGTTCTCACACTGCTATAAAGAACTACTCAAGACTGGGTTATTTATAAAGCAAAGACTCAGTTCAGCAAGGCTAGGGAGGCTTCAGGAAACTTACAATCATGGCAGAAGGGGAAGCAAACACATCCCTCTTTACATGGAAGCAGAAAGGACAAGTGTGGAGCAAAAGGGGGAAAGCCCCTTATAAAACCATCAGATCTTGTGAAAACTCACTCACTATCATGAGAACAGCAGTATGGGAGTAACTGCTCCCATGATTCAATTACCTCCCACTGGGTCCCTCCCATGACACTTGGAGATTATGGAAACTACAATTCAAGATTTGGGTAAGGACACAGCCAAACCTTATCATCTGGCTATACTAGTCATTCCTAGGCAGAGGCCTTAACTCCTCTGAGCATAGCATCCCACTCATAAATCTAATCATGTACACTAACTGGATATTTAGTGATGTAAGGGAAAAATCATTACTTCTTAGATGTGTTAATGTATTGGGAATATGTTTTCAAAGAGCCCTTATCCTCCAAAGAGGAGATCCATACTGAAGTATTTATGAATGAAATTACAGAATACATGGGGTTCGCTTCAAAACAATCTGGATATTTGGGAGATGATAAAACATGAAGTGATAATAGTTGATACTGGGTGATGAGTATATAGAAGTTCATTGTCATTTGAATGATGTGTAAAAAAATAGAAGTTCATTATACCATTCCCTCTAATTTTGGATGTGTTTGACATTTCTATAATCAACAAGTTCTTAATCCTAAAAATTTGATAGTACATACAGATACTTATCGATGAAGAGTCAAACGCTGTAAAATATTTGAAGTGATTTATTCTGTGCCAAATATGAGTGATCAATGGGCTGTGATGCAGCCCTTAGGAGATCCTAAGAACATGTGCCCAATGTGGTTGGGCCACAAGTTGGTTTTATACATTTTAGGGAGACATAAGGCATTAATCAAGACATGTAAGATATATATTGGTCAGGAAAGGCAAGACTAGAAGCGGCTGGGTGGGGGCTTCCAAGTCAGAGGGCAGTTTCAAAGATTTTCTGACTGGCAATTGCTTGAAAGAGTTATTATCAATAACAAGGAATCAATAGAAAGGAATATCTGGGTTATGGTAAAGGATTGTGGAGACCAATGTTTTATCATGCAGATGAAGCCTCCAGATAGCAGGCTTCAGAGAGAATAGATTGTAAATATTTCCTATCAGATTTAAAGAAGCTTTTCTTCCTTCTGAGAACTGGAACAAGACAAGAATGCCCACTCTTACCACTTCTCTTCAACATAGTACTGGAAGTCCTAGCCAGAGCAATCAGACAAGAGAAAGAAATAAAGGGCATCCAAATTGGTAAAGAGGAAGTCAAACGGTTGCTGTTTGCTGATGTTATGATTGTATACCTAGAAAACCCTAAAGACTCCTTCAAAAAGCTCCTAGAACTGATAAAAGAATTCAGCAAAGTTTCCAGATACAAAATTAACGTACACAAATCAGTAGCTCTTCTATACACCAACAGCGACCAAGCTGAGAATCAAATCAAGAATTCAACCCCTTTTACAATAGCTGCAAAACAAAACAAAACAAAGCAAAAAAAACCAAAAACAACTTAGGAATATACCTAACCAAGGAGGTGGAAGACCTCTACAAGGAAAACTACAAAACAATGCTGAAAGAAATCATAGACCACACATGCAAATGGAAATGCCTCCCATGTTTGCGGAAGGATAGACTCAATATTGTGAAAATGACCATACTGCCAAAACAGTCTACAAATGCAATGCAATTCCCATCAAAATACTGCATAATTCTTCACAGAACTAGAAAAAACAATTCTAAAATTCATATGGAAACAAAAAAGAGCCCACATAGTCAAATCAAGACTAAGCAAAAAGAACAAATCTGGAGGCATCAGATTACATGATTTCAAACTATACTATAAGGCCATAGTCACCAAAACAGCATGGTACTGGTATAAAAATAGACACATAGACCAGAAATAAACCCAAATACTTACAGCCAACCGATCTTTGACAAAGCAAACAAAAACATAAGGTGGGGAAAGGACACCCTATTCAACAGTGGTGCTGGGATAATTGGCAAGACACATGTAGGAGAATGAAACTGGATCTCTCACCTTATACAAAAATCAACTCAAGATCGATCAAAGACTTAAATCTAAGACCTGAAACTATAAAAATTCTAGAAGATAACATCAGACAGACCCTTCTAGACATTGGCTTAGGCAAGGGTTTCATGACCAAGAACCTAAAAGCGAAAAAACGATAAAAACAAAGATAAATAGCTCGGACTTAAATTAAAGAGCTTTTTGCATGGCAAAAGCAACAGTGAGCAGAGTAAACAGACAACCCACAGAGTGGGAGAAAATCTTCCCAATCTACTCATCTGACAAAGAATAGTATCCAGAATCTACAATGAATGCAAACAAATTAGCAAGAAAAAAAAAATCTCATCAAAAAGTGGGCTAAGGACGTGAATAGACAAATCTCAAAAGAAGATATACAAATGGCCAACAAACATATGAAAAAATGTTCATCATCACTAATGATCAGGGAAATGCAAATCGAAACGACAATGCAATAGCACCTTACTCCTGCAAGAATGGCCATAATCAAAAAATCAAAAAATAATAGATGTTGGCATGGATGTGGTGAACAGGGAACCCTTCTACACAGCTGGTGGGAATGTTAACTAGTACAACCACTGTGGAAAACAGTGTGGAGAGTCCTTAAAGAACTAAAAGTAGAACTACCATTTCATCTAGCAATCCCGCTACTGGGTGTCTACCCAGAGGAAAAAAAGTCATTATATGAAAAAGATACTTCACATGCATGTTTGTAGCAGCACAGTTCTCAATTGCAAAAATGTGGAACCAACCCAAATGTCCATCAATCAATGAGTGGATAAAGAAACTGTGGTGTATATATATGATGGAATGCTACTCAGCCATCAGCCATAAAAAAGAAATGAATTGACGGTATTTGCAGTACTTGCAGCAATCTGGGTAAGATTGGAGGCTATATTCTTTTGTTTTTTTTTTTTGAGACAGAGTCTCGCTCTGTCACCCAGGCTGGAGGGCAGTGGCGCAATCTCGGCTCACTGAAAGCTCCGCCGATTGGAGGCTATATTCTAAGTGAAGTAACTCAGAAATGGAAAACCAAATATTATATGTTCTCACTCATAAATGAGAGCTAAGCTATGAGGATGCAAAGGCATAAGAATGACACAATGGACTTTGGGGACTCAGGGGGAAAGGGTTCTAAGGGGGTGAGGGATAAAAGACTACAAATTGGGTGCAGTGTACACTGCTCAGGTGATGGGTGCACCAAAATCTCACAAATCACCACTAAAGAACTTACTCGTGTAACCAAACACCACCTGTTCCCCAGTTACCTATGGAAATAAAACATTTAAAAAAACTATAGTCCAGTATCACAACCAAGATACTGGCATTGATAGATCAATTCACATGGAAGGGTCCCTTATGTTTTCCTTTCATAGGCACACTCATTTCCCTTCTGCTCCCACCCTCTCCTTAACCCATAACAAACACTTGTCTATTCTCCATTTTTGTAATTTTGTTATTTCAAGAATACTATATAAATGGAATAATATAGTATGTAATCTTTGGGGCTTATCTTTTTACATTCAGCATGATTCTCTGGAGATTCATCCAGGTTGTTGCATTTATCAATCGTTCATTCCTTTTTTACCGCTGAATAGTATTCCATAGTATGGATGTACCATAGTTTGTTTAACCATTCGCTCAGTGAATGAATATATCAATACTTTGTTTCCAGTTTTTGCTGTTATGAATAAAGCTACTAGAAACGTTAAAAAAAGAATATTTTCTATCTGTGATTCCAAAAGGGGGTAGGATATAATGAGGCATGCCCGACCACTGCTTCCCATCATATATATATATATATATATATATATATATATATATATATATATATATATATAATCATGGGATTACAGGCACACACTACATCTGGCTAAGTTTTGTATTTTTAGTAGAGACGGGGTTTCGCCATGTTGGTCAGACTGGTCTCAAACTCCTGACCTCAGACAATCTATCCTCCTTGGCCACCCAAAGTCCTGGGATTACAGGCAAGAGCCACTGCGCCCGGCCTTTTTTATTTTTTATTTTTTTAAATTGAGATGAATCTCACTCTGTTGCCCAGGCTGGAGTGCAGTGGCATGCTCTTGGCTCACTACAACCTCTGCCTCCCAGGTTCAAGCTATTCTGGTGCCTCAGCCTCCCATGTAGCTGGGATTACAGGCGTGTGCCACAACACCCGGCTAAGTTTTTGTATTTTTAGTAGAGTTGGGGTTTCATTATGTTGGCCAGGCTGGTCTCAAATTCCTGACCTCAAGTGATCCACCCGCCTTGGTCTCCCAAAGTGCTAGGATTACAGGCATGAGCCACCACGCCCAGCCTCAAGGGCCAGATTCTTTACTGCATCCTGTTTCATCAGCAAGGTCTTTGTGACCCGTACCTTGTTCTGACCTACTATCTCATTCTGTGACTAAGAATGCCTAGCCCCCTGGGAATGCAGCCCAGTAGGTCTCAGCATTATTTTACCCAGCCTCTGTTCAAAAAGGAGTCACGCTGGTTTGAATGCCTCTGACAATATGGGATGATACATTTCAATTTGCACCTATTTATCCAATTTGTCTTTTCTCCCCTTTTCTCTATCTCAATCTAACAACCTCTAACCCAAATTTCTCCAAAGCCATCAGCTTGGGTTTTTTGTTTGTTTGTTTGTTTGTTTGTTTTCTGTCACCCAGGCTGGAGTGCAGGGGGCATGATCTTGGCTCACTGCAGCTTTGACCTCCCAGGCTCAAGCAATCCTCCTGTCTCAGCCTCCTGAGTAGCTGGGCATGTGTGTGCCACCACATCTGGTCAATTTTTTCTATTTTGAAAAAGATGGGGTTTTGCTGTGTTGCCCAAGCTGGTCTCGAACTCCTGGGCTCAAGTGAGCCTCCCACCTCAGCCTCCCAAAGTGCTGTGATTACAGGTGTGAGCCACTGCAGCCATCCTGGCTTGGCTTTTGATATGTGAAACTTGTTTGAAGTTTCAAAGCGGGGAATTGAAGGAAATTAAAATATTTCACATCAAAATATATTTCTTTGACATATTTTGAAATGGCTGCCACTTGGTCATCTTGACAGAAGTGGCCTTGCAAAGCTGCCTTAAGTGGGGAAATTTGCATCTGTAGAGAATCTCATGCATGCTGCCAGGCCCTTCCCCTCCCCCACCTTTCTATTCTTTCCCCAGACCCAAGAGCGATTGGGACTCTCACACCCTTTACCATCTATTCTCTCCAAGGGAGGCTTCATCCACATAACAAGGACATCTTTGCTAGTCCAGCTTCTTTTCCCCTCTTATAATCTGTTTTACTAGAATCTAAGCTCCTGTTCTTTCTGTAACCTCAAAATGGTATGTAAGATTCTGTAACTCATGGGGAAGCTGGGCCTTCATTCTGAAGGCTCCCGTGTATGCACATTAAATTTGTATGCCTTTTCTCCTATTAAGAAGAAGATAGCACATAGAAATAGGAAAAGATGCCCCAAGACAGAACATAACAAAGGAAAATCAGGGGCGTCGGGAGTTGTGGTCACCCAGCGTGCCAGGATGGAAGGGCAGGGGGATAAAGGGGAAGCTGTGCGTTCAGCACCGCGGACAGCGACCTGCCTTCCCTGCTGTCTCAGCAGCCTTGGGAATGGGTATCAGAGGGCTGAGATTTGGAGATCTGCTAGATTAAGCTTACTGAAGAAGAGCCTCTTCAGGACAAAGTGCTATCCAGCCCCTTCTTATGCCCCTTCTTATGCAGCGGTGAGGTTTTCTCTATTCAAAGGCTCAGGCCTTGATGGACATTTTCGGCTCATGAGAAGTTACTGCTTTCTGCTCTTTAAGGATATCTTGTCAAAAAACAATTGGTCATAGATGTTTGGGTATATTTTTGAGCTTTCTATTCTGTTCCATTTATTTACATGTTTATGCTTATGTCAGTTACATATTGTTTTGATTTACAGTGTTAAGGTAAGTAGCTTTATAATAAGTCTTTAAATCAGGTAGTGTGAGCCCTCAAACTTTGCTATTCTTTTTAAAAATTATTTTGCCCATTCTAGGTTCTTTTTCTTCTTATTTATTTATTTATTTATTTATTTATTTTGAGATGGAGTCTCGCTCTGTCGCCCAGGCTGGAGTGCAGTGGCACAATCTCGGCTCACTGCAATCTCCACCTCCCGGGTTCACGCCATTCTCTTGTCTCAGCCTCCCCAGTAGCTGGGACTACAGGCACCCGCCACCGTGCCCGGCTAATTTTTTGTATTTTTAGTAGAGACGGGGTTTCACCGTCTTAGCCAGGATGGTCTCGATCTCCTGATCTCATGATCCGCCCGCCTTGGCCTCCCAAAGTGCTGGGATTACAGGCGTGAGCCACCGCGCCTGGCCTATTTTTCTATATAAATTTTAGAGTCAGCTTGTCAATTTCAACAGCAGAGTCCAGTGGGATTTTACCTGGAATTGCACTGACTCTATAGATAAATGTGAGGAGGCCAGGCACGGTGGCTCACGCTTGTAATCCCAGCACTTTGGGAGGCTGAGGCAGGCAGATCACGAGGTCAGGAGTTTGAGACTAGCCTGGCCAGCATGGTGAAACCCTGTCTCTACTAAAAACAATACAAAAAAATGAGCCGGGCATGGTGATGCATGCCTGTAATCCCAGCTAGTCAGCAGGCTGAGGCAGGAGAATTGCTTGAACCCAGGAGGCAGAGGTTGCAGTGAGCCAAGATCGCGCCACTGCACTCCAGCCTGGGCGACAGAGTGAGACTCTGTCTCAAACAAACAAACAAAAAAAAGTGAGAATGGGCAGAATGGGCACCTTAACAATGCTGAATCCATTAACAGGGTATAATTCTCCATTTCTTTAAGTTTTAAAACATTTCTCTCACTCATGTTTTGTAGGTTTTGCTACACAAATCTTGTGCATATTTTCCTACATATATTATAAGTATTTAATAGTTTTCAATGCTATTAAAAATGGTATTTTTGAAACTGCAATTCCCAATTGTTGGTTGCTAGTATGTATAAATAGGATTGTTTTTATTTGTTGGCCTTGTATCCTATGACCTTGCTAAACTCACTTATTAGTTCTAGCAGCCTTTTTGCAAATTCCTAGGGATTTTCTGTTAATAAAGGTTTTTCTTTAGGTTTCTATTCTGAAAAAAAGTTAAATGTATAGAAAAGTTTACTGCAATTGCGGTAGGCAGAATAACAGTCCTCCAAAGATGTCCACATTCCAGTCCTGGGAGCCTGTGAATATGTTATATTATATGTCAAAGTCAAACTAAGGTTGTAGATGAAATTAAGGTTGCTGATCAGCTGATCTTAAAATAGGGAGATTATCTTGGATTATTGGGTGGGTACAATGTAATCACAAGGGTCCTTAAAAGTGGAGGACGGAGACAGAAGAAGAGTCAATGTAAGAGCGATATGGCCAAGCGCAGTGGGTCATGCCTGTAATCCCAGCACTTCGGGAGTTCGAGGCAGGTGGATCAACTGAGGTCGGGAGTTCAAGACCAGCTGCACCAACATGGAGAAACCCTGTCTCTAATAAAAATACAAAATTAGTCGGGCGTGGTAGTGCATGCCTATAATCCCAGCTACTCAGGAGGCTGAGGCAGGAGAATTGCTTGAACCTGGGAGGCGGAGGTTGCAGTGATCCGAGATCGTGCCACTGTACTCCAGCCTGGGCAACAAGAGTGAAACTTTGTCTCAAATAAACAAGTAAACAAAAAGAGTGATACGATGTGAGAAAGACTGTGTCTGCCATTTTGAAGATGGAAAGAGACCATGAGCTAGAGAATGTGGGTGGCTTCTAGAAGCTAAAGAAAGCAAGGAAATAGGTTCTCCCCTGGATCCTCCAGAAAGGAATGCTAGCCCTGCTGACACCTTCCTTTTGGTCTAGTGGTACCAGCATCAGACTTCTGACTTACAGAGCTGAGTTTGTGGTAATTCATTATAGCAAAATAGAAAATGACTACATAATGAACATATATCATCACCTACATTCACCAATTGTGGCTTTTCCCACATTTTCTTTCTCGCTCTCAATGTGTATACATACATGTGCTTGCATTAGGGTTATAATTGTGGTTTTATTTTTGTAAAACCATTTGAAAGTAAGTGGCAGACATCATGATTCTTCACCCCCAAATACTTCCACATGTACCTCTGAGGCAAATGGACATTTTTACATAACCACAGTGCAGTTTTCAAATTTAGGAAATTTAAAATAGAATATCATCTAATCTAGAGTCTATATTCAAATATTGCAAATTATCTCATTAATGTCCATTATGGCTTTTTTTTTTCAGACGGAGTCTTTTTCTGTCACCCAGGCTGGAGTGCAGTGGTGCAATCTCAGCCCACTGAAACTTCCATCTCCCAGGTTCAAGCAATCCTCCTGCCTCAGCCTCCTGAGTAGCTGGGATTATGGTGCGTGTCACCACTCCCAGCTAATTTTGACCAGACCTCACTTACAAAACAAACCCAAAGATAAATGCAACAATTTCAAGATAGTGACCACAGACCATTAAATTCCAAAGTGTGGGGCCCTTCTGAGCACAGAACCCTGTGTGACTCCCCTGGTTGCGTATCCGTGAAGCAAGGCCTGCATCTATGTCCATGTCTGTACTTTTATCTATGTCTATATCTTCATGTAACCGCCACTAAGAGCAAGCTATGATGTTTCCAACACTATGGAGGGTAGGTAACCTTGAGTCTGCTCCCAGTCAACCCTCTTTCCAATGCCCCAGGTTAAGACTATTCTCACCTCTATCACTATAGATCAGTTTTGCTTGGTTTTGACTGTATATAAATAGAATCATATGACATACCATTTTTTGTGCTTGACTTAGTTTGTTCATCATTTTGACTGTGACATTCTTCTCAGTTACATTCCTTTTTTAAAAAAATTACTGTATTCCATTGTATGAATATATCGCAATTTATCTATTCTACTGTTGGGTACGTGGGTTTTTTCCCATTTTTGTCTAACATGCTCAAATTGTTTCCGATTTGACCTATGATAATACTTTCATGTTATACCCTGTGTCCTTCTGACCTATTCCCAACATTTTTGAACTTGCAGGAGTTCAAGACTCAACAAGACATTTTAGGCTCATCTTGTACTTTCCTTGCCCTGGAGTTGGCTTTTTCTCCAAGAAACCCCAGGTTCATTTGGTGAGGGAAGTATTTAGCAAAGATCTGGGCAGTGGGTATGCCTAGTATTATTGAGATATCACTGCCTAAAGGCTTTTCCAGCAAATATAAGAAATAGGAATTTTAAAATATCATAAACTCATGTCAATACCTCCAATTCCAATCCAATACCATAGAGTTCTTCCCTGCCTTCTCGCATTCCCCACTTACATTTTCCTTCTCCCACAGTGAGAACCCTCACCTGAAACATCAGGATATTCATTCATTCACTCAATCCCTCTAGCTTTTGGCTAGATGCCCTTTTGCCATTGGCCTAATTATTCTGAATAAAGGCTGGGTGCTCGGAATGTCCTCTTTCTTTTTTGGAAAGACATCTACAAGCTTCCCAAGTCAGGATTAATTGCTGTTTCCTCTCTCTGTCTGCTATGTACACATGGCCTGCGCTTCTCAGCCCATGTGTATGTCTTTGGTGTCAGAATGCACGTGTCTCACTCTACAGTAAGAAGGAGAGAGTAGGAATAGGTCCCGTCCAGCCACTCTGCTCCAGATTCTTGTTGGTGTAAACTCCTTCCATCTTCCTGGCTACACTACTTAGAGGTAGGAATCATTCTTTTCCTTTACACAGCTGATGATGCTCGGCTGCAGAGAATGAGAGCAGGCTGTGTTGTTTTCATCTTTGTGCTTCCCCAGGCATGTTAGTAGGTGCTTCATATATGTCTGTTGAGTGCATGACTGGCAAGGGGTTGCACTGAGATCTCTAGAACTCGGTTGCTCTCAAATTATAGTTTGCACAAGAAGTGCCTTACTAAATGTATATTTTTGTAATTTTTCTCCATAGATCTGGGGTCCTGGAATTTGCAATCCAACACTCCCCTCCCCTACTCATGGGATATTAAGAAGCACTTTTTGGCTGGGCGAGGTGGTTCACACCTGTAATCCCAGCACTTTGGGAGGCCAAGGTGGGCAGATCACGAGGTCAGGAGATTGAGACCATCCTGGCTAACACGATGAAACCCCGTCTCTACTAAAACAAACAAACAAAAAATACAAAAAATTAGCCAGGCATGGTGGCATGTGCCTGTAGTCCCAGCTACTCGGGAGGCTGAGCCAGGAGAATGGCGTAAACCCGGGAGGTGGAGCTTGCAGTGAGCTGAGATCGCGCCCCTGCACTCCAGCCTGGGCGACACAGCGAGACTCCATCTCAAAAAAAAAAAAAAAAAAAAAAAAGCAAAAAAAAAGCACTTTGTTTTTTTGGCTGGACTAGGTGGCCCATACTTTTTTTTTGTTGTTGTTAGAAGATCTCGTCCTGTTGCCCAGACTGGAGTGCAGTGGTGCAAGCTCACAGCTCACTGCTAATTTTTTTTTTTGTATGTTTGTAGAGATGCGGTTTCACCATTTACCCAGGTTGGTCTCGAACTCTTGACCTCAGGAGATCCGCCCGTGCTCGACCTCTCAAAGTGCTGAGATTACAGGCGTGATCCACCGCGCCTGGCGAAGACGCATATTTTTAATAGGACCTAATATTTACCTGAAATTATCTTGGTTATTTACCAATGTAAGCTCCAACAGGGCCAGGCTTCTGCTTGCTTCTACCCTGACGCGTGTCGGGGCCCTGGCCCAGTGCCTGGCACAGATCAGCAGCGCGCTAAGCACGTGTTGAATGGACGACTACCTTTCAGGGCCTTCCAGCCAGGGTATCTCATGCGTCTGTGTTGAGCGCTTGCTGAGTGACAGAAGCTATGAGCGGAATGAACGCACGCACGACTGAGGAGGCTGCAGACCGCGGGCCAGGGTCTCTGTCAGCCCCGGCAGCGGGTGGGTGACCCCGGCCGGGGGCGGGGCGGGGAGGACGCGGCTCCGCGGCGCCATGACGTCACGCCCGTGCAGCGCCGCGGCCGCGTGCCGGGCGGCGCCATGACGTCATACCCGCGGAGCCTCCGCCGCGCGTCGGCGGCGCCATGACGTCACGCCTGCGGAGCTGCCGCCGCGCGCCGGTGGGGCGCGAGCGTGTGCGGGGCGCGGGCGCGGGCGCGGGCGCGGGCGCGTGCGGGCTGCGAGCCGGGAGGCGGCGGCGGCGACGGCGACGGCGGCGGCATGGCGGAGAGCGAGGCCGAGACCCCCAGCACCCCGGGGGAGTTCGAGAGCAAGTACTTCGAGTTCCATGGCGTGCGGCTGCCGCCCTTCTGCCGCGGGAAGATGGAGGAGATCGCCAACTTCCCGGTGCGGCCCAGCGACGTGTGGATCGTCACCTACCCCAAGTCCGGTGAGCCCCGCGCCGACCGCGCCCGCCACGCCATGCCCCAGCCCTGCAGCGCGGCCGCGTAGACGCCGCGCCCGCGCCCGGGGCTTCTGCTGGGCCGGGTGGTCGCCCTTGGCCTCCGCCCCTGCCGTGCCCACCGCTCTCCCGATGCTCGGATCCCTGCGGGGCGGGGTGGGGTGGGGTGGGGGTGGGAAGGGGCTTGGTTCTCATCTGGGGAAACCAAGGTCAGAGACCTTCGGGAGCGGCCCCTTCCGTGGAGATGGAGCCTATTTGGCCGGCGCTGCAGGAGGATGGGCCCAGGGCCGCCACCCATCCCTGCTTCTCCCTTTACCTGGCTGGCTGTGTGACCTTGGACAGGTCACTCAACCTCTCTGTTCCTGAATCCTGCCCAACCTTTGATGAGTGCAAAGTCCTGGTGTTCACCTGGGAAGGGAGATAACATGGGCGTCAGGGCTTTCAGCGTGGAAACGTAACGTCCCTCCTTTCCAGCCTGGGCTCCGGGTGGGGGATGGGACCAGTCCCCGCCTGGAGTGCCTTGCTTGTACATTCTCTTGTTTCAGGGCTGCCTCCATCACCGAGGCAGGACCTGGGGCATTCACATTTCCCAGCATTAGCTGACGTCACTTTCACAATAACAGCTGTGTGAGCTAGTGGTGGTCATTCCCACTTTACAGTCTAGGCACAGAGGCTCAGAGAGGGGAAGAGGCTGGTCCAAGGTCACTCAGCTGGTGAGTGGCTGACCTGGGAATTAAAGCTAGGCTGGTCTGTTTCCAGACCTGAGGTAGGAGATTGTATAGTACCCCATCTGAGGTTTTTAGGGAAAGGAGGTAGCAGCTTTCCTGTTCTGTAAACATGCCCTGGGATTTCCTTGTTGCCACTGTATTTGAGGCAATCACAGCGTGGTTTAGAAGGTGTCTGGCTCTAAGGTCACGCCGGACCAGCAGTCGGGCAGTTTCAGGAAAAGCTGTAGGCTTGGCTGTTGTAGCTGTATGGAGTTCCAGACACCTGAGGGCAGGTCTCTGACATTCTTCTGAGGAAGATTGGAGTAGGGACTCTCAGTGGAGGGTGTTGGTTGGAGAACAGAGCGTTCGATGGGCTGCTATCTTGAGCACATGCCAGTCGCCGCATGGGGTGGGACCTAAAATGCTTTAGGAATGGCTAAGCGTGTCGTTGGCTTCTGTGGCCACTCATTAAGTCCTGCGGGCCAAGTGCTCTATCGCTGTTAATCTGTGAGGGACTCTTACACCTTTTTTTCAGAGGCTCAGAGAAGGCACAAATTGTTCGGAGTCACACAGTTGCTGAGGGACAGAGGTCAGGTCTAGCTAGGTCTCCCGGTCCACGGCCAGCCTCTCCCCTGCCTTATGGGTGCTCCGTTGCCCTTGGAAAACCGTGAGGGCCCAAGAAGGAGGGGGACCTAGCCTTCTTTCTTGGAGGCTTTAAAATGCTGGAAGTCTCAGCCACTTAGGGATTTTGAGGTTTGTGTCACTTCTCTGAGGCCCCTCCAAGTGGACTTCTGGTAGCCCAGTTCATATTTTCTTTTCCTTTCCTTCCATCTGCTACTGGGGATGGATTTGTAGCAGGCATCAGTGCTTACACATTAAGAACCTGGCTTCGGAGTTGGAAGTCCTGGGTTTGAATGCAGTTTTGCGGCTTACCAGCAGAGTGACCCTGGGCAGATCATAGAATCCCATTGAGCTGTGGTCTCTGCGGAGGGAGAAGAGACCACCTCGGCCCGCTGATGTGTGGCTGTGAGGATGAGCAAAATGGCGGGTGAGAACGCTTAGCCCACGTCCAGACACACGCTGGAAAGGCTCGTGGTTAATGCTGACTTTTAAGCCCTGAACACCTGTTGTGCCCAGATGCTTTGCTAGGGGCTGGGGAAGCCGAGAGGGCCCCATCTGGTGCCTGTCCTTAGTGAGCTCTCAGTCTGATGGGGGAGACATGGTTGGTGCTGGGGTTGGGGCAAGTAGCCAGGACTAACAGGTGCCCCATTCACCTGCCATGGCAGGGAACCCACGGGCCTCCTTGGATTTCCAGTGCCCAGGTGTAGGAGATCCTAATGAACTTGCAGGTGGTCAGAGCCGGAAGGGCCTGGTCCCTTGTCAGCCCCTTCCCACCCTCTGCTGATGGAGAAACTGGGGTTCAAAGGGGTGGTGGGGGCTTTCTGGTGGCTAAGGCAATGATAATTAGATCCTGCCTTCGCTTCCTGTCCGGTATTTTTTCCCACAACCCCGTGCTGCTTGCTCGGATTCTTTTTGTGCTTGCGACATTCTAGCTTAGATGGCGGGTTAGGACTGTGCTCTCCAGCGTAGGACCCTCTGCCCACAGGCGGCTGCTTACATCTAATGAATTAAAATGAAATAAAAGTGGAAATTCTGTTCCTCAGTAGCATCACCATGTTTCAGGTGCTCAGTAGCCACATGGGGCTAGCGGCTGCCGTATTGGGTGGCGCAGATATGGAGTGTTCCCATCACAGCTGAAAGTTCTGCTGCACAGCGCCAGGTAAAACCGTGATCCAGACAGTAGGAGCCCATTGTGTCTTCTGAGAAGGACCTTTCTGTTGATGACCGACTTTGTTCCTATTCATTCTTACAGCGTAGTTGGTCCTGGGACGGTGGTTGTATTAAATCCGATTGTGTCTGTGAAAATATTTTGTCCCTGTGTGTTGGTTTGATGCAATCACTGCCACTGGTTTTGTCAACAGGTTGATTTGAATTGGGTGCTCGTCCCCGAGGGGGCACAGCCCCAAAGTCATGGAGCTTGGGCTTTGAAATACGGTCCCTGGCTCAGCCAGAGCACCCACTGCCCTGAGTTTATTTTGCCCCTGGTTCCGGCCAGTCCTGAAGTGTGTGCGCATTCTCACTGATGCAGACGGAAGCTTCTGGGCCTGGGCGTGGGTGAGCCACCTGGTTTCTTTGAACCTCAGTTTGCTCATTAAAAATGAGAGGATTTGACCAGATTGATTCATTTAAGTCTTACATTTTCAGACAACTCAGGGGTTGAAGCTGAGGGGAGCTGAAGCTGAGGGGAGACTCATGGTGTGCAGGTCCCAGGCTAGATGGATGTCCTAGTTTTCTTGGTGTGTATGTCACTGTGCCTGGGAGAGACAGGTTTCAGAAGGGCTGGGCATGAGGTGATGGTGACCTTGTGGCACTTGCAGTGACATGGGGGAAGCCAGAATCCTAACACTGAAAAGTTAACTGACAAGCCAGGGTGGCTGTTCTCAGGGTCAGGTAAATGGCCTGGTAATGAGGGTTCTGAAGAGGAGGATCTCGGGAGACTGCATGGAGGAGGAGACAGGTTGGGTGGATTACCCATTACAGATGCTGTTTTGCCCTCCACCCACTTTGATTCTCAGGACGGCCCTGTGCTCTTGTGATTATTTCCTTTTTATAGATGTGAAAATGAGGGCCTAGGGAGGACAAAGGGCTGGGGTAGTGGCAGCACCGAGTGTAGATCCTGGAGAGAAACCACCCACAGGAGGGGGTAAGAGAGGCGTGGGGGTGGGAGCTAGCACCTGCCAGCGCTTCCTGGGTTACCAGTTTGTTCTGAGATGAGGGAGCATGCGGAGCCCTTTGAGCTTTACCACACAGGGTAACAAAGTGTTCCACAGCAGTGTGGTGAGTTACCTGCGTCCTATGAGGGAATGCAGAGGCCTGAAGAATGGAACGTGTGGTTTTGTACCAGAAGAACTGAGAAGTTCCTCTTTCCCCATCTTTCTCCTCTTGCTCCCTCATCCCTTCCCCTTTGTCTTCCGGCTGTTACACATACTCAGGAGGCTTGACCTGGGGAAGGGGCTGCCAAAGCAAGTGTCCTGGGTCTGCGGGGGTCACGTTTCTCCCCATCACTCAACCGGGCTGGGAGGCAAAAGCCTGCAGAATGACTTCTGGAGGAAGAAGGAGATGGGGCTGCTGGGAGCACAGCCTCCTGAGTAGTTGGCCCTGGTTGAACTTGTAGTTGGTTTGAACTCCTGGGCTTAAATAATCCTCCTGCCTTGGCCTCCCAAAGTCCTGGGATTATGGGTGTGAGCCACCATGGCTGGCCATAGTTTCTTTTGCCTTGGCCTCCCAAAGTACTGGGATTACAGGTGTGAGTCACAGTGCTTGGCCATAGTTTCTTTTCTTTCTTTCTTTTTTTTTCTTTCTTTCCTTTTTTTTTTTTTTTTTTGAGACAGGATCTTACTCTATTGCCCAGGCTGGAGTGCAGTGATGCAATCATGGCTCACTGCAGCCTCCACCTCCTGGGCTCAAGCAATCCTCCTGCCTCAGCCTCCCAAGTAGCTAGGACTGCAGGTGTGCGCCACCACACCTGGCTAATTTTTTGTATTTTTGTAGAGATAGGGTCTCACCATGTTGCCTAGGCTGGTCTTGGACTCATGGGCTCAAATGATCCTCTTACCTCGGCCTCCCAAAGTGCTGAGATTACAGGCGTGAGCTGCTATGCCAGGCCTTGGCTTGTTTAGCTTCTGCTGAAATGTTGGCTTGTTCTTTTTTCCACTGGGTAATGTGCCTGTTTTCCTCTGGCTGCCTTCAATGTTTTCTCTTTGTCTTTGATTTTCAGCACTTTGAATATGGTATGTCTAGGGTTTTTGTATGTGTGTGTTAATTATTCTACTTGGGATTCCTCTAAGCCTCTTGGATCTGTGGTTTGATGCTTTTCATTATTTTGGAAAAATTCTCAGCCATTATCTTAGAAAATGTTTCTTTTACCTCATTCTTTCTTCCTTTGAGATTCCAATTACATATATGTTAGATTGTTTGATGTTGTCCTCCAGCTCTTGGATGTTGTATTCTGTTTTCTGTTTTCTTCCCTCTTTTTTCTTTCCTTTTTTTTTTTTTTTTTTTTTGAGACAGGATCTCACTGTGCTGCTCAGACTGGCCTAGAATTCCTGGGCTTAAGCAGTCCTCTTTCCTCAGCCTCCTGAGTAGCTGGGTCTGCAGGCATACTGCTGCACCTGGCTTCTTTCTTTTTCTCTTTTTGTTCCAGTTTGGGTAATCTCTGTGGACCGATCTGTGGCTAACTGCTCCTTTCTTCTGCTGTGTCAAGTCTGCTGATGAGCTGTCAGAAGCATTCAATGTTTCTGTTATGTTTTTTTCCCTCTAGCATTTCCACTTAGAGTTTCCATTTCTCTGCTGAAATAATCCCATCTATTCATGTGTGTTGTCCATCTTTTCCTTGGGAACCTTTAACATGTTAATCAGACTTCTTAAAAATTCCATGAGTCTAATTCTGTTGATTGCTTTGTCTCTTGACAGTTTTGTTTGTGTGTGTGCGCGTGTGCCTTTTTTGTGAATAGTACCTTTTGACTGCTCAACACAGCATATTAGATAGTAGAGACTAAGGTCAGCCATATTTATGCTTGCAAATGAGGCCGGCTTTTCAACTGCTAGGCCATTAGTATAAGGAATTGAGTTAACCCCGCCTCGTTGGTCTGGTTTGGGTTCGGGTGTTGATCTGATTACCTTGAGTGACCACTGGTTTCATATTATTGTAGTGTTAGCTTGCGTTCAGTGGAGGGGCTGAGTTTCCAGAGGTTTTTTCTCAGTGTTCCTGCTCCACCTCCACCTTTTGGTCTTCCTCGTAGGTCTGAACCTTGGAGGAGTTTTGTCTGCACACTCTTGCCCCTGTGCCAGTGATCGACTCTGCTGTTATCTGTTACTTTGGTTTAGTAGCTTGGTAGGGAGGGTTTGGGGTTCTCTGTTGTGTTGTCTAGCTGCAGTCTTCTGCAGGCTCCATGTTGCTGGGTCTGGGTAGGGCTTTTTCATTGATCCTGCCCTCCTCTGAGTGGCAGCCAAACTGCCTGGATGGTAACTCTTGTGCAGGAGTTTCATGTCCCTTCTGTAGCACTGAGAATCTCTAGTAGTCAGGGCCCAGGGACAGTTTCCTGCCCCTCCCCCAAGGGCAGAGTCTTGGTTTTTCCTTTTGCCCATCTCCAGCCACATTGGGTCTTCACCAGTGCCCTGGGAGGTGACACGGTTTGCTGCCCCTCTCTCAGTGACTTAAAGCCTTTTTTCTGTAAGGGAGAAGGGTACAAGTAGGATGTTTTTCTTTTCCTACAGCCATGATACTGAGGAAGGCTCTCTCCAAAGCATGCTGCCCCCAACTCTTTCTCCTGAGCACCTGGCCTAGGTCTGGAGAAGAGCCTGTGTTTGGGTGTGAACTCTGCTCAGTGTGAGATTCTCTGGCTTCTCTGGCTTCAGAGGTTCTGTGCTGTCACATGGGCTCACCCTTGGCTTTTACCAGCATGGAAACATTTTACCTGAATTCCTCTCGCCACCTGCATGGGCTGGCTTCTCTTCCTCCAGGGCCCTGTCTCAAGTGAGCTGGTGCTTGCCTCCTGCCACTCTGTGGAAGGGCCCATCTTGGTTGAGTGAAACTAGGATCTTGTATTTTATCTGACCTCTCCCTGTTAGTGTGGGGGCAGCTCTTTCCAGTGTCCTGCATCTAGGGGGAAGTGGCCCTAGTGGTCCCTCCTGATCTCCGACCACTAGATCAGGTGGTGGGCATGTCTGTAGCTCCTGGGATGTGGGACAGGATGTTGCACAGTGTGACTGTGTTATGGTTAGCAGGGAGCGGGCTCCTAGCGTGGGCTTCTGGAGGGAGCGAGAGGAGAGTGGAGGGCCCATTGAGAGGTGGAAGCCTCCCTAAAGCATGCTTTGGAGACTTGCTGGCATTTTCTGGAAGCTAAACCAGTCATTTTGTGGGGGCTGGTGAGCCAGAGGCCCTGGCTTGGGCTTCAGGACTTGGCTCAGCTTGAAATGAGCCAGACTCTCCTGGGACCTGTTGACCCCACCAGCGGCAGGGGCATTGGACTAGGTGGTTGGCATTTGTCCTGCTCAAGCCTCAGAACAACCAGGGAGGAAAGCGGGTTTCCTGTCTTTGTGCCAAGTACTTTGTTTTATCCTCCCCATCCTCACAACTTTGCCATGAAATAGGCCATTTTTTGGGTAAGGAACCAAGACCCTGAGAAGAAACTGGCCTAGGCCAGCCCAACTCTGCAGGTGGCATCTCCCTGCGCTGCCACCTCCTTCCAATGGGCCTGGCTTTGGGTGGTGCCAGCCCCGGGGTCATGAGTGGGGTCAGTGCCTCGTCCACTGTGACTGTCCGCACCATCGTCGCTGCTGCTGATGCCTGGAGGGTGCTCTGTGGGGAATTACATTGAGTTCATCACTGTCCTCACCTTCCAGATGAGGAACCCACATAGAGGGGCAGATCTTGTCCAGTGTCCCGTCGTCTGGAGGCAGCCGAGCTGGTTTCCAAATCAGGCCTCTCAGATCCAGAGTCCTCATGACTGTCGCCTCTCTCAGGGCCTGCCCAGGCATGTGAGCGGGTGTGCTTTCGTACTAGAGAGTGGGCCTCCGCTAGTCAGGTGGGAGGTGGTCTCAGAAGGCAAGGGGGGAAGAAGCCAGGAAAGGGGTTCCTCTGTGGAACCCTGGGGCTCAGCCTGCCAGGATCCCTTGAGAGACGACATGAACACAGCCAGGAGCCTTCTTTGGCGTGTGGGGGGCAGGTGCCAACTCTTGTCCTTTAGTGGTTGGGTGTGGCTCAGGGCGTCGGCTCCCTGCACTTCTGGGCCTGTTCCTCTGTGGCCAGGTGGGAAGCAGGTGCAGGTGCTTGAGGTCAGAAGCCCTCACCAGCGCTGCAGGTGACCTCTAGGGCAGCTGAGGGGTGTAGGTGGGCACTGGTAGGCTCTGCTGGAGGAGGGGACCAGTTATAAAGACTTAGGTCTGAATTTTGATTTTGGGCAAGGCCCTGATTCTTTCCCAGCTGGTCTTGGCCAGACTGTCCCCCGTGTGTGCAGATTGACTAGATCCCTGCTTCGGGCTGGGCTTGGCGGGGGCAGCTGTGCTCCAGGCACCTCTTTTTCTCTTCCTGGGACTAGCAGCCTAGCCTGGGCCAATGGCCTTCTCTTGGCGACAGTGGAAGTGCAGAAGAATAAGCAGAGACATGCAAAGGTCTCTGTTGGCCATGTCACATGGTCGTGCCCAGAGTCAGAGCAGGACCTTTATGAGGGGCCGTGAAGTCCCGCGGCAAAGATGTGCATGGGGCATGTGTTGGGGTCATTGCCCTGTCTGCCATTGTTGTCCGCACCATCATCACCACTACTGATGTCATGAGAGTGCTACATGAGGGCAAACCACCACTGATGTCTTGAGAGTGCTACATGAGGGCAAACTGGGGCCCTTAATGCCGCACACCAGAGCCTCCTTTCCCCAAAGCTTCTTACAACTAGTTTCTCCCTCATCCTTAAGGTCCCATTGCAAAGGCTGTTTTTTTACAAAAGCCTTCCCTGACTTTCTCTCACACAAGGGCGGAGCCTCTTCCCCTTGAGGCAGAGCTTCTGCCCCCTGGGGCGGAGCCTCTTCTCCCTGGGGTGGAGCCACGCTCTGCTTGCTGTGCCAGCTCTGTCTGAAGGTGCAGCAGCCTCTTGGTAGCCTCTTGGCAGCCTCAGGGTTGTATACCCGGAACAGAAGAGCTAAAGGCCTAGGAGAAGTTCACTTTGAGGAAACTGAGGCCCAGAGGAGCGGTGACTTTCAGGCCTCCCAGAGTCACTGGCAGAGCTAGGCTGGGAATCTGGTCTCCAGGTCAGAGTCTCATCAGACAGAGGCTGGGGCCAAGCCAGGGTTGCCGGAGCTTCCTGGACTGGTCAGGCCTGACTGTGGAACCCAGCATGCCACAGCTGCCTGGCATCACCCCAGCAGGAGGAGGGAGGCACGGCCAGTGACTGTGCCTGTTTCCGCTCTGCATCCAGCAGGGGTCTGGCTGTGGACGTGGCCCAGAGTGGGCAGGGGTGGGGTGGGGATGGCTGCAATTCGTTTCCCAGGGTCCCAGGCCCAGAAGTGAGCTGCCACTGTCATGGGTGGAGGTCAGTCCCAGCAACTGCCCCATCTGTTTCACCCTTGCTTGATCGTAGCTAGAAAATGGTCAGAGATTTAGCCCGCAAGTGAGTACACATGGGACGTGGCCCTGTTTCGCTGCTCACTTGCTTTGTGAGCCTTGGTGCTGTGTGTGTGTAGTGTGTGTGGGTGTATGTGTGTGGTGTGTGTGCATGTGTTGTGTGTTTGTGTGTGGAGTGAGTGTGAGTGCACGTGGTCTGTGTCTGGTGTGTGTGTGCGTGCTGTGTTTGGAGGAGTGTGTGTGGTCTGTGTGTTATGTATGTGGTGTGCGTGAGTATACATGTGTGTCTGTGTGTCTGATGGGTGTGTAAAGCACTCTGGTTCTGGAGCGAAAGTTTGAGGTGCTGGGTTCACTGCCCACTGGCCTCTGTGGCCCTGGACATTCCATCCCTGAACTTGTGTGGTCCTGTGTGAAGCTGGATGGTAATAGCAGCTCCAGTGAGGTGGGTGAGACCCAAGGGGGAAGTCGTAGCGAGCTCCTGGGTCTCTGTCAGCATGTCCTCAGCTGGTGCTGTGAGCTGGGCTCCGGAAGTCTTGGTTCCCCATCTAGTTGCCAGCCGGGTGACCAGGAACTCTACTTTTCCTCTTAGAGCTTCCCGTCGTGCTCTGTGTCGAGGGCATTGTGTTGAGAGCTGAGAGACAGTGTGCGGAAGCACAGGGACAAGGACTGGCCGCAGCAGGCGTTTAACAGACGTCCTTCACCTTTTCCTTTTCCTTTTGGAGGTGGGGAGCATTCTCAGTGTCTGCTGGGGGGCAGTTCCCACCTGGATGGGGGCAGGAGCTCCCAGGTCCTGGGCTGTTGCCTGGCCCTGATGGGTTGCCCCTTTAAAAGTTCAGCTGTGGGCCAGGCGTGGTGGCTTACATTTGTAATCCCAGCACTTTGGGAGGCTGAGGCAGGAGAATTGCTTGAGCCTAGGAGTTCAAGACCGTCTGGGCAACATAGGGAGACCCCCATCTCTACAAAAAAAAAACAACAAAAAAAAACCTAGCCAGGTGTGGTGGTGTGTGCCTGTGGTCCCAGCTACTTAGGAGGCTGAGGTGGGAGGATCCCTTGGACCCAGGAGGGTGAGGCTGCAGTGAGCCATGTTCAGCCTGAGCCACAGAGAGAGACCCTGCCTCCAAAAACAAAAAAAAGTCTAGCTGTTGCTGTTTCTCAGGGAGCTGGGGGATTCTGGCATCCCTGTGGATATCCCGGGACTCCAGAACCCTGTAGGGGGCTGTGTTTCAGTGGGGCAGACTGAACACACACGCTGGTGTCTGTTTCCTCTTGAAACCTCACTAAAGTGACAATAAAGGGATAGAAAGCTCTGAACTCCCAGAGCAGGAGAGGAGGGCGTGGTGGATTAGAAACCCAGAAGATCACAGGCAGGGCTGAGTGCTGTCTCACTGGGCAGGCGGGGAGCCTGAATGCCGCAGTCGTGAGGGTGGCCAGGTGGGAACGAATTCCAGCAGCCCAGCCCAGGAAGCAGCTGAGGTGGTGTCCATGACACTGGGGATGGAAACTAGAGGCTGTCACCAAGACAGTTTTCTTCTTCGGGGACCAGAGAGGCTGTGATGTGAGGGTCCTGTGACAGCTGAAGGCTGGGACACAGGGCATGTGGGAAGTAGGATCTCCCACAGGCTGCACACTTGGAGGGTGGGATTACCAGCCCCTCCTCTCCTCAGCTCTCAGGATGCCTGTGACCTGGTTCCAGTCTCCAGGCTGGGGTTGGAGGCACCCTCTTTTGAGAAATTGACCCCAAAGCAGAGCCCTGTACCTCCCACCGAAGTGACAGGTCCTCAGCTGTGAAAGCACCAAGGCTGCTCCCCCAGGCACGTGTGACCCCCAGGGCTGCTCCCACGGTCTCTCCTTCACCTGTGAGTGGACTCAAGATCACCAGGTAGCGAGTCTCCAACAGGAAGGATAGAGATCTGCAGAGACAAAACACAAAGCAGAAAAAAGAACTCCGAGAAAGCAAAGACCATGTGAGGAGCAGAAGAAAACCTAAAAACCCAGAATAACACCACCTCCACTCATAAGTCTTTGCAGTATCCTCTGAGCGTCAAGACACGTGTTGCTTTCACTAAAGGAACCAGCAGTGAAGACTGGAATAACGAGTGATCATCAAAGACTCCTGGAGATGAAAAGTGTGATGGTGGAGGTTTTAATTGCACAGTTGTGAGGTTTGGGTTGTCAGGCTGAGAAAATAGCCCAGGAAGTAGAATAAAAATTTTTACAAAATGGTGACAAACAAGAGCAAAAATATAAGAAAAATGGAAGATTAATCCTGGAGTTCCAGAAAGGGAACAGAGTACGGAAGAGAGAAAATTATTGAAGCTAGATTTTCAGAATGTTCAGAGCTCAATAAAAGACACCCCCAACCCTTGCCAACTGTCTGGCCTAGTGAATGAGTAAACTGGGGCAAAGGGAAGATCTCAAAGCTCCCACAGAGAGAAAAATGGGCCCCCAGGATCTCAGCGGCACCATCGGCAGTGAGAAGACAGGATGACGGAAAGCGATCTCCAGCCTGGGCTTCTGTACCCGACCAGACTGTCCCTCACATGGGAGGTGGATGTGGACGTTTGCAGTCACCTCAGTCTCACATGCCCAGGAAGCAGCCCGGGCACCTGCAGTCAGGGGACGTGGAGAAAGGACCAGTGCACCCAAGGTAGGGGGAGGTCCAGGAAGATCCTGTGCAGCCATGCCAGGCCGTTCACTCAGATGAGGGAGGGAGAGCAGAGGGAACAGGGGCATGTCCCCAAGCAGCAAACAGGATCGAGCGAACACCCACCCATGTCTCTGGCCACGTTGAGGCTTGTTAGAGTTGTGGAAGGAATGATTAATAGCAATATAGAAAATGAAATAAGCAAACTAAGGCAGTTACCTACTCTGGGAAAAGTGAAATAGAATACAGAAGAGGAAATGTAATCACTACATGGTGTACTTTGCATTAAACACCAAATTAAGCCTTGAATTAAATCCAAAATCGTGCTGCGACTGTATCGGCAGGAGGGAAGCTTGTGAGTAAGGGAACTTGGCTAAGTCCTCATCTTTCGTAGTCGAAAATCATTAGCCCATCTAAAATGTGCAGATCATAAAATAATGATATCAGTACACTTTTTGGAAATTTGAGGGTAAAAATAATCTACCAAAGGTCTCCTTCCGGGGAGTGGGATTAGAGGAGGAGAGAACCGTGGGTCTTTGTGCCTTACAGGACTGACTTTTTCAACTAGGTGCAGGTGAAGCCAGACATTTCCCGACTGCTTCGCAGGCGGGAGCTGGAGTACACGAGTGCTGGAGTCAGCTGGCTGCTCTGGCACTGGCAGGGGTGGACTCCACTCACTCAAACCTCCTTCGTTCCACCCTCCAGGGAGGGAGCACGCAGGTGAGCGAGGCAGGAACAAACTTTGTACCAGCCCCGCAGCAGCACCTGGGGTTCAGAGGAAGTTTTCCAGTGCTCTTTTAACCCAGCTGTCGGGGCTTAAGTGTTACCAGCTCAGTGGGCCCCTCTGCCTTTTCATGTGAGGCGGCTGCCTTCTGCCAGCGAGGGTTAAGGGTCAGTGTGACAGCCTTTTGCACCTGCACTCGTGGCACCCGAGTTCTTGTCTGGCATCCAGGAGGAATGAGGCTGCATGAACGAATTGAAGATGGTAAATGTGGGGGATTTTATTGCTGATGAAAGTGGCTCTCAGCGGGAAGGGGAGCTGAAAATGGGACTGAGTGGGAAGGTTATCTTCCCCTGGAGTCTGGCCATCCCTGGCCAGACTCTCCGAAGCTACACCATGAGCCTGTTCCTCTGAAGTCACACTGCTTCTGTCCGATGTCCAACCGTAGTCTCTGACGTCCAGTTACTTTTTCTCTCTCTGCTGGCTGAATTCTGGGGTTTTTATAAGCACAGGATTGGGGGCAGGGAGTGGTTTTGGAAGAGATAACATCTGAGCGGGAAAACGGGGATGTAAGCTGTCACTTTGGGTCTTGGTATCAGGCCTTTTGGCTTGAGGGTGGGACCCCTGCTGGGGACCTGCCGTCTTCTGCCCCATCTTTCCCTGCCCCCTGTCCCTATCACAGGTGCAACTGGTGAATCCTGTGAGTGAAAATCAGAGGGTTTCAGCCACAGGGTCCTAGTGGTTTCCAGGCCATTCTGATCAGTTCTGATGCTTTCTGTGAGTTCTGGTGGGAATTTTGATGGGCTCTGTGCCCGGTGTTGAGACAGGCCATGCCCTAGAGTCCTGGGGAGTTCCACCCCAGAACAGCAGTGGCCTCCCACAGGCCTCGACCCAAGTCCAGGTGTCACTGTGCACTGCTCGCTGCTGCAGGGGGTATTGATCGGTTTGCCACTCAGAAGTGATTGCAGTGGTGTCAGCAGAAGCACTTCTGTGAATTACTGCTTCCAGCCGACTTGCGAAGAGCTGCTGGAGAGCGTTTGGCTCGAGTCACTGGCCAGCAGGTGGCTCTGCCCTGTTGGCTCCCCTGGTTTCTGTTTGAAAGCTTGACTCTTCCCCACTCAGGGTGGATCTACTGGGGCCTGGGCTGGCTTCCAGCTGCCCAGCTGTGATGAGGAAGATTGGTGCCCTCCCAGGCCCCCACCTCGGCAGCGGTGTATTTGCCCTCACTGCTCTGCAAGGGGCCCAGTGTGGCCACAGCCCCATGCCCCCTGTTTGTCCCACAGCAACATGACAGGCCTCACTAGGACTCCTCCACCTCTCACTCCTGCCTTGGCCCCACCTGGCCCTGCTGGGAAGCGACTCCAGCTCCAGGCGTGGCCCCCACTTCCCAGTGCCTTGTTTCCCTGTCAGTAAGGGCAGTGCTTGTGGACCCTCCTGCTCGAGGCTAGTGGAGGGAACCACAGGGTTGGCTGTGGGCATTGCTTTGCCTGCTCCAGGTGTGTGGCTTCATCGGTAGGTCCCAGGAGGGTCCGGTCCTGTGCTGTGGATGAGGGTTGCCAGGTTTGCTGTGAGACTGTGGCGTGTCCTTGCACGGGAGCAGGCCCTGTTGCTGGTGCCCCATCTTGATTTCAGTTGCTGAGTTGACATTTGTTTATATTGATTCTCTTTGGGCCTCAGCAGGTCACTTTGTGGCCCTTCTGCGTGTCATCTCCTTTGACCCCAGCAGCTCTGTGAAGAAGGGAGGGGCATCACCACCTCCATTTTCTGGAAGGTGGCAGGGATGGTGTCATTCCTGGGACTCCTGGGCCAGCCTGGAGCCTGGCACATAGTGAGCCCTCTGCTGAGTGAATAAAAGGCTCGCTGGGTGGGTGGGGGTACCTGTGCTGGGGTCAGAGCGCCAGGCAGGAATTAGGAGGGTGGTGGCAAGGCGGGTGGAGGGGAGAGCAGCAGAAGAGGATTCTCCCTCAGTCTCCAGAAAGGGGCGCAGCCCTGCCCACACCTCGACTTTGGGACTTCTGGCCTCCAGAACTGTGAGAGAATACGTTTCTTTTGTTTTAAGGCACCACGTTTTGGGTGATCTCCAGCAGCACCCCAGGAAACTAAAACAGTGACTAAGACCAGTTCCCTGCCCTCACAGGGCTTGCCCCAGCCAGGCACAGCGTGACAGTGTGCTAGGACAGTGTCCAGGGCTCTGTGGGACCAGGCAGGGGCACCTGATCGAGAGGCGTGTTGTTAGGGAGGGCTTCCTGCGAGCAGTGACCCACAGAGCAAGCCCAAGCTGGCCAGGCAGAGGGCAGCCTGTTGAAGGCTTTGGGCCACTGGGGCGCTGGGCTTGGAAGGGGGTGGGAGGCTGGCCAGAGAAGAGGGGGTGGGTGGAGGGCTGGCAGGGCCACATCACTGGGACCTCAGGAGCCCCTGGGTGCAGATGGCCACAGCAAGGGTGGGTGGAGGGGCTGTGCAGGGCTCATGCCCATGCCCAAGGGCACCACCAGGAGCATGGAGAGAGACCAGTGGGAGGAGTGCTGGGTGCCACAGCTTGGCGTCTGGCAGAGGGCCTTGCAGAGCTAGGGCTGTCTTCAAAGCTGGGTTTGATCTTTGGTTCCAAGTGCTTAGAAGTGTGCCTGGAATGGGGTAAGTGACCAGATAGTATAATGACCATTTTTCTTTGATCATGTTATCACATCTTGCCAGCTGGCTTTATGCCCTAGGAAGGCCGGGGCCTGTTCCCTGCGTGTTTCGTGGTGTGTGTTCTCGGTGCCCCTCCCTCCCTGATGCCCACGTTGACCTGCTGTTGAATTCTCCTGGAAGCTGGAAAACGTAAGGTCAGGAGGTGTTCAACCAGGAAATTGATGTGGCAGGCTGGAGAGAAGGGCCACGGGGACAGGGCCGGGTGGACCTGACGAGTCAAGAGCTTCCTTTGGCTGATATTCTGGCATAAATATTTAATGGGGGTGAGGACGGGACTTGTGGAACTGAAGTGGCCGATATTGATGTAAGAAGACTTTAACGTGCAGAGAAGGTCTGTCTGGGTCGTTGGCCTGCGGGGCTGCACGGGTGGGGAACGTGAAAAATAGGTGATGAAAATGTCACTGGGAGAGGCCCATTTCAGGGACGCTGCCCACAGTCTGATTTCTAAGGACAAAGACCCCCTCACTGCAGCTGTCCTGAGCTGCTGGGTGGATGGTCCTCACCAGGAGGAACAGGCAAGGCAGCCACACCCTGGTTCTATAACCCTTGGCACATTTTGGCCTTAGCCTCGTCTGCCATGAGGATGGTGGTACTTCCTACTCAGGTTGGTGGGAGAGTCCATGGGCTGAGAAGTTCTTTGTGTGTATTGAAAAGAGCTTGTTTTCCATCACCAAGCCAGACCACTTCCTTCCTTCAGTGCCTTTGCTCCAAAGCTCCCTCCTCCAGGAAGTCTTCCTTGATCAACACATCCCCTTCTGATTACTCAGTGTCTATGCAGCAACCAGCGTTTGTCGGTCCACTCAGGAAATATGAATTGAGCATGGCCACATGCTGGCTCTCCTGGTGCAGCAAAGAACAAGACAAAACAGCCTCTGTCCTTAAGGTGGAAAGAGGAGAGAGCATGTAAAAGAATTTGCAGGCTTTTTCTGGGCAGGTAGATAGCACATTGGAATCGCATGACAGGGCGAGGGACGGGAGTTAGTCCCACAGCTAGTGAAGGAGACTGTGCTGACTGAGCGGCATCTGAGCAGGCGCAGGGAGGAGTCAGGGAGTGAGGAGGCTCCAGGCAGGGACACCAGTGTCGGCAGCCTGGGGAAGGGCCGGTTGGGCTCAGAGGCTGGAGGGAGCTCAGGGGAGAGCCAGGTGGTGAGGGAGTGGAACATGGTGAAGGCCTTGCGTTGACTCTGTGGGAGGCAGAGCTGCCTGACGGCGGCAGTGGACAGTGGTGGAGTCTGACTTCCATGTTAAAGCCACAGTTTTGGCCGCTGGGTTGAAAACAGGTAGAATAGTGGTCCCCAACCTTTTTGGCACCAGGGAGTGGTTTTGCGGAAGACAGTTTTTCCATGGACCCAGGTGGTGGGTGATGGGGATGGTTTCAGGATGAAACTGCTCCACCTCAGATCATCGGGGTTTAGTTAGATTCTCATGAGGACCACATAGCCCAGATCCCTCGCAGGTGCAGTTCACAATAGAGTTTGTGCTCCTATGAGAATCTCGTGTTCCCGCTGATCTGACAGGAGGCAGAGCTCAGGCTGGAATGCTTTCCCGCCCAGTGCTCGCCTCCTCCTGTGCGTCTCGGTTCGGAACAGGCCACAGACCCGTGGCCTGGGGGTTGGGGACCCCTGGACTAGAAGGCAGAGTGAGCTGGGTGGCAGCAGAGAGCCAGGGAGGAGCCCTCGTAGGAAGCAGTTCAGGTGTGAGGACGCAGTGTCACAGGGGGAGGGTCAGCTCTGGACACACCCGACGGCAGGGTCGGCGGGGCTCACTGAGGCAAGGACAGAGGAGAGGAGCCGGGTGAGCCACAGTGAGGCCACCATCCGGCCTGAGCCTCTGTCAGCTGGAGGGGCTGCTTGCTGAGACGGGCTGCGGATGCTGCGGAGGAGACAGCCTTGGATGCTGCCCCCAGAGCTGGCTGGGTCCCACTGAGGCGCTGGGCAGCGGGTGAGGTACTGGAGTTGGTGGGCATGTGCCCCGGAGGCTGATGTGTGGAGGGGTGGACCTGGGTTTGGCCTGGGGGCAGGGGACCAGGGCTGCACTCCGGGCTGTCACCACGTTCAGGGCGGGGAGATGAGGAGCCAGTGGCAGAAACTGGAGCCGCCGATATGAAGGGACCACAGTGGGTTAAGCTGTGCCCGTTTCTTCTGGGAGGTCAGACAAGGTGATGACTGAGAATCACTGGGGACCTGGAGCTGTTTTTGGGCCTGGGAATAGAGGCTGGAGAAGGCGCAGAGGGCCGCCTTTCTCCCTGGGAGTTACCTTTGGTCCCGGCACACTTCTGGTTGGGTGTCCTGCCTGGCCCTAGGGTCCTCGAATGGGACTCTGCACTCAAGGCACCAGTGCATGTGGTCAGCCCCATGTGTGGTCCAGGCGGGGCCCCGCTTCCTCCTGCCTGCACCAGGTGTGGAGCCGGTCACAGTGCCTGCTCCCCTGGGCCGTAGCAGGGAGGAGAGGGCCTGTCCCGTGCATCCCAGGGTGTGCACTGCAGGTGATCCCGGCCATCAGAAAAGGCCGACTTGAAGGGGCAGGGGCTCTGAGACAGCTGTGCCTAGGCTGAGGCTGGGAGGAGCATACAGGCAGAGCGGAGAGTGCTGTGGTTGGCCCTGCCCAGGAGGGTGCAGCCTGGACCCCGCACCAGGTGTGCAGAGCTCAGAGGGCCTCAGTAAATGATTGAATGCCTGGGCCTGAGTGTGTGAACATTGGGAAGCTACGGAAGGGTTTTGGGCTGGAGGCCGTCGGACCTGAGTGCGAAATGTGCTGTTTGTCCTAGAGGGACGGTTCCCAGACCCAGGCAGGAGGCCTGGCTCAGCCGCGTGGCTGATTTGTGAGGAGGGAGAATTGGTCCATAGGTCTCTAGCCCTGTGGGCAGCTGTGGTCCTGTGAGTGAGTGCCAGGGTGTCCTCAGCACACACGAGCTCCCCCGCAGGCCTCTCCCTGCCTTTAATGGCACGGCACGCTGGGCTTGCCCAGGCTCTTCCCGTTGGCCACATCTCCCCACAGTCTTAGGAGAGGAGGTTATGCTGACCAGGCCACTGGCGGGCGGAGGTGATTTGTCTCTTTTTAATTGAATTATATCTTACATGTGCGTATCAGTTGGAGAAAAGCCCTCAAACCGCTTTTCCTCTGCTCTCACACAAGAGTCAACACAGAGGCCTCCTGTGGCGGACAGGCTGGGGATTTCTCCCCGCCAGCAAGCAGGCACTCAGTCCTGCAGCAGCACCAGCTGGATGTCCCCCAGTCCAGTTCAATTCCAGCACTGCCCACCTGGAGACAGCACGAGATCCCACGGGGCGAGGTCTCAGTCCCACAAGACTGCCCCCAGTTCTGATGCCAACCACAAGCCCCAGGTTGTTTTGCCTGTGTGTCTCACCCACTGGCTATAAATTGGGGTTCGCACACCCTCCCTGCCCACGTTTGACTAATTTGCCAGAGCGGCTCACAGAACTCAGGGCAACACTGACATTTCCTGGTTTATTATAAAGGATGTTACAAAGGCTTCTGATGAATACCAGAGGAAGAGACGTCTGTGGAGGATGGAGGAGGGTACGGAGCTTCCATGCCCTCTCTGGGCAAGCCACCCTCCAGGAACCCCCATGTGTTCAGCTCTTTGGAAGCTCCTCAAAGCCTGTCCTCTTGGGCCTTTTATGGAACCCTCATTGGCTAGGCATGGTGGAAGCATGTAGAAATGGGACTGGACAAAAGGGCTGTGAGCCCAACACTGTCAGTCGGAGTGGGGAGCCCAGGAAGGCCTGCCTGTGCGACATTCCTTCCTCCCCTTCTGAACTGGGGGTCTCATGACCCACACAGTCAGAAAAGGCAGGTCAGAGAATTTTTCTTTTTGTTTTTTGAGATAGATTCTCACTCTGTTGCCCAGGCTGGAGTGCAGTGGTGCAGTCACAGCTCACTGCAGCCTCTACCTCCTGGGTTCAAGCGATCCTCTCACCTAAGCCTCTTGAGTAGCTGGCACTACAGATGTATGCCACTATGCCCAGCTAATGTTTTTATTTTTTATTTTTTGTAGGGACAATGTCTTGCTATATTGCGCAGGCTGGTCTCGAACTTCTGGCCTCAAGCAGTCCTCCCGGTTTGGCCTCCCATAGTGCTGGGATTATAGGCATGAGTAACTGTGCCCAGCCCAGAGAGTTTCTTCATAGCCAGCTCCAAGACAGAAAGGCGGGGGAAGATTCAAGTATATTTTCAGTTTGTATGGCCTGCCTTGGGGAGAAAAAGGAACAGGTGAAAGGGGTGGGGGCAGGAGAAGGTCAGAGAGAGAGAGAGAGAGAGAGAGAGAGATGCTGTTTACTGAGACCTGCTTCTAAGGCCTGGAGTGGTCCAATATTATGACAAAAGACTGTAATAAGGGCTGGGGGGATAATGAGCCAGGAGCCATAGATGGAAACCAGCACATATCATAATGTAGCATGCTTCCATGTAATTCCCACCAGACCCAGTTAATAGCTCTAGACCCCGGAATCGCCTTTGTGTCTTCTCTGAATCAGTAACCAACCCAAAATATAAACACTGTTCTCACTTCTGTCACTATAGTTGAGTTTTGCCCATCCTTGAACCTCATGCCAATGGGACATACAGGATTGTACCCTGGAGCGCCTTGGGGTGGGAGGACTCCGTCACATCCTGTCTGTGGGGCTTGGCCATGCTGTGTCTGCAGTTCCGTCACATCCTATCTGTGGGGCTTGGCCGTGCTATGTCTGCAGTTCATTCTTTTTTGTTGCTGTGTAGTACACCATGGTGACTGTCACAACTTACTCATTCTATTGCTGATGGGTATTTGTGTTTCCAAGTGACTTTATGAATGATGTGGCCAAGACTGTTCTAGAACCTGCGTACTGGTGGACAAGCACTGGCTTCCCTTGGGTGTCTCCCCAGGATAGTTCCTGGATCATGGGCTATGTGTATATAGCTTCAGTAGATACTGGGCAGACGTCATTTCCTCATCTTGGCTAGCGGGTCATTCCCCCGACCCATCATTCCTGCGTAAACTGCCAAGTTCAGCCTCAGGTTGGGCCGAGTCACCCACCTGTTACAGCCCCTGAGCCACTTCCATAACAGGGGCTGGGTTCTGTTCTGTTCTGTTCTCCTAACAGCCCTGTGAAGCATCCTGGCCCCTCTGAGAATCAGAGCCGACTGGCCCATGACCCAGCACGGGGGATTCAGGCTGAGACCGTGCGGGGCGCGCTCCTCTTCCCAGACTCAGTCGCCCTGGGCCCCACCTGGGGCTCTTGAGCCCCTTCTTGGGCAGCAGGTGTTGACCCGAGCACAGGGCCGGGCGCGTGGGCCTCCTCTGAGCACCCCGCGCTGGGGCTTCTCCCCTCCAGGCACCAGCTTGCTGCAGGAGGTGGTCTACTTGGTGAGCCAGGGCGCTGACCCCGATGAGATCGGCTTGATGAACATCGACGAGCAGCTCCCGGTCCTGGAGTACCCACAGCCGGGCCTGGACATCATCAAGGTACCCAGGGCCAGCAGCACCTGTCCCAGCACCTCTTTAGGGTATTTCTACCGTTACACCCTGATGATTGACAGTTGCTCCTGGGGGCTCTGTGGATTAGGGGAGAGCAGATAGCCCCAGATAGCCAGGGGAGAAGCTGGCAGGCCTGAGCTGGCAGTGACCTGGAACCCGATGAGGGCGTGGGTGACACATCAGCGTCAGGGAGTCTGTGAAGTGGAAAGGAAGTCAATGCCTGGGGGGCACAGGGCTGAGGGGCCATTTGTGGGGAGCAGGCCCTGGGCCTCCCCCTCGCTTTCCCCTGGGGGCCCTCCTCTGAGGGAGCTGGGTAGGATGTGTTTGCATCAAATATTTGGTATCAAGAATGAATAAATGTTACCCCAGAGCCCTGCTCCCCGCACCCCTCAGACACACCCACAGGCACCCCCACCCCGTCCGCTGCACCTCTTTAGTTCCAGCCTCACACCTGAATGGGCCAGAACTGCAGCCTCCACCACACCTGTCCTCCTCCCTCTGGAGCAGCATTCCAAAACCCAGCTCTGAGAGTGCCATCCCACCCTGTGTCATGCTCTGAGAGTGCCATCCCTCCCCATGGCACAAGACCCCTGTGGCCCTCCAGGGCCCCTGTCTGCACCCCAGCCTCTCGGGCCTGAACGGCCATTTTGCTCTCCTTGTCCGTGCGGAACCATCTGGGAGTCGTTCCGTACTGCCGTGCCGAGGGCCACCGCGTTCAAGGCACTGCTCTTGGCATTGGGGGCAGCAGTGACTGACAGCATCAGGCCCGGCCTTTCAGCCCAGGAAGCCATAGTAGCTAGCCAGCGATCAGCGCTGGGAGGGGAGCAGATCAGGGGGGGACCAGCAGTCTCCTCTGGGGATGTCTGAGGCAGGTCCTGAAAGAGGAGAGGAGCAGAGGGACCCGTGAGCAAAGACCCCACGGCACGAGGGGCCTGGCCTTCCAGAGCAGTAGGCAAGCCTGGGGGTTGCAGGCAACGGTTCCGGGCTCTTTGGCTTCATGAGGGCTGGGCCCATTCCTAGGGCAGCTGGGAAGACGGGCTCTGAGCAGAGAGCACGGTGCTGGCTGCTTTACAGGACAACCCTGGCTGCTGATGGGAAGGCCCGAGGGGCAGGTGGAAGCAGTGAGCGCATCAGGCCAGGTTGCTGTGCGGTCCAGCGCCAGCCTGGCAGCACCCACTGGGGCTGGTGCCTCCTGCTGCCTCTGCTGCCCTCCGACGCCACTCCAAGCCGGGGCAGTAGCTCCCAGGCCCCCTGAGCAGATCCTGTGGCTGTGGCTATGATGGGTGGACTCCCCAGGCCAAAGTCAAGGACCCTTGTCTCTACCGCCAGGGTCCAGCCGGGGTGTGCTCATGTCTCCAATCTTTGTCTCAGGTGACAAGGGAGGCTGTCCTGGCTGGGTCCGAGACTCTCTCCAGGACAGGAGACCAGGGCATGACAGCCTTGCCTCCTCTTGCTCTGACCCCTCCCTACTCCTGGCCTCACCTTTCCCTCTGACCCCTACCGTTCTCCCCTGGCCCCCACCCCTTCCCTCGTCCTCTGGTCCCCCTGCTCCTGGCCTTACCCCTCCCTCTGGCCTCACCCCTCCCTCTTACCTGACGCTCTCCTGACCCCTCCGCTACCCTAGACCCGCCGTTCCCTCTGATAACTCCACTTCCCCTGAACCCCACCCCTTCCTTCCTCCTCTGGCCCCCTTCCCCTTGGCCCCACTCCTCCCCTTGGTCTCACCCTTTCCTCTGACCTGCCTCTCCCTCTGACTCCACGCAGGAACTGACCTCTCCCCGCCTCATCAAGAGCCACCTGCCCTACCGCTTTCTGCCCTCTGACCTCCACAATGGAGACTCCAAGGTAAGCTGGCACCTCCTCTGCCTCCCGAGATGAGTCCCCACCAAGAGGAGCCCAAGGTCCCTGTGCAATACACATGCAGGTCCCTGGCACTTACCTGGCCTTGGGGGCTGTCTTCCCAAGGAGCCCACACGTGAAGATCCCTTCTGAGGTGGTCTTGGGTCATGCGTCTCTAGCATTTTACCCAAGTTTTTAACGACGGGTTGGTTTTTACCTCACAGTCAAACATGGCTGTGGCCAGCCTAATCCAAAGCAGGCCAGCAGGCGTGTACCTGCTTTGGGCCGAATTCTCTTTGTTTTTCAATTGCATCAAATGCCAAGGCCTGTGGGGTTTTTTTGTTTGTTTGTTTTTTTGTTTTTGAGACGGAGTCTTAGTCTGTCGCCCAGGCTGGAGTGCAGTGGCATGGCTCACTGCAACCTCTGCCTCCCTGGTTCAAGCGATTCTCCTGCCTCAGCCTCCTGAGTAGCTGGGACTACAGGCATGTGCCACCACACCCGGCTAATTTTTCTATTTTTGGTAGAGACAGGGTTTCACCATGTTGGTCAGGCTGGTCTTGAACTACTGACCTCAGGTGATCTACCCACCTCGGCCTCCCAAAGTGCTGGGATTACAGATGCGAGCCACCGCACCCGGCCAGAGGCCTGTGTTCTTACCACCAGGATCAGGGTTGTAAGTTTTTTGTCTTCTGCAGATTTTAAAGTAGTTCTAGAGGACAGAAATAAAATGCTCAAGTAATTTTCCTGGCCAGCTCTACTGCATGGACAGGGCACCTTTCTGCTGAAACAGCGAAGCAGCAGCACCCAGCAGCCGTGCACATGGGCCCCAGCTGGACGCTGGAAGCAGGTGTTGGTTTGTGAGGTGCACCAGCAGGTTCAGGGAGGCTGGCCTGTGTCGGGGCAGCCCTGCCTGGGAGGGAAGGAGACACGGACTCATCCTGCTCCTGTCACCCACAGGTCATCTATATGGCTCGCAACCCCAAGGATCTGGTGGTGTCTTATTATCAGTTCCACCGCTCTCTGCGGACCATGAGCTACCGAGGCACCTTTCAAGAATTCTGCCGGAGGTTTATGAATGATAAGCGTGAGTGTTGCAGCCTGGCGGCATGTTAGAACCGGAGCCGTCTGTTGTCGTGGACGGCCTGGCAGGTGCTGGGTGCTTCCCCGACACGGTCTCCAGTTCTGACAGTGACCATGTAGGTCAGGCCCGCGGTCACTTTACAGATGAAGACACTGAGGCCGAGGGTCGTGAACGTGGCCGAGATCCTAGAGCTGGTGTGTGTCAGAGCAGGTCCATCTGAACCCAGAGCCCTTCTCTTCTACCACACTGTCGGGGTGTCTGAGAAGTTCCCCAGTTAAAACATCCATCCTTCCTACCTGGGTTTCAAACAGGGAGAGAATGAAAACAGTAAAAATGGAGGCCCAGGTATCACTACTGTTAGTGATAGGGCCTGGAGTGGAGACTGGAGCTAAGTGTGACAGGCATGGGCCTTTGGCTGAACCTCAGGCACAGGCAAGCTACTGGGGCAGGGCACACTTGTGCCCGCTGGGAGGAGGACAGCCGGGCTGAACCTCAGGCACAGGCAAGCCTCCGGGGCAGGGCACACTTGTGCCCGCAGGGAGGAGGACAGCCGGGCCGAGAGTGCCATGTGCTGTTCTCTGGCTTCCATTCCAGCCCCTGAGGAGGAGCGAGGCTGGGTTCCACCCTGCCCTGCTCTCAAGGAAGGCGGGACCAGGCCTCTTGTCTTGGTCCCACTCGCTCCCAGTCCTTACTCTCTTGCCCCGCTGGGCCACCTTTCCCTTGGGAGTGGTGGCAGAGCTCCTCAGTGCAGTTCTGTTCCTGCCTTCCTGAGGGGGCTCCCCATGGCCAGCCATGGCTTTGGGAGGTCCTGGGACAGAAAGTGGGCAGTGTAGGGTGTGCAGGCAGAGGAGCTTTGAAATGTGTCATAATAGCTGCACTTTAATTAAATCTACACTGAGACTCTTCCCTACCCAAGGCTGAAAATACACTTTCTGTTTTATTTCCCAACGGAAGTGATGCTGAGCCGCATTGTTCAGTGTGGCTTATCGGGGGCTCTGCAGGGGGCTTATGTGACAGGATGAGGATGAATCATGTAGCAGAGATCCTGGAACGTAATGCCCTCGAGTTTAAGTGGAACTTAGGGCAGTGGACCTAGAGCTGCTGCCAGGCCTGGTTGAAGGGGACCTCTTGGCGGGGCGGTGCAGGGCGCCACAGGCTGACTCTGTTGCTTGCAGTTTGAAAACCCACGAGGGCCTCAAAGCCCTGGGATGATTCTGTTTCCTGCCCTTGAGCCTCTGCTTCCACTGTGCCTGCTGAGAAGTGGCCCTGCCTGCAAGGGGTAGGAGGCCCCAGACCGCACCCTGAAGCCCCCTGAGCCTGCTCTGGGCCTTCTGTCCAGCCCCTCTTCCCATGGCCTCTTGGCCCTGGCACCTGCTCTTGTGGTCCACCAGGCATTTGGAGCAACCCACTCATGGACTTCTGAAGCTGTTTCCTAGGGTCCAGCATGGACTCTGCTCTCTGCAGAGCATGGGGACAACACCCACATTCAGACCAGCACGTGGAAGAGGCTACAAACATCTTGCTCAGGCCAGAGCAGTTAACAGTTCTCTTAATATAGGCCTCTCCATGTCACCACAGTCACAGACCCATCCTCCACTGAGTGCAAGGTCCCACACACGTGCCTTGGTCCCAGCAAACCCTGTAGACAGGCCCACTCAGCACCCCTGTGCTCCGTCCTTCATTGTCACTCAGTGAGCACGCACATACTGAGGACCGCTGGACCCCCTCCCTGATGTCCTGAAGACGGTGGAAACTAATATGCACGGGAACCCTGAAAGCACACCATGTCCAGACAGGCCAGGATCAGAGGCCACAGCACAGGGCAACAGCAGGAGGGTCCTGCATAAACAACCACGCGTGAGCCTGGTGACCAGCTCTGCGAGGCTGGAGGGCAAAGGGCCCTGGAGGCAGGTGACACCTGCAGTGTGAGGATGCCCCGTGACAGGCTTCCTGTGACACCTGCAGTGTGCGGACGCTGTGTAGACAGGCTCCCTGTGGCACCTGCAGTGTCAGGACGCTGTGTAGGCTGGGTCCCTGTGGCACCTGCAGTGTGAGGACGCTGTGTAGACTGGGTCCCTGTGGCACCTGCAGTGTGAGGACGCTGTGTAGACAGGGTCCCTGTGGCACCTGCAGTGTGAGGATGCTGTGTAGACTGGGTCCCTGTGGAGCCTTCAGTTTGATGTGTAGACAGGCTCCCTGTGGCACCTGCAGTTGGAGGACGCTGTGTAGACAGGATCCCTGTGGCACCTGCAGTGTGAGGACGCTGTGTAGACAGGGTCCCTGTGGCACCTGCAGTTGGAGGACGCTGTGTAGACAGGATCCCTGTGGCACCTGCAGTGTGAGGACGCTGTGTAGGCAGGCTCCCTGTGGCACCTGCAGTTGGAGGACGCTGTGTAGACAGGATCCCTGTGGCACCTGCAGTGTGAGGACGCTGTGTAGACAGGGTCCCTGTGGCACCTGCAGTGTGAGGACGCTGTGTAGACAGGGTCCCTGTGGCACCTGCAGTTGGAGGACGCTGTGTAGACAGGGTCCCTGTGGCACCTGCAGTGTGAGGACGCTGTGTAGACAGGGTCCCTGTGGCACCTGCAGTTGGAGGACGCTGTGTAGACAGGCTCCCTGTGGCACCTGCAGTTGGAGGACGCTGTGTGGACAGGGTCCCTGTGGCACCTGCAGTCGGAGGACGCTGTGTAGACAGGGTCCCTGTGGCACCTGCAGTGTGAGGACGCTGTGTAGACAGGCTCCCTGTGGCACCCGCAGTGTGGCATGCAGCCTCTGTGACCGTGTCTTCTCTGGGGTGGACAGTGAGGTTTTGTTATTCTTCCTTCATATTCCAGATGGATGATTCCCTTCCCTTTCACAGAGCAGCGTGGAGCCCAGGGAAAAGCGTGGAGGGGCCCGGCGTCCTCGCCTCCTCTCAGGCATTCCGGTGGGAAGGCTCTCCACCCAGCAACCTACAGCTCATTCCCGTCCCCCCTCCTGCTGTGGGGACTCCGTGCACTTGCTCCTCACATCAGCGCAGGACCACACGTGCAGTCCTTCATGCCTTGCTCCTTCCAGAGTCCTCACACTATTTCCCCCTGCAACTCCATGTCACCGGGATGTCTGTTTTTGACATCTTGCTACATGCTTCCTTGGAATGAAGTGGGGTTTTTCTTTACCTTCCGTGTTCACAGGGCCATTTGACTCTTCCTTCTGCCCCAGGGACTCATCTGCTTGGACTTAGCTACCGATGATGGGCTGCAGTCGGGCCACTTGGGCTTCCCTGTCTGGGCCCCCATGATTATTGACCTGTTGGTGACTTGGGCAAGTCTCTTCCCTTCTCTGGGACTCAGCTTTATTCTGCAGAAATTGGAGGTTTTGGTGGGATGTGGGTGCAGCTCCTCCGTGGGAATCCTGCCGGGTGGCAGGGCCCAGCAGAGGAGTCTCTACAGCCAGCGCTCCTCATCCAGCTGGGCTGCTTCCTGCTGCTTAGCACCGCCAGCCCCCGACTGCCCAGTGATCCTTAACTGACGCCTTGCTCTCTGTCGTATGGAGGTCCCCGTGGAAGAAACCGTCACAGTGGTGGGCACGGCATGTGGCAGGCAGGGGAGGATCCATAGCTTTTATAAAGAACACTGCAAAGCAGGCTGGAGACTCCATGAGTTGGTCCCTGCCTGTGTGCCCCACCCCACACCAAGGGCTCTGAGGCAGCGCAGGCCACGCAGGAAGCTCAGGGCTGCGGTGGGGGCGCGGGAAGCTCAGGGCTGCGGTGTGGCTGCGGGAAGCTCAGGGCAGCGGTGGGGGCGCGGGAAGCTCAGGGCCGCGGTGGGGGCGCGGGAAGCACAGGGACGCGGTGGGGGCGCGGGAAGCACAGGGCCGCGGTGTGGGTGCGGGAAGCTCAGGGCAGCGGTGGGGGCGCGGGAAGCTCAGGGCCGCGGTGGGGGCGCGGGAAGCTCAGGGCCGCGGTGGGGGCGCGGGAAGCACAGGGACGCGGTGGGGGCGCGGGAAGCACAGGGACGCGGTGGGGGCGCGGGAAGCTCAGGGCCGCGGTGTGGCTGCGGGAAGCTCAGGGCAGCGGTGGGGGCGCGGGAAGCTCAGGGCCGCGGTGGGGGCGCGGGAAGCACAGGGACGCGGTGGGGGCGCGGGAAGCACAGGGACGCGGTGTGGGTGCGGGAAGCTCAGGGCAGCGGTGGGGGCGCGGGAAGCTCAGGGCCGCGGTGGGGGCGCGGGAAGCTCAGGGCCGCGGTGGGGGCGCGGGAAGCACAGGGACGCGGTGGGGGCGCGGGAAGCACAGGGACGCGGTGGGGGCGCGGGAAGCTCAGGGCCGCGGTGTGGCTGCGGGAAGCTCAGGGCAGCGGTGGGGGCGCGGGAAGCTCAGGGCCGCGGTGGGGGCGTGGGAAGCTCAGGGCCGCGGTGGGGGCGCGGGAAGCACAGGGACGCGGTGGGGGCGCGGGAAGCACAGGGCCGCGGTGTGGCTGCGGGAAGCTCAGGGCAGCGGTGGGGGCGCGGGAAGCTCAGGGCCGCGGTGGGGGCGCGGGAAGCTCAGGGCCGCGGTGGGGGCGCGGGAAGCACAGGGACGCGGTGGGGGCGCGGGAAGCACAGGGCCGCGGTGTGGGTGCGGGAGTGCCGGCCTCTTGGAGGTCAGGACAGGACTCCCTGCCCGTCTTCAGCTTTCAGGTCCCATGGAGAGTTCCTCGATTTACTGAGGCTACTGCCTGTCGCCCTCTTGCCCAGCAGGGCCCCGTGTTCTGGATCTGTCCTACAGCTTCCTATACCCCACCCTGTCCCCACTAGCAACCCTAGCGGCCCCTGTCCCAGTTCTTCTGGGCTTTGTTCCAGGGCTTCCTGGTGACCACTTGTTAAGCGGATAAAGTAACGGGCACTGTTGCGGTCCACTGCCAGGTACCACAGGGACCACCTTCTCAGAGGCTGTCACCCCCATGGTCAGGCCTTCAAGGCGTGCCGAAGGCGGGAGGGCTGGGATGGCTCAAGACGTGAGTGCCTCGGGGGCCTTTGCCAGACTTGTCCGCAGGGATCACGATGTCCTCATCACGGCTGCTGGGTGGCAGGAGGGCAGCCCTGTGGGGTGGGGATGGCCCCATGTGTGCGCTTCTCCTGCCCAGCCGTGTGGCTCACCCTGTCCCCTGTCTCCGCAGTGGGCTACGGCTCCTGGTTTGAGCACGTGCAGGAGTTCTGGGAGCACCGCATGGACTCGAACGTGCTTTTTCTCAAGTATGAAGACATGCATCGGGTGAGTGCTGCCGGAGCAGCTGTCCTCCGGGTGCCCTGGCCCTCGGCCTGGCAGCTCCTGACGCAGGAGCCCTTTACAGTGGGCGTGTGGGAGGAGGAGGAGGGGTCTGAGGAGGGACAGAGGAGGGGGCGGGACAGTCTGTGGGCTGGAAGGGGGCTTGGGGGTGTGGGGAGCAGCCTGTCAAAGCCTGAGGTGTGGCAGGGCAGCCATGCCGTGCGAGGCTGAGGGACCCAGGAAGGCGGGTGTGGGGAGGGGACTGGGGCTTGGCTTATCAGGGGGCCTTTGGAGTGCTTTACAGTGGTGGTTGATGGGACGTTGAGGAGAGGCCACTGTCTGCAGTGAGACACGAGGCAGCTGGTAGCTTGGGGAGCCTGGGTCACCACAGAAGAGACTGAGCATTTTCTAGGTGTTGGGAGAAAGCAGGAGCTGGGGGAGGGGTTGAAAAGAACTAATGGGACAAGGTCTTAGTCCAGGCAGAGGCAGGGCTTGGGGCTGGAGCCTAGGCAGAGGGGCTTCTGGTGGCAGGGGCAGGACAGGCAGGAGACACCTGTGGCCTGGCCCATGGGAAAGAGGAGAGACGATGGGGTGCAGATGTGGACTGTGAGGTTGCTCCTGTGGGGCAGAGGCCTGAGTGCCAGCTGGAAACCATGTCGATGTAGGGGACAGACAAGGCCAGCCTGTGGGGCTGCTAGTGTCAGTGGCTGACAGACAAGCAGGTTTAGGTTGAGTAGCAGTGGGTGGGAGCTGGGATGGGGAGGAGGTCTGCTGGGAGACAGACAGGAGAGCTGGGTGCTGGGGAGGGTGAGCCAGTGCTGGAGTTGGAGGTCAGAAAGCCCAGGGGTAGGAAGGCCAGCCTTGTACTTTCCCCACACCTGCAGGAAGACGCCAGACCTGGCTGTGAACAGAGCCACACGAGGTCCCCTATGGCGCTGGGGTGGGGGCTGTGCCTTGTGGCCCTGGGGTGGTGGGGTGTTTGTTGTGGCCCTGGGGCGGGTGGTGTGTGCACTGTGATCCTGGGGTGGGGGTGTGTGCGTTGTAGCCCCGGGGTGGGGGTGTGTGCACTGTGATCCTGGGGTGTGGGGGTGTGCCTTGCGTTTCCTGCAGTTGTTCTTGGGTTGCTTTGTGCTCACACACTGGGGCCTGTGGTCAGCACGGGCCAGGTCGGCCTTCGCAGGAGCGTGGCCTTTCGGGGCTTGCTCGATGTGCAGGAAGGACCCCGTCTGCAGGTCTGCTGCCGGCTGGCGCATGCTGTCGGTTCCCCACATGGGTCCTCACCATGGCTCTGTGTTATGGTGAGGAAAGAGCAAGGTCATGTGGCGGTCTAAGGTCACACGCGCCATGGAGCCGACTGCTGGGTGAGCCTGTCTGACTCTACATGGGCCTCCACCTGTCTGCCTCTTGTCCACACAACTTGACACAGAGCCACATTTAGGGTCCCTGCTCACGCCCAGAGGACGGTGTGGTAGAGATGAAGGTGTAGCCCAAGCAGGTTGGAACCCTGGTCCTGCCGCTGACCTCTGTGAAGCCGTCGGCCGTGGTTTCCTGTGGTGCTGGGGAACAACGTGGGCTCTGGATGCTGGCTGCTCAGGCCAAAGTCCTGACCACCCCAAGCCTCTGTAAAGTGGGGAGGTGACAGCACCCCCGTCACTGTGTGGCTGGGAGGACTGTGTGAGCATCACCTACGTGCAGGCCTGGCACGGGCCCGCCTGGTGTGTACCTTTTTGTGGTGGTGTCATGCACAGTGAGGTGTACTTGGCACACACGTGGGGCTTGACAGCCTTTTACCTGTCACATCTGGGCAGCCACCTTCCAGATCCAGAACATTCCAGCTTCTTGCAGTTGATACCCCTGCTTCCCAGAGGCCACCGCGGTTTCATCTCCCTCACCGGAGCTTGGCGTTGCCTCTTTGGAACCTGTCAGGTGTGGAACTCGCATGGGTTTTGCTGTCTGGCTTCTGCGCAGATGGCGAGGCTCCTCCACCTGCGTGGCGCGGAGCTCTGTTCTTTCCTGTGCTGTGGTCGGTGCTCCGTTGCAGCACGAATGTGCCACCGCTTCATCCATCCAGTGTTGCCGGGCGTGGAGGCCATTTTCACTTTGGGGTGGTCATGAATAAAGCCTCCGTGGACGTTCTGGAGTCTTGGTGGACGTCAGCACTTGTGCTTATCGGGCCCATACCCAGGAGTGGAATTTCTGGGGTCCTGGGTGTGCATTTGTCAGCTGGTCACTATTTTGCCACCAATGACATAGCATTGAACATGCACTGCCCAGGGCCACTGAGGCCCCAACATGAGAAGGTGAATAGGGAAAGCGCCCAGCTGGCCAGCTGCCCACACATCTCGGGGGCAGCTGCCGGGTCAGCAGTTTCTTCCTGGAGCTTCAGTTTCCTCAGCAATGATGGACTGAAGTTTTAAGGTCCAAACACACACTTTACTCCAAGCCCTTAAAGGGAAGTTCATCCTTCTCTGCCTTCCAGGCTCCCCAGTGAAAGTGGTCAGACCTGTTGCTTTCAGTCCGTCAGGGTCAAGGCCACCAGCCCTGCCTGGAACTTTAAGAGCTGCCGGGGTCAGTGCTGGGACTTCATTTTCTATCAAAGCCGGTCTGTGACTCAATGGCATCCCTGGGACAGTCAGCGTTTCGCCTTCTAATTGGCATGGGTTTATTCTTTTTTTAGGAACCTCAGTAATGGCTTGTTTTAATGGAGGTCAAGTCACATTTTTAGGAATTAATATTGTTTACATCTTACTCCAGAAAACTAGCCCCGAGTGAGCATGGTTGTCTCCAGGACTGTGGTGTGGGTCCATGTGTTCTCACCCTGGGGTTGAGAGGGAATGCTTCCTGCCAGAGCGCTCACTGCCTGCGCTCCACTGCACCGCAATTACAGTGGCCCTTTCCCACGAGCCGGGCACTGTGCCAGGCACCCCGGGTATATTCCCACTTCATCCTCAGTCATCTTGCAGGGTGTTCTCACCAGTCACGGGGTGCCCTGACTGCAACCGTGTGGCCAGCTAGTACCTGCCCATGTGGAGGCACGACCCCAACACGCTGGCTCCGTGCCGTGGTGTGCGGCCTCTTGCTGCGGCCCTGTCGCTAGTTCCAGATGGGGAATGTGTGGCTCAGAGAGGTGAAGTGGGCCGTTCCTGCCAGCTGACCTGGGCGTTCTGCCTGATCCCTGCTGGGTTTCATAACCAGCAAGTGTCCTGTGACATGTTGCTGGATGTAGCCTGGCAGAAACGCCCCTTCCTCTGAGATGGACGTCACGCCGCAGTGAGCTGCCCCACGAGGATTCTGCTGAACGCTCCAGCAGGCTGACTTTAAGCCAGCTGTGTCCTTCTTGCGGCATCTCTTCTGAGAGCCAGGTTTCTTCACTCTTTCTCCATTGCTACCCTTTTTCTTTGAAATGGAGTTCTTGGTGGCAGGGCAAGGGAAAGGGAGCTCTGTATTCCTTGGCTCATTCTCTAATAACTGTTCCTCTGACTCTTGAGTCAAGCCCTGCGCCCGGGATGCACCACACCCCTGCCTGTGGAAGGCAGTGCGAGGCCAGAATCAGACCTGCAACCGCTGCTGCAGGAGTCAGCGCACTGTGGGGACCCAGGGAGGAGCTGGCGCCCACACCAGCTGACTCCCACACCAGCGGTCAGAGAACATTGTCTTTTAAGGTTTCCGAAGTGCTGCAATAAAGAAATTAAATCATCTTTTCACTGTAGGACTTTTTAGAGGCTTTAATGCGGGAATTTGCTTTACAAACCTTCCAGAGAGGAAACAGCCTCCAGCATCTTCCTAATGGGACCAAGGCACCTCTAGGTGACAGCTCAGGGCTGTGATTGAGAAGACGAGGAGCCTCATCTCTTGGGGAGAAAGTGGCAGGGGTGGGGGGCTGGGGAATGGCCCCCTCAAGACGGTTAGCCACATCAGTGACATTCCGCTGTCAGGCGTGGTAAAATAATGGGGCAGGGTATGGCAGGCATGACGGAATCTTGCCTGTGATGAAGCGGGCTCCCTGCCCAGTGCAGGGCCATCTGGAGACCAGAGGGGCCTCCCTGCGCTCCCAAGGGCCAGCCCAGACGCCAGCTGACAGGCAGCAGGAAGGGAAAGAGGAGCCCATTAGGTCTTGCTCCTCACAAGAACCATGTTCTGAAATATGTTTTTTACTTCTTGCTCCTGTTAAAACTTAACCACACCTCTATTAAGACCTCATGTCTGCAACCCAATTCCCTGGAGGACCAGGGTTTGAATTCAAGATCTCCACGTGAGAGCTGAGCACACTTGGGCGATTTCTTAACCTCTTAGTGTTATTTCTGGACAAGGCTGATGTCAGCCTTGTGAGCATTAAGTAAGGAAGGCCGTGTGTAAAAAGTCCTCAGCGTGTGCCCAGCCTGGGGTCGTGTCCAGTAAAAGGCCCCGCCTCTGATGGGCTGCTCTGCTCTCTGCACTTGTCTTCCAGGACCTGGTGACGATGGTGGAGCAGCTGGCCAGATTCCTGGGGGTGTCCTGTGACAAGGCCCAGCTGGAAGCCCTGACGGAGCACTGCCACCAGCTGGTGGACCAGTGCTGCAACGCTGAGGCCCTGCCCGTGGGCCGGGGTACGTGCCCCACCCTGCCTCCCGCCCAGGCACTCCCCACCCCAGCCAGGCTGCTTTCTCTGCCTGCTTAGGGAGCCGAGTCCGGTCCCTGTTGCCCTCCCTGCTCTCCTTTTACAGCAGTCTGTAGCTGGCCCATGGCCTGTGCTCTGTTAGCTGGTGCCCATGGATGGCACAGTGCTCATGGAGTGACGGAGTACCCTGCCCGCTGGTGTTTGCATTGCCTCCAAGCAAACAGTGTTTTGACTTGAAAAAGTGCATTTCAGGCTTTGTGGGCGGGATGTTTCTCAGCAGGGAGTCTACTCAGATGGCCTGAAATCAAACGCCCCACAGAGCAGATCCAGGGACTGGGTTTGGTGCTATGACATGTCAAAGCGCAAAGCATGCTGATGGGTTTCTCAGTCTCTAACTGACTTGTGGGAGAGTTAAATGAAGTGGGCGGGAAGTTAGGAGACACCGTTTTTCTTCCTTCACTGAGTGGACGCTGACTGAGCATCTTCTGGGTGCAGGCAGCACAGGTGAGGCCTAGCCCCACTTCGGGGTGGTGAACTTAAGCAGACAGTACCAAGCTAAGCCGCTGCACAGAGGGAGGCCAGTTCCTGCTCTTGGCGGCAAGTGACAGTGGGCATGAGGCAGCTGGAGATGGGGACAGTGTTCCTGACAGGAATCCTCCCCAGATCCACCTGGGTTGCTCCCCCTGTCCTTAAGGGTGTGTGGCATTTGGCTTTGATGATGGAGAGCCCAGGCTCTAAAACCCCTGAATCCCAGGGTGCTGGCCTTGGCCATAGGAGGCCCCCTGTTGGTAAGTATGAACCTGATGGACACTTGGTGTGTTGGGCACTTCCTGGGTTGAGAATGTTTGCAGGGAGGGCCCAGAAACGTGGATGGCTCTGTTCAGCAGCAGCCCCACAAGATGGAGTGGGAGATGCCTGGGGCGGATGAGAGACGCGCTGGGCTCCAGCTCAGCTCTGCTGCCCTCTGGGAACGCAACATAGGTCAGGCCTTCAGCTTCTGCGGCTTTTTGTTCTTCTCTGAAAAGGGGCTGATCACGGCTAAGGGCGGTTTGAAGGTCAAGTGCAAAGTGCCGTCTCTTATAAAGGCAGAGCAGTGGACTCCTCAGGAGGAAGTGAACTGAACCACAGTCCCTCTCGACTTCTTTCCTGGCTGCATTTTCATAAATATTTGTTATTTAACATTTATTTGCTCTTTTTTAGTTTTGCTTTTGCTGTGTTTTGTTATCCTTGGATGTGACCTTCTCCAAAATACCCCTTTTGGTTCACGTGTGTGTGTGTGTGTGTGTGTGTGTGGTGAAGCAGCGTCGAGAACATACTGTGTGCCCATATGCTCCTTCCCTTGGGTTTGCTTTATCATGGTTTACCTTGGTTTTGCTTTATTTCAGTTCTTTGATTTGTTTTCTTTTAGCACATTGCGTCTTTGCTCGGAAGATCTTCTTGAGTTGGTGAGAATGCAGGGCCGAGTAGCCAGCTGCATTGCTTAGATTTGATTCATGTCACAGCATAAATTGTCTTGATTCCAAATCCTAAACCAGGTGGGTGACTCCTCTGACGAGCTCTCAGCTGTCTCAGCTGAGAAAAATAATCATGGAAAAATAGTTTGGTTGCTCTAGCAGCTTCTAATTTTGCCCCTTAGGTATCATTAAAGGGTTACAAGAATAATTTTTCTTGTTTTTCTCTCCAACACTGATAATTTTTTGTTACCAAAGAGAAAGTCCGTGTTACGTTGGGTATTTTAGCTCAGCATTTGCAGGGTTGCAGTTTGAAAAACCTGAGGTCCTGCCTGGACAAGGACCGCTGTTAATAACGGAGCTAGTGAAGGACATTTGCTGGAGACAGAGCTCTGATCTCAGAGAGCTGACAATGGAAAGAATTCTAAACGAGCAGTTCTTCAAAAGCAGGGAGGCAGTACTCGGGTGATGTGCTCACAGCTCCCATAACTGGGAAGTTTGGAATCCCCGCCCCAGACATCTTCACGGTCACCGTTGCTATTGGACTAGACCAACCTAAGATTTTATATTAACAAAGACAATGGGAGCAACAACTTCTCTTGTCATGTTGAGCTGTCTTTCGTTTTTCCAAAGCCTTCATAAACCAGCGTAGACCGGTGCCTGCAGTTTATCCCACAGCTCAGCCCTCCCTTGTGGCTGCCAGGAAGAGGTCTGGGTTTCTGACTAAGCCTGGGCTAGAGCAGCTGGGGGCTGTGCCCAGACTCATTTTATTGTTGACTCAGGGAATTCTCACTGCAGTGCATGTTTTGCATCTAGTCTGTAAAGCTAGCTAATGCTGCGACTATTTGATTCACTTTAAATTCCTCCCCAGGGTTTGCCAGGGCAGGCTTCTTGAAATCTGCATCTTTGGCCCAGTCAGGAGGGCTTCCTACTTAGTGTAAAATTTTCTGCACTTTGAATGATTTTTTTTTCCTTTTCAAATTCTCCCGAAGCCAATGACGCCTTGGTGGCACTGTTGAGCTGTGAGTGGATAATGGCGTGGGAAGGGCCAGGGCTGCCTGTGATGCCCAGAGCAGTGCACTCCCGCGGCAGATCATACTCGCTCCTGGGATGTTTATTAAACACCTGCCACGTGCCAGGTGCCGTTCTAGGTGCTGGGGACCCAGCACTGAACAGGAGTAGAGTCTCCCTGGTGGGCCCCAGCGGGGGGTGTGGAATGGCACCAGGAGGTGGTTGTGGCTCACTGTGCCACAGCCTCAGAGGGAAGCTGGTTCAGGTCATGTTCTGCCGCATCCAGTAGTTTCACAAATGTTAGGGGACCACCTGGTCTGTAGCTCAGACGGCCCTTCCTGCCCCCATAGGCCAAGTTCAAAGGGATCCAGGAATAGATCTGGAATGTTCCAGATCCATTTCCAAGGCTTCCTTTAGTTCAGTAGCTGGCCGGACAGCAAGTGGCCCCAGCAGTTCTCTTGTTTGCGTTTCAGGAAGAGTTGGGCTGTGGAAGGACATCTTCACCGTCTCCATGAATGAGAAGTTTGACTTGGTGTATAAACAGAAGATGGGAAAGTGTGACCTCACGTTTGACTTTTATTTATAATAACAGAAACAACAACCTGCATGCTCACAATACCCAGACAGTCTACTAGCCAAAAGTCCTGTATGCATTCATTTATTCCTTGCTGGACAAACTCTGGAAGCAGCGTGTGAAACAGCGGGGGAAGGGAAGAGCGGCGTGAGCGGAGGGAGTGTGATGATTCCCAACCGAAAGCAGCTGTCTCGCCTTTAGAACGTGCAGCCTCTCCATGTCTGATTACAAACAGTCTCCACATTGCAGTTCCAATGGCCTGGACCGTAAGGATAAAGCCTGTAATATATGCAACTAGAATGTCTGCCTTTTCAACCCCGTATTATTGTATTTTATAGAGCTTTTCACTGGAAATCTACATAAATGTCAGTAAACCAAATAAAAGTTCATTTCCAAGGGGAATCAGGAGCGAGCCACACCCGAATGGTAGAAAGATCTCAGGGTTAACTCTTTATTTTTGTAGTTTTATTATCTAAGGCACAGCCATTCTGTTCTCACTTGGTTCTGAGATAGTGGTGAGAACAGAGGATGAGTTGGGTCTGTTGGGGGGAATCTGGACACTTGTTTATTCTGACGGAGTTCACTTCTTCAGAACCTTCCTGAAATGAGCAGAAATTGTTCACTAGGTCTTCAGAATGGACGTCCTTCTGCCAGAGACTTCCAGCGGGCGGCTCCAAAGGCCCAATGCAGAGGAGCCCGCGGAGCATGTGCTGAGGGAAGTCTGCCTGGTGAGGCTGGCAGGTGGGAGTCTAATGCAGTCAGGAGCATTTGCATGCAGTGGGTGGAGAGTCGGCCACCAAAGGACCGAGTTGCGCTCGGAATTTGAGCTGAATTCCACAGCCTTACTTTGTTTCCTGAAGTGATAGCCTACTAATGCTGGCAAGCAGATGCTTAATAGTAAATTTCTAAAATCCCCGGGTCTTTATCATTCAGTTTGTTCTGTGCACCTGAGGCGCTCAGCCGTGGGAGGACCATTTTGCGAGTGTAGCCCTGTTTCACTCGGATCAGGTTGGCACGGCCGCCTGCGTGTCTGTCCACCTCATCCCTCCGTGTATCTGAGGGAGTAAAGGTGAGGTCTTTATTGCTTCACTGCCTAATTTTCTCACCCACATTCGCTGAAGCGATGGAGAGTCGGGGGCCAGTAGCCAGCCAACCCCGTGGGGACCGGGGTTGTCTGTCATTTATGTGGCTGGAAAGCACCCAAAGTGGTGGTCAGGAGGGTCGCTGCTGTGGAAGGGGTCTCCGTTCTTGGTGCTGTATTTGAAACGGGTGTAGAGAGAAGCTTGTGTTTTTGTTTGTAATGGGGAGAAGCGTGGCCAGGCAGGTGGCACGTGGCATCGCATGGTGGGCTCGGCAGCACCTTGCCTGTGTTTCTGTGAGGGAGGCTGCTTTCTGTGAAATTTCATTTATATTTTTCTATTTTTAGTACTGTATGGATGTTACTGAGCACTACACATGATCCTTCTGTGCTTGCTTGCATCTTTAATAAAGACATGTTCCCGGCGTTGCGTCGAGCGTTTCTGCTTGTGGGGGTAGAGGGGTCCCTGCAGCGGTGCTGTCGGTGCTTGGGACAATATGACTGTGGGCCCCGTTGACACCCCATTCCCTGGGGTTGACAGCAGAGGGAAACAGGCCCGTGTTGGGCTTTGATGAAGCAGAATTCAGACTTTCCAGGGGTTCACTTCTCCCCATTATTTCACTCAAATTCAGACTTTCCAGGGGGTCAGTTCCCCCACTATTTCCTCATTCACCTCTGATCACTTCTATAAATGGGGTGGAGGAGAAAGGGTAAAAGCATGGGAGATGCGGGTGCACCTGTGGGTCCAGGTGTCGGGACCTCCCAGTCTCTGCCTGGGAGCCCTGTGTTCAGCGTTGCGCACTGTGGTGCCCGAGGCCGGCCCCTCCAACTGTGCTTCCCCACTGGGAATTCCAAAGCCTGTCTTCCTGATTTCCTGTGGAAGGAGAGTCCAGGGCATTGCTTTCCTTGAGAAAGCTCGAGCCTTCTGGAAAATCATGTTTATTTTCAAATGAACTACCTCTAGGTCTCAGGTGAAATTCTAGAAATTATTTTGGCACCTGGAATTAACACAGACCCTGGGTTAATCAAGTATCCAGTCTGCTGTGCCCTAGAGGGCTTGCCTTCTAGTAATTTATTAACCACATCAGTCAAGCAGCCAGGATGCAGTCAGTGTGCCTGGAGCCCAGGCAGCGCCTGTTTACCCATGTCCACTCTTCCCTGCGTGGTGGGTGACTCACCTCACTTCATGGAGTCGGTCATTCGACTGCACCTGCTCCATGCCAGGCACTGTTCCCGGCACTGTGGATGCGGCAGGGGACAGAGAAAGCCCTGCCTCTGTGGAGTTTGCATTCCAGTGGGGTAGACAGGCGACAGAACCCAAGATCAGTTCAGGCCCAAGCGTGCTCTAAGGGGATAGGGAACATGCCCGTGGAAGAATGGGGGGGCCTCTGAGGAGATGGTGCTGAGCAGTGGGGGGCCTGGCTGCAGCTGGGTGGGCAATGCGCTGGCAGGCACTCGGTTTTGGAGGGGTGGCTGCGAGCCAGCTGGAGGGCCTCACAGGTCATGAGATTTCAGCTTTTGTACTAAGATAGGGAGCCATGGGAGGGCTTATTCAGAAGAACGCCACCTGCTTTGCATTTTTAGAAGCTCTCCTGGCTGCTTTGTGGGTAGACTGCAGGGGCAAGAGCGAGTGGACCTTTGTCCCAGCTGTGAGTCACTCCATCTGCAAAGTGAGGTGGGCACTGTCTGAGAGCATCTCCAAGGTTTCTTAGGGGTCTGCAGTTGCAGGCCTTCGTGTGCTGGCTTCTGAGCATGGTTCTGGCTGTGCTCACCTGGAGCTAAGGCAGGGAAAACAAGCCAAGGCAAAAGGTGCTGTGAGGACTGTGAGGGAGCCAGGGTCAGGAGGAGGGAGCCATCAGGTTGGCAGTTGCATGGGAGTGCGGGTGGGATTTGAGCTGTGTCCTGAGGTTGAGGGTCACCTGGACAGGCAGGGAATGGGAGAGAGTCCTGGGCAGCCCTCAGCCTAGTCCTTTGTTATTTTACACAACAATCCACAGAACATTCCTGAATGTCAGAGCCCTCTAAGCGTAAGCCAGTGGTTGCCTGGTATTTTGATTTCACAGACCAATTGAGATTCCAAAAAGTATTTTGGGGACCAACCAACATAGCACTGACACACACACACACACACACACACACACACACACACTTCTTGCCATAGCACTGACACACACACACACACACACACACACTTCTTGCCATAGCACTGACACACACACACACACACACACACCAACCAACATAGCATTGCCACACACACACACACACACACACACTTCTTGCCAAGCAAGACCCTGAACTGATCTCAAATGATAGCCTTCAGCTGCTGCCCCTGCCCGGGCTGGGCGCGCCTTGCTGTCCTCCTGGCTCTGACACCAAGTCATTTGGAGTTCACTTGTTTTCCCTCGACCCCCCGCTCTTCATCTGAAAAGGGATCAGCACAGATTCCATGGTTCTCTGACCTGAAGCAGGTAAGTCAATTCCTCTGGTCCAGTGTCAGGATTTACACAGTGGTGATCGTCATTGTCCTGCTCACGTCAGAGGATGGTTCTAAGAACAGTGACGCTCCTTTGAGCATAAATAAAACGAGGCTGTGCTGGCCCCATCCTCCTGCCGGCCAGCCAGGCTCCCAGAGTGGCCAAGCTGCAGTTGCCAGCGGGTGGTGCACCGGGGGAGGTGCGTGAGCACTGCTAGGTGGGCATCCACAATGTCCCCAGTACTGCGGAGAGACCCCCTCAGGTACAGGCGCCACCACGTGCAGGCCCTGTCCTGGGAGATCTCAGTGGAGATCGGTTTTTACCCACCTCTCTAGGCCATGGGGCAGTGGTGTTTGTGGTGGAAGGAGGGAGCCTCAGGTGTCCAGCAGCTCTGCCTGGCCAGCTCCGTTCTCCCGTAGAGTTTGGCTCCATTCCTGCCCATTGACATCCTCTTCCACTCTTTATTGTACAACGTGCATTTTAAGACAGGGAGGGCCCCTGGGTCAGGTGACCCAGCATGACCCAGCTGAGGAACAGCCTCTGTGACATCCCTGACAAGGGACATCTTGTCCCCGGTAAGCTCACCAGCTCCTGGGACAGCCCCTCCACTCTGAGCCACCCTCTGCAGCCGCCACCCCAGCCAGGGCCCTCAGAATCATCACTTCCCTCAACTGAGCCGCCCAGCCCTGCCTCCTCTGCTGGACAAGTGCATCCCCCACACTCCCCAGCGATCCCTGCTTTCCTCACCGCCCCACCTCAGTGTTGTGTGGCTGTTTCCTTTGGAGACAGGGACGTCCTGAGAGTGGGGACTGCACCGTCAGGGTTTTCCTACTGTTCCTGCTTGGCCCATGGAGGCTGCATCTTCCCAAACAAGACCCAGCCTGGCCTCCTGTCTCCTTACCCTGGACCCCCACTTCCTGCCATTGCCCCCACTTCCTTAGTGACATTTCTTTACTGCCAGTGGCTCAGGTCCTGGTCCTTCCTACAAGTGCAGCCTGGCTCGTGGTCTTCCCCATGTCCGGACCATCCTTTCCGAGGTCACTGGCTTTCCAAATCTAGGTGTAGCTGTGTTTCCGGTGCCCTTCCTTCTGCCCTTCTTTCTCTGTCCCAAGCCCAGAAACGTGGTGCCCATAGAGCTACTGAGACCCTTCCTTGACACTCCCATCTCTCCCTCTCTTCCTGCATCTCTTGGGCATTTAGGAGCACCTGCTCTGCAAGGCCCTGTGCTTGGTATTCTCCCCCTTCTAATCAAGTTCCCTCCATTCCATTCCCTCGGGGCTCTGCTCTCAGCAATCGCCCACGTCCTTGTGGAAGGAGGCCTGGCAGGGAGCAGAGGACCTGGGCTCTAAAGTCCCGGCTTTGTCCCTGGCTGGCTGCATGACCCAGGCATGTATGACCCTTGCCTTCTCTCAGCCTGTCTCCATATCTGTCACGTGGCCTTCCAGGTTTCTTCTAGTTGTCAGAGTCTCCAGTTGATGGCTAAGTGGGCTTTCCTGGTGTCCCTGGCAGCACGCTGCTTTGCCCGTTTAAACACACACCTCCATAACAAACGGGCAAACAAAAGGGGCGGGGCAGACAGTAAACACCGCAGATTCCAAGCGGTGGCTTCAGTGAGACTGCTTAGTGTGAGAAGTACGCGTGAGCCGGGTCTGGAAATGGGGCAGGAGTCAGGGAGGGCACACACCAGGTGGGCAGAAACAGAATACGCCCAAATGAGGACAGAACCCTTCCCTGCCGGGAGTCGGGCGCCAGCTCCAGTGCTGCTCTGTTCCTATTTGTGGGACTGCAGGGAAGGTCCCTTTTATGTCATAATGAAGAGGTCACAGACCAGGTGTCCTAAAATTCCACCCAGCAGGAGCATGCTGTGCCTCTTAAGTGTGGTCACAGTGTCCAGCGACTCAGCTCCAGAGAGGAGCTGATGGGTGTGGGAGATGCCGGCTTTTCAGCCGATGACAGGCCCGGCCGGCAGGAGCAGAGAGCCCAAGGCAGAAGCACCTGCCACCCAGTGTGGGCCACGGGCACCGTCTCCAAGGCGTGCTGAGCCTTTGCCAAATCCACACATCAAACGACAATTTGATTCTCACACTTGGATCCCTGAATGCTAGCTGGCACTGACTGTCTGAGCTACAGCCCTTAAATCTGTCTCCTCACCACTGAGGAAAGGAGTCTGTGCTCTATTAAAAGCATTTTTTAAAAACCAGAGAATGCTAAATGTGTTTGAAAAATAAAAACCGACCAAAAAATACATTTTATCCCTCTTTAGAGTTGTTATCTTCCCATATATTCGTGGTGCTGGGCACCAGCTGGGAATGCAAGTCTGAAGACTGTGTGAGCAAGGCCCCCTCTGCAGAAGCAGAGACCGCATTGGAGCCAGCCAGAGACTCTTCCCCAGTCCACGCATCCCCAGACACTGAAGTGAATGGTTGAGGGCCTTTTCCCTGTTTCTGTCTCTCAGGTTGACCCTTTACAATCCATAGTACATGCAGTTCCCAGATGGGGAAATAATCTCTCAGATCCAGTTTGTGGCCTGGCACCCATCTCACTGCCAGAGAACCACGGCTTGTCTGTGCCCTCCGTGTCCCAAGTATGCACTTCCCTCCGCCTGGGTTGCCATTCCCCGACTTGACCCAGCTTACACTGATTCAGTGCGATCCAGGCACGATCTACTCCAAGACGCCCTTGGGCACAGTCCAGGCATGATCTACTCCAAGAAGCCCTCTGCCAAGGGTAGGAGCTCAGAGCTCCACTTTTGGTTAATATTACACCTCCCTTAACATATCCCGGATACACGGCCATCTGCCGGGAAAGCTTCTTGAGGCCAGGGCCATGTCTCTCTCACTTTCCTTGGCATCAGGAACTTAGCACAGAAGCAGTGCTCCGTGAAGCCTGATGGCTGGGAGCATTCCCAGAGTCTGACGGATCCAGCCTTGCCTTGTCATGTCAGCTGTGTCCAGCTGCCTCCACTGGCTATGCACTTGGAAGGCCCTCTCTGGCCCAGCCACACTGCTCACTCTGAGACCTTGACCTGCACTTCTAACGTTCGCTTCCCTAACTGCTATGGACCGTTTGGCCCCTTGGAAAGCCTTCCCCGTTATCTGTAGGTGCTGCCAATCCATGTCCACCACATGCCTTGGGCTGGTTTAAAAACGCAATCTCCTGGGGGCTGCCATGAATGAATCCCAGCTCACTGCCATCCTGGACACAACTAGGCCTCAGTTTTTACCAAGGACCTTAGGGGGGGGTCACCAGATCTGGCAGACAGGCTGTTTTTCAATGGGTGATGGCTGCCTCCATCCTGCGTCTCCATCACGCCCGGACTCTGCAGAGGAAGAGAAGGCCGGACCGTTCCTTAGCCCACAGAAGGCGTGACTGGCATATCTTCACTCCCATCATGAGACGGGATGCAGAAACGCATATCTTTTTTCCTTAGAAGTGTGCCAGCAGTTAGAGCCTTGAATTCGGAAAGAGTGATGATTCCCTGTAGTGGTATATCGGTTTGCATTTGCTAACTGCTTTCAAGTTTTCTTTCCTGAGTAGATATTTCTAGTCCAAGTAGGCTGTGAGCAGAGTCTGTGCCTCATTCATCCCTCTGTTCCCATACTGTGCATTCGTTCCTAACAGGTAATCCATAAATGCTTGTTACCTAACTAAAGGCAAATTAAATGCTAAACAGCACTAATGACAAGCTGTTGCAAGATCCCGGCTCTCAGGAAAGAATTACTTGTGGTTGTCAGGGGCCTGCCTGTTGCCCAGGTGTAGGAAACATGAAACACTTCTTTCCCAACTGCTTCTCTATTCCAGAGGTGGTGCATTCTTCTAAGATTGCTGCAATATAATGTTTGGGAGGCAGGTTTCATTAAAATTATTTTTTGAGACAGAGTCCCACTCTGTCACCCAGGCTGGAGTGCAGTAGTGCGATCTCAGCTCTCCTTAACCTCCACCTCCCAGGGTTCAAGCGATTCTCCTGCCTCCGCCTCCTGAGTAGCCGGGATTACAGGCACCTGCCACCACGCCTGGCTAATTTTTGTATCTTTAGTAGAGACAGGGTTTCACCATGTGGACCAGGCTGATCTCGAACTCCTGACCTCAGGTGATCCCTCCGCCTCGGTCTCCAAAGCACTGGGATTACAGGCGTGAGCCACTGCGCCCAGCCAGGGTTCATTAAAATTCTAAATATCAGTGTTCGACACCACGGAATCTTGTTCAGGAGCAACATAAGTGGATTTTATTCTTCTTTCCGTGAAAGGAAACAACCAGTAGCTATTAAAGGAAATTAAGAGCTTAATAGTATATCAGTCTCTTAAAGGGGAAAGAGAACATGCCTAGGTGCTTTGCTGAGCCTGTGGAGAGCCGCTCTCCATGGAGGATCCTCAGATAGATCCTCAAATGGCCCCCTGTTTACAAGTAATCATCAATTATTTGTAGTGACAACGTTTAACATGTGCAATTTAGTTTCTGGCTGATTGAACTAAAACGAGCAGCTGCGTCATCTGTCAAGGTAAATATTCGAGAGATAAAGCAGCTATTTTAATAAAGAAAAAATAACCACAGTAGCTTTTCCAAAAGAGCTACTTATACCTCATTTATTTTTATGTCATATTTTTTTTTCCTCCTCAGGACAGCTGAAGAGAATCTTGTCTCCATTTTATGAGACTACCAAAAGGACAGCAGTCAGGGAAGCAGATTTCTGAGAGGGAGAGGCTCTCCGCTTCCATGTGGACACGCTACGCATCCCTGCCACGTACTTGCTCTTCTTCCCTTCTTTATTAATAGACATGGTGGAAACCAGTACTTAACTTCTTCGTGGCTAATCAGCCCCTACTGTTTCTTTCTCCACATGAAGGCATAATCTGCATTCGTAACATCATCACTGATGCCTGTGAGATAATTACAGGCTCGATCTTACGGCCCAGTCTCTTAGGTGTACAGAATTGTGGTGAAAACCAGCTCCAAGCCCCCAAAACCCGCAGGGTGGGCAGAGGGTGATTGTCACCCAGGTCTCCATGATCCCAGAGTTTCTTCTTGAATACTGAGGGAATGGACCATCTGTTGCATATAAGTGTAAAGATATTTTCTCCAGCAATTCATGGTTTCCTTTTCAAGATTCTCATCAAAGGTCTTGAGCAGCAGACTCATGCCATGGGTGTAAATAGTACAGATGGTAACGGTTCCTCAGGAGGTGAGTTTACTGGCTTCAGTGATGCTGAATGGTATCTAGGAAAAGGTAGGACCCTCACCCACCAAATCCAGGCTTCAGCCTGTTGGAAGTGGACCCACTGCAGGGCACCTAAGGGAACCATCAATGTCTTCTGGGAAGTTTTTTTCAGAGAAGACAACAATCTCCTCCTACAAACTGTTCCTTGGGGCCACTGTCACATTATACAACTCTGGTCTGTTCCATCAAAGATCAAACCTTATTGAATAGATTTTAGGGGCTCATCTAGATAATAAATGAGGGAAATTTCAGTTTCTGTAAAAATTAAATCTGCACATGGAGGTGAGACGTTTCCTGGAACAAGGAAAACCCTCTGGATTGAAGATGATCTTTAAGGAGAAAAAAGAGAGAATCACGTGACAAAACTTCATGATGGACTCATCTAATTAGTCATTTCAACATATAGAAAAATTATCCTTGGGTTCAAGGAAATCAGCAAGGGTTTTGAGTTTCTGGGTTCTTGGCTACATTGATCCAGTTGTACACCACTTATGTGTGCGTCACTGTTACTGTTGTTTTTTTTTTTTTTTTTTTTTTGAGACGGAGTCTCGCTCTGTTGTCCAGGCTGGAGTGCAGTGGCGCAATCTTGGCTCACTGCAACCTCCGCCTCCCTGGTTCAAGCAATTCTCCTGCCTCAGCCTCCCAAGTAGCTGAGATTACAGGTGCCCACTACCACGCCTGACTAATCATTGTAGTTTTAGTAGAGATGGGATTTCACTATGTTGGCCAGGCTGGTCTCGAACTCCTGACCTCAGGTGATCCTCCTGCCACAGCCTCCCAAAGTGCTGGGATTACAGGCATGAGCCACCGTGCCCGGCCTGCTTCACTGTTGAGAGCAGGCCAGTGCAAAAGACATTAAGGTATTCCCTACTAGAATTCCATGTTTGCCCACACAGCCAGACATTGGCCAGGGTTTATCACCTAAAATTATCCCTCAGGTTCTTTTGGATTGAAGATGCTTCCAGGACTGTGAGACAATACATTTCTGTTGTCCAAGCTGCCCAGTCTGTGGAAATTTGTTACCGCAGCCCTATCTAATACAACTCCCTTTCTCAGATCCACTTAAACTGTGCACGTTTTGCCCCAATTGCTTTATTATTTGCTATCTATCAATACATAATTTTTTCAGAAGCATTTGAAAGTAAGTTACAGGCTGGGCACAGTGGCTCATGCCTGTAATCCCAGCACTTTGGAAGGCTGAGGCAGGCAGATCACTTGAGATCAGGAGTTCAAGACCAGCCTGGCCAACATGGTGAAACCCTATCTCTACTAAAAATACAAAAATTAGCTGGGCTTGGTGGTGTGTGCCCGTAATCCCAGCTACTTGGGAGGCTGAGGCAGCAGCATCGCTTGAACCCAGGAGGTGGAGGGTGCAGTGAGCTGAGATCGCATCACTACACTCCAGCCTGGGCAACACAGCGAGACTCTGTCACAAACAAACAAACAAAACACCAAAAACCATTAAAAAAATGGAATTATCTTTATTTTTTTTTTCCTAATGTCTTCTTATGATAGGATTAGGTGATGCATTCCAGATTAGAATACTACAGCAGTTGCCCTTTTCAACGGAGGTTGTCCTTCACATTACATCTGAAGCCACACAATGTCCATGCTCCTTGTTGGTAGTGTTAATTTTTATTATGGTATCCAAGCATTGTCCATTTTTCTTTTGTATTATGACTACTTTTTCTCCTGTAAGTAATAAGTGATCTGTGGGACTATCCTTTAAAACAATGCAAATATCCTGCTCCCCATCCAAAGAACCCCGAGATGAAGCACCCGTGAATGATCCTTGCCTGAATCAATCTTCACTCAGTGGTTGCAACATGATGGCTTTTCAGCTCTAGTCCTCCTGCATGACCATTTGTCCCTAGGCCTGCTACTGCAAGCACGTGCCCTCCCTTGTCCTGCATTTATTCTATCTGTCCATCGCTCCTGGGCCTGGACTCATGACTCCTATTTCTTTTACTGTCCTTCATTATTCTGGCCAGCAGGAGCCCCATTCAAGCTGGCTTCTGGGCTTTGTGACCATAGCGATCCTGGGGGGAGAATGAGGTTGAGGTTGTAGGATGGTCCCAGTGGCCCTGCATGCTGTTTTAAAGATTTTTATTTTTAGCATAAGAAGGCTTTTAAGGCAAGGTAGTGCAGGGGAACTTGGAGAGAATGGATGAGATTGCTACCATGTACGTATTCTGGTGTTAGAATCGACAAGACTTGCTGAAGCACTAGATATGGGGTATGAGGTAGTGATCATTGAGGGTAACAACAAGGCTTCCTAGTTTGAGCATTGCTTTGGAATAGGTGAGTGCGGGCAGGCACAGTAGCTCACACCTGTAATCCCAGCACTTTGGGAGGCCGAGGCAGGCGGATCACGAGGTCAGGAGTTCAAGACGAGCCTGGCCAACATGGTGAAACCCTGTCTCTACTAAAAATACAAAAATCAGCTGGGCATGGTGGCTCACGCCTGTAATCCCAGCTACTCGGGAGGCTGAGGCAGAGAATTGCTGAAACCTGGGAGGTGGAGGTTGCACTGAGTCGAGATCGCACCATTGCACTCCAGTCTAGGCGACAGAGCAAGACTCCGTCTCGAAAAAAAAAAAAAAGTAATAGGTGAGTGAGGGAGGTGAGTGGATCAAGGGCAATATGGATGGCTTAAGTCTGAGTGATCTCCAGTACATTCCAGTAGAGGGGTCAAGGCTGGTGAGAAGCATAACAGCAGGACCTACGACAGGGTCAGAGGGGCCCTAACATCCAAAGGCCACACAGAGGAGGGAAGTCACCAGTGGGGCCCAAGAATTGAGTAGTTGGTGTGGTATTAGAGAAGCCTGAAGTATTTCAGGCAGAAAGGAGTGATCAACTGGGCTGAATGCTACTGAGAGGTCAAGTAATGTACGGCCAAGTAGAGAAGAAGTATTTGTGAGAATGCCAGTTACCAGGCAATGAGAGTCACGCTTCTGTGAAATTTGGTAACTGAAAGACAGCATGTATAGACAGCTCTACTGAGAAGCAGGTTAAAGAGGAGCAGAGAAATGGGGTGGAAACCAGAAGATCATCTATTTTTTTTTTAAAGATGTGAGATACTAGAGCATGTTCCAAGAAGGAGGGAAAGAGAGAAAGAGAAAGAATGAGACTCTTGGCTATCATGAGAGAGGGAATAACTGAAGCCCTTTTGATCTCAGGACCAAACTTTTTGGCCTCAGGATCCATTCACACTCTTAAAAAGTATTGAGGATCCCAAAAAACTTTTATTTATGTTTATATCTATCAATATTTACCATGTTAGAAAATACAATTGATAAAAAATTTATTAACTCATTAAAAATAATAAACCCATTAGATGTTAACGTTCTCTAATGAAAAATTACACTTTCCAAAAAAGTGAAAAGAGGGGCAGTTTTCTATTTTTGCAGATCTCTTTAACATCTGGCTTAGTACAAGACCGCTGGATCTCTTACCTTCTTTTGCATTCAATTTGTTGCAATATCACACATCATGTAGCTTCTGGAAAATCCCCCCATATACTTATGAGAGAAAAACAATGAAAAAGCAAGTAAAGTCTTAAGTGTTATGAAAGTATTTTTTGGCCCCATGGACAGTCTGAAAGGGTCTCAGGATCCCCAGGGATTCCCAGACCACACTTAGAGCACTGCCTATAATAAAGAAGGCAAATGGGGAGGGATCCAGGACACAGTTAGAGGGACTGGCCTCTGTAAGAGACCCTCTTTTGGGGCAAGAGGAAAAGAGGCGATGAATGCCAAAGTGATTGTGAAGGAGTGCATTCCATTCTTATGCATTACATTTTCTCAATGGGATAAGACCCATGGTCATTGAGTCCGGTGAGGAAGTAGTGAGTGCGGGAGGTCTGAGACAAGCCATGGGAAAGAATTCTCTTGGTGAACAGGAAAACTAGCTGCCCAGTGAAGTAGTCAGAGTGCCCAGCAGGGACCGCATAGTATCCATCTTTGCAGCACACACCAGGGCACCTAATTGACCTGCCGCAGCCATGTGTGCAAGGAATTCCAAGCTGCACACGTCTGCCTGGCTGCTTCTCTCCCACAGTGAGCAGTGTGGCAGGGTGCCTAAGAGCAAGCTCCATAGGTTCTCATTCTGCTCCTACCCCTGACTGGCAGTGTGTCCTTGAACAAAATGCTCTGTGTGCCTCAGTTACCTATCTGTAAAATGGGAGTAACCACAGCACCCACCTCACAGGGTTGTTGTGAAGACAAATGAAGATGACAATTACATGTAAAGTACATACCTAGGATGGGTGAGTGCCTGGCAAGGGAAGTGCTCCATAGGGTCAGCGACAACAATTACATTCACTCACGTGATTTATGGCGCTTCCACTCGGCCCTCTGTCTTAGTAATAATTCACTCATTTAGCGAATATCAATGGAATGGATGCTTACTGTGGGTATGGGCGGAGGCTGAGGTTACAGCCTGGGCAAAGCAGGCCAGCTCCCGTCCTCACCGGCTGTCTCCTCGAGCAGACAAGCGGACCCAGTGAGACCCGCTACGTGGTGGCACAATGCGAGTCCCCATGACTGCTCACCCTAACGAAGGCGCAGGATGCGGTAGGGGCTTTGCGGACCTCACTGCAGCCAATCCTGACCACAGGCCCCAGTGGGCACGCTTAGCCTTTTACAGATGCAGAGTCTGCTTCTCAGAGCAGGGGGCTGACTTCCCCCGGCTACACGGCCCTATGCAGTTCGGTGGGACCGGGCCGACCGCCCAGCTCGCGCTAAAGCCCACGTAACAGAAACCCGCTCCCATGACACGGGTCGCCAGGGTTCCCGCTCCCCAGAGAACGGGACTTCCGGCGGAAATTTCTTCCGGGAGCGGAGGCGCGGGACTGACCTGGCCCCGCCCCCTCCTCGTTTATCTCCAATTGACCAATCACAGCTCAGCTTCTTGCCAGGCGCGTAGGCTCATTCTCCAGTCAGCGACTGCCGTCGTCTCTCGGGCAACAGCGTCCTAGAGACGCCGAATGGGCAGCCCCTCTGAGACCCCGCGGCTTGGGGTCCGCGCACGCGGGTGCCGGCCCAGCTAGGCGGAGAATCGAGGAGGGGTTCCCGGTAAGGCTGTATTCGGGGTGGCCACGCGCGTGCGACAGGCCGAGGAGGGGCCGGGCGGGCGGGCAGCTCCGTGGGTCTCACTGCCCTGAGAAGGCCGGCGCTGCTGCCCACCCCCAGGGACGAAGGGGTGGTGATTCGTTTATTCAGGTGTTCATGGCGCGTCTGCTTGTGCCAGGCATGTTGTAGGCCCTGGGGCCCTGTGGGGAACAGTAGGGCCCCTGTTCCCGTAGCTTACCTGATATGTGGAGAAGAACGATAAACAACGCTGACGGTGGTGACGTCTTCTTCCCTGCCTCTCTGTGAGAATCAGCTGGGAAATGTGTGTGGAAACGCCCTAAATCTCTCCAGTTTACAACATGTCTCATGCCCCTGATTTCATTTGTGCCCACAGCAGTCTTGTGAATGTCATGATTGACTCCCTCCTGTAGACAGACGAGGACTTGAAACCTGTGGGGTGAAGGGGCTTTTCCAAAGTCACACAACTATCTTAGGAAGTTTCTGAGCCAGAATTCAAACTCATTTCTGTATCACGGCAAAATCTCTGCTCTTTTACACTCTTCTCCCACAGCCTGCACATAATTACCCCTGCCTCCCTCAGAAATTTTGTTTGGAAGCACTTTGTGAGGTATACATCTGTATAGGGCTTACTTGAAGGTTGTCCAAATCACCCCTCTCTCTACTCCCTTCCTTTCTCTCCAAATCTTTGCCTTTCAGGATGTCTTGCCCCTGTTAAGAGGACTCTTCTTTTCTTTTCTTTTTTCTTTTCTTTTCTTTTCTCCCTCCCCTCCCCTCCCTTCCCTTCCCCTTTCTTCCCTTCCTCCCCTCCTCTCTCCTCCCCTCCCCTTCCCCTCCGCTCCCCTCCCCTTCCCTCCCCTCGCCTCTCCTTTTCTTTCCTGATGGAGTCTTCCTCTGTCACCCAGGCTGGAGTGCAGCGATCCCAGCTCACTGCAACCTCCACCTCCCGGGTTCAAGCGATTCTCGTGCCTCGGTGTCCCAAGTAGCTGGGATTACAGGCGCCTGCCACCACGCCCAGCTAATTTTTGTATTTTTAGTACAGACGGGATTTCACCATGTTGGCCAGGTTGGTTTCAAACTCCTGACCTCAAGTGATCCATCCGCCCGCCTTGGCCTAATTTAATATGTGTTCCTAAATGGGTGGCCTTAACAGAAATGCTGTAAATCAATTCTACTTTCATACACTACAGTTCATGTCTTTTATCCATTGCCTTCAATTCAGCAAACGTTTACTTGGCTAAGTTCTGGGGATATGAAAGTGAGTCAGAAATGGCCCCTTTGATTATATGTGAAGATATTTGCCTCCTATCCAGTCTTATTGCAAGATCCTTTGAGGATGAGGATTTTATTTTAGTTATCTGTGCTTTCCCTTTTTCCTCTATGCTTATTTTAATGCTTGGTTCATGATAGGTGATCATAGATATTTATCAAGAAGTGCTTACCTGAGACTGTAAATTTCGCTCTCCAGGGAAAAACTGCCCTGTTCCAGCTATCTACCTCTTCCCCTTGTACAGAGATCTCTATAGCACCCATGCTCTGATCTCTGCAGCTGACTGGCACCTGGAGACAGAACCAGCTCCATGAGGATGTTTAGTAGCCTGGTGCCTGCCCAGATCAGGAATCTGGTGAGAGGCCACTGGTTGTTAACAAGGCAGTTGTTAACAACTGAGACAGGTTTGAGAAAACTGTGAATAGAGATAACATGAATATGATACCCTTTCAGTATTAAAAGCTTCATTTTCTACTTTTGGTTTTGATCTTTCACTGCTATTTTGTTTACTTTGTTTCAGGTACCATTTGTTACTTTTTCTTTCCATCTATTTGTCCACAGTTTTACTACTTCTATTTCTACTACAGCAACTACTAATACTACTACTGGCTAATACTAATTGAACACTTACTGTGTGCCAAGCACAGTTTGGTCCCTCATACTTTTTAAATTTAGTCCTCACAAGTTGGCTATGGAAAAGTACAAGTTGGGTGTGGTGGCTTATGCCTGTAATCCTACCACTTTGGGAGGCTGAGGCAGGAGGATCGCTTGAGGCCAGGAGTTCGAGACCAGCCCAGGCAACAAAGTCAGACCCCCCCCATATCTATGGTGGCATGTGCCTGTACTTCCAGCTACTCAGGAGGCCGAGATGGGAGGATCACTTGAACCCAAGAGTTTTAGGTTGCAGTGAGCCATGATAATGCCACTGTACTCCAGCCTGGGCGACAGAATGAGACCCTGTCTCAAAAAACAAAACAGGCTGTGCGCGGTGGCTCATGCCTGTAATCCCAGCACTTTGGGAGGCCGAGGCGGTTGGATCACCTGAGGTCAGGAGTTCGAGACCAGTCTGGCCAACGTGGTGAGACCCTATCTCTACTAATACAAAAAATTAGCCAGGCATGGTGGCAGGCACCTGTAATCCCAGCTACTCCAGAAGCTGAGGCAGGAGAATCTCTTGAACCTGGGAGGTGGAGGTTGCAGTGAGCCGAGGTCACACCATTGCACTCCAGCCTAGGCAACAAGAGTAAAACTCCATCTCAAAACAGACAAAACCAAAACCAAACAAAAAAACAAAACAAAAGGCAACAGGGACACAGAGAGGTTAAGGGACTTAACAAAGCTGATAAATGGTAGTGAGTATGGCTCCAACTCCAGGACTGCCTGATAATAACCTGTGTTCTTGATGAGTATGCTATCACTCTCAAACACTTATATACTCTACAAGTCCTGCCAAGGCTTTGAGATGACTTGTAAGAATAACTACAATGTGATAAAATAGAAACATGTAAATCAGAATCATTAAAAATATAGACAGAATAGGAAGGTATCAGAAAGAAGGAATACTCAGATCATCTATAACGGTTAATAAAGTTGGGCTGGAAATTTAGCTGGGAGCTTCTTGTCAACTCATGGAAAAATAAAAGTAAAAAAATAGAAGGTAATAAAATTTATTTTTTTTTCCAGGGAAATAAGGCCTTTTGATTCATCTGGAAAAATAGGTCTAACCTGTTTCTAAAATAAATTTCTCACAGGGCTCATCGCAGAGGATTGGAAGGGCCTAGATTACTGCCCAATGACAAAAGTGTGGGCTTAATGTCCTCACTCTTCAGGGAGAGAATGTGGACTTTAGCATTTGAACTGAATATTTGAGATTGAAGATTTCTGAATAGTAAGTTTTCGATAACACCTTCTGAATGTAGTTTTTCCCCTGGGACGTTGTAAATGGTGTTATCCTGCATCCTGGGTTGGTTTCAGTCATTTGTTTGCTCATTTACTTAGCAACTATTCATTGAGCATCTGCCATATGCCAACCCCTGCCTAAGCATTGGGGATCCCCAGGCAGTGGTCATCTCACTGCCTTGGCACTCCTGGTGTTTCCATCCTGCCAGTTCTTCCTGCTGGGTTTTTTTCTGGACTCACTTTTTGTTTTTTCTCTGTTATTTTATTCTGATATTCTGAGGTGACACCTATAACCATATAGCTGTTTTTTGTTTTTGTTTTTGTTTTTGTTTTTGCCCAATGCTCTGTCTGATTTATCTTTCTGTATATCCTCGGGACCTAAAAATAACAGCTACCAAATAGCTAAAGTTCACTGTGTGCCAGGCACTTCACGAATATCACCTGTGATCCATCTACACCTTTGGAGCAGTGGCATTTACCATTTTGGGGTCACCTGCCTTTTGAGAAGTGCTCTAGAAAAATCATCTCACACACAGTTTTGCATGTCAGTAAGTCTGTAGGGCTATAAAAGCACACACATGGACCGCGATTCCATGTTAAGAATACTTGCTTAAAGGAGAGATATTCCAGTGGTCCCTCAGTATCTGTGGGAGATTCGTTTCAGCACCCACTCGAAGATACCTAGATTCATGGATGTTCAATTCCCTTATATAAAATGGTGTAGTATTTGCATATAACCTACATAATCCTCCCATATGCTTTAAATTATCTCTAGATTACTTACAATACCTAATACAATGTAAATGCTATGGAAATCGTTATACCATATCATTGAGACAAGGAAAAAAGTCCATACATATTCAGTACAGACATCAACATCCATATTTTTCCTGAATATTTTCAATCCACTGTTGAATCTGTGGATGTGGAACCCATGGATATGGACGACAACTGTATCTCCCTTTTTCAAATGAGGAAACTGAGTCAGGAGGAGGTTAATTAACTTGCAAGTTGTTGTGGTGGATGGTGGAGCCAGTTTGACCCTATGCCTGCTTGACGTCAAAGGTTTTGATTTTTCCACCGTCCAAGAATGTAGATGCTCAGTAAATGGCCAATGTGTATATGGAAGTGTGTGGAAGGCTATAAAGGGAACTTGATAGTTGATATGTCCCAAAATATAACAGTCCATTTGATATCAGTATAGACAAGAAGATTTTTCTCAAGTGTTTGGATTTAACTGCCAAAACCTTTTGTGTTGCTTACAATTTTTTCCAATTTAGTCGAGTGATAATTTCCACACCCCTCTCCATGATACAGTTCCAGCAATTTTTGCTTCTGGTGCCATTTCTATTTGGCTGTGCACACTTTTTACTCTTGTGTTGAATTATGTTTTCTCTGGATGCCAAGGCAGATGGATGGCACTTTTGTTATGATTCTGATATAAATAGCACGTGTTTAAAACTGGACATCAATACTTCTCTGGCAAATAAACAAATATATCAGTGAGATAGCCTTCTAATTGTGTTTTTCCCATTGGTTAAGAAGTGTATTTGATGGTCTGTGACTTGATGCTTATTTTGGGGGTATTAGTTTTTATGATCCTTGCCAATTTCTACCTCACCAAGTTCTGAAGTAATCACATTCATTAATGTCTCAAAATTCTCTTTATTTTGAAAACCTCAGCTGAGGATGGTGTAAAGTCAGGGGTGAGCTACAGAACTCCTCACAGTGCCTTGGTCATACTCAGAACCTTGTTTAGCTTTCAAAATCAAGGGTAAAATTAGCCTAAGCTTCTATCCCTTGCAGTCATAGTGTTGATAACTGTGGTCCATCAAGAGCAAAGTTTAATGGGGTGCTTACTGCATGCTATGCCATGTTGAGTGTAAAAAGGTAAGTGGAGTCCACTGGAGGGACTTATTGTCTAGCAGGGGCCAACATAAAGGTCTGGAAGCAGAGAATCAAAGTGAAAATTGAGGTAGGACTAGAGGAACAGATGGGAGAATATTAGAACTTTTACTTCATATTTTACCCACCACATCTGCAGCCCCACAGCAAAGTGATGGAATTACGAGTGGCTTTTATCTTTTGGTTCTTTTCTTTATTAAATGAAACAATTAGCAAAGCACACCTATAAGACTTAAGTTCTTTGTAAAGGCATGATTAATTTTGTTTAAGGACAATAGGAAGGTCTCCTGAAGGAAGGGGATATACCCTCAGTTTTGAAAGATTAATTGAAGTGTGCCAGGTGCAAAAGAATGAAGGAAATTCTAGCACAGGCATGAACCAAAGCTCAGAAGTGAGGAACTACGTGGTGTGTTGGGAGCACTGGGTAAGAACGTAGCATGCCTGGAGGTAATGGCGTCTGGAAGGATCACCTGAAGCCAGGTGGTTAATTATATGAATGACCTTCTACCCCACAATTAAGAGTTTGAATTTCAGGCCTGGTGCAGTGGCTCATACCTGTAATCCCAACACTTCGGGAGGCTGAGGTGGGAGAATCACTTGAGCCCAGAAATTCGAGACCAGCCTGGGTAACATGGTGAAACCCTGCCTCTACAAAAATTAGGCAGGTGTGGTGGCATGCACCTGCAGTCCCAGTTATTCAGGAGGCTGAGGCTAAGGTGCAAGGATCACTTGAGCCCTGAAGGTGAGGCTGCAGTGAGCCAAGATTGCACCACTGCATTCCAGCGTGAGACCTCCTCTCAAAAAAAAAAAAAAATTGAATTTCAGTCTTTATGCCCTGGAGAAGCATTGCTTCTTCTCTTTTTTCCCTTCCCCTCCCCTCCCCTCCCCTCCCCCTCCTCTCCTCTCTTTTCTTTTGAGATAGTCTCACTTGATCACCCAGGCTGGAGTGCAGTGGTATGATCTCGGCTCACTGCAACTTTCACCTCCTGGGTTCAAGCGATTCTTGTACCTTAGCCTCCCGAGTAGCTGGGATTACAGGCACTCACCACCACACCCAGCTAAGTTTTTGTATTTTTAGTAGAGTCAGGATTTTGTCATGTTGGCCAGGCTAGTCTCGAACTCCTGGCCTCAAGTGATCTGCCCACCTCGGCCTCCCAAAATGTTGGGATTACAGGCATGAGCCACTGCTCCCAGCCCTATTTTTCTTTCTTAAAAGAAATTTTATTTATTTTTATTGATGCATAATCCATGTACATAGCTCCAGGGTACATGGGATAATTTAATACATTCATATAATTTGTAAAGATCAAATCAGTATACTTGGGATATCCATCACCTGAGATATTTGTCTTTTCTTTATGTTAGAACCATTCAAATTCTTCTTTTCTAGCTATTTTGAAATGTACAATAGGTTATTGTAATCTATAGTCACCTTACTGATCTGTCTAACACTAGGTGTTATTTCTTCTATCAGACCATATATTTGTACCCATTAATCAACCTCTCTTCATCCTCTCCTCCCCTCTACCTTTCCTGGCCTGTGCTAACCACCAGTTTACTCTATCTTTATGAAATCCACTTTTTGAGCTCCTCCATATGAGTGAGAACATGCAACATTCTTCTTTTTGGTGCTTGGCTTATCTCATTTTTTAATCAGAATGTCACATAAGGACCTCCAGTTCTATCCATGTTGCTACAAATGGCAGAATTTTATTCTTTTTTATGGCTGGATAATATTCTATTGGGTATATGTATCACATCGCACTGAATCTGTAAATTGCTTTAGGTAGTATTGCCATTTTAACAATATTAATTCTTTCAATCCATGAGCATGAAATACCTTTCTGTTTTTTGGTGTCCTCTTCAATTTCTTTCATTGGTGTTTTATAGTTTTCCTTGTATCAATCTTTGATTTCGTTGGTTAAATTGATTCTTAGGTATTTTATATTCTCTATAGCTATTGTAAATGGGTTTGCTTCCTTGCTTTCTTTTTCAGTTTGTTTGCTGTTGGTATGTATAAATGCCACCAATTTTTGAATGTTGACTTTGCATTCTGCAACTTTACTGAACTTATCAGTTCTAACAGGTTTTTGGTGGAGTGTTTGGTTTTTTTCTAAATATAAGATCATGTCATCTGTGAACAAGGCTAATTTGACTTCTTCTCTTCCAACTTGGGTCTTCTCTCTTTTTTTCTTAGTCTAACCAAAGGTTTGTTGACTTTATCTTTTCAAAAAACCAAATCATGTTTCATTGATTCTCTGTATTTTTTCTTGTCTCAATTGTGTTTATTTATCCTCTGATTTTTTTTTTTTTTTTTTTTGAGGCAGGGCTCTGTTGCCCAGGCTGAAGTGCAGTAGCAGGATCATAGCTCACTGCAGCCTCAAACTGCTGAGCTCAAGCAATACTGCCTCAGCTTCCTAAGTAGCTAGGACTGCAGGTGCGTGCCACCACCATTCCCAGCTAATTTTTTAAAAAAAGTTTTTGTAGAAATGGGATCTTGCCATATTGCCCAGGCTGGTTTTGAACTCCTGGCCTCAAGCAATCCTCCACCTCAGCCTCCCAAAGTGCTGGGATTACAGGTGTGAGCCACCGTGTCCAGTCACTGATCTTTATAATATCTTTCCTTCTACTACTTTTGGGTTTGCTTTGTTCTGGCTTTTCTAGCTCCTTGAAGTGCATCATTAGGTTGTTTTTTTGAAGTCTTTCTATTTTTTTTGACATAGGCATTTATTATTATAAACTTCCTTCTTAGTACTGCTTTTGCTGTAGCCCATAGACTTTGGTGTGTTGGATTTTCATTTCATTTATTTCAAGAAATTTAAAAATGTCCTTCTTAATTTCTTCATTGATTCATCGGTCATTCAGGAGTGTGTTGTTTAATTTCCATGTGTTTGTGAGTTTCTGAGGTTCCTTTTGTTATTGATTTATAGTTTTATTCCATTGTGATCATAAAAGATACTTGATATGATTTCTACTTTTTTGAATTTGTTGAGACTTGTTTTGTGGCCTAAGATGTGGTCTATTCTGGAGAATATTCCATGTGCTGATGAAAAGAATATGTCATTCTAGCTGGATACAGTGGTGCGTGTCTATAATCCTAGATACTTGGGAGGCTGAGGGGAAGATCACTTGAGCCCAGGAGTTTTGAGTCCAATCTGGGCAATACAGCAAGACCCCATCTCTAAAGAAAGAAAAAGGAAATGAAATGCGTATTCTGAAGCAGTGGGTGAAATGTTCTGTAAATATCAGTTAGCCCTATTAGGTCTAGTCTGTAGTTTAATGGCAGTGTTTCTTTGTTGACTTTCTATGTGGATGATCTATTCATTACCGAGAGTGAAGCATTTTGAAGTATCCTAATATTATTGTATTGCAATCTGTCTCTCCTTTTAGATCTAGTAATGTTTAACTTCAGGTCTTTGTGAGCTCTGGCATGGTGTGCATATATATTTATAATTGTTATATCCTCTTGCTGAATTGATCCCTTTATCATTATATAGTGACCTTCTTTTTCTTTTTTGATAGGTTTTGATTTTTTTCCCAAGCCAAACTATACCCAGCTTTATTAAAGATACTTTCCATAACCAATCACGGTATTTCAGCAGGACATGGGCAGACAATCATTAACAGTATTTAACAACTTTCAAACTCCCTTCTTCAACCGACTATCAAAAATCAGAAAGCCCCTATCAAACCCTATGAAGTTTTCATTTGATGCTCTGAACAGGGAAAGTTTAGAGTGAGGGTTGAACAACTTTTCATGACCCAAGCATGACTTTCAGGAAGTGAAATGAAAATGGGAGAATTTGTCTAAAGATCCACAACCCAGAAAGAGAACCGCTGCTCTTTTGAGGGGCACCATCTCAGTGGTTTCACTGGAAAGTCCAGATTGCCTGACACGCTGATAATCAATTATTGAGGGTCAGGTCCCAACAGGTATCTCGGTTTAAGGGAGTTAAGTGTATGCTGAAGGTGGAAAGAGAAAAGAGGACATAAAAATAAATTTGTTTTCCCCTCCTTAAGGCTTTCATGCTAAAGTGGCTATGTGTGTCAAAGCCAGGAAATCCCTCCTTGTGGGAGCCAAGAGGAAGTCTCTCAAAACTAGAAGAGAAAGGTGTTTTTTCCACATCAGTCTAGTTTTGAAGACATTCTATTAGTGACATAGGCTCCTTCCCCAAAAGACAACAATGAAGTGTTCTGTGTGCTAACAATATAGCTTCTGCATTTTTATAAAACTTGATTAAAAATAGTATTTCAAACTGTACAGTCATCAGAGGTACACAGTTATTAAAAATGCACACACTTCACTTGGCATCTCCAACACATTCAGCTTTCTGTGCCCGGTCTGTTTTGGCATCTCCATGTTGTGCAGGGTTATTCTCCTCCTTGCCAATATCAGCTTTTCCCTTTTTCCCTTTGTGTACCTTCTCTCTCTTCTTTGTAGGGGCCCTTTTAGGCTTGGGCTCTGGCTTTGGAGGAGCAGGTTTAGCAGACAAGCTTGCAGATCTCTGTGATTTGTCCTTCATCTTGGTTTTATCTTTTTTTTTTTTTGAGATAGAGTCTTGCTCTGTCACCCAGGTTGAAGTGCAGTGGCATGATCTAGGCTCACTGCAACCTCTGCCTCCTGGGTTCAAGCAATTCTCCTGCTTCAGCCTCCCTGAGTAGCTGGGATTACAGGCACTCCCCACCATGCCTGGCTAATTTTTCATAGTTTTAGTAGAGATAGGGTTTCGCCATGTTGGTCAGGCTGGTCTTGAACTCCTGACCTCAGGTGATCCACCCGCCTTGGCCTCCAAAGTGCTGGGATTACAGGCGTGAGCCACCCAGCTGGTTTTATCTTCTTTCATGTCCTATTCAACCTTTCTCTTGGGCATGGTGATGATGGCAGTGGGATGTCGGTGCTGGTTGCAGGATGTAGCAGCACACAGCCTCTTGTCAGTTCAGGGGACATCTCACCTCTTTTTCACACTGCTTGATAATCTTTGATTTGTAGTCTATTTTATCTGATACAAGTAAAGCTATTCCTGCTCTTATTTTGGTTTTCATTTGCATGGAATATCCTTTCCATCCCTTCACTTTCAGTCTATACGAGTCTTTATAGGTGAAGTGGGTTTCTTATAGGCAGCATATTGTTGGGTGTTGTTTCTTAATCCATTCAGCCACTCTATGCTTTTTAATTGGAGAACCGAGTCAATGAACATTCAGTGTTATTGTTGATGAGTAAGAACTTACTGTTGCCATTTTGTTGCTTTTTTCTGTTTGTTTTAAGTCGTCCCTTCCTTCCTTTCTTACTGTCTTCCCTTGTGGTTGATTTTCTCTGGTAATATGTTTTAGTCCATTGCTTTTTAGGTTTTTGCATTATAGTTACCATGAGGCTTACAGAAACATCTTATAGATATAACAAATTATTTTAAAAAGATGACAGCTCATCTTAGGTCAGAAAAAAGAATATAAACAAACAAGAAATGAAAAAACTCTACACTAATTCTATCTGTTCCACATTTTGACTTTTAATTGTCTCAATTTACATACTTTTATATTACCTATCTCAACAGGTTGTAGTAGCTATTATTGTTTTTAAGAGATTTCTCTTTTGGGCTTCATGCTAGAGTTACGAGTAGATTGCACATCACAATTCCAGTATTAGAGTATCCCAGGTTTGTCTGTGTACTTAATTTTACCAGCATGTTTTATATCTTTTGTTTTTTTTCTGAATGTTAGTGTTTTCTTTCTTTCAGATTGAATTCCTTTGGCATTTCTTGTAAGACAGGTCTGGTGGTGGTGAATTCTCTCAACTTTTGTTTGTCTGGGAAAGACTTTATCTGTTCTTCATATTTGAAGGATAACTTTGCTGGATATAATATTCTTGGATGACAGTGTCTTTTCTTTTCTTTTAGAACTTTGAAAATTTGTTCCCTTCCCTCCTGGCTATATGATTTCTGTTAAGAAGTCTGTTGCCAGATGAATGGGAGCACCTTTATATGTTATTTGTTTTTTTTCCTCTTGCCGTTTTTAGGATTCTCTCTAGTTTTTGACTTGGAGTTTATTATATGCCTTGGAATAGTCTTATTTGGGTCAAATCTGTTTGTTCTCTGACCTTTGTGTACCTGGATATTTATATCTTTCTCAAGTCTTGGAAGGTTTTCTGTTATTATTTATTTGAATAAGCTTTGTACCCCTTGCTCTTGCTCAATTCCCTTGAATACTAATCATTTTTTAAAATCTCATCTTTTGAGGAAATTTTCTATATCTTATAGGTGATCTTCATTGCTTTTCATTCTTTTTTTTCATTTTTCTCCTCTGAGTGTGTTTTCAAATAGTCTGTCTTCAAGTTAACTGCTTCTTTCCTTTTCTTGATCCATTTTGCTGTTGGTAGCCGTTAATGAATTTTTCAGTTCAGCAAATGTATTTCTCAGTTCCAAGATTTCCACTTGATTTTTAAAAAATTTATCTCAATCTCTGCTAAATTTCTCTGATAAAGTTCTGAATTGATTTTCTGTGTTATCTTGGAAATCACAGAGTTTCCTTAAAATTGCTATTTTGAATTCTTGGATAGACAGCTCAAATATCACTGTTTCATTAGGATCAGTTACTGATTCCTTGCTTTGTTTGCTTGGGGAAATCATGATTCTCTGTTTGCTGCTGTCTTTTTTGTGGATGTACATCTATGTTTTTGCATCGAAGTTATCTATTCCAGTCTTCTCTGGACTTCTTGCTTGTTTTCTTTGGGTATATTTTCTTAGAGGTTCTTTACTGCTAGGTTGCTGCCTCCTTTTCCGCTGTAGTTGTTGGTACCTTGAGCTCAGGTTCACCTTGACTCTAGTAACTGCTTGGAATGCTGACCTTCCTGAATGGGGGAGGTCCCAAAGGGGATGTCCCAGCAGCGTGGGAAGGTTGGGTAGGGTTTGTGTCCAGGCGACCAGTAGGACAAACCTCCTACAGCATGTGACTGCTGAAAATACACTCTGATTTGGTGTCTCCTTTTGTTGAGTTAGAGAGCAGTTTTTCAAGAGCTGGAGATGGTAGTCCCACCTCCCCCTCTTTACCTCTGTCTGTCCTCAGGGATGTTTCTCCCTTCAGGCACTTGTGATGGATTAAGGCAGGGATAGGTCTCCTGCCAGCGAACCCAAGATGGTGGAGAAGCTGGTTGTCCACCTCAATCTCACTTTTCCCAGTGTAGAAACAGTGAATTGGGGGAAAATTTCTTGCATGCTTGGTGCCAGGCAGAATGGGGGGAGGGGCGTTGTGGATGTGGAAGTTGAATTCTTTTACTGTCCCCTCATAGCTGTGGCCCCAAGATCTGTTTCGTCTTCATATGAGAGTTCTGGGATATTCCTGATGATAATGTCGGCACTGTATATTTACTTTGGTTTTCAGGTGAGAGTGAAGCCAGCTTGCTTCTATGCTGCCATTTTGGAACTGGACTATTGCATGTTTTTAAAAAACTTTATTTTGAAATAATTTTAGATTCACATAAAGGTTATAAAATTAGTACTGTGTTCCTGTGTACTTCCAACATCTCCCAGTGATAATATCTTATAGAATAACTGTAATTATTGAAACTGGGAAATTGACACTGGTACAACATCAATTTAACTAAAGTCAATATTAACTAAAGACTTCATTCACATTTCACTAGTTTTTAACAGTGTGCATATCTTTTTCCTTGGTGAATAATCCTATGAAATTTTAACACATGTATAATTTGATATTGTACATGTTTGTGTGTGTGTGTGTGTGTGTGTGTGTGTGGAGACAGATTCTCATTCTGTTACCCAGGCTGGAGTGCAGCAGTGTGATCATAGCTCACTGCAACCTTGAACTCCTGGGCTCAAGTGATCCTCCCATCTCAGCCTCCTGAGCACCTGGGACTGCAGGCACACCACCCTACCTGGCTGATTAAAATTTTTTTTTTTTTGTAAAGACGAGGTCTCACTATGTTGCCCATGCTAGTCTTGAACTTTTGGCCTCAAGCAATCGATCCTCCAGCCTTGGCCTCCCAAAGTGCTGGGGTTAAAGGTGTGAGCCACTGCTCCCAGCTGCATTGTGTATTTTTATCAAGGGAGTACCATAATTATGCCTGTGCTGTAGAAAGGTAAATCCTGCAACAGAGGAGGATGAATCAGAGGTGAAGTTGGAGACCCAGAAGTGATCAGAGGCTGTTTCTGTAATCTCAAGAGTGCACATGAACTGGACAGTGACCTCAGGGATGCAGAGAGGCAGAAGATAGATTTAAGAGGTGTTCTCCAAGTAAAATTGACATCACTTGCTGACTGATTAGAGAGAGGACTCCAGGCAGGAGGCCACAGGCAGGCATTGTCTACCTTGTGTTGTCAGGCTTCAGCAGCTGAAGCAAATCCACTCATGCGTTCATTCTGAATACCTCTGAACACCAGTCACTGGCCTCGGGTCTGGAGACGTAGTGATGATGTCAGTTGCCTTGGCTCTAGTCTTTAGGGAACTGAAAGTCTAGTGGGAGACAAGCCTTAATCAAAGACTTATCCCAATAGCTACATCATTACAAACTGGACTAAGGCTATGAAGGACAACAGAGGTCGTTGTGAAAGCGTGGAAGGGAAGCCAGCCTAGCATGAGGTGTCAAGGAAGGCTCCCTGAAGAAGTGGCATTTGAACTGAAATTTAGGGCCTCAGTTCTCAGAGTGATGTCCTGCCCAGCAGCACCAGCATCTCCTGGGAACGGGTCAGCAATGCAAATTCTTTTTTTTTTTTTGAGATGGAGTCTCGCTCTATTGCCCAGGCTGGAGTGCAGTGGCACAATCTTGGCTCACTGCAACCTCCGCCTCCCAAGTAACTGGGATTATGGGCACCCGCCACCACACCTGGCTAAATTTTGTATTTTTAGTAGAGATGGGGTTTCACCATCTTGGCCAGGCTGGTCTTGAACTCCTGACCTTGTGATTCACCTGTCTTGGCCTCCCGAAGTGCTGGGATTACAGGTGTGAGCCACTGTGCCTGGCCAGCAATGCAAATTCTTAGGCCCCACCCCAACCCAGGACTGGAATGGGAATCTGGAGTGGGCCCAGCAATCTGTTTCTAACAGGCTGTCCAGGTGATCCTGATGTCCACTCAAGTGTGAGAACCATTGATTGTTAGGAGAAAGAGGCATTCATTAGTCAGAGAGGGGCGAGGAATAGGTGGTCTAAGTAGAGGTTACAGCAGGTGAAGAGAAAAAATCTCTTGCTTGGGAATGAGCACATTTGAGGGACTGCCAGTGTGGTTGAGGCAGAGGGAGCCGGGGGAGGATGGCAGCAGAGAAGCAGGGGAGGGCCTGTGCTGCAGCCACAAAGACACCAAGGACTTTGGTCTTGGTTCTAATAGCACTAGGAGGCAATTGGAGTGTTCTAAGCAAGGAAGTAACACGAGGAGATCAGCATTTGAAATGATTATGCTGGTTGTTGTGAGGAAGACAGAAGGGACCACAGTAGGGGTGTGTGTGTGTGTGTGCATGTGTGTGTGTGTATTGGATTGAGACATGAAAAGAGAAGTGATGCTTGTACAGTGGTCACATAAAATCTCTCCCCCTGAGAATCCTACAATTTAGTGTGAAATTCACGTGATTTGCCTAAGGTTTCCTACACAGTTCTCCGGTAGCTTGCAAATTGCTGGATTGTTTGACAAACCCAAAGGCTCCATTCTTGTAGCTTGCATAGGCCGAATAAGAAAATCTGTCCGCCAATCTGTGCTAACCCCATTGCTCTCTTATTTTTCAGCATTCCCAAAGTCAGAAATATTTTATCTTGAAGGGCATGAAACGAAATAGCACCAAAACAAATGCTCCCAAAGGCAGCAGCACCCTCTCAGGCAGTACCAAAGCCAGGTGAGATGCTCCTCCTCCCTGAGCATCTGTGCTCACTGATACAGCTTTTGCACAGTAGGCGGCCAGGTCATTGTGTGGGGCTTCAGGTCTCAAGAGAAAGGTGCTTTAAAAGTTGATCATGTTACCATTGCCACTTCTATCTGGTTTGTGTCCGTCATCCAGGCAACAAGCATTTACTGAGTGCTGACTCCTGGGCCAAAATTTTTAGGCATTCTCATATATATCACATCAGCAAGCATTGGCTTATACATTTTAACAGTGGATGACCTTAATTTGGTGCTCAGCATGAATGGAAATACTAGACAACTGCAGTGAGTTCAGAGAATGATTCCATCCACGTCACTGCGAGACAGCAGGGCCCACTCGACAATCCAGCTTTTCTTGAACCTAGATTCACATTTCCTGCAATAGGTGGCAGCAGCAGCAAGACTTCTAGTTCCTGAACCCTGAAGCTGGGAAAACATGCAACTTTGCAGGAGCTGAGGACTTGCTTGGATTTGGCTTGACTATAAATAGGATGTGCTCAGCCCTCCTTGTCTGCTTATAGGAGCTGGGAGAGAGCGTAATTGTCTGCAGCTCTTACATTTTAAAAGGCTTCGAGTGCAACTGTTTTGAGATGTTTGACAGCACACTTGTGGTCAGTGTTTCTGACACGACTTGTTTTTTCTCGGTTGCCGTATCTGTGTCTGTCATCACATCAGGTGTGGTGGGTCTGATGATATTCATGAGGTAATAGTGAATTTCTGAGATAGCTCCTGAAATTAGACTTTTATATCCATGATAAAGGAGTATTACAAACAAAACAGTATAAGCTTTTTTCTTTAGGCTCTGTATTTGGGGCAGCAAGACATTCATGCTAGTGTAAACTAATACAAAACACAATTACTTAATTTAGTTCAACTTAACATTCATCATTTTTTGGAGGTTGACGTGCTGAGCACATGATCAAACCCGACCCTGGCTCCCACGGCATTAATAGTCTGACAGGGAAGACAGACATTGAACAGTCATGGGGTCGAGGGTGTTCATTAAGGAAACCTGGCTGACACTGGCCACCAGTTCTCAGTAGAGGGATGAGTGAGGAATTGTGGATGGCGTGGAAACTTCTACCCTGAATGGTGGGAAAAAGAGAGACTCATCAATAAAATACAGGAGTAGAAGGACATGTGGTGTGCATGTGTGCTACTCTGTGTGTGTGGTGTGTGTGTCTGTGGGGGGTAAGTGGTCTGTGGTGTGTGTGTTTCTGTGGGGGGTGAGTTGTGTGTGGTGTGTGTGTTTCTGTGGGGGGTGAGTTGTGTGTGGTACGTGTGTGATGAAGGGGTGTGTGTGTGTGTGGTGTATGTGTGGTGAGTGTGTATTGTGTGTGGTGACTGTGTATGGTGAGAGTATGTGGTGAGTGTGTAGTGTGTGTGTGTGTGTGTGTGTTGGGAGGCGAGTGCTGTCTGAATGGCAGGGCTGTGAAAACCATTTATTTGTCAGTAATTTGGAGCAGCAGTTACGTGCTGAGTACTTCGGGGCTGGGGGTAGAGTGGTGTAAACACACCCTTTTATTTCATGGAGCTTATAATGGAGTTCATAATTTCCCAACTAAAAGTGTAATGCGAAGTTGGGGTATGTACAGTGCCGGAGAAGTGCAGGCTGTGTGAGAGACTCTGCAAGGAAGATGCAGGGTGGTCAGAGAAGCCTCTCCAGAAAGTGATGTTCCAGGAGGTCTCAAGGCAGAGGAATCGGCTGGGGTGGAGCAGGGCCGAGGGACCCATGGGGCCGTGAGAGGGGAGATGTGGGCAGGAGGCAGCTCCTCTCCTGCCTAGTGGGCACTGGTAGGCATGATGTCTAGAACATGCCATGACACGGTTATTAAAGAACATTTAACATAAAAAGATCAATGTCTCCATCGTCCCCAGGTAGCAATTTTTGTCATATCTTCTAGTCCCTGTCTATTTGTGACAATATATTTTTATATCGTTGTATTCATAGTGTATGCCCCACTGTACTTGTTCTCTTGACATTGTCCTAAACGTGTTCTGATATTTCTACATATTTTCTAGTTACCAGTTATAGCAGTGATATCCTACTCCATTAAAATATATTCACTTTCCGCAGTTTGTTGTTTTTCATTTGATTTCTAGGTTTGTGGGGGTGGGTCTTACAGTGTGTGAGGGTAGACTGTCTGTGACGATGAGGTTCGGGCAGGGCAAGGGGCTGTACAGGGCCTGGGGAGCTCCTTGGTGGAGGGAGACTGTGTCCCAAATGCGTGGCCATAGTGTTGCCTAGCTGTGGAGGCAGGTCAGTTTATAAGCTCAGATTTTTCTGCTAAATTGAATTCAGATGACTGGCTAAATTGTTTTTTGTGATACCCTATCATTTGGAATATATTTGTAAATCAACTTGCATTCTTATAATTCCTATGTTTAGAACAATAGACTAGGGGTTGCCAGTAGAGTCTGTCTAAGATATTAAGGCAGTATGAGACTGGAATGGGGGAGGAGGGACTGGTCTTCAAATGTTGGTGGCACGAATGCTGGAATCCTCATATTTGATTAGAACTGTATGTAGATGGCTTGCTTTTAATTTTCTACATGTTCTCTTGAGTAGGTTGCAGAATTGTTAAACCGTTTTGCAAACTCAAGTTATCTATTCTTGTGGATTGATACACAGATTTTCTTACTGCCATATCAAATATATGAAAACTTCATTACTCTTATCTGTTTACATACGAATACACACAAATCACTCACATGCATGTAGGCAAATGCATACACACATACACATGCTGGCACAATTGGACAAAAAGCCAAGGATTAAATTCACCGGAGTTTGGGTCTTGGCTTCACTGTTACTGAGTAAATTTGACCTTTTCTCTCTGGCATTTAATTTTTCCACCTCTAAAAATATGGATAATAGTGTCTAACTCACAAGGTTGTCACATGGTTGATGATTAAATGAGATAACACCCAGTGCCCAGCAAAATAGATGCTCGGTTATTGCTAGTTGAAGGACCTAAACGTAATGTTTGCGGCTGGCTTTTAACTTCATTTTGATATAAAGTGGGAAACTTTACACATGAACCTCTTTAAAGGCAAAACCTATAAACTCATACTTATCAATCAACTTCAGGTTCTTCTAAAGCACTGGTCTCAAGCTTATTAAATACAGATGGCTGGGCCCCATCCCCCAGAGAGTCAGTTTGTCTGGGTGGAGCCTGGAAATGTACATTTCTGAAAAAAGGTCTCAAAGTGCTGGTTCAGGCACCACACTTTTGAGAACCACCGTTTTAAAGCTATATGCTTGCTTTCACGGCCCTTTGAAAATCCATTTTTAAAAATGGAAAATAAATGCATTTAAAAACAATGGTATTAATAACAATAACAAATCATGTTATTTCTGCTTGAGGAATCTACAAATGGAATAGCTCTTTCTCCCCTTCAGATGAACCGATGGATGGTGTCTGTTGGGAGAAGTCTTTAATCTGACCGTGGAGATAGAGTGATAGAGTTCACACTCTCACCCACTCTAGCCAGATGGGTACCCCACAGAGTAGTGTTAGTCTCTAGTCAGACAGGTACCCCACAGAGCAATGCTGAATTTCTCCAGGCTACAGTAGTGTTAGTTGGAGATGCTGCGGGGATGCCTTGTTCTTTCCTTTTGCAACATATTGCCATTTTCTTTAACATTCTGAGTTAAATGGTGAGTGACTAGAGGGTCAGGGTGGGTTATATTTCTTTCTCTTCCTAGACCCTAGCCAATGCCTGCAGTGGCCTACAGTGTTTGCTGAATAATGGATGGTTGAGAGAATGGTTGCTTAGAAAATGCTTATACCAAGAATGTTTAGGTAGAACACCCAATAGGCTCCATTTTCAGAACGATCCAGATCTGGCCCTTTGGAATCTTCATATTGTAATTGAAGTCTCACTAGCTTTTATGATCCCGCAGTTGGTAGAAATTAGAACTAGAGGAGACCCAACAGGTCATCCAGACCATTCTCCCTCTGGAAGAGTACTCCCTGCAGTGTACTCTGTGGCATTAGGAGGAATTACTTTTCATATGATTATTTTTTTTTCATGCTGTCTTCAACTAAGTGTTTCTTGAATTGAATCACTTTGTATTCAAGTAATAAAATGCACAACAGGCAGTGCATTTCCGGGTGATTATCTTACTCCTCAGGTGGTGTAATAAGGCATGAGGCCAAAGCCCTGGCATGCCTTATTGTTATTAGGAAGTGAATTTATGGATAAAATAAAGAGAACGGTTCTGTGCATCAGCAATCACTGCAACAAGGAATGCAGTAACAGTGGATGTTCCCCACGTGCTTAGAGAGCCGGGTAATGCGTGAGACTGAGTGTCCCCGTCACACAACCCTGGGCAGCCAGTGACTTTCGGCTGCTCTTAAGGAACGTGTTATTGATTTTGTAAAAAGAGACAGGAAAGCTTTGGTCATTGACAACCATGTGAACTTGATATCGGGGAAGAGCATGTCTTCTGGTTCTGGAAGAGAGAGGCTTAGTCTCCAGCCTTGGGGCACCGCAGTCATGTAGCCCAGGGCAAGTCACTGGCCTGCTCTGAACATTAATTTCCTCACCTATGATGTGGGAAGAAGAATAACTGGGGGTGGGAAGAGTTAAATGATAACTATAAGTTTCATAAATATTAGCACATTTCTTGACTCCGCGAGTCCCCAATAAATAATTGAGTTAGATAATGTATTTGCCTTCTTAAAATTCCTCATCAGGCTGAGTTTCTTGTCTCTTAATTTCTTCAATCTTGTTTTATTATTTCAGCTACACAGATAATTCCCATCACTCTTTGTGCTCCTTCCTGGCCAAGATGTGCACATCTCCACTTCCCTTGCACACACCCTTGACTTGTGGTATCACACTTGCCTGTCAAGACCCTGGCCCAAATTAAACCCAACTTTTTGCCTACCTGTGCTGCTGAACATGGCTGGAGAAAAACACACAACCACAGGTTCGTGTCCATGAACCTCAGATGGCTCTTACAGTTCCCTGGCTGTCACTTCACCTCTCCCACTCCCCGACTTGCCTTCTCTTCTAGACAGTGTTTCATTCTGTGTCCTGTGATCTCAATCCTGAGCCTCACTTCTTCCAGCCTCACTCGCTGCTGATGACCTGACTTCCTAGTTCAAGGAGAAAGCAGAATCAGAAGGGAGCTGCCACAGGCTCCCATCACCACACCTGAATCCACATTCTCCAGCTTCTCTTTTGTCACCATGAAGGCTCATCCTGCTACTTGTCCATGGGATCCCATCTCCATTGGCCAACCGTGGGAACCAGCGAGGCTCTTCTTTCTCTCCTGCTGCGTTTCTCTTTGCCCTGCTACTAGGTTGCCGTCATGAGTGTTCAGACATGCTGCTGATTCTCCCATCTTGAAGAAATGTCTCCTGAGACCAGTCATCACACTGTCTCTCAGCTCTACTGTTTCTCCCCATTACAGCAGAGTTCTTTGAAACTGCTGTCTCTATTTACTGTCACTCGTTCTCCTCTGAATTGTTCAGGAACTCACTTAGACAGGTTTTCCCCCACCATTCCCCCAACATTGTTACTATCAGGGTCCTCGGTGGTGCCTTAGGGCTCACTCAAACCGAAGCCCTTATTACGGTGGCATTTGACACTCACCATCAACCCTCCTCCTTAGAACTTATTCTTCTCATGGTTTCTAGGACTGTGGCCTCTGGTCTTTCTCAGTCTCCTTTGCTGGTTCTTCTTCATCTCCTTCAACGGTGAACGTTGGAGGACCCCAAGGCTCAGCCCTTTGACCTTTTCTTTTTTTGCACCTACTTTCTTGATGGGACTATCTCATATCATGCCTTTATATACATGATATGTTGGCAATTCCGAAACTTTTTTTTTTTTTTTGAGGCAGTCTCACTTCTATCACCCAGGCTGAAGTGCAGTGGTGTGGTCTCCGCTCACTGCAACCTCCACCTGCCGGGTTTAAGCGATCCTCCCACCTCAGCCTCCTGCGTAGCTGGGACTATAGGTGTGCACCACCACACCTGGCTCATTTTTGTATTTTTGTAGTGACAGGGTTTTGCCATATCGCCCAGGCTGGTCTTGAACTCTTGAGCTCGAGCAATCTGCCCACCCTGGCCTCCCAAAGTGCTGGGATTCTCAAACTTTTATCTTCAGCCCCAATCTGTCCCTTGAACTCAAACTCATGTATTCAGTGACCTATTCAGTATATCTACTTGGATACCCAACAGGCATCTTAAACTTGAATGTCCAAAATGGAAGTGTTGATCTTCTGTAAACCTGTTCTACCTGCAGTCTTTCCCATCTCAGGTAATGGTCATTCCACCCAACCTTTCTTTTGCATGCTGAATCAAATCTACCAGAGTATGATGGACTCCTCCTTCAGAATGTGGCTGGAATCTGATCACTTCTCAATACTTTTACAAAAACCACATGGTCTGAGCCGCTGTCTTCTCTTGCACGGATTATTGCAGAAGACTTCTGTCTTCATTTCCTCCCTTGCACCTGTAAGCCTATTCGTGACATACAGCCAGAGATATTCCTTTAACCCAGAGGCCAGATCATCTCCTCTGCACTAACCCCCTAGAGGTTTCACATGTCAGGTATCACAATAAGAGCCAAGCCTCACACTGGCCTGCAAGGCTGTCCTTCATCTGGCCGCCTGTTTCTTCCTTGTCTTCCTAACTGCATGGTTCCCCTCTTGGTCTCCTTTAGATCTTTGCTTAATGTCTTCTATTCTTCTCTGCTCCACTGGTCTCCGTAGATCTGATTCACTTGTATGATTAATTTGTTTATTGCCTGCCTTCCATTTCTACAGTATAAGATCCACAAGGTCCAGGAGTTTACATATTTTGTTCATTGATCTCCAGACTCCTAGAAAGGAACTGAGTAAATATGTGTTGACTGTGTGAACACAAACCAAGCTTTGTTTTTCGGTATAATTCTGGAAGTTTACCTCTGTAAAGATTCAATTCAGTTAAATTAATCCAGCCCAAGAAGGATGTGTGTGGGATTGCTGAGGCTCTAGGGCTCTTATGGTATAAGCCATGAGGTGGTTCTTACGTACAGGACCTGCCACCTGACTGTGGCAAATAAGACAGGTCTCTAGACTGTACAGTGCAAGGCAGAGTCGGTGCCTGCCCAGAGAGGGAAAGCAAAGTACTAGCCAATGTGGATTTCTTGCACATTAAAAAAAATTCTTATTCATTTCTTCAACCCTGTAAACTTTGTGATTCTTCAAATTGAGGACTTCAGAAGCATCATCTAGTCTGATTCTGTATACTCGTATAGTGCCATCCACATCCATCTATTTTTGAATATTTAATAATTTTACACTTGCATTTAATACATGGAACCTGGTAGGAAGACTTTTGTGTGTGTGTGTGTGTGTGTGTGTGTGTGTGTGTGAAGGTTAGCCAACTTAGGAGCCTCAGACAATTATGCTGTAAACTTCCTTGTAGAACTGGAGCTTGGCCTCCTTAATTCACTCTTACGTTGAGAGTAGCCAAAAAGGAATGAGTCAGACTAAAATTCCCCTTATTTTCTGAAACACTAATAAGCCAAACTCCTCATTGCCACAGACTGGCAGTATCTACGAATTAAAAATCACGAAGGCATGTAACAGTGTCGTGACCGCTGAGCATTAGGTCTGCTGCAGTAGGAGCACAGCCAAGTTAGCTCTGACAGTGGGGGCGTGAGCCTGGCTGATGGTAAGCAGGACACCGCTGTGACTCACTGGGATACATCTGGATGTCTTGCTTTTGCCCTGCTTCCCCTAAGGTCTTTAAATCATAATCTAAATAACTGTCAAGTAAACATATTGCCTTAGAAATTATTGAAAGGGAACTACCTTTGCCAAAGGTGCCCACGGAAGCAACGTCTCCCTTGGCTCACCCAGTGCTGCTGCTGCATCTCTGTCTTCCCCTTCCTCCTCCACCTTCTCCTTCTCTTCCTCCTTTTTTCTAATTGTGATATAATTCATATACCATAAAATTCACATCCTTTCAAAGTGTATAATTCAGTGTTCTTTTAGTATATTTACAAAGTTGTGCAACTATCACCATTATCTAATCCCAGAACATTTTTGTCACCTCTAAAAGAAACTCTGTATCCATCAGCAGTCCCATTCCTCCCTTCTTCCAGTTCCTGGCAACTGCCAATCTATTTTCTTTTTTTTAGCCCCTGCTTCCCCTTCCCTGCCACCCACTAACCTACTTTCTGTCTCTAGATTTGCCTGTTATGGACATTTTATATAAATGGAATGATACAGTATGTGGTTTTGGGGGTTTGCCTTAGCATAATGTTTTCAAGGTTGATCCATGTTACTGCATGAATCTGGACTTCATTCCTTTTTAGGGCTGAATAATAGTCCACTGAACAGATCTACCACTTTTTGTTTATCCACTCACCCACTGATGGAAGTTTGGGTTGTTTCCACTTCTTGTCTATTGTGAATAATGCTGCTATGAATATTTAAGTACAACTTTTTTTTGATGGATGTATGTTTTCAGTTCCCTTGGGTATATACCTGGGAGTGAAATTGCTTGGCCGTATGGCAACTCTATGTTTAACTTTTTGAGAAATTCTCAAATTCTATTCCAAAGCATCTGTACCATTTTACATTCTCACCAGTAATATGAGAATTCCAATATCTCTATAATCTTGCCAATACTTGTTATTCTTTGTTTGTTTTATTATAGCCTTGCTAATGAATGTAAAGTGGTATCTCACTGTGGTTTTGATCTGCATTTTTCTATAACTAGTGATGTTGAGTAGCTTTCCATGTACTTACTGGTCATTTGTATATTTTCTTTGAAGAAATGTCTATTCAAATCCCTAGCCCATTTTTCTATTGGGTTATTTGTCCCTTATTATTGAGCTGTAAGAGTTCCTAATATATTCTGCATACTAAATCCTTATCAGATATATGATTGGCAAATAATTTATTCCATTCTGTGGGGTATCTTAGTGCTTTCTTGACAGTATCCTTTGAAGCACAAAAGTTTTAAAGTTTGATGAAGTCCAATTAATCTACTTCTTCTTTAGTTGCCTGTGTTTTTGGTATCATATCTAAGATATCATTGTCTAATCCAAAGTCACAAAGATTTATACCTATGCTTTCTTCTAGGAATTCTGTAGTTTTAGTTCTTATATTTAGGGCTTTGATCTATTTTGAGTTAATTTTTGTATATGGTGTGAGCTAGGGGGCCAACTTCACTCTTTGGCGCTGTTCGTTGAAAAGACTACTTTTTGTTCCCATTGAATGGTCTTGGTACCCTTGACAAGTATCAATTAATGATAAATGTAAAAGTTTATTTCTGGTCTCTCAATTCTATTCCATTGATCTATATGTGCATACTTATGCCAGAACCACACTGTCTTGATCACTGTTGCTTTCTATTAAGTTTTGAAATCGGGAAGTATAAATCCTCCAACTTTATTTTTATTTTTCATGATCTTATTTTTATTTTTCATGATCATTTTGGCTATTCTGGGTCCCTTGCATTTGTATATGAATTTCAATACCAACTTGTCAATTTCTTCAAGAAAGGCAGTTGGGATTTTGATAAACATTGGGTTGAAGCTATAGATCAGTTTGGAGAGTATTGCCATCTTATCCATGAACATGGGATATTTTTCCATTTATTCAGGTCTACTTTCAACAATATTGTGTAGTTTTTAGTGCACAAATATTGTACTTTTTGTTTAATTTATTTCTAAGTATTTTATCTTTTTGATGATATTGTAAATAGAATTGTTTCCTTAATTTTATTTTCAGATTGTTCATTGTAGGTATATAGAGATATAACTGAGTTTTGTATATTGATCTTGTATCCTACAACCTTATTGAACTTGTTTATTAGTTCTAATTGTGTGTGTGTGTGTGTGTGTGTGTGTGTGTGCATATGTGTGTATCTGTCTGTCTGCCTGTATTCCTTAGGATTTTCTATATATACAACAATGTCATTTGCAAATAGAGGTAGTTTTTCATCTTAGTCTCCAATATGGATACCTTTAATTTATTTTTCTTGCCTAACTGCTCTGGCTAGAACCTTCAGTATAATGTTTAATAGAAGTAGTGAGAACAGGCATTCTTGTCTTCTTTTTGATCTTACGGAGAAAACTTTTGGTCATTCACCATTAAATATGACATTACCTGTGAGTGTTTTTTGGATGTCCTTTATTAAGTCAAGGAAGTTCCCTTCCATTCCTAATTTGTTGAATGTTTATTTTTTGAATCATTAAAGGATGTAGGATTTTATGAAATGCTTTTTCTGCACTTAGTGAGATTATTATGTGTTTTTTTTCCTTGATTAATAATATGGTTTATCACATTAATTGATTTTTGTTTGGTCAACCTCTCTTGCATTCCTAGCATAAATTTTGCTTGACTGTGCTGTCTGATTTTTAAAAATATGTTGCTGCATTCAGTTTGCTGGATTCTATTTTTGAGAATTTTCCCTATACTCATAAGGAATATTGGTTTTTAGCTTTTTTTCTTTTCTTTCTTTTTTTAAATTTTATTTTATTTATTTATTTTTTTTATGGAGTCTCGCTCTATCGCCCAGGCTGGAGTGCAGTGGCGCGATCTTGGCTCAGTGCAAACTCTGCCTCCTGGGTTCATGCTGCCTCAGCCACCCGAGTAGCTGGGACTACAGGTGCCCGCCACCATGCCCTGCTAATTTTTTTGTATTTTTAGTAGAGACGGGGTTTCACCATGTTAGCCAGGATGGTCTTGATCTCCTGACCTCGTGATCTGCCTGCCTTGGCCTCCCAAAGTGCTGGGATTACAGGCGTGAGCCACTGTGCCCGGCCACTTTCTTTTTTTCTAATGTCTTTTCTGATTTGGTATCAGGGTAATACTGGCGTCATAGGATGTGTTGAGAAATGTTTTTTCTTCTATTTTTCATAAGAATTTGTGAAGCGTTAGGTGAATTGATCTCAGCACACTTTAACATCCACCTCCCAAGTTCAAGCGATTCTTCTGCCTCAGCCTCCCGGGTAGCTGGGATAACAAGCATGCGCCACCATGCCTGGCTAATTTTTGTATTTTTAGTAGAAACGGGGTTTCGCCACGTTGGCTAGGCTGGTCTCAAACTCTTGACGTCAGGTGATCCACACACCTTGGCCTCCCAAAGTGCTGGGATTACAGGTGTGAGCCACCATGCCCAGCCTTGAATTTTTCTTTAAATGTTTGGTAGAATTTACTAGTGAACTCATCTGGTCCTGGTTCTGGACTTCTTTTGCAGGAAGTTTTTTGGTTATTAATTCAATCTTTTTGTCATAATTCTATCTAGATTTCTGTTTTTTCTTTAGTCAGTTTTAGTATCTTACATCTTCCTAAGAATATTTCCATTATATCTAGGTTACCTAATTTGTTAGCATACAGTTGTGTATAGTATTCCCTTATAATCATTTTTATTTCTGTAAGGTTAGTGGTAATGTCTCCTTTCATCACTGATTTTAATAATTTGAGTGTTTTCTCATTGTTTTTGGCTGGTCTAGCTAAAAATTTGTCAATTTTGATAATCTTTTGAAGTAACTTTGATTAGTTTTGTCTATTTTTCTATTCTTGATTTCATTTATTTCTGCTCCAATCTTTATTGTTTTCTTCATTCTACTAACTTTGGCTTTAGTTTACTCTTATTTTTCTAGTTTCTTAAGGAATAAACAGGTTAGTAATTTGAGATTTTCTTCTTTTTAAAATATAGGCATTAACATCTACAAATTTTCATCTAAGCACTGTTTTAGCTGCATCCTGTAAGTTTTTATATGTTGTGCCTTCATTTTCATCCATCTAAAACTATTTGGTAATTTCTCTTTTGATTTTTTTTTTGACTCATTGGTTATTTAGGAGTGTGTTGTTTAATTTCCACGTATTTGTGAATTATTCAATTTCTGTTTTCATTCTGTATGGTTGGAGATTATACTCTGATAATTTCAATCCTTTTAAATGTATTGAGGCTTGTTTTATGGTCCAAGATATGGTTTATACTGGAGAATGATCCATGTGTGCTGAGAAGAATGATATTCTACTATTGTTGGTTGGATGTGTTCTTTAGTTGTCTGTGAGGTCTAGTTGGTTTGTGGTGGTGTTCAGATCTTCTATGTCTCTGTTGATCTTCTGTCTAGTTATTCTACCCATTATTAAATGTGGATATTGAGGTTTCTAACTATAATTGTTGAAGTATCTATTTTCCAATTTAGTTAGTTTTTGCTTCACGTATATTGGGGCTCTTGTTAGGTGCATATATGTTTATTTTTCCTTCACTTGCCCTTTCTCAAATGCTCTTCCTTTTTTTAATATAGATCTGAGTTTCTGACATATATCTTTCTTTCATTTTCTTTTGTTTCTTTCTTTTTAAAAAAAATTTATTTAGAGACAGGGTCTCAGTCTGTCACCCAGTCTAGAGTACAGTGACATGATCATAGCTCACTGTAACCTCAAATGCCAGGGCTCAGTGATTCTACCATGTGAGCCTCCCAAGTAGCTAGGACTACAGGTGCATGCCACCATGCCTGGCATATATATATATGTGTGTGTGTGTGTGTGTGTGTGTGTGTGTGTGTGTGTGTGTATATATGTATATGTATATATACACATATATATGTGTACATATACATATATATGTGTATATATACACATATATATGTGTATATATACATATATATGTGTATATGTACACATATATATGTGTATATATACATATACACACACACACACACACACACACACACACACATATATATATTTTTTTTTTTTTTTGGTAGAGACAGGGCCTTGCTCTGTTGCCCAGGGTGGTCTTGATCTCCTGGCCTCAAGCAGTTCTCCTGCCTCAGCCTCTCAAAGCACTGAGATTGCAGGCATGAGCCACTGCACCTTGCCTTGCCTTTCTGAAGAATTCCTTTTAACATTTCTTGGAAGTAAGTCTGCTGGCAACACATTCTCTCAATTTTTGTTTGCTCAGGGAAGTATTTCTCATCCACATCCACTTTTGAAGAGTAATTTCATTGAGTTTGGAATTCTAGGTTGGTGGGGTTTTTATTTCAACACGTTAAATATTTCACTCTACTCTTTTCTTTCTTGCATAGTTTCTGAAAATAAGTATGGACCACACTTCCTTGTTTCTTTGCACATCTCATAAATTTTTGTTGAAAACTGGACATTTTATTTATTTATTTATTTTGAGACAGAGTTTTCTCTGTTGCCCAGGCTGGAGTGCAGTGGCGTAATCACGGCTCACTGTAGCCTCAACCTCTCAGGTTCAACTGCTCTTCCCATCTCAGCCTCCTGGTGGCTGAGACCATGGGTGCATGCCACCATGCCTGGTCAATCTTCTTTATTTTTATTTTTTTTGTAGAGACAGAGTCTCAGTATGTTGCCCAGTCTGGTCTTGAACTTCTGGGCTCAAGTCTTGAACTTCCTGCCTCAGCCTCCCAAAATGCTGGGATTACAGAGATGAGACATCATGCTAGGCCCATGACATTTTAAATAATATAATGTAGTAGTTGTGGAAATCATATTCTCATCCCTTTCCATGTTTTGTTGTTGTTAACTGCTTGTTGTTCATTTGTTTATAGAGTTTTCTAAAATTTATAAAGTCTGTATTCTTTGTTATATATGGCCACTAGAGTCTGATTGGTTAGCTTAGTGGTCAGCTCATGGTTGGATAGAAATTTCCGTAAATGCCTGGGAACAGTATCTCCCAATTTTTGCTGAGGGGCTTTTTGTATTGGAGCATTCCTTCAACACTTAGCTAGGCAGTTTATAACTCTGTCTTAGCCTTCATTTCCTGCTTGTGCAGAGCTTGAAGGTCAGTTGGAGGTGAGAGGTTAGGGCCTTCTCAGGTCTTTCCTGAGCACACACCTCTCCCTGGGAATGGTTCTAGCTCTGTGTACTGAGTGACTTCCTAGATTCCCAAGAATATGTGGGCGCTTTTTCAAGTCCCTATCGACATCTCATTCCCCAGCTTTTCCCTTGAAGCTTTTTGGTTGCCTATTATTTGCCCCGTTATCCACCTATTCAGGTAGCCATGATTTTAAACAACAATTGCCTCTGATTTCTTCTAACAAATGCCTCTTCATGATAGGCTGTGTTCACTGAGTGAACTCTGAGTTCAAATAAAGACAGCCTTGGGAGTAGGATCTTTCAGGGAAACATCAGGTCAAATAATGATAAGTTCCGGGTAAGGAGGCTTTGACAGAGCTCCAGCCCTGTTCTGTCCACTCCAGTGACTGTCAGCCTGCTGGGTTTTCCCTGTGATTGCAGGCTGATGGTTTTCAAGGCTACATCCAAGCTGTTGGGGCAGGGGGAGGCAGGTGAGGGAGAATGGGAATGAGGCAAGTTAAAATGCCACAAGGCATGTTCTTCATATTGAGATTCAGCCATTTTGGGGGAATAAATGCTCCCCAGATTGCTGTAAGCCTTTGGTTAATTTCCAGAGTTCTGAAAAAAAATTGATTTCAACAATTTTTCCCAGTGTCCTCATTGATTTAATGAAGGAGAGGATTTTCGGAGGTCCTTACTCCACCAGTTTCGCTCCTGTCATCCCAGCTTTGCCTCTGACTGCATGTTGAATTTATACTGAGGCACTTCAAAAAAGCTCAGAGAATCCAAACTTTCTTCCCCTTACTGCCTACCAAAGAAATGAGTCACTGATAGTCAAGATGTAGGTGGATTTTTCTGTCCAAAAGTCTCTTTATTTTGCCGTTTTTGAAGTTTATTGGATATGCTGAAAACAAGGAGTCCAAAATGATGATTTTTGTGTTCACTTTAAGAATAGTCTGAAACATCAGCAAAGCAGATTATGACTAGCATCATTTTTACACTCTGCAGCTGTCCCTTCAGAAAAGGAATAGATAGGAAATTGGCCACATTTGGAATGTATGCTCTTTAAGGTAACGTAATCTGTTTTCTTTTATATCACAGGGATTTAATGTGCAAAATGGCGATTATACCAGACTGGCTTAGGTCGCATCCTCACACACGAAAATTTACACATTCAAGACCCCATTCTTCACCGTGTAGAGTATATTCAAGGAATGGTTCCCCAAATAAGTTCAGATCTTCTTCAAGTAAGTATTCATGAGCAAATAAGAACACTAACTGTAGATATCACTTATATGTATTTAATATGTACCAAGCTTAGTTCAAAGGACTCATATGACATTTAATCCTCACAATAACTCTATGAATTAGGCTCTGTTTTTATCCCTGTTTTCTATATGGGGAAATTGGGACACAGATTGATTAAGCTATTTGCCTAAAAGTTACAAGGTTTTAAGTGGTATGTCAGGATTTGAACCCAGGGAGTATGATTCCAGAATTCAGGGGCTTATATATATAAAAACTCACTCAGTAAATTAGTAGACTTAATTTTTTTTAGCAGTTTTAGGTGTACAGAAAAATTGACTAGAAAACACAGGAAGTTCCCATACACCCCCTCACTCCCACCCCCAGTTTCCCCATAATTAACATCTCATATTACTGTGGTACATTTGTTACAATCGATGAACCCATACTGATAACATTATTTTTACTTAAAGTTCTTAGTTTACATTAGGGTTCACTCTTGATGGTGGAGATTGTATTAGTTTTAGACAAATGTATAAAATGCCGTGTATTGACCAGGCACAGTGGCTCATGCCTGTTAATCCAAGCACTTCCGGAGGTCGAGGCAGGAGGATTGCTTGAGCCCAGGGGTTCCAGACCAAGCTGGGCAACATAGTAAGACCTTGTCTCTACAAGAAATAAATACAAAAAATTAGCCAGGCATAGTGGTACATGCCTAGAGTCGCAGCTACTTGGGAGGCTGAGGTGGGAAGATGGCTTAGGCCCTGGAGGTCAAGACTTCAGTGAGCCATGATCGTGCCACAGCACTCCAGCCTGGGTGTCAGAGTGAGACCCTGTCTCAAAAAAATAATAATAATAAATAGACATCTTGGTTGCCTCCGTGTTTTGCAATTGTAAGTGAAGCTGCCGTAAGCATTCGTGTACTGGTTTTTATGTGGACATAGGTTTTCAACTCATCTGGAGTTCTTACCAGTTTTAAAAGCAACAGAATTTGACGTTATTATTTTCCAAAAATACGTATCCTTTAATTTCATGTATTAGTTCCTCCATTTACTCATTCATTTATCCACATTTTCTGAGCCATAATATGTGACAGGCACTGTAATAGGTGCTAAGAATAAAGAGATGCACCTGAGAGAAGGCCCGCCCTAGACAAGCTCACAGTCTAGAGAGGGAGATAAAGAATTCAAGTAGCGTGAGCCAAATGCCGTAAGACGCACTTACAAAGCACTGCATGAACACAGCCTGAGGAATCAGCGGGCCACTGTGAAAGAAGAAGCTGGGTTTATGAAAGAAGTTAGGTTTTGCCTTGTAATTGGGTGAAGCCATCCCAGTCATGCTGGACACTCAGGCTTACTTGCAACTGGCAGGACTTGAACCACCAGGTCCCATGCATCTACCAGGGAGCCTGCAAAATAGAGACTGTTTCCAACAACCGTGTGTCTACCCAAACTCAGGGGTCTATTTCTAAGGAGAAAGAGGAGAGTGGATATTAGGGATTAGCTTAGTAGTTTCTGACATCAAAATACATCATCAGCAATAAATGCATCCCAGTTCAATAGCTCCATGTCTACAATCTAATTTAGATATATCTTTATTTAACTAACTTTCTGATCGTACAAAGAAGACTAGAGTGAGGTGAGATGACTGGGTTAAAAGGTGTTCCTACTCTTTTTTTTTTTTTTTTTTTTTTTTGAGACAGAGTCTTACTCTGTCATCCAGGCTGGAGTGCAAGGGCATGATCTTGGCTAACTGCAACCTCTGCCTCCCAGGTTCAAGTGATTCTCATGCCTCAGCCTCCTGAGTAGCTGGAATCACAGGCATGCACCACCACACCTGGCTAATTTTTGTATTTTTAGTAGAGACAGGATTTCACCATGTTGGCCAGGCTGGTCTCAAACTCCTGGCCTCAAGTGATCTATCCCCCTCGGCCTCCCAAAATGCCAGGATTATAGGCATGAGCCAGCGCACCCAGCCTGTTCCTGCTCTTAAGGTTCCTAATGAGTACCACCAGATTACCCTTCAGGAAGCTCACACCTTAGCACATTCTCACTCATGATACTTACAAGTGCTCATTTCTAAGTATCCTAACACAGATTGTCTTTTAAGATCTTGCCCATTGGATATGGAAAAATAACATTCCATTGTGAATTTAATATGCATTTCCTCAATAGTAAGGTTAACTTTTTTTCTCAAGTTTACCAGGCTTATGCCTTTTGCTTTTGTGAGTTGCCTATTCATATCCTTTGCCTGTTTACCTACTTTGGGTTGGTCTTTTTTAGTGACTAGTATGAGCTCTCTTTGTATTGAAAATGTGAACCTTCTATCTGCCTTAGTGCCACAGGTATTTTTCTTTTTTGTCATTTGCTTTTTATTTCTATTGGTGGTACTTTTTAGTGCACTGGAGTGTTTTTTTTAACTTTTTTTTCTTGTTGTTTTATTGAGGCGGAGTCTCGCCCTGTTGCCCAGGCTGGAGTGCAGTGGTGCGATCTTGGCTCACTGCAAGCTCCGTCTCCTGGGTTCAAGCGATTCTCCTGCCTCAGCCTCCTGAGTAGCTGGGACTACAGGCGCATGCCACCATGCCCAGCTAATTTTTGTATTTGTAGTAGAAATGGTGTTTCACCATGTTGGCCAGAATGGTCTCGATCTCTTGACCTTGTGATCCGCCCACCTCGGCCTCCCAAAGTGCTGGGATTACAGGCATGAGCCACCGTGCCCGGCATTTTTTTACTTTTTAAAAATTAAAGATATATTTGCCTCCCAGCACCACTTTCCTCTACAAGAGGGTATCATCAGCAGTTGGGCTGATCTCTTTTTCACGCATGCACAACATATAACTGTAGATATATATTTGTATAACTCATACATCAAATAAGCAAATAAATATTAGACACACTGTTTCCTTTTAAAGTGTTCTTATCTTTGTGTTTCAGGTTGAATCATTTCTATAGACCTGAGTTCATAGTCACGAGTTCTTTTTTCTAGCATGTACACTCTGCTACTAAGCAAAACAAGTGAATTCTTAACTTCTGATATTGTATTTTTAATTTTTAGATTTTTTTCATGTGCTCTTTAAAAATACTTTCCATTTCTCTAGTGAAATTCCCTATATGTTCACCATGTTCTCAGCTTTTCCCTTTCATCTTGCCAACATATTTCCCATTCTCAGTTTGAATACCTGATCATTTCTACCTGGTCATTATTCTTTCTGTGGGTGTTCTTCTGATGACTGTTTTTACCTGGATTAAGTTACCTTTTCTTCTTCACTTGTCTTGCAATTAAAAAAAAAAAGTAATGCCAGATATTTGTGTTAAAAACAGCAGAGACAGAAGTCAATAATATTTACCACCAGAAAAGGAAAGCCTCTTCTTCTCTCAGGTTTCTAGCGAGGTGAGCTCAGTTTAATCTCTCAGGTAAGCTGTGCCTTGACTTTGTTGCAGTTTTAGTTAAATTTGGGTTACCCCTGGTTTCATATGCTTGCCTTCAACAGGTCTTTGAGGTGTGAGCACTGGTGAGACTCCACAGATCTCTCTGCTTTATAGCCCAGCCACCAGCTTTGCATATGGCGGGGAGATCTCTCTCTGCTTTACTGCCTACCTGCCATTTTGGGGGGTTTCATGGGAGGCCTCTTTGTTGTCCAGCTCTGCTGTGGCTTTCTGCACCTGGGAACATCTGTGTCCACCCTGTGGCCCTGATTTAACCTTCAGTGGGCCACTGACACTTAGTGAAGGGCCCATATGCTTCGGAGGGTTCACCTGAGCTCTTGTTCCCTGTATTCAGCCTTTGGTAAACAGCTGCCCCGAACTTGTGCAAAACCTCGTGTGCCATGCTGGGGTGGATCACTCAGCTCTCCTCTAGCCCCAGCCTTTGGTGCAGTGCTACTTACCTGCACTGGGGGAAGGCCCAAGAGGGTGAGCGCAGACCTGCTCTGTGACCAAGGTCCCTGGGAATCTCATCCATCTGTCAGCCTCATGTGGCTGCTAAATACTGGGTCGTTTTCTTCCTACCCTGTCTGTAACGAATTTGCTTTTTACCCACTGTGCCACAGGGCTGGAAGGAGTTATCATTCTTTTTTCTCTGACGAGTGGCTTGTCCTTTCCTGAATTGTAGTTTCTTTGCATCCTCAGATCTCTGGTGGGTTTTAAAACTATATATATATTTTAGCTTATCCTACTTGTTCTCATTGTTAGGGTGACAGTGACAGTCTGTTGTGACTTTCTATATCCTAAGCGGATATAGAAAATTTTGTCAAATTGCCCTCCAGAAAGATTCCATCAATTTGTACTCCCACCAGCAGGTTCTGCAAGGTTGGTTACTGCTTTCATTTTCATCCTCAGACGTTGCATTAGGCACGTGGAATAAAAAGTCTTCCTTTACGTATTTTAAAATAGTCTCAAATCAATATTTTCTGATTCTTTTAAATTACAATTATTGATTGCAATGGTGGGGCTTCTAAGAAAGCAACTAAAAATATATATGAGAAGTCCAAGAGAGGATTTCAAGACAGAGGTGTACATTAACAAGAGGGATCTCCCTCTGACACTGGGGGCAGGAGGAGGATGTTCAGGCTGGTGGGCAGAGGGAGAAAGAGTGCTCACTGGCTGATACTGAAGCACGCAGCTGCTGTGTGTGAATCAGCTGCTTCTGAGATTCTGAGTGACAGCCAGAAATGGAAGGGAAGCCCGAGTGCTTCCTGCATTACTGAGTGTTCTTGGAACTCTTGTGGGAGGGTTAAGTTCCTTCTTCCCCCTCAGGGCTGTGCTCATTCCTCTGTTCCCTGTCTGCCCTCTCTTAAGTGAGTCATCTGGCTCCATGTCCTGAAATGCCACCTGTAACCAAAATGATAGCTCCATCCTCACTTCCCCACTAAGCTCCCGATCGTATATCCAGTTGCCTCGCGGACCTTTCTGCGTGCACCGCATCTAACCGGCATCTCAGACCGGAACTGGCTAAACGGGTCTCTCGACTCCCCCGTGTTCTCCATCTTAGCAGTGACACTGTCATTTATCTCATTGCTCATGTCCAGCACCAAGGGATTATCCTTGATTTCTCTATTTTCTTTAACACCCCTCACACGCCTCCTCAGCCAATCCATCAGCAAAACCTTGTCAGCTACAGATCCGATAGATCATGTCTCCTATCTGTCTACTTTTTGTCTACCTTCAGGGCTACCACCTGGTTTAAGCCACAGTTACCTCCTAGACCTTGAAGCAGCCTCCTCTCTTGTCTCTCTTCCTCATTTTTTGCCCCCTATAATCCATTCTTTACATAGCAGCCAGAACACATTTTTAAAACCCCACACAGAGGCTGTATTAGATAACATTGCTTCCCTCCCTAAACTCTCCTGAGCCTTTCCATTGCACTTTGAAGAAAATGCCATCCTTTCTGCAGGTGCCTGAAGCCTGTGTGGACTGGCCTTTTCCTCCCCTGGCCTGACCTCTCACTGTTCTCCATCCTACCTGCTATGTGCCACACCGTCCACTCCAGCCTTTTTCTTTCATGGACGTATCAAGCTCCTTCTTGCTCAGGGGTTCTTCACTGGTTGCTATGGTTTCCCTGTTGAAGACATTCTTACTTCAGCTTCTTGACTGGCTGGCTCATTTTTATCCTTCCGGGTTTCAGCTCACAAACCCACTTTGGAGCAGACTTCCTTGACCATCCCCTCTAAAGCAGCCCCCAGCTGCACTCTGCCTCATTGTTTTGTCTTTCCATTTTCATTGCACGTGTCACTGTGCGCCATGACCCTATCATTTGTTTATTTATTTATTGGCTTCTTGTCTGTCGTCTCACCTCCAGATTGTAAGCTGTACCTGTCTTATTCACTGCAGTACCGTCAGGGCTGAAAACAGTGGTTGAAATATGATAGTTGTTGACATACGACATTTTTCGAATGAATCAATTCCACTTCCTTACAAGTCAGTGTTTCCCACGGCCCCTTCTCCTCTTCCCATTGGGCCTGTTTCCCTGTGGCCTCCATGCAGGTGGTTCCCACACTTGCATCTCCACTCCAGCCTCTCTTATCTCCAGAGCATGTATTCAACTTTCAGATGGACATCCCGCTTAGATATCCCAGGCTGAACTCATTCTCTTTCCATAAGCCTTTTCCTCTTCTGTTCCAGGTATCTATTGCTGTGTGCAAATGCCCTAAACATTGTGGCTCGAAATAGCAACAGTCATTTATTTTGCTCACAGATCCACAGTTTGGGCAGGTCAGCTTGTCTCTGCTCTATGCAGTCCAGCTGGGGAGGTGCAGAGGCTGGGCTGATGTCACATCGGGGGCCAGAGTCCTCGAATGGCTAGCAGTTGATGCAGCTGTTGCCTGGAACCTCAGCTAAGGCTGTTGCCCAGAACTCCTATATGTGGCCTGCCAGGGTGGCTCCTTGGCCTCCTCACAGCCAAGTGGTGTCTGTGTGTGAGCATCTAAAGAGGACCAGGCATGGCCGGGTGCGGTGGCTCACGCCTGTAATCCCAGCACTTTGGGAGGCCGAGGCGGGTGGATCACCTGAGGTCAGGAGTTCGAGACCAGCCTGGCCAGCATAGTGAAACCCCGTCTGTATTAAAAAATACAAAAATTATTCAGGCATGGTGGCAGGTGCCTATAGTCACAGCTACTCGGGAGGCTGAGGCAGGAGAATTGCCTGGACCCAGGAGGTGGAGGTTGCAGTGAGCCAAGATTGTGCCACTGAACTCCAGGCTGGGAGACAGCAAGACTCCATCTCAATAAATAAATAAATAGGACCAGGCAGAGGCCGTAGCAGCTTGCGTGACCTCATCTTGGAGATCACACATGTCATGTATCATACTGATAGATGTCCATTCTGCCATAGTCATGGGCCCACCGGATTCAAGTGGGGAGCGTATGCCCACTTTTGCAGGGAGGAGTGTTAACATGATATTGTGTTGGGAGATCTTGCCATTCCCATCTTGGAAAATACCATCTGTTGCATCTTCCCTCTTCCCTTTCTAAGTGAAGGGTGCTGCCCCTGCCCAGCCACCCAGGCCAGACGCAGGTGTTCCATCCTCTCTCCATCCCTCACCTGGCCCCTCCAATCAGAGGAGTCTGTAGACCTCCCCGCTTGACCTTTCTTTTATTCATGTGAAGTCTTTTTGCTCTGTGACCATCACGCTAGTACGGTACTGTGTCACTCCTCTCCTAAGAAGCTGTAGTCACCCAGCCTGTCTCCACCCCATCACTCTCCTTCCCTTTTGGTTCCTCCTCCACGTGGTACCAGGGGGAAGGTGAAGAATGAAAATAGGGTTATGTTGTTCTTTTGATGACAGTCCCACTGTGCCATCTCATAACCCCAGAGCGTGAAGCCCAAGGACAGGCCCTGCTGACTTTTCCCGTCATCTCTTGGCCGATGCAGCTCTGCTTGTCCCCACCCCCATCCCCCTTTTGCCCAGGCTGGCCACGCCCCACAGCAGCCCCACTTCCAGCTGCGTTCCCTCAGGATCACCAAGTTGCTTTCCACTGAGTGGGCTTTCCTGTCACCTTCCATCCTGTCACCGGAAACCAGCCATCCTCTGTTTAGGTCTCCCGTGCTCCCTGCAGACACCTAATGCCTGTCTCCACACTGGACCGCCGCATCCCAGTTACCGAATCACCTCCCTCCCTGAGGCTGTGGGCATCAGGAGCGAGAGTCATCCCCAGCCCCCGGCACAGGCCCTGCGTGCGCTGGGCCCTCAGTGGGTGTCGGGGGAGAATCGCCGATGGCAGCGCAGTCCCTGTGTGGCGTGGAAGTGCCCCCCAGAGCCTGCTGTGCTGTGGCTCATGGGGTTAGGGTCTGCAGCCAATCTCCATGGCAGCGTCACTGTGGGGTGCCTGCACGTTGTCTCTTGTATCCCCTCAAGCAGAAGACAGCCCAGCCCACCCTACAGCTCTGAGGAAATCCTAGCCTGCCCTCTGGGTGGGTTCAAGTTGGTGCACCGAGATCTTTGGCATCTTTTACCTGCCCAGGTCACCCCAAGACTAAAGCTATCACTGTCCTTATGCCAGAAATGTGCAATAGCTTGATAAGAAATTTTCATTCAAAGGGAAAGAACTAGCATCCTCCCTCCCTAGCTGCTGCTTGTGAATATTATTATAAAGGATGAGGCAATGTTAAAGCCCTTTAACATACATCTAGGATTTACTATGTAATTTCCTACCTATTGTTCCTCTAGTTGTCTTTGTCTTGGAGAGGGGAAGGAGGCCTATGGTGTATCACCTCTCCTTTGCTGACACAGGGAGCTCTGGGACCTAAAACGTTAGTCAAGACATTATTCCTTTCCTTCCAAAAAGTTCAAAACCCAAAAGCTTATTTAGACCACTCAAAACATTTTTCTTTTTTTTCTGAGACGGAGTTTCACTCTTGTTGCCCAGGCTGGAGTGCAATGGCACGATGCCAGCTCACCGCAACCTCAGCCTCCCAGGTTCAAGCTATTCTCCTGCCTCAGCCTCCTGAGTAGCTGGGATTACAGGCATGTGCCACCACACCCAGCTAATTTTGTATTTTTAGTAGAGATGGGGTTTCGCCATGTTGGCCAGGCTGGTCTCGAACTCCTGACCTCAGGTGATCCGCCTGCCTCGGCCTCCCAAAGTGCTGGGATTACAGGCGTGAGCCACCGTGCCCAGCCCTCGGAACATTTTTATATCTGCATTTTAGCGTCCATCTCTTCCCTGTCTTTGAAAGGGAAATGGTCTGGGTTTAAGAATTACATGTTTTTCCCTCAAAAATTGGCAAGGGGATGAAAGGTGAATATGATATTTTAAAGATTTATTTGAATGATATTGACTAAATTTTCTTTCAATATCCATGTTTTTCACTTGTACTGACCTATGTCCTTTACAGGGAAGATTCTCTTTTTTTTTCTTACTATTGTGATTACTATTATTCTATATTGACCAAATTTCAGAGTTGAAAGATGACCGAGTAGATTTTTCATTACAAGTCATCTAACGGTGATACACGTAAACCTAGATATGGTGGGAGAAATACCATCTAATAAGTTTTCTTGGTTCCGTTCAACAGTGCAAGAGTTTCTGTTTAGTATCTTGGCTTTAAACATGTTTAATAAATAGCTGTATCTCTTTTATAGCCACAGCTGTTGCAAATCCAACACTGTCCTCCTTAGATGTTAAACGGATTTTATTTCAAAAAATTACCGACAGAGGGGATGAGTTGCAAAAAGCCTTTCAGCTGCTGGATACTGGTCAGAACTTGACTGTGTCAAAAAGTGAACTGAGAAGAATCATCACAGACTTCCTGATGCCGCTCACACGAGAACAGTTTCAGGACGTGTTGGCTCAGGTGCTGTATGTTGTACATACTTAGAATCCCTCAATTCCAGACAAGCTGAGGTAGATCAGGGGAGCAGGTAACCTCTCCTGTCTTTGTCCCCACTGTTGCCACTGAGCAGTTGAAGTTTTGTTTTTCATAATTCAGTTAATTAAGGCTGATGTAGATGATCACGATCAACAGCTACTCGGTCATATTTTGCATGTAGCGCTGCTCCAGCCAGTTTCTTTTCATTTCTTTCTTTCTTTTTTTTTTTTTTTTTGAGACAGAATTTCACTCTTGTTGCCCAGGCTGGAGTGCAATGGTGTGATCTTGGCTCACCGCAACCTCCGCCTCCCAGGTTCAAGCAATTCTCTGGCCTCAGCCTCCTGAGTAGCTGGGATTACAGGCGTGGGCCACCATGATGCCTGGCTAATTTTGTATTTTTAGTAGAGATGGGGTTTCACCATGTTTCCAGGCTGGTCTCGAACTCCTGACCTCAGGTGATCTGCCTGCCTTGGCCTCCCAAAGTGCTGGGATTACAGGCATGAGCCACTGCACCCGGCCTTCTTTTCATTTCTTTTAAGGGTCCATATAAATGTATTTGGGTCAACTTCTATTTTGGAACTTAGTATTTTGGCATTTTTTCCCTTCATCAAATAGTTACGGAGCATTGGCTTTATGCTAGAGCCAATGCTAGACACTGCGGTGCAGATAAGTCAGACTCAGGCCCTGCCCTTGAGGAGCTCCCAGCCCAGTGAGACACTTACGGAGTGTTGGCAAGTGCTGGGAGAGGGGCCACGACAGGGTGGCTGGGAGTTACTGGAGGGAGAGCTATCTGAAAATGAGGAGAGGTAGTCCAGGAAGGCTTTCTGGACGAGGGGCATTTAACTTAGTTTTGACGAAGGAGTGAGTATTCTCGAGATGAGAGGGGAAGGAAAGGTCATTATAGCAGAGGGGACAGCCTGTGTGAAAGCTTGGATGCCTGCATCCGCCTGCCATGCTTACTCAGGGACCTGGGTAGTTCTGTGACTTCTATCGGAAGTGAAGGGATATGGGTCATGTTGTGGCCAGAAGGGCCAATTCAGAAAAGTACTTCGTAAAACAGTTCGACATTTATCCTAGAGGCTGTAGGGAGCCGGTGAAGGGTTTGCAGCAGGGGTGATGCAGTTACATGGGGAGGGATGTGGAGGATGAAGGCCCTTGGCCACCTGGTGGTGTGCCACACCAGGGGGATGAAAGGAGTAAAAATCTGTGGACTGTATCCTTGGGGGCCTTAAAAAAGGAATATGAAATGCAGTAGGAGTCAAACCCTTTCAAAATCAGTCTGTAATGATCAAAAGTAGAAAATTTGGGCTAGAATATCATTAGTATTCCATTTAACCCAATAACTAAATTTGTACACACACATGCATGCACACACACAGACAAGTATATATGTATTTACTCATTCATTAGTTTTTTTAAATTAATTAATTAATTTATTTTTTATTTTTTGATGGAGTCTCACTCTGTCATCCAGGCTAGAGTGCAGTGGCGCTATCTTGGCTTACTGCAACCTCCGTCTCCAGAGTTCAAGTGATTCTTGTGCCTCAGCCTCCCGAATAGTGGGATTACAGGCATGTGCCACCATGCCCAGCTAATTTTTAAATTTTTAGTAGAGACGGGGTTTCTGCATGTTGGCCAGGCTGGTCTCGAGTTCCTGACCTCAAGTGATCAGTCTGCCTTGGCCTCCCAAAGTGCCGGGATTACAGGGGTGAGCCACCGTGCCTGGCCTCATTCATTAGTTCTTAATCAGAGTCTGACTTGATGCTACCTCCTAGCAATTTAAAAACTTACTTCTTTTAGAATTTGCTGTGTACTACAACCCACTGTGTATACTTCCAACACAGGGGAATGATCTGTTATCAAAACAAATAGCTCAATGAATTTCAGGCATTCCCAAATTCTAGTCTTAACTTCAAGGACTGACTCTCTCTCTCTCTCTTTTTTTTTTCTGACTTAAAATTAAAAAAAAGTACAGTTCTATTTGTTGTTTCTTCTTATGCATACCATATTCTGTTTCAAAGTTTTCTCTTCCTTTTAATTCTGTCTTTTTTTTTGAATTTGTGAAGTTTTGAGCCATAATTTTCTCAAATTTTTTTCTGTCCCATTCTTTCCTCTCTTAAACATTTTGATATTGTCCCACTGGCCCCTGAGGCTCAGTTCATTAAAAAAAGTTTTATTCTATCATTCAGATTGGATAATGTCTATTGATCTGTCTTTAAGTTCACCGACTCTTATCATCTTCATTCTGCTGTTAGCCCCATCCCTTGAATTTTTACTTTTAGACATTGTATATTACAGTTGTAGAATTTCCATTTAATTCCTCTTTATGATCTCTTTACCTGCTTAGATTTTCTGTTTTTCTGCAGTTATGAGCATATGTCTTTCAACTCATTGAACATAGTTAAAATAGCTGCTTTAAAGTTCTTGTCTAGTAATTTTCACATGTTAGTCACCTCAAGGTTGACCTGCATTGATGGTCTTTTCCATTGAGAGGGGTCTTATTTCCCTGGCTGTTCATATTTGAGTATGTTTGGATAATATTTCAGAACAGAGCTAATAGAAGCATACTGTGAGTAGGTCAGGTGTGGTGGTTCACGCCTGTAATCCCAATGCTTTGGAGGCTGAGGTGGGAGCATCATTTGAGCCAAGGAGTTCAAGACCAGCCTGGGCAATATAGGAAGACCCCATCTCTACAGAAAATTTAAGAATTAGCTGACCTTGGCTGGGTACGGTGGCTCATGCCTGTAGTCCCAGCACTTTGGGAAGCCAAAGCAGGCAGATCACCTGAGGTCTGGAGTTCGAGACCAGCCTGACCAACATGGAGAAACCCCGTCTCTACTAAAAATACAAAAAAATTAGATGGACATGGTGGCACATGCCTGTAATCCCAGCTACTCAGGAGGCTGAGGCGGGAGAATTGCTTGAACCCGGGAGGCAGAGTTTGTGGTGAGCCGAGATGGTGCCACTGCACTCCAGCCTGGGCAACAAGAGCAAAACTCCATCTAAAAAAAAAAAAAAAATTAGCTCACCTTGAGCCCAGGTGTTGGAGGTTGCAGTGAGCCACGATCACGCTAATGCACTCTAGCACCCTCATGGGCACTGACACCCCACTATGATGATGCCCTCCTCACCCCATATCCTCCTCTGGGCTTTGATGGCTCCTCCAACACTGTGATGTCATTTTCCTCTGTCCCATCTGATGACTTTAGGACTGAATTGTTAGAAAAGATAGAAAAGGAGGAGGAAGACAGAACTTTTCTCTTCCCTTAAAAAAAAATTTCCCCTTTATTTACTTCTATAATAATGGATAAAATAGTGCATTTGATTTTTTCCACATCACCCTTTATTGCTGTCTACATTTTTAATAGCAGCTTTATTAAGGTATAATTTACGTATCATAAAATTCACCCTTTAAACATGTATAAATTGGTGTTTTTCATATATTCATAGAGTTTCGCAGTCATCACCACTATCTAATTGAAAACCGTTTTCATCATTCCAAAAAGAAACTGTCCTCCTTAGCAGTTACTCTCCATTTCCTTTCCACTGTATCTGCAAATACTAATGTACTTTCTGTCACCATAGATTTGTCATTATAGATTCTGGATATTTCATATCAATGGAGTCATACAAGATATGATCTTTTGTGTCTAGCACATGTTTTTAAGGCTCACCCATGTTACAGCATGAATTTGTACCTCATTCCTTTTTATGGCTGAGTAATAGTCCATTGTATGGATAGACCACATTTTGTTTACCCTTTGATCGGCTGATGGACCTTTGAGTTGTTTCCACGTTTTGACTTTTGTGAATAGCACTGCTGTGAACATTCATGTGAAAGGTTTTCGTGTGAACATATGTTTTCAGTTCTCTTGGGTACATACCTAGGGGAGAACTGCCATGTCATATGGTAGTGTTCTTTTGCTTTTAAAGAACATTCATCCTTGTAAACATTGTATCAGTTTCCTCATAAACTTGATTTAAGTGATACTTTATGCCAAATGGAGAGTTAAAATATTATTTCCTGCTATGTGTCCTTATAGTCATGATCTAATGTTAATTTAAAATTTTGACAATCTTCCCAAGCTAATCAGTTATGCAGGAAGAGCAAAAGTACAGAAAATATGAAATGTGTATCTGTTTTTAAAAGCTACATCTGTTTTTAAAAGAAGCCACTGAGAACTGTAGAACTTCAAAGACTTTTTAAAAAACAGGTCTTGATAGTCTGTCCTAAATGACAAGTAAGATTCCCAGAACCTTAAGCTCCTGTGACATGTGTGTCAATCAAGGAGGCTGGAGTGTGGCACATTGCAGGAGGCCAAGGTCATTGGGAATGAAGGGCATGGCTTCCCTTCTCTATCCACAGACTTCCCAGCATCTGTGGCTTTTCTAGATGGTTCTATGATGAATCCATTTGGTGATACATGCTCTTTCTTTTTTAGTAGTTAATGTAAGCCTAACTGGACACTTACAAAATGAGTAAAAGATTTCATGGTAATTTCCCCTTAAAGTTGGGAAAGAATTTTCCAGTTATAGTCTGAATTTACTTTAGCTTCAATTTTATTTGAAGACCTGTGTCAGGAATGTTTGAGTGTCAGGGTGTTTTAATGACTGACCAGGGCAGGAAGTATGAGGAGGTTTTTCTTGCAATCTGCTCCGTACCTTTGTTTCCATTAAGAGTGATGCAGACTCGGTGTTTTATAAAAATGTGGCCTCAGTCCCTGAATATTAATGGAGGCCATTTAAAAGAAGTTGAATTGGTAAATTGATTCCAGAGAAGGAAAACAAAGTTGTGTTTTCATCCCAGTGGTTGTGCCAGGTTGGAGAAAATGTCTTCTTGCAAGATACTTATCACAATGACGGATACTGATCTAAAAACTAGCCTCCTCCAGCCCCACCCTTAAGAATTCGCTTTCAGCAATTCGTCTATAGATGGTTTTGATTCTTAAACATTTTGCCAGAATTGTAAACACCAAAAGGCAAGTACTGAGCAGAGCCTCTCCCTTTGGACTAGATTCTTTACTTGTCTAAGGGGCTTAGCTTTGGAGACTATCATCGCAAGAATTTCTTTACCACATTAGAATTTGTGTTAGACTATAAGTAGCAATATGAAATGCAATGAAAGCTTGAATAATTTGACGGGCTGTCTTTTTCTTCATGGGTAGGGTGGTTAGTGCAGTGGGATGGACTTGCACTCTGGATTCACAGAGATCGCTGGCACTCATGGCGGTGCCGGGCAGGGAGGCCATACCTCTGCTTTGTGAGTTGTAGAAAGTGACACCACCTCTGAGGGTGGTTTTAGGGCTACTCATGTAAAACACTGAGAATAGTGCCTGCATCCAGTCAGTGTGAGCTCTGCAAATGTAAGTTTCTTCTCTTCCTCATTTCCTCTTATCACTTCCAAAACCAGGAGGGCACCCAACCTTGAACTACATGTTTAATCTGCTCTTGCCCTTCTTCTGCAAGGCTAGGGAAACTGAAATGCTTGCTCAAAATTATATCTACTTAAAAATGCATTATCAGAAAAGAAGTCACAGGCATTCTTTCCAGGAAAAGGCTTTACAGAGGCCCACCCTGTGAGCCCCTCTCCACTGGTCTCATTTCCTAGTTACACATGTTTTAAATAGTAAACAGCAATCCATCCTTTGGAGAAGACTGCAATAACCATGCCAGGCTTTGAGGCCGGCATTTTAAGGGCTTAGTAAATAACAGATTTGATTGTGTAGAGTTGGGAGCCATTCAGCTGTATGGGAAATTGTACTTTGTGTATTTGTGTGAAGCTTGATGAAATAGATTTATATTGATTGTATATTTATTTAATGTTTATCTAAATTTTAGATTCATAATGCTTCTTTGGAAATATTTTATTAAATAAAATTTAACTTTTTGCTTAGAAATAATCTCAAACTGAATTGCTTGAACCCAGGAGGTGGAGGTTGCAGTGAGCCAAGATTGTGCCACTGCACTCTAGCCTGGGCAACAGAATGAGACTCCATCTCAAAAAAAAATTAAATAAATAAATAAAAGGAATAATCTTAAACCTGTAGAAAAGTTGCAAGAATAGGCCAGGCACATTGGCTCACGCCTATAATTCCAGAACTTTGGGAGGCCAGGTGGGTGGATCGCTTGAGGTCAGGAGTTGGAAACCAGCCTGGTCAACTTGATGAAACCCTGTCTCTACTAAAAATACAAAAATCAGCCGGGTGTGGTGGTGAACACCTGTAGTCCCAAGCTCTCGGGAGGCTGAGGCAGGAGAATTGCTTGAACCCGGGAGGCAGAGTTTGCAGTGAGCTGAGATCCTGCCACTTTACTCCAGCCTGGGTGACAGAGTCTCAAAAAAAGAAAAGTTGCAAGAATAAGAAAAGTACAAATAGCACTCATATGGTACAAATAATGCCCATATACCCTCATTGAGATTGACCTATTGTGAACATTTTACCTCATTTGTTTCTTCTGTGATCTCTCATTATCTGTGTGTATGTGTATGCACACAACATACACAAACAATGTACACATATATATATATTTAAAAACACTTGAGGGGGGCCAGGTGTGGTGGCTCATGCCTGTAATCCCAGTACTTTGGGAGGCTGAGGCAGGCATATCATTTGAGGTCAGGAGTTCAAGACCATCCTGGCCAGCCTGGGGAAACCCCATCTCTATTAAAAATTCAAAAATTAGCTGGGTGTGATGTGTGCCTATAGTCCCAGCTGCTCCAGAACCTGAGGCAGGAGAATTGCATGAACCGGGGAGGCGAAGGTTGCAGTGGGCCGAGATTCTGTGACTGCCCTCCAGCCTGCGTGACAGAGCGAGACTCCATCTCAAAAAACAAAAACAAAAACAAACAAAAAACACTTGAGGGGAAGTTGCTTGTATCATAGTTCTTTACCCCAAAAACATCAGTGTACATTTCCTAAGAGCTATTCTTTTACATAATCACAGTGCACCTATCAATGTCAGCAAATTAAACATTGAGATAATACTTTTATTTAATCTACAGTCTGTATTGACCCACTTGACCCAATGATATCCTTTGTGGAATTTTTAATTTAAAAATGGATTTTTTTCTACCTTAAAACTGTATGTACAAACTCGTGTACAAAGTTCACGTGACACTCAGTATAAAATTGTGCTATGGCCTCAGCTTCTAATATGTATTATATGTGTAACACATATTAGAGTATATATAGAGTATATTTATGCTTATTTTTTAGGCGATTTTAAATAATTTTGTAGATAACTCGACTTTCAGTTGGGCACAGACTGGCATTCTAGGGTGCTATTTACACTCTATTTGCTGAGAATGCATGTTCACCGTGACACCTGGGTTAAGCAGTTGTATTTAAATGTTTAATGGAATGCTCGTCCTGTTAATAGTATTCTCTGTTACATCCTGAGAGCTGTGATTTAGAAATCTGCTTTACCGTCTATTGCTTGGATCTTAATTCTCTAACATGTTGTCATTCTTCTCCCTTGACTGTAGATCCCCCTTAGCACCTCTGGTACTGTACCGTACCTTGCCTTTCTGTCCAGGTTTGGTGGAATTGACCTATATATAAATGGTATAAAGAGGTAAGTGTTTGGTTTGCTCATGTGAAAATGTGAAATTTGAAATGATGAGTAAGAGCTATGACGTGAAGCCATTGGAACTAATCATATCAACAGCTATATATGGAAGATGAGTTTGTAGAACTTGTCCATATGGAATTTAATGGAATTAATCCAGTCAAGTTTTATTTAGGGAAGATTTTAGCATCTATATAGGATGTATTTCAAAACAAGAGGAATGATACTGTAATAAAATGTAAACACAGCAAATTAAAACCAGACAAAAATAGTTTACATGCAATATATTTAAAATTGGAATTAATGGAATTTAATTTTGAAGTAAAATATTAAGATGCCAAATTTAAAATTTGTAGGTTTTTATACATTTTTAATGTTGTTATTGGAAAGTGATGATGTTTTCGTGGCTAGAAATAATAAAAAAAGATCTTTGTATGAACTACTTGAATATTTCATAGTTTTTGCATAAAGCATGGGACTCTTTTTTTTTTGCAACATGAGCAGGTTGGAGTTTGACCTTTAATGTCTCAATCAGCAGTAAAATTATTTATTTTAGTGTATGATTTAGGAAATATTGTTTTAGTAATAAAAATATTTACTTATATCTGACTCTAAATGAATAAGCTTCATTTCCTCAGGAGTTGTGTAACCAATTATATATAAGAATTAAATTTGTAGTTCAGCCACTATGAGAAGCAGTTGGAGATTTCTCAAAGAACTTGGAACTATCATTGGACCCAGCAATCCCATTACTAGGTATATACCCAAAGGAAGACAAATCATTCTACCAAAAGACACATGCACTCATATGTTCATCGCAGCACTAGTCACAGTAGCAAAGACATGGAATTAACCAACCTAGGTGCCTACCAATGGTGGATTGAATTTTAAAATGTGGTACATATACACCATGGAATACTATGCAGCCATTAAAAAGAATGAAATCATGTCTTTTGCAGCTGGAGGCCATTATACTAAGCAAATTAATGCAGGAACAGAAAACCAATACCACATGTTCTCACTTACAAGTGGGAGCTACACATTGGGTACATGTGGACATAAAGATGGGAACAGCAGACACAGCAGACAACTAGAGGGGGAAGGGATGGGGGCAAGGGCTGAAAAACTATTAGGTACTATGCCCACTACCTGGGTGACAGGATTATTTGTACCCCAAACCTCAGCATTAGGCAGTATACCTATGTAACAAACCTGCTCATGTAACTCCTTAATCTAAAATAAAACTTGAGGCTGGGCGTGGTGGTTCACACTATAACCCCAGCACTTTGGGAGGCTGAGGTGAGAGGATCACTTGAGCCCAGGAGTTTGAGACCAGCCTGGACGATATAGTGAGATCTCATCTCTACAAAAAACTTAAAAATTAGCTGAGCATGGTGGCATGCCCCAGGTACTCGGGAAGTTAAGGTGGGAGGATCACTTGAGCCCAGGAGGTGGAGGCTGCAGTGAGCCAAGATTGTGCCACTGCACTCCAGCCTGGGTGACAAAGTGAGACTCTGTCTCAAAAGAATAAAAATAATAAAAAATAAAAGTTGAAATTATAAATACACTATCTAGTTCATTGAAAAAAAACCCACAAAAGCCAATTAATATCAATTGATCAGAGAAAACTGTATTTAATATAAACAAAATATGGACAAAATCACAGAATGAATAACTGACCTTCCTAAGGGGATTAAAAAAATTAAATTTGATCCTGAATTATTAGAAAATTCTGGTATCATGGCTTTTATGACGGATGCATCACTGATGCAGTTTAGGTGTAAGAATTTGTGTCGTGGGGAGGGGGAGATAGGGAATTTATGTACATGGGTGTAGAGTTTTGATTTTGCAAGATAAAAATGTTCTAGAGATCTTTTGCACAACAATGTGAATATACTCAACACCTACTCAACTACACACTTAAAAATGGTTATGTTATTTGTACATGTTTATCACAATTAAAAAAAAAGATGGCCGGGCATGGTGGCTCGTGCCTGTAATCCCAGCACTTTGGGAGGCCGAAGTGGGCAGATCACCTGAGGTCAGGAGTTCGAGACTAGCATAGCCAACGTAGCAAAACCCCATCTCTACTAAAAATACAAAAATTAGTTGGGTGTGGTGGTGCGTGCCTGTAATCCCAGCGACTCGGGAGGCTGAGGCAGGAGTATCACTTGAACTCAGGAGGCAGAGGTTGTAGTGAGCCCAGATCGCACCACTGCACTCCAGCCTGGGTGACAGAGTGAGACTTGGTCTTAAAAAAAAATGAATGAGTGCAGCAGCTCCAGCAAGAGTGACACAGTATCATCCCCTCCATGATGTGGAACTTCTCTGTGCTCTCTTTAGTTAGTGCTAAGTGGGGACTAAGATGATTTCCAGGCTCTTTCAAAAGAATGACAGTTTGTCTTGTAAGCTGCATATTCTTGTTCTTGACATAAAACCATCCCAATTTTATGGATAAAGTTCTTGGGTGGACAGTAAACTAATATGAATAGTCTTTGTTGGGAAAGCTAAAGAACTGGAAAAACTGAAAGCAGGAGAGCCTTTTTTTCCTTATTGTGAAACTTGTCTAATAAATTTGAGATGAAAGAGATCATGAGTTACTCTCTTAAACATAAAAGGCTAAACATTTAAACTAACTTTGAAAGATTTCTGATTTACTCGTGAAGCAGAATTATCTTTGTTGTTGGAGACAATACATTATAGCGAACAGAGACTTCTTTTTCTAGCAATACGGTAGGCTATATACCATGAACAACACTTCTACTGAAAATAATTAAAATGCTGGATAAAAGGCAAAATATGTACGTACATTTTAATACATTACTGAGCTGGAATCTTCAGAGGCCAAACATAGAGTAAAAATTGGGATCTAGAGAAGGGAGCATTCTACAAAGTCAGCTTCTCCCTGAGGGTATTGGCCAAATCCTGGTGAATTTGTGTATTCAGTTTTGCCATTTGGAGTATGGAGACAAGAGACAAAGCCTAGAAGGCCTTCCCAAGGTGGAAGGACTTAACAAAGGACCATCGCCTACAAAGTTGGGACCCTACATCCTCAGTGATTACAAATATAAACCTTCATCACAAAAGGGTACACTGAGGAAAACCACCTATTTCAACACTGGTGCTGAGTGAATAAGGGGAAAATTGTAATTACAAGTTGATTTGCATGAGGGTCTGTCCTTGAATTCATGCTATGTGGTCTGAAAAGTTTCGGGCAAGGAACTTTTTTGAGTAATCCTGGACGGGGTGTGCCCTTCTGTGGAAGAATGCATCTTCAACCTATCCCTTAAAGAATTTCCAGAGATAAAGTGCCAAGTAACATCAGATCACACACAAAAAATCTTAAAAAACATATGAAGAGACAAAGAATGAGAACTGCAAACCAATAGATGTAATACCCAATAGAATCGGGTCTCCAAACACTCGAAATATTGGAACTATCAAAGAATGAGGACTACAAACCAATAGATGTAATATCAAATAGAATCAGGTCTCCAAACACTTGAAATATGAAACTATCAAAGAAGGAGGACTACAAACCAATAGATGTCATATCCAATAGAATCAGGTCTCCAACACTCGAAATATTGGAACTATCAAAGAATGAGGACTACAAACCAATAGATGTCATATCCAATAGAATCAGGTCTCCAAACACTTGAAATATTGGAACTATCAGATATGTAATCTAAAACCAGTGTTTTAATATGTTTAAAGAAATGAAAGAATAGATTCAAAATATGAATGCAAAACAGGCAATAAAATGAATATTTGAAGAAGTATAAAATAGAACTTCTGAAAAATCTGATTGTAGATCTAAAATACAGTGGATGGGTAAAAATAGTGGATTAAACACAGCTGAAAGGAACATTTGTGGACTGAGAGATAGCTCTGAAGAAATTATCTAGAATGCAGTACGGAAAATTAGGAGGACAGGCATAGGAGACTTGGAAAACAGGAAGAGGAGTCCTAATATACTTTTAATTGGATTTCCAAAAAGATACCTGTCTTAGTCTGTTTTGTGCTGCTATAACAGAATACCTGAGACTGGGTACTATAGTGTGTAAGAAAAGAAATTTATTTCTCATAGTTCTTGAAGCTGGGCAGTCCAAGATCAAGGCAGCACAATGTGGTGAGGGCCTCTTTACTGCATCCTTGCAGAGTGGAAGGAGGAAGGGCAAGAGAGTATTGGCACCCTCCTATAAGCCCTTTTATAAGGGCATCTGAGGCTGGGTGCAGTGGCTTACGCCTGTAATCCCAGGCTCCTGTGACCTGTGTGTCAATCAAGAAGGCTGATATTTTGTGTCTAGCACATGTTTTTAAGGCTTACCCATGTTACAGCATGAATTAGTACCTCATTCCTTTTTATGAATGAGCTCAAAATGTTTGGGAGGCCAAGGCGGGTGGATCACTTGAGGTTAGGAGTTCAAGACCAGCTTGGCCAACATGGCGAAACCCCGTCTCTACTAAAAATACAAAAATTAGCCGCATGTGGTGGCGCGTGCCTGTGGTCCTAGCTACTTGCTTGGGAGGCTGAGGCAGGAGAATCACTTGAACCCAGGAGCCGAAGGTTGCAGTGAGTCAAGATTGTGCCACCACACTCCTGCCTAGGCAACAGAGTGAGACTCCCATCTCAGGAAAAAAAAAAAAAAAAATGCACCTACTCCTATTCAAGAGGGCGGAACCTTCAGGCCTAACCACCTCTTAATCCTCTCACAGTGGCAACACCTAAATTTTGGAGGAACACCTTCAACCCATAGCAGTATAAGAGAAAAAACAGGGCAGAAGTCATATTTGGAAAGATAATGGCTGAGAATCTCAAGCCAGATAAATAAAAAGAAATGCCTATCTAGACATTATCGCAGTGAAACTGCAGACATCAAAACCAAAGAGAAAATATTATAGGCAGTGAGAAGAAAAACAGAATTGACTTCAGAGGAGTGACAGTTAGACTGACACCAACCTCTCAACAGTGACAGTGAAGGCTATAAGATAATGAAATAATCTTTTCAGTGTGCTGACATAAAATATTTGCCATCCCAGAACTCTATATTATATACTTATATTTGTTTTCTTTTTTTTTCTTTTTTCTTTTTTTTTTTTTTTTGAGACAGAGTCTTGCTGTGTCACCCAGGCTGGAGTGCAGTGGTGCGATCTCAGCTCACTGCAACCTCTGCCTCCTGGGTTCAAGCGGTTCTTCTGTCTCAACCTCCCAAGTAGCTGGGATTACAGGTGTGTGCCACCACACTAGCTAATTTTTGTACTTTTAGTGGAGATGGGGTTTTGCCATGTTGGCCAGGCTGGTCTCAAACTCCTGACCTCAGGTGATGCGCCCACCTCAGCCTCCCAAAGTGCTGGGATTACAGGCGTGAGCCACCACACCCGGCTGGGATATCACATTTTATACCAGCCAAAACTTAATGCCATTGATAACATACAGTGAACATAACACAGAAAGAGTATGCCATCTCTTCTGTCCTGGCCTTGCCAGACCTTGTCATGTATCAAAATCACCATATTGAGGAAGTTTCTGAATATCCGATAGTAGTTGGTTAAGTTGGAAGCAGCATGAAGATTAAAAAGGTATGACCTGGAATCATATTTTAAAAGTCTCTGTCTCTGAGTATATGAGAGCTGGTAAGGGCAAAATGTGGAATTATTGTATCGAGCATAGAGGACCTTGTATCATCTATAATAATGGTAGAAACATCATCATCTCTTCAGAAACACCCAATGAATGATTTTGCTTAAAATGATCAGGCTGAACCTTTTGAGATTTGCTTCAGATGGACGTGTAGGACATTTCTACATATGGACGGAGAGGGCCCCTTGCATATTAGATAATCCGTGTGGCACTTGGTACGATGCTACTTCCATGAAGAATAACTACAATCGTTCGTGTACAAAACGGTCATTATAAATCTCAGCAGAAGTGTTTAAAAGCTTTCTGAGCACCACACAAGAAGACTTACTGAGAGTTCTGAAGAAAAATCTCCTAAAGAACCTGAGAATTCTGTTGAAGCTAAATCTATTCACCAGTACTGTGTATTGCAAGATTCTTTGGCAGTCTAGGTATCAGAGATTCAGATGGATAAAGGAAACAGCATCAACAGAGCATTAGTTCACAGAGTAGATGTGAAGCTGACTTTAGGCAGGTCTAGCTGACTCTAGCCTGTGGAAGAGAAGAAAGAAATAAGAAAGGCTTTTGGCCAGGCGTACGCCACCATGCCAGGCTAATTTTTGTATTTTTAGTAGAGACAGGGTTTCACCATGCTGGTCAGGCTGGTGTCGAACTCCTGACCTCAGGTGATCCGCCAGTCTTGGCCTCCTAAAGTGCTGGGATTACAGGCGTGAGCCACTGCACCCAGCCAGAACCTATATTTTTTTAAAAGCCTGTTGCAAAACATCTTGAATTTGTATGCCTCTAAAGGTTAATTTGATTTGGACAGCTTATTTTGAATTTTTGAATATTATAGACATAAAAAGTAAGAAAACATTTTAAAAATAAAAACTGAGGGTTAAAGACATTTTTCAGACAAAAACTGAGACAGTTAATCTCCTGCAGATCTTGACTGAAAGATCTTGATTCTGCTAGAAGCAGAAGGAAAGTAATCCTAGATGAAAGGTCTGAGATTTTAGGAGTGAAAAGCAAAGAAAGTGGCAAAATATGGGTAAATAGAAATGATTTTTGGCTATATAAGGTGGTTACAAAAATGTCTATGTGTGTTAAATAAAAAGTTTAGAGTTAAAACATTAGACAATAGTCAGCTGAGTGTGGATAAATTGAGTTAAAGTTTTCTAAGATCTATTTGATAGCCAGCAGGAGGATAAATATATTAATTTTATATGTTGAAATGTTATATATGCACATTGTGATTTTTAGGGTAACTGCTAAAGAATAGAAACAAAGTATTTAATTCCCAACATTTGGAAGAAAAATTGAAATGATTTTAAAATACTCAATCCAAAAGAAGGTAAGAAAGGGGAAAAAAATCTACAACAGATACTACAAATAGAGAACACAAATTTATAGACCTACCCCCCTCTGTATATAACATGACTACATTAAATGCAAAGGATCAAATATTTCAGTTAAAAGACAGAGATTATCAGACTGGATAAAAATTCCAGTTATTGACTTTTTGAAAATAGAAAGGATTAAAAAGACTAAAAGAAAAAGGATAGAAAAATTATGTAATAGAAAAAATAAACAAAAGAAAGTGTAACTACATTAATTTCTGGCAAAATAAATTTTAAGACTTAAGGATTCAATTATCATGTAGTCCACTTAAAAGACAAAGATTGTCTGTCTAGATAACAAATAGTGAAATCCAGTAAGAGAAAAACCTAAACTCAAACATAAAGAAAGATTAAAAGTGAAAAGATTTAAAAAGACATACCATTCAATATTAATCTAAGGAAAGCTAGTGTCACTAAGTTAGTATCTGACAATAAATGGTCATAGGCTGGGTTCTCCTGAAGCAGACACTGAGATGGAGTTTGGGAAGCAAGATGTAGATAAGGAAAAACACCTGTAAAGGGAAGCAGGCTGAAGCAGGATTAAGCAGAGGGAGAGGCTGAACTGCAATGCAGACCTGACAAAGCCTTGACCAGCTTGGCTAGAACTAGGCAGGAGGATGTGATTGGGAAGGGAAGGCTTCCTGGAGTTCCAAGGCTGTGTTCCATTGCTGCAGCTGGATGGGGGCGGGGGTTAAGTAACAAGCATTTGTTTAATTTTTATTATTTAATTCCTTTTTTTGTTTGAGATGGAGTTTCGCTGTTGTTGTCCGGGTTGGAGTGCAACGGTGTGATCTCGGCTCACCGCAACCTCTGCCTCCCGGGTTCAAGTGATGCTCTTGCCTCAGCCTCCTAAGTAGTTGGGATTACAAGCATGCCCTACCACGCCCGGCTAATTCTGTATTTTTAGTAGAGATGGGGTTTCTCCATGTTGGTAAGGCTGGCCTCCAACTCCCAACCTCAGGTGATCCTCCCGCCTCAGTCTCCCAAAGTGCTGGGATTACAGGCGTGAGCCACCATGCTTGGCTTATTCTTTAATTCCTAAACATTTTACAAATAGCGTTTTGTATCTATTGAATATATTATTGAAACAGTATTTAAGAGATTACATTTAACGTAGCATTATAGATTTGAATTCCTGATCAGTCCTATCTTTAACTTGGGAACAGAACCCCTCTGAGACTCAGTTTCCTCCTATGTAAGGAATTCAATCTCTGCTAAGCACTCCAGTGTCTTCCCCTTACCCTTTGAAGTCGACTCCTTATCATGGCCCACAGACTCACGAGCCTGGCATCTGCCTCCATCTGAACATAGCCTGCACACCTTCTCATTGCCCATCCAGCTCTGGTCTCCCTGGCCTCCTTCCTGCTGACCCTGGGGTCTGCTGAGCTCCTGCCAGCCAAGGGCTTCATACCAGCTGCCTGTTCCCTTTGCTTTGCCTGGAAGGCTTCATGGCCCTTCACCTTGTGGGCCTCTATCCAAAAGACACTTGGCCAGAGAGACCTTCTGCTACCCACTCCATCCAAAGAGTCATCCCATCTTCCCCCATCTCCAATTTATCTCCCTGCCCATCTTTATGTTCTTCATGGCACCTTTTATTATTTCAGCTCACATTACTTGTTTGCTTATTTCCCATTCGTCACTGTCACCAGTACAGGCAGTGTCTTCCTTAGCACCACGGCCCTAGACCTGGCAGGTAGGAGGCATGGACAGACATTGTAAAGTGGAGGGGCGCCAGCTCTGCCTCCTCGTGTTCTCCTCCCACCCTCACCCTACCAGTTTGTCCCAAGGAGGGGCTCTGCAGTGGTTTGTAGATACACAGATAATGCAAAATAAAAACCAGTGAATAGGGACAAGCAGATGGAACCCAGGGACGGTATAGATGCATTGACCACGAAGCCCTTCACTGAGCAGCTGAAAGTGAGCCGTTAAGGGGACGTAGAGCCCGACAGTGGTCAGGTCAAAGTGCTGCAGCTGCAGCAGAGAGGTTAGGAGCTGGATCTGAACCCAGAGCACCTGGGTCTGATGCTGGCGCCTCCACTTCCTCACATGTGACCTTCATTTTCCTCATCTATTAAGATCCCCGTCAGTCTCCTCGGTAAAGCAGGGATGATAATGGTCCCAAATCCATAGAGCTGTTGAGAGGCTTAAATGGGACGAGGCTTGTGAAGGCTTGGGACACAGAAAGTCCTCATTAAGTGTCAGCTGTAAGTATTTAATTTGCACATTACCTTAGGAGGAGTAAATGCTACTATATTTCATTTTATGGATGAGAAAACAGGCCAGGGGAAACAAAGTAATTTGCCCAGTTTCATGCTCCTGCAGACAGTAGCTTGTAAGAAATACCTTGCATTTTAAAATAGATTATTTGGAAATCCTTGTAATTTTGATCTCTGCATATCCTATGTAAACATTTATTTGGTTAAAATGTTTTAATAAAGATTTTTTTTTTATTTCTAAGGGGAGGTGGGAATGAAATGAATTGCTGCCGCACATTAAGAGAACTTGAAATCCAAGTGGGAGAAAAGGTAATAGAGATTTTAAAGAAATGATTTCCCCCCACCCCACCCATTGTCAGCAGTAATTGTTAGTGGAGGTAGATGATAGAAAATGAGCCACACCTTGTCATCCGAGTTCTCATGTCATAGTTGTCTGACTAAATAGATCTTCTGATAACAAGCCAGTGCGAAAGCTTGTATTCCGACTACTTTGACTGTCTTGGATGGCATCTCTTTTGATGAGTGACACCAGCAGAAGTCCTGGAATATTAATTACTTTTGTATTAACTTTAGATCATTATTAGTAGGGCTGCCTTTTCTGTCTTTGTCTAAGACTGAGTAGGTTTTTCTTTAGAAAGGGAAAACGACTGCTTTGCAGCAGTCAATGCCAATCAAGAGCTGCATAGTAAAAATAACCAGTCAAACTCAAAGTGATATATACTTAAGTATTGAGTAATTTAGCCATGAAAGCTACTATGTGTTTAGAAAAAGAGCATATAGCATCGTTCCTATTTGCTGATTGTGGTTAGATCTCACAGCACACAGCTAAGGCGGGGAGGAGATGATAATGTCATTCAAGGGTTGGAATCAGACTCCTTTTTAAAATGCATTTGGGCCTGTCAGTTACATGAGCAGTTTGAGAATCATGGTTTAATTTATTTGATTCAATATGTTGGTTTGAAATGTGACAAATTTTCTTTTTTGAACTCTTCTGAGACTCATATATTTCATACTCAAAAATAGCCAGAGATCCACAAAATGTTTGTCTCAATTTCCCTAGCTGATACCATTAACACCAGAAAATTCATCTCAATATGATAATTTCTTAGCATTATGTGTTTCTAAAAACCTGTTTCACTATAGTTGATATTATTCAGAACCCAGGTATAATTGTCTGCTGCTTTTGCTGTGACCCATTTGTTATTCTGCAAGAGTTTTGTCGTGCAATTGATATTACTTAGGGGTATATGTCTTCTTACTCTTTAAACTGTGTTCATCATGATATGCTTCTGGAAAAGTCCATTGTTTATGACAATTATCACAGCAGCAGAAACATTGTTAAGGACCAGTAATGCAACATGACCTTGAGTGTGGAGATGCAGACAAAGGCCAGGATTGTAAATGGCCCAAAATAAGGCTGTGGTGAGCAAATCTGAAATGGAACTCCATTGCTGTCCATCCTTTCAGTTAATTTTTTATCCCATCCTCCTCCCCATGGAACCCCCTGCTAAGAGTTGAAACCCAGGCAGTTTTCATTCAATTGCCTATGAGAACAAACAGGTGAAGGGAAAAGGTAATGCTTAGTACCAGAGCACTGGAGGGTTTTTTCTGCCGTGTGTTCCAGCCAGCACAGACTGTAGCCCAAATTCTACCTATGACCCCAACCCTGGGCAGGCAGGGGAGGTTGGAGGAGACTGACCCCGGGACCCGGGCAGACCTGGGTTTCCATCCTGGGGCTCTGCTATTTACCAACCACGTGGTCTCAGGCAAGCCCTCATCATTAGGTTTTTTCACCTGTCAGTGGGGATAACAGCCACCACCTTGACGTGCTGCTGTGTGGCTTAAAAATATCCAGAATAAAGCACCTGGAACACTTAATAAATGCCAGCTGTTACTATTATGCTTATCCCTACAGCTTCCTTTGAAGTACAGGTAGGAACACAAATGAATCTCATTCCTTTCCAGCCCCTCCACCTCCAAATAAAGAGAACAAATCAGTACACCCCTCAACTGTGTGCTTTGTGCAGTAGCATGCTTCTAATGAAGACTCTGACCCTTCTAACGGTCACACACTAATGTTGGAGACTGAGAAAAAGACTTAGGAATGATCTAAGTAAGCCTCTCTTCATACACATGTCATTGCTGGGTGATGGTTACAGTTTGGGAATGAAAGAATGCTAATTATTTTATTTTAAATATGAGCCCACGTGGCTTACTGGAGCCAAGAATGCATGCAGATGTCTCTGAATTTTTGGAGCCAGACTCTGCTCATGCATGTTTGGACCAGCCTTCCTACACCAGCAAATAATTAGCAGTGGGAACCCCAAACCAGCTGAACCCCAGCACTCCTATTTCCTAATTGTTTTCTTCTGCAATGAGCTTGGTCTGATGGCTGATTTGTCAGCCTCTCTCTTCTTCACAGGCCCTCAGACCCTCCAACCGACGCTCATGTTCATGCTCTTATCCAGTCGAACCCTTGGGCTCTCTGAGCCTCATTGTCTCTATAAGTCAAGGGAGAAGGCCAGATTGGATGACCTCTGGGTCTCATCTCTCCATCCTTGGTGACTGTGTCCCATGGCTTCATGGGAAGAGGCGCTCTCTGTTTTGAGGAGGAGTCTCTGTAAGCCCAGGGTGGTTCTCAGCGTGTCCTCTTCGGGATCCACCTGGTCCTGGCTCTGGTTTAATCTGCACTCAGGTTCCACTCAACAGCCACGCTAAGTCCTGGCGCATTCCTCACTTGCTATCACTCTCCTGGCCCTTGCTTTTCGTTTTGGCCACAACCTTGACCCTCTGCTTTCATGTGGCTCCTCTGTGCCTTTGCCTGAGCATCTCCTGGACTGGCTGTTGAGTTTGCTGGTCTTCAGCTTCTTTGTCTCCATAATGTCCTAGGAGCCAGAGGGATTTATGGAGAATCAGGTACACCTGGGCTGAAACCCTGCCTCTGCTGCTGGGGGCGGTGGGGTGCCGTGGATGGTTTCTCATTTGTTCTGAGTTTCCTCATCTCTAAAGTGGAGACAACTCTAAAGTACCTTTCAGGGTACTGACAAGAATGAATGTAAGCAAAGCCCCTGCATTCAGTAGATTGTCAGTAAATGTGAGTCCCTTCCCCTACTGATGAGTGAAGCTGGTTCTCCTTGCTGAACACCACTAAAACCCTTGCTGTGGCCGTCTTTATCTGCCACCAGCTGGCAACCCCTTGGACACAGAGATGTTTGGTTTTTTTCCCTTATGAGAAACCGAAGACTCCAAGTTAACTATCTTAGAAAATAAGGAGCTTCTTATCTCACCCAAGAAGTCAGGAGGGCGTGGAGACTAGGACTGACTAACACACCTACCTCTCTTCCTGGTTACCAGGAGGTTGCCAGCACTCCAGGCAGATGCTTTGATGTCAAATTTTTTTCAGTGGGCCCTTTTTTCCCAATATGACTCTAAAAACAAGAGAAAGTCCCTCCCTGTGTCCCACAGCCTGGAATTATGCCCCACACCTAAAGCAATCACGGGCAAGGAAATTGGTTCCCGCCAGCAGCCAGGACCAACCTCAATCACCACCTGGTGTGGCCACTGGGCTCCCTCCTATGAAGCACATGGCCACCCAAGAAGGGCGGATGTCTGAACAAAATGGAAAATAGAGGGTTTTGTTAGAAAGGAGAAGTGGGCAGCCGGGCATGGTGGCTCACGCCTGTAATCCCAGCACTTTGGGAGGCCGAGGCAGGCGAATCACCTGAGGTCAGGAGTTTAAGACCAGCCTGGTCAACATGGTGAAACCTTGTCTCTACTAAAAATACAAAAATTAACTGGGCATGGTGGCGCACACCAGTAGTTCCAGCTGCTCAGGAGGCTGAGACAGGAGAATCACTTGGATCCAGGAGGCAGAGGTTGCAGTAAGCCGAGATAGTGCCACTGTACTCCAGCCTGGGCAACAGAGGGAGACTCTATCTCAAAAAAAAAAAAAAAAAAATGGAAAGGAGAAGTGGTTAGAGGTGAATGGATTTGGGAAGGCAACCAATCCATCTGCTTCAGCTACCTATATAAGGGACCCCTCTTGGCTGGTGGGGCCTTAATCTTTTGGACATTAATGTAATTTTTCAGATTTTGCCAACTCTAGTAATAATAGCTAGCACTGAGCACGTACTAGGAGCTGTTCTAAGTGCTTTATCGCATTAAGGCATTTAATTCCCAGGTGAACCCCATGAGGCAGGTGCCGTTGTTATCCCATATTGATATGGAAGGAAGCTGAGAGAAAAGAGGTTAAGCAGGCATATGTTGATGCTTACTTTGCATTCAGCAAATGTGACAACTTGTTACACCTGTAGTTAGACCCAGTCCATCACAGAGAGAAGTCTTTCTGTTCATCATCACCGCACAAGTCGGTGGAGCTTTGTGTTCCAACCACAGAGTTGCCTTTCTGTCCATGGAGCATCTACTTCAAGTGGGCATTTGGGAGTTTTCTTCCCTTTTCTCTCTGGTGTCCTGCCTTTCACACTTCCTCCACCGCGTCAGTCTTTCATGCACCCTGTCTGCCTGTGGGGTCCCAGCTCCATCCTGGAGTGGTGGCAGCGCCCGAGACCTCAGACAGCTTCCTCACATTCTTCAGGCGAGGACTGCCAGGAGAGAAAGAACTTGAACAAAGATGCAGTGTGTTGCCAGGCTAACGAAGTGTAAGTTTTTTTATTCCATCTATCATTTGTCAACTCCCGACAAGAGGTGAAGATAGGAGTGGCTAAGACAGGAAGAAAATCCCATCTTACCACCTAAGGTGAGGTGAGGGCTCATTGTAAGCCCTGTTGAGGGAAGTACTGAGAAACAGAAAGCTATTCTGACCTGTATAGGAATACAGTGTATGTTCAGAAGGTCGTGACTCTCCCCCTCACAAAAAAAATACGTTCTTCACTGAAGACTAGAATTAAAGAATGTATATTCAGTTAAAGAAGTACATAAAGAAAAACAAAGCATTCTAAGCCCCAGGCTGTTTGCTCTTGTACCGTGTCACTACCCAAGTCAGGGAGCTCTCAGAAGAAAAAAATGCTTGAAGGTTCAGGCACCATGATGCCAGAACATCTGGTCTACCCAGTCGGCTGTGACAAGCGTGTCTGTTGGACACTGAGTGATCTGACACAGGTTTTTATGGGATTACCCTGGTGCCTTGGAGGTGTGTGGAGATAGTCATTTCAGAAGTAATTAGTAAATAATTATAATTGCTGAGCTGCTGGCTTGCTCTGTAATATCCTCATGAAGAAGAGACAAAAGTGGTGGGTAGATTCATTCTCTTAAAGAGGTGAATTTTCTTTAAAAAGACATTTAAAAATTTAATATTCAAGGGATAAAGAATCAGTTGTTAGAATCACCACCATTTCATAAACACACCTTAATTTTATAACACTACATTAGCATGAATGAATAGACAGGAATGCAGTCTGTTTGCCTAACAAAAAGGCTGTGTCAAGCTCAAAATGAGGCCATTTACTAAAACAAGCAAGCTCTTGGTTAATTCCTAATATTCCCCTAATCCTACTTTCATCAGCTCTACTTTGCTGCACTTGGTATTAATTGCCTATTGTAGCAGGTATTTGAACACATCTCCTCTTTCATCTGAAGAAAATATTAGCATATCGTAGAGCTGTTGGGACAGATTGTATCTGAGACACTGTTTCCTCCCCGCAGAAAAGCCTATCAATCATAACTGAATATAGTGATTAATAATGTCACAGCTTTTATTCTTGTGTCTCCGTGCATCTAAATGAAGAGTAGCACTTATATTTTGATCTAGAGAATCTCACACCACAAAATAATCCGTTGGCATTTTATTAAAAAATTATATTGAGAATACTTCTACCCCAGGACCTATTTTTGGTTGCTGTATCATTAATTTACTAAAGCTTTCATGAAGGAACTACAGCAAAGATTCTGCAATATCAGAATTTGCAATTATTTCGGACTAAGGTTTTTTTTTTAATCTTCCTGTGTGTGACAAATTAATAGTGCAAACGCAAGATTGTAGGGGTAAATGTTTAAAGCAGCATGGTGTGGGGGTACAGTCTGGAGCTCTGGCCTTAGCAAGTCCAAGCATGCATTTGAACACCAACACGGACTCTCTGAGTGATCCTGAGCAAGCTAGTCTTGCCTCTTTCGAGACTTTCCCCATCTGTGAACTGGGTGAACAATATTGCAAGGTTTTCTCAGTGTTATTGGGATTCTGTGTGAGAATAAATATAAAATGAACTCACCGTAGTGCTGGGCACATAGAAGTTACTCAACAAAATTAGGAGTTTGTATTTAGAGGACACAAAGCATGCGAGTTCTTACGTGGGAAGTTAAAGGATGGCATGCGATCATCTAGGGCAGCAGTCCCCATCCCCCAGGCTGCAGACCTGTACTGGTTGGTGGCCTGTCGGGAACCAGAATGCACAGCAGGAGGTGAGCGGTGGGCAAATGAGCATCACCGCCTGAGCTCCGCCTCCTGTCAGATCAGCAGCGGCATTAGCTTCTCATAGGAGCACGAACCCTATTGTGAACTGCGCATGCGAGGATCTACGTTGCACGCTCCTTATGAGAACCATCTAACTAGTGTCTGATGGTCTGAGGTGGAACAGTTTCATCCCGAAACCATACCCCCTCCCCACTGGCCCATGGAAAAATTGTCTTCCACAAAACTGGTCCCCGGTACCCAGAAGGTTAGGGACTGCTGCTCTAGGATTGAAAGCTACTAGGGGAAGAATAAGAGGGCTATATGCTGAGGGTGCCCACGTTTATATCTCCTTCTGAGGCCCCAGACTCACCAGTGTCCACAGACAAAAACGTAACTCGTGACTGTCCTCCTGCCCCACCCCAAGAATCCTTCCTCCCAGGTCAGTAAATGGTTCTACCACTCATCATTCATTCAAGCAGAAACCAAGGACCAGTCTTGATTACCTCTCCCTTACCAGTGCCCCTCCCATATGCAGGCCGTCAGCAAGTTATGTCTACTGTATCCTGAACTAGATCCCAAACCCGGACACTTCTGATCCATCCCTACTGCCATCATTATACCTAAGCCACCATTGTTGCTGGCCTGTGCTTTGTCAGTGACTCCTTAGCTGGGTTTCCCGTTGCCTCTCTTGCCCCTTATAATCTGCATTCCACACAACAGCCAGAGTTATCCGTTCAAAACATAAGCCAGAGCCCGTCAGACTTCTCTGGTGAACATACCCATGTCTTTTGCTTGTGCATCGAGTACACTTCAGTTAAATGTCCCAGCTTTCAGAGCTCTGCCCGAGAGAGCTCTCTAGTGAGATGTCTTTTGACTACCCTAAAACTGTACATTTTCCGTAACACGTAGAACATTCTGAAATGTTGTTTGTTTGCTTGTTTGTGACTGGGATCTGTGTTCTGTGGGAGCAGGCACCTTTTCTGTCCTGTCCACTGTGGTAACTTCAGTGCCTTGAACAGTTCCTAGAGCCGGATATACACTCAGTAAATAATTATTGTATGAATAAAGAAAGTTTTGTAGAAAAGTTCATATTCCTTGGAATAGCCAGGAACAATTGGATGAGGAAGGTGATATTGGAGCTTGAGTTTGGACCATAGATAGACTTGCAATGCACGTTGAGGATGGGATAGGGGAAGAGATGTGGGGTAGTTTTCAGAATTGCAACCTGGCCTAAGAAAAGGACATGAGGAGAGGGAAGCCGGGCTGTGGCCAGAGCACCGCAAGGAGACAAGCCCTGCGGCTATTCTGTAGAGTTATGTTTCTCAAGGCAAGTTGGGACAGATCAGTTTTGAAAGGTAGACTGGCGGAAAAGATGCATTTGAAGGCCAGGTTTTAACCCTTCGGCATGGGTCAGGAGGAGGATGACTGAAGGTTTCTGATAAGGGGGTTATGATGTATTTAGGAGAGTGCTGTCAGCAGCATCATGGGTGCATTTGCTGGGAAAGCAACTGGAGTCAGGCGTACCTGTTACCAGGCTTGGAAGTCATCGGTCACCCTCTTACCATCATCGTCTGCATTTGTTGAGCACCTACTGGTGTTGTGGGGACACCATGTGGTTATTGGGGATACAAAGAAGACTAAGGCCTGATTCTTGTCCTCCAGAAACTTAAAATCACCTTGGGGACACAAGCGTAAGCAACACATTATGATGGTTTAAAAATGTGTTTATTGGGCGGTATATCACCTAGATCAGGAGGAGTTAGGGAATAAAGTGATACAAGTTGCTCATACTGACAGCTGAGAGATGTGGACAGTAAACTCTCTAAGACTTTGTAAGAGAAAGTCACCCCTATTGGCTACTGGGGAGGTACCCAGGGAGGGTGATTGGTTTGAACCAGGCCTTAGAGGAAGGGTAAGACTTCAGATGGTGTGTACATAGCAGGGGCTCATTAAGTCTAGGAATTCATGAATGAACAGAAGGCAGGCAGGAGGGCACAGGGTGGGTGTTCTCCCACCAACTGGATCAATTTGCCAGGAAGAAAGATGTCTACGGGGGTGAACGGGGAGGACGTAGGCACTCCCAGCTGAGTGTGCACTGAGTGAGCTAACAGTCTTCCTCCCCAAACCTGCAACATATTCTACATTGTTGATCTTATCCAGTCAGGTCACCAAGGCAGAAACTGGGCGCCACTTCGACTTTCCTTTCCCTCACCCTCTACATACAGTTAACCACTAGGTCCTGCAGATTTGGTCCCCCAGAGCCGGCCCCAGCTTCTCCAGTGCTGTTCCCCTAGTCCTTGAGGATTCACAATGTACGTTAGCATAGTGAAGGCTCAGAGGAGGCTGCTGTATAGAAATCTATTGAATGTTGCTGCAGCCAGCCTTTCCGTGCATGTGTTTGTTTAGCTCTAGATCCAGAAGAACTTGTGTTTGGAGGAACGCCATTTTGGGAAATGCTGGGGGAGACGACAGACAAAGTCTTTTTCTACTCTAAAATGTGATTCTGGTCTATTTCTTAGGTGAGGTGGTCTGTGGCTGGCTAGGCTCTTGGCAAAGTGCTACAGCCACTTGGCAGTACCCAGCATTGGCCCAGCCTGGGAAACTTTTCACGTAACCTGAACAGTCTTCTGCGGTTTGTCTTTCTCAAAGCAGCATCCTCTTGCATGAGGTCCAGATAAGCAGCAGGATGCTGGGTCAGCATAGTGGCTTCTGATCTTCCAGGCTTGCCCCTGCTGGTGTGCAGCTCTGTCCTGTGAGTGAGCTGAGGCCAGGGCTCTTAGGGGCCCCAAGATTCTTGGCCCGTGGCAGCTGAGGTGGAGTACCCATCCTATGAGTGTGGGCTGGGTAAGAAAGAAAGGAAAGAAAGGAAAGATTTCTTATAGATCAGCAGCCCTTTTTAAAATTTTAATTTCTAATTTTTTGTAGAGATGGGGTCTTACTATATTGCCCAGGCTAGTCTTGAACTCCTAGCCTCAAGCAGTCCTCTTGCCTCAGCCTCCCACAGTGCTGGGGTTACAGGCATGAGCCACCGCACCCAGCCTGGCACCCTTGTAAGTCCCTCAGCTTATAGACGGGGCACCTTTTCATAGCTGTATCGTAAGCTCAATGGGTAGCTAGAGTTTCTTAAAAGAAGTCTATAAGCTATACGTTACAGGTAAGCATTTTAAAAATGAAAAATTGAATGTGGGGGAAGGTTTACATGGCCTGTGGACTTTATATAAGCACGAGTTTCCCTCTTCATCTTGGCTGCAAGGAGACCCCGAACCAGAGTTTTGCTTCATTGTGTCAACTATGACTTTTAGGTTTCTTTAGCTCATTTTTTCGGGGTCAGCTTTCTTTTCTCCATTTTTGTGGATCTTATTTGGATATCTTTTTCAGTAAGCTTTTTCGATTTTTGGTAAAGGCAGGGTATGCCTATGGTCAGTAAAGAAATTTGTAGTCCTTGGCCTGCGAGGGCAACTGCCAGAGCAATGAGAGCATCAGCCCAGAGGCAGGGAGGCGAGGCTTTTGTGAAAGGTGAGCGATGCCCGGCCCCCGCTTCCCGCTTGTCCCCGGATTGGAAGTTTGTGTTTATGAGGTTCTGAATGTAGTCTAATTTTTTCCTATCTGGTTTGGCGCATCTCTACCAGCTGGTAAATAGGAAATGTTCACGGTAGGAAGCCAATACTCTGCAGAGTGTAAACAGATGGAATCGATATAAAGTGACAAGTTAGACTGTGCTATTGAGAATACAGAGCCAAAACTAAGAACATAACAGTCAAGCTACTTATTTCGTTCCAGTTCATTTAGTCCTGAATAGTGCTTCATATCTGCACAGCTGTGTTGTTCTTTTTTCCCCCTTCCTTTCTTCTGGGTTGATAATGACAATTTCAAAGAAAAACTTTAATTAAAGATTTTATACAAAATAGCCAAAAGTAGAATAATAAGGAAAATGAGCATTGATGTGTTTATTGTAAGAGAAATCCTTTTTCATGGTTTCATTTCAAATCTGTACTTCTTAAATTTAAAATGAATTTAGTGGTGGAGACAGAAAGGTGCCAGACTGACAGCCGTGGGTGTTGAACTCTTCCGCTTGCTGCTGAGCCAAGACATGGGGGTGCCCGAAGCCCCCTCCCCTTGGGACTCAGTCTCAGTCTACAGGCAGGCGGGTGGGATGCGGTTCCTGACCCCCTTCTCTTAGAAGCCAGGTGAGAAAAAGTGGCTCCGGGTGAGGAGCTGCACAGAAAACAGCTACACGGAAGCCAATAAGAATGAAATTGTAGAAGGTTTAAGTTCGTCTGCGGGTTATGCTGTGGCATGAAGAAGCTTGGCCTGCCTCCGGGAAGGGCCACGTTAGTGCCAGGCCTCCAGAGGGATTGTTTTCCAGGCGGAGTGGGAATTCTGGGCTTCAGAGGGGAAACATTCAGCCTTTTCTCATCTTCTTTAAAGCCTGGGTGGTCAGATTTATTTGAGTTCACAGTTTTCCTTCCTGGAGCTCAAAGTGCTATAAAAAGAATTTTAAACAAAGAACTCTGGAGTAATAATAGCATCCATGGTTAGCAGTTTATGGAACCATCTGAACTCAGTGGGGTACAAATATGAAGCAGTTTGATTTCTTAGCTCTCAGTTTTCTCCAACAGGAGCTGCTGAATCTCCCTCTCTTGTCCCATAGGAATATCTTCAGCAGATCTGGTGGCTCTCTGGTCACATTTAGGTCTAAACAGGTCCAGTGCAGGCGAGTTCAGTTTAAACCTCAAGTGTGGGGCTGGTTCAGCACGCCCTTCTCAGCTCCTCCAAGCCCGAGGGCCCTGGAGTGGGTAGGGCCTGCTCACTGGCTGTACCTCCCTCCTTCTTTCTGCTTCCTCTCTCCCCCAGATCATGGGGTCTGTGATGAGGGCTGGGGAAGGAGAGCATGTCTCTCTCTCCCTTATCTGGGTCCTCTCTGGGAAGCTCTCCTATAGGGTCCGTGGGGAGTAATTAGGACAGTGCTTTGGGGGCCTCTGAACTTCATGGTTTCCTGTTGAGGAAGATCAGCCCTGACTTAGCCCCCTCTGGACCCCCTCAGCTCCCACTCCTGGTGGTCCAGCTCACTTCCTTTGGCTGCTTGGGTCCCCTTCCCTGATGAGCAGTCCCTTGGGAACAGGACAGCTCAAGATTTCTACCTGTCATGGTGTCCTCTTAACCCATGGAAAATTCACAAGTCCCGTCCATACCAAAATAGGTGTTCAGGCTGCTTTCATCTGCTGCTTCTGCCTTGCTCTGCTGTGTCTGTCTGAGTCTCAGTTCCTCTTCCCAGGTAGGTGCAGAGCAGATCACTGAATCCACTGGGAAATGAGATGCTTGTCTACCCTTTTTGCAGGTTCCTGTCCTGTCTCTACAAGGATTGTCTTGGCTTGCAATCTCCCCACCTACCCACCCACTCATCCATCCACCCATCCATCCTTCATCATCCATCCCCACATCCATCTGTCCATAGCCCTTCCATCCATTCATTCATCATCCATCCATTCATCCATCTACCCATCTATCCATCATCCATCCATCCATCTACCCATCCATCCATCCATAACCCATCCATTCATTCATTCATTCATTCATTCATCATTCATCCATTCATCCGTTCATCCATCCATGCATCCATAACCCATTCATTCATTCATTCATTCATCATTCATCCCTTCATCCATTCATTCATCCATTTACCTATCTATCCATCATCCACCCACCCATCCGTTCACCCATCTGTCCCATTCATTCATCATCCATCCATTCATCCACCCACCCACCCATCCATCCATCCACTCACCCACCCATCCATCCATCCACTTAACAGTTATTCATTGATCCAGGCCCTAGTCTTGGCTCTGGACTCATGCCTATTCAAGACCTTCCTCCATCTCTAGGCTTCTGTTTTCTTAGTCTGGGCAATGGTGCTGTGGAGGGTGAGGGGTGAAGGAGGGACTGGGGTTGGGGAGAGTAATGCCGTTTCAGCCGCTTAATATTCCCTGACATGGGTGTGTGGTTATTTGGATCTCTATTCTTAGCCTTTGATCCCAGTCAGCAATTCTCATTTCACCACCATTTATTGAACGTGTTCCGTGTGTGAAGCACCTGCACACATGAGCTCCTTTCATCTTAAGCACACACCACACACCTATATCCTTATTCATTCTCATTTCACAGGCAAGGAAGCTGAAGTTAGAGGAATCAGGCTGCTTTCCCCAGGTTACCTGAATAACAGGTGCGGAGCTGGGATTTGAAGCCTCATTTCAGCACCTGTGACTAGTCACTACATCATTCTGCCCTTCAGGTCCCTTGTGGAGAGGAAGGAGGCAAAGAGGCGATTTGATACACTGGGATTGTCCAGTGGGGGTCGCTCCAGCCCAGAGCAGTTATGTGCCTTTCAGTGGGCAAACCACCCTGCCTGGGAGAGGGTTCATTTTCCCCACTCTCCGGCTTTCATCTTAAAGGTCAGACAGTCTCTGCTTCTTCTAGTAACATTTATAATTCTGCCCTTCATCAGTTCACCTAAATCTTTTTAATTGAATATTTTGTCTTGCTATTACTTTTTACAAAAATTTGTTATTTTTATTTTTAGTGATCACTTCCTTCTTTTACTTCACTCCTATGTGACATGGAGCTTCATTTCCTTGCTTTAAATGTTAGGTAACGGGCTTGGCTTATGCAGCCGCACTTTGGAACTTCAGAGTTTTCTGTCTTGCCTTCCCCAGCCTTGCTCTCCAGGCAGAAGAGCCCAGTGGGTTTGGTCTCATGGTCCTCCCCTAGATAACTTGCTTCAGCCATCATGCCGAGGTCCAAGCAGCTACCTGGCTCTAAGGACACCTAGAGGGTCTGAGACTATCCTGCTCCCAGGCTCTGCAGTGCTGCGGTGGTGGCCGGGGTGCAGTGGGGGTGCCGGGAGGGCAGCACCTGCTCACGCACAGGGCTAGCATATGGCCCTGAGCAGGGCTCAGGGAGTCAGGCTGGAATCAGCGCCAGGCTCAGCGGGGGCTGCGCAGAGTGGGGCTGGGACCAGGTCTCTGGCCAGGAGACGGGCAAGAGGGTTGGGACCAGACTCTCTGGGACCATGCAGGCCCATTTCCTGGCTCTGAGCCTTTAACTTAAGGCATAGTTAGCTGTTGCTTTGGTTTCCTTTTAAAATCTTCAGTGCTTTTCCTCGTGTTTGTGCACAAAGAACTCTCCTGAAACTTCCTCACCCACTCAGATGTAAGTAAGCGAGGATGGTGTATAGGGTGGAGGAGTGGAGTATGGGTCAGTGAACTTTTTCCATAAAGGGCTCAGGAGTAAATATCTTCCCAACTATTCCACTCAGCCCTTGGAAGGGAAAGCAGTCCCTAGACGATATGTAAATGAGTGGGCGTGGCTGTGTGCCAATACAATTTATTTATGGATACTGAAATTTGAAATTCACATAACTTTCGCATGTCATGAAATATTAGCCTTCTTTTGATTTCTTTTTCAACCATTTAAAAATGTTAAAAACCATTCTTAGCTTGCAGGTGTACGAAATCAGGTGGTGGGCAGTAGTTTGCCACACCTGGAATGAAGGGAGTTAGGTCTCCATGGGTAATGACTCAGGTGATACTAGGGGCAAGATGTTCTTTTCTGAGAAGCATGCTGGTTTGGAGGAGGCTGCAAGAAGCAGGGACCTTTCCCCTTTTGTTACCGGTTCAGCGGTTTTTCCCTCTCTTGGTGGATTTGGCTCTCTGAGTACTCCTCCCGCCAGGCGCTGGGGATTTGAAGGGTGGAATGGAATGACAGGTGAGCAGGGACCAGGTCTCCCCTGCCCCCAGGGGAAGGAGCTAGTTACCAAGTGCAGGCAGAAATAAACCAAGATGGCAGGGTGGAAGTCAGGGTTCTGCCCGTGGCTGGATGGAGGGATAATTAGGAAAGCCAGAAGAGAAGATACCGAATCCTGCCCCAGAGTGGACAGTGGCAGGACAGGGAAGGGCCGCAGACACGGCTGCGAATCCACTCTGCATGTATACTTATGGGCATCCGCTGCGTCTGGGCACTATTCTGAGCCCTGAAGATAGGGCAGCAAACAAAACCAACTTCCTGCTTTGTGGAATTTACATTTCAAAGGAGGAAGAAAGACAATAAACAGCTACAGAAATAAATAGGAAATGGTCCAGGTGTTGATGAATGCTAAGAAGAAAAATGAAGCAAGTGGTCAGCAGAGTATGAAGGCGCGCTTTCAAGTAAGCGAGTGAGGAAGGCCTCAGCGGCAGCGTGGGATGGAGACCTGAACGAAGGCAGGGAGGGAGGCATGAGCAAGCTTGGTGCATGTAAGGAAGAAGGAAGAGGCCCCATAACTGAGGCAGAGTGAAAAGGGGCAGATAAAGCAGGGGTCAGACCATCTATAAATAGGAGCTCATAGCGGATGAGAAGAGCCCCAGTACACTTGTGAATTCAAAGTCGGTCAGCATGGCTGAAGCCCAGAGCCCGGAGACCGTGGCTGGGAGAGGAGGGGGTGGGGTGTGCACAGTCACTATTGTCGGGAGCCTTAGCTTAGCCATTTTATTGCTTCTTCTTACTTTTTCATCTCTCCTCCCCTGTGTGGGACAAGTCTTGGACACCACGGCCCTAACTTTGTTGCCTTTGATAAGCCTCGCCATCTGCAGCTCAATTCTTCAGCCCTTGCCAAACTTCAGTCTGACAAATGATAAGAGCCTTGGAGACGTCGCTCTGGTGGGTGTGAGCTCGCTGCCAGGTTGCTGCTTCCCGGTGCTCACGCTAGAGATCCATATGGGTTGCTCTGGGGTTTTAAAAAAGCGCATCGTGCTCATGTCCTCCATTTTACCAAAGGAGGTAAATCTGGCTTTGGCAGCAGACAAAGTGCAGAGATTTTTATCCGGCCATGAGAGCAGGCGCTGTCAGTGGCTGGGGCTCCCTCTTTCAGGCAGAGCGGTGGAGTGGAGGACAGAGGCACTGGAGCCGGCTTTGCTTCTGCCGGTGCCTTTCCCTCTCGGCTGCACTCAGTATTCCCAGTTTTGGATACTGAGGCCATGTTAGCCAATGTTCTTTGGTTGTCAGCTGTTCTCTAGTCAGGAGGCTGGTATGGAGTTAAGCATGGGGCTCTGCACATAACAGACATCCGTTCAGTTCGTGTTTGTGCGAAGATCATGTTATTGTAATCATCATGACATTGACACTGAATGTCATCATGACTGCACTCAGGATTGGTCCTGAATGCAGGGGCCAGTCGACTGAGGAGGTATTTGCAGACATAACACGAGGCTTCTGCAGATCGTGGCTCTTTTCCAGGCAGGTGAGGAGGAGACAGATTCATTCATTCCAACAGATACTCACTGAGTGTCCACACTGTGCCAGATGCTGTCCTAGAGCTGGGGCCATGAACAAACCTTGCTCTCAGAGGGGGAGACGGACCATAAAGACAAAAGGAGGTGATGCCATTTGAAGAGGAGTTTGGAGAGAAGATAAGAGGATTGGGGGTGAGGAGTCCTAATTTGCATGGTGACTAGGGAGGGCGTTTCTGGGCCAAGACCTGAATGAAGCCAGGGAGTGAGCCAGTGAGTGTCGGGGGAAGAATGTTCCAGGCAGAAGGAGCAGCAAGCGCCAGCGCCTTGAGGCGGGAGGGGCTGAGCAGTCATGGGGAGCAGTGGGGTCTGGTGTGGCCAGAAAGCAGCAGGTGGGGGGCAGGTGGAGGGAGACACGGCCAGGGGGTGGCCAGGAGCCAGTCGGGTGTGGCCTGGTGGGTCACAGCGAGTGGAATGGGAGCCCTGGGGGGTTTTGGCCACGGAGGGCATGCTCAGACTCACATTTAAACATAAACTCCTTGGCTGCTTCGTGGAGTCAAGTGTGGAGGCTGGAGGACCAAGCGGGAGGCTTGCACTAACCCGGAGTGCGGGGAGAAGCGGGGTGGGGGTGGTAAGACATGATTGCATTGTGGAAATGGTCTGGAGGGAGGGGCTGATGGGCTCTCCTGATATACTGCATATGGGATGTGAACAAAAAGGAATCCAGTAGAATGGATTTACCATTTATTGGGATGGGAGACTGTGGGTAGAGCAGCTTGGGTTTGGTAAACCTGAGATGTCTGTTAGAGTCTCAAGGGGGACATCAAATGGGCAGCTGGATATTCTAAGCTGGGCTCTGAGAAGAGTCCAGGGCTCAAGACAGACATGTGGGAGTCATCAGTGGGACATTGAAGCCACAGGAGTGAACCACCAAGAAGTTAGTGTGGTCAGAGAAGCAGAGAGGGCTGAGGACTGAGTCCTAAAATGCTCCAGGCTTAGAGATGGGAGGAGGAGGAGGAACTAGCAAGGGAGACTGAGAAGGAGACTCCAAGGAGGCTGGAGAAGAAGGAGAGAGAGCATTGGCTCTGGAAGCTAAGTAGCAAAAGTGCCTCAAGGAAGAAGGGCCAAGCAGCTGTGTCAAAGGCGGCTGCTGGGACAGCAAGATGAGGACTGAGAAGTGGCCCTTGGGTTTGACAAGGTGGAAGTCTTTGGTCATGCTGACAAGAACAGTGTTTGTGCAGTAGTGTGGACAAAAGTGATTGGAGACGTTTTAAGAGAGGGGGACACATTGGAGATAATCTTGAGGGGATTTCAGTGCAAGGGAATGGGTGACTGGAGGAAGAGGTGAGGCAAGGAGGGAGGTTCTATTTCTGAGACAGCTCATCTTCATGGGGTGACCTGAGAGGGAGTAGGACGGGCAGGAGCACTTCCTTGCCTGGGGACAGGGTCAGGGTCATGTGCATCACGTGGCCCCACCTGGCCATAGGTAGGATCACGGAGGTTCATCCCTTGATCCCTTACAACAGGACAGGAGGCACCTGTCTCATGTGGGGATGGAGCCAGGCCAGCTGCAAGTGGGTGTGGGGAATGGGAATGCTGTCTTTTAGTTGTTTCTGTTTTCTCTGTTAAATAAGAGGTAAGGTTGTCAGTAAAGCAGGAGGTGGAAGGAGAAATTGGAGGTTAGGAAAGTGGAGAAGGTGGGAATGGCTGTGTGGATGGGGTATGTGCAAGTGTGTGTGATGGTGTGTATGACAGTATATGCAAGTGTGTGTGAATATATATGCAAGAGAATGGGTGTATATGTGTGTGAGTGATGGTGTGTGTGTGATTATATGTACAAGTGTGTGTGCATGTGAGTATATGCACAGGTGTGTGTGAATATATGTGTGAGATATGGTGTGTGTGAGTATATGTGCATGTGTGTGTGTGAATATATGTGTGTGTGAGTGATGGTGTATGTGAGTATATGTGCATATGTATGTGAATGTATGTGTGTGAGAGATGTGTGAGTACATGCATGTGTGTGTGAATATATGTGTATGTGATTGATGGTGTGAATGAGTATATGCAGGTGTGTGTGAATATATATGTGTGAGTGACGGTGTGAGTGTGAGTATATGCAGGTGTGTGTGTATATGTGCATGTGTGTGAGTGAATATATGTGTGTGTGATGGTGTGAATGTGTGAGTATATGCACGTGTGTGAGTTTGAGTATATGCAGGTGTGTGTGCATATATGTGTGTGAGTGATGGTGTGAGTGTGAGTATATGCACAGGTGTGTGTATGAATATATGTGTGTGATGGTGTGTGTGCATGTATCTGCATGTATGTGTGTGTGAATATATTTGAGTGATGGTGTGAATGTGTGAGTATATGCAGGTGTGTGTGTGTGAGTGTATGTGCATGTGTGTGTGAATATATGTGCGAATATATGTGTGTGAGTGATGGTGTGGGTATGCAAGTATATGCAGGTGTGTGTGAGTATATGCATGTGTGTGATATGTATATGTGAGTGATGGTGTGAGTGTATGCGAGTATATGTGCATGTATGTATGTGTGAGAATATATGTGTGTGAGTAATGGTGTGAGTGTGTGTGAGTATATGCACAGGTGTGTGTGTGTATGAATATGTGTGTGAGTGATGGTGTGTATGCCTGTATCTGTGCATGTGTGTGTGTGAATATATGTGTGAGTGATGGTGTGAGTGTGTATGAGTACATGCACAGGTGTGTATGAATATATGTGTGTGTGAATGATGGTGTGTGTGCATGTGAATATCTGCATGTGTGTGTGTGAATATATGTGTGTGAGTGATGGTGTATGTGTGAGTATATGCACAGGTGAGTGTGTGTGTATGAATACATGTGTGTGTGAGTGATGGTGTGTGTGCATGTATCTGTGAATATATGGGTGTGAGTGGTGTGTGTGTGAATATATGCACAGGGGTGTGTGTGTATGAATATATGTGTGTGTGAGTGATGGTGTGTATGCCTGTATCTGTGCATGTGTGTGTGTGAATATATGTGTGAGTGATGGTGTGAGTGCGTATGAGTACATGCACAGGTGTGTGTATGAATATGTGTGTGTGTGAGTGATGGTGTGTGTGCATGTATCTGTGCATGTGTGTGTGACAGTGATGATGTATGGGGTGGACCATGTCAGTAAAGAGGGATTACCACGCAGCACCCGTCCTGCTGGAGTTAATGGTCTCAAGTTAGGAGAGCCAGGGAGGTGTGCCCATTCTCTTCAGCCACGTCAGGCCATTTGGACAGGTTTGGAAGAGGCGGTGAGTTGGGTTTACCCCAGGTTAGGGTCTCACCAAGAGAGTAGGAGAGGGCAGAGGGGAGGAGGGAGTCAAGCATATATGCCAAGCAGCGAAGGTGTTGATGGGAGGGTTAGGAAGGAAGTGAGGCTGAGAGGCATGGAGGAGTGTGGAGGGAGGCCGGAGCTCAGGGGAGGGCCCAGTGGGTCAAGGCTGTGAGCTTTGGGCGCCCAAGGGAGTGAACTGGAAAGATGGGGGGTGGGCGGCTGCAGCGTGGGGCTGGATTGTGCAGAGTCAGCAGTCCTTCGTAATAACAAGGTGTGGAGTGTGAGCAGGGAGCAGTCAGTTTCCGTATCTAACACTGGGGAAATGGTACCTCCTTCAGAGGGGTTGAAAGGCTTCCATCACACAGCTCTGTGTTTCTTTTCTTTGAGTAGTTTAAGGCCAAGAGCACAACTGGGTGCTCCCTGTGGATCCACAGGGTCTATCCTAACATTGTGTGCGTCTGTGAGCCCAATAAATATCCTGGGTGCTCCCTGCAGATCCACAGGGCCTATCCTAATGTCGTGTGCGTCTGTGAGCCCAATAAATATCCTGGGTGCTCCCTGCAGATCCACAGGGCCTATCCTAATGTCATGTGTGTCTGTGCACCCAATAAATATCATTTGCTGAATTTGGAGAAGTCGCTACAAAACTTTCCTGTGATATCTTTAAAAAATTTAGAGGGGTTGAAATATACAGTCATATTTTCCAGCTCCTATTAAAAATAGTTTGCATATGGCTGTGAAAAATAAAAATTGTACAAGTCCAGCCATGCCAGAACTGTAGTTTTTAAGTATCAATTAACAAAAAAGATTTTTTCATATGGCCCTAGAAGGGAATGAATTGTGTATGAGACTTACTGCTTTACATGAGAAAGAGATTTTTTTTAAATTACTAAGACCATTTACAGAGAAAATTGCCTTGAAAACATTCAATAAATGCAAAGTGTTCTTTTTCCGTAGACATGTCATTTTTGCCATGCCTACCACTGTGAGTCTTTGAAAACATTTTATTTTATAAAAAGTATTAAAAAAAACTTTCACATTTTTATTACCATTTGGTTCCTAACACTAGATCTTTTGACTTTTCCTAAATCACTTTTTGTACATAGGTTTTCAAAAACATTAAGACTGTTATGAAAGCCTTTGAGCTCATTGATGTTAACAAGACTGGACTGGTTCGACCGCAGGAGCTAAGAAGGGTTCTGGAGACCTTCTGTATGAAGTTAAGAGACGAGGAATACGAAAAGTAAGCAAATGAAGGCACGGTGAGAGATTGCTCAGTAGAACTTTTAACCAATTTCAGAATGAGACCTGTTGGGTTCATTGGCTCCATCCATCTCTCACCTCCCCCTGCCACACACACACACCTTATTTCTCAAAGAGGCACTCACTGGACATTCTCTCATGTTCCTAAAGCTCCCCATGCATTCTCAAAAATGAGAGCTAATGGTTCTCATTCCTTAAGCACCCTTGGGGTCCGTCCTCTGGCCCGCAGCTCTGAACACATCCAGGTTATTGGAGTAATCCATCACCAATTGTCTCTTTCCCCACTTGGCACTGTGCCCGCCCCCCCATCCCACATATTTCTAGTTCACTGTTGATTTTTACTCAAAGCCTGGGGTTAGGAGAAGAATGACAAATTTCAGGATTCACGTGTTGTTGCTGTGCTCCCCGTTGGCTCTGCATCCTGATACAATAATGGAGACTTAATTTTCCTTTGAGGACCGTTGTTGCTGAGGTGGAGGGGTGTGCGGCAGGAGGGTGGGGTGTGCGGCAGGAGGGTGGGGTGTGCGGCAGGAGGGTGACGAACAGCAGAACATTTAGCTGCCTCATGGTGTTTGAACGCCACCACCACCTGCTCCTGACTCCAAGGGCAGCACACAGAAGCCTGCACGGGCATTTTTTTGAGCCTCCTATAAACTCCACATCATTTAGAAGAAGCCAAATGTTTGGCTTCTGTGACTACATGAGTTTTGAGTGAAAGCCACTGGAAGATGGGCCCGTGTCTAGCTTAATTTCTACAGTACCCAGCCGAGAGGTCCATTCCCTCTTCGTGCCTTTTCCCAAACACTTTTCTAAATACGCTCCAGACCATTAACAAAAGCACCAAGCCTCATTTCACCCGGAGCCCAAGCTTTTCGCATTGCACTGGTGTTCTAAGTTGCTATGAAAATGGGTCCCGGTAGCTCCTTGTATCTCATAAAGACAATGTGGCTGCTGCTAGAAGCAGAGTGGAAGAATTTGCCCCTGAGGCAAGGAAGTCTAGAGGGCATGTGACATGTCACTGATGCTGCAGGGCCTGAAAAGCAGGCAGACTTGAAAAAATAGCATCTGTTTCTCTTTTGAGTATGTTTTTCTTTTTTTTTTCTCTTTATAACCCACCTCAGAATATAAAACACATAATAGATGTTTTAATTTTTACATCTTTTCCGGCTGGGAAAGTGTCCAGAATAAGATCCAAACAAAACAAATTAAATAATTTTGTGCACGCAATTATAGAACAGAGGCAGCACTCTTCTAAAACAGGCAATCAAAAAACAAAACAGTGTTTTATTTGACAATAAACCTTGTGTTTGGCACTGCAGTCTCCAACCTAGTAAATCTATAAAAAATGTTACTGTCTGTTTCCCCATCTCATAAGTATTGAATAATAACTCCACAAATTTTTATTTGAGATTTTTTAAGCCTCAAAAACAATGCTATTTTCATGATAAGGCTTGAGAAAATGAACATAATAGAATTGCTTTCTTTTAGACTCAGAAACACAGAAGATCAAAAGTAGACCATTTCTTCAATTGCTTTAATGCTTTTCTTATTGAAGCTCAAGAATATACTCTTTCCTGGAGAAGCTGCTTCAGTATTAACTTTGTCTTTTTTATTTTTGAGCAAGAAACAATGCATTTTTGAATCCTCTCTTTTATCTAACAGCTTTCTATTTAATATCAACATTCGGCTCTTGGTGTGGTAGAAATGGCCCAGGCTTTGAAGTCAGGCTGCTGGAGGTGAAGTCTGTGCTCTCTCCTCCCTGGTTCTAGGGCCTCAGAGTAGCTCCTGGGCCTTGTCAAGACTCAGTTTTCTCTTAAAGAAATGGGGACTGGCCGGGCGCGGTGGATCACGCTTGTAATCCCAGCACTTTGGGATGCTGAGGCAGGCGGATCATGAGGTCAAGAGATTGAGACCGTCCTGGCCAACATGGTGAAACCCCATCTCTACTAAAAGTACAAAAATTAGCCAGGCATGGTGGTGCACACCTGTAGTCCCAGCTACTTGGGAGGCTGAGGCAGGAGAATCGCTTGAACCCGGGAGGCGGAGGTTGCAGTGAGCTGAGATCGCACCACTGCACTCCAGCCTGGCAACAGAGCGAGACTCCATCTTAAAGAAAAAAAGGGGGGACTGAGCAGCCCACCTCTCAGGGCTGGGATGAAGACTCAACAAAATGTAAACAACATGCCTGTGATGCGCTTGCACATAGTAGGGCTGATTTCACAGTGACCATCTCATCATCATAAAGACTCCGTGAATGCCCTTTACCCTCTGATGACCTGTTCCATTTAGGCAGCAGACTACTCTCCAACCTACATAAAACAAGAGGCCAGAGATACAATTACCACCAAGCCCCATACTTAATCAGGACATCTCAAAACCCATTGAGTGTTGTGTTTCCCATCTCCCTCCAGCCTACTCTCCACTGCCCTGGAGGCCAGTGTGTTTGATATAGGTGAAATCATTTATGAGCAGCCTTGTAAAACCAGCAAACAAATCACTACAGTTCAGCCTGTTGCCTGAGCAGATGAATGAAACCCAGTTCCAGGTGGTGACGCTGGAGAGGTTTATGAGCTGATTGGAGTCATACCCTTCTCCCCTCAATTGGGTCTTCTGGTTTCTCAAACTTACCACCTCATTTTCACAAGACAGAGACCGTAGATGAAAGATGAAGCTCTTTAGGGAGTTTCACTGTTAACATCTGGCAGCGATCACACCTAGAGATCATTTATCTTATTAAAACAATAGGCAAGAGTCATCAAAGTGGAAAAAAAGGTATGCATTGAAATAACTACATGGCATTACTCTTTGTTAAATTTGGAAAACAGAAAAATAAATACTTTAAGTGATAATTACCAAATTTTTAGAAAGCAGTATGAGATTAGATAATTATAGAAATCAACACATATGGAGATAATATAACCAAACATTTAAAAACCATCAATTTTTAGAAATGTGATAACACAGAAATGATCTAGAAAACCATTTATCAGGTGGAAGGCTTGAATAATAGAAAATTTATTTTAAAAATTCAAACATCTTATTTATCTTAACTTTAAAAAAAGGTTATCTCGGCTGGGCACAGTGGCTCATGCCTGTAATTCCAGCACTTTAGGAAGCTGAGGTGAGCAGATCACTTGAGGCCAGGAGTTCGAGACCAGCCTGGCCAACATGGAAAAACCCCGTGTCTACTAAAAATACAAAAATTAGCCAGGCGTGGTGGTGTATGGCTGTAATCCCAGCTACTCGGTAGGCTGAGGCACGAGAATCGCTTGAACTGGGAGGTGGAGGTTGCAGTGAGCTGAGATTGCAGCACCACACTCTAGCCTGGGCAACAGAGCGAGATTCTGCCTAAAAAAAAAAAAAAAAAAAAAGTATTTCAGTATGTTTCAGGAATAGACAGTGGTTCGCTGTTTTAAAAAGCCTTGTATGTTACATATAAAAATCACGAAATGCTTCAAGAGAAACTTTGCCTCCTCCACCCATCCCCTGTTTTGAAACCATATGCCATCTGTGGGCCTCAGTTTCTCTCTAGAGAAAGGATATGCTCAGTCGAGATCATCTCTGCTGGCTCCTCCACCCAGCTCTCCATTTCCCTGCTTATGGAAATTTTGTGCTGGCTGACTCATTTCCCTACAATTATTAAAGGCAAATGGGACCTGCTTCTGCTGTCGGAGTGGAGAGGCAGCTGCCGTGCAGACAGAGCCCCAGCTCCCCTTCTGCCAGAGCCGGGAGAAACTCCTTAGGTGCTGTCTAGGTTGGGGTATTCTTCAACAGGTCCAGCAACATTTCTGTCTCACTCTAATTTCTATGCATCCATCTGTAGGTTGGAGAAGTGATCTCGAAGTAGCTGCATTAAAAAAAAAATCTGACAGTAACATTTTCTGGGGTTTACTTTTTAATTCCCTCTGTAGCTAGAAACAGACATTAAAATTAATGCCAGCCCGAGTGTAAAGGATACCTTAGTAACAAACTTGCTTCATTTTAGATTCATAATTTCTCATTACTAAAGAACATTTGTATTTTAGGTTTTCGAAACACTACAACATCCACAAGGATACTGCAGTAGATTACAACGTGTTTTTGAAGAATCTCAGCATAAATAACGACTTGAACCTTAGATATTGTATGGGAAATCAAGGTAAGTATTTTTAAAGTATATAGCTAAAGATTTCAATATCTTTTGGCATGGTAATTCCTGTTCTTTGGATCATTCCTGAGGAAATACTTTCAAATATAGGAAATACATTATCTACAAAGCTAGCCATGGTATCATTATTTATAAGAATAACGTCAATGCCTAAGAATAGGAAAAGGCTAAATGAGTCACAATATAGCCATGTGGTAAAATCTACAGCCAGGAACAAGGATATCCATGAAGAGTTAATAATAACACAGAAGATGTGTGTGGAATATCTGTAGCGGATTGGAAAATATTCCAAAATACTCAGGTTGTCCTTAAGTGAGATGCCCCTGGCTGTGATTTTGTTCTTTCTGTTGCTTCTGTATTTTCAACTTTTTTTCTTTAATGATGGGAAAAATCTTAACAGAAAAGGGCAAATAGCTGAGTAATTTGCAGTTATGTTAGACAAGCAAAGCCAGGTCATTAGACATAACCTTGAGACAGAACGTGTTTCCTCGTGCGAACAGTCTTTACTCCAGCCTCCTCCATACGACGCCCAGGGTTGTCGGCCTGCTGGGTAGCTTTGGAGAGAGTCAGGGTCCAGTTCTTTAAGGATGAATGTCTGGCTCATGCAATTGGATCCTCTCCCTTCCCAGCCTTTGGTCATTTTCCTCACCTTAAATAAGATTTCCCCTCAGTGGTCTAGTGCTTTAGGAGTGACTGCCCCTGAATGACTCGCTCAAAATGGGTTGTCTCTGTGTGGTTTCAGCAGCAAATATTCAGGGACCATGTTCTATGATTCTCAGATCCCTCTCACTAGCAAGCTGAAAAATGGCAGATTCTCAGGTTTTAGCCTGGTTCCACTAACCAAGCTTGCTTAGAGCAGACTCCAGTGCTCTAGTTTTCGAAGCCTCCTGTGCCAGGAGCTGTGCAAAGCGTGTTCCTGCGTCGCCTCTTCATATTCCCCACGACCACGTGAGGCAGGTGCCAGTGCGACAAGGAAGAGATGGAAGTAAACAATCGAACCAAGCCCACTACCCAGAAATAACCACTGTCCACAGGGTTCTTGGCATCTCTCCGTGGCACATATATGGAAAGAAGAGTTAGGCAGAAAGAAATACATTTGTAAAAATGGGTTTATATAGATGCTGTTCTCTGTAAGAATGTACTTTTACCTGAGTGTATCAGAAGAATAGAAATTTAAACGAAACTCAAGAAAATGAGGAATACACCCTGCCTCTATATCTTGGATATAATGTCCACAGGTCACATCTCCCCCTTCAATATGTCGTAGACTTTGCTCCATTGCCCTCTGGTACTTAGTCTGATTGTGGAAAAGTCTGAGGCCTGCTTCATTTTTTCTCTTATGGATGATTTGTTTTCTCTGGCTGATTGCCTAAGAGGCATTTATCCTAGAACTCCATCCCTCCCTCCATCCCTCCCTCCCTCGCTCCCTTTCCTCCTTCCCTCCTTCCATCCTTCCCTCCTGCCCTCCTTTTCCTCTCCTCTCCTCTCTTTTTTCTTTCTTATTTCTACAAGGTCTCGCTTGCTCTGTTGCCCAGGCTTGAGTGCAGTGACACGATCATAGCTCACTGCAGCCTCAACCTCCTGAGCAATTCCAGCACTTTGGGCACAAGCAATCCTCCAACCTCAGCCTCCCAAGTAACTGGGACCACAGGCATGCACCACCATGCCTGGCTAACTTTAAAAAAAAAAATTCTAGAGACAGGGTCTCACTATGTTGCCAGGCTAATCTCGAACTCCTGTGCTTAAGTGATCCTCCTGCCTATACACAGTCCCAAAGAGCTGGGATTACAGGCGTATGCCGCCATGACCAGCACATATTCACAGTGATTGTCTTAGATCTTTTATCTATACCTGTAATTTGATTTTCACCAAGGTCTATCCTATTCTTTGCTGTTTCTAATTTACTTACTAGATCTCTAATGTTGTTTCTTTAGGTCTACAATATTATTTTCCATCTTATTTTGTTGGTTTATCATCTTGCCATTCAACTCTCCTTTTACTGAGTTCACGTTCTTATAGAGAGATTCTGTAAAGTAATTTTGTATCTGAAGTTACGTTTTCTTCCAAGGTGGGATCTCTGCCTTGTGTTCATTATGTTCCTCTCCTTCCTTCACTATCCACTCCTGGAGAGTTTGCGTACTTTCATGAAATTTGGATAAACTGAGTATTTTCTATTCCATTTTACTTCTTCTATTGACTTTTTATTTATTATTAAATTTTTTGGTGCTTGTTCTAGGGTGATATGGTTTGGATATTTGTCTCTTCCAAATCTCATGTTGAAATGTAATCCCCAGGCCAGGCATGGTGGCTCACGCCTGTAATCCCAGCACTTTGGGAGGCTGAGGCAGGAGGATCACTTGAGGCCAGGAGTCCAAGGACCAGCCTAGGCAACATTAGCAAGACCCTGTCTCTATTTAAAAAAAGAAAGAAATGTGATCCCCAGTGTTGGAGGTTGGACCTAGTGGGAGGTATTTGTGTCATTGGGGTAGATTCCTCATAAATAGCTTGGTGCCCTCCCCATGGTAATGAGTGGGTTCTTGCTCTGTTAGTTCACACAAGAGCTGGTATTTAAAGGAGACAGGCACCTCCTCCTCTGCCTTGCTCCCTCTCTTGCCACTTGATGCACTTGCTCCCTGTTCACCTTCCACCACCAGTAAAAAGCTTCTTGAAAGAAAACCTAGGCAATACCATTCAGGACATAGGCGTGGGCAAAGACTTCATGACTAAAACACCAAATGCAATTGCAGTGAAAGCCAAAATTGACAAATGCGATCTAATTAAACTAAAGAGCTTCTGTGCAGCAAAACAAACTATGATCAGAGTAAACAGGCAACCTACAGAATGGGAGGACAATTTTGCAATCTATCCATCTGACAGAGGTCTAATATCCAGAATCTATAAGGAACTTAAACAAATTTACAAGAAGAAAACAACCCCATCAAAAAGTGGGTGAAGGATATGAACAGACACTTCTCAAAAGAAGACATTTATGCAGCCAACAAACATATGAAAAAAAGCTCAACATCTCTGGTCATTAGAGAAATGCAAATCAAAACCACACTGAGATACCATCTCATGCCAGTTAGAATGGTGATCATTAAAAAGTCAGGAAACAACAGATGCTGGAGAGGATGAGGAGAAATAGGAACACTTCTACCCTGTTGGTGGGAGTGTAAGTTAGTTCAACTATTGTGGAAGACAGTGTGGCAATTTCTCAAGGATCTAAAACCAGAAATACCATTTGACCCAGCAATCCCATTAATGGGTATATACCCAAAAGATTATAAATCATTCTACTATAAAGACACATGCACATGTATGTTTATTGCAGCACTATTTGTAAGAGCAAAGACTTGGAACTAACCCAAATGCCCATAAATGATAGACTGGATAAAGAAAATGTGGCAGATATACACCAGGAGTACTATGCAGCCATAAAAAAGAATGAATTCATGTCATTTGCTGGTACATGGATGAAGTTGGAAACCGTTATTCTCAGCAAACTAACACAGGAACAGAAAACCAAACACCGCATGTTCTCACTCATTGTGAGAGTTGAACAATGAGAACACATGGACATAGGGAGGGGAACATCACACACTGGGGCCTGTCATGGGGTGGGGGCAAAGGGGAGGGATAACATTAGAAGAAATACCTAATGCATGTGGGGCTTAAAACCTAGATGATGGGTTGATGGGTGCAGCAAACCACCATGGCACATGTATACCTATATAACAGACCTGCATGTTCTGCACATGTATCCTAGAACTTAAAGTATAATTTAAAAAGAAAAAAAAAAAACTTCTTGAAGCCGAGCAGATGCTCGAGCTTCAAGGATGTACGAGCCATGCTTGTACAGCCTGCAGAACCATAAGCCAAATGAGCCTCTTTTCTTTATAAATTATCTAGTCTCAGGTATTCCTTGATAGCAATGCAAAGCAGACTAATAAATAAGGTTTCTAATATACATCTTTGATTAATCAGAACCTACCTCTAAGTAATATTATAGTAATTCATGTGCAGTGTATGGACCTTACTACAGTGTTTTTCCAGTTCTTCTCTCCTATCCTTTGTTATATTGCTGCCCTGCATTGTACTTTTACATACACCATAAACACATAATACATTGCTACGCTCCTGTTGTTCCACTGAGATTTCCTGTCTGTTCACTCAACAGAAATATATTTTCTTTTACATTCTCAAACACTGTTATTTTACAATTTTAAGAATTTTTAAATGCTTAAAAATTTTTTTTTCTTTTTGAGACAGGGTCTTGCTGTGTTGCCCAGGCAGGAATGCAGTGGTGCAATCATAGCTCACTGCAGCCTCAAACCCCTGGGCTCAAGTAACCTTCCCACAGCAGCCTCATGACCAGCTAGGACCACAGGCATGCCACTATGCCTGGCTAATTTTTAAAATTATTTTTTGTGGAGATGGCATCTCACTGTCATGCCCAGCCTAGTCTCAAACTCCTAGCATCAAGTGATCCTCTTGCCTCACTCAGCCTCCCCAATTCTGGGATTACAGGCGTGAGCCACTGCACTTGGCTGCTTTAAACTTTTTTATCTGTTAATTCCAACAACTAGGTCATCTCAGGGTTTGGGTTTTAAAACTTTTTTTTCAACATTATACCATAAGAAGTAAGGGTTTGGTCTTTATTGATTACCTTTCTTCTTGAATGTGAATCACAGTTTCCTGAGGTTTTTTCTGTCTCATAATTTTGCAATTTATTCTGGATATAGTAAATGTCTATAATTTTGCATTATAGAAACTATGCATTCTGTTATGTTCTGAAGAATTGTTATTTTGTTTGTTTTAGCAGCCAGTTTACTTGGCTGTATTCAGACTCTAAACTTTGTCCTCCCAGCGGTGGGACATCTTTGTTTCATTATTTTCTCCCTAGAGGGGCAGCTTGGTGTCTTCTCTGCACATCTATAGTTCAGGAGTTGGCCAGAGATTTGGGCAAAGTTTATTCACAGATGTTGGAGATCCCCCTTTATGCCTCTCTTCCTTTTGGGTTTTCCTTCCTTGCCTTCTGGCCACTGTGGGAGGCCTGAACTCTGTTTTCCAATTCCTAAAGCTGGTAAGAGCCTGAATTTATATCCAAATTCTAGCCACTTAGCATGATTCCAGCTGGGGCCTGCCCTCAGGCAAAAAGCCAAATCACAAGAAATTCACTGAGTAAGATTTCATTTTTCCAAGTGCCAGCTTCAGTTTGTATCTGCTTTCAGTTGCTCCCCAGGGCCTCCAGATAGTTTTCTGTTTATATTTTGCCCAGAGTTTTAAATGTTATCTGCTGGGAGGGTTGTATGAGCTAATCCACCAAAATTGGAAGCAAAACTTTCTGTCTACTCATAGTCAGTTTCTTTTTGCTTCAATTTATGCTGTCTTTTTTTTTTTTTTTTTTTTTTTTGGTGAATTTTTACATTTTTTCTTCTGCTTATTTCTTTAGGTATTATAAGAAGGTAAGTTCTAGGATACAATTTCAGTTTTGCTATGGACATCCCTTTTTTTGTTTTTGCATTTTATCAATAATTGGCAGCAGATTTTTAATAATGCATTATTTTATGTATCCCCAATGCCTAAATGAAAGGCGTCTTTGATTTGATCCAATGTAAGCTATATATCCAGTCATTCTGTATATTCCTGTTTCTGCAGCATTAGCTTACATTCTCATTGCTGCCTCCTAACTGGTACCACAGTCTAAAGCCTATTGGCCTATCCCAGTCTGTCTTCTATCCTGCATTCATCGTAAAATACAATCTTAGTTCCATCATTTTTCCTATTGAATACTTATCCTATAACTTTTATCATTGAAATTCAAATCCTCCAGTTAGGAGGCAAAACCATTTTGTGGATGTTCTAAAATAAAGATATAGTAGTTTGGGGTTATGGGGCATATAATATTAAATCTCTACACTAAGGCTGTCAGGACAGAGGCCTATTTATTGGTATGTAGTAGGAAAGGCTGAATTGCTGACACCAGCCCATCATCTTCCCCGCTGCCATCCTACCAGTTCAAAACTTTAGCCCTAAAGTGTAAAACTCATGGTGTCAGCATATTCTTTCTGGGTTGGTGTTATGGTTTCAATGTTAGCCCCCTCCAAAACTCATGTTGAAACTTAATCCCCAATGTAACAGTTTTAAGAGATGTGGCCTTTAAGAGGTGACTGAGTCATGAGGGCTCTGCCCCTGTGAAGGGGATTAATGGATTATCATAACAGTGAGTCTGTTATAAAAGCTAGTTTGGGCCGGGTGCAGTGGGTCACGCCTGTAATCCCAGCACTTTGGGAGGCCGAGGCGGGTGGATCACCTGAAGTCGGGAGTTCAAGACCAGCCTGACTAACATGGAGAAACCCCATCTCTACTAAAAATACAAAATTAGCTGGGCGTGGTGGCGCATGCCTGTAATCCCAGCTATTCGGGAGGCTGAGGCAGGAGAATTGCTTGAACCCGGTAGGCGGGGGGTTACAATGAGCCAAGATTGTGCCATTGCACTCCAGCCTGGGCAACAAGAATGAAACTCCGTCTAAAAAAAAAAAAAAAAAAAAAAAAGCCAGTTTGGCTCTCAACATGCCTCTCTCTTGCCCTGTGATGCTTTCTTCCATGTTACAACAGAGCATGAGGGCCTCAGAAGCCAGCCAGCTGCAGTCCCTTGACCTTGGACTTTCTAGCTTCCAGAACTATAAGAAATATATTTGTTTTCTTTGTAAATTACTTAGTCTCACGTATGTAGTTACAGCAACATAAAAAGGACTAAGATAGAAACTTGATACAGAGAAGTGGGGTTGTTGCCATACAGATAACTGGAAATGTGGAAGCAACTTTGGAACTAGGTAATTGGCAAAGGCTGGAAGTATTTGGAGGAGCAGGCTAGAAAAAGCCTAGATTACCATGAGCAAAGCATTATGGGTGATTCTGGTGAGGGCTTAGAAGAAGTGAAGACAAGAGAAAGTCTAGAACTTTTTGGAGATTACTTGAGTGGTTGTGACCAGAATGTTGATAGAAATATGGATGGTAGGCAGGGCACGGTGGCTCATGCCTGTAATCCTAGCACTTTGGGAGGCCAAGGCAGGCAGATCATTTGAGGTCAGGAGTTAAAGACCAGCCTGGCCAACACAGTGAAACCCTGTCTCTACTAAAAATATAAAAAAATTAGCTGGGCGTGGTGGCGTGTGCCTGTAATCCCAGCTACTTGGGAGGCTGAGGCAGGAGAATCACTTGAACCCAGGAGGCAGAGGTTGCAGTAAGCCAAGATCGTGTCACTGCATTCCAGCCTGGGAGACAGAGCGAGACTCCTTCTCAAAAAAAAAAAAAAAAAAGAAAAAAGAAATATTGACAGTAAACAGTAAAGACCATTCTGACAAGGTCTGAGATGGAAATGAGGGACAAAGTACTGGAAGCTAAAGTAAAGGCCATCCTTTTTATACAGTTGCAAACTTGGCTGCATTGTATCCATGCCATAGGGTGGTGTGACAGGCTGAGCTTGAGAGTGCTGAACTAGGATAGCTGGTGAAAGAAATTTCTAAGCAGCAAAGTGTTCAAGGTGCTGCATGGTTACTTTTGGCCACTTGCAGTGAGATTTGGAAGCAAAAGGATGACAAAGATAAAACTTACAATCCTGAAGGAAGTGCAGCCTGGCCACATGCAGAATGAAAAAAGCATGTTCATGAGAACAAAATAAGGATGTGGCTAAGTGACTCATGGTTAAATAGATTAGCATAAATAGAAAGGACCCTCCCATCACAGACCCAAAGCCATAGGAAGGCAGAATGGTTTTTGGCAATTACCCTAAAAAGCCTGCTCGATGGGCTTGCTGCCCAGGGCCATCTCCGGACTCTGCCCCCACATTCCGGTGCAGGGCTCCTTGGTCCCAGCTGTGGCTTAGGTGCCCCTCTGAAAAGTACAAGCTGTAAAGCTTGGTGGCAGCACACTGGGGCTCACGTGGGCCCAGATGTGGCTTATGCCATAACTCTGGAAGGTGCAAGCAGTAAGCTTTTGACACTATGAGGTGCTAACCCTGCAGGTGTGCAGAATGTAAGAATTGTAGAGGCAGAGTGGGCTCCACCTTTGTTTTCCTTATTCATAATTTGATCTTTTTGTCTGGATGCCCTGATAATTTAAAAAAATTTAAAACCCAATACATTTTGCTAGACTATGTCATGATATTAGGTACTCAAGGTTGAATGATTCCCTGAGTACATTGTGTACTATTTAGGTTTTCATCTGAGTCTCTTTTTTAAAAAAATTCAACTTTTAGATACAGGGGTACATGTGCAGGTTTGTTACACAGGTATACTGCACCCAGGTAGTGAGCATAGCACCCAATAGGTAGTTTTTCAATCCACACCCCCTCCATTTCTCCTCCTCTAGTAGGCCCTGTTATCTGTTGTTCCCATGCTTATATCCATGTGTGTTCAACTTTTTGTTGTCATTTTAACAATGTTCATAGCATCTTTACCAGGAGTAGATTTCATCTCAAGAGACCACTTATTTTGCTCATCCATAAGAAACAACTCCTCATCCCTTAAAGTTTGAACAGAAGATTACAGCAATATAGTCACATCTTCAGGCTCCACTTTTAATTCTAGTTCTCTTGCTATTTCCACTACGTATACAGTTACTTCCTCCACTGAAGTCTTGAACCCCTTAAAGTCATCCATTAGGGTTGGAATAAACTTCGTTCAATGTTTACCTCCCACTTATAAGAGAGAACATGCAGTGTTTGGTTTTCTGTTCCTGTGTTAGTTTGCTTAGAATTATGGCCTCCAGCTCCATGCATGTTGCTGCAAATGACTTGATTTTATTCTTTTTTATGGCTGTGTGGTATTCTGTGGTATATCCGTACCACATTTTCTTTATCCAGTCCACCACTGATGGGCACCTATGTTTATTCCATGTCTTTGCTATGGTGAATAGTGCTACAATGAACATATGAGTGCATGTGTTGTTGGCATAATAATCTATTTTCCACTAGATATATGCCCAGTAATTGGATTGCTGCGTTGAATAGTAGCTCTGTTTTAAATTCTTTGAGAAATCTCCAAACTGCTTTCCACAGTAGCTGAACTGATTTACATTCCCACCAACAATGCCTGAGTGTTCCCTTTTCTCTGCAGCCTTGCCAGCATCTGTTGTTTTTTGACTTTTTTTTTTTTTTGAGATGCAGTCTCACTCTTTCATCAGGCTGGAGTGCAGCAGCGCGATCCCGGCTCACTGCAACCTCTGCCTCTTGGGTTCAAGCGATTCTTCTGCCTCAGCCTCCTGAGTAGCTGGGATTACAGGCGCATGCCACCACACTTAGCTAATTTTAATTTTTTTTTTTTAAGTAGAGATGGGGTTTCACCATGTTAGCCAGGATGGTCTCGATCTCTTGACCTCGTGATCTGCCCACCTTGGCCTCCCAAAGTGCTGGGATTACAGGTGTGAGCCACCACGCCCTGCCTTTTTTGACTTTTTAATAATAGCCAATCTGATTGGTGTAAGATGGTATCTCCTTGTGGCTTCAATTTGCATTTCTCTGATGATTAGTGATTATGAGCATTTTTTCATATGTTTGTTGGCCGTGTGTATGTCTTCTTCTTTTGAGAAGTGTCTGTTCGTGTCCTTTGTCCATTTTTTAATGGGGTTATTTGTTTTCTGCTTGTTGATATTGTGTTTAAATTCCTTACAGATTTTAGATATTAGGACTTTGTCAGATGCATACTTTTCAAATATTTTCTCCCATTCTGTAGGTTGTCTGTTTATTGATAGTTTCTTTTGCTGTGCAGAAAAGTTCTTTAGTTTAAGAAGGCCCCACTTATCCATTTTTATTTTTGTTGCAATTGCTTTTGGGGACTTAGCCAAACATTCTTTGCCAAGGCTGATGTTGAGAAGGATATTTCCCAGTTTTTCTTCTAGATTTTTATAGTTTGAGGTCTTCCATTTACTTCTTTCATCCATCTTGAGTTAATTTTTATATATAGTGAAAGGTAAGGGTCCAGATTCATTCTTCTGCATATGGCTAGCCTGTTATCCCAATACTATTTATTTAATAGGGAGAACTTCCTCCATTGCTTATTTTTGTCTGCCTTGTCAAAGATCGGATGTTTTAAGTGGGTAGCTTTATTTCTGAGTTTCCTATTCTGTTCCATTTGCCTATGTGTCTGTTTTTGTACTAGTGTCATGCTGTTTTGCTTTCTATAGTCTTATAGTATAGTTTGTAGTTGGGTAGACTGATGCCTTCAGCTTTGTTCTTTTTGCTTAGGATTGCTTTGGCTATTTGGGCTTTGGGTTTTGTTTTGTTTTGTTTGTTGTTCCATATGAATTTTAGGATAGCTTTTTCTAATTCTTGAAGAGTGACATTGATAGCTAGATTGGAACTGCGTGGAATCTGTTCATTGCTTTGGGCAGTATGGCCATTTTAATGATACTGATTCTTTCAATCCGTAAGCATAGAATATTTTTTCCACTTATTTGTGTCATCTCTAGTTTCTTTCAGCACTGTTTTGTGCTTCTTCTTGTAGAGATCTTTCACCTCCTTGGTTAGCTGTATTCTCAGGTATTTTATTTTCTTTGTGGCTATTGCACGTGGGATTGTATTCTTGATTTGACTCTCAGCCTGGACATTATTGATGTATAGAAATGCCACTGATTTTTGTACATTGATTTTGTGTACTGAAACCTTGTTTAAATGATTTATCAGTTCTAGTAGCCTTTTGGCAGAGTCTGTAGGGTTTTCTAGGTATAGAATCATATTGTCAGCAAAGAGAGATAGTTTGACTTCTTCATTTCGTATGTGGATGCCTTTTCTTTCTTTCTCTTGCCTGATTCCTCTGGCTAGGACTTCCTCTTTAATTTCTTGAATTGTGATTTTTAGTATTTTTTCCATTCCATTGTTTGGTTTTCTTCTCAGTGATTCATATCATATGTATTGTATCTTTTGGATTCCCTATCCAAAAGATAGGATCTTTTTTCCCCCTCTCTTCTCTTCTACACCACAACTTCCTCACAAGTCCTTCTTCCTCCCTTTTTTCTTACTTTCTTCCTCCCTCCCTTCCTCTCTCTTTTCCTCCCTCTCTCCCTTCTTTGTTTCCTTCCATGATATAACTTTGATTTCACCTCCTATTACTATTGTGTTTATTTGCTCTTGTGTTTCTTTTAGTTTAGTCTTCATTTCTTATTTTATTTTATTTTTTAGAGACAGGGTCTTGCTCTGTCACCCAGGCTGGAGCGCAATGGCATGATCATAGCTCACTGCAGCCTTGAACTCCTGGGCTCAAGCAGTTCTCCTGCCTCAGCCTCCCGAGTAGCTTGGACCACAGGTACATGCTACTGTGCCCGGCTATTTTTTTTTTTTTAATCTTTTGTAGAGACAGGTTCTGCTTTGTTGCCCATGCTGGTCTTGAACTCCTGGCTTCCTGCCTCGGTCTCTCAAAGTGCTGGGATTACATGTGTAAGCCACTGTGCCCAGCTTAGTCTCCTCTCCTTTCCTTTCCTTGAACCCGGCCTAGTCTTCATTTCTGAAATGATTTTTTTTTTCATCTTTATTGAGGTATAACTGACAAGTTAAAATTGTGTGTATTTAAGATGTACAATGTGGTGATTTGATGTACATATACATTGTGAAATGTTTATTACAGTAAATTAGTTAACACCTCCATCACCTCACATGGATACCTTTTTTTGTGTGTGGTGAGAACACTTAACATCTATTCTCTTAGCAAATTTCATGGTGGCTATTCGTTAATAATACAACGTTTTATACCTGACATAATGTTTTTTTGTAATTTGCTCCTGATTTCTGTCATCTGAGTTCTGAGTTTTCAGACTCTGATTGATACTGCTCTTCCATGACTCCTATCATTGAAACAGTATTATGAATCAATACGTAGCTAATACCTATTGAGTATCTACCAAGTGCCAGGCAAGTACCTCTATCAGCTCATCTAATCCAGGTAGCAGTTCCATGACAAAGGTACTGTTTTCTATCTCTTCTTGTAAATAAGGAAACAAAAGCACACCATTGCATAGCTAGTAAGTGGGAGAGCCAGTCAGCAAATTTTTTGGGGGAAAATATGTTATATAAGAACAAATTACCAAGAGCCGGTTAGAGGTTTGGTGCTGTTCTCACCTCTATAAGAGAGTCGCTAGTTCATATATTTGCAGCAACCTTTTATCTCTGACTTCTCTAAATGTGGAACAATGTGTTCTATTAATTTTGCTAACTTCTGTTTTGGTTCCATTTGTGTTCTTAATAAGCCACCACCATCTTGCTTATGAAAAGCACCATCTATTTGGGCACATGAAGAAAGATGCTGGGGAGCAGATTTCCTTTCGCCTGCAGTGAACATAAACCGCACTGTAAGCTTTGGATTGCTTCTCCACCCAGTTTCACATTGGGTAGCATCATCCTTCAGAGGAAATTTTGAGAAAATCAGAAGGTTGCAGGCATTATCAAGCTGCCCTGGAGAATGAAAGCTGGTATAATTGTGGTGAGAGAGGCGTCACTGAATACACCGTACCGAGTGCTGTCAGCCAGCCTGTGAGAGCAGCCACAGGGCGTGTGCACAGACCTGTGGGCCGTGAGCTCCCCAGGGCAGGCCTCACACCCTAATCCCTTCTCCACCCTTCCAAGCCAGACATGTTGTTTAAACAGAGCCCCAGTGGGCTTCCCGAAATGTGCCATGAGAGTACCAGTGTCACAGGTGGACTGAGAACAGGATGAGGTGTCCAAGAGGGGCTGGAGGCCTCTGTGTGCTAGACCACTTCAGGTCCCGCTTCTGTGACACAGCTTCCTCATCTTTCAGCGAGGGCCCTTGCAGCTCAAATGTCCTGAGACACCAGGTTTCAAATGCTCAGCCCACTGTGGCTGTAGAATTCCAGACCAAGACCAAATTTGTTGATATTATTATTATTATTACGGTTATTTGAGGTGGAGCCTCTCTCTGTCACCAGGCTAGAGTGCAGTGGCATGATCTCAGCTCACTACAACCTCCGCCTCCCAGGTTCAAGCAGTTCTCCTGACTCAGCCTCCCGAGGAGCTGGGACTATAGGCGTGCCGCAATGACCGGCTCATTTTTGTATTTTCAGTAGAGACAGGGTTTCACCACGTTGGCCAGTTTGGTCTCAAACTCCTGACCTCAGGTGATCTGCCCGTCTTGGCCTCCCAAAGTGCTGGGATTACAGGCATGAGCCACTGTGCCTGGCCATGACCAAGTTCTAAAGACCAACTTTGTCTTTTATTATATAGCCCAGAGGGATCTTTTTTTTTCTCCCCTTTCTCTTTTTTGGAGCTAGGAAATAGAATTCCAGATGACTGGCAGTTTGTTAACTGCAGCTGAATTAAGTGTGCTTAATTTGGCTGAAGCGTATTTGCAGACATTTTAGGAAATAAATCTGGGAAACCATTTGTGATTCTTTGCAGTCAACTTTGAGAAAGAAAATGGCTATATTTTAGATTTATTTCATTCTCTTTTATTATAAAAATAATACATGCTTGTTTCAAAAAAGCCAGAAAACACAAAAACACTAAATAATAATCCCGTATAATTCTACTACCTGAATCCTACCACTTTTTCTTTTTCGTGTAGTATCCTCTCAGATTTTGTTTCTGGTACTTACATGGATGGATGGATGGATGGATGGGTGGATGGATGGATGGATGCATAGAAAGATATACAAAATAAGTGTTAAAATGAAATTATGCTAATTACCCCTTTAAAATCATGAAACAATATATAGCAAAGAACATTTCCCACATCCGTTAATTTAGACACGTATCTTTGTTTTTAAAGTCTGTGTAGTATTTCATAGGCTTGATGGACCATTCATTTATAAAATTCATCTTCTATGAATGGGCATTTAGATTGTTTCATTTTTTTCCTCTCATAAAGAAAAGTGCAGAAAATATCCTTATCCATGTGAATTCGGTGAGTAGCCCTATTATGCCATGAGTACAAAACTCTAGAAAAGGATTTAAGCATATTCAAGTACCAAGTTTTTATACACAAGCCAGAACTGGTTCTTATTATTCCCTTTACTCCTTGCCTATTTGACCAGTAGAAAAAAATGTTAATTTGTTTTAATAAGACTTTAAAAATGATCAATGAGCTTGAGTAGTCCATACATTTATTGGATGCTTTAAAATTCTTTTTATGTGAATTATCTGTCTATAACCTTAGTCTACTGTTCTATTGGATGTTTATATTTATTTTATTGATTCATAAGAGCTACTCATATATTATGAAAATTAACCTGTATTTCTCATGTATATTAACAATAGTTCTTCTCCACTCATTATTTTTTCACTGTTAACTTGTGGCTTTTTTTTTTTTTACCAAACAAAAATCAAGTATTTATGTTGTCAAACTTATCCTTTATTTAAATAAATTCTGGCTTTAGTGTTTTCCTTGGCAAGGCTTTCTCACACAAAGATTATGTAGTATGTAACAGTCATCTTAATTTTCTTCTATTTTTATGGTTGTATTATTCTATTTAGTGTACATTTCACTCTATCTAGTGTTTATCCTAGAGTAAGATAGTGAGTAGATGATTACTTTTATTTTTTCCAAAATGTTTAGCCAGTTATTTCAACACCATTAATCAGATGGTTCATCATTTTCTTGGTTTATTCAAGCCTTCCTTTTTTACCAAACAAGTAATGATTAAAATGAAACAATATTTAAATGTTTAACCTTTGACAATGTTGATAAGCCGAAGCTATTTTGTTTCAACAGAGGTCTCGTTGGAGAATCAACAAGCCAAAAATTCCAAAAAGGAACGTTTGCTAGGTTCTGCATCATCTGAAGATATCTGGAGAAACTACTCCTTGGATGAAATTGAGAGGAACTTTTGTCTACAAGTAAGATGTTTTCCTAAGCCACAATTACCTACAGAGTAAACACAGCAAAGTAGACAATATGGAAAACTATTAGGTTTACACATTATTTCTAAAATTTGTTTCGATCCTACCTATGTCTTCTCCAATACTGAGACCCCCTCTACCTCCCAATAACAGCAATACATTGATCATGGATAATCGTGATGGTGATGTGAAATTAATTTTTAAGTACATCCTTTGTGCTACTCACATACTAACTCTAATAAGACATATAAAGAAATAATGCAACGTTATTGAGTAACGTAAAGGAAAACATGAATAAGTGAAGAGGTCTTTTCTGATTCTTGGATTGGAAGATTTAGTATTACTACCTATTCTTCCTATATCAGGATATATATTTTTTCTTCTGAAAAATTATAATAGAGGACTTACTCTACACATATAAAATATTTTATAAAGACATAATAATTAAGACAATATGGCATTGGTGCAGCAATGGACATTCAAATGGATTTAAAGGGGTAGTTGGCTAATGAACCACTCTTTATATGTGAACTTAGCCTGTGATGTGAAGCATTTCAATAAAGTGTAGTGAGAGAGGCTTATTTGGTAATTATTATTGAGATAATTTGCTATCCAGCCATTTTGGGGAACGAAGATTATAACCTTCCACTCTTCACCAAAAATAAATTCTATCTTCATCAACAATTTAAATGTAAGTAATGTGGGTAAACATGTATTAATGTTGAAATTTAGAATCTCTTGTAAGCATGAAGTAAAGCCCAAAAGCCTTAAAGAAAAAGACTGATAAAATTTAACTTCAGAAAAATGAACAATCCTTTATACAGCAAAACTTTGTATAAACATATGATAAACTTGGCACAATATGTGCAACATAAATGACAGATGAATAATTCCCAACATTCATAGAACTTTTACATATTATTAATATAAAATGTTCAATAGACGGATGTCAATGCAGGAGGAACTCACAAAGCCAGTGTCGATAAGGGTGTTGGAGAAGTGAGCACTGTCATATTTGTGGGTAATTTGGTTAAATTTGTTTTCTCTAGTTGTTGTTAATGACTTTCTTGTTTTCATAAAAACATGACCATTGCAAAAAACGTAAGCAATTCTAAAAAGTACAAAGAAGAAAGTAATAAACTATTCACAATCCACCACCCAGAAAGAATCAAAGGCAACATTTGGTGAACATAATTCTGGACCTCTCTTTATTCATGTATAGAAGGACGGCTGGATCAGTGGGTAGGTGGAGACATAGATAGAAATAATTTTATAAGAAGAGGATCATACTCCTTTTTAAAAATAAAACGTATTTAATTTAAATTTCCTTGAATTTCCCAGAAGAAAAGGAAATGTCAGCATCGCCATCATATTTAACTCTTTTATGGGATGTTCTCTGTGCCAGGCAGTGTTGCCAGTGCTTTGCTGGTGGTCTGTTCAGTCTTCACAGCAACCCCATGAGCAGCGCACTGTGATCGTCCAGCTGAGGACACTGAGGCATGAATAGGTTAAATGAGTCCAGCTAAGTCCTGGGGCTGAGTGTAAACAGCCTATGCAGTGCAGGCTTATCCAGTCCCTGCCCTTAACCCTGCAACACTGTCCTCAAGGGAAAGTGGAGACACTAAGAACTCTGGATGAACATTTCCTTCCCGCAAGACTTATTAGGTCCCCAAAGGGACTCTAAGGCGAGAAAAGAGATTTTAAAAGCTATTAAGAGCTGGAGAAACTATGTTTTTGAAGGATGTTTCCATTTCAGACAGTATGGGCTGGCTTTCTGCTATGAAACTCGAAGTGACGGGTACTTGTTTCTTCCTACGCCTACCTCCCACCTCACCATTTTTGCTCTTTATAGTTTGTCCTTAGCTGAGTTTATAATATTTATACTCTGTTCAGTTGCCATAATTCCCCCTGTTGTTTTGACTTTGTTTTATATTTGCATGAATTTAATGTGCATCACGATAGTGCAGCACTGATCACAGTTTATCCCTCTCAGAGTTCTTTATTTTGATTTATTTTTTGGTTGGCTGGATTTCATTGTCAAGTAATTTCCTTAGGAAAGGCTCATGGGTGCCTTATTCCCTTTGTTTTTTTCATATTTGAAACTATGTGCCTTTTGCTTTTATATTTGAACAGCAACTTGGCTGGCTATAATCCGTCCATCATGCTTTCTTTTCCTTTAATGTTGTAAATATTTTTTCCATTGTCTTCTAGCATTGGATGTTGCTGTGAAAATAACCTGGAGTCAGCCGGAATTCTTTCCCCCTTGTAGGTGATTTCTTTTTTTACCTGGATTCCTGAAGCTTTTTTTTTTTCTTGATCCTTGAAATTAACAAAGCAAAACAAAGCTATATCTCGGCATGGACCATTTTGACAAAGTTTCCTGGAATACAGTGTGATGGACAGATTCAGTTCTTCCTTTACTTCAGGAAAATCAATGTGGTGGCAAGCAATGGATACTGTGTCATAGTACTAAAATCATCTCCTCTCTCTCCCTTCCTCCTTCTATCCTTCCTTCCTTCCACAGTAGTCCCTGTTATCCTTATATTGGATCATCTTTGCCTCTCCTTCATAGCTGTCATCTTCTCTCAAGTTGATTTAATTCTTTTGTCCCTTTCCTCTGCTTCATTGAGATTCTTCCACGGCACTCCTTTAATACTAATTTAAATCTCATCCTTGCCTCTTATTCTTGCTGTGTCTAATTTATTAGTTCCTGTAATGATGCTATTTTTATTTTCTATTTTCTTAGCTTTGAAATATTCCTTCTTAATGACAATTTCTAAAAAGTTATTTTATCATTTTCAAGATTTTCTTTCAATTAATTGATTTTCTAATTTAGTTCCTTTTTGTGGCATGAAATTTTTGCAGGGGATGTGTTCATATTCTTTTATATTCTGTCTTCTTCCATTCCGGGTTCTTTGTCTTTGCCTGATCCTTCTTTCTCTTTTTCCCCATCATATATTGGCATAGTTGCAAAACCATTTATTTTTCATCCTGTTTGTGCTCAAGATGAGATTCACTCATATTATGAGTATAGCTGTGTTATCATTTTCACTGCTCTACAGTTTCCCTTATCTAAATATTTTGCAAGTTATACATTCTCCTATGGATGGACATTTGGATTGCTTCCTGTTTTATGCCAACCCAAACAGCGCCACCATAAGTGGTTGTAAGCTTAGCTTCTGGTCCACAGATGCCAAGGTTTCTCCGGAAATTACACCTAGGAGTGGAGTTGTGAGCTGGGTTGTAGAGAACATGCCCCTCAGGCTCAATGGGCAGTATCCTATTGCTTGCCACCATATTGATTTACACTCCCACCAGAAGCACGTGAGCACTCCTGCTGTTCCACGTGCCCCCAACACTTGATACTGCTAAGCTTGTACATTTCTGCCTGTCTGATACAGATGAAATGCTATCTCAGCTATAATTTTTATTTCACTTTTTACTAATGTGTTGAACAGCCTTTTATATTTTATAACTTTTGTTTAGAACGTTTTTGATAAAAATATACCCACTTTTAATAAATATTTATTGAGTGCTGACTGCATGCCAATAATGTGCTTCATTCTAGGTAATTATTTGTGAACAAAACAGATACGATCTCTGCTCGTATAGAGATCACGTTACCTTATATCAGGGAGAGAGTTATTAAACAGGTAAAAAGTCATGAATACAATTTTTTTTTAGTGGTATGATGAAAAAGACCAGGGTGTTATGAGAGAGAATAACAGCAGGGACCTCATTTAGATTTAAGACTAAGGAAACATTTATAAAAACTAAACATATGAAGATGGAAAATGGATGTACTGTTGGCTTTTCCATCAAGAATATGATGGTATGTGAAGGTGAGACTACCAGGTATTTTTATTTCCTTTTTTATACTTTGCTGAATTGCTTGCATTTTTTTTAAACAAAGGCTTGTACTTTCTATATAAACAGTAACAATGAAAATTTCTAAAAAGTTATATTTGTCACAAGGACACTATTTCGGTTTCATACCTTACCCATTTTCTAAAAGCTCTTGATCATCGCAGAAACACTCTCCTGAAGAAAAAAAAGTATGGAAAACCATATGTCATTAAGACATTAAAAATGGGTTTCACCAATCCAGTAACTGCACCGAGCCCCCGCTACACACCAGGCTCTTGCCTCTTGCTTCTCTCTCCAAGTCTTCCCCCAGGCAGTGTATCAGATGCAGCCCACCTCCCTGAAAGAGAAATGGACAAATTTAGCTGCTCTTTGGGTTAATTTTATGCAATTTTCTAAGAAGCTTAGGTCCTTTCTAATGAACTTATATCTCTAAATATTTTTATTAAAGATATTTCCCTTTAGATACCAATATTTCTATGCACACTAAGGAAAATTTAGTGATTCTGCTTTTTATTCCTTTAGTGGATCGAGTTTCTTATACATATATTTCCATGTTCCAGGAGCTCTTTAAGAAAATGACCTTTTACACCAAGTTGTGGTGATTTTGTTTATCTTCTTATCCCAGTTAGCAGGAAAAAATTGAATTCAGACAAAGTGGGATGGTTGAAGATATTGGAGAATATTGTTATTACTCAATAATAAACAGCAGGAAAACCTTTGGAAATAAAACCCGTCTTCACAGTATTTTTATGAGTCATATAAAAATCAGTGGTTAACCTATGTTACTGCATTTTAGAAGCCCCATAAGCAAAGCTCGTTCACCCAGGTTCTTTATAATTCCTCATTAAAAAAAAGAAAAGGATGATTAAAGAAATGTCCAATGTATATTGTGTTTATGCAGTCCTTATATTAATAATTTTCCTTACTGTAAAAGCTACTTCTATTTTTAATAAAATATTACCAGCTTTTTTGTTTGATTGGCCTGATTTAATCAGGAGAAGCGTAGCGTGGGCTCACAGTAGGGAAAAACTTGAAAGTATATTAAGGAAGATGTATCAAACCGGCAGATCTACCAAGTATTTTTAGCTCTGAAATTTGAGGTGGAGCTATTCTATGTGCTGTTTTTCCCTGGGAAACGTGTCTGCCTTGTCACTTGAGTAGCTGTGACTGGGAATACTGTTTTGTAGTGAGCTCATCAATTAAACATTTGAAGTTCAGTACATGCCATAGTAACCTTTTTGATCAGTTTTTGGAGAGAAAAATTTGAAGAGGTTTTTGGTAAAAATAAAATGGTTGAATAGCTCCATGAAGTTGATATTTATGAACGCCACACTCTAATTTCAATTTATTGCAGCTTTCGAAGTCTTATGAAAAGGTTGAAAAGGCCCTCAGTGCAGGGGACCCCTGTAAAGGTGGCTACGTGTCTTTTAATTATCTAAAGATTGTCCTCGACACTTTTGTATACCAAATACCAAGAAGAATTTTTATCCAGTTAATGAAAAGGTAAGAGTCTCATTGTTTCCTTGACATTTTTTTCCCCAAACGTCAACCGTAAGAATAAGGCACAGCTTCGTTTATTTTTTATTAATGTTTTAGACTTTTTATTACTGAAAATTTAAAACGTATACAGAAGTAAAGGGAATAATATAGTAAATCCATGAATGTACCCACTACCCAGCTTCAACAATGGTCAAATCTTGGCCAATTATTTCATTTGTATTCCTGCTCATGTTCTTCAACCCCAGATATTTCTGAAACAAATACCAGATAGCATATTTCCCTCTCTCTCTAAAAAATAAGAACTCTTTTTAGAAACAAGGTGAAAATACAGTTTTCACATCTAATAGAGTTATCAATCATATTAATAAATATCCAGTCAAGGTTCAAATCTAACTGCTTGCCTCATGTTTTCTAATTTAAATTTATTTAAATCAGGATCCAAATTAAGTCTGTAGTTTCAACTGGTTGATTTTTCACAATTCTTTTTAGAACTGTAGCCCTCCTCTCCATTTCTTAATTTTAGAAGTAATCTGGATTGTTTGTTATGGGGGCTTTCTTACAATCTGCATTTGACTGCTTGTAACCCACAGTGTCATTTTACATGTTTCCCTATCTCCCTCCCCTGACTCCCTACCCTAAATTGATAGTTAGATGTAGATGTACAGACCCATGTTCATTTTGTGGGGAGTGGGGGGGACAAAAATACTTCATAGGTGGTGGCAAACATATATAGACTGTCTCTCTTTTCGTGATCTTATCAACCATTGTTGATCATACTCAGATCCATCCATTCATTAGAGATTATAAAATGATGACATTCTGTGTCTATCATTTCTTCTTCTCTTACTGGTTGGAGGACTTCTGTAATAACAACTTCCCCTCTCCAACTATTTGGTGACAACAAGACACAGTTAATATAAGAAAGGCAGGATAGCCTTGATTCTTTCCCTGCATTTCCTACTTTGCAAAATAATGAGCTGGTTCCCTGGCATCCTCCAAAAGTGAGCAATCAGTGTTATTTTCTTAATGATTTTTTCTTAATAATGATTAAGAACTCATTACTTTAAGCATATTTGTGTCTCAATTCATTACAGCTGTTATATTGATACTCAATTTGTTCCATCTTGGCCAGTGGGAGCATTTTCACGTTGGCTCCAACATCCTGTTGATGTGACCAGATAGTCTTTGACAGCTTCCTTGCTTTGTGGTATGACAAACGTTCCAGGTTGTTCTTGTACATCCCTTGCCTGGGACCTGGCATGAGCCATTTCTCCAAGGATCCCTGTTCTTTCCAATTTGAAATGGTATATGTAGACCACAATCTAGGTTAGGAATACTCTCTTTACCTGGTTTTCTGTCCAGGTAAGACAGAGAACCTTTTTTGGGGGGAAATAGAGTAGAAGCTAATGGAAAGATTGTCCTGTCAAACTGTGGGTAATTGATAGGTGCCTTGGGGTTTCTCTAGAAAGGAGAGGCATGAGAGAAGGGGATGGAAAATGTGGCATGAAGCTACAGCAGCTGGCTCCATTCCCCACAGCACCCCACTTTCCTTGCCAGCTCCCTATATGTCCAGAGAGAATCACCATGTACGAATGCTGTGGCTTTTATAGTGAAAGCAAAGTTTGGCCCTAGGAGTAAATGTTTCCATGGCTCAGAAAACAGCTCTTTTGTTCTGTCTACACATGGTGACATTTTTCAGGAATTACTTTCTTGCCTCGCTAAAACTTATGCAGCCATTTCTTCTTATCTCATTTTCAAAATTATGCAAATAATAATTTAATAGCAATAATAAAAATTAAAAGCAGATAGTCACCATCCACCTTACCTAACAAATTTACTATTTTCATTGTTCCACATTCTCTTCCATTTTTGTATTCACGTACAAATATAATCTTTACATATTTGTAATCAGA